>NC_000023.11:67462542-68712542 GCF_000001405.40 Homo sapiens | reverse complement strand
CTCACCCCCTTCCAAGGCCCTGGGTAGACCACCTTAGCCCAGGCAGGAAGTAGAAATGTTCAACCATTCCTATCATTCTCTTTCTCATCATCGCATCTAACATTCTTCAGCACTTTGACAGCCAACTCTCATTTCACACACACAATAACTGGTGATGGCTTTGCTATCCCCATTTTACAGACAAACAAACAGGCTCAGCCTATGGTCTCACAGTGGACAAAGCAGCAGTGCCAGGGTTGGAATCCCAGCTGAGTCTGACAGCAGCACCCCCATGCTCATTATAGTCCTCCCTCCTCAGGGAGCTTCCCAGTACTGCCCCAGCCCTCTTGGCCTATTTGTGTCATAGTGCAGTGCTGAGTGTCATGAAGACACAGTACTGGCCTGTCGGGGTCTTGGGGGGCCATGGCTAGGTCAGCCTGTCGCCTCTGCTCTGGGAGTTCTGGCACAGAGCTGAGCACCCCTGCCAGCACCAGCAGAGATGTGCAGCTGGACTAAAGCCACAGAGGAGGCGCTCCTAGTCAGGGTAGGCCAAATACCAGCAGCAAAGCCCTGCACCTGCCTGGGCGGTTATTTGCTTCCCACCCAGGTGATGCCAAGATGAATGGGGCTGGGACCATGGGACCTGGCATCACCGGGTTGGTTGGGGAAGTCAGCTGGCTTCAGCAGAGCTGATCCTGCCATGGAGTCCTGCCCCCAACACATCCTCCATTTCCTCAGCACCTGTGGCCACAGTCTCGCCTGGCCCCCCTGACCAGAGGACTCTAAGGAGGCTGGTGAGGTTTTTCCAAGACAGGAAGAGCTCTCTCTTCCCAGTGCTCACTCACAAGGAAACCCAGGATGAAATCCTAGTGGCTGGGACAGATAAGATGAAGGACAAAACAGTATTTCAGAGATGCTAGGTGAGTAGACAGTGGAGGGAAGAGTGGGGGAAGTCAGAAGTCAGTCAGAAAAAGTAATGGGCTCCTCAAGGGTCACACACTGATGAGGATTTGAGGGAAAGAAGAGAGGGCTCTGCAGCCCCTGGAGCCCCTGCAGGTTTTGGGGGCAAATGGGGGTAAGGGCAAGGATGAACATCTCTGCATTTCTGTGAGTGAATGCAACAGGTCAGTGCCCACCACAGCATCTGTCTCTACATGTAGCTGTAGCCAAATCTGCTCATGTCCATGACTCATGAGGATCACTGTGGGACCATGCACCTGTATATACCCACAGGCACCTCAGTCTGTGCATGCATCTGCCTCTCTTTCTCTCTCTGTCTCTCTGTCTCTCTCTCTCTCTCGTCTCTTTCTCTCCGTGTGTGTGTGTGTGTGTGTGTGTGTGCATGCATACATGTATGTTTTATGTTACTGCAACTTCCTAACCTAAGATAGAGATCTAGGAATCGCCAGGACCTCTGAGGGGTCCCTGGAAAGTGTCTGACAGAGCCCTGCTAGCAGTACCTCCACCTGTCTGGCAGGGGGCAATGCAAGCCTGAAAAAGGATCCTGTGCTCCAGGCCAGTGGTAGTCTAGGTGATGTAAGACCAGTCCAAAGGGAGCTGCCCAGGGAGCCTGTGAGGAACATGGTTCTGCTGCTAGGACAGCTGAGCTGGCTGCCACAGCCACTTCCCTGTCCCTGTTCCTGTCATGCCCCTGGGATGAGACCCTTTCCCCATCTTAGCACGCATCCTGGCAGCCAGCTCTGCTTTCCTGTTATTAGGACAAAAGGGAGGTGCCAGAAAATGGACCAGGTTAGGACTTCCAGAGAGGCAGGCGCAGGAGCAGACAGTGGCCCCTAAAGGGTCACAAGTATGGCCACCCCAGGAAAGGGAGCAAATCTCTAGGGTAGGCCTGCATGCCAGGAACACACCCTTAAAATCCCACTGCAGCCCTCAGTTACTCATGGCTAATGGAGAGGGTAGGAGAGGCACCTCCCTCCCCTGATGCTAGGCATTGGCCCTAGCTGGGGGTTGGCAGAAGGGGACCATCTCACTCAGGTCAATGCCAAGTTCTTTCATGACTACCTAGAGCCCTGTAGCCCCTTGCTACTCAAAGTGTAGTCCCAGACTAGCAGCATCAACATCACCTGGGAGCTTGTTAGAAATGCAGAATCCCAAGCCCCACACCCAGAACCACTATATTTAAGAAGACCCTTGGGCAAACACATTAAAGTTTGAAAAGTCTTGGTCTAAATCACATTGCTCAGTGATTCTCACCCCTGGATGCACATAAGAATCAGCTAGGAAGTGTTATTTTAAAAAATACCAGTGCCCAGGGCCCCTTCCCCAGAAGGCTGGCTTAATTGATCTGCGGTAGGACTCTCCACATTGGTATTTTTTAAAAGTTACAGTATAAGGCCTACTGAGGCCCAAGAGACTTTTCCAAGGTCATACAGGGTAAAGTGTCACAGCTGAGACTATAACCCTGATCTTTTCACTCCATGTTCAGTGCTCTTTGCCATTGCATTATGCCACCTGCCCTCATGCCAGCCAAGCAAGGAGCTCAGACTCAAAGGAACCAACCCCAGCCCCCCAGGCTGTTTTCCTGCTCCTTCTGGTCTAGTGGAGTCACAACCCAGGGTTCAAATCCTGATGCTGTCAGTCACTAGCTCTTTGACTTTGGGCGAGTTGTATAACCTCTCCAGGTTTCTGTTTCCTTCTTGGTAAAATAGGAGCCATGGCATCCACATCTTTTTTCTATTTTTATTTTATTTTTCATGTTTATGGGTTTTTTTTTTCTTTTTGAGACAGGGTTTCACTCTGTCAACCAAGCTGGAGTGCAGTGGCGCTATCACAGCTCACTGCAGGCTCAAACTCCTGGGTTTGTGTGATCCTCCCATCTCAGCCTCCTGAGTAGCTAGGACTACAATAGCATCCACCACACCACACCTGGTTAATTTTCTTTTTATTTTTTGTAGAGACAGGGTCTTACTATATTGCCCAGGCTGATATCCATCTCCTGGCCTCCAGTGATCCTCCTGTCTCCCTGTCTCAGCCTCCCAAAGTGCTAGGATTACAGGTGTGAGCCACCACACCCAGCCAGCATCCACATCTTATAGCTACTGAGAGCATTAAATAAAATACTACAGAAAGTAAAAGCCCCTGGCACATAATACCAAGCACTCAACAAATGTGTTCCACCCCAACTCTGACTCTGAAGGGTCCCAAAGAAAAAGAGGAAATTAGAGAAAGAAGCCCAGCTGCTGCGTTCCCCTGTGGGTCCGGACAATGGCTTTGCCCAGACCACTGTCAGAATTGCAGCCAAATGGCTGGGGGAAGTGAGGTAAGGAGCCTTCAAAGAGGCTGCAATTGCTCCAAAGACAAAGGAGCAAAGGAGTTTGGAGTAGGGCTACAGACTGAATTCCCCACCAGCCCTCCTTAACAGGAATCTAGAGAATGTAATGGGTTATTACCAAACAGGATGTCAGGGACATTGGCTCCCCACAATACACCATCTCATGGAGGGCTGGGAGGCCCCGAGGCTCCCTCCCAGATGGATCAGTCAGAGACATATGTCTTGGTGATTAAAGGCTGAACTGAGGTGCTCTGCCTTGTCCCTCCCACTCGTCTCAGCCTACCCAGGCTGAGGCCAGGAGCGACCCCACCCCCACCCCCAGTAGACTCGATTCACCTGGGGCTGAAGCCCAGGTGGCCCGGACTGAGGATGGGCTTATGTATCTGGTGGGGAGAGTGACAACGGGCAGGCTGAGGTGAGTGAGGTAGGAATGTCTGTGGCCCCTTGCCCTACCTCTGTATCCAGATATGCAGATTCCAAGGCATGGCTGCCAGCAGTTTTAAAGGCTATATTCTGCAGGCAGTGCATGCTCTGGCCAAAGCTTAGGTGATGTGCCAGGATAGGTCAGTAACAGCAGTCAGCTGGCACAAACTGGATTCCACTGAGACTTAAGCCCCTGGGGGAGGGGCCCAGATGACCCAGGCTGGGAGAGTCAGGGGAGAGGGCATACTAGAAAGCTCCAGAGTCCAATCAGGCCTCAGAGCCAAACCCACAGGTCTCCTGGAGGGAGCATCAAAGAAGGAAAGGCTGAGCAGCAGCACATGCTTTCTGAGGTCAATGACAGTATCTGCACCTACATTTACACAGGCCACGTCCCAGAGACAGCACAGAGCAGTTTTCTATGCTGAGAAGGATGCAACCAGGAAAAAAGCAGGCCTTCTGGTCTTGAGAAACACTCAAGCATAGGGCTTATGCACCCAGGAAAGAGGCAGCAACATTTCTCACTGGGAGATGCAATAATGCCCAAAGATGATCACTAAGTTGGAAAAAAAGCTTTTTTCTAATCAAGCCAGCTTCCATGCTTGCCACTAAGTCATCTGAGACAACTCGTGTCATTCTCTAAGCTTTGGTTTCCAAATTTATACAGTGGAGACTAACGACTTTCCTGTCTACCACTGTGGTTACCTTATAGATTTGATCGGGCTTTTGCTGGTTTTGAAAGTGGCTATATAAAAGTTATCATTAATGAAGGCTATTTTTGTTAAGATGAGCTGAATTTTGTACCCATCTAGTCTTTAAGACACAGTTCAGATTGTGTACCAGTTGAAAAGAGGTGAGAGAAGAGAGCCAGGAGGAAGAGAGAAGGCAACAGGCATCTAATCTAGACTACAGGAAGTAAGGCCTCAGCCAGCCAGTATCACCAACCCCACTCTTGGGCTGGGTACCCCCTCTTCACACCACTACTAGGCAACCCTAGTCCTTGTACCTTCTGGTCACTCAGTGGGTTATAAGAGAGCTGCCCGGTCCTGGGTTCAGCCTGCTCATGCCTACCCATAAAGACAGTATCAGGCATGGGGACCAGGCGGGAAGATACAGGACTCAAGACAAGCAATGGATGGATGTCACAGGGACATAGATGAAAGCATCCTTTATTACTGCTGGAGCTCTTGGGTGTCCCGTCCCATTCCTCCCTCACCTCTCAAATCTGGCTGCACATTAAAATCTCCTGGGGAGCTTTTACTAATGGGCCCCACCCATGACTAGTTAAATTAAACTCTCTGGGGATAGGGTTCATTTTTGTTTGTTTGTTTTTGAGAGCTCTCCCGGTTCTTCTAAAGTACAGCCTGAGATAAAGACCACCGCCCTAAACAGAAAAGGCCTGCTAGAAAGCCACAGATATAGGTCCCTGGAAAATTCTACCCAGAGACCAGTCACAGGCCTGTTCTATTCATAGGCCCACGTTCTCTCTAGACCTGAGTGCAGGAGCAGGGAGAGTGACCAGCATCAGTGTGAATGTCTATGATGGCTGAGGGAAGGCAGGCAGTCGGTGTTTGTGAAGGTCATTGAGTTAGCTGACCTGCTCCTTAAGGTGACTTTAAACACGTGGTGGCCTCCTTTACCTGACTTAGCTTCCTATTTGGAAAAGCATCTCCTCCGTGGCCCTCGCCAGAGGATGGGGGCCTCCAAAACAGGGTCTGGTCTCCATGTTTGTCTCTCCCACCTTCAGTGAGTGCAGGAGGAAAAGCCAGTGTCCTGAGCGGCGGAGAAAGACCTGTGATGCCACTATCTATGTGACAACCCCAGTTCCCAAGGCAGGCTCTGTGAGGCTGGTCCCTCAAGGCAGGGCTAGGAGGCAGGCAAGGAGTCGCCTACCACTGCAGGCCCTGCTACTGCTGCTCAGAAATGCTAGGCCCTGGCAAACTGCTTCTCAGATCATTTCTTTTGGTTGCTACAAGGCCCATTTCCTTTGCCCGCTCTCCAACCCTAGAGAGGGACCCCTCTTAAGGAGAAGGTGCTGGCCTTTTGGCAGAGGGCTTGTATCTCAGAAGCTACCATCCTCAGCATGTGGCCCCAACTGCTCTGAGCAGCTTCTTTTACCCTCCCCTAAGGAAACACTAAGGGACCCAGGCCAAAATAAGCTTGCCCACCAAGGCTTGAGCCCTGGCACAGGGCTGCATCCCTCAGGGGCACTGTTTCATTTGAATTTGCACAAAGCTACCCTCTAGGTTGGCAGTGCCCCTAGAAGAAGTGCTGTAATGGGTGGCTGACTGGCTATGCCACCTCTCTCCCTGGGGGACAGTGGGAAAGGGACCTTCATGAGGACCTGTACTAAGAGCTGTCAGGGATTACAGGGCCACCAAGACTTTCCCTCCTGACCTTGAAGCAGACATGCAAGGGGGTCTGCAGTGCCCTATCTATGGGGCGGTCCAGTTCACTGGTGCCTCTCTCTGCTCCTGCTGCTCTTCACTGGAATCACAACTCTAACTTGATTCTTACAGAGGGAGGCACAGGGAGGAAAGGAGACAGGACCAAAATAGCTCTCATCCTACATTCCAAACCTCACAGGAGGGGCACCGCAGGAAGGGCCTCTGTATTTCACCCAGCCTAGGTTGGCAGTGCTGGACCCTGGCTGGCCTCTGGCTTGTTAGGTCACCGGGCAGAACTCAGGGCCCTGCTGCACCTGTTCAGATGCCAGCCTCGGTCTTGGCCGGGGCTACAGCTGGATGCCAAGTTCCAGGCCCATGCGAGCAACACTTCTGGAGCCTCCCTGTCACAAATGAGGCACCACCAAAGCAAACAGCCCAGGAGGGGCCCCTAGGACAGGGTGGCAGGAAAAACAAGCCACTGAATCTTTTAGCTGGCCAGTGGTAGGTTCAGGTGTGTGGTTCTACCTTCTGTATAACATCCCTCTCTCAACACTGCACACCCCAGAAAAAACTTCTAGTCTCTACCACAGGGATTCTCAACCAGGGACAATTTTTCCCCCAGGGGACATTTGGCAATGTCTGGAGACGTTTTTGGTCATCTCAATTGGTGGGGGTCAAGGAGTAAATGCTGCTAGCATCTACTCAGTAGAGGCCAGGGATGTTGCTAAACATCATACACCACACCAGACAGCCCCAGACAAAGGAAGGTTGACTCCAGATCTGAAGCACGAGATCCTGAGGGTTGGCCTCTGCCTTATCTGGGGCCTCCGGCCCCTCTGGGCAGCCCACCCTCCCCCCAGGATGTCCTGGGGGCTGAAGTGAAGAATGGGTGCAACATTCAGTGGTGGTCCCTAGCCTTTGCACACCGTGGACACCTTGCAGGATCGGCCAGGAAGAGGTGGCAATTCTGGTTTGGCATTTTATTTAAAAATGGAAGTTACACAAGAAACCCCCAACTGTGGTTCCCCGCTCCTCTCCGTGAAGCAGTGGCCTGAGCTCCTGTGTGCAGCTGTAAATGAGGGAGAGTCACGAGCACCCTGAGGTTAAACCAGACCTCAGGCCCACTGAGGCTGCTGGAGAATTTGGGTCCAGAGGCAGCCCAGCCTGTGGGCTCCTGGGCTTGAGCTTGGTATGGCAGGACCAAAGTAGACAGCTAACATTCCTGCCTGGCACTGGGTTTCCCTATGACAAGGAAGGTCAAAGCTGCCACCTGCTCTGCTGCAGTTGCTCCATTAGTTTTCTTGCCCCCAAGGGGCTCCTGCCCCCAACCCAGTCCCAGGTGCTCTGACAAGGTCATGGTGCCTAGGAAAGAGAGAGTTGTTTTAATGAGCCATGTGCTACTCCACCATCTCCAGTCCCTGGCCTAGAGATAAATGATGCCAGCCAAACCAGTCTGGGGCAGATATTAGGCCAGCGGTGACTGCTCTCCACTGTGGTTTGAGTGGAAAGTATTGGACTAACGGTCAGGTGAACTACCTTCTGGCCTTAGCTCCATGAGCAACTTGCATAACCTCAGGCAAGCCATTACCTCTGTCTGAACCTCAGTTTCCACATCTCCTAATGGCCGTTCCCCAAAATCTAGAGCTGCAGCAGAGGTGTGTGTGATGCGTAGTGGCTGTCTCAGTGCGGGGAGCTTCCTTCCTTCACATTCTCTTCTGAGGACCCAAGCGAGGAACCTCAGTGGCAACGCAAACCAAACCCATCTTTCCCCACAAACCAGCTCTCTATATGTTCCTGCCTCCCAATACGCCCACTGCCTAGGCTTAAACCTCAAGTCATCCTTGCTCTCTTCTGGCCACATGTATTTAGGCACCAAATTCTACCAACTTTTCCATCAAATGGTTGGGTTTTTTCCTGCCCAACTGTGCTCTAGGTTCTCCTGCCTGGATTACTTCAGCCCTCCAAGTTCCCAGCCTCCAGCCTCTCCTTTCAAGGGGCCATCCTGCCAGCTGCTTCTTCCAAGAGCCCAGCTCTAACCTGGCCGCTCCCCTACTCTACAACCTAAAGAGCTCCCACAGCCTGGGGCAGATAGTCTTGACTGCTCCCTGGCATTCAAGGCTCTGCACAATCTAGACATGGCCTGATTTGAAGCTTCAAACTGCTATTTCTTCATCAAGCTGGAGGTCAAACACCCACTCCCGCGAAGCCTCCCCTGACCTCTCACCAACCCCCTAACACCCAGTGGCTCAGTTCAATGAAGCAGTCCCCTAACACATTTCCATGATCATCTCAGCAGCATGTGAGTCTATCCCCCATTCAACTGGGGGCTTCTCTGCACTGGGTACTTTTGGTCTTTGTGTTGCCGCTGCAGTGTGTTAAGGGCTACCGAATGTTCTGGCAACACACAGACAGGAAGCCCTACTTCCCACTACACAGTATAGAGGCCTCTGACTCTGCTCCCTTGTCTGGTATCACCACAGCACTAGAAATGGAATTGAGCACATGTCTTCACCTCAAAGCCTTGCCCTAGGACAGAAACCACATAGCCAGGAACCAAGGCTCAGAGATGTGCGAACAGAAAATGAACTCTGCTTGATGGTGGAGGCATTATGACCTGAAGGAGCACTTCACTCTGCCAAGCTCAGGGGAGGGCACCCACGTTCACTTGAGAGAAGGGGCATGCCTACCTCCTGCCTCCCTCTCTTGGTCTGGAAAGTCTTGGCACTTGTCTGTTTTGACCCTGTGCCACCACGTCTGCATCCCACCCCCTTGCCTACTTCCCTTTCCTTTTGCTCAGGCCAAATATAAACTCCTGGGCAGGAAATGCCTTGAAGGAGCCTGGCCCCACCCTGAGATCCAGAGAAAATTATCTCTGATAGAAAGGAAATGGGCCTGAGAGAAGTGGCCTCCCCGGGAAGGGAGCAGACACGACCCCTCCCCCAGCCCCAAGGAGAGCCAGAGGGAGGGCTGTGATGCTGAGCACATAGCAAGGGGCGGAGCCTAGGGCTCTGGGGGCAAGGGTGATGACGTGCATGCTCAGGCCATGGTAGGGCCAAGGGAAGGAGAACCCCAAATGGTGGTCTTACAGCTCTGTAGGGCCTATGGGCGTAGAAGTTACAGGGTACAGTGGGAAGAGTTAACAGGCTAGCCACCTGAAGACGTAGCCTATTTGTCACCTCTCTGTACCTCTTCCTTTTCTTTTTTTAAAATGAGGCCTCACTCTGTCACCAGGGCTGGAGTGTAGTAGCACAATCACAGCTCACTGCAGCCTCGACCTCCCGGGCTCAAGCAATCCTCCCACCTCAGCCTCCAGAGTAGCTGGGACTACAGGCGTGCACCACCATGTCCAGCTAATTTTTGTATTTTTTATATTTTGTAGAGATAGGTGTCTCCCTATATTGCCCAGGCTGGTCTCAAACTCCTTGGCTCAGGCAATCCTTCTGCCTCAGCCTTCCAAATTGCTGGTGTGAGCCACCACCGCCCCTGGTCCTGGCTCTATACTTCTTACTCATTAATGACAGCAATATTTAAGATACTGAATGTAATTATTAATAAAATATAGCAGACACTAATAGTTATACAGTACTTACTATGTGCCCTGAGCCATGGACTTTGTACTGAGCCATTATTATATCCCAGACATTTCTTTAAGTTTTTTTTTTTAATGTGTATTATGTCATTGAATCTTCACAACAAACCTGTGAGCTAAGTGCTCCAATAATATCTCTATTTTACAGAGGAGGAAACTGAGGCCCAGAGATATGGAGTAACTTGCCCAAGGTCAGCAGCTAAGAAGAGGTGAGCCAAGATGCAAATCCAGGCAGTTTGGCTCTAGAGTCAGAGCTACCAAGTTAGAATCTTCCTCATTAAAGAAAAGAAATTGTCTAGGCTGGGGCCTGGCACACAGCAGACACAAAATCATCTACCAGGGTTTTTGTAGTAAGAGTGGTTAGCCTGAATTTAACTTCCTATCAGCCAGGAAAGCACTTGATCATCCTGTATGTCACTTGGTCCCCACAAGAACTCCTCCAAAGCAGGTAATGCCTATGGTACAAATGGGAAAACTGAGGCTGCAATAGGTCATGTAGCTTCTGTTGGACTACAGATTGGGCCAGAAGCCTACCTAAATAACCACAGCCCTCCTGTTGACCTGTTCCCATTTCAGCCTCCCTCGGCTCTCCCTTTAGAATCCACTCCCCATGGACTGTGAATTTATTCAACTAATAATACCCAAGCACCTACTTGGTGCCAAGCCCTATGCTGGGTACTAAGGTCTGAAAACAGAACAAAAACTGAATTCTCCTGCAGCACTCGGCCAGAGCTGCTGCCAGGCCCATCCTTCTCAGGGAGACAGGCTACCATGGACTGGCCTTCGTAGCACTCCCTGGAGCTTGCTTCGGAGGCAAGATAAAGGGGAATAAGCCCTGAAGCAATGGAGCTGGCAGCTAGTACAGCCTGAGGGAAGGAAGCTTGCAGCCCCCAAGACCCTGAGATGGAAGCACTTCGGGGAGGGCTACAGCTTCTGGACAACCTCCTCCCACCCAATTCTAGCATGGGACACGCCAGCTAGTGATCATAAGAGCTAATCCAGCCAGCCTCCTGCCAGCCCCTAACCACCCATGCCTTCTAAATAATGCAACCTGGTTGTCAAGAGAGCATATTCAAATGTCTCTTCCTCCCTGATGCCACCCAGCACCCTGTTCTCCACCCCCAGTACTAGAAGGTGCTAATCAGGCAGGCCTGGTGCTGATGTCAGAACCACACTGCCACCCCCACTGCCCACACTGCCACCCCCACTGCCCAACTCCCTCCTGCACTCCCTCCCCACCCCAATGCAGCTCTGTTTTAGAGCATGAATACCCACTCCTCCATGTCTTCCCTCTATCCATCTGTCCACCTTGGTGATGGAGGGTGAGAAGAAGTGCACAGAGCAGACAGGCAAGGACCTGGGGACTGCCTGTCCAGAAGTGACTGATCACTGGTGCGTGTGATGAGCACTCAGGTGGGGAAGGAGACCCGAACCTCAGCTCTTGCCTCCTGGCCAGGCATCTGGAGAGAGGCATGGCCCAGTCATTAAAGATGTCAGGAGGTGGAGTCAGACCACCTGGGTCCTGATCCCAGCTCCATCACTCCCCGGATATGTGACCTTGGGCAAGTTTATTAAATAAAAGAGAGACAAAGATAGCAGTACCTACCTTATGGAATTGCCATGAATGCTAAAGAAGTTAAAATTTGCCAAGAATTTAGAAGAGTTCACTATTATTATTGGTGTCACCATCACTACTATAGCCTGTTGAGTGTCGCGAATGCCACTAAAGAAGGCCAGAGGAAGGGAGCCCTGTGGGTGGGCATGGCCAAAGGGAGCTTTTCTGGGTAAGGTGGACTCTGAAATGACTGCAAAGTCCAGACCGAATGCCCACGAGGTGGCAGGTTTGAGAACTGCCCACCCCCAGGTCAGTGAAAAACAACCAAATGACAGGACTGCAGAAGGTACTACCAAGCAACAATAATGGCAATAATTTTATTTATATTGTTGGATTTAATATTCAACAACTCCATGAGGTGGGTACATATCTCCATTTTAGAGCTGACAAAATGAAGGCTCAGAGAAGTTAAGTAATTTGCCCAAAGTCTCCCAGCACTGTGAACATGAGAGCTTGTGTACAGCTCAGGACGTATTTTACTTCTGCTCCACTCTGACCCCTTTTCCACATTCCCCTCTCTGTTTTTCCCATTTAGAAGGCCCTGCTGGTGTGGGCACTGCTCAGGACAGATGTTTGGGGACAAGCTCTTCCCACAAGCTCACTGCCTCTGCCACAGCCTGACTTGACCTCAGCCTGGAGCAGAAAGGCTGGCTGCAGGTGCCTATCTCACACCTCAGACAGGCCAGCCTTTGGCCAGCCCAGATAAAGGACAGGAAATCCTAGGCCACGTCCCTTGGAGCTCACTCTCTCACAGGAACAGAGTTGCAGCCAGGGCAGGGGTTCCTCTGTGGTGGGGAAGCTGCCGAGTCAGCCCCGGCTGCCATGGCTGCTGGGTGTGGTTTGGGGAAAACAGGGAGGGCTGAGGGTCAGGAGACCTGGGCTCCAAATCCTCCCTCACTGGAGACTGTTCTTCCCTTCCCTGGGCCTCAGGTGGAGACCACCACAGATCATTCTGGGGAAATCATACCATCTACTTTACAGGGCTGCTCTAAGAACACAATGGAATCATGGAAGTGAAAGTGCCTTGGCAACTGAAGAAATGGGAGGACTCATAGTCATCATCATCAACTGCCAGGGGAAGGAATGGCTACGTTGGTATTTCTCACTGTCTGATTCACTCTTCTAGGCCCCACTGTGGGCATGGCTCATACTCATTTCCGGCTTCAGTACTCCCTAAAATATCCCCTTCCCTCCACCCACCCCTGACCAACTCCAAAGATAAAACCGAGTGGCAGGAAAGCAGGGTACGCTGGAAGCCCCCCACATATTACATTGTATTTAACTCAACAAGGGGAACACCTACTAACACCAGGCTTGTCCTCCACTATGGGGGCACCAATAAGAAGGCCCTACCTTCCAAGGGCTCTCCAATCGTGAGAGCTGGCTGGACCTGAACCATAAACAAATCAGTGTTGTCTAAGGTATTTGCACCCAAGATTCTGGGGGTTAGGAGTCTACCTGTTGTGGTAACCAGAAAAGGATTATGGAAAAGTCATCTGAACAAGTTCAGACTATAAATAAACTAAGGGGAGTGAGGGGTTTCCAGTGCCCCATTTCCTGCCCCCACATGTTAAGGGGGCCATAAACAGTAGCATGTAGGGAGGACAGAGGACAGTGATGAGGCTGGGAAGGGGGCTGCTCCAGGTCTGAGAAGGAGCGCAGACGCTTGAAGGTTGTTTGGCCTAGAGAAGACACAGGTGCACTTGGGTTCCATCCTCAGATCCCTGAAGGTCAGAGAGAGCAGACAGGGTCCAGGTGGTCCCAGAGGGCACACTCGGAACCCAGGGTTAGAAGCCTCAGGGAGGCACAGTTAAGTTCAACATAAGAGAAAACTTTCACACATTCCAAAGACGAAAGCAACTTGCTTGAAACATATCACATTCCCAGGTATTGAACATGAGTGAGCAGGAACTGCACAAGTACCTGTCGGGAAGCCCCAAGCTTCAGAAGGAAAGTTGGACCTAGTGCCCTCTAAAGGTCCTTCTGCCCTGAGCTCTGCCTGCATACCTACCTCTAGAGGGGTTGTGGGAGAGAGCATAAAGGTGACTGGAGCTGGCTAGGCCCTTGGCTGCTTCCCACAGGGACCTAGGATCCCAGGAGCACCTTGGGCTGGTACGACCCAGGGGGAGCAGTTCACTCATTAACTTGTGGCTGAATGGGTCAGAGAGTGGCTGGCCACTAGGGACAGACACAGGCTTGGGGAGGGGCCAGAGAGCAAACTGCAGAAATGCCCAAGCACAAGGAGAACCCAAGCTGTGGCAATTCAGGGCTTGGCCAGCTCCAACTGACCCAGCCAGCTGAGAACATTCAGTGTCTGGGCCTGATTGAATTTGAAGCCAGCTCACCATTGCCTGGTAGATAAGAAAAGGGTCTTGAGTGGGGAGGCATACTTGCATAGCTGAAAGGAAGGCTCACAGACCACTGAGTCTGCCTGCCAACTGCCCTACCCACTTTATAGTTGTGGAAATTGAGGCCCAGAGAAAGCAAAAATCACTCACCGAGAGAAAGCTATAGAGGGGGCAGAACCAGAAGCCGTTTCCCAACTCTGTAGTAGGCCCACGGGGTGGTTCCTTCTCTTCCTACTGAAACTGCAGGAAACTGCATATGGTCTGGAGCTTTCTAAATTGGGTCTGGGTCTGGGTCTGGGTCTGGGTCTGGGTCTGGGTCTGGGTCCTGGCCCGACCCTTACCAAGTGCCACTGCTTGTCCAGATACAGGCTCCCGGAGGAAGGCATCCTCCTCCACTTACAGAGGTCCTCAGCCTCTCAGCAGCAATCATGTGGTTGGCTGTCCCCATTTCCACTGCAGCCTGGTGTGGAGGGACCCACAGCTGTACTGAAAACAGACACACATTCACACAGCCTCACCCCATACCCAGCATCGGCAGACCCTTTGGGTGGGCATTTCTTGCTCTTTTAGACTTTCAAATTGAGATGAGGCGATCAACTACTCCTAGAAACACCCCCCTACCCCTTTTTAACTCTGATGCTGGACCCCACTGCCCATCCAAATCCCCATCAATTCACTCCGCTCCCCTTCTCAATACCATCCAAGCTGAACCCATGTCCTTCAAATGGTGTGAATAACTGCTTCCGTTTGCCAAGTAAAGGATGGAGGGGCAGACTTTTCACTGGCCCCAGAAGTTCCCGTGAGTGAATGTTTGTCAATGTTCCCTTGGGGGAAGGTGAGGGTTCAGGATATGGTCTCTTTAAGGCCTGAGGTGGACAGGGAGTTAGTTAATGACCATCCCCTAGAGATGACTTTCCAAGGTGGTTATTATGTGGCTCAATGATTAACCAAGCAGTGGCAGGACCCCAGGCTTGTTGGAAGGAGGCTGCTCTTTTCCCAAAGACAGCCCAAGAGCAGGAGCCTGCAGTCAGGGAGAACATTCCTGGGGTCTTTCTCTCCCTCTCTGACAGGCTGTGGTGAGGTGGGTGGGGGCAGAGGCCTGCACTGAGGGAATCTCTCCCTCAGCCCCACATGGGGGTAGAGGGCTGGCCCGGATATGGAGGAAGTCAGCACACCCTTACTGGGGCGGAAGGGAAAAGAGAGACAGTGAGGGTTTTTATCATGAATGAGAGAGGAAGCTCCAAGCTGGGCCTTGGTGATTAGATGACAAGCTGGGAAAGACGTTCATCCTGAATGCATCCTGTTTTGCTCTGAACTGGCCTCAGGGGCCAGGCGCAGGGGAGGGGCCTAGGTGGAGAGCAGCCTCCCAGAATTCTCCCAGACCTGCGTACCCCAAACTCCTGGGTGCCCTGGACTGGGGAAGCAAGTGTGAGAGTGAGAACTGTCATTTACTGCTAGAGAAACAAAGGCAGGAAGTCTCCGCAAGAAGCCTCCATGGGTCAGCCTCCAGATCTGGAGCCCTAGAGGCGGCTAACATCTGGGCTGGGACCTTTCCTGGGCCTCTCTTCCAAGGTTCAGCTCAAATGCCACTGCCTCTGTCCGTCACCTTCCCCTCAGTCAAAAGCAATCACTCCCTGGAATGGATTTCCCAGGGCAGAATGGACGTCCAGGGCAAATAAGTCCTTCTCAACAATTGGAAATATGAACACTTACCGGTTATTTGATAATATTAAGAAACTATTTTAGGTGTGATAATGGTTGTTTTTATGAATCCTTATCTTTTAGAAATACGTATTGAAATATGTATAGATGAACTGATAAGGTTTCTGGGATTTGTTTCAAAATAACAAGGGCATGATGTAGATAAGAGTATGGACAGGGCAGGATTGGCCATGGGCAAATGGCTGTTGAAACTGGGTGATGGGTACATGGGGTCTTAGTACACTAATTATCTCTATTTTTATATATGTTTGAAATTATTCACAATAATTTTTTTGAAGTCCTCACCAAGGTATTATTATTTAATACATAAATAATTAGTGGCATGTATTATTTATGCCACTAACCCCCAAACTAGATGGTACATTCCCTGGAACTGGGGGTTTTTACTCTGTGTCCTCCACAAGACCTAGCACCAAGCCTAAACTTAATGACTAATAATTTATACAGCACATGGTAGTTTACAAAGCACTTAGCTATGGATCCCCTAGTTTAATCCAGTGAAGTGGAAAAAATGAGGAGAAACCCAGAGTCGGAGAATTTGAGGGGGGCGGCAGAGCCTGGAGTTAAAGCTCCCCATGTTCAACTCCCAATCCCCTGTTCTTTGCTCCACACCACCCTGAACTCCTAGGGAACTTAACATTCAGTTCTAAAATTCCTGTGTGTGGTCGAGGTAAACAGGAACAGCAACTGTTTAGCATGCAAGTTACCAACCTGCAGGGCTGGGGAAAAGGAAACTCCACCCACAAACACAGCACTTCAGACTTGTGACAAGGGCCCAGGCTGTGGCCTCCAGTCCACTGATTCCTATCTACCAGGACCCTTCCCGAATGCATGCCCATGCACACGTGCGCACACACAAACCAAGACCCCTTAATAAACACCTGACACCAGCAACTGTGTGCCCAACCCAGTGCCCAACTACCCTGTTGTGGGGTGGGGAAGAATGTAAAACTCACCTAGATCTCCGGGAGCTCACACTTCCCACCCTAAAGCCCTTGTATCTTTGAAATCTGCTGTCCCTATTTTATCTGCTGAACAGCTTTCCCAAGGCCCAGGGCCATGACACCTGATCCTAACCAAACTGGGAGCCTAAGGCAAAAGGTCCTTCTCTTCTTTTCAAGGCAGAGGCAACCCTTTCTTCTAGCCAGAAAAGAGGTGAGGGCACAGCCTGCACGTGATAAACCTGCCATCTGTTGAACCTGAACTTTCCATGGCTCAAATAAGGAGCTCCAGGAGTCTCCTAGCAGCAAAGCAGCTGCAGCTGTGACAGCTTCCCAATTGGAGACTCCATCCCCTCCTTCCTTTGGGACCTTCTTGCCTTTGTGTCCCTGTTGCTATCCTCTAAACCTAGACACAGGGGTCTTCTGCTCCCTCTCCAATCTGTAGTCCCAATAATGGAATTTTAAAACTTTAAGAGGACAGAGAGGGACAACATTCGAGTCTTCTTGGTGCCACTTTCTTTGCTTCTCTGCTGGAACTCAGGAGGTATTGTGTTTGAATAAGGAAGGCTCTGCCATCCTCCCCACATGACTCACTGCAAGCCCTGTCTCAAGCAAGCACACAGCGCACACAGCCCCTTTGCTTTGCACACCTTCAGTTCAGCCCTTCTTGCTCTAAACACCTCCAGATATCATCTGTAGGCAGCTTCTCCTCTCTAGGTGGGGGAGGGGAGCTGTAGATGCACAGAGAGGTTTAGCATAATTCTCCAAAAACAGGAGAGGCAGTGTCCAGTGTGGTGTTTCCTAGCACTAAATATAGAGGTCTAGGGAGCAGAAATCCAAAATCCAAAGTCCAACACATTAACAAAAGGCCACGTCCCTAAAATGAAAACCAGCCCAGAATGTCCAGCTAGATGGCAGCTGTACCTTTAGAGTGAAAGAGTTTCACTACCGACCCCTATGCCCTTACAGCAAAACACCACCCTTCCCATCACACTCTTCCCACTGCGAAAGCCACCCAGAAATCACCTGCAGCCTTCTTCTCCATGCCTTTGGGCTGCCCACCTTCCCATCGCATCCGCAGACAAGATTTGTCCCCCTTTCATTCCAGGAGGATGAAAATGAGAGGAAAACTCAGAGGGCAATAATACAGGTGTGGGGGGCGGGGGGGCGGCAAACCCTAGAGTGGGGAGGGAGCAGGTCGCACAGGAGGAGTCAGGGTTTGAAAATAGCCCTGGGTGTGATTCATTAACCCCTCCTCCCCGCTTAGGCTCTGACTGGGAGAGAAGCCAGGCCCTGGGACTTGGGGGTAAGCATAGGCTCCAAGCCAGCCCAATCTCTGAGGCCCCCAACCTCTGGGGCCCCAGGCTCTGGAAGAAAACTCCCACCTCTCCCTACCTTGGTCTGGCTGCTGTCGCCCACCCCTCCACGCACACTCTAGTTTTCCAGCTGGCTTAGCTGCATAATCACCACAAAGCTCTCCGTGTGCATAGCTGCTGCCACCCCGAGCGTCTCAGAGACAACCTTTTACCTGCCAGTTAGGAGCCTGACCCCAGGTACCAAGTAAACAAATGTCAGGGTGAAAGAGACCGGGCCCTTTAGATACTGAAATCAAGCTGCCACCTGAGGTGTGGCTGAAAACACTATGGCCCACACAGTAGTATGACTCGCCTAAGGTCACATGGACTGGCTGAACCCCAGTTTCCTGAGTCGTAATTCAGCGCGCAACTTTCACAAGTGTCAGGAGGAACGTGGAGAGAACCCCACACTACCTAATTTGGAAATTCCAAAAACTTCCACTAAAAGCCTTTCCTCTAATCCAAACCCATTTTGGACTTTATGGGAAAATGAGGCCTATGAAGATGAGACGTGTCCAAACGTTTTCGCTTGGTCCCCGCAGCTATCTTAATACCAAGAAGTCCTGGGCATTTCTCAGGAGAGAAAGCAATGAGGCAGTGGCCGACGGGAAAACCCATACAGCCGGACGGGGGCTTCCTGGAAATGCCCTCGAAAGCAGAGAAAGGAGAGGGCAGGAGATCTGGCGCGACCCGGCAACAGAGCCTGAAGCTCTGCCGCCCCCGGCCAGCTGCAACGCCCCTCCAAAGCCCCAGAGCGACGGCTGCGAGACCCACGGGCCCGGCGGTAACAGGCGGACAGCTGCCTTCCACCGCCCCACTCGCGAGGCTTCGCTGGAAGACGCGCGGCTGGCGCGCTCGGGGGTCCCCCAATTTCGGCGATTCTGACCCCCCAATCCCAGGGGCGGGGGTGGCTCGGCTCGCTTCCTCCCTGTCTCTTGCGTACGCCGCCCGGCGGAACCGCTAGGAGAAGGGCCGAGCCGGAGCGCGCCAGAGAGGCAAAGCGGGGAGAGGGAGCCCCAGGCGCCCCCGTTTGTCTGGATCTCCCCCTGCCGTCGCCCAGACTCCTACCTGGAGGCCGCGTCCACCCCTTTGGGTTCGGGCGCTGACACAGAGCGAGCGGGCAGGAGGCGAGCCCAGGAGGGACTGCTCCGTCCGGGACACACGCGGGGCCTGGGGTCGGGCAGGGGTGACGGTGCCAGCCAGAAGAGCAGCTGCCGCGGCTGCTTAGCCGTTGTCAACCCGAGTCCACTCAGCTCAAGTGGGGAGGGAGCGTCGGCGAGTAGGGCTGTAGGGACGCCCCGCCCACCTCCCCTCGGCCAATGGGGGCGCAGTCTGGCCCACCGGACTCGCCAGAAAGTCACCCAAATCTGGGTGGGCGGGGCACTGCCTGCAGGTCCTCCAAGGCCCTCGCCGCTGCCTTTCCCTCCGGTCACACCGCTGCCAGGGAGGAGGTGCAAGCCCAAAGACTGAGGCTCAAGCAGTGACTTGGCCAGGCACACAGGCTAATATTTATTGAGTTCTGAATGAGTCCGGCACTGTTTGGGGGATTTAAACACATATGCTATGTGCCCGGGAGGGTTCAGTGACTTGCTCGGATAATTTATGGGATGTCCAGAAGACACAACTTCAGTGAAATCTCCAATTGGTAGGGGAAAACCAGATAATTAGGAATTTGAGCAGGAAGCTGCCATCCCTACGTTGCTCAGGCCCCAGTGGCTCTGCAACTTCCCCAATACCCCAGGCTTCTGTCCCCTACCCCAAGTCTGAACTCTACCTCCGCAGAGAAATGCATGGAAAATTTGGGGCACGAACATTAATCGTGGCAGGGGAGGGCTTCCAGGAGTTCTGATAGTAAGCACCACCAGAAAGTCCATTCAAATTCAGTAAGAAACAAGAGCCTTCGGCTTTGATTTCTCTCTGGCCTTTCATCACAAGGGTCCAACACAAGTTCACAACCTTGATTTCATTGTTGAATTGAGGACTCCTATTAGTCAGGTCTGAGAGTATCCAGGACCTCATGCAGTTCAACTGCTATCCCTCACATTTACAAAGACAGAAACTGAGCAGACTTTAAGCATGACTCACTTAAAGCTACCCAGCCTGGAACTCCTGTGGTCAAGAAAATCTCCTGCCTCAACTTCCTGAGTAGCTAGGATAACAGGTGTGTGCCACCATGCTCAGCTAATTTTTACATTTTTTGTAGAGCTGAAGTCTTGCTATGTTGCCCAGGCTGGTCTCACACTCCTGGCCTCAAATGATTTACTCAGCAAATCCATGGCAGGGTCAATACCTGTACACTGGTTATTTTCTCCACACCATTCCTAGAAGGCAGGAACTGCATCCATCTAACTTGCTTGTTAGAGTATCTGATACAGATGAGAGCAAAAATATCTGTCTCTGAGGGCAGCAACTTTATCAAGGTCACCCAGGGAAAGACAGAGCCAGACCTAACCCAGCCCCAAGTGCCCCTCTCCTGTCTAGCTTTCAGTTCACTAGGCCAAACTGAAATTCTCCCACATTCCTTCCCTGCTGGCCCTGATGAGAGTCAGAGGAGCAATGATAAAGTGACACTACCACCACTGTGTGTCCCATGTATCCCTCTTTTCCTCTTGATGGCAGGACTGCCCCTCGTATCCTCTAGCAATTTGTTCAAGGTGCGCCAAGTCCCTGTGGGTCTATGGATGAGGCCTGCACACCAGAAGTTACTCCCAGAAGCAAAATCCTTCTGGTGGGTGGGAAGGGATATGACCTCCTTCCTGAGGCTGGGCTTTAACAATTGTAAGCATCCTTAAGGCTCTGAGTTGAAGCCAAAGGCATCTTGCCTGTGCACAGTGCTAAAAAGGACAAAAAGTGGGGTCCTGCAATGATTTTATCATTTCCCTAAGGGCAAGAAACCTTGTCAAAGCCAATTCCATCCACTCCAGGAAACCAAGCACAGTGCTTACAGTACTTTCCTCACTATTGTTTGTTAATGAATGAACAAATGTTGAAAGATATTCAAAGCACAACCAAAAATAAATGACAATCATATGACTAATGAGCAAAGTCAACTTATCTTTTAGTAGATACATTTAACTGAATCAGATATCATGGGTTCTGAGACACCAGCTGTATTTTTTTAAAAGCCATCAAACCAGGAAACAAAAAAGGAGGAGGGTATAGTATGAAAACTACCAAAAAATGGGGCACTGCTATAAATACTTAGAAGGAGAACTTCGCAGTGCCTGGCATAGAGTAGATGTTCAATAAAAATGCTTGTCGAATGACAGTGAACACAATTGTCAGGGTAAGCTACAATCATGATATTTGCCATGCACATTGTGACATTTTGAAATGGCCCAAGCGATATCAGGGCTATTTCTTTTGGTCTTTTTTGATCTCCCTCTTTTATTCTGGCCAGGAGAGCTCAGCCTGTTCAGCAGGGCAAAGATAGCTCATCCCCTTCAATACCCCTGCCAACCCCTGCTCCCTGCCCCTGAGTCTTGCATGGATTAATAGTGCCTGGAATGGATGAGAAAGAGTATCTTTTCACAGGCCCATTTCTAGGTTGCAGCCTGAGTGGCTGTGGAGGTAACTGGAGGCTTTAGGTTCTTGACTTCCCCTTTTCCTCAAGCCCTCACTCTTGCCTGTGTGTCCTATAGTACCATTGCTGTTGCTACCTTGGATGCCAGCTCAGTCATCAGGCAGGGGAATGTAGAGTGCTTGAAGCAGGCCAAGGCCTGGCAAAAGAAAAAGTCTCTGTGTGTATGTTTGTGCGTGTGTGTGTGTGCGTGTGTGTGTGTGTTTCTGTGCCCGAGGCATGGGGCTTTCCTCATTCTACCATGCCCACAGACCACGTAAGCCCCACAAGAGGGAGTATAATGAACACTGGAGCAAGATGGCCTGGGTACAAATGGCCTCTGCTACTTACTAGCTGTGTGACTCTGCCTCAGTTTCCTCATCTGGAAAGTGTAGATGATCATCACAACCCTGACCTTCAATGGCTGCAGAGCAGATCCACTAGGCTAAGTAAACACTTAAGAGTGATGGCTGGCACATAGTAAGTGCTTATAAGCGTCAGATATGGTGAGAAGCACTGAGCAATAGTAGAATGAGCCCTGGATTAGGAATTAGTAGAGCTAAATGCTGGCCCCAGTTCTACCACTTTCTTGTTATGCCACCCAGGACAAGTCATTGTGCCACCCCAGCCATCAGTTTTTTCACCTATAAATAACAAGACTAGAGTATAATACCCACTGGGTAGAGTAGAGACAATAAATGTGAAAGTATACTGTAAAGGACTGTGGCAGGTGGCAGGATGACACTGAAGGTGCTATAGAGCTAACCTTTGGGGGACCTATCAGCCCTTTTCTCCTACGCTGTGGCAAAGAGCAGTTCCATATACCATTCCCCTGAGCCTCACTCTGAGACCCTTGGGTCCCAATAAGGGCCTACCTGAGGACTCCCAACAGTCCCCCCGCCCTGCCTGCCTGGGAATGGGAGTTGCTCGAGCTGCTGCTGGCAGACCCATGCCCCCACTCTGGAATGGCTAGGTTAATATCCAAAAGGAACCAGATAGACTCTTCTACTACTCTTTTCCATAGGAGCTAAAGAAACCGCAGCAAATCACTTCAGGGAATTCAGCTGGGAAGTTTTTAGAAAAGGGGTAGGAGCAGTGAGGGGAAAATGAATTACACTCAGACCAGCCCCACCAAGTACATGAGTACCGGTGGCCTCACACACAGGCTCTGACACTTGTACGCACATTCCCGCATGCCTCAACGAAGCCTGCTCCCTGGTGGCTTGGGGCCCCCGCCCAGCCTCATGAAAGGGGGCTATTGATCAGGTCCCAAAACAGAGGATAGTCATGGTTCATTAAAACAAACAAACAAACAAAACAAAACAAAACAAAACAAAACAAAACTTCCTGAGGAGCCATGGCCATAGGAGGGAGATTTGCACTAAGAAGACAGCCCAAGCAGAGGCAGATGTGGACAGAGGGAATACAGTGGTGGGGAGGGGTTTGAAAAGGTGAGGGCCACACAAACACCTCACTGTCTATACATTGCCAAGTGTGGACAGAGGACAGAAAGCTACATCCTGGAAGGAGCACCCCCTCTCAGCCCACAGCCTAGGGGACTATCACGGTTGCCTCCAGCCTCACCCCAGAGCACCCTGGAAGGAGGAGCTCTGTGCTGAGCTCAGAGCCCTGGGCTGGCAGTGAGGGACTCTGGAGCACAGGCCCAGCCAGGCCCAGGCCAGGGGAGATTCAGGGGTCACCTAACCTCTCTGCCCTTGCCCTCCCTAAGCTCAGACATACAGGTGTGGGGCGGCTCATGACTGCCTCCAGGCACTTGGACTGGGCAGGTGGAGCTGGATAACCCAGCCCTGGCTCTTTCCCAGATACGCGGGGACCTGTCATCTCTCCTCAACCAACACCAGTCAATGTGCCAGCCTGATGGAAGGCTGGGCCCCAGCATCCACTCAGTAGACCCCCCGGGCCATGACAGTGCCACAGGTACCATTTGACACCCAGGATGGGTCTCCGGACTGACCTTACTGGCCCATCTCAAAGGGTCCCCAGAGGTTTTCTGCTGCAGGCAGATGGAGCACCCCAC
Organism: Homo sapiens; assembly: GCF_000001405.40. Taxonomy (NCBI): domain Eukaryota; kingdom Metazoa; phylum Chordata; class Mammalia; order Primates; family Hominidae; genus Homo; species Homo sapiens. The sequence continues at coordinate 68,689,297 of NC_000023.11, read as the reverse complement.
TAACGCCTCGGGGAGGTCTGCCTGCCCAGCCCTAACAAATAGATGGGGTCACCGTGGACAGAGCACTTGGTGACCGTAGTGGCACAGACGCCCAGAGCAGGATGTCCACCCCGGTGCCCCACCCCATTCCTGCCCTCCAGATTCCAAAGGTCACAACATGCAGAGAGGAGATGAGCAAAGGCAAGCCTGCCTCTGACACAGCCCCACACCCCACACACAACAGGCGAGGACAGGAGTGCTCCCCTCTGCCCAGCTTAGTCTCAGTCCTCAGCCCTGGAGCTTGCTTCTCCCTGGCTAGGCCCACTTTCCTCATCTGGAAAAAATGGGGTGGGCCCTGGTTCTAGGGTCCCTTCCTTCCAGAACGCTCTGCTTCTGTGAGCTGCTCTGTGTGTTCCCATGGGGGTGGGGCATCTGCAAGTCCAGCATGCACAGGGCTTCTGCAGAGCACGGGGGTGGGGGTGGCATGATGGTCCTCTGAGGATGGGGGGTACCTGGGGCCAGGGGAGGAAAGTGAGAAAAAGGAAGGGTGGGGAGCCTGGGGGAAAGGCAGGGAAGGGGAGGGCTGAGGCTAAGCTGCCCCACTCCTGGAGCCCTGGTCTTTGCCCCCAGCGTTGCTCCCAGCTCACCTTGGGGCTATGGGTATCCAGAGTCCTTGAACAGCCCTCAGGATCCTACCTCCTTGTCTGGGATCCTTTCCAGTGTCCCTCCAGGGCTGCAGCTCCCAAAGAAAAAACCTGGGAAGGCGAGGAGGAGCCGGGGAAGCAGAAAGAGAGGCTCTTCCTTCCCATTCACAGGTTCCATCGTCAGCTGCCACGGCCTGACCCCACACTGCCACCAGACGTGGCGCCCTGGAAGCTGGAGGGCTGCTTGTGGAGTGGTGTGTGGCTTTTATACGCCCTGCCCCCAGCCTGGCCCAGCCCAGCCCTGTGAAGAGGGGTCTCTAGGGCTTGACAATGTCAATTCAGGCTGGCTGAGCCTGTCCCTGGCCAACCACCCCCCTGTCTCCTGACCTTGAAGGGCAGCCCTCAGAGGCCCCAGGATGACATCGGAGAGGGCATGGGATGTGTTTGGTTGGTTGAGGGCCACTCAGCAAAGGGCTCTGGGCTCAACTTGGCCTTGGAGCTCGTCTACCCTCTCAACAGGCCTTTCCTCAAGCACAGCTCCCCCCTTTCCCCTCCATACATACACACTTACTAAGCAGGAGTTCTGATTTGCCCTCAGCCAGGGCTGGAACTTCCCCACACACATGCATCAGCCATTCCCATAACATGGTTACCCAGACCTTGTCTGTGCCGGGCACTGGGCAAGGGACAGGGTCAGAGAGTGGGGCGGGCAGGCCCACAGCCTGGGTACCTGCCTTCCTGGAGCTCCCATGTCAGTGGGGGAGGCAATGGCAGCCCCTGACAGAGAACGCCCATCCCAGGCAGGTGGGTAGCCAGGTCAGTTCCCAGAGGACAGGGAGGGAGGGGCAGCCAGGCTTCCGGGGTGGATGGGACCTGATGACTCTATATGGACAGGCCCCCAAGGAAATGATCCTGGCCCCCAACACCCAAGGCTCCTGGGTCAGGGCCAGGCAACTGTCACTCTGGCTTCTACTTTGTTTCTACCACGGAGGAACTGTGTGACCTGGCTGAGAGTCTTGCCCTCTCTGGCTCTCAGTGTCCCCATAAGTACAATCAGAGAGTCTGTTCTCAGAATCTCCAAGGATCCTGTGTTTCAGCGTGTTCAATTCCATGTTAAATCTATGGTGAGAAACCCAACCCAGTTTGCTATTTCCTCCCTGCCCTTTAAGTGGAATCAAGAGCGAATTAGAGCTGGGTGCAATAATCCCAGCTACTTTGGAGACTGAGGAGGGAGGGTTGTTTGAGCTCAGAAGTTCGAGTCTCGAGAGAGAGTGAGTGAGTATAACAATTACTCAGAAGTAGTAGCCTGGAAATATAAGTACCCCAAAACTTTTTTTTCAATTTTTAAAAAGACAAAATGCCAGAGACTTTGGGAGATCCCTCAGAGACCCATTCCTTGGTTTGGAGCTCCCAGGCAATGCGAGTTGATTATAAAGGTGCTACCAGGGTTGCTGGGCTGTGTCCTGCACCTGGGGTACAGAGTGGGAAGGTAAGAGGCCCTTGGAGTGATAGGGGGATGTAGGGAGCTACTGTGTAGGTGATAACACTTAACGATCTGGAGACCAAAAAATAAATAAATAAATAAAAATAAAAGGATGAAAGGACAGACGGACAACTCAATGACAAGGAAAAAATACAGGTTGAGGTTTAGACATATAGTGGGACAGGAAGACAGGAGGGTGAACAAGCAGACACCAAAGGCAGAGACGAAGAAGGTGCTGGAGGAATGGGTGTAAAGGGACATACTGTTTACTGAACGCCTACCACGTGTTAGTAACCAAAGTGGTGTTCTTTTTGAGCGGAGGATGTAGACAGAGGTGGGTGGGGACGAAGCCGGATAGACTGCTGGGATAAGAGGATGGGGCACCCATAGGGCGGGGCAAGAGCTGCCTAAGAATTAGAAGAAAGAAGGCGTGCGGGGTGGAAAGCCTCAAAAGGGGGCACTGCCGGCCAGGGGTGAGGTTTTAGACAAATGGACATAGGACTCAACGATGAAAACCGGGCTGGAACCAAACAAGGAGGCAGAGGGAGCAGGGAGCTTCGAAGAGCCGGTGCGGGAAGCTCTCCGCGAAGCGCAGCTCAGCCCTGACCTCCCCGCCTGGGGCTGCCTGGCTCTCAGTTCACCTGGATCCCAGCGCGGCGCGTACCACCGGGTGCCCTCCACACCCCACGGAGTCCACGTCCGTGGCTTCGGGAACCGCAACGCCGGACCCCAGCCCCGCGCCTGGGCCATGTGTCCGCGGGCGCCGCGCGGTGCCAGGCGGCTAAGCAGCCCAAGAGCGAGCTGGCGAGCCGGAGTGCTGGCGCCTCGGGTAGTTTTGCCCCGGGACTGAGCGAATCCGCGGGGAGCCCGGGGAGGGAGGGGCTGAGCGGATGATGGCTGTGTTTCCCCGCCCCCTCAGTCGCAATTAGAAAGTTCCACGCCCCCACCTTGAGCAGGAACTCCCCCTTCTCTAGCCTCCAGTCATCTACTCAACTATTCCGCCTCCCCATCACCATAGGAAGCCTTCTTCCAGGTTGGAGTCACCTTCTTTCCAGACTTTTCCAACTTGGCCCCCATCTGCGAGTTTTCCCTCCACTGATTCCTCTCCTTTCTGTTCTCATACCTCGGTGCAAGATAGTGGGGGTGTCTTCCTAGTTATGGGGTCAGCCCCTCCACCTCCTGTCTGCCCCCAAATCTCACCAACCATGTGACATGGAGGAAGGCCTTGTGCAACAGCCAGATGGAGAAGGAAACAATGGCTCTGGCCATCTTGACAGACTGACTCACTCCTCGGCCTCCCTTTACCGCCCCCTGCTTTTCACTCCTCCCTGCAACCACATTCTCTGACTGGCTGGCCTGAGCAACCGACCAGCTGGGTTCCACCAACGACACTTTGAAATCTTTCTAGTACCAGAATATCCTGAAGTGGAATCAGTCCTTATAGACTCCCTTATGTTACAGATGGAAAACTGAGGCCCAAGAATGCAAATGACTTGGCCATCATCTAGGCCGGGGCAGTTATCTCTATGTTGCAGGACTGTTGTAAGGATCTGAAGGACTGATCATGGTGCCTGGCACGGAGTATAGACTTCATTAAGAAAGATTAGCTTTTATTTTCAAAGAGTTTAGCCCCTGGCGTGTACCACAAAAAAAGCCTGGACTAGGACTCTAAGGTACATAACCGTTTTTTCTAATACGCAATCCCCACCACCGCAAGCAAACTTGCATTACCTGACTTGGGGATGGTGGGGGGTCCTGGTTAAATTTGTTTTCAATGGAGATAAGGCCAAAAGTTACCAACAGCTCTCAGACCAGGTCATTTCCATTCTACTTCTGTTGGTGGCCAGTAAAGGGACCAACATCCTAATAGGGCCTCTGCTCTAACTGTGGCATAACCTGGGTGATTTCTCCTCTCTGAGACTCAGTTTCCTCATCTGTAAAATGAGGGTAATATTCCTATGACACGATGGGAATAATGAATGTGCTTTGTGAACGATAAAGGGGTACATGGGTGAAGGTCACAGCCCCTCCCCCCTACTGTCTCCATACCTTGTTCCTGGAATCTAGAGCTAAGCTACTCCATTTGTGAGGGATAAGCTAGAAAAAGGAAGTGCAGTTTCCAGTTGATATGTGCTTATTTGCATGATATTTGCACCCACTTTTCATGAACTCAGTGTCAGAGCTAGAAGGAAATTAGAGGTTAACATGTTGATCTTCATGCCATGCATCCCTTTTCCCCAGGGCAATGGTGGCACATAGCAGGTGTTCACAAAATATTTACTAACTGAATGAATGCATTCTTCATGTGGGGAAGAGGACTTGTCCAAGGTCACACAGTGAGTTTGTTTCAGAACCAAGGCAGATCTGACTCTGCTCCTCCTTCCACTAGGCCATTTCTACTTCATGGAATTATTTTCCTTTTCCCTTCAAATGACCATAAATCAATGGGAAGCCCGTCTCTCCCAGCACCCTCTGGCCTATCAGCAGTCCCCATTCTGGACTAGCCCAGGCAGGACAAACAGCCACTGGGATGCCCCTCTCTGGGCCCAGCTTTCTGCTGCCACCCCGTTGACTCCTGAGTTTCGAGTAGTCCCTGCACTGCGCCTCTCACAGGGGCAGCCCCCTCCCCCACGCCGCCCGCGGAAAAGGAGGCCTCAGTCAGCTTCCTCCAAGCAGAGGAGTTTCCCTTTTGCTCTCCGGTTGGGCGGGAGTGTGGGACATAGCCCCCGGCAGTGGCAGCGGCCTAGAAGGAAGGGCGGCAGCAGTCACTTCCCACCCTGCTAAGGCATCTCCCGCCCTGTCCAGTCCCACCCCTATTTCCTGAGTTCTGCTGCTTCAGCTCCAGCCAGAACAGTGATATGAAAGAGCTCCGAAGATTCACTTGAGTCACAGAGCCCTGTTGCTGGGAAGGACCTTCGAGGTTATTTATTCCCACCACCTCCCCACTCCAGGCAGGAATGCCTGCTGTTAGCAAAGAGGAGGAGAGGGGGCACCTTACTGAACCTCCACAGCTTCAAGTTTCTCCTCCAGATAATGGACATAATATGACACATAGCTGACAATGGTGCTGTGAGAGGAGATGCAAGAATGGATCTAATAAAAGCTGATGTGGATTGAGCACAAGCTATACCAGACATTGTTCTAAGTGCTTATTTAATTCTTACCACAATGCTCTGAAGTATATATATCATCATCATTACCCCAGTTTACAGTTGGAGAAACTCAGAAGCAGCAAAGGTAATCCAAATTGCTCATAAGTGGCAGTGGCAGGATTGGGACCTCGAGCCTCCATCTTCACCCATATATAACGGTGGTAATCATCCTTACCCCCAGAGAATGATTGGACCCCCTTGAGAGTTACTTGAATTCACAAGTGTTTGTTTTACTGTAACTTTTGTATTCAAGTACCCCTAAGGGCTGAGAGGGAAGAATGTGATGAAACCTTGGGGGGCTGATGATGTAAACCTGAAGTGTTGGCTCCAAGTGGGAATGTCTTTGAAGTCCAGCTTTTATCTTAAACATCCACTTGAATTTTCAGTTAACTCTAGTATGCATCCTTGTTTTCTTATTAAAATTCATCTTTTCCTTCCTTAAGCCTTTGAGGAAAATGTACACTCCAGGAAGAGGAGACATACCGGTCTAATACCTTCATATGCCTCCAGGCCATGGCCTTGTACCCCAGGGGTAGCAGGCACCTGGTTCAGTAAAAGATAGGCCCTTAGTCACTGAGAATAGCTAAGGTTTATGGAGTGTTTGTCATGTGAGCCAGCATTCTAAGCACTTTCTATATATGATTTAATCATCATATATAACTCTATGATAAGCTGAATTATTATTGCTACCATTTTCAATGGGAAAACTGTAGCATAGAGAGGTTAAATAATTTGCCCAAGGTCATACAGTTTGGACTGTCAGCTTTAGCTAGTAACCACTGTACATACTGCCTCTCAGGCCACATGGAGTTTCTCTTACCTACCTACCTCCACCACTTCCCACCAGGATGATTGATTTGATTATTGGCAGAAGCAGGCCTTATTCCAATTAGAAGATCAGCTCCTTGAGGGCAGTGACAAGGGGGCTCCCTGCTGCCCCTTTCCCTATATCGATGCTAATCCTGGGGCTGAGCCATGCACAGGGCTGGTCCAGCGTTCAGATTTGGCAACTGACTGTTTCCTGGCTGGTGGCAGTCTCTTGGGCCTAGCACCTGTTGAGCTGGTGGATACAGCACTAGCATTTCACACAGGAGTCCTCTGCCACACTCTGTGGCAAAGATCTAGCTTTAGAAATGGTTGCCCATCACCTACAGGGACAAGTCCACACTTCTAAGACTGGCATTCAAAGCACCCACAAGACTGCCCAGTTAACGCAGGTGGCATTCCCAGAACACACCTCCTTAACCCACCAAATGTGTTACATGTGCACTTCTCTCTCACAAGAATGCTCATCCTTATTTCCTTTACTTATTTCACAAACATTTATATGGTGCTTTCAATGTGCCTGACTCTATCCTCAGCTCTTTGCACATTTTAACTCATAAAGTCCTTACAGAAACCCTGTAGGTACTATTATCCCATTTTACAGATAAGGAAATGAAGACATGAAGAGGTTAAATTATTTGCCCTATCTCCTATACTTGGTAAAGTCCAACATACCAGTTTAGTACAGTATCTCCTATGAATAGCATAAGGTGTTCCCTTTCTGGGTGACTCCACAGCTCAGTTACATCAGCAATCATTCTATATCGAGTTTAATTATCCATGTCTTCCTGCCCAATAAGGGTTTGAATTCTCTCAGCCAGGGGCTGTATTTTATTATTAATGGCATATCCATTGCTCAGGAAGGGATTTGGCGCAGCATTAGCACTTGAGAGGATATTCATTAAAAGATTGAATGCACTGGGCGCAGTGCTTCACGCCTGTAATCCCAGCACTTTGGGAGGCCAAGGTGGGCGGATCACTTGAGGTCAGGAGTTTGAGACCAGCCTGGCCAACATGGTGAAACCCCATCTCTATTAAAAATACAAAAATTAGCCAGGCGTGGTGGTGTGCGCCTGTAGTCCCAGCTACTCGGGAGTCTGAGGCAGGAGAATCACTTGAAACCGGGAGGCGGAGGTTGCAGTGAGCTGAGATCATGCCACTGCACTCCAGCCTGGGTGACAGAGCGAGACTCTGTCTGAAAAAAAAAAAAAAAATTGAAGAGTAAGTGAGTAGGTGGGTGGGTGAGTGGAAAGCCCAGGAGCAACCTTGACCAAACCAAATGGTGGCTGAGAGATTTGAGGTTTTCTTTCCCCCATGTTACTGAGGAAAAGAGCATAAAAATGACTCAATGACCAAGCATGAAATGCAACCACAGGTGGTGAGAGGGGAAGAGAGAGAAGACCTTCCCCCAGTCCCACCATTGGTGTGGCTGGACCAACCCTGGCACCCTGACCACAAAGCCATTGGGCCGATGAGGCATCTAGTTAGCCATGAAAGCCAGCAGCTCTTGGAGTCTGCTGTGGAGAACTGAGCTCATTGGCTTCTCTGTTTCCCCTTCAAAGGCTGCAAGCCTGCCTCTGCAATTCAGAGGTTCATATGGAAAAAAGAGAAGGGCTTAGATATCTCCCCAGGGAGTTGGGGTTTGTTGCTTTTGGTCTCAAACATTATGTTTCAGTGAACTTACTCTGTCCTTCCGTTGCTGGCCACATGCACTTGGCAGAAAAGTAAAGGGGAGTTTGGACACAACTCTGGTCTCAAGTCCTGACTCTGCCATTCAGTAGCTGTGTAACCTTTGGCAAGTAACTGATGCTCAGTTTCTTCACCTAGAAAATGGAAGATTTTTTTTTCTGCCCTGTAAACCTCAAGATAATGGATTTGAGAGCACTTCGTAAGTGGAAAATGACCAGACACAGGTGGAACCACAGTGGGAGTGCTACTTCTAGCAGCGTACGGCAGCTTTCCATCAGAAGGCCCCCCAGTCTCAGCCTTTTGCCTGTCTCTACCTTGCTATGGATGACTAAGGCCCAATCATTCACCTTTTCTGGGCTTTAGTAAAATGGGAAGGATAATTCCTAGCCCTTTGCGGCCAAGTCTTAGAAGGGTTGCTGGATGGCAGAAACAGTGTATATGTGTGCACATTTTACCAGCTCTAGAGAAGGGGCCCCTAAGAACTGCAACTCTCAAAACAGCCTTAGATGTGAACATCAGCTTCAACACTTACTAGATGACATGTCATAGAACTCCTCTGAGCCTCAGTTTCCTCACTTGTTAAATGGAGACAGTAACACCTACCTCCCTGAACTATTAGGTGGAAAGAAGTGTTTGTCAACAGAAAAGTCACCACTTACCCCTTCACCCTGCCTCGCTGCTTTCTTCTTGCCCTTGTATCACGTAGGCCACTCAGGTCTGATGCTCACTAATTCCTTCTGCCTTTATCTGGGAAGTAGTCACAGTGCCCACCTACAGCGGCCCCCACCCCCACTTCCTGGCCTTAGTACACACACCTTCCCCTCAGTCAGAGCTTGCATAAGCCCCTTTTCCTCTTCCTGTCACCTGGCAGGGCACAGCACCAACACACAGTAACACATGCCTTGCAGTCTGGCTCAGGATTCCAGGGCTCTGTCCATTCATGCAAACTGGCCTTGCCAGAAAGAAAAGCTGCTTTGGTGTCAGAGGAGCGTTTTGCAGTTTGGAGGTCAGTACTCTGCCTCCTGTGTCCTCATCCTTGCCCTCTTGTGACTAGCCAGGGGCCCTGTTTGTTTCCATCACTTGGTGTGTCCCCCTCGGATTCTAGGCCAGTGCCTGAGAGAGCACCGAGTGGTCAGGGCTTCCACACAAGCCCAGCCTGGAGCTGGTGGGTCCTCAGAGAGCATCTGATCCATGCCTGCCCCACGTGGGACAGATGGAGATCCTGAAGCCCATCCAAACAGAGGCAAGGAACTCAGGGCCTTGCACTTGAGCTTTGTCTTCCAGCATTTGCCCCTCCCCTGCTCGGCCCTGCAGATTGTCTTCCAAGGCTTGCACGGAGCCTGAGTAGCTCACGAGATCAGGTCAGAAGGGATTCCAGGGAAGTCCTGAGTTCTCGAAGAAGTTCTCTGGAAAAATTTATCCTATAATTTCTCCTCAGGGCGGTGTCCCCAGGTAACCCATGCCAAAGTCCTAGAGACAAAAGTTGGCGACGCACAGTTTCTTAGATAAACAGTGTTGGCAGTGGCATGCCTTGAACAGATAGGGGTGCACATACATGGAAGCTGTGAAAAGGGCGGAGCGTCAAGTCTACCCCTCTTACCTCCCCCACCCCAACAACAATGGGTTGGAAGTCAAGCTGCCATCCCAGAACCCTGGAGGAGAAGGGGAGTTGTGGTAATGCCAGCTCAGGCCAGGAGCCCAATCGGAAGGCCTAGATGGTGGGATTTGGCCCCAGTCAGCTGCATCCCACAGAACAGACACCTAAGAGAGAGGAGGCTACATCCCTTGTCACAACAGAACCCCAAACCCTGTGCAATGAGAGGCCCCATGTGGATAGGGCTTTGTCTCATCTTGACGTCTGCATGGCCCCAGCAGCATATGAATAGTCAGTGGGGCTGCTCACATCGGGGATCCCCCTTCCCTCCTGCTCACTCTCCTTTCCTAGCTCTTCTTTGCCCAAGCTTGGGATGTTCTGTGTTCTAGTTTAACCAAGGGGGCTGTTCTCTTTGACCAAGTGATTGTCCCTTCATGCCTGGTACCCCACTCTGCCTTTGACTTGTTGTTTAACCTTGGGCATGTTATTTGCTCTCTCAGAGTTACAATGTCTTTATCTGAGCATAAAAAGTTTAGATGGACTAGATCAGTGGGTGGGGAAGAGCCTCAAAGCCTATCATAGGGAGGCTGGGGGAGGGGAGAACAGGGAACACTGAGCCAGGAGTCTCCAAGTCCCACCCCTACCCCACCTTGCTTCAATCAGAGCCATGCTGTTTTTATTTGTTTTGTTTTATATATTGGGGTGTCACATAGGATTCAATTTTGGGGGGTAGAAGTCTGCATCTAACGAAGTTTTAAAAGCCAATGAACCAGATATATTCTTCTTGCACTTGAGCCTCAGTTACCTTGTGAGTGATGATTGCATGACATAATACAGATAAAACACTTAAAACAGCATCTGGCACATACTAATGACAATGGCAAGAATAGTCGCCATTTATTGAGCACCGACTATGTGCCAGGCATTGTTCAAAGGTTGTATACTTGGATCAACTCATTTGATCCTTCCAAACCTGCACAGAGAAATTTGGCAACCTGTCCAAGATCACACAACTAATGAGGGGCAAAATGGGGATCTGAATACAGGCCGTTTGTCTCCAGCACTCTCATTCTTAATCAGTACGTGTATTGTTTCCCAGTATATACTTAGGTTTATTCTTATTGTTGTTGTTTTCATTTGAAAATTATTGCACCTCTCATCTGTAAAATGGGCTGAGTTCAACTCATAGTATGACTGTGTGACTAAAATCAGATCATGACTGTGGAGTGGGGGATCTAGAGCCTGCTCTGGCAGCCAGGCCAGGCTGCACAGTGCCCTTGTGTTGGTGTGCCAACTCTACTGAAGTAAAAAGCCTACAGTCTGGAACTGCCTCTCCAAACAGTGGACAGTGGAAAAGGGCTGAGTTTGCTAAGAAAGTAAGGACTGGCTCATGTGCTCAGAGCCTAGAAGAAGAAACCAGGCAGCAGAGCTAGTGGTAACTTATAAGGTAGCTGGATGCCCCACATGGGACAGGACTCTACTGATTTGCTGTGTTTAAGCACTCACTGACCCTATCACTCTCAAACTCCTCCATTCGTCTGGTTTGGCCTTCCTCCTTCCCTTTTTACTCCTCTTTGGGCCCCCTCTACTTTTCTCTTCCTCTCTCTTCCCTCTCTTTGCCCAGCAAGGCTCATAATAACTTGCTAAACCACAACCCTCATATTTCTTCTATTTCCACTTTCCAGGGGAATTTTGCAGCTGGTCCTGACTGTTTCTCCTGATTGATCCTCCCTTCTCTGGCCACACTCATCTCTTCTTTGACCCCACCCACCTTCCCCAGGCTAGTTTCCTTGACTTTAACCCTTTCAGCGGTGCATTGGTAAATTGCAGAGTCTCGCCCCTTCCCACCTTTACTTGGAGGTCAGAGCCGCAAATTCCCTGCATAAGTCCCTTCCCTTTTCTGGGTCTCAGTTTCCCTTCTGTCAAAGGTTGAAGGGGAGTGATGCAGGTTGGACTAAATGCTATCTGCAGAGCTTTCTAGCTGTAATTTCCAACAGTTTTACATCTGATCCATTCAGAAAATTGAATTTTCTTGGCCACATCTTTCTACTTCCTCTCTCTCTATATATATGTATCATACATTGGGGGGGTGGGTGGGGGGCATGGGGAACTTTGAAATCATTACTTGGAGCCAGAATCTGAGGAACTAGGAGCTGAAGGAGGTAGAGGGGGTGAAACAAGAGTTGCAGAATTTTCAAAGTAATGAAAGCACACTGGGGCAGTGAGGCTGGGCCAGTGCCCACTTGGTGGAGGAGCAGCATTTTGCAAGCCAAGTAACTTTAGAAAAATGGTCCTCTCAGCTGGGTTTGGCTTCAAAGGAAGGTCAAGTAGCTGTGTACCCAGAACCAGGGCAGGAGCAGAGCATCAGCATCTCCAGGTGTAGCACGACTCTGGGGATTCAGTTCCATACCCCCGGCATCACCACCTTCCCATTCTGGACAAACTGGAACAAGAGGCAATGGGGACACAGCCCTCGAGGGGCCAAGTTTCTGTTTCAAAGATGCTTACAGTCAAGTTGCAGTGACAAGCATGGAGATAAATAGGGCCCCCCTTACAGTTTCCAAGGTGCTTTCAATCTCTTTTCTTATTTGGCCCTTACACCAACCCTGTGAGACAGGAGAAGAGGACATGTCTATCCCATTTACAGAGCAGACAACTGAGGGTCAAAGGGGTGATAGAATTTGCTGAAGCTGATCTGACCAACAAGCAGAGAGCTGAGACTTAAATCTAAGTGCTTAGACTCCAGAGCCAACGCTCTGTTCAAAACTTTTTTTTTTAATTTTTTTGAGACAGGGTCTCACTCTGTCACCCAGGCTGGAGTGCAGTGCCACGATCACGGCCCACTGCAGCCTCAACCTCCCAGGCTCAAGCCATCCTCCCACCTCAGCTTCCTGAGTACCTGGGACTACAGGCATGTACCACCACACCTGGCTAATTTTTTTTTTTTTGGTAGGGGCGGGGTCTCCCTATGTTGCCCAGGCTGGTCTCAAACTCCTGGACACAAATGATCCTCCCACCTTGGCCTCCCAAATTGCTGGGATTACAGGCATAAGTCACCAAGCCCAACCTCACATTTTCAATAGCTTTGGCAATAGAAGATTTCTGGAAAGGAAAAACAAATAAAACAAACAAACAAACAAACAAAAAACAACAACCTTTTCAGAGCGGCTAACTCTGGAAAGTGAGAGTGAAAGATTATAGGTTGGAATTTTCACTCAGAACATGTATTTTATTTTTAATCCATAGGTGAAAGGAAATAGCTCAAAACACAAGGCATGATTCATGCTATAAGACAGATATACAGTATGATGGGGATTTGAAAGTGGGAGGGAACAGTATTTGAGCTGAGCTTCAGAGAATGGCAGAGGGCTAAACAGGTTGAGACGGGGTTTGGGGGGAGCCTAAGAATCTCAGAGATTGCACAAGTTAGCCATTCCAACCCAGCAGCTGTTGCTGACTTCTGAGACAACGGGCTTGCCTAGAAGGAATTCTTCCTAAACAATTAGTTGCATATAGTGGGTAGGATTTCCTGTTTTCTTTCCTTTCCTCATTTTATCTTGTGAGGTACCTGAGCCGGATCCCAGGGCTTGGGAAACACCTGCTGTATCCACAAGCCATCTACCTGGGCTACAACCTTGGCTTGCTCTGAGATTTTCAGGCGAGCCGGGCCAGTTTGGCCAGACACAGACACGTACAGAAGGAGCCACAGGAACCAGCAGACTTAAAAACAGAAGAGGGCCCCAGCCAGGCCCGTCTCCTGCCCCACAATTGCTTTGAACTTTTTCACCCATCCATGATTCAGTGTCCAACTATCAGATGATCAGACCAATTATATTTTTGGCAAATCACATTGTTCACATTTTTAGAAAATCAAGGCCCAAAAAAGTCTTAAATACAGCGTGTAGGAGCTCAAAGGACCTGAGGGACAACCCGATCCAATCCTTTCATTTTAATGATAGGGAAATTGGGGCCCAGAGAGGAAAAAGGACTTACCCAAGGAGGCAGAGTCTGTTAGCAGCCAAGTCAACACACTATGCCTGGTTGTATTTCAGCCCCAGTGATGAATGACCCTTGCTGCAAACCGGGCCTCAAAGGGGCTTATTGGCAGACGTGAGAAGGAAAGCACATCTGGTCTTTGGAGACCTGAAGTGTATGAGGCACATCTGATCCTTCCATCACTCCACCCCAAGTTCCCCTCTGGCCTGCGTACTGCCTTCCTGGAGTGGAGGTGGAGCTGGAGCTAGGATTCAACATCTGCCCTCTCCATCCCAGAGGCCCGGGGGCTCATTCCTGAGGTCTCAGCTCCTGCTTTCTTATTCTCAAATCAGACTTCTGGCTGGAGAAAACATCTTCCCCTCCCCCCACCCCACTACTGTCTGGGCTAGTCATGGTGGTAATTTGATAGTCATGAAATAACTATAATTTCTGTATTGTCTGGGATCTTATAGAGCACTCCCACTCCCATTATCACACTTAAGGTCCCACATCAACTCAGGAGTTGGGTATTTGGATTCTTATTTTAAAACTGAGAAAACTAGGGCAAGGCATGGTGGCTCATCCCTGCAATCCAAGCACTTTGGGAAGCTGAGACGGGTGGATCACCTGAGGTCAGGAGTTCGAGACCAGCCTGGCCAACATGGCAAAACGCTGTCTCTACTAAAAATACAAAAATTAGGCTGGGAGCAGTGCCTCACGCCTGTAATCCCAGCGCTTTGGGAGGCCGAGGCAGGCGGATCACCTGAGGTCAAGAGTTCGAGATCAGCCTGGCCAACATGGTGAAACCCCGTCTCAACTAAAAATACAAAAATTAGCCAGGCATGGTGGTGCATGTGTGTAATCCTAGCTACTCGGGGAGGCTGAGGCAGGAGAATCGCTTGAACCCGGGAGGCGGAGGTTGCAGTGAGCCGAGATCTCATCATTGCACTCCAGCCTGGGCAACAAGAGCGAAACTCCATCTCAAAAAAAAAAAAAAAATACAAAAATTAGCCGGGCATGGTGGTGCGTGCCTGTAATCCCAGCTACTTGGGAGGCTAAGGTGGGAGAATCAACTAAACCCAGGAGGTGGAGGTTGCAGGGAGCCAAGATTGCACCACTGCACTCCAGCCTGGGCAACAGAGCAAGACTCCATCTCAAAACAACAACAACAACAACAAAAAAAAAAACCTGAGAAAACTGAGGCTTAGAGACGTGATGAAAACTGAGGCTAATAAGTGACAGAGTCAGAATTCAGACCCAGAGGTTTATGAATTTTCCAGAAACTGTATTCTTTCCACCACTCTAAGGCTACCTTTTTTGCTTGTTTCTTGGTAAGGATGGATAGATAGATGAATGGATGGATGGATGGATGCATGAATGGAGCAAATAGTTCCCAAGCACTCTGTGGCTGGCTCTGTTTCAGATGTGAGGATACAGAGAAAAATGAGACGTTTCTACCCTCAAGGAGCCTACTGTTTTACTTTGTGGCTCTCAGACTTTTGCATCCCCAAAGTACCTCCAATGAACAGAAAGAATTTATTCCCCACAGAGGCCCGAGGAGCTGGAGGAGAATCTCACACAGCCAACCACAAGTGAGAATTTTTTTTCAAGTCTCCACTTTTATCTTATGAATTCATGTGAATTTTTTTTTTTTTTTTTTTTTGAGACGGAGTTTTGCTCTTGTCGCCCAGGCTGCAGGGCAATGGTGCGATCTCGGCTCACTGCAACCTCCGCCTCTGTGTTCAAGCGATTCTCCCGCCTCAGCCTCCCGAGTAGCTGGGATTACAGGCACCCACCACCACACTTAGCTAATTTTTGTATTTTTAGTAGAGACGGGGTTTCACCATGTTGGTCAGGCTGGTCTCGAACTCCTGACTTCAGGTGATCCACCCGCCTTGGCCTCCCAAAGTGCTGGGATTACAGGTGTGAGCCATCATGCCCAGGTAATTCATGTGAATTTTTTATGCTATTCCACAACAATTATATGCTTGTTTTAATATGAAAATTTTGCCTCCAGATCTTTTTGGAAAAAAACAAGCCATTCTAGGCAGATGCTCTTGGAAGCATCTTCTAGGAAGAGGTTCTGCTTACCCATAACCTCAGGGGAGACAATGGTATGTTTTTGTATGGTGAAGGCCTTGTTATTCCATGAAACTAAAATTTTGGTAAATAGACTATGTGTGTGTTTGCACACTACACATGTGACACATGTACATGTGTACCTGTAGAAGCTCCAGATTGTAGGCAGAGCTGGTTTCCTTCCAGGGCTATATGTTTCTTTGGCACCCCAAAATGATCCACACTTTTACCCTGGCAACTATCTGTGAACTAACCATGTTCCTCAGCCCAGAAACTAGAACTGAAAAGAACAGTAGGGGTTCTGGAAGGTTGTTTTGTTGTTGTTGTTGTTGTTTTTGGTAAAAGACCTGTTGCATTGCCCTTCTAGCAACAGTAGTAGGGAAACAAGATGGCATCTGCCTCCCAGTGACTGACAGCTGAGGGAGGAAAAAGCCAGGCAAACTTATGGCAGCGTATCTGGGACGATGAAATAGTTATCCTGGGAGATATTTGGGGACTGACAAAGCACTTCCCTGCTTTTGCTGGGCTTCTTAAAACAAAAAGCATGTACTTGGCAAGGCCTGAATGTTGTTCTGCTGTTTGTGCATTGTGTAATTAATTACTGTCTGTTTTTTCTTGGTTTTAATTGAAGATTCTGAGTGCCAGCCTACTTCGGTCATCCTCAGGGAAACAAGAAAGGAGACTTGGACTCTTTCTTGGGCCATAGGTTAAAGGGAGCAGGACATCTCTGGGCAACAGATGTGCTGATAATGGTAGTGAGATCAAAGTATGACAGCTCCAAGTGGCCAAGGGGGTGAAGGGCTGGAGATTATAAAACAATTGCCCCTCCCCTCCTTAAAAGTCTCCTTTTGGCCTTTTTCTTTTTCCAAACCTTGAAGGGTTTTGTGTTTTGTTTTTAATAAGGGAGGCTGTTCCCTTCCCCTGTGGAATGTATTCCCTGAAATATCCTGCTCCAGGGACAAATGAACACAGAGTTGGAAGCCTCTGTTCTCAGGAGCCCTACTTCCTATGTTTTCATTTTTCTTCCCAAAAAGCAAACCAAACTAACTCTTCCTGTTTCTGGGCTTGGGATGTGGAAGGTCACACAGCAGGAACCCTTTAGCAAACAGGTCAGAAGGGGCCTCTGAAAGCTGCCCCTTGGCTGCCCTGCCATGGGGGGTGGGGCGCTGTTTGAATGGAATTTAGTTTTATGGAAAGAAGAGAAGGATGAGGAGAATGACTTTCAGGCTGTGGTGAGGGAACGGCTCTGCTTCTGACACCAGTTTGTTCTGCTTTGTCTCTGCCTTCTCCCCAGGCAGACCAAGGCTTGGGAGCCATGGAGCTTTCACAAGCTCAGCTGCTGATCTTCAGCCATTGGTCACTGTCAGTCAGGAGTACGTGTAGTGAAGAGTGATCAGGACTGTGAGAAACGATTTTAGGAGCTAGGAAAGGACAGATTCTGGGGAGCGCATTATAGATGAGTAGAGACTTGGGTTCTAGTCTCAGTTTTGCTGCCAACTAGCTCTATGCTGTTGTGCAGATCACTTAGTTTCTCTGGGCTTCATTCCCCAGCTGCAACGAGAACATTGGACTGTATGAGCTATAAGATCTCTCCTACCTTAGACTTTGGGAGATTCTAAATGACAGCAGATTGGCCTTAAGGAAGAAGGAACACACTACTTCCAAGGGGTGAAAATAGGACCACTGGGTGGAAGTTGTTGTAAGGCAGATTCTGGCTCAATATAAAGAACTTTTAACAGTATAGAATGAAAAAGGATGCTTCACCATACCTGAGGAGTTTGGTCAAAGCTCAAGTTGGGCATGTAGCAGGAAAGGTAAAAAAGGGAAAATTGAACACCAGATTCGAGCTATGATCGCCAACATTTAATGCAGCCAACTACAGTCTCCAAATGAAACTTTAATGCCGCCAACTCCAGTCTCCAAATGAAATGTTCATGGAAACTTCAAAAAGTCAAATAGGTTTAGTTGAATGAAGCAGGAATGAGATATCCCATAACTCTGTCTTCCTTTCATGTCCCCTAAGACACTAGGGGACACTAGGGCTCCTCAGTACTCAGTTTCAAAAGCATGGGTTAATATAGTCCTTAAGTGCCCTTCCTGCCTTGAGATGTGGGCGACCTCCAAATTTCAAGAGTTTGGTGAAAATGTGTTTTACACGGATCTGCACCATTGGCTGGAACCACTGGATCCTTAAGGCCCTGTCTCAAGAGGTTTTGTCATCTGGAGCCAGTGGGGCTCTATGTTGATCTGTAATAGCTAGTTCAGAGCTGAAATGATAGGGAAGAAAGTCTGCTGAAAGGAAGAAGTCACCAGTCTGATTACCAGAAGTTCTTTTGCTATGCCATCAAAAATAAAAGCCAGTTCTTGGCAGACTCATTGTTTATGTGAGACCTTATGCTTAGTTCTGGGAATCCAGGGGTCAGTCAGATATAGCCATTGTACACCAAGAGCTCATGGTCTATGGGAGAGACAGGAAAGAAAAGAGGCCAATGCAGAACAGTGTGATGTTTTATAATGTAATAGCTATGGACAAGATGGAAAGGGAGGCCAGAGTGTGGCTTGACAGGCCAAGAAGGGGGCTGGCAACAACACACTCAGTGGAGAGTCCAATATGAGAATTCACTGTCTGTCTAGGAAATAGCAAGTTGTCCCATGGGGCTCAGAAATATAGGAACGAGGTGGGAAAGGAAGCAAGAAAGATAGGCTGTCTAAGCTTGAGAGACCTTGAATGCCAGAGCAAAGAAGTTGGACTTTGACCAAAGGTAGGAAATGACCAAAGATTTTTGAGGATGCCTAAGTTTTTCTTTTAAAGAGAGAACTTTGGCAGCAGCATGGAGGGTGAACTGGAAGGGCGAGCATGGTGGCAGGAAGACCAGTTAGGTAGCGGTTGCAACCATCAAGGCCAGAGCTGCTAGGGCCCAGATGGAGGGCTATGCTAGTGTGAGTGACAAGAAAAGGCGGTAGATTTAGGAAGCCTTATGAAGAGGTCCCATGCACACAACTAAATGGCAGCAAATTAGAAAAATGGAGTCCAGGTAACGCCCGTGACTCTTGCTGGAGTGGCTGGGTGCATGGGGCTGCTTTAACCAAGAAAGCGGATTCTGGAGAAAGAGGAGGTTTCCAGAGAAATGATAAAGAATTATGATCTTTAGTGTTGAGTTTGAAGGATCCACAGGACCTTCTGGTGGAAGTGTCCAGTAGCACTTCCCAGGTCCTTTTCAGACCTGTCTTTCCACCTGAAGTTCCCATGCCCTCTCCAGCTCCTGATTTGGAGTGGCCTACACTGTGAAAATGGTCATCTAGGCTATACCTAGGGAGATGTACCTGACCTGACTCTCTAAACCTAGACCTAATTCTGTCTTGCACTCTTGAAAACAGCAACTGAGAACCTGGGCTTCCCAGCCCCTTAGGCCACAAAAGAAGCCCTTACACTCCTCCACAGGCCTGGAAATCCTTCCCCCCATCCCAAAGAACACCTTGAAATTGCCCTTTCCACTGACCCTACCCCCACCTCCCCTTCCTTTCAGCCTGACTTCTGGAGGAGAGGGGGTCAGAGTGCAAAATCAAAATCTTGAGACCCTCTAGTTCAACATTCTCATTTTGCAGACAAGGAAACTGAGGCCCATGGGGCAGAGGTGACTAACTCAAGGTCGCAGAAGGAGTTAATGATGGAGACGAGACTAGATCCTAGGTCTCTCAAGTCACATCCCAGCATTTTTACCTTGGCTGAATTCACTGTGGATCATGGTTAAAAGATTTCCTGTCTCAAATGATAATAAATTCCAGATGCTCCCTAACTAAGTAGATCTTTATACTATTCCAAGTTGCTGGGTAAAATATCTGTCAAATGTTAGATAAGCCATGCCCTGCAAATGTTCTTTGTAAAATAACAAATGTTAAATGACCAGATCTGTCAAGACTCCGTTATAAAAATGATTTGGTCATTTTCAAAAGAAAGGATGTGGATTGAATTATTATTATTCTGATGACTTTCATATGCTTAGTATTTTTGTCTACTGCCCTTGTGAGCCTTGGAGGTGACAGACACCCAATAGCATGTTAAATAAATGTATTTGTTTCCATTTTCTACTGTTCAAATCTGTCTCCCCGCCCCCTCAGAGCTTGGGGGAGGGGTCTGGGGCAGCTGATGGATGAGTCTGATGCTGAGGCCAAGCCTGCAGCCAGACTGGAGCCAGTTGGGTTGCGAGCAGGGGCTCTTGTTACAGGCAAACTATTACCCCACCAGGCCACCTCAGCCACTTCAGCAGGAGCCTGGAGTGAAGCCCCGAATGGCTCCAGGCAACAAAAGGAGCTTTGTGCACTGGGAGCAGGGGGCCTTGGGGAAGATTTGGTGCAAAGGCGGTGGGAGGGAAGGTCAGCAGCCTCCTCACCTCTGTGGGCTGCTGGTAAGCGAGCTAATGAGCTCCGCGGAGTGTGGGGTTTGTAAGTCAAGGAGTCATTGAATTTCAGAACAGCAAGATACCTTAGAGGTCATTTAAAGCAAGCTATTCATTTTATAGTTAGAGACACTAAGGCCCAGAGAGGGAAAGCGAGAGGCCCAAGGACACACAGCTGGCAAAGGTCACAGCCAAAACTGGAACCTGGAGCTTCCGGCCCCAATCAAGTATTCTCACTTCAGCACTTAAGAGGCAGTTTTGAATTGTGGGTTTTATTTGGAGGAAGCGGGTTCCTTTTAGGCTCCAGGACCTTTCCATCTTAGGAGCAATTTGTGCTCAAGCAACAGGGTGTGTGGGTCTGGAAGAAATATGAAGTGATGCTGGGAGCCTGAGAGCATGTAGCATGTCTTGGAGTGAGTCCCTAAGGCCTGAACCTCCTCCTGAGCTGCTGGTTTTACTACCGCTAGCTCTGTGTTTCTCAGTGTTTGATATATATGTTGGCATAGGATGATTTGGGGTGGTACATTGGCATCTGCATCATGATATATATTTAATTTACTACATATTAGGAAAAATGTAACTAGTGCCTCAAAACCTAATTTCATAGATATTATGGCTTAGGGTGAGGTTATTATTTAAAATCAGGTTGATTTAAAGAAAAATATTAAGTACTTAATGGCATGGATGATGTGATGGCAAAAATTCTGAAGTTGGTTCACAAATAAGTGACATTTGGGAAACACTGTGCTAGTGGCTTCTTGGACTGTGATAGCAGGGACTTCAAAGGTAATTCAGGTCATTCTTTTGGGCCTGGGCAGCACCACATGTGTTGAAGCCAGTTGGACATTCCTAATGCTCTCCTATAAGGTGGTACCAAGTGATCCTGTGACAGCCCTTACAAGGTTTCCTCTGTCAGTGGGACCACTAGAACAAAAGCAATGATGTGTCAGATAAATCTTTGCTTGATTCATCCTAATAGAAGGAAGATGAGCTGGGCGTGGCGATGCACCCCTGTAGTCCCAGCTATTGAGGAAGGAGGCTGAAGTGAGAGGATCCCTTAAGCCCAGAAGATTAAGGCCGCAGTGAGCTATGCTGCACCACTGCGCTTCAGCCTGAGTGACAGAGACCGTGTCTCATAGAAAAAAAAAGGAAGGAAGGAAGGAAGGAAAGAAAAAAAGAAGAAAGAAAGAAAGAAAGAAAGAAAGAGAAAGAAAGAAAGAAAGAAAGAAAGAAAGAAAGAAAGAGGAGAAAAAAGAGAAAGAAGAAGGAGGAGGGAAGGAAGGAAGGAAGGGTAGGTAGGAAGGAAGGAGAAAGAGAAGGAGAAAGAAGAAAGAAAGAAAAGAAAGAGAAAGAAAGAAAGAAAGACAGAAAGAAAGAAAGAAAGAAAGAAAGAAAGAAAGAAAGAAAGAAAGAAAGAAAGAAAAGAAAGAGAGAGAAAGAGGGAAATTATTATATACAACTGTCA
Organism: Homo sapiens; assembly: GCF_000001405.40. Classification (NCBI taxonomy): domain Eukaryota; kingdom Metazoa; phylum Chordata; class Mammalia; order Primates; family Hominidae; genus Homo; species Homo sapiens. The sequence goes on along the minus strand of NC_000023.11, from coordinate 68,668,015 downwards.
GCCCAGAGTCAGTATTTTGGCTTTTTTGTCACTAAAAAGTCCCTGGCTGGTCCTCTCCTCTACCACTTCTGTTCTGCTCTGGTCACACTTGGGAGAAATGGCTTAGGAGAATGGGGCAGGCTCAATGTACAGATGAGAACATTGAGGTTCGGAGAGGGGAAGCCTCTTACTTGTTATCATTCCACCACGAGTGGCACAGTCAAGACTGGGTCCCAAAAGAATGCTGATTCTACCACCCCATATTTCCTGCCCCGAGATTCCTGCTCCATGACCCTTTCTGCAGCTCCCCTCAGCCCCACCCCCAGGCCAGTCAGGCAGTGCCAGCCCCCATCGCAGTCCCATCTAGCACAGCTCACTTGATTCAGACCTTCTAAACTCATCGAGGGCCAAGAAGCTGCTAACACTGATCACCTCTAAGAGGACTGCTGGGTGGTTGGGGACTTGGGGTGAGAAGAGACTTTGTATTTTTGTACCTCTTGAATTTTGAAACCTGTGAAGGTATTACCTATTTCTCAAATAATACGTAATAAAACAGATGAAGCGTTCTGCTCACCCCCTGACCTAAATTTCAGAAACAATCACATTTGTTCAGTACTTTGACATTTTTAATGCGCTGTCTATTGTGATCCATACAAGAGTCCCATGCAATAAGCTCCATTTTGTAGATGTAGATGCCAGCCCAGACAGAGGAAGCTACTTTCCTGGGCTCACACAGTGAATCTATAATGAAATTTGGGCTAAAATCCAGGTGCTTTGATTCCCAGTGCCTTGCTGCTACCATTTCCACATCCACATAAACTCATAATTTATGTCAGATTGTTTTTGAATCAGCCTGAAACAATGTGTTCCCATTTGCCTTTAAATAGACATTTTCAAACTTTAACCTAAGAAATAGCAGAAAGACCAGTCCCATCTCAGCTTTGTAGGTGGCAACCTCCTCTGCCTGACCCTACCCAGTAAAAGATAGTCCTGGCTCCTCTGGAAGCCACCCTCCCAGAGCTCAGTGCTGGCACCTCTGCCTGGCACAGATATTCTAAAGAAGTAACTTGGCAGCTGTGGGTGCATTCATCTAAGGGGGTCACTATTTCAGGGCCTGAGGGGTTTCTTTTAGCCTTTGAAGCTGGTGTCTCTGAAATGGAGAAGTGTGTCCTTCCCCTAGTATGGGCAGTGCACAGACCTTGTGCCCTCAGAAGTCTCTGTTGCAAAGCAGAAACTGCGCAGCAAGACGCCTTGGAATGATGATGACGGGGAAAGGCAGGGTGGGGAAGTGGAGAAGCAGATGTATGCTGTATGCTGATCAAAGCAGTGTTCCTGTTTCAAAATAAATCCTCTCTTCTCTGCTGTCATGGCAATGCAAATAAACCCCTCACCTATCAGTTCTTGTTTTGTAGCAGCCACCACCCAAAAACTCAGAGCCGTAAGATGGAAACGTCCTTGGGAAGTCACTAGAATCCTCTCTCTGCATCCTGGCGTGATTCGCCCAAACCAGCTCCAACTACTTTGGAAGGTTCTTATTAGTAAGGGTTCTGGTTGTCTCTTCCAACGTCTTCCCAAGATGCCTTGCACAGGCCCTTAGCATGCCACTTGTTAATAGATGCCTTTCTGTTTTGGCAACCCCAATCCTAACTGTCTCCTAGAAGCTATGCTCATTCAAGTCATGAGCTCATCCTGATGAAAAATTGGAGCCAATGGGAATGGCTGAAGTCAGGCTAGAGCCAGGACGATGGCCTCGATGACCTTAGCAAAGCCCAGCTGATACCAGGAGTTCAGGCTCCAGCACCAAACTCTTCCCTGGCCAGTAGCCTTCTTTCTCTTCCTCCACAAAGCTGTTATCCCTCTCTAGACAACTGTATCCTTCTCAATGGAAGGTAGTTGCTCCCAGTATGCCATCCACTTATCCACACCCAAGTAGGACACCAGAGGCACCAGGAAGATGGGAAGTTGGGCTCACAGAAACTTGTGAGAGAGCAAAAGGAAAAGGCTATATATATCACCTCAGTCTAATGAACTCCAAAGCCTACCTCCTGTTGGAAGCCTTCTAGATAAAGCAAGTGCTGGGAATATAACAGACACTGAACCCCAAATTCCAAGTCTCCTTCCTTTACCCTCCACTTACCTGTTTTCTCTCCTGAGGCATCTCTCACCCCTAATACACTTCCCAGTGGAAAGAAGGCATTTGAGAACAAGGGAAGTATATGGGTGGCTGCCACTTGCTGAAAGCTCTGGAGGGAAGTCCTCCCCTGGCTCTCTGACAAGAGCAAAACCTCCGGCTGAGAAATAAAGAGGCTCTGCACGTGAGCCAAAAAGCAGGGCCCGAGGAGGACAGCAAATGCCCAGTGGAGGGAGACAGAGAGGATGTCTCCGGCTTTTGCATCTCGGCCGTTGGCTCTGCTGCCCAGGGACCTGATCGGTTGCCCCATGAGGACTACTGAGAAGCTCAGTCTCTTTGTATGCCACTTGCAATGCCCACCTCGTGTACTTACCAGCGTTCTTCTTCACCTGCAGCAATGGGAAGCACTGCAAAAGAAACAGAGAAGAAGTCAAGGCATTGCAGAGATGCAATATCTGAACTGAAAGCGATCTTAAAGTTAGCAAGTTCGATCTACCCATTACCCATTTTACAGAAAGACACATGGAGGTCCAAAGAAAAGGAAAATGAAGTAAGGAGCAAAGTGGAGCCCAGACCCAGACTCCTGGCTGCCCACTCCATACAACTGTACTTTCTGCTACCCCATGGCTGATCCTGCTGGTTCACTTCACTCTCCCTGAATGGAGAAGGCCCCCAGGTCAGGGGATTGGAGACACTCTGCCACAGCTCACAGTACTGTTCCGAGGCCTGATAAGAAAGATTATTAAAGAATAAGTCAACATTTGCTTGGCACATACCATCCTTGGTATAGCATCAACAAGGCTAGAAACAGGATGTGTTGGTGGCAAGGGCAGTATTCAGAATTGGAGAACCCAAGTTCAGGGTCACCTTCCCCTGCTTACTGATTATGTGACATTGAACATCACTCATAACCTCTTTAGCCTCAGCATCTGCATTCATAAGACTAGGAAAGCAATAATCCCGACTTCACAGGCTTTGTGACAAATTAACGTACATAAAGGCACTTTTTAAAATGATTAAGCACTCTATAAATTCATGCATTCAACAAATATTTATACAATACCAGTGCCCTTCAGAGCACTATGCTAGATGCTAAGGATATAGCAGTGATCTAGACAGATGAGATCCTTACGCAGCTGAACTCTTAGTAGGAAGAGACAAACAATAAATAAGTAAACAAAGAAATAAGGAAATTTCAGTCATCACTAAGAACCAAGAAGGAGAAACTTTTAAAGACAGGATGAGGTAGAGAGTGATTGAGTGGGGGGATAGAGAGGTGGCCTGAGGGGTCTCTCTAAAGAGCTGAACTTTGAGCAGAGACCCAGATGGCAAGAAGTTGTCAGCAATGTGAAGAGCTAGGTGAAGAGCATTTCAGGCGGATGGTGAAGAGAGAAACGAAGGCCAAATTATGAGAGGCTAAGGCCAGGGTAAGGATTTGGACTTTGATTCAAATTACAGTAGGCAGCCATTGGTGGATATAGAGCAGGAGAATGACAAGATCTGATTTCTACCTTCAAAAGGTCACTCTGGCTGCTGGGTAGGAAGTGGATTGTAGAGCCAGGGTGGAAGTGGGGAGATCTGTTAGGAGGCTTTTGCAGTAGTTCAGGCAAACAATGTCAGTGGCTTGGGCTAAAATGGTAGTTGTAGAGACATTCATTCAATAGTTAAGGAGGAGAGAAAAGAAAGAAGGAAGGAAAGAAGGGTACCTCTTAGAGGTAGAAGGGTCTTCTTGCCTGTTCTCCTTTCACACAGCCAGCCTCTAAACCAACCAAGTGGTTATCAGGAAAATAGTTGCCATAGTATGTGTCTATCTCTTACCCTCTGCACAATGACTGCCATACCAGGTGCAGACACTTGACCACAATGCTTCCTAATCCTAAAAGATTTGTCTCAGCCTTAGATTACCCTAAAATGACTAAAGGTCTGATCCACCCTCGTAGCCCACAATTGGCCACAGGAGAGAGGAGGGATGGGGGATGTCCTCCCGAGTGTTCACTGGCAGGACCCTTGAGGGATGTTAGTGTGAAGGAGATAAAAAGTTCTAGAATGAGATCGGCGTGACCAGAGGAGAAAGACCAATAGCGACAGATATGAAAGTTTGCTACAAAGCTACAAAGTGGAACTATGATTAAGCAAGTCAATATAATTCTCAGTGTAGACAAAGGGGGAGGAAAGAAGAATGAGAAAGGATGAGAGAGTAGAAGAGAAGGACAAAGCAGGCCCCTGTGAGGTCTTAAATGTGACAGTTCTTGGAAATTAAGAGATGAACTGATGGGTGGGACAGACTGTACTCTATGCTCTAGTCCTATTAAATCTCCTACTCCCCCACTCCACCAGCCTAACCCATCATAGTTTTAACAGAATTACAGATAGTTCAGGAGATAAGTAGGCCTTAAATTTAGGGATTTATAGGTTGCAAATGAGTGACCTTCTTTGGCCATTACAACCATCTTGCATGGTAGATTTTATTATCTTCATGTGACACATAAGGCAAATGGGGCACAGAAGTGAAATGATTTGCTCAAGGTCAAGGTAAATGTCAGAACCAAGTCTGTGCTTGAGATCAATAGGGCTCCCAATTTTATGGCACTCTATTTTTTTCTCTCTGAGGTCCAGAATAACCTGGATTGGATCAGGCCCATGAGTCCCACTCTGCTTTTGACCTTAATCTTGATGCTATTTTGGTAGCTGAAAGACTTACAGGGGAAGATAGCATATGAACTTTTGCATCAAAGATTTCTGCTACAAAGTGAAGGCCCTTTTTGTTTCCTTGTTGTAGAACATATCCCTCTGATTTGGAGGTTCTGAACCCAGAGGCCAAGAATCCAAAAGTTATAAAGACAGCCACTCTAGAAGAAGACCAGGATTAGTGGTGACAATCTTCTCATCCAGTGGGTCATTCATTCATATATTCCTTTATTTATTCACTCATTCATTAGGTACCTCCTCAGAGCTAAGTCCTGTGCTAGGTACTCAGGGATTCATATAGATCAGACATATTCCCTGCCCTTGATGAACTCTCAGCTCAGAGGGGGAGTCGATTACATGCACAAATCATCACAATTCAATGTGAGTGCTATTGGAAAGTATAAAGCCTTGTGGAACTGAGCAGAGGGAGTAATTTGTTGCTGGGAGTGGGGGCACATTGTCATAAGGACCCTCATGAAGGAAGTAGTGTTTAGAACAGGTCTTGAAAGCTAAGCAGTTGTTCATCAAGAAGACAAGGGGGCAAAGAGCCTGGCAGGTAGAAGGGAGAGAATAGAAAAGGATGAGGATGTATCAAAGCCTGTGGTTTGTCCCACCCGTCTGTTCATCTCATTTCCCAGAACTGTCACATTTAGGACCTTGGTCTAGCTGGAGAGCAGAGTGCCAGACAGAGAGTGGGAAATGAATCTGAAGCAGCAGGTTAGGGGCCAGATCACGAAGGGCCTTATAGGTCATCTTAAGAACTTGAGACTTTATCTAGAGCCCAATGGAGAGCCATTGAGGGGGCCTAAACAGAGAGGTAACGTAGTCAGATTTATGTTTCGGAATGTTACTCTAACTGTTGAGTGAAGGATGGATTGGGAATGGGGGGCCTAGGCAAAACTAGAGAAGGGGAGACCAGAGGCCCGGCACAGTGGCCTCCCAGCACTTTGGGAGTCCAAGGCGGGTGGATCCCCTGAGGTCGGGAGTTCGAGACCAGCCTGACCAACATAGAAAAACCCTGTCTCTACTAAAAATACAAAAAATTAGCTGGGCGTGGTGGCACATGCCTACAATCCCAGCTACTCAGGAGGCTGAGGCAGGAGAATCACTTGAACCTGGGAGGCGGAGGTTGCAGTGAGCTGAGATCACGCCATGGCACTCCAGCCTGGGCAACAAGAGCGAAACTCCAAAAAGAAAGAAAGAAAGAAAGAAAGAAAGAAAGAAAGAAAGAAAGAAAGAAAGAAAGAGAGAGAGAGAGAGAGAGAGAGAGAGGAAGGAGGGAGGGAGGGAAGGAAGGAAGGAAGGAAGGAAGGAAGGAAGGAAGGAAGGAAGGAAGGAAAAGAAAGAAAGAAGGAAAAACAAAGGGAGACCAGAGTTAGTGGTAAGGTTCTGGGTTGGGCAGTGGTCCTTAGGGTAGGAAGAAGGGGACCAATATATAGACAATTTACATGGTAGAACCAAAGTAAATGATAGGATGTGGGAAGATAAGCGAGGAGTCAAGGATGACCCCAATGTTTCTGGCCTGGCAACTGGGTGGATGGTGGTGCTATTAACTGAAGTCAGGAACAGAGGAAAAAGTTATTTGGGGGTATACGGGGGGAAATCTTCCTGTTGTAATGAATTTCCCCTTAGACCTGTTGAATTCAAAAAAGTCTGTGGAGCATCTGCTCTGAGCAGTCCACTAGGCACTGGGGTAGACCTGCAGATGCAAACATGAACAAAAGCAGATGTGATTCCTGCCCTGGAGGAGCTCTCAGTCTAGTGGGAGATACAGTTGCCAGGCAAAAATAAAAGGCAGATCATGAGTTTTTTCAGAGAAAAGGGAAACACGTTGAAAGAGTGCAAATGCGAAAGCCAGAGCCAAAAGGAGGATAAAAACAGAACGATGGTTGCTGGGTGAGAAGTAGGGAGGTCTGAGAGGTGTAGTTTGGAGACAAGCTGCAAAGGCTATGGACAAGCTTTGTCCAGAACCGGGCCATCCTCAGCCACAAGTGGCTGGGATGGAGCTCACTCTCCCCAGCATCCTCTTCGCTCAGCCTCCAGGCTCTAGGACCAGCCCTTGCCCTGGTATCTGAGGAGATGTCTGGAGAGACTTTTTTTCCTTGCCTTGCCTGGTTTCTCTGCCCCACCTCTCCCTTCCTTCTCTAACCACCTCCAACATCCCCACCCCTCACTCCTAGCCAGTCCTGTGCCATAGACCCAGGCCTAGGACCACAGTCATGAGAGCACGTTCTTCACATTCCAGCCTCCCCCAGCCTTCTCAGCCGGGCCACACAGAGCCCTATTCACAGCTTGGCCCTCCCTTCTTCCAGAGTGGGCTCTCACCGCCCCCAGGCCTATCCTGAGTTTTGCCAGCACAGACCATGGCCACTGTGGAAAGCAGGCTCTCATGAGCCCTCTGGAGCTGACTCCTCTGTCTTGGGGTCTCTCAGCTGGAAGGTGGGTGCAGTGGCTTTGGCCACTTGTACGTACATGGGAGTCCATGTGTGTTCTATGCACTTGGCAAACTTTCTCTAGGCTAGGCCTAGAATAGGGGCTGTTTTGAGCCAGGTTGTCGCAGGACACAGGGGTCAATTAGACACAGGCTGGTTTCTTAGAGCAGCTCACAGTTCAGAGACAGCTGAGTAGAGATGGAGGATGGTATGTGGGCTGAAGCTCAATTGAGCCTGCCACCAGGTCCTAAGTTGGAGCACTGGTGTCACGGTGCCACTTTTAAACCCCATGTCAATGACCTGGAGACATATGCTCATGTTCGGGATGTGATGTCTGCTGGGGATGGGGTGCTACAGCCCTGGAGGATGCCAATCTTGTCCCTGAAAAGGGCAGAGGAGAGCTGGTTTCAAGAAGGACTGACTGACACATTCTGCGCTTGACCCTGTACCTTTGACCAATTCTTTGCTGGGCTTCAGACTTGTTACCAAATGAGAGGTAGGTGCCTGACAATTCTTAGTCTTCTATCACAAAGGAGAGGATGAGGAACAATCCCAGCTGGGAAAGAGCAATGGAAGCAATAAATTCTAGAAGGCTTTTATAGAACTCAGAATCTGGGACAGCCTCCTGAGGAACCCCCAGAACACCTACCTCCCCTCTGTCTCCCCCCAAGGGTGCAAGCTGTCCCACACTGGCTTGGAGTATGTGGGCCTCACAGAAGGCCTCTCAGAAAGCCTGACTTTCCATCTCTATCCACCAGGATGACTGTGATCTAATACCTACTCATCCACCCCCGAAAAGGGCCCCCAACCTATAGCCTAAGGAATGCTGATGGTTTTATAAGTCTCCCCTTGGCAAAAATTCCTACTCCCTCGGACGCTTTTCCCCTTAATTCCTTCCTGCCAGTGCTGCCAGGACATCCTTTCCTCCTGCCCCATCCTGACTCCTCACCTGGCCTGCAGGGCTGCTCCAGGCCTGACTCTTTGCCTTTGAGCCTTTCCCCCAATCTTTCTCCTGCCTTGGGCCCTACAGTCCTCATGTCCACAGCAGGCCAAGAGTAGGGCCAGGGAGGAGAGTCAGCAGCAGCTGCAACCCCCAGGGGTTCTCTGGATAATCTCAGGAATGTAATATCCCAAAGACTTGACTTTCTCACCAGTCAACAGGGACCCTCCTTCCTGCCCAGAACTGCAGAGTCTTTCCGGGAGAGGCGCCCTATAAGGGTGAGTGTAGGAAGGGGCTGGAGGAGAGAGACACGGGGATTCCAGTGTGGGATGGAGCTTCTTTTCCAGACTCTAAACTAGTCTGACCAGGGGTGGGAGCAGGGGCGGGAATAGAAGGAATGAGGAAATTGCTTAAACAACCCACTTCCTGACCCTGAGGGTAGTCGCATCTGTGTTTTCTACTGTCCTTTCACTTCCACAGGATGTCCCCAATTCTAGGCTCTCCTCAGCCAGGGAATGAAGGGAATGGCAGGTAAAAATGTTTCCTCATTTTATAGATGAAAAAACAGAGTCCAAGCTATGGGCCCAGGGTCACCTAGAGCAATCAATCAACTATCTTTACATTCAACTCATATTTACTGAGCACCCATTGTGTGGCAGGCCTTTTCACATAGGTCATCATCACAATCAATTATGAAGTGGGGAATATTCTCCTCATGTTGTAGGTAAGGAAACTGAGGCTTAGAGAAGAGAAGAGGAGGCAGAACCAGGGCTGTTAGATCAGTGTCCTATTTCCATCTATGACATTATATCTTCATACTACATTCTTCTCTCCAGCTCCCAGAAGGCAACCAACCCAAGGTAGAGGAAAGGGCCAGGGAAAGTCAGCCTGCATCCATTTCCAGGGCCTCAACTCCCATTCCCCAAGTGCAGGACTTCCTTTCCCCTGCCCCTTGGCAGCCTCAGCCTTGGAACTGCTGATTGACCTGGACTCTAAGGGCCCTGACAGCAGCAGCAGCAACAGCTCAAGGGCTGCCCAGAGGGATGGAGTTGAGGAGGTCTGTTCCTCCACCCACTGTGAAACCTCTGACCCCAAATCCCAGCAGAGGCTGCCTGAGCTGCTGCTCCTTGTTATTGTTACAAGTGACTTGGAAATGCAGGCCGGGCCCTGGCTCCCAGAGCTTCCCAGGTCCCCAGCTGTTCTCAGGCCCTAGAGGCTGCTGGGAAGACCAAGCTCCAGTGTCGGCTCTTTTCCCTGAGCCTGGGCTCCCCACTCTCCTCCCGAGGGACTTTAGTGGAAATCACTGACATTTGGGAGCAGCATTTTTTTTTCATTTGGCCTGGAAGTTCATAGAAGTATATGTGAAATATAATGAGACTGTCAGAGCTGGAAAGACTCAGAGATAAACCAATCCAGCCTCCTCATTTTATAGGTGGAGAAATGCAGCACAGATTACATGAACATAGTGGACTTTGAAACTAGATTACCTGGGTTAAAAATCCCCAATTCACCACTTAATAGCTGTGTAATCTTGGATAAATTTCTAAACCTTTCTGTGTTTCAGTAAAATGAGGATGATGACAATGATAGCTTGCCTTGCAGGATTATTGTGATGGTGAAATGAGTTAATATATGTGGAGGGTTTCGAACAGTGTACACCACATAGTATGTGCTCTACAAATATTAGCTAGTATCACTTCCTGACCTCTTGGCTAAGATCAAGTGCAAATATTAGCTAGTATTAGTTCTAACTTTCTCTAGTCTTTAGGGGTAAAAGAGAAGTCTGGTATTGCCAATCTGCAGCCTCTTCCAACTCATTTTTGCCTCCCCCAACCTCCACCATAGCCATAGGAAGTATATCCTCCACCCCGCCGGGACCTCCCACTTGTACACCTTTTGGCATCAAAGAAGCTAAAAGCAAAGTAAGAATCTGTATCTGAAGAGACTTAAGTCAGAGTTGAAGCCTTGCTTCCTACTCCCCATCTCACCTTCCCAATGCTCGTCCCCATCTCTTCCACCCCCGAGAACAAATATTATCCAATCTCACATGACTCGAGTAAATCACACCAGTTGTGCTGATGGGGCAAGGGTTAGGAGCTTCGGATCAGGCAAATTTGGCAGAGGGGTCCCCATCCCCATTTCCAGGCTGAGCCTAAGATTGTTCCAGACTTTGCTGTTGCAGGAATTACTCACACTTCAGCATGGCTATCCCTTTGCCTTAAGGACTAGGTGGGATGGCCAATCACAGGTTCTAGATTAACTAAAACTGTTAACGCATTGAACAGTTTCATATACTGAAATTTTCTGGACTAAATCAATCGTGCCCACCAATAGGGCACTTGGGGGTTGAGTGTGAAAAACTCATTTTGTATCCACTAGACAGTAAGCTGCATGAGATGAGGACCTACAGCAGTTTTGCTCACCATTACCTATCTCCTCAAGACCTAACACAGTGTCTGGCACATAGTAGGCCCTGAATAAATATTGCTTGGTTGAACTAGTGAAAGAATGAATTACTTAAGGCTATTCTCAGCCTAAGGAAACTCCCCCACACACACACATTTTGTCCAAGATAACAACAAATAAACATCTCAACAGGCTTTGGGATCATTCTCATTTGATCCTTACTACAGCCCTATAAGGTAGGAGTTATCATTCTCCCCAGTGTACAAATAATAAAGATGAGCAATGCTTACTATGTGCCCCTTTTCTAAGAGCTTTATACATATTAACTCATTTGAGCTTCATAATAACCATGTAAGTTGGGTACTATTATCTACATTTTTTGGAGCAAGAAACTAAGGCTCAGAAAGGCGAAGTAACTTTTTTTCTTTTTTAATTATACTTTTAAGTTCTAGGGTACATGTGCACAATGTGCAGGTTTGTTACATATGTATACATGTGCCATGTTGGTGTGCTGCACCCATTAACTCATCATTTACATTAGGTATATCTCCTAATGCTATCCCTCCCCCCTCCTCCACCCCACAACAGGCCCCGGTCTGTGATGTTCCCCTTCCTGTGTCCAGGTGTTCTCATTGTTCAATTCCCACCCATGAGTGAGAACATGCGGTGTTTGGTTTTTTGTCCTTGAGATAGTTTGCTGAGAATGATGGTTTCCATCTTCATCCATGTCCCTACAAAGGACACGAACTCATCCTTTTTTATGGCTGCATAGTATTCCATGGTGTGTATAGGTGCCACATTGTCTTAATCCAGTCTATCATTGATGGACATTTGGGTTGGTTCCAAGTCTTTGCTATTGTGAATAGTGCCACAATAAACATATGCGTGCATGTGTCTTTATTAGCAGCATGATTTATAATCTTTTGGGTATATACCCAGTAATGGGATGGCTGGGTCAAATGGTATTTCTACTTCTAGATCCTTGAGGAATCGCCACACTGTCTTCCACAATGGCTGAACTAGTTTACAGTCCCACCAACAGTGTAAAAGTGATCCTATTTCTCCACACCCTCTCCTGATGTTGTTTCCTGACTTTTTAATGATCGCCATTCTAACTGGTGTGAGATGGTATCTCACTGTGGTTTTGATTTGCATTTCTCTGATGGCCAGTGATGATGAGCATTTTTTCATGTGTCTTTTGGCGGCATAAATGTCTTCTTTTGAGAAAGGCGAAGTAACTTTCTCATGGTCAACACAGCTAGCAAGTTGTGGCTCAGATAGGTGAAGGGCTTGACTCCATGTAGATGTTTTGGTCTTTTCACTGCATCAAGAACATGAAGTTCAAACTCCCACAGACAAATTTCAAAGTCTCTTGTTCTTCCTCCTCTTCCCATTTCCATTCATTCCCAACACCTCCACTCAGGACAAGTCCCTTGGATCTATGACTCTTCCCTCACATGTCTCCAACCTCACTCTGCCTTGAAAACACTCCTTGCCCTTTTCTTCCAAAGATCATCCCTTCAGATTCAGATTCAATGGAGCATCTACCTTGTAACAGGCTTTTACAGACATCATCTCGCTGGCAACTCCATTAAGTCTTATCCACTGAGGAGAGGTGACAGGCCCAGGAGCACTCAGCCTAGATGTGGCAGAGGTGGACGTAATATCCAGGTCAGTCTCACTCTGTGTCCAGTGCTCCTTTGGCAACACTAAGCTGCCTTCTACTCTGGTCCCAAAAACTGGTCCCAGAAAGCTTCCTAGATCACCCAGAAGCCACCTCACAACTCTCTTGAGCTCCATCTATGCCAATAACCTTACCACAACTTATTATTTTGCTCTAGCCCATGGGCCTGTGCCTCAAAGTTACACAGCATATGTCCAGCATCTAGGCATCTTACAATTAACCATGTCAGGGACAATCCACGGTCTGAATTTTTCACACATATAGGGGGCCAATACCTATCACCCAGCTGACAGGTTATTTGAGTGGGCTGTGGAACTCTGCAGAAAGGGCCCTGCGAGTGAACCTTCCTTCTATGGAGTATAGGCCCTTGCCTTTCCCCCTCTACGTGGTTTTACCATGACCTGAGAGTCTTATGTCATAATTTATTTCTTTGGAACAAGTAATTAAGACGTGGCTGGCTGTATATACTGTCTCATATGTGCACATGTACATTAGTACTTCCACTCACAGACAGACAGACACACACACACACACATCAGACTGACGAAGGGATCTGCAATAGTGTCCTGAGGAAGCGGTGAGCTCCACATCACTGGAGGTGTGCAAGTGTCTGGCCATTCTTTTGGTAAGATGTGATAGAGGCAACTCTGTAGTGATGGCATCGAGGAGTCTCTGAGGTCCCTTTCCAGCCCCAGGAGTTTGTATACATTCATGTGAACCCCTGAATTCTCTATACTCCCCCTGCCCCTTCCACAACAAATACACACTGCATGTGGCAAATTGGACTTACTTGGGATGACAAGGGCAAAGGAATGAAAAAGGAGAGACATCCTGGAGGCTGGGAGTGAAATTGCTGAATCACCCTATCATCGTCACACGTTCACCCCATATCCTGCCAGGCTGCTCCTAGGCAGATTGGGAAGCTGAGAGCTGGCCTGGGGGCAGAGAGGGGCTGGGGTATGGGCAAGCACACATAAGGAGGATGCATGCTCACCTCACTTGCGAGTGTGTGTGTGTGTGTGCATGAATGTGAGCCTGCACAGGGGGTGTGAAACCTCACACCCATATGAACAGGTGCCTGGGAAGCCATGTATAAGAGCAGCCACATGGAAGTCTCATGCATACTTGGATGAGAGCATTCACAGGAGATGGTGCTTGAGAATGTGTGCCTGGGCGAGCTCAGGAAAGCCCTTGTGCACATACACACTCATGTGCATGACCTAAGTATGTGAGTATGGTGCCTAGTGAAAAGCATGGGATCCCATGTTGGCCCACGACTGGGAGGTTCACCTCTATGAGCCTTCCCAGTCCACACGACTGTCTGTCCATGATTTGCTTTAACTCCCATAGAAGCCTTGTGGGTAGGTACGGCAGGGTTGTTAACACATACGTGCATGTATGCATGTGTGTGTGTGGCATGTGTAGAGACATTCCCCCAGTACTGCTTTTAGATTTTACCAGAGACAAGTTGTGTTTGGATTTTGCCACAGAACGAGTAGGGAGATTATGGTGTATTACACAGACCACATTGGAATCCGCTGTGTCCTGATGCCCTCTGAGACCTTGGCCACATCTCTCCCCTCTCTGGGCCTCAGTTTCCTCACTGGTAGTTTGGAGAGAGGAACAGAGAAAGAGGAATAGATGACCTCCAAGGGCCTTTTCATCTCTGATATTGCATGATTATCTACCTATAAGAGGAGGGAACTGAGGGACAGGAGAGAGAATTGACCCTCTCAAGGTCATCCAGAGGTCATGGTTGAGATGGCGCTCCAGGCAGATTTCCCACCTCCCAAGCCAGTGCCCTCTAGGACCTGATATGCCCACCTGAAGCGGAGTAACATGAGGGAGGATTTGTGTTCCGGGCACCCCTTATGTGCATAACACCATGCTAAGTGCTGGAAGGGGGCAAAAGAATACATCAAAGAAATGGTTCTGTATGTATGTGGTGTGTGTGTGTGTATGTGGTGTGTGTGTTTGTGGTATGTGTGATGTGTGGGGTGTGTGTGTGTGTGGCGTGTGGTGTGTGTGTGTGGTGTGGTGTGTGTGGTGTATGTGTGGTGTGGTGTGTGTGTGGTGTGGTGTGTTGGGGGGTGTATGTGGCGTGTATGGTGTGTGTGTGGTGTGTGGGGTGTGTGTGTGTGTGGTGGGGTGTGTGTGCTTGTGTGGTGTGGTGTGTGTGTGGTGTGTGTGTGGTGTATGTGTGCTGTGGTGTGTGTGTGCTGTGGTGTGTGTGGTGTGTGTGGTGTGTATGGTGTGTGTGAGGGGTGTGGGGTGTGTGTGTGGGGTGTGGGGTGTGTGTGTGTGGTGTGAGGTGTATGTGTGGTGTGTGGTGTGTGTGGTGTGGTGTGTGTGGTGTGTGTGGGGTGTGTGTGTGTGGTGTGGTGTGCGTTTGGGGGTGTGTGTGGGGTGTGTGTGGTGTGTGGGGTGTGTGTGTGTGGTGTGTGGTGTGGTGTGTGTGTGGTGTGTGGTGTGTGTGTGGTGTGGTGTGTGGTGTGTGTGGTGTATGTGTGGTGTGTGTGTGTGGTGTGGTGTGTATGTTGTGTGGTGTGGTGTGTGTGTGATGTGTGTGTGCTGTGTTGTGTGTGTGTGGTGTGTGTGTTTGGTGTGGTGTGTGTGGTGTGTGGTGTGTGTGTGGTGTGTGGTGTGTGTGTGTGGTGTGTGTGGTGTGTGGTGTGGTGTGTGTGTGGTGTGTGGTGTGTGTGGTGTGTGATGTGTGTGTGTGGTGTGTGGGGTGTGTGTGTGTGGTGGTGTGTGTGTGGTGTGTGGTGTGTGTGTGGTGTGTGGTGTGTGGTGTGTGTGTGTGGTGTGGTGTGTGTGTGTGGTGTGTGTGATGTGTGTGTGTGGTGTGGTGTGTGTGGTGTGGTGTGTGTGTGTGGGGTGTGGGTGTGTGTGTGTGTGGTGTGGTGTGTGGGGGTGTGTGTGGGGTGTGGGGTGTGTGGGGTGTGTGTGTGGTGTGTGGTGTGTGTGTGTGTGGTGTGTGGGGTGTGTGTGTGGGGGAGTGTGGTGTATGTGTGTGGTGTGTGGTGTGTGTATGGTGTGATGTGTTTGTGGTGTGTGTGTGGTGTGTGTTTCATGTGTGTGGAGTGTGGGGTGTGTGGCTGTGTGTTGCGGGGGAGCGGGTGAGAAACTGACTCATGCATGCTTCGTTGTACCAAGGGGCCATGGATGCCTTCCGGGCCCTGACTGGCCTCCAGGGGAAGACACAGCAAACACGTATTGGACTATTTATACTGGGTTCATCTCACACTTAAACGTCTTGTCCCTTGGCTGCCCCTAACACAAGAGCAGCTCAAAGCAATCCTGAGCCCTGGCCTGGCCTTTTGCCACCTTCCCACCATCCCTGGCTTCTGGGGTGTCAGCCTTCATCTCCCAAATGGATCACTTCTATTCCTAGACCCAGGCATAGTCAAAGTAGAGGGCTGAGGAGTTGTGGCAAAGGAGCAGACTGGACCTGAGACCCTAACCCTGGAATTTTCAAATATAGAATAACCCTCATTCTTTGCTGTGGTGCCTCTAGTACACAGTTTCGGAAGCTGCTTCCAACAAATCATGTGTATTGACCACCTACTCCATGTCAGGCACTTTAAAGACACAGCCTTGCCGAGCGT
The DNA here is from genome assembly GCF_000001405.40 of Homo sapiens. NCBI lineage: Eukaryota > Metazoa > Chordata > Mammalia > Primates > Hominidae > Homo > Homo sapiens. Next base: position 68,652,147 of record NC_000023.11, on the reverse strand, counting down.
GGTGACTTACGCCTGTAATTCCCGCACTTTGGGAAGCCAAGGCGGGCTGATCACTTAGGGTTAGGAGCTCGAGACCAGCCTGGCCAACACGGTGAAACCCTGTCTCTACTAAAAATACAAAAAAAAAAAAAAATTAGCTGGGCGTGGTGGCGGGCGCCTGTAATTCCAGCTACTCGGGAGGCTGAGGCAGGAGAATCGCTTGAACCCGGGAGGTGGAGGTTGCAATGAGCAGACACTGCACTCCAGCCTGGGCAACAGAGCGAGACTCGGTCAAAAAAAAAAAAAAAAGACTTAACCCACCCACCAAATGTTCGTGGCATTTCTGTGAGGCGGGCACTGATTAGTGTCATTCTGCAAACAAGGAAATTGAGGCTCGGAGAAGACTTGCTCGAAGGCACACAGCTAGTATGTGTGCCTGTGGGTGTGGGGTGGAATTGAAACCCAAGTTTGTGTGCTTCACCCCTCCTCATACCTCTTCAGCTGATGAAGGGCTCCATATGGTGGGGGAGGGAAGGGGCTCGGTTTCCCTATCAGGACCATGAGAAGTTTGAATAAGATGATCTGAGAGGGCCCTTTCAGCTCTGACAGGATCTGTCCCGGCCATTCCCCACCCCTCAAACCCCTCAGTCTCCCGCACTCAGGGGGCCTGGCTCAGAGAGGGAGGGTGGCTCACAGCAGCCCGTGCCCTTGACTGAGCTCCCGAGCCCAGAGAGCCTGCCTTTCTGACTGGGGCCTCAAAGCAGCAGCATTGGAAAAGGGAGCACGCAGTCCAAGTGTGTGGATCCGGCAGGCTGCCTCTTAGCCCTGAGATCCAGCCATGTGTTGATTCACATCTGCCAAGGACATGAGCAACCACAGACCTGTGCATATGCATGTGCATGCACGTGGACCTTCACGCCGTGTGCATGCTTTTGTATGTCTACAGGCTTTTTGGAGATGTGCCTGGCTGTGTCTCTGTGTGTCCCTCATGCTTGTGCATAGGAGGGTATGTATCTGATGTGCCTGTGTGCTTACCTCTGTATATGCATGCATGCATATGTGTGTGAGTCTACATCATGCTAGGAATGTGCACTGTCTGTGTGTACATGTGCATTTGCCTGTTTGTGCCAGGGTATATGTGTGTTCGTCTCTATGTATGTGTGTATGCACACTTGAATGGTGTGCCTGTGCATATGTGTGTGGGGTTGAATATGCACAAATGCACGTGTATGTCCTCTGTGGACACACTCATAAGTGAATGCGTGCAAACGTCTGGGACCCATGATAGAGATCCTCAACCTTCTCTTGGGGCTGTCCTAGCCCACCAGTTTTGTTTTGTTTTGTTTTGTTTTGTTTTGTTTTGTTTTGTTTTGTTTTGTTTTGTTTGAGACATAGCCTTAGTCTGATGGCCAGGTTGGAGTGCAGTGGTGCGATCATGACTCACTGCAGCCATCCTCCTGCCTCAGCCCCACAAGTAGCTGAGAAAACAGGCATGCATCACCATGCCTGACTAATTTTAAATTTTTTTTTCTAGAGACACAGTCTTACTATGCTGCCCAGGCTGGTCTTGATTTCCTGGACTCAAGTGATCCACCTGCCTCGGCATCCCAAAGTGCTGGGATTACAGGCGTGACACCATACCTATAATTACTATTCCTCCTCCTCCTCCTCCTCCTCCTCCTCCTCCCCTCCTCCTCCTCCCCTCCTCCTCTTCCTCCTCCTCCTCCTCCTCCTTCTTCTTCTTCTATAGGATCTTGCTCTGTAGTCCAGGCTGGAGTGTAGTGGTGCAATCATAGCACACTGCAGCCTTGAACTCCTGGGCTCAAGCAATCCTCCCAATTCAGTCTCCTAAGTAACTGGGACTATAGGTGTCCATTATGCATCACCGTGCCCAGCAAATTTTTTTTATTTTTCATAAAGGGTCTCATTATTGCCCAGGCTGGTCTGGAACTCCTGGCCTCAATCAATCCTCTCGCATTGGCCTCCCAAAATGCTAGAATTATAGGCATGAGCCACTGCTCTTAACCTAGCCCAACAGTTTCCAAGAGGCTGACAGGGGTTAGGACATGTTTTCTGGGCATCTGAGAAGTTGGGGTAATGAGTGCAAAGAGATTTAAATCCATGCCAAGCACCTAGAACAGTTAACTGGGGTAGGGGACAGAGGTGCCTCTCGGGCGTCAAACCTCAAAGGCACTTTAATTTTCCCTTCCCTCGTCATTATCATTCCATCCAGCTCTCTATCATTTCTTCCTCTCCCATCCTTATTTCCACTGCAGCTGCCTCCTTCCTGGCCTCTGCATCTCCACTTGGGCCCTTCCACACCATCCCTGCCCACTACTGCTGGAGTGCTTTTTCTAAAACCGTCCACTTAATTATATCCCTATTATGCTGAAATCAGCCCCTTATTCCCCAAAACAGTAGTCACCAGACTTTCAGATTTCATGGATGAGGAAAGTGTTCTTAAATAAATAAATAGGGAAACAATCAGCATGTCGCAAACTTTGTAATTTTGCTGAGGGCAGACATTTAAAAAATTTCTCACTCATATTTTGTAGGAGAAAGATCATTTGAATCCCCACCCCCACAGGAAGGACACAACAGTCTCCAAATAAAGAATAGTCCTTTGAGTTGAATTAATTTAGTTTTATGAACACTGCACGACATTATCCCTACTTTTCTCTCATTCCACCACAGATGGTTGAAAAATCTCATTCAGGACCCCTACTAGATGAGGACCATGAATCCACAGATTAATTCCAAACCCTTTGGGAAGTAGTCTCTGCTTCCCTTTCTCAAGCTCCTATCCTCTCTAACCCTACATTTGAGCCACATCACGAAAGAAGCCTTTCCCCCAGCCCACTACCATTTGACTGCCTCCAAACTCTAGCTCACGAAGTTCCCTCTGCCAGGCATGCCTGGAATGCCCTTCCCCCACTTTTGGACTGACAAACTCTTCTCTTCCTTTAAGCCTCAGGCTCAGCCCAAATGTGACCTCCTGTGAAACCTCTCCAAGTCCCTCCCGGTGGAATGGATCTTTCCTTCCCAAAGGTCCCAGCATTCTTTCATCCTGTCTTACAGTCAGGCTAGTCGTTTGAAAGTCTTCCTACTGGGTTGGACTGTGGGAAACCACACAGCGTCAAGAAAGGCATGGACTTAGGAGCTCAGATCCCAGCTCTGCCAGTCATATCTGAGCAACCTTGTAAATATTTCTTAACTATTCACAGTGTCTTTTCCCTATCTATAAAAGCAGGAAAACAATGGGTTGTGCTGAGGATCACTGCCACATGAATGAATTAAAAGTGCCTAGGTCTGGTACATAGTGGATACTAAATAAATATTAGTTTCTTGGTTCTTGAGAGTGGAATCATGCTTTACACACACTTGTGGGTTCGGCTGTGCTCATGTATCCCCCATGGCCAGGATATAGTAGACACTCAACAAATATTTACTGACAAACTGACTATTTAGCACAATGTCTGGCATATAGTAGGTGCCTGGTAAATATTTGTCACTTTTCTTATATTCTCTTTGAGGACAAAAGCCATGTCCTTCTTTGTCTTCTTTTAAAAAATGGAGATGGGGGTCTCCTTATGTTGCCTAAGCTGGTCTTGAACCCCTGGCCTCAAGTGATCCTCCCACCTCGGCCTCCCAGAATGCTGGGATTACAGACGTGAGCCACTGTGTCCAGCCCTTTTTTGTCTTTGTGTAGCTCCAGTGGTGCCTAGCACAGAGTATGTGCTTTTATATATATGGATAGAAATTAATAATAATAATAATAATAGATACCATTGTTTGTGTGGATGCTCCACACCAGGCATCCTGCTAGGAAGCTTACACACATTATCTCCTGGATTTGCATACATTTGCTATGTAAACAATAACACCAACCTCATCACCCCGTAAGGTTGGTGTTACTATGGTCCTCATTCTAAAGCTGAGAGGAAACTGAGGTTCAGAGAGGTTAAGTATCTTGCCTTTGTGGCAAGATCCAGGAAGCAACAGAGGCGAGTTTTATTAAAAAGAGCCAACTAGCAGACTTGTTTGTATGGGAATGCAACAGAAGGTCACAGAACTGGTTAAGTGACAAAGGTGAGACTTGAACCCAAGCCTTTCTAACTCCGAGAGCCTCAGGTAGTCTCAGAAGCCCGTCTGGTCCGTTTTCCCAGCTGGTGCGCAGTGGTCCACATCTGCCTCCTTCCCCCCTGAGCAGCGGGATGGGCTGGGGCTGGCCAGTCACTTACCTTCACCTTCCTGAAGCAAGACCAGAAAACGTCCAGCAGAGGCATGGTGGCGCGTGGGGAGCTTCTAGGGCCGGCGGGGCTGTGCCGGGCACCGGCTCCTCCCTCTCTGGGGACGAGGCTAAAAGAGGCCCGGGGCTCGGCGAGAGCCAGCCCGGTCCCTGCGCTCCATGAGCCGGCCCCGCGAGGGGAGAGGCGGAGAGCAGCGGTTGCCGGGGCTCAGCTGCCTCGACAGCGGGCGCCTCCCGCCTCCTGGAAGGCCACCGAGGGAGGGAAAAAAGGAGGGAGGGAGAGAGGCCGGCTAAGGAGGAGGGACCAGGAGGCGGGTCACTGATTCAAACTCGGCACCGTTAGCCAGTTGGCTGGAACGGGACAGCAATGCCAATTGAAATTCCCTGAACATTACAGTTCCCCGGCTCCGGGTGTCCGGCCCTCCTGCCGGCTCCCCTGCCAGCCCCGCCACCTGCATGCTGGCATTGCCTGCCTGCTTGCTTCTTGGCTGACTGACACGCCAGCTCTCCTTGGGGACCTCTCGGTAGAGCCCAGACCACACAGGGCCTGTGGAAAGAGTGCCAAGGAAAAGGGGCAAGGAAGGAGAGCCCCGGCCCCAGCAGGACCGAACAAGGTGTGAATGCAGTCCACGGAAGGGGAAAAGCTTGCAGCCTTAGAAGCCCCTCTCAGACAGGTGCCCTGGCCCTGCCTCAGTAGATTATTCTCCAGCCCTCTGAAGTGAGGACTCTTGACTCACTGTGGCATCTCGGAGAGGCCCCTTCCTCCTGGGTCTCAGTTTTCCCAGCTGTACAATGAGATGCCGGGTTAGAGGTCTCTAAGTATCAAATCTGTTTGGGGTTAGGTACAGGGCAAGTCTCAAAGAAACTCCACTCTGGACAATCACAGTTCCTCTCAGAACTCCCCTGCTGCTCCTGGGAGTCCATAGGAAGTCAGGTCTTGCCCCAAAGAGAATCTGAGCCCTCAAATGCCATTTCATCCATCCCCCTGCCCCAGGGCATAACAGCAGCTCTCTCCCAGCTCAGATAGACTGGGTGTATGCCCTTTTCTGAACATCTTCTGAAGAGATGATGGCTTCCCTCCTTTATCCAGTCCCATGCTCAGGACCCTCTAAGCCCAGAAGTTTAGCCTGAAATCTAAACTTGAACCCTCTGGATGCCCTGAAAGGAAAGAAAGTCAGCAGCAGGCAGTTCTAGAGGCTTTCTGGGCAGAAAGCCATTAAGAAGCAGTGACCCTCCCCCTCTCTCAGCCCCTCCCCAGACATCAGAAGGCAGGGTGCCATGGCTGGTAGCCAGAAGGCTCCCAGGGACCCCATGGCAAAAGGCCAGGCTTGGGTCTCTGGAGGCACATGTCATCATGAGGCCCAGAATAACTAACTCTCCCTGGCCTCACTTCTGTTTCAGAGACCCAAGCTAGTCAGGCAAACAGCCAGGTCCTGGGACCCTGGAAGGTCCTAGGTTGCTTTAAGCAAGCCTCTACCTGCCTTCGGGGACTTTCTTCATCAGTGGCTTTGTCCGGAGGTTTGTCCAGAGGCTCTGTGAGGGTCCCCCCAGCTCTGTTTACAACTTACTCTGTGACCCTCAGTTTCCTCGTTTGTACCAAGGAGGCTGCAATCACTGACCTCACCCTCTCTCTAGCTCCGACCTCAGGGGTGTCTCAGATGTGAGTTCTGTTGGGCTGTGTCGGGAAGATGGTCAGCAAGAGCCAAGGTAAGTGGCTTCCAACCCACGTCCAGCTGAGCACAGGCTTATAAGGGGAAGCCCTCTGCATGTGGGGGAGGAATAACACGAGGAGTCAGAGCCCAGAGAGAGTTTTCTCCTTTGAGCATATGCCCTCCTGCCCTGCAGCCAGAGACCTGAGGATGGAGAACTGGGAAGCAACTATTACAGGAAAAGCTGCCTGCCCTCCTAGGATGGCCTCATAGTCTTTCACTCTCTGGAGTTCACCTCCTTCTTTCCATTCCAGCCCCTGGGAGGAGATGTGTCAGCCGTGCCTTTGGGCATTCATTCAGGAGGCATTAGTGCGCAGCACACCACATTAAGCTAAGAAACCAGGAGACTTCAGTTTCAATTCTGGGTCTCTCACACCAGTTTTGTCTTGAGGTGGTTTTAAGCCATGAACTCGGAAGTTGACTGCCTGGATTCAATACTAGTTCTGTTACTCTTTAACTGGTGACCTTGGGCCTGTTACTGCCTTAGTGTGCCCATCCGTAAAATGGGGAATAATAATAGTACCTACTTCCTTTGGGAGGTTTAAACAGAATGAATTAAAGCATGTAGTATAGTGTCTGGCATAAAGTACGTTCTCAATATATGTTATTTGTGGCTCATTCTCCATCAGCCAGGAAGGATATTGGTGTTGAGGTTGACATACCTATCAAGGATAATAACTACCATGGCTTCCAGTGCTTTGATGAAACCTCAGACACATGGGTTTCATATTATTGGAGCATTTGTTGCTTCCCTGAGGGTTGCAGCTCTCTATGTTTGCTCTGACCAAACCAAGGAAGAAGGCATGTGCAGATTTTTACAGAAATTATGATTCCATAAAAGATTTTGAGGAGATGAGGAAGGTTGGTACATTTCAGAGTACAAAGTGATTTTGGAATATAAAGAATTTCTTTGGGTTGAATTACATAGAAGTTGGTCACAGACCTGTGTTCCTGAACTATGAAATATGAATATGTGGGTTAAGAAATGGTGTCTCATCATAAATAAACAATTAACAAATAAAAATAAATCTCATTTGGTATTATTGAAGAAGCAGAGGCTTTGGAGCCAGACAGACTTAGATTTGAATCCTGGTTCTGCTACCTCCTAACAGTGTACCCTTACAAAAGCCACTTCCCTTCCCTAAGCCTGTTTCCTCATCTGTAAACTGAGAGTCACTGCTTACATAAGGGGACTGCTGTTAGGAGTTAATGAGATAACATATGCTTGGCACATAGTAAATGTTCAATAAATGTTAGCTCCCTTCCTCTCTCGTCTTGTCCTGAACGCTCCTGGCTCTCCCTGCTTCTGGTAAAGCAGAAGGAGCATTGATTTGACATTATTAGATATGACTTTAGATCCAAGCCCAGCTACTTTTTTGGTTGCATAACCACCTTAGACAAGTCACATTACCTCTGGGACCTTTGGTTTCCATGGCTATAATAGGAGAATAAGGATAAAGATCTCTACTCACCTCCCAGGTTTGTCATTAAGAAAGAAGGAACAGGCCCGGCGCGGTGGCTCACGCCTATAATCCCAGCACTTTGGGAGGCCGAGATGGGCAGATCACCTGAGGTCAGGAGTTCGAGACCAGCCTGATTAATATGGTGAAACCCTGTCTCTACTAAAAATACAAAAAATTAGCTGGGCATGGTGGTGGATGCCTGTAATCCCAGCTACTCAGGAGGCTGAGGCAGGAGAATCGCTTGAACCCAGGAGGCGGAGGTTGCAGTGAGCCGAGATCACGCCATTGCACTACAGCCTGGACGACAAGAGCGAAACTCCGTCTCAAATGTCTAAAAAAAAAAAGAAAAAAGAAACAAAAAAAAAAAAAAGGAAGAAGGAACATGCAGGACCTGATGTGAAGTGGGTTCTCTCAGTTAACACAAGTCCTCCCTCCTCATATCCCTCTTCCCCATATACCCCATGGGGGATCTGAATCAGGCAGGTTCTCCCTTGCCTCACACTCAAGGCCTGACACAACTGGCATAGCAGTAATGAAATCTGCTTTCTTTGGGTGGCGGATATGGAGAGTGTATCATTCAGCGTAGCTGGAACCCAGAGGGGCTGGGCAACTGTGCACAGGCAAGCAGGGAGGCTAGCACATCAAGCCTCGCCTGATCAGCTGCTTGATTTCTCCACCTGGGAACTGGCACTGCCCACAAGAGGGTGTCTTGTTTAAGGCCCAAGTCACTGGTCTTTGCCAAGGAACCCAGGTGAAGGAGAAGACAGGCCCATTATGGCTGAGGCCCATGAGGAAGGAAGAATGGCCTCCCTCCCAGAGACACTGTGTCCATTCCTGTGCCAGATATTGAGCAGAGCACATCTGTGACCATTGGGGGACCAGAGAGAAAACTATATGGAATGAGAAAGGAAGTCAGACCTACTAAACGGGACCGCGGTACACCATTAAAAGTTATGAATGATTTGATGGAGTTTTTATTTACGTGGGTTACATCTATCCATGTTAACTATATTAGAAATTAAGATGGAAACATTTAAGGAATATTGCTTGATTGATTCGTTCGTTGTCAAAGTCATGCTTAAAGATTAAACATGTTAATATAAATAATATATTCTAGAATATATTTTTAATATTTTATGAAGTATAACAATATTTTACAAAACAAAAATAAATTTACCGAGAAGAGTGGGGAGATTTTACATTTGTTGTTATTCTCTTTGATGTTTGGCTGGATTCAGAAGCTAGCTGCTTCTGTTGTGTATTGAAGTATGTAAAGAAAATTCTGCCTCCTGCAGATATGTTAGTTTGAAAAGACCTCCTTGACCTTGACCTTTGGAAAGATTCTCAGGGACCTTCAGGGATTCTTTTCTTTCTTTCTTTCTTTTTTTCTTTTGAGACAGGGTCTCAATCTGTCACCCAAGCTGGAGTGCAGTGGCACGATCATAGCTTATTGTAGCCTCGAACTCTTTTGCCTCAGCCTGTTAAGTAACTGGGACTACAGGTGCACGCCACTACACTTGACTAATATATATATATATATATATATATATATATATATATATATATATATAATATATACTGTATGTAATTTAATAATTTAATATATATTCTATATACTATATACAATAAAATATATTCTATATACTATATACAATAAAATATATTCTATATACTATATACAATAAAATATATTCTATATACTATATACAATAAAATATATTCTATATACTATATATAATAAAATATATTCTATATACTATATATAATAGAATATATTCTATATACTATATAGTATATAGAATATATTCTATTATATATAAATATATTTAGAGATGGGGGTCTCACTATGTTGCCCAGGCATTCCAGGGATTCTTGGACCACAATTTGAGAACCACTGCATTAGAAGATCTTAATTAGACCTCATTAGAGAGTCCTGGAACATCTGAGCTGGAAGAGTCTTGCAGAGCATCCTGTTTGAAACCCCCCTCATTGTGCAAAAAAAGGAAACTGAGGCCCAAATAAGGAAGGAGAATACCCAAATTCACACAGCAAGGCAGTGGCAGAGCTCAGAGTTGGATCCAGGTTTCCTGCTTCCTAGGAAAGTTATTTTCCCACCGCCTTTGAATAAAATACAGCTATATATTCTAAGGGCGGCAGCTGTGATACACTGGAGAGTACCTGAGTCTGGATGATAGAGAGGCTTGCGTCCTAGCACTAGACCTGTAATTGATGCAGCAGTCAGATATTTTTAGAGCATCCAAGAATCATAGCATGGATGCCAATGAGGTAGTGAGTTTCCTGTCACTAGATGCATACTAGAAAAAGATTGGCTTAGCTAACCACTTGGGTTCCTAATAGCTTCAAGAGTCTAAGAGAGGTGACTATAAATGGTATTTACTTACACCACAGTTCAGGCAGGGTTCCCATGGCAGGGCCAAATCAGTCACTTTTCCACATTGAGACAGGGACATGGTAGGCAGGAAAATATTAGAAGAATTCTTCCTCATTTATTTTGTTAAAAATGATTTATTTATCTATTTACATTCTACTTTTCATTCAATGATATCCATTCATCCATTCGACAAATATTTATTTGACATCTACTCTCTGCCAGGCAATTTGCTGGGTGCCTTGTTCCAATAAAAATCATAAGTGATTTCAGATGAGAATAATACATCTCATTGCACTAGAAAAGTACCTCTCTCATCTCCTTTTATTTCAATCTCTACCTGTTTATTTTATGCTCATTTAAGCTCTCTCTCTCTCTCTCTCCATATATATATATATATATATATATATATATATATATATATATGAAGGGATTTATCAGGAGAATTGGCTCATGAAATTATGGAGGCTGAGAAGTCCCACAACAGGCTGTCTGCAAGGTCTGCAAGCTGGAGACCCTAGAATGCTGGTAACGTGCATGGCTCAGTCCAAATCTGAAGGCCTTAGAACAAGGGAAGCTGAGGTGTAACTCTCAGTCTGAGGTTGAAGGGCCTGAGAACCCTGGTGTTGTGGAGGAAGCACTGGTGTAAGTCTAGAGTTCAAAGGCTGGAGAACCTGGAATTCTGATGTCCAAGGACAGAAGAGGAAGACTGTATGCTAGCTCCAGCGGGTAAATCAACACATTTGCCTTTTCTGTTTTTGCTCTCTGCAGGCCTCCAGCAGACTGGCTGGTGCCCGCTCATATTGAGAGTGGATCTTCCCCACCTAGTCCACTCAGACTCATACCCTGATCTCCTCCAGAAACATCCAAAAATAATGCTTTACTAGGTTTCTAGGTGTTCCATAATCCAGTCAAGTTGACACCTAAAATTAACCATTACAGGAGTAATAGTGAAGAATCAGAAAAGTAAACTTGGACAGAACTTGGTGTTTGTATTTCATCATTTTTTTCCTGGTTTCTGAGCATATGCCAATCTTTCAATTAATGCATTCCACTATAACAGAGGGAAAGAGCTAAGCTTGGTGGAAAGAAAATAAAGTTTCTAGCATTCCACAGGAAGGCAGGGACTTGTGAAAGGCACAAGTCTTGATTTCCATTTCCAATCATTACCTTAGAGAATAAAAGCATAGAAGTGCTCCTACGAGACAAACATTTGTGTAACAATCTCCAAACAACAGCTTATTCTCTTAGAGAGAAATGTGGTATTTTACACAGCTCCTCAAGGGCAGAAACTTTCTTCTGAGGGAACATGATTTTCCAAGGCATGTGTATTTTCAGTGCAGAGCTATACACATTAGCATCTAGCGCCTTCTGCTAATAGGTCACAGGATCTTATATCCAGGCCTTTTACTTTCACCTATGTGTTCATTCAGTAGACCTTACTGATTACCACTCTGTGCTTGGCGCTGAGGATACAGAGATGATGATGATGATGATGATGATGATGATGATGATGATGATTTATAACAATTGCTAAGATTTATTGGGCATTTTTTGTTTCCTCTTTCCATTCTAAGCACTCTCATTTAGTTTTCACAGTAACATTATGAAGAAATTATTCTTATAATTTTCATTTCATGGATGAGAAAACTGAGTCCCAGAGAGGTAAGAAATCTTGCTCAAGGTCACACAGCTGGTAGGTGAGAGAGCTGGGGTTCAAACAAAAGCCATCCAACTCCAGAACCCATTCTTTTACACTTTGCCATCTGTTCAGATATGACCCCCACCCTGGCAAAGGGCTGACTCATGCTCTACAGGAGAGTTAAGCCAACCAGACAAAGAGCCTTGATCCAAAATACAGCATGAGGGGGTGGAAGCAGAGAGTCAGAGAAAGTGTTATTGGAGGCTAGATGAAGGTCAACTCAAGGAATAAGAAAGCTTGAGGGAAGAGGTGGCATTCGTGTTGATGAGCAGGTTTTGGGGAAGTGATGGGATGAGTATTCTCGACAGAAGAAACAGCATAAGCAAAGGTCTAAAAGTAGGAATTCAGAAATTACATATGAAGAAGTTCATTCAAGATGTCTCTAGTATAGGGTTCATAGAATCGCAATACTGAGCAAATAACAGTACAAGGTGCCCAGTTAAAGTTGGACTTCAGATAAATTTTAATACAAGTGTGTCAAACTCACCTTTAACTGGTGTCCTATATTTTATACAGCAACCCCAAGAATGCATAAATGGGAAACTAGAATGAGAAAGGGCAGATTAGAATCAGATCACACAGGACCCTCAACATCAGGTTAGGTCATTGCCGGATGATCTTGCAAACTTGCCTCTCTAAGCCTCAGTTTCCCCTATCTGTAATGTGAGAGCACTGGACTAGACCAATGGTTCCTAAACCCAGTGCACAACTATATTCCAAAGTGTAGATCCCCAGGCTCTTCCCCAAATTTCCTGAATCTGAACCTTAGGGAGAAGAATCTGGTTCTCTGGTGATTCTGATGAACATCTAAGTTTGAAAACCAATGGGCTATGTGGCTCTAAGTATCCTTCTAGCTTCAGTATTCTTTGTGACTGGTTCAAGAGTGATTATACCAGAGAGGTAAGCTATACCTTTATACTATTAAGTTCCTGAGTCCCTTCCTTCCCTCAGCTTTCCTCACCAGTGAGGCCCAACCATTTCTATAAAAGACTTTGGAACTCCCCTTCCATTCCTCTCCCAGCTTCCAGAAGGCTCCATGTCAAATGCCCATACTACAGGGAGTTCTGGCAGATAGGAGGCAGCTGATCATTTTTGTGTGTGTGTAAAATGTCCCTTGCCTTGTAGGAGTTTCTTGGGATGGGATGGAGACTGGTGTTTGGTGTGTCATCAAGGCCAACGGCCTGACACTGAGGCAGGCCTAAGCATGATCTCTAGAAAAGACATGAGATACCCCTTGGAGAAGTGAAATTCCTGATGTTGGAAAGTCTGGTCTTCCACTCAGCAGGGCCTGAGGTGCGAAATATTGACTTCCCAGCTCAGGAACACAAGGCCCCTGCCTCCCGCCACAGTGGCTACTGCCCATAAGTAGGTCAACTCAGCACCTCCTAGCTCCAGTGGCTTCTACTCCAACCAGCTTGGTGTACTGAGAATTAGAGTCAGGGCAGGGGATATGAGATCCCCAAGGACCAGGCTCTGCTATGTTTCCTAGCCAGAGCTGGCAGCCTCCACCCTGGGCCAACCCACTTTACCTCTCCAAGAGGCCCACTTGCCAACAGGCCAATCCTGCTGGGCCTCACAGGAAGTGGTGGCAACTGGAGGCTGAATCCCATAAGCATCTGTCAGTAGGATTGTAGGTTATCATCAGCCCAGCAATTTATGCACAAGGTGGTGGCACCAAATGCTCTGGTATCAGGGCTGTCGTCTTGGCTCTAACAGGTCAGCCAGAACCTGGCAGGGCTGAGAGAGCAGGGTTGGGGGTGGGGGGGAAGGGAGGAGTCAAATATTGGGAGAGGGGGACCGAGAAACGGGGTGGGAGAAAGAAACAGACTGGCTTGGAGCAAGGTCTGGGTCAGTGACACTCTGGGCCTCCTCTTAGGGCCCCTGGATGGCCCAATGGCATGTCTCAAGGCCTAACAGAGCTCAGGGAGAGCCCAAGTTAGTGTCAGCTAATGCTGGAAGCCCCTGCTAGCCTTGGTGGGTAGTCAGATTTCCTATTATGGGTTATCATGGCCACAGTTTGCTGAAGCAAGCCCAGATGCCCTGAGAGATGGAAGGACCTGGGCAGGCTTTGCTATACTTGCAGTCAGGCAGGCAGAAGAGACAGAACAGACAGAACAGGCTCTCTAGAGAGCTGAGGCAATAGCCAGAAGTGGGGATGCCCAAGGGAACAGCAGAAGTCTTCAGTCTCACACAATGTCTTGGGGAGGACACAGCAACTGACGAGGAGTCCAGGGATGGGTGACGCCAAATACTCTAGGGGACAGTTGGGGTGGGCAGGGGGGTGGGGGCAGGTGGCAGCAAGACCTTGCTGGGGGAAAAGGGGCCAGATTTAAGTCTGTGAGGGGATCAGCAATAGCAAACCAGAGCTCAGCTATCACTTTACCAAGGATGGAACCCAGGGATCAGAGCTGGCGTGGGCAAGGTGGGGACTTGGTCTTTATTTCCAGTCAGAGCCCAGTGACTAGAACATGGGCATAGGGCCAGGGCCAAACCACGGCAAGAGTCTGATGTGGAGGCCAGCAGGTGGGCCCAGGGCTGACCAAGTGTCATCATGGGGGCCAGAGATGGAGCTGGGCCTGAAGGTGGGGTCAGAAGTTCTCAGCTATGGGGGAAGGAGATGAGCAGCAACTGGGCACCAGGCAAGGTTAGATAGTAGACATCCCACAGGGCAAAGGCCAGTCCAAAAGTGCCTGCCCCCCTGTATTTGACACAACACAGCTTGTACAGCTCGACTCAGACCATGCTATAGTGGCAAGAAGGCTTCCCAAGAGGCCCAGCCTCAGCAAAAGCAAGCCCTGAGCTGTGAAGTTGTGGCCTTCTTGGTGACTTGGTGAACCATAAGACCTGGAACAAGCAGCCACTGCTGGGCTGATATGCTTCCATTTCTCTATATACCATCAATCCATAGAGCTGGAGGAAGAAAAATGCATGAAATATGTGGAAGGAGAAAAAAGCAAACTAAGAGTAATAAGAGCAATGATGAGATGGTGAAAATAAAATAAATAACAACAGAACAATAAGAAGAAAGTATAATGATGAATTCTAACAAAATAACCACAACCACAGCTAACATGCATTGAGCACTTACTATGTGCCAGACACCACTCTAAACACTTTCCATGTGGATGACCTCAGTTCCCCAGACTACTGAGTGGCCTTGGGGCCAGGCCCCAAGGGGCTGAGCCAGGCCTAGGGGCTCAGCTTGTGGCCCAAACCAGAGCTTTTCTCTATCAAAGGCACAGTGGCCTTTCTCAAGACTGCAATAATTGCCATCAGCTTGTTGGCACTGGGACCTGACCACCAAGCCTCTTGCCCCTCTTCTAGTGTCCTGGCCCCCAAATCGACAGAGAGTAGTTTTAGAGCTAAGTCCTGACCCCATGCGAGCAGGGAAAGCACTGTCCTGGCAATTAGGAGGAAGAAGGACATAGGGTCCAGTCCTGTCTGAAGCAGCACCTAGCCATGGGATTTGGGACAAAGCACTTCTTTGTGGAGTTCAATTCTCGCATGTATACATTTCATTTATTCGTTAAACAAATATTTATCATTATATGCCAGACACTGTTCCACTCACTGAGGACACAATAGTAAATGAGACCAACACAGTCTCTGCCCTCCTGAAGCTTACATTCCAGTGGGGAAGACAAGCTATATTAAAAAAAAAAAAAGTAAATATGTAGAAAATCAGACCCTTATATCAGAAGGGAAGGAAGACTAGGCTGAGAGGCAGTAGGCATACCTCATAGTCCTAGCCCAGCCCCTTATAGCTTGGAAATCTTGGGCAAATCTCTGCATCACTCCAGGCTGCATCACTCCAGGTCTCCTATTCTGAAAAATCTGGATAAAAGTCTCTGTCCTGTGCACCTTCTAAGTGGTTATTTTTATGATGAAATGATAAAAAGGATGTCAGAGCAACTGAGGCTCTGTGAGTGCTATGCAAATGGAGGGGGGATTTATCATAGTCCCAGTAGCTAAGCTGGCTGTGGGAGAGGTGAACTGAGACAAGGAGAGCATTGTGCTTTTCAACCCATTTATACCTTTTTCAGAAGACTGGAACTCTATGAGAGCAGCTTGGCTTTAACATCAGCTTCTACTAAGTTAAACATTTAAATCAAATGAAACTCACACATGAGTTTTAAATATACAAACACCTGGGTACAATTCAGTACTGTTCTCGCTGGTCTTCAGCTGTTCTTAATCCTGAGGATTAAACAAGTCAAAGCCTCTAATTTTTTTTAATTGAAAAACACCATGGAAATGCATTATTTCCTCCTAGAATCCTCTAACTTGGAATTATGCACTCCGGTGGGGCCTAATTGTCTGGAAGGTCTAGTCATTTGGGCGTCAAAGGTGAGCATATATTGCCACAGTGTTGGGATGGGATGGGTTCCTTGGGTCCACCTGAGGTCCTCAGAGAAGAAGGCCAAGCTGCACTAGGTCGAGCCACTAGTGGGGAGAGGGGCTTACTGCCGTCTCACACAGAGAGAGGCCCTTGGGAGGAGAGGGACTTCATCTGGCAGCATAAAGAAAATAAGCCGTTCAGTTAAATATTGCAACAGCCTCCTAACTCTTCTCCCTGCCTCCAGCCTCCACCCTCTACCCCTCCAATCTGCTTTCCAACATTGCTTACAAATTGTGGGTAAGGCAATTGTGCTTTTAAACATTTTAAAAACATAAATACTACATGAGTAGCTTTTTGTAGCAAACAATATTAATAATAAAGAAGTCTATAGACTTCTTTAGACTGGGGTTTTTCGTCCTCAGCACTATTGACATTTGGGACTGGATAATTCTTTGTTGTGAGGGCTGTCCGGTGTCTTGTAGGATGTTTAGCAACATCCCTGGCCTCTGCCCACTAGATGCCAGCAGCACTCTCCCAGCTGTGATAACTAAGAAACATCTACAGACATGAGAAAATATCCCATGGGTGGCAAAATCTCCCCCCATTGGGAATAATTGCTAAAGAGTAAAAAGTGCACGTCCCCCTTCACCTCTGCCAAGCCCACTGCCCTCCTCAGAGATAATCATCATTTGACATTGATCATTCCAGGCCTTTTCTATATATTTTCACGCATATGTATATACCTAGCAATATGATCTTTCCAAAATGCAGATTTGATTGTATTACTCCTGTGATCCAATTTCTCTCCAATAGCCTGCATAAGAAAATGCAAAATTCTTAGCCAGGCAAACAGGGTCTTCAGGACCTGACTTCTTCAGACTTTTGTCCTGCCATCACTTCCTTGTGGTACAGCTCCCCACTATAAAGACTAAAAATGCCATAAACTCACCTTTCTAGCCTTTCTTGCATTTAGGGCATGGGAAAGGAATGTCTGATGGGGAGCTTCCGGGAAAGGTTTTCCTGCCTGCTATAAGAACACACATGGAATGAAGGGGTCCTCTCATTCTTCACTGTATGTGGTTGAGCCTGCATGCAACACAATAACCATCTTGCAATCAAAAAGAGAGATCAAAGATCATGCCACTGCATTCCAGTCTGGGTGATGGAGCAAGGCCCTATCTCTAAAAATTTTTTTTTAATTTAAAAAAGAGAGAGAGATGTCATTGACAAATCAATGATGATTGAATGGAAGGATAAGAAAGCCTCTGAATCCTTGATGACATCATCATTGAGCCACTGAACCTGCCTGGGAACCACCTACCTTTGGACTACTTATCATGTGAGATAAGCCAATGTGTTCATGTGTTCATAATACTTTTAGTTGGATATCCACTCACTTGCGGTTGAAAGCATCCAAACTAACACATACCATATTCCACCCATTTATGGTTGCCTAACACACTAGTAAATGCCTTTGTGCGTGCTGGTGCCTCTCTCTGCCTGGAATGTATTTCCACTGTATCTGCATGACAAATACTATTACATCAAGTCCCATCTTAAGTATCACCTCCTACCCTATGAAGCCTTTCTAACCATCATCCTATACCCAGAAATGGTAAACATCCCCCTCCTTCATGAATCTGTTTCATCTTGTTAATATTCTATTATAAAATGTATCATACTGAATTGCAACTTATTTGTTAGTCTGTGAGCTTCTTGAGGGATGAGGCTGTATCTGATTCATTTCTGAATGAATGTGCTCATCACAAGGCTTGAAATAGAGTATACTTAGTAACTTTTTACTGACTGGGTGTCATGTCAGACCCCTATTGATTCCAATAGGGATGGCACTGTGTCTGAGAGGCCACAGAAGAGAGCTGGATCCAGTAAACAAGACATAGGGTTTATTGGAGATTTACATACGGGGTGGTCCAGGAGGGGTGGGCTCGACAGGAAAACCAATACCATTTGTAAAAAGCATGCAGTTTATACAACATTTTTACTTAGCACTCTCCTCCTAGCAACCTCCATCTAACCCAAAACAAAGGGCCTTGGTTCCTTGCATGTCCTGTGTTCCAAGAATTGGGCCAGGGGTTCAGATGTTCCTCATAGATAAGGAATGAATCTCCGGGTTGGCCACTCCTGGATTCCTTAGCTTGGAACTCTGAGCACACATTCTTCTTAGACCATTCTCAGGTCATTCTCAGGGTATGCTTAAGTTATTACTCTCAGGTGCATCTGCCATACAGGGGGGTGGATGGTTAAATGGATTAGTGAATGAATAAGGAAATGAATGAACTGGCCAAGTCAGCTGGTAGGGAGATGGTAAACAGCCCATTTCTCTGAGTGCCTTGCTTCACTTCATGCTGGCTGGAACCCTCAAAGATCAGGAAAGGGCAGATTACCTGAGGTCAGGAGTTCGAAACCAGCCTGGCCAACATGGCAAAACCCCATCTCTACTAAAAGTACAAAAATTAGCTGGGCGTGGTGGCGGGTGCCTGTAATCCCAGCTACTCAGGAGGCTGAGGCAGGGGAATAGCTTGAACCTGGGAGGCGGAGGTTGCAGTGAGCCAAGATCGTGCCACTGCACTTCAGCATGGGCGACAAGAATGAGGCTCCATCTCAAAAAAAAAAAAAGAAAAGAAAAGAAAATCAGGAAAGGGGAAGATGCCATGGATAGGAGAGGCCCTTATAGATAGGACTTCACTCCATTCATATTGCAGCTCTGTCACCACTCCTTTGTCCTTCCCCTTTCTCCTCACTACTAAGCTCTGCCTTTGAGTTGAAGAAGAGAAACAAAGGTTAGCACTCAATTATTTGTTCCAGAAAGAAGTAATCATCTCAGGGTACATGGTCCCAATGAGGTAACCTAGCCACTTGTTCCTCAATATGCTAGGGGCTTGTTACAAGTGTGGAATCTCAGGCCCCAACCCAGACCTTTGAATCAGAACTTGCATTTTTACAGGATTCCCCGGGTTCTTCCCATGCACATGAAAGTTTAAAGAGCATGGCTGTTTAGCTCTCTATGGAAGGAGCATGGCATTTGCTCAAGTACAAACAAGTGGGGCTTCTCCCATTCGTCAAAACCTCATGGAAAACCATCCCAGAGCTTGTCTTCATCACAATTTTAGATGTCTTTTCAACTTTTTTGTTCAGAGTGTTCATATCTCACTTAAGACTGTGGTTTGCCATCCTCCAACCTAGCTCTGTTAGGGACTGCCTGACAACCACAGAGCTTGAAGGAGCACACATGCTCGGCAATTGCTCTTTACCTGTTTCTGAGCAAGCCCTTCTGGAAAGGAGGGAGGAATAGCTCAAGCTTGACTCCCAAGGTCTTGGGAAGGAGGGTCTTCCAAGTTTTTCTAAGAGGGTGGCCTTCTAGAAACCCTGGGTAATAATAATAATAATGGTAATAGTAATAATAGTACCACCGGAAAGTGGTACTTGAAATATTTCACAGCTGTGGCACAAGCTCTGACCAATCAGAATGGGCCCCTACCAGAGTGTGGCTGCTGAATATCATACTTGACCATACGGGATATTTGTAGAGCAATGAACACTTTCTTAAGCCCTTTCACTCTCACTTGAACTCTCCAACATCCCCCAAGGCATGTTTTGACCACAAGTAAAGCAAGGCTAAGAAAGGTTATGTGACTTGCTTAAAATCACAACAGCTGGGAAGTGGTGGAGCTAGATTTTTGAACCCATCTGTCTTCCTCTCCATTCTGCAGTTCCCACACTATGCCATAATTCTTCCTCCCTTTCTGGCCTGGACACACCCACACCCCATTCTTCTGGAGTTCTCCCTCAGCTTCAAGGACCAATTATTCAGCATGGTGCCTCATGTAGGGAGCTGGTAAAGGAGACAGGTGAGCCAGGAATGTCTCCTCATCTCAGGCCGCAAATGAAAGAACTGGCAGGGGCCTTCAAAGTAATGTAACCCAATGCTTCCATTTTGTAACAAGTAAACTATACTCTTGATAAAAGAGACAGGCTGAGCATCACCTACAGAACCAGAACAGACTTTTAGGATCACTTAGCCTAACATCTCCCCGTCACTCCCATTTCACAGATAAGAGAATGATGACCCAGAGGGAACTGGCCTGGCTAACAGAGCAGGTTAGTGTCAGAGCTAGAGCTCAAATTAAGGCTTCCTTATGGATTCAAGACACAGCTCATTCTATCATTCCATTCTGGTCTCTCAGACATTTCTTCTTCAAAATAAAACAGGAGAACCCCTCTATACTATAAGAAGCACCTTTAAAAGTATCCTTTCTCATTGCACAGCGTTGATTTGCAGGGAAGATTGATGGAAAGCTCTTGGTAGAAGGAGAAAAAGAAAGAGAATCACTTCATGGAGCCTTCCACTTTCTAACTTTTTGGAATTTTGAATCCATTTGAGCCTGTTTTGTTTTTATTCCTCATCTGGAACTTTTCAAAAAGGCATTTGACATTGCAGTAAATTATTTTACACTACAGGCCACCTTGTGTAACAATCAGATCATTCCATTTTGCTTACCCATGGAGGAATGCTGCCTTTTGGACTGTTTGCAGCTTTCTTCCATGATTTGTTTCCCATTCCACCTTTTCTATCCTGCTTTCATCCCCAGAGTGTAAGAGCCAGACCCAGGGCTAATCAAGGAAAAGGAGAAGAACAGAGGAGGGGTACAGTCCTGCAGCCCCAACCTGGAGCCCTCTGCCAATCTACACCACAGGATGAGGAAATCTCATACGGAGGGAGCAGAGGGGTTCACAGACAGTTCCAGCAAACCATACGCTCCCCATCTCCCTCTGGCTCTGAGCCTGGAATCAAGTTTGCGTGGCCTTGGGAGTCATAGCCCAGCTTTGCCATTCACATTCATGTCTCTAAGCTTCAGTTTCCTCAAGTACAAAATAAAGATGAAAATACACACAAGGTGCCATGTGGAGACCTGCCTATAGTGTACGTGAAAAGTATGTGGTGAATAACATAAAGGAGTCACACTTTCATGAGATGTGCCGCATGTTCTGGTATATGCCCATGCCTACTGATGTTACGGGACCAGCTGATGCATGTGTGTGGGGAAGTTCCAGCCCTGGCTGAGGGCAAATCAGAACTCCTGCTTAGTAAGTGTGTGTGTATGGAGGGGAAAGCGGGGAGCTGTGCTTGAGGAAAGGTCTGTTGAGAGGGTAGACGGGCTCCAAGGCCAAGTTGAGCCCAGAGCCCTTTGCTGAGTGGCCCTCAACCAACCGAACACATCCCATGCCCTCTCGGATGTCATCCTGGGGCCTCTGAGGGCTGCCCTTCAAGGTCAGGAGACAGGGGGGTGGTTGGCCAGGGACAGGCTCAGCCAGCCTGAATTGACATTGTCAAGCCCTAGAGACCCCTCTTCACAGGGCTGGGCTGGGCCAGGCTGGGGGCAGGGCGTATAAAAGCCACACACCACTCCACAAGCAGCCCTCCAGCTTCCAGGGCGCCAGGTCTGGTGGCAGTGTGGGGTCAGGCCGTGGCAGCTGACGGTGGAGCTGGCAGATGGGAAGGAAGAGCCTCTCTTTCTGCTTCCTCCCGCTTCTCCTCCCCCTCCCAGGTTTTTTCTTGGGAGCTGCAGCCCTGGAGGGACACTTGTAAGGATCCCAGACAAGGAGGTAGGATCCTGAGGGCTGTTCAAGGACTCTGGGTACCCATAGCCCCAAGGTGAGCCGGGAGCAACGCTGGGGGCAGAGACCAGGGCTCCAGGAGTGGGGCAGCTTAGCCTCAGCCCTCCCCTTCCCTGCCTTTCCCCCAGGCTCCCCACCCTTCCTTTTTCTCACTTTCCTCCCCTGGCCCCAGGTACCCCCCATCCTCAGAGGACCATCATGCCACCCCCACCCCCGTGCTCTGCAGAAGCCCTGTGCATGCTGGACTTGCAGATGCCCCACCCCCATGGGAACACACAGAGGAGCTCACAGAAGCAGAGCGTTCTGGAAGGAAGGGACCCTAGAACCAGGGCCCACCCCATTTTTTCCAGATGAGGAAAGTGGGCCTAGCCAGGGAGAAGCAAGCTCCAGGGCTGAGGACTGAGACTAAGCTGGGCAGAGGGGAGCACTCCTGTCCTCGCCTGTTGTGTGTGGGGTGTGGGGCTGTGTCAGAGGCAGGCTTGCCTTTGCTCATCTCCTCTCTGCATGTTGTGACCTTTGGAATCTGGAGGGCAGGAATGGGGTGGGGCACCGGGGTGGACATCCTGCTCTGGGCGTCTGTGCCACTACGGTCACCAAGTGCTCTGTCCACGGTGACCCCACCTATTTGTTAGGGCTGGGCAGGCAGACCTCCCCGAGGGGTTGGGCGGGGGGTGCTCCATCTGCCTGCAGCAGAAAACCTCTGGCCCCTTTGAGATGGGCCAGTAAGGTCAGTCCAGAGACCCATCCTGGGTGTCAAATGGGACCTGTGGCACTGTCATGGCCCGGGGGGTCTACTGAGTGGATGCTGGGGCCCAGCCTTCCATCAGGCTGGCACACTGACTGGTGTTGATTGAGGGGAGATGACAGGCCCCCGCGTGTCTGGGAAAGAGCCAGGCCTGGGTTATCCAGCTCCACCTGCCCAGTCCAAGTGCCTGGAGGCAGTCATGAGCTGCCCCAGACCTCTGTGTCTGAGCTTAGGGAGGGCGAGGACAGAGAGGTTAGGTGACCCCTGAATCTCCCCTGGCCTGGGCCTGGTTCGGCCTGTGCTCCAGAGTCCCTCACTGCCAGCCCAGGGCTCTGAGCTCAGCACAGAGCTCCTCCTTCCAGGGTGCCCTGGGGCGAAACAAAAAGTTGATTCTCTGAAGGCCGAAAATAATGGCAAACCTTTAACTGGACAGATTAGGGAGAGGGGGATGCAGAGAGAGAACACTAATAAAATCAGAAATAAAAGAGAGGATGTTACTACCAACTTTACAGAAACAAAAGGGATTATAAGGTGTATTAGTCAGGGTTCTCTAGAGGGACGGAACTAATAGGATAGATGTATATATGAAGGAGAGTTTATTAGGAGAATTGACTCACATGATCACAAGGTGAAATCACACAATAGGCTATCTGCAAGCTGAGGAGCAAGGAAGCCCGTCCGATCCCAAAACCCCAAAAGTAGGGAAGCCGACAGTGCAGCCTTCAGTCTGTGGCTGAAGGACCAAGAGCCCCTGGCAAACCACTGGTGTAAGTACGAGAGTCCAAAAGCCAAAGAACTTGGAGTCCAATGTTCGAGGGCAGGAAGCATCC
Organism: Homo sapiens; assembly: GCF_000001405.40. Classification (NCBI taxonomy): domain Eukaryota; kingdom Metazoa; phylum Chordata; class Mammalia; order Primates; family Hominidae; genus Homo; species Homo sapiens. The sequence goes on along the minus strand of NC_000023.11, from coordinate 68,629,105 downwards.
AGCATGGGAGAGAGATGAAGGCTGGAAGGCTCAGCAAGTCAAGTCCTTCCACGTTATTCCGACTGCTGTATTCTAGCCATACTGGCAGCTGATTAGATGGTGCCCACCAGATTGAGGGTAGGTCTGCCTCTCCCAGTCCACTGACTCTAATGTTAATCTCCTTTGGCAACACCCTCACAGGCACACCCAGGAACAATACTTTGCACCCTTCAGTCCAATCAAGTGGACACTCAATATTAACCATACCATAATGGAATACTATGAACAACTCTATGCCCAAAATATTAGGCAACTTAGATGAACTAGACAAATATCTAAAAAGACACAAACTACCAAAAAGAACTGAAAAAAAGAGAAAACTTGAATGGATCTATAACAAGCAAAGTTATTGAATTAATAATAGAAAAATTCCTACAAAGAAAAGCTCAGGACCAAAATGGTTTCAATGGTTAATTCTACCAAATGTTTAATGAAAAATTAACAGCAATCCTTTAAAAATGTTTCCAATAAATCAAAGAAGAATTAATGCTTCCCAACTCATTCTATGAGGCCAGTATTACCCTGATACCAAAACCAGAAAAAGACATCATAGGACAAGAAGTTACAGAACAATATTCTTTATGGATATAGATGCAAAAATCCCCAACCAAATACTAACAAACTGAACCACCAACATATAAAAAGGATGATTAACAATGAATGGATGGGTGCAGTGGCTCATGCCTGTAGTCCCAGTACTTCGGGAGGCTAAGATGAGAGAATTGCTTGAGTCCAGGAGTTTGAGACCAGCCTGGACAACGTAGTGAGACCTCATCTCTAAAAACATCAAAAGGTTAGCCCAGTGTGGAAGTGTAAGCCTGTGGTCCCAGCTACGTGAGAGGCTGAGGTAAGCAGATAGCTTGAGCCCAGAAGGGCAAAGTTATAGTGAGTCATGATTGCACCACTGCACTCCAGACTGGGCAATACAGTGAGACCCCCAACTCAAAAACAAAACAACGAAAAGAATGAGTAAGTGGGATTTATCCCAGGAATGTAAGGTTGGTTCAATGTATAAAAATCAGTACATGAAATACACCATACTGATAAAATAAAGAGCGGAAACTACATGATCACCTAAAAAAATGAAGAAAAAGATTAGACAAAAATTCAGCTCCCTTTCATGAAAAACCATTAAACAAATTAGGAATATAAGGGCTGGTCACAGGGGCTCACACCTGTAATCCCAGCACTTCAGAGGCTGAAGTAGGAGGATTACTTGAGCCCAGGAGTTCGAGACCAGCCTAGGCAACATAGTAAGACCCTGTCTACCAAAAAAGAAAAAAAAAAGCCAGGTGTGTTGGTGCATGCCTGTAGTCCTAGATACTCAGGAGGCTGAGTTGGAAGGATTGCTTGAGCCCAAGAGGTGGAGGCTGCTGTGAGCCGTAATTGTGCCACTGCACTCCAGCCTGGGTGACAGAGTGAGACCCCATCTCAAAAATAAATAAATAAATAAAATAAATAAATAGAAATTAAGTACCTAATAAATGAAAAGATAGCTCATGTTTATGAACTGGAAAATTTAATAATGTTAAAAGGGCAATATTCCCTATTGAGCTAAAGATTAGATGCAATCCTTATAAAAATCCTGGCTGCCTTTATTACAGAAATTGACAAGCTGATTTGAAAATTCATGTGAAAATGGAAGAGTCAGAATAGCTAAAGTGTTCTTGAAAAAGAATAAAAAGTTACAGAAATTGGACTTCCTGATTTTGAAACTTACTACAAAGCTATAGTAATAAAGATAGTATTGGACGGTAATTTTGTATCCCTTGACCAACATTTCCCCAACCTTCCCCCACAACTGCCTCAGCCTCTTGTAACCACCATTCTACTCTCTACTTCTGCTACAAGTTAATGATGATATATTGTATTGAAAAATGCTAAGAGAGTGGATGCTAAATGTTCTCACCACAAAAATGATAACTATGTGAGGTAATACATATTATAAGTAGCTAGATTTAATAATTCTACTATGTATATATACTTCAAAATATGTTATACATGATAAATACATATAATCTTATTTCTTGATTTAAAATAAACAAATTTTGGAGAAAAAGATAATATAGGACTGGAATCAAAATAGATACATAGGCTGGGTGCTGTGGCTCACGCCTGTAATCCCAGCATTTTGGGAGGCCAGGACAGCAGATCACTTGAGCCCAGGAGTATGAGATCAGCCTGAGCAAGACAGCGAGACCCCTGTCTCTACAAAAAATAACAAACAATTAGCCGGGCATGGTGTTGTGTACCTGTAGTCCCAGCTACTCAGGAGGCTGAGGTGGAAGGATCACTTGAGCCCAAAAGGCCAAGGCTGCAGTGAGCTATGATCACACCGCTGCACTCCAGCCTGGATGACAGAGTGAGACCCTGTCTTAAAAAGAAAAAAAAAAAACAGCTACATAGACCAATGTAATATAATTGAGATACCAGGAATAAAGCCTTCTATTTATGGTCAATTGATTTTAGACAAAGGTGCCAATAATATTCAATGGAGAAAAAGTGGTCTTTTCAACAACTATTGCAGGCACAAATGGATATCCACATGCAAAAGAATTAAGTTGAATCTTTAGCTCACACCTATGCAAAAATTAAATCAAAATAATCAAAGATTTAAATGTAAGAGCAAAAACTATAAAACTCTCAGAAGAATACATAGATGTAAATCTGAGTGTCCTTGGATCAGGCAATAGTTTCTTAGATATGACACCAAAAGCACAAGGAACCAAAGGAAAACATAAATGAATTCAGTATTATCAAAATTTAAAACTTTTATGCATCAAAAGACACTATCAAGATAGTGACAACACACAGAATGGAGGATACTAGCCAATCATATTGGATAAGATCTACTATCCAGCATATATAAAGAACTCTTACAACTCAACAACAAAAATACAAATAATCTACCATAAAAATGGGCAAAGGATTTGAATAGGTGTTCCTTCAAAGAAAATATATGAATGGCCAATAAACATATAGAAAGAGGCTTAACATCATTAGTCATTAGGAAAATATAAATCAAAACCACTATGTGATATTCTTCACACCTACTAGGGTAGCTAGAATGAAAAAGACAATAGCTCCTGACCTCAAGTGATCCTCCCACCTCGGCCTTCCAAATTGCTGGGATTACAGATGTGAGCCACCGTCTAGCCAATATGGTGAAACCCCGTCTCTACTAAAAATACAAAAATTACCCGGGCGTGGTGGTGCTACTGTAATCCCAGCTACTCTGGAGGCTGAGGCAGGAGAATCACTTGAATCTGGGAAGCAGAGGTTGCAGTGAGCTGAGATCACACCTTTGCACTCCAGCCTGAGCATCGCAGTGAGACTCTGTCTCATATAAATAAATAAATAAATAAATAAAATTTTTTTAAAAAGACAATAGCAACTGTTGGCAAGGATGTGAAAAAATTGGAATCTTTGTATTGTTGGTGGGAATGTAAAATAATGCAATTGCTACATCCAGAAGAATGAAATTAGACCCTTATCTCACACCATATACAAAACTCAACTCAGATTAAAGACTTAAACCTAAGACCTGAAACTATAAAATTCCTGTAAGAAAACAGGAGAAAACCTCCATGACCTTGGTCTGGGCAATGATTTTTTGGATATGATCCCAAAAGCACAGCCAAAAAAAGCAAAAATAGACAGGATAACATCAAATAAAAAAACTGTGAAGCAAAGGAAACAATCAACAGCATGAAGAAACAACCTACAAATTGGGAGAATGTATTTGTAAACCACGTATCTGATAAAGGGTTAATATCCAAAATATATAAGAAACTCAACTCAAAAGTAAGAACACAAATAACCCTATTAAAATATGTCAAAAGGACTTGAATAGAAATTTCTCAAAAGAAGACGTACAAATGGTCAACAGGTATGTGAAAAAATGTTCAATATCACTAATCATCAGGAAAATGCAAATTAAAACCACAATGAGATACCACTTCCTACCTGTTAGAATGGCTATTATCAAAAAGATGAAAGATCATCAGACCTGTTGCAGAAGAAATGCTAAAGGTAGTACATCAATTAGAAAATGATGTTAATGAGCAATAGAAAATCATCTGAAGGTACAAAACTCACTGGTAATAGTAAGTACACAGAAAAACACAGAATATTGTAACACTGTAACTGTGGTGTGTAAACTACTCTTAAGAACAAAGACTAAACAATGAACTAATCAAAAATAATAACTACAACAACTTCTCATGAAACAGACAGTACAAAAAGATATAAATAGAAATAACAAAAAGTTAAAAATCAGGGGAAGAAGTAATTCATAAAGTCTTCATTACTTTTCTTCCTGTTTGTTTATTTGCTTATTTATAAAAACAGTGTTGTCACCAGCTTAAAATAATGTGTTATAAGATAGTATTTACAAGTCTCATGGAAACCTCAAAATCAAAAAATATACAATGTATACACAAAAAGATAAAACGCAAGAAACTAAATCATATCACCAGAGAAAAATCACCTTCACTAAAAGGAAATAAAGAAGAGAAGACTACAAAACAACCAGAAAACAAATAACAAAATGGCAGAAAGTCCTTACTTATCAATAATAACATTGAATGAAAATGGACTAACCTCTTGAATCAAAAGAAATAGAGTGGCTGAATGGATAAAAAACAAGACCTTGTGGTGACTCACACCTGTAATCCCAGCACTTTGGAAGGCCAGAATGGGCAGATCACTTGACGTTATGAGTTCGAGACCAGCCTGGCCAATGTGGTGAAACCCCGTCTCTACTAGAAATACAAAAGATAGCTGGGCATCTTGGTGCATGCCTGTAATCCCAGCTACTTGAGAGGCTGAGGCAAGAGAATCACTTAAACCTGGGAGGCAGAGGTTGCAGTGAGCCGAGATTGCGCCACTGCACTCTCCAGCCTGGGCGACAGAGGGAAACTCTGTCAAAAACAAAAAAAAAAAAACAAACAAAAAAAAACCAATGACCCGTTGCCTACAAGAAATATACTTTACCTATAAAGACACATATAAGCTGAAAACAAAGGGATAAAAATTATATTTCATGCCAAAGAAAACCAAAAAGAAAGCAGGAGTAGCTATATTTATACCAGACAAAATAGATTTCAAGACAAAAACTACAAGAAAGGACAAAGAAGGTCATTATATAATGACAAAAGTGTCAATTCTATAAGAGGATATAACAATTTTAAATATATATGCACCCATCACTGAAGCACCCAGATATATAAAGCAAATATCGTTAGAGCTAAGGAGACAGGCCTCAATACAATAATAGCTGGAGACTTCAACACCCTACTTTCAGCATTGGACAGATCTTCCAGACAAATAATCAACAAAGAAACACCAGAAAATCTGCACGATGCAACAAATGGACCTAACAGATATTTACAGAGCATTTCATCCATGGCTGCAGAATACAAATTTTTTTCTTCAACACATGAAACATTTTCAAGGATAGGCCATACGTTAGGTCACAAAACAAGTCTTAACATATTCAAAAAAATTGAAGTAACATCAAGCATCTTCTCTGACCACAATGGAATAAAACTAGACATCAATAACAAGAGGAATTTTGGAAACTATACAAATACATGGAAATTAAACAATATGCTCCTGAGTGACCAGTGGGTCAATAAAGAAATTAAGAAGAAAATTGAAAAATTTCTTGAAATGAATGACAACAGAAAGATAACATACTAAACCCTATGGGATACAGCAAAAGCCATACTAAGAGGGAAATGTATAGCTGTAAGCACCTACATCAAAAAAGAAAAACTTCTAATAAATAACCTAATAACGCGTCTTAAAGAACTAGAAAAGCAAGAGCAAGCCAAACCAAAATTAGTAGAAGAAAAGAAATAATAAAGATCAGAGCAGAAATAAATGAATTTGAAAGGAAGAAAAGAATACGAAACTCAATTAAACAGAAGGTTGGTTTTTTGAAAAGATAAACAAAATCGACAAATTTTAGCCAGACTAAGAAAAAAATAGAGAAGACCAAAATAAATAAAATCAGAGATGAAAAAGGAGACATTGAAACAGATACTGCAGAAATTCAAGGGATTATTAGTGGCTGCTATGGGTAACTACATGCCAATAAATTGGAAAATCTAAAAAAAAGATGGACAAATCCCTACACACATACAATCTACTAAGATTGAACCAAGAAGAAGTCCCAAACCTGAACAAACAAATAACAAGTAGCAAGATCAAAGCAGAAATAAAACATCTCCCAGTAAAGAAAAGCCCAGGACCTGTCGGCTTCACTGCTGAATTCTACCAAACATTTAAAGAAGGACTAATACCAATCCTACTCAAACCATTCCAAGAAATAGAGGAGGAGGGGATACTTTCAAACCCATCCTTCGAGGCCAGTATTACCCTGATACCAAAACCAAGGATACATCAAAAAAAGGATCACTACAGGCCAATATCTCTCACAAATATTGATGCAAAAATCCTCAACAAAATACTAGCACATTGAATTCAATAATACATTAAGAAGTTCATTTATCATGATCAAGTGGAATTTATCCCTGGGATTCAAGGATGGTTGAACATATGCATATCAATCAATATAATACATCATATCAACAGAATGAAGAAGAAAAACCATATGATCATTTCAATTGATACTGAAAAGCATTTGTTAAGATTTAACATTCCTTCATGACAAAAAATCCTCAGAAAACTGGTAATAGAAGGAACATATCTCAATATAATAAAAGCCATATATGACAAACACGCATGTAGGTATCATACTGAATAGGGAAAGACAGAAAGCCATTCCTCTAAGATCTGGAACACAACAAGAATGCTCACTTTCACCACTGTTATTCAACATAGCACTGGGAGTTCTAACTAGAGCAATGAGACAAGAGAAAGAAAGGGCATCCAAGCTGGAAAAGAAGAAGTCAAATTATCCTTGTTTGCAGATCATATCATCTTATATTTGAAAAAACCTAAAGACTCCACTGTAAAACTATTAGAACTGATAAACTCAGTAAAGTTGCAGGATACAAAATCAACATAAAAAATCAGTACCATTTCTGTATGACAATAGTAAACAATCTGAAAAAGAAATTTAAAAACTAATCCATGTACAATAGCCACAAATAAAATTAAATATCTAGTCATTAACCAAAGAAGTGAATGATCTCTATAATGAAGCATTGATGAAAGAAATTGAAGAGGACACCAAACAAGTGGAAAGATATTCTGTGTTCATAGATTGGAAGAATCAATATTGTTAAAATGTTCATACTACCCAAAGCAATCTACAGATTCAATGCAATTCCTATCAAAATGTCAATGACATTCTTCACAGAAATAAAAGAAAGTAATCCTAAAATTTATATGGAACCACAAAAGACCCAGAATTGCCAAAGTTATCCTGAGCAAAAAGAATAGAACTGGGGGAATCACATTACCTGACTTCAAATTATACTGAAGAGCTATAAGTAACCAAAACAGCATGGTACTGGCATAAAAACAGACACATAGACCAATGGAACAGAATAGAGAACCCAAAACCATATACACACACCTACAGTGAACTCATTTTCAACAAACTTGCCAAGAATATACATCGGGGAAAAGATAGTCCCTTCAATAAATGGTGCTGGGAAAACTCGATATCTATATGCAGAAGAATGAAATTAGACTCCTATCTCCCACCATATACAAAAATCAAATCAAAATGTATTAAAGACTTAAATCTAAGACCTCACACCATGAGACTACTAGAAGAAAACATTGGGGAAACTCTCCAGAACATTGGTCTGGGCAAAAATTTCTTGAGTAATACCCCACAAGCCCAGGCAATCAAAGCAAAAATGGACAAATGGGATCACATCAAGTGAAAAAGCTTCTGTACAGCCAAAGATACAATCAGCAAAGTGAAGAGACAACCCACAGAATGGGAGAAAATATTTGCAAACTATGTATCTGATAAAGGATTAATAACCAGAATATAGAAGGAGCTCAAACAACTCTATAAAAAAATCCAATAGTCCAATTAAAATCTGGGCAAAAGGTTTGGATTGACATTTCTCAAAAGAAGGCCTACAAATGGCAAACAGGCATATTAAAGGTGTCTAACATCAATGATCACCAGAGAAATGCAAATCAAAACTACAATGAGATCTCATCATCACCCCAGTTGGAAGGGCTTTTATCCAAAAGACAAGCAATAACAAATGCTGACAAGGATGTGGAGATAAGGGAACCCTCGTACACTGTTGGTGGGAATTTTAATTAGTACAACTACTATGGAGAACAGTTGGAGGTTCCTCAAAAAACTAAAAATTGGGCTACCATACGATCCAGCAATCCCACTGCTGGATATATACCCAAAAGAAAGGAAACCATGCCAGGCGTGGTGGCTCACGCCTGTAATCCCAGCACTTTGATAGGCCGAGGCAGGCGGATCACAATCGAGACCATCCTGGCTAACAGGGTGAAACCCCATCTCTACTAAAAATACCAAATTTAGCCGGGCGTGGTGGCACGTGCCTGTAGTCCCAGCTGCTCGGGAGGCTGAGGCAGGAGAATCACTTGAACCTGGGAGGTGGAGGTTTCAGTGAGCCAAGATCATGCCACTGCACTCCAACCTGGGTGACAGAGCAAGATTCTGGCTCAAAAAGAAAAGAGGAAGGAAGGAAGTAAGGAAGGAAGGAAGGAAGGAAGGAAACAGGAGAGGAGAGGAGAGAAAAGAAGGAAGGAGAAGGGAAGGAAGGGAAAGGAAAGAAGGAAGGAAGGAAGAAAGGAAAGGAAAGGAAAGGGAGAAGGAAGGAAGGAAGGAAGGAAAGAAGGAAAATCAGTATACCAGAGATATCTGCACTCCCATGTTTGTTGCAGCACTGTTCACAATAGCCAAGATTCAGAAGTAACTTAAGTGTCCATCAACAGATGAATAAAGTAAATGTGGTACTTTACACAACTGAGTACCATTCTGCCATAAAAAAGAAGGCGATCCAGCCATTTACAATGACTTAGATGGAACTGGAGGTCATTACGCTAAGTGAAATAAGCCAGGCACAGAAAGACAAACATCACATGTTCTCACTTCTCCTGGGGGTCTGAAAATCAAAACAATTGAACTCATGGAGATAGAGAATAGAAGGATGGTTACCAGAGGCTAGGAAGGGTAGTGGAGGGTTGTGGATGAGGTGAGGATGGTTAATGAGTACAAAATAATAGAAAGAATGAATAAGACCTAGTATTTGACAGCACAACAAGTGACTATAGTCAGTAATAATTTAATTGTACATTTTATTTTATTTTTTATTATTTTGTTGTTGTTGTTGAGACCGAGTCTTGCTCTGTCACCCAGGCTGGAGTGCAGTGGCGCAATCTTGGCTCACTGAAACCTTCGCCTCCCAGGTTCAAGCAATTCTCATGCCTCAGACTCTTAAGCAGCTGTGATTACAAGTGCACACCACCATGCCTGGCTAATTTTTGTATTTTTAGTAGAGACGGGGTTTCACCATGTTGCCCGGTTTGGTCTCAAACTCCTGGCCTCAAGTGATCCACCCACCTAGGCCTCCCAAAGTTCTGGGATTACAGGCATGAGTCACCGCGCCCAGCCTCATTGTACATTTTTAAATAACTAAAAGAGTATACTTGGATTGCTTGTAACACAAAGGATAAATACTTGAGGGAATGGATACCTCATTTTACATGATGTGATTACACATTGCATGCCTGTATCAAAACATCTCATGTACCCCATAAATATATATACCTACTATGTACTCACAAACATTAAAATAAAAGAAAATTTTAATGAAAGATTTTAAAAATATTGGCAAGAATATAGAGAAAAGAGAACGTCGTACACTATTAGTGGGGATGTAAATCAGTACAGCCAATATGGAAAACAGTATGGAGGGTCCTCAAAAAATTAAAAATATAGCTACCATATGATCCAGCAATCCCACTTCTGGGTACACTTCCAAAAGAAATGAAATAAGTATGTTGAAGCAATATCTGAAATTGTGTCTACCAATTTAAGATAAATAAACTTGAAACATGTATTTAAATTTTATTAAGTATAAGTTCAAAAAAACATGTGTAAGGCTGTGCATGCTGGTTCATGCCTATAAACTCAACACTTTGGGAGGCCAAGGCGGGGAGATTGCTTGAGTCCAGGAATTCGAGACCAGCCTGGGCAACATAATGAGACCTCCTCTATACTTAAAAAATATAATAAAAATAAAAATTAGCCAGGCATGGTGGCATGCTCCTGTAGTCCCAGCTACCGGGGAGATGAAAGGATTGCTTGAGCCTGGGAGGTCAAGATTGCAGTGAGCTGTGATTGCACCATAGCACGCCAACCTGGGTGAGAGCAAGACCCTGTCTCAAACAAACAAGCAAAAGTACATGTATAGGATTTGTATGCTGAAAAATACAAAACAGACCAGGTGCAATGGTCATGCCTATAATCCAAGCACTTTGGGAGGCTGAGGCAGGAGGATTGCCTGGGGCCAGGAGTTTGAAACCAGCTTAAACAACATAGTGTGTCCTTGTCTCCACCACCCCCACCCCCCAAAAAAATAGTTAGCCAGGCATGGCGGTGAGTGCCTGTGGAAGGCCGAGGCAGGAGGATAACTTCAGCCCAGAAGTTCAAGGTCACATTGAGCTATGATTGCACCACTGCACTCCAACCTGGGCAACAGAGCAAGATCCTGTCTCTAAAAAACAAAACACTACAAAACACTGATGAAGAAAAGAAGGAATATCTTAATAAATGGAAAGAAATATTGTGCTGATGGATTGGAAGATTTAACAGAGTAAAGACATCAATTCTCCCTAAACTGATTTATAGGTTAGTTGACAATTTTGTTGAGATTTGACAATTTTATAATCAAGCTTATTCTAAAATTTATGCACAAGCCGTAGAAGAGCTAAAACAATCTTGACAAAGAAGAATAAAATAGGAGGAAGTATTCTACCCAATTGTAAGGCTTACAATATAGCTAGAGGAATCAAGAGAGTGTGGTGCTTGCAGAGGGAGACGCATATAGATGAATGGAACAAAACAGGGAACCCATAAATAGAAGTGAAAAATTATGCTCAACTGATTTTTGAAAAAGGTGCAAATATATTTAATGGAGGAAGGATAGCATTTTCAATAAATGATGCTGGAACAACTGCATATCCATAGGCAAAAAATAAAACTCACACATCATAAAACTGAATTCAAAATAGATCAAGATTTAAATACAGAACATAAAGCTATCAATCATCTTTGGGACCTAGTGATTGATGAAGAATTTTTTGACATGACACAAAAAGCACAATCTATTTAAAAATGTATAAATTGGACTTAATTAAAGTTTAAAACTTTTAGTCTGTGAGACATTCTGCTAAGAGGATTAAGAGATAAGTTAAAACTGGGAGAAAATGCTTGCAAGACGCAAATCTCGCAAAGATCTCATATGTAGGGTATATAAAGATCTCTCAAAACTGAACAAGAAAACAAATATCCAATTTGAAAATGGGCAAACGATTTGAACAAATGCTGAAATAAACAAGGTAAGCAGATGGCAAAAAACCTACATGAAAATATATTTAACTTCACTAGCTATTAGGGAAATGCAAATTAAAATCACAACAAGATATCACTACACACTTATTGGAATAGACAAAATGAAAAACAGTGACAATACCAAATTTTGGAAAGGATGCAGAGAAATTGGATCATTCAAACATTGCTGGTGAAAATTTAATATGGTACAGCTGCTCTGAAAAATAGTTTGGCAGTTTCTCAAATCTATAACATATAATTACCACATGACCTAGCCACTGTACTGCTGGAGATCTATCCCAGAAAAATGAACATTTACATTCACACAAAACCTGGACATGATGGTTAATAGCAGCTTTATTTATAATAGCCAAAAACTGGAAACAACCAAGTGTCCTTCAATAGGTAAACGGTTAATCAAACTGTGGCATGTCTATATTCCTATAGTTTAGATCGAGTTTGTCCAACCCACAGCCCGTGGGCTACATAAGGTCCAGGACAGCTTTGAATGCAGCCCAACAGAAATTCGTAAACTTTCTTAAAACATTATGAGATTTTTTTAGGGTTTTTTTTTCTTTTTTTTTTTTAGCTAATCAGCTATCGTTAGTGTTACTGTATTTTGTGTGTGGCCCAAGACAATTCTTCTTCCAGTGTGGCTCAGGGAAGCCAAAATATTGAACATCCCAAGATTTTTGCCCCCTCCAAATCTCATGTTGATATTTGATCCCAGTTGTTGGGGGTGGGGCCTAATGGGAGGTGTTTGTGTCATGGGGGCAGATCCTTTGTGAATAGATTAACATCCCCCTGGGAGGGAGGGTGAGTTCTCACTATTAGTTCCACAAGAGCTGGTCATTAAGAAGAACCTGGCATGTCCACCTTCTCTCTTTCTTCCTTTCTCACCATGTGATTTACGTACAGGCTGGTTCCCCTTCACCTTCTGACATGAGTGGAAGCAGCCTGAAACCCTCAGTAGAGGTGGATGCTGGCACCACACTTCTTGTACAGCCTGCAGAACTGTGAGCCAAATAAACCTCTTATAAATTACCCAGCCTCAGGTATTCCTTTACAGCAACACAAAATGAACTAAGACATACACCAGGGACTACTATTCAGCACTAAAAGGGAATGAACTATTGATACACACAAAAACTCAAATGGAGCTGAAGGATATTGTGCTGAATGTAAAAGGCCCATATCAAAAGATCACACTGCATGGTTCCATTTATATAACATTCTTGAAATAACAAAATTACATAGATGGAGAACAGTTTAGTGTTAGTGGTTGCCAGAGTTTAGGGATGTGGCAAAGAGGTGTATGTAACTATAAAGGATAATATGAAGGAGGTTTTGTGGTGATGAAATAGTTCCGTCTCTTAATTACTGTGATGGCTACACATATCTATACATGAGGAAAAAAAAGACAGAATTATACACAAGTGTTGTACCAATTTCAGTTTCCTAGTCTTGACCAATTTCAGTTTTCTGGTTTTTCTATAGTTATGTAAAATGAAATCAGTACTATCTTTGCGTCTTCTTGTGAATGTACTATCTTTGCGTCTTCTTGTGAATCTACAATTATTTCAAAATAAAAAGTTTGGCCAGGCGTGGTGGCTCACGCTTGTAATCCTAGCACTTTGGGAGGCTGAGGCGGGTGGATCACTTGAGGTCAAGAGTTCAAGACCTGTCTAGCCAACATAATGAAACCCTGTCTCTACTAAAAATACAAAAATTAGCCAGGCATGGTGGCACACACCTGTATTCCCAGCTACTCGGGAGGCTGAGGCAGGAGAATTGCTTGAACCTGTGAGCCGGAGGTTGCAGTGAGCTGAGATCATGCCACTGCACTCCAGCCTGGGCAACAGAGTGAGACTGTCTCAAAAATAAATAAATAAATAAAATAAAATGTTTACGGGACATTTTAAGGGACAGGAAAAAAAGTTTAAAAAGTGAAAAAAATTTGAACTAATTTATACTCCTACCAACAGTGTAAAAGCATCCCTATTTCTCCACATCCTCTCCAGCATCTGTTGTTTCCTGACTTTTTAATGATCACCATTCTAACTGGCATGAGATGGTATCTCATCGTGGTTTTGATTCGCATTTCTCTAATGACCAGTAATGATGAGCTTTTTTTTCATATGTTTCTTGGCCACACAAATGTCTTATTTTGAGAAGTGTCTGCTCATAGCCTTCACCCACTTTTTGATGGGGTTGTTTTTTCTTGTAAATTTGTTGAAGTTCCTTGTAGATTCTGGATATTAGCCCTTTGTCAGATGGATAGATTGCAAAAATTTTCTCCCATTCGGTAGGTTGCCTGTTCACTCTGATGATAGTTTCTTTTGCTGTGCAGAAGCTCTTTAGAAGACAGTGTGACAATTCCTCAAACATGTAGAACCAGAAATCCATTTGACCCAGCAATCCCATTACTGGGTATATACCCAAAGGATTATAAATCATTCTACTATAATGACACATGCACACATATGTTTATTGCAGCACTATTCACAATAGCAAAGACTTGGGAACAACCCAAATGCCAATCAATGATAGACTGGATAAAGAAAATGTGGCACATATACACCATGGAATACTATGCAGCCATAAAAAAGGATGAACTGCAGAGTTCATGTCCTCTGCAGGGACATGGATGAAGCTGGAAACCATCATTCTCAGCAAATTAACACAGGAACAGAAAACCAAACACCGCATGTTCTCACTCATAAGTGGGAGTTGAACAATGAGAACGCATGGACACAGGGAGGGGAACCTCACACATCAGGGCCTGTCGGGGGGTGGGGGGCTAGGGGAGGGATAGCATTAGGAGAAATACCTAATGTAGATGATGGGTTGATGGGTGCAGCAAACCACCATGGTATGTGTATACCTATGTAACAAACCTGCACGTTTTGCACATGTATCCCAGAACTTAAAGCATAATAAGAAAAAATAAAGAAAAAAATAACCCTCAGTTTAGCACCTACTGCCTAACAAGAGAGACAGTCACTTGAAAAAAAAGCTATATTTTATTAGATTAGACTTTTACATTAGTAATACATGCAAATAGTGAAAATTTTCAAACAAAACAGAGTATATGAAATTAAAAGTAAAATCTCTGGTTCTTCTTCCTGGCTCACATCCCAGAGTTAGCTATTTTTAACCATTTTTAGTTTTAATTCTTCAAGTGGTTTACTCTGTAACCTTAAATAATATGCTTATCTATTTCTTTGTTTTAATAACTTGTACCTTACCCAAGGTAAGAAAGGTAAGAAATTAGCTCATTTAGGCCAGGCACAGTGGCTCACGCCTGTAATCCCAGCACTTTGGGAGGCTGAGGCGGGTGGATCATGAGGTCAGGAGATCGAGACCATCCTGGCTAACACGGTGAAACCCCGTCTCCACTAAAAATACAAAAATTAGCCCGCCAAAAATTGGCAGGCGCCTGTAGTCCCAGCTACTAGGGAGGCTGAGGCAGGATAATGGCATGAACCCGGGAGGCGGAGGTTGCAGTGAGCCGAGATCGTGCCACTGCACTCCAGCCTGGGCGACAGAGCGAGACTCCGTCTCAAAAAAAAAAAAAAATAAAATAAAATAAAAAAGAAAAAAAGAAATTAACTCATTACATTACTACTATCTCCCATATTTTTAGAGTTAATATTATTTTAAATTCTCCTATGAATTACTTTTGTAACTTTCAATAGTATACTTTAACCACAGTTTCTGGATAGATAACAGAAATAATAGTACCTATATTTACTGAACACTTACTAAATGACAGATTTTTTTAAGCTCTTTATACAATATTAGTTTACTTCTCTTACTAACAATCTTGTGACGTAGGTACTATTATTTTCCTCATTTTATAGATAAGGAAACTGAGGCACAGAGAGATTAAATAATTTGCCCAAGTTCACAAAGCTAATAAGTGGTAGAGCCAGTACTGGAACTCAGGCAGTCCTCACCTTAGAGATTATCATTTGACTCTCTTTACATAAGATAATTTAAACTCCTCATTTTCCCTCATTCCCTATCCTCTCTCTACCTCCAGAATCTATGTCAGATAAAATTTTATAACTCTCCAGATTTATGGCACTTAAATTTTTCTATAGATATAGTTATGCTGCCTAAGCTTTGCTTATTATTTATAAAATACCAAAAACAACAGTATTTACACTATTAGGATTATACTAATATTGTTTACTGCAGAATCATGTAGTGTAATTGAGCCCACAGAGAAGGAAATCTAATTGTATGTCTCTAAAATCATGCTATTTTAAGAATGTTCTGATCATCAATACCAAATAACATTCTCTTTTCTTATTCTTCATGGATTGCTTCCTATCTAGCTCATGACTTTCTTGTACATCTCTTTTTTATTTCTTGAAGTTACTCACTTATTTTTTCCTCACAAAAGTAATGCATGCTTTTTGTATCAGGATGCTTGGCTCCAAGCAACAAAGAGTTTAACAAGTTTATTTAAACAATGAGGAAATACATTAGGTTACATAAGAGAAAGTCCATAGGGAAGGCAAGCTTAAAGGTTGGTTCATCAGTGATTACAAGGTAACATCGAAGTTTTGGAGTCTTTCTGCCTCTCTCCATAGTATCAAATTTATTCCAAGGCTGTGTTCCCCTCACAGTCATGAGATGATTTGCCACTATGCCCGGGCAACTGATTATTCTAATCCTTTATGTAAGTAATCTTATAGCTTTTGTTAGTGATAAATTCAAAGATAGGTAAACCTGCCTGGGGGCGGTGGCTCATGCCTGTAATCCCAGCACTTTGGGGGGGCCAAGGCGGGCGGATCACCTGAGCTCAGGAGTTCGAGACTATACTGGCCAACATGGCGAAAACCCATCTCTACTAAAAATACAAAAAAAAAAAAAAAAAAATTAGCCAGGCATGGTGGCCTGTAATCCCAGCTACTCGGAGGCTGAGGTAGAAGAATCGCTTAAACCTGGGAGGCGGAGGTTGCAGTGAGCTGAGATGGTGCCACTGCACTCCAGCCTTGGCGACAGAGCAAAACTCTAATTTTCCCAGAATTTTGAGGGAATTTCTCCACTGCCTTCTGTTAACCACAGTTACTAAGGAGAGGTCCAATACTGATCTTATTTTGGTGCCATTTTGATTTTTGGTCCTTTGTTCCATATTTGTGTTTTGTTTTTGTTTTGTTTCCGGGAGATTGTAGGATCCTCTCTCATTGAGGGTATGGAATTTCACAAGGATGTATCTAAGTTTGGATTTTCTGGAAAAATTTTATGATGATTTTTTCAAACACACATTAAAATCAGAAAGCATTATGATAAACATGTGAATACTCATCACTTTGATTCTAACATGAATAGTTTGCTATAGTTGCTTTATCATATATCTGTCCAGCTATCTATTAATTCACCTTATGTTTTGCTTCATTTCAAAGTAAGTTGCAGACATCAGCACATTTCACTGTAAACGCATCAGCATGCATATAATTAACTAGAGTTCAATACTGATTAGCTGTTTATTAGAAATTTACATTAAATGAGGCCAAGTGTGATGGCTCACGTCTGTAATCCCAGAAATTTGGAAGGCTGAGATAGGAGGATCACTTGACTTGAGCCCAGGAGTCTGGGACCAGTCTGGGACACAGCAAAACCTCATCTCTACAAACAGAAAAAATTAAAAAATTAGTCAGGCATGGTGACACACACCTCTAGACTCAGAAGGCTGAGGTGGAAGGATTGCTTGAGCCTGGGAGGTCAAGGCTACAGTGAACCATGATCATGCCACTTCATTTCAGCCTGGGTGACAGAGAAATACCCTGTCTCAAAAAAACTACATAAAATGAAATGCACAAGTCATATTGTACATTCACTAAATTTTGGAAAATGGATACATCTGTGTAACCCAAACCCCATCACAATATAAAATGTTAGCATCACCTCAGAAAGTTCCCTAATAACCTTTCTCCAACAATGCCCAGCTCCAGTCCTGTAGAGAAATCACTGATTTTCCCTAACATAAAGTAGTTTTGCCTGTTCTAGATTTTTATAGAAATGAAATAACATAGTGTATAATCTAGAATTTCAGATAAATTAAACAATGTAATGTATAAATTTTTACTCATTATATGTTATAGCTTCATTCATGTTGCTACATGTATAATTTCATTCCTTTTATTGCTGAGTAGTACCTATTGTATGAATACATCACAGTCTGTAAAGTTATGGAAGTATGGATTATTTCCAGATGGGGGCTATTATGAATAAATCAGCTATGAGTATTTGTCTACAAGTCTTTGCGGGCACATATGTTTAAATTCTTCATGAGTAACAACTTAGGTGTAGATTCCTGGGTCATAGGAAATGCATATGTTTAACTGGAAAAGAACTGTCAAATTTTGTAAAGTGGTTGTACCATTTTACATTCCCACCAGTGCATGAGATTTCCAGTTGCTCCACATCATTCATAATATTTGGTTTTGGAGCGTTTTTAATATTAACCATTCTGGTGGCTGTGTTAAGGTATCTCATAGTGTTTTTTTAACTGAGATATAATTCACATAATATAAAATTTACAATGTTAAAGTTTGCACTTCAGTGGTTTTCAGTATATTCATTATGTGCAACCATCACCACTATATAATACCAGAATATTTACATCACAAGAATAATCAGATCTGTTAGCAACTAGATTCAATTCCTACCTCCCCATACCCTGGAAACCACTAATCTACTCTCTAGCTCTATGGATTTCCCTATTCTGGACATTTTATATGAATGGAATCATATAGTATGAGGCCTTTTGTGTCTGGCTTCTTTCACTGAGTATGTTTTCAAGGTTCATCCATCTTGCAGCATGTAACAGTACTTTCTTTTTATGGCTGAATAATATTCCATTGTATCTATGTACTATAATTTGGGGAGTATTGCCATCTTAATAATATTAAGTCTTTCAATCCATGAGAATGGCATTTGTTTTCATTTACCTAGGTCATCCTTTAATTTATTTCAATGATGTTCTATAATTTTCAATGTACATGTCTTCCACATCTTTCAAAATTTTACTCCTAAATATTTTATTCTTTGGATGCTATTATAAATGAAATTATTCTGTTTTCTTTTTTACTGTGGTAAAAACCTCTTGAGATCTATACTCCTAACAAATTATTAAGTGCACACTACAGCATTATTAACTATACACACATTGCTGTGCAACAGATCTCTAGAACTTTTTCATCCTGCAGAAGAAAACTCAATACCCATTGAACAGCAACGTTGCATTTTCCCTTTTCCCAAGCCTCCAGCCACCATTATTCTACTTCCTGCTTCTATATGTTTGACTGCTTTAAATACCACATACAAGAGGAATTGTGCAGTATTTGTCCTATGACTACCTTATTTCACTTGGTATAATGTCCTCAAGATTCATCCATGTTGTAGCATATAACCAAATTTCCTTCCTTTTAAAGGCTGAATAATATTCCGTTGTTTGTGTATACCACGTTTTTAATCCTGTCATCCATCAATAGTTATTTAGGTTGTTTTGACCCCTTGGCTATTGTGAATAATGCTGCAACGAACATATGAGTGCAAATATCTCTTTGAGATCCTGCTTCTGATTTTTCAGATAGATACCCAGAAGTAAGATTGCTGGATTATGTAGTAGTTCTATTTTTAATTTTTTAGGAGTGTCCATACTCTTATTTATAGCAGTGGCACCATTTTACATTCCCACCAACAATGCAGAGTTCCAATTTCTCCACATCCTCACCAACACTCCTGTTGTTTTGTTTGTTTTAATAATGGCCATCTTAACAGGCACTAGGTGATATCTTATTGTGGATCTAATTTGCATTTTTCTGATGATTAATGATATTGAACATCTTTTCATATATCTGTTTGCTATTTGTGTGTCGTCTTTGGAAAAATTCAAGTCCCTTGGTGATTCTTTAAATTGAGTTATTTGAGATTTTTGCTGAGTTGTAGGAGTTCTTTATATATGTTGGATATATTTGGATAATGTTCTCTTATCATATATTGGTTTGCAAACATGTTCTCCCATTCTGTAGGTTGCCTTTTCACTCTTGTTTGTTTCTTTTGCTATACAGAAAATGTTTAGTTTAATGCAGTCCCACTTGTCTAGTTTTGGTTTTGGTGCTGGTGCTTTAGTGTCATATCTAAGAAATCATTGCCAAGACCAGTATTACAAAGCTTTCCCCATGTTTTCTTCTAGGAGTTTTAGTTTCAGGTTTACAATTATGTTTTTCATCTATTTTCAGTTTTTTTATATATACTATAAGATTAGGGTGCAATTTTCCTCTTTTGCATGTGGATATTCAGTTTTACCAACACCATTTGTTAAAGAGACTATTCTTTCTCTTTTGTATAGTCTTGGCACCCCCACCAAAGATCATTTGACTGTATAGCCTGTGTTTATTTCTGGGTTCTCTATTCTGTTTATATGGTTTATATGTCTGTCTTTATGCAGGTACCATACTGTTTTGATTACTGTAGATTTGTAATATATTTTGAAGTCAGGAAGTATGAGGCCTTGTGCTTTTTTTCTTTCTCAAGATTGTTTTGGCTATTTGGGGTGTTTCGTGGTTCCATATGAATTTTAGGCTTGTTTTTCTATTTTCATTTAAAATCCCATGGTATTTTGGTAGGGATTGCATTGAGCTTGTAGATTGCTTTGGATATCTTAATATTAATTCTTCCAATACAGGAACATGTAATGTTTTCCATTTATTTGTGTCGTCTTTAACTTCTTTCAGCAATATTTTCTTGTTTACAGTGTATTAGCCATTGACTTCATTAATTATGTTTTTCCCATTTTATTTTTTGATGCTATTGGAGCATCAAATAGGAATTTGGAAATATTGCCTCCTATTGATTTTTTCTGAAGCATTTGAGAAGGATTGGTAACGATTCTTCTATAAATGTCTGTTAGAATTATTCAGTAAAGCCATCACATCCTGTGCTTTTCTTTGATAAAAGTTTTTAGTTACTGATTCAATTTCCTTACTAGTTATAGGTCTGTTCAGATTCTATTTCTTCATGATTCTCTGTTAATAGGTTGCATGTTTCTGGAACTTTATCCGTTTCTTTCAGATTACCCAATTTGTTGGCATATAATGTCTCATAGTAGTCTTTTTTTCTTTTATACTTTCAGTTTTAGGGTACAAGTGCACAACGTGCAGGTTTGTTACATATGTATACATGTGCCATCTTGGTGTGCTGCACCCCACTCCCCCCACCCCACAACAGGCCACAGTGTGTGATGTTCCCCTTCCTGTGTCCATGAGTTCTCATTGTTCAATTCCCACCTGTGAGTGAGAACATGCAGTGTTTGGTTTTTCATCCTTGCGATAGTTTGCTGAGAATGATGGTTTCCAGCTTCATCCATGTCCCTACAAAGGACATGAACTCATCATTTTTATGGCTGCATAGTATTCCATGGTGTATATGTGCCACATTTTCTTAATCCAGTCTATTGTTGTTGGACATTTGGGTTGGTTCCAAGTATTTGCTATTGTGAATAGTGCCGCAATAAACATACGTGTGCATGTGTCTTTATAGCAGCATGATTTATAATCCTTTGGGTATATACCCAGTAATGGGATGGCTGGGTCAAATGGTATTTCTAGTTCTAGATCCCTGAGGAATCGCCACACTGACTTCCACAATGGTTGAACTAGTTTACAGTCCCACCAACAGTGTAAAAGTGTTCCTATTTCTCCACATCCTCTCCAGCACCTGTTGTTTCCTGACTTTTTAAGGATCGCCATTCTAACTGGTGTCAGATGGTATCTCACTGTGGTTTTGATTTGCATTTCTCTGATGGCCAGTGATGATGAGCATTTTTTCATGTGTCTGTTGGCTGCATAATTGTCTTCTTTTGAGAAGTGTCTGTTCATATCCTTGGCCCACTTTTTGATGGAGTTGTTTGTTTTTTTCTTGTAAATTTGTTTGAGTTCATTGTAGATTCTGGATATTAGCCCTTTGTCAGATGAGTAGGTTGCAAAAATGTTCTCCCATTCTGTAGGTTGCCTGTTCACTCTGATGGTAGTTTCTTTTGCTGTGCAGAAGCTCTTTAGTTTAATTAGATCCCATTTGTCAATTTTAGCTTTTGTTGCCATTGCTTTTGGTGTTTCAGACATGAAGTCCTTGCCCATGCCTATGTCCTGAATGGTATTGCCTAGGTTTTCTTCTAGGGTTTTTATGGTTTTAGGTCTAACATGTAAGTCTTTAATCCATCTTGAATTAATTTTTGTAAAAGGTGTAAGGAAGGGATCCAGTTTCAGCTTTCTACATATGGCTAGCCCGTTTTCCCAACACCATTTATTAAATAGGGAATCCTTTCCCCATTGCTCGTTTTTATCAGGTTTGTCAAAGATCAGATAGTTGTAGATATGCGGCATTATTTCTGAGCGCTCTGTTCTGTTCCATTGATCTATATCTCTGTTATGGTACCAGTACCATGCTGTTTTGGTTACTGTAGCCTTGTAGTATAGTTTGAAGTCAGGTAGCGTGATGCCTCCAGCTTTGTTCTTTTGGCTTAGGATTGACTTGGCAATGCGGGCTCTTTTTTGGTTCCATATGAACTTTAAAGTAGTTTTTTCCAATTCTGTGAAGAAAGTCATTGGTAGCTTGATGGGGATGGCATTGAATCTATAAATTACCTTGGGCGGTATGGCCATTTTCACGGTATTGATTCTTCCTACCCATGAGCATGGAATGTTCTTCCATTTGTTTGTATCCTCTTTGATTTCACTGAGCAGTGGTTTGTAGTTCTCCTTGAAGAGGTCCTTCACATACCTTGTAAGTTGGATTCCTAGGTATTTTATTCTCTTTGAAGCAATGGAACACGCTTCAAATTTCAAATGAGTGAAAAGTGCTTCAAATTTCAAATGAGTGAAAAATGGGAGTTCACTCATGATTTGGCTGTTTCTCTCTTATTGGTGTATAAGAATGCATGTGATTTTTGCACACTGATTTTGTATCCTGAGACTTTGCTGAAGTTGCTTATCAGCTTAAGGAGATTTTGGGCTGAGACCATGGGGTTTTCTAGATATACAATCATGTCATCTGCAAACAGGGACAATTTGACTTCCTCTTTTCCTAATTGAATGCCCTTTATTTCCTTCTCCTGCCTGATTGCCCTAGCCAGAACTTCCAACACTATGTTGAATAGGAGTGGTGAGAGACGGCACCCCTGTCTTGTGCCAGTTTTCAAAGGGAATGCTTCCAGTTTTTGTCCATTCAGTATGATATTGGCTGTGGGTTTGTCATAGATAGCTCTTATTATTTTGAGATATGTCCCATCAATACCTAATTTAATGAGAGTTTTTAGCATGAAGGTTGTTGAATTTTGTCAAAGGCCTTTTCTGCATCTTTTGTGATAATCATTTGGTTTTTGTCTTTAGTTCTTTTTATATGCTGGATTATGTTTATTGATTTTCGTATGTTGAACGAGCCTTGCATCCCAGGGATGAAGCCCACTTGATCATGGTGGATAAGCTTTTTGATGTGCTGCTGGATTCGGTTTGCCAGTATTTTATTGAAGATTTTTGCATCAATATTCATCAAGGATATTGGTCTAAAGTTCTCTTTTTTTGTTGTGTCTCTGCCTGGCTTTGGTATCAGGATGATGCTGGTCTCATAAAATGAGTTAGGGAGGATTCCCTCTTTTTCTATTGATTGGAATAGTTTCAGAAGGAATCGTACCAGCTCCTCCTTGTACCTCTGGTAGAATTCGGCTGTGAATCCATCTGGTCCTGGACTTTTTTTGGTTGGTAAGCTATTAATTATTGCCTCAATTTCAGAGCCTGTTATTGGTCTATTCAGAGATTCAACTTCTTCCTGGTTTAGTCTTGGGAGAGTGTATGTGTCGAGGAATTTATCTATTTCTTCTAGATTTTCTAGTTTATTTGTGTAGAGGTGTTTATAGTATTCTCTGATGGTAGTTTGTATTTCTGTGGGATCAGTGGTGATATCCCCTCTGTCATTATTTATTGCGTCTATTTGATTCTTCTCCCTTTTCTTCTTTATTAGTCTTGCTAGTGGTCTATTAATTTCGCTGATCTTTTCAAAAAACCAGCTCCTGGATTCATTGATTTTTTGAAGGGTTTTTTGTGTCTCTATTTCCTTCAGTTCTGCTCTGATCTCAGTTATTTCTTGCCTTCTGCTAGCTTTTGAATGTGTTTGCTCTTGCTTCTCTAGTTCTTTTAATTGTGATGTTAAGGTGTCAATTTTAGATCTTTCCTGCTTTCTCTTGTGGGCATTTAGTGCTATCAATTTCTCTCTACACACTGCTTTGAATGTGTCCCAGAGATTCTGGTATGTTGTGTCTTTGTTCTCGTTGGTTTCAAAGAACATCTTTATTTCTGCCTTCATTTCGTTATGTACCCAGTAGTCATTCAGGAGCAGGTTGTTCAGTTTCCATGTAGTAGAGTGGTTTTGAGTGAGTTTCTTAATCCTGAGCTTTAGTTTGATTGCACTGTGGTCTGCAAGACAGTTTGTTATAATTTCTTTTCTTTTACATTTGCTGAGGAGTGCTTTACTTCCAACTATGTGGGTAATTTTGGAATAGGTGTGGTGTGGTGCTGAAAAGAATGTATATTCTGTTGATTTGGGGTGGAGAGTTCTGTAGATGTCTATTAGGTCTCTTTGGTGTAGAGCTGAGTTCAATTCCTGGATATCCTTGTTAACTTTCTGTCTCATTGATCTGTCTAATATTGACAGTGGGGTGTTAAATTCTCCCATTATTATTGTGTGGGAGTCTAAGTCTCTTTGTAGGTCACTAAAGACTTGCTTTATGCATCTGGGTACTCCTGTATTGGTTGCATATATATTTAGGTTAGTTAGTTCTTGTTGAATTGATCCCTTTACCATTAGTAATGGCCTTCTTTGTCTCTTTTGATCTTTGTTGGTTTAAAGTCTGTTTTATCAGAGATTAGGATTGCAACCCGTGCCTTTTTTTGTTTTCCATTTGCTTGGTAGATCTTCCTCCATCCTTTTATTTTGAGCCTATGTGTATCTCTGCATGTGAGATGAGTTTCCTGAATACAGCAAACTGATGGGTCTTGACTGTTTATCCAATTTGACAGTCTGTGCCTTTTAATTGAAGCATTTAGCCCATTTACATTTAAGGTTAGTATTGTTATGTGTGAATTTGATCCTGTCATTATGATGTTAGCTGGTTATCTTGCTCATTAGTTGATGCAGTTTCTTCCTAGCCTCGATGGTCTTTACAATTTGGCATGTTTTTGCAGTGGCTGGTACTGGTTGTTCCTTTCCATGTTTAGTGCTTCCTTCAGGAGCTCTTTTAGGGGAGGCCTGGTGGTGACAAAATCTCTCAGCATTTGCTTGTCTGTAAAGGATTTTATTTCTGCTTCACTTATGAAGCTTAGTTTGGCTGGATATGAAATTCTGGGTTGAAAATTCTTTTCTTTAAGAATGTTGAATATTGGCCCCCACTCTCTTCTAGCTTGTAGGGTTTCTGCAGAGAGATCAGCTGTTAGTCTGATGGGCTTCCCTTTGTGGGTAACCCGACCTTTCTCTCTGGCTGCTCTTAACATTTTTTCTTTCATTTCAACTTTGGTGAATAGGACAATTATGTGTCTTGGAGTTGCTCTGCTCGAGGAGTATCTTTGTGGTATTCTCTGTATTTCCTGAATTTGAATATTGGCCTGCCTTGCTAGATTGGGGATGTTCTCCTGGATAAAATCCTGCAGAGTGTTTTCCACCTTGGTTCCATTCTCCCCATCACTTTCAGGTACACCAATTAGATGTAGATTTGGTCTTTTCCCATAGTACCATATTTCTTGGAGACTTTGTTCGTTTCTTTTTATTCTTTTTTCTCTAAACTTCTCTTCACTCTTCATTTCATTCATTTTGTCTTCCATCGCTGATACCCTTTCTTCCAGTTGATCGCATCGGTTACTGAGGCTTGTGCATTCGTCACATAGTTCTTGTGCCATGGTTTTCAGCTCCATGAGGTCCTTTAAGGACTCCTCTGCATTGGTTATTCTAGTTATCCATTGGTCTAAGTTTTTTTCAAAGTTTTTAAATTCTTTGCCATTGGTTCAAACTTCCTCCTTTAGCTTGGAGTAGTTTGATCTTCTGAAGCCTTCTTCTCTCAACTTGTCAAAGTCATTCTCCATCCAGCTTTGTTCCTTTGCTGGTGAGGAGCTGCATTCCTTTGGAAGAGGTGAGGCGCTGTGATTTTTAGAGTTTCCGGTTTTTCTGCTCTGTTTTTTCCCCATCTTTGTGGTTTTATCTACCTTTGGTCTTTGATGATGGTGACCTACAGATGGGTTTTTGGTGTGGATGTCCTTTCTGTTTGTTAGTTTTCCTTCTAACAGTCAGGACCCTCAGCTGCAGGTCTGTTGGAGTTTACTGGAGGTCCACTCCAGACCCTGATTGCCTGGGTATCAGCAGCGGTGGCTGCAGAACAGCGGATATTGGTGAACAGCAAATGCTGTTGCCTGATCGTTCCTCTGGAAGTTTTGTCTCAGAGGAGTACCCGGCTCTGTGACATGTCAGTCTGCCCGTACTCGGGGGTGCCTCCCAGTTTGGCTACCCGGGGGTCAGGGACCAACTTGAGGAGGCAGTCTGCCTGTTCTCAGATCTCAAGCTGCATTCTAGGAGAACCACTACTCTCTTCAAAGCTGTCAGACAGGGACATTTAAATGTGAAGAGATTATTGCTATCTTTTGTTTGTCTGTGCCCTGCCCCCAGAGGTGGAGCCTAGAGAGGCAGGCAGGCCTCCTTGAGCTGTGGTGGGCTCCACCCAGTTCAAGCTTCCTGGCTGCTTTGTTTACCTACTGAATCCTGGGCAGTGGCGGGTGCTCTTCCCCCCGCCTCGCTGCCACCTTGCAGTTTGATCTCAGACTGCTGTGCTAGCAATGAGCAAGGCTCTGTGGCCGTAGGACCCTCCTAGCCAGGTGCGGGATGTAATCTCCTGGTGTGCCGTTCATTAAGCCCTTTGGAAAAGCGCAGTATTAGGGTGGGAGTGACCCGATTTTCCAGGTGCCATCTCTGACACCTTTCTTTGACTAGGAAAGGGAATTCCCCCACCCCCTGGGCTTCCCGGGTGAGGCGATGCCTAGCCATGCTTTGGCTCATGCACGGTGCGCTGCACCCACTGTCTGGCACTCCCCAGTGAGATCAACCCAGTACCTCAGTTGGAAATGCAGAAATCATTTGTCTTCTGCATCGCTCACTCTGGGAGCTGTAGACTGGAGCTGTTCCTATTCAGCCATCTTGGCTCCACCCCTGTGTCCTATTTTTTTTTTTAACTTTTTAAAAGATGGGGTCTTGCTGTGTTGTTTGGGCTGATCTGAAACTCCTGGCCTCAAGTGATCCTCCTGCCTCAGCCTCCCAAAAAGTGCAGGGATTACAGGCATGACTGCTGTGCCTGGTCTGTCTTATGGAGAGTTTTGAGCCTCGTTTCTTCTCTTTCTCTCTTCTTTTGTGTTTTGTTGACTTTTTGTAGTACATGCTTTGATTCTTTTCTCATTCTTTTCTATATCTTCTATAGTTACTTTTTTTGTGGTTACCATGGGACTTACCTAAGATATCTTATAGTTATAACAATATATTTTAAACTGATAATATCTTAAATTCAGTCACATATAAAAGCTGTACCTTTTTACTTATCCCCCCACACTTTCTGATATTAATGTCACAAATTACATCTTTTTATATTTTGTAGTTAATTCTTATACTTTTATCTTTTAACATCTATACCAGAACTAAAAGTGATTTCTGCATCACCATAGCAATATCACAGTAATATGTATTTGTCTAAATATTTACCTTTAACAGAGAGCTTTATACTTTCATACGGTTTCACCTTGCTATTTACCATCCTTTCATTTCACCTTTAAGGATTCCCTTTAGCATTTCTTCTAAGGCAAATCTAGTTGTAATGAGCTCCCTCCATCTTTTGTTTATCTGGGAAAGTCTTTCCTTCCCCTTCATTTTTGAAAGACAGCTATGCCAAATGTATTTTGTTGGCAGTATTTTTCTCTCAGCACTTTGAAAATATATCCCACTTTCTTCTGGCCTACTAGGTTTATGCTGAAAAATTTACTGATGGTTTCACGAGGACTCCCTTGTATATGATGAGTCACTTTGCACCTGCTGCTTGGAAAACTCTCTTATCTTTGACTTTTCACAATTCAATCACAATTTGTCTTGTGGACTCCATTGGTTTCATCCTATTTGGAGTCCTTTGGGATCCTTGACTATGGATGTCCATTATCTTTCCCAAGTTTTGGAAGTTTTTGTCTGTTATATCTTCAAACAGGCTTTCTCCACCTTTCTCTCTCTTCTCCTTCTGCAATTCCTATTGTGTATATTGGTCTGCTTGATGGTGTCTCGTAAGTCTCTTAGGCTTTGTTCTTCACTCTTTTTCTTTTTTCTTTTTCTTTTTTTCTTGAGACAGGGTCTCACATTGTCACCCAGGCTGGAGTGCAGTGGTGTGAACATGGCTCACTTCAGCCTCAATCTCCTGGGCTCAAGCAATCCTCCTGCTTCAGTCCCCCAAGTAGCTGGGACTACAGGCATGTGCCACCAAACTCTGCTAATTTTCATTTTGTACAAAAAGTACAAAATTTTTGTACAGGGTTTTACCATCTTGCCCAGGCTGGTCTCAAACTCCTGAACCCAAGTGATCCTCCTGCCTCAGCCTCCCAAAGTACTGGGATTACAGGTGTGAGCCACTATTCTTGGTCTCTTTTTTTTTCCTTTCTTCCTCTGACTGGATAATTTCAAGGGGCTTGTCTGTGAGTCCATTGATTCTTCTGCTTGGTCAAGTCTCCTGTTGAAATTCTTTAGTGAATTTTTCAATTCAGTTATTATATTATTCAGCAGCAAAAAAAATCTGTTTTATTCTTTTTTTATATGTTCTATTTTTTGGTGATATTTTCATTTTGTTTATGCATAGTTTTCCTGAGTTCACTGAGCACCTTTGTAACAGCTATTTTGAATTCTTGGTCAGGTTGTTCATTTATCTTAATTTACTTTTTTCAATTTTATAACTTTATTTGATGTTTTTGATGATCAGTGATGTAGTTCTCATCCACATTGACTGTCTGTAGATTTTCGAAAGTGGTAACAGGTACATAGGTAACCAAAGTATAGAGCTTGTTTGGTGAATCTTCATCCTCATTACATTTTCTAGACAACCGCACATGGGTAGGGTATGGGACATTCCTTATTCCTTTGGCCCAGACAGCTTTGTTGAACCTGGTGTCAATGCGCACATCTGGAGTTCCCATCTCCTTCATGGCAAATTTCCGAATCTCTTTGAGTGCCCGAGGGGCACGCTTCTTGAAGCCCACTGCATGGATGCGCTTGTGAATGTTGATGGTGTACCCTCGGGTCACCATCTTGTTGATGGCAGAACGGCCCTTTTTCTTCTTGTCATCCTTCTTTGCGGGAGCCATTCTGCTGGGTCTAAGTTGGAAAGGAAGCTATCTTAATTTCTTTAGAGTTGGTTTCTGGAGATTTATTTTGTTCCTTTAATTGGGTTATATTACCCTCTTTTGTTGTGTGGCTTATAAATTGGTGCTGTTTTCTGTGCATTTGAAAAAAATAGCTATCTCTACTGGTCTTTACACTCTGGCTTTGTATGGAAAAAGACCTTTATCAATCAATCTGGCTAGAGACTCTGGGGGTCTCTCAAATATTTTCTGTGGATATATCTTCTCTGAATTTTTGTATGTAAATTACCAACCTGAGGAATATTCTGGTTTATTTTTAGGGGCTCATAATCTTTTGCTTCCCCTAGCGTCTGTGTGTGGTACTGCAGATTCTCTGGAGCTGCCACAAAGCATCCAATTCTTTTTTGTTCTCAGTGGTCCCCACATTTCTAGAAAAATGTATGCTGGATTATGTCAGTGCTTTGAGTTGGTGAGACAGTAAACAGTCCCTCAGGCAGCCTCCTGAAAATCTTGAACATTAAACACATGCATCACTCCACTTGCTCTTCCATTTACCCATGAAGGAAAGGCCACTGAGTTGAATCAGCCTCTGTCTGCTGTACCATGGGTCCTTTAGAGCAGCAGCCAGACACCCTCCTCTCTTTTGTTCTCAGATGCCCCCAGGTGTCTAGAATATTTTGCATTCAGTCAACATTCTGAGACAGGCAAGATAGAAACCAGTTCCTCATACAGCCCCTGAAAAAGCTGGAATGTTTGACACACCCACCAACTCTTTACCTTTCCATGGAGAAGCCAGGAATTGGAAGTTTTCTCCCACTGGTTCCACTCTGCACCAGGGAGAGAGAACATGGTGAGGGGGTGCATGCTAATGTTAACCATCACCTTTGTCTGAACATTGGATATATGATTCAGCCTTCTGTTTTCCCCTCCATAGAGAAGCCAGAAGCTGGGAGTTCTCTTCTGATTATTCCATGCTGAGCCAGGGGAAGGAACAGGGTGAGCTAGTGCCCCAGACTTTCTAACTGACTTTGATGCAGCTGATGTCATGCTCACGTGGGTTGCAGGAGCTTCTTAAATGGTTTCTGTATTTCTCATAAAGAATTGTTGTTGAATTGATGTCTCTGTGCAAGAAAGGACAGTCCAGGGCTTCCTTTTCCACTCTCTTCCTAATGTCACTTCCTCTGGAATTGTTTGCTAAATTTCATTTTGATTGTTCATTGCTAGTGTATAGAAATACAACTAATTTTTATATTGATTTAGTATTTGCAACTTTGCTGAACTTAGTTGTTAGCTATTATAGGGGTGTGTGTGGGGGTGTGTGTGTGTGTGTATCCTTTATCAATTTTCTGTGTAAGATTATGCCATCTGCAAATAGAGATAGCTTTACCTCTTTCTTTCTAATCTGGATACTATTTAGTTCTTTTTCTTGCCTAGGAAATCTCCATTACAATGTTGAATAGAAGTTGAACAGGAGTGATGAAAGTGGACAACCTCATCTAGTTCCTGAACATGGGGGTAAGCACTCAGGCTTTTACTATTAGGTATCATGTTACCTATGTGTTTTTTGTTTTGTTTTGTTTTGTTTTCAGACACTCGTATCTGGCTGGCAAACTTATCTTCTATTCCTAGTTTGTTGAGGGTTTGTATCATTAATGGCTGTTGGATTTAATCAAATGCTTTTTCAGTGTCTATTGAGATGGTCATGTGGGTTTTATCCCTTATTCTATTAATATGGTGTATTGTGTTGATTCATGCTTATATGTTGAATCAGCCTTGCGTTTCTGGTATAAACTGCACTTGGTCTTGCTGTTTATTTCTTTTTATATGCTTCTTAATTCATTTTGGCATATAGTGCTTTTAACATGTTGTTGTATTCAGTTGGCTAAAAATTTTATCGAGTATTTTTGCATCAATATTCAAAGAATATTGGTCTGAAGTACTTTTCTGGTGATTGCTCTTGTCTGACTTTGTTATAGAGATAATACTGGCCTCCTACAATGAGTTAAGAATTTGATTTTTTTTATTACTGACACAATATCTATGCTTGTTCTAATTCTATTCAAATTTTCTACTTCTTTTTGACTCATTTTCGGTAGCTTATGTGTTTCTAGAAATTTATCTAATTTCTTGGCATATGTATTAGTCCAGGTTCTCCAAAGAAACACAAGCACTGGGATATATAATGAGATTTCTTATAAGGAATTGTCTCACATAATTATGGAGGTTGAGAAATTCTACAATCAGCTATTTATAAGCAAGAGATCGAGGAAAGCTGGATTTGTGTAAATTTGGTGTTACTCTTTTATTTCTTTTTAAAATTTTTTTATTTTTAATTTTTGTGGGTGGATAGTGGGTGTATATATTTATGGTGTATTTGAGATATTTTGGTACGGACATGCAATGTGTAACAATCACACCATGAAAATGGTGTATCCATCACCTCAAGCATTTATCCTTTGTGTTACACACAATCCAATTATAGTCATAGTTATTTTAAAATGTACAATTAAATTATTGACTATAGTCACCTGCTGTGCTATCAAATACTAGGTCTTATTCATTCTTTTTAACTATTTTTTTTTTTACCCATTAACCATTCCCACCTCCCCCAAAACCCCCGACTACTCTCCCCAGCCTCTGGTAACCATCCCTCTGTTCTCTATGTCCATGAGTTCAATTGTTTTGATTTTTAGATCTCACAAATAAGTGAGGACATGCAATGTTTCTCTTTCTGTGCCTGGCTTATTTCACTTAGCGTAATAACCTACAGTTCCATCAATGTTGTTGCAAATGTCTAGATGTCATTCATTTTTATGGCTGAATGGTACTCCATTGTGTATAAGTAGCACATTTCCTTTCTTCATCTGTTGGTGAACACTTAGGTTGCTTCCAAATGTTGGCTATCGTGAACACTGCTGCAACAAATATGGGAGGGCAGATATCCTTCAATATACTCATTTCCTTTCTATTGGGCATATACCCAGCAATGGGATTGCTGGATCGTACGGTAGTTCTCTTTTCAGTTTTTTGAGGAACCTCCAAACTTCTCCATAGTGGTTTTACTAATTTACATTCCTGCCAACAGTGTACAAGGGTTCATTCTTCTCACATCCTTGTCAGCATTTGTTATTGCCTGTCTTTTGGATAAAAGTCATTTCAACTGAGGTGATGATGAAACATCTGATTGATGATGATATCTTGTTGTAGTTTTAATTTGCATTTCCTTAATGATCAATGATGTAGAGCACCTTTATATATGTCTGTTTGCCATTTGTAGGTCTTCTTTTGAAAAATGTCTATCCAAACCTTTTGTCCAGTTTTTAATCGTATTATTGGGTTTTTTCCTATAGAGTTGTTTGAACACGTCTATATTCTGATTATTAATCCTTTATCAGATACATAGTTTGCAGATATTTTCTCCCATTCTGTGGGTTGTCTCTTCACTTTGTTGATGGTTTCCTTTGCTGTGCAGAAGCTTTTTAACTTGATGTGACCCCATTTTTCCATTTTTACTTTGATTGCCTGTGCTTATGGGGTATTACTCAACAAATTCTTGTCCAGACCAATGTTGTGAAGAGTTTCTCCAATGTTTTCCTCTAGTAGTTTTATGTTTTGAGGTCTTTAATCCATTTTGATTTGATTTTTGTATGTGGTGAGAGGTGGGACTCTAATTTCATTCTTCTGCAAATGGATATCCAGTTTTCCCAGCACCATTTATTGAAGAGATTGTCTTTTCCCCAATGTACGTTCTTGGGACCTTTGTCAAAAACGAGTTCACTGTAGGTGTGTGGATTTATTTCTGGGTTCTTTATTCTGTTCCATTGGCCTATGTGTCTTTTTTAACGCCAGTACTATGCTGTTTGGGTTACTTATAACTCTGTAGTATAATTTGAAGTCAGGTTCCTCCAATTCTGTTCTTCTTGCTCAAGATAGCTTTGGCTATCTGGGTCTTTTGTGGTTCCATATAAATTTTGTGATTGTTTTTTGCATGTCTGTGAAGAATATCATTGGCATTTTAAAAGGGATTGCATTGAATCTGTAGATTGCTTTGGGTAGAAGGGACATTTTAACAATATTGATTCTTCCAATCCACGAACATAGAATATCTTTCCATTTTTGGGTGACCTCTTCAGTTTCTTTCATTTGTGTTTTATAGTTTTCATTGTAGAGATATTTTACTTCTTTGGTTAAGTTATTCCTAGATATTTTATTTTATTGTGGCTATTGTAAATGGGATTAATTTTTAAAATTTCTTTTCAGATTGTTCACTGTTGTCATATAGAAATGCTACTGAATTTTAAGCCAAGCCTGGTGGCTCATGCCTGTAATCGCAGCAGTTTGGGAGGCTGAGACAGGCGGGTCTTTTGAGGCCAGGAGTTCCAGACCAGCTTGACCAACACGGCGAAACCTGGTCTCTACTAAAAATACAAAAATTAGCTGGGTGTGGTGGCCCACGCCTGTAGTCCCAGCTATTGGGAGGCCGAGGCATGAGAATCTCTTTAACCTGGGAGGCAGAGGTTGCAATGAGCCATGATCATGCCACTGTACTCAAGCCTGGGTGACAGAGCAATACTCTGTCTCAAAAAAAAAAAAAAAAAAGGAAAGAAAGAAATAGAGAAAGAAAGAAGAAAGAAAAGAAAAGAAAAGGAATGCTACTGATTTCTGCATGTTGATTTTGTATATTGCAACTTTGCTAAGTTTGTTTATCAGTTTTAATAGTTTTCTTGTTGAGTCTTTCAGTTTTTCCAAATATAAGATCATATCATCTGCAAACAGATCATTTGACTTCTTCCTTTCCAATTCAGATGCCCTTTCATTCCTTGTCTTGATTGATTGCTCTAGCTAAGACTTCCAGTACCATGTTGAGTAACCGTGGTGAAAGTGGGCATCCTTGTCATTTTCCAGACCTTACAGGAAAGGCTTTCCATTTCTCCCCATTCAGTAAGATATTAGGTGTCATATGTTAGTCTGTCATACATGGCTTTTATTATGTTGAGGTATGTTCTTTCGATTCCCAGTTTTCTGAGGAATTTTATCATGAAGGAATGTTAAATTTTATCAAATGCTTTTCAGCATCAATTGAAATGATCGTATGGTTTTTCCTCTTCATTTTGTTGATATGATGTATCACGTTGATTGATTTGCCTATGTTGAACCATCCTTGAATTCCAGGGATAAATCCCATTTGGTCATGATGAATGATCTTTTTAATTTATTGTTGAATTCAATTTGCTACGATTTTCTTGAGGATCTTTGCATCAATATTCATGAGTGATATTGGCCTGCAGTGTTCCTTTTATGATGTGTCTTTGGTTTTGGTATCAGGGTAATACTGGCCTCATAGGATGAGTTTGGTACTATTCCCTCTTCCTCTATTTCTTGGAATGGTTTGAGTAGGACTGGTATTAGTTCTTCTTTAAATGTTTGGTAGAATTCAGCAGTGAAGCTGACAGGTCCTGGGCTTTTCTTTACTGGGAGATGTTTTATTTCTGCTTTGATCTTGTTACTTGTTATTGGTTTGTTCAGGTTTGGGATTTCTTCCTGGTTCAATCTTGGTAGGTTGTATGTGTGCAGGAATTTGTCCATTTCTTTTAGATTTTCCAATTTATTGGCATGTAGTTACCCATAGCAGCCACTAATAATCCCTTGAATTTCTGCAGTATCTGTTTCAATGTCTCCTTTTTCATCTCTGATTTCATTTTTTTTGGTCTTCTCTATTTTTTTCTAAGTATGGCTAAAATTTGCCAATTTTTTTTATCTTTTCAAAAAAACAACTTTTCTTTCATTGAGCTTTTGTATTGTTTTATTCCTTTCAAATTCATTTATTTCTGCTCTGATCTTTATTATTTCTTTTCTTCTACTAATTTTGGGTTTGGCTTGCTCTTGCTTTTCTAGTTCTTTAAGATGCATTATTAGGTTATTTATTAGAAGTTTTTCTTTTTTGATGTAGGTGCTTACAGCTATACATTTCCCTCTTAGTATGGCTTTTGCTGTATCCCATAGGTTTTAGTATGTTGTCTTTCTGTTGTCATTTGTTTCAATAAATTTTTCGATATTCTTCTTAATTTCTTTATTGACCCACTGGTCACTCAGGAGCATATTGTTTAATTTCCATGTATTTGTATAGTTTCCAAAATCCCTCGTTACTGATTTCTAGTTTTATTCCATTGTGGTCAGAGAAGATGCTTGATGTTATTTCAATTTTTTGAATATGTTAAGACTTGTTTTGTGACTTAACATATGGTCTATCCTTGAACATGATCCTTGTGTTGAGGAAAAGAATGTCTATTCTGCAGCCATGGATGAAATGTTCTGTAAATATCTATTAGGCCCATTTGTTGCACAGTGCAGATTTTCTGGTGTTTCTTTGTTGATTATCTGTCTGGAAGATCTGTCCAATGCTGAAAGTAGGGTGTTGAAGTCTCCAGCTATTTTTGTATTGAGGCCTGTCTCCTTAGCTCTAATAATATTTGCTTTACACAGCTGTGTGTTCCAGGGTTGGATATGTGTGTGTGTGTGTATATATATATGTATATATATATATATGTATGTGTATATGTATGTATATATATATGTATGTGTATATATATATGTATGTATATATATATATGTATGTGTGTGTATATATATATGTATGTGTGTATATATATATATGTATGTATATATATATATATATATATATATATATGTATGTATATATATATATATCTCCTGTGTTGGTCCGGATGATATCAACAAGATGATATAATGATGGTGTATATATGTAATTATATAATATACATATATAATTATATATATAAGATATATAATATACATATATAATTATATATATAATATATAATATATATATAATATATAATTACATATATAATTATATATATATAATATATATAATTACATATATAATTATATATATATAATATATATAATTACATATGTAATTATATATATAATATATATAATTACATATATAATTATATATATAATATATATAATTACATATGTAATTATATATATAATATATATAATATACATATATAATTATATATATAATATATATAATATACATATATAATTATATATATAATATATATAATATACATATAATTATATGTATAATATATATAATATATATAATTATATGTATAAGATATATAATATACATATATAATTATATATAATATATATAATATACATATATAATTATATATATAATATATATAATATACATATATAATATATATAATATATAATAATATATAATATATATAATATACATATATAATTATATATAATATATAATATACATATATAATTATATATATAATATACATATATAATTATATATATAATATACATATATAATTATATATAATATATAATATAATATATAAATTATATATAATATATAATATAATATATAAATTATATATAATATATAATATAATATATAAATTATATATAATATATAATATAATATATAAATTATATATAATATATAATATAATATATAAATTATATATAATATATAATATATAAAATAATATATAAATTATATATAATATATAATATAATATATAAATTATATATAATATATATAGTAATATATAAATTATATGTAATATATATAATATAATATATATTATATATTTACACCATCATTATATCATCTTGCTGAATCAACCCCTTTATCATTACATAATTTTCTTCTTTGTTTCATCTTACAATTCTTGTCTTGAAATCTATTTTGTCTGATATAAGTATAGCTACTTCTGAACCTTTTTGGTTTTCTTTGGCATGGAATATCTTTTTACATCCCTTTATTTTCAGTCTATGTGTGTCTTTATAGGTTAAGTGTGTTTCTTGTAGACAACAGGCCATTGGATCTTGTTTTTTCATCCATTTTGCCACTCTATGTCTTTTGATTCAAGAGTTTATTTCATTTCCATTCATTCAATGTTATTATTGATAAATAAGGACTTACTCCTGCCATTTTGTTATTTGTTTTGTGGTTGTTTTGTTGTTTTCTCTTCCTTCTTTCTTTCCTTACTGTTTTCCTTTTAGTGAAGGTGATTTCCTCTGATGGTATGCTTTAATTTCTTTTGCTTTTATTTTTTGTGTATCCATTGTATGATTTTCAATTTGACGTTACCGTGAAGCTTGCAAACACTACCTTAAAACCCATTTTTTTTTTTTTTGAGACAGAGTCTCACTCTGTCGCCCAGGCTGGAGTGCAGTGGTGTGATCTCGGCTCACTGCAAGCTCCGCCTCCTGAAAACCCATTATTTTAAACTGATGACAAGTTACCACTGATTGCCTAAACAAACATGCAAAAGGAAAACTAATAAAAACTCCATACTTTAACTTTGTTCCCCCACTTTTAAACTTTTTGTTGTTCCTATGTATTATTGTACTTTTTGTTGTTGTTGTTTGTTTTTTTTTTCTGAGATGGAGTCTTGCTCTGTCACCCAGGTTGGAATGCAGTGGCACGATCTTGGCTCCCTGCAACCTTCGCCTCTTGGGTTCAAGAGATTCTCTTGCCTCAGCCTCCCCAGTAACTGGGATTACAGGCATGTGCCACCACGCCCAGCTAATTTTTGTATTTTTAGGAGAGACAGGGTTTCACCATGTTGGCCAGGCTGGTCTCAAACTCCGAACCTCATGATCCACCTGCCTCGGCCTTCCAAAGTGCTGGGATTACAGGCATGAGCCACTGCACCTGGCCTTGTACTACTTCTTTAAAAAATGTTGTAGTTATTATTTCTGATTGGTTCATTGTTTAGTCTTCCCACTTAAGTTGAGTAGTTTACACACCACAATTATAGTGTTATACTATTTTGTGTTATTTTGTGTGCTTAGTATATACTATTTTGTGTTATTTTGTGTGCTTAGTATTACCAATAAGTTATGTACCTTCAGATGATTTCTTCTTGCTCATGAACATCCTTTTCTTTCAGATTGAGCTACTCCCTTTAGGATTTATTGTAGGACAGGTCTGGTGTTGATGAAATTTCTCAGATTTTGTTTGTATGGGAAAGTCTTTATTCCTTCTTCATGCTTAAGGGATATTTTTGCCAGATATACTATTCTAAGGTAAAAGTTTTTCTTTCCTTCAGCACTTTAAATATGTCATGCCACTCTCTCTTGGTTTGTGAGGTGTCCACTGAAAAGGCTGCTGCCAGATGTATTGGAGCTTCATTGTACATTATTTGCTTCTTTTCTCTTGCTGCTTTTAGGATCCTTTCTTTATCCTTGATGTTTGGGAATTTGATAATTAAATGCCTTGAGGTAGTCTTCTTTGGGTTAAATCTGCTTGGTGTTCTATAACCTTTTTGTACTTAAATATTAATATCTCTTTCTAAGTTTGGGAAGTTCTCTGTTATTGTCCTGTTGAGTAAACTTTCTATTCCTATTACTTTCTCTACCTCCTTCTTAAGGCCTATAACTCTTAGATTTGCCCCTTTGATGCTATTTTCTAGATCTTGCAGGCATGCTTCATTGTCTTTTAGTCTTTTTTTCTTTTGTCTCCTCTGTGTGTTTTCAAATAGCCTGTCTTCAAGCTCACTAATTCTTTTTTATTATTATTGAATTTTTAGATACATTTGTAAGCAGAAAAACTTGCTAATTCTTCTGCTCGATCAATTCTGCTATTAAGAGATTCTGATGCATTCTTCAGCATATCAATTGCATTTTTCAACTCTAGAATTTCTCCTTGATTCTTATAATTATTTCAACCTCTTTGTTAAATTTATCTGATAGAATTCTGAATTCCTTCTCTGCGTTATCATGAATCTCTTTGAGTTTCCTCAAAACAGCTAATTTGAATTATCTGTCCGAAAGGTCACATATCTCTGTTTCTCCAAGATTGTTTCCTGGTTCCTTATTTAGTTTATTTGGTGAGGTCATGTTTTCCTGGATGGTGTTGATGCTTGTAGATATTCACTGGTGTCTGGGTATTAAAGAGCTAGGTATTTATTGTAGTCTTCACAGTCTGGGATTGTTTGTGCCTGGCCTCCTTGGAAAGGTTTTCCAGGTATTCAAAGGGACTTGGGCACCAAGCCCTAGAGCACTGTAGTTTTTGCAGACTCATAGAGGTACTGCCTTGGTGGTCTTGAATTTGATCTGGAAGAATTCTCTGGATTACTGGCCAGAGACTCTTGCTTTTTTCCTTTACTTTTTCCCAAACAAAGGGAGTTCTCTCTCTCTCTCTCTCTCTCTCTCTCTCTCTCCTGAGCCACCTGGAACTGGGGAGTGGTGATGCAAGCACTCCTGTGGCCACCACCACTGAGACTGCACTGGGTCAGGCCTGAAGCCACCACAGCACAGGGCCTTGCCCAAGTCCCTTCCCTTTCAGTTGATGACTTCCCCCCAGACCCCAGGTATGTCCAGAGATGCTGTCTGGGAGCCAGGGATCAGAGTCAAAAACCTTTGCAATTTTCCTGATGTTCTATTCTACTGCAAATAAGCTGGCACTCAAGCCACAATACAAAGTCCTTCCTGCTCTTTCTTCCCCTTTCCACCAGCAGAGGAGCCTCTTCCCATGGCCACCACCACTGCTCCATGGGGGGTTCTGCCAGGCCACCACTGATATTTGCTTAGACCCCAAGGGCTCTTCTATAAGCTTGTGGTGAATGCTGCCAAGCCTGGGATTCACCCTTTATGGCAGTGGACTCCTCTCTTGTCCAGGGCAAGTTCAGAAATGCTGTCTAAGGCCTAGTCCTGGACTCAGGGTCCCCAGGAGCCTGCTTGTTCCTTGACCCCACTGTGGCCGAGTTAGTACCTAGGGTGCAAGGTAAAGTCACCTTTATTTTTCCCTCTGCTTTTCTCAAACAGAACTAGTCTTTCACGGTAGCCACCACACTGGAAATGTGCTGAATCACCCCCAGAAGCCAGCACATCTCAGAGCTCAAGGCCCATGGAGTACTGCCTGGTTATCACTGCTGGTTATTCAGGGCCT
Organism: Homo sapiens; assembly: GCF_000001405.40. Taxonomy (NCBI): domain Eukaryota; kingdom Metazoa; phylum Chordata; class Mammalia; order Primates; family Hominidae; genus Homo; species Homo sapiens. The sequence goes on along the minus strand of NC_000023.11, from coordinate 68,589,144 downwards.
GAGGGCTCTTTAGTCAGCAGGTGATTAATCCTGCCAGTACTGGATCCTTCTGTTTAAGGCAGTGGGTTTTCTTTTGGCCCACAGTGTGTCTAGAATTTTCGTTCAGGAGCTAGGACCTGGAATGGGTGCCTCATGACTTTGTCCAGTGCCCTATCCTACTGTGGCTGAGCTGGTATCCAAGATGCAAGACAAAGTCGTTTTTACTCTTCACTCTCCTCTCCTTAAGCAGAAGGAAGGAGTCACTTTCGTTGCTACAAGCTGCACTCCCTGTGGTTGGGGGAGGAGGGGCATAAGCACTCCTTTAGATACTTGGGTGTTGTCTCCCTAGGTCATGTGCCACCCTAGTTCACTGGCTCTAAGCCCAGCCTATCACTAGGAATTGTAGTCTTTGTGCCCTAGTCTGCCATTCAAGGTTTACCTAGGACGCCAGAGCACTTCAGTCTGCAGTTGCAAGGCTTCTGATAAACTCAAGTTTCCACCACTGGACTGGGTGATTCCCCTCTGATTAGGGCTGGTCCAAATGCTCCCTCCGTGCATGATTGCTGGCTGAGCCTGGCACGGTTTTATTCTCTGCTGTGACAGGGCAGGACTGAGTTCAATGTAAAGTCCCCTAGTCACTGTGTTCTTCCTCTCGCAAGTGCACAGATTCTCTCTACTGCCAGGGGATGAGGGAGGGGTGGTGTTGGTGACTTAAGAATGTTTCTCCTTCCCTCCTCAATGCCACTTTCCACAATATGTAGTTAAAACTAGATACTGTGAGTGCTCACCTGATTGTTGGTTCTTATGATGGTGCTTTTCTGTGTGCAGATAGTTGTCAAAAGTTGTTTCAGTGAGGGGAATAAATGATGTAGCCTTCTATTCCGCCATCTTGCTCCACCCTCTCTGGTGTTATCCTTTGTATTATGTTTCTTAAATATTTGATAGAACTCAAAATTATCTGGGCCTATAATTTTCTTTCAGGAGTAAGTGTTGATCTTGTTTTTATTTAACTTATTCTGAATTGAAGAGCCCTTTCAATTTAAATAGTCATGTGTTTCTTCACTTCTGAGAAATTTTCTTCTTTAAAAAGTTATTGGGCCGGGCATGGTGGCTCACGCCTGTAATCCCGGCACTTTGGAAGGCCGAGGTGGGTGGATCACGAGGTCAGCAGATCGAGATCGTCCTGGCTAACACGGTGAAACTCCTGTCTCTACTAAAAATACAAAAACATTAGCTGGGCACGGTGCCTGTAATCCCAGCTACTCAGGAGGCTGAGGCAGGAGAATGGCGTGAACCTGGGAGGCGGAGCTTGCAGTGAGCCGAGATCACGCCACTGCACTCCAGACTGGGTGACAGAGCAAGACTCCGTCTCAAAAAAAAAAAAAAAGTTATTGCATCACTTCCATTTTATCTGTCATCTTTTTAAGAACAACTACTAAACCAAAGTTGGACTGATTCTCCATGTCTCAACTTTTCTCTTGTTTTTTAGCTTTTTCTGGTTTTGCTTTATGTTCCTTGACTTCATATTATAAATTTATAATATAAGTAATAAATTTAAAGCATAAAATAAATTTTTATGTAATTATTTTTTAATTTCTAAAAAGTCTTTCTTATCCATGATTACTCTTTTGTTGCAGCATTCTGTTCTTGCTTTATCAATTTACTATATACCTGAATCTCTGAATGTATGAATTTGAATATCATAAAAGCTACACTCCTTGTTCTTGAGTTCTCATTCTCTTTTTCTCTCCCCATTTGTTTAGTTTTCTCATTTAAGACCTACCATTTTGTACTTTTTGTTTGCTATTCTTCCTAGTCAGTCAGAGACCCAGTCTGAGGACGCAGCCATTATTTCTTTTTTTGGAGACAGAGTCTCACTCTGTTGCCCAGGCTGGAGTACAGTGGTACCATCTCAGCTCACTGAAACCTCCAACTCCCAGGTTCAAGCAATTTTCCTGCCTCAGCCTCCTGAGTAGCTGGGACTACAGGCACCTGCCACCACACCTGGCTAACCTTTGTGTTTTTAGTAGAGATGGGTTTTCACCATGTTGGCTAGGCTGGTCTCGAACTCCTGACCTCAAGTTATCTGCCCACCTAGGCCTTGCAAAATGCTGGGATTACAGGTGTGAGCCATTGTGCCTGCCCCCATTATTTCAAATTATGCTAGTTGCCATGAAAGAAGGAAATAGAGTCTTATAGGTTCTCAGTCCTCTGGCTCAAAAGTAATAGATGCCACTTCCATTCATAAATCTTTGGCTAGAAATAGTCATATGGTGCCATCAACCCTACCAGGGCTGCTCATTCAAGTACTAGAGTCATATAGAAATTAGTAAATTCATCCCACTTTCCTCACCCCATAATTACCTCTGGGTGTGTGTTAGTCCATTCTCACGCTGCTATAAGGACATACCTGAGATTGGGTAATTTATTAAGAAACAAGGTTTAATTGACTCACAGTTCTGCCTGGCTGGGAGGCCTCAAGAAACTTACAGTCATGGCAGAAGGGGAAGCCAACATGTCCTTCTTCACAGGGTGGCAGGAGAGGGAAGAATGAGAGTGAAGGCAGGGGGAAGCCAACATGTCCTTCTTCACAGGGTGGCAGGAGAGGGAAGAATGAGAGTGAAGGCAGGGGGAAGCCCAGTATAAAACCATCAAATCTTGTGAGAACTCACTATCATGAGAACAGCATGAGGGTAACCACCCTCATGATTCAGTTACCTCCCACGACACATGGGGATTATGGAAGCTACAATTCAAGATGAGATTTGGGTGGGAACACAGCAAAGCCATATCAGGATGCTAACCAAGTCAACTCATGATGTTAGTGAGAGCTCTCACTTCCCAAAGTAAACTGTCCTAACTCTGAATTTTGTATTATGGAAAATTTTAAACATAAACAAAATACAGAATTGTGTAATGAATCTCCACGTAACCGTTACCCAGCATTAACAATGATCAACTCATGCCCAATTTTGTTGACCATGTTCTATGCCCCCATCCTCTACTCTGGATTACTTTAAAGCAAATCCCAAACATCATAGAATTCCATTCAGACTTTATGATATGGTTTGGATCTGTGTCCCCACCCAAATCTCATGTCGAATTGTAGTCCTCAATGTTGGAGGGGGAGCCTGGTGGAAGGTGATTGGATCATGAGGGCAGATTTCCCTCTTGGTACATCCTCACAATAGAGAGTGAGTTCTCATGAGATCTGGTTGTTTAAACATGTGTAGTACTTCCACCCCCGTCTTCTTCCTGCTCCCCATGTGAAGTGCCTCCTCCCACTTTGCCTTCTGACGTGATTGTAAGTTCCCTGAGGCCTCTCCAGAAGATGATACCACCATGCCTACTGTACAGCCTGTAGAACTGTGAGTCAGTTAAACCTCTTTTCTTTATAAATTACCCAGTCTCAGGTATTTCTTTATAGCGGTGTGAGAACAGACTAACACACTTTAAGATTTTAAAATCATAATACCATTATCATGTCTCAAAAATGGACAATTTGGCCAGGTGGAGTGTCTCACATCTGTAATCGCAGCAGCACTTTGGGAGCCAGGTTGGGAGGACTGCTTGTGGTCAGGAGTCAAGACCAGCCTGGGCAACATAGTGGCTAATCAAAAAATTAGCTGGGCATGGTGGTGCACACCCGTGGTTCCAGCTACTCAGGAGGCTGAGGTGGGAAGATCACTTGAGCCTGGGAGGTCGAGGATGCCGTGAGCCATGATCATGCCACTGCACTCCAGCCTGGGTGACAGAGTGAGACCCTGTCTCAAAAATAACCGACAATTTTAATATCATCAACTATCTTCCCAGTGTTCAAATTTTTGAAATGTCTCATACAGATATATATATAGTTTCATTGAAACTGGATCAAGATAAAGTCCACACACTGCAATTCAATAACATCTAGTAAGTCCTTTAATCCATAGATTTCCCCTTCCATCTCTCTCTTCCCATTCTTTAAGGTCTATTTGTTGAAGAAACTGAGTCAGTTTTCCAGTAGAGTTTCCCACATCCAGAGTTTTGCTCAAGGCCTCCCTGTGGTGTCATTTAAGATATTTCTCTTACTCTATATTTCTTGTAAATTGATAGCTGATATAAAAGCTTGGTTAGATTCTAGCTTGTATTTTGTCAAGAATACTTCATTGGTAGTGTTAGGTTCTTCAACAGGAGGCACATATAATGTCTGGTGTCTTGTGATGTTATCAACTAATAATGCTTAATATTAAATTCACTGATAATTAGGGATTACATTAGAATGGTTATATTCTAATTCTATCATTACTTTTTAGTTTCTTAGCTAGAATAAGAAGAAACTTCCCCACATTTATTATTTGATCACCCTTTCTATATTAGGAAAAACAGGACAAATGCTTGTATCTTTACCTTTAGTTTCCAGTTTTCAAAATGATAGGTTGGTTACATTGGAATTCTTTAATGGTGACTATTGTCATTACATGATATCATGCATTTAAACATATTTTTATTACTTTATTCTTGTGTCTCTTTGTTGCTCATGCTGCTTCTGTCACACCTGTGTATGCTCTCCTACTCTTTCCAGTGAGATGCCAGCTGATTCTTGCATTGTGATTGGTCTGGCCTAATCCCCATGAGGTTGGCTGGCCTAGCCAGTAGGTGATCTCTTCTTATTTTCTCTCTCTCTTTCTCACTTTGTCTCTCACCCTTGCCTTATATCTCTGCTTTATGCATGACTCACAAGCCATTAGCCCCTAAAAAGCATGACAGTGCAAGATTGAGGACCGAAGCTTCCACTTTTCTTCAAATTGGAAGGGACCAAAATTTCTATGAATCACTGTCACCAATCTCTGTCCCTGTTGTTTATTGTCAAGGGACGTAGTAACATCAGAGCTTCCTTTGAGTTTGAGAATTGTGTGTAAGCCCTAAGAACCCATAGTAAAAGGCTGAAACAGAGGTTGACTGCAGGTCAACTAGAAGAGTTGAGAGATACTTTAATGAGCTACTATTTCCTAGGCAATGTTCTCCGTACTTTATGTGTATTCTCATTTACTCCTCACAACTCTCAGAAATAGAGATTATAATTTATATTTTACAAACAAGGAAACTGAAGTTCACAGTTCCCCATAGCTATTTAAAAGCAAAAACTATAATTGGAGAGCAAGCATCATCAAAACGGAAAAACCAAGAGAAGAAAAAAGAATCATCAGGTTTCGTCCCATTCTCCCAATAAGTGTAGTCTTGGGGCCACTGTAATGCCAGTACACGTTGTGAAGTAGGAGAACTCTGGCTGGGATCTTCACAGCCTGAGGTCTCAAACTCCTGATCTAGGAGTTGAAACCAACTGTTATCCCCTGTTTCCTTCTAACTCTATTCAGGCAGTTATCAGTGAACACCAAGGTGTCTGTGAACTGTTTTACTCCTCTCCTGCAGCCAATAAGACTTTCTTTCCCACATATTCATGGATTTGGAAATGGTGGAGATTCCTTTCAAGTCTGAGAGAAAAAGGGTCCCCAAATTTCCCCAAGGCTATGGGTTGCCATATATTACCTCACTTGGAGTCAGAGTGAGTCCAGTGGAGGCATTTTCCAAAGTGTCCTGAGAAGGGCCAGGTGCAGTGGCTCACACCTGTAATCTCAGCCCTTTGGAAGGCCTAGGCGGGAGTATCACTTGAGGCAAGGAATTCAAGACCAGCCTAGGCAACATGGTGAGACCCCGTCTCTACAAAAAACAAAAAACCCAGCTGGGCGCGGTGGCTCATGCCTGTAATCCCAACACTTTGGGAGGCCGAAGCGGGCGGATCACGGGGTCAGGAGATCGAGACCATCCTGGCTAACACAGTGAAACCCCATCTCTACTAAAAATATAAAAAAGTAGCCGGGCGTGGTGGTGAGTCCCTGTAGTCCCAGCTACTCGGGACGCTGAGGCAGGAGAATGACGTGAACCCAGGAGGCGGAGCTTGCAGTGAGCCGAGATTGTGCCACTGCACTCCAGCCTGGACGACAGAGCGAGACTCATCTCAAAAAAAAAAAAAACCCAGATAATCACAAACATAGAAGAGTCAGTGTCATTGCTAGGAAAAAAAAAAGATAAGTCTGAAATGTAGACAAGGACTAGACAAGGACAAAAATGAAAGTATTGGAAAGCCAGAAAGGTGAGGAATGGGATGGTATCAACTATGAGCAAATTGAGGAGTGTGGTGCAGAACTAACACTGTCAGTGGTGAGTATGTGCTAATGTGCCCCTTTTATGTGTTGCATAGGACGTGTTGTAAGAATAGATATGAGAGGGTTTTGTTTGTTTGTTTCTTTGTTTTTTGACAGAGTCTCGCTCCGTTCCCCCAGGCCGGAGTGCAGTGATGTGATCATAGCTTACTGCAGCCTCGTCATCATGGGTTCAAATGATCCTCCTGCTTCAGCCTCCCAATTAGCTGGGACTACTACAGGCATGGGCACCATGCCGGCTGATTTTCTAATTTTTATTTTTATTGTAAAGACAGGGTCTCACTAAGTTGCTTAGGCTGGTTTTGAACTCCTGGGCTCAAGCAATCCTTCTGCCTCAGCCTCCCAAAGTGCTGAAATTACAGACTTGAACCCAGTGTTTAAGTAAGCCACCCGGCTCAAATCCCTTCTGGAGTGAGATGTAGTATAGAAAATAAGCAGAGGCCACTTAAATACACTCATTCCTCTAGCTTCAGGCTTTTGCTAGGCAAGCTGAGGCTGCAGCTGGATTGGCTCCATGGGAGTTTGCAAGGCTTCTGAGAGGTACTTAAGGGGAGACTTGGGCTCTTATGAGTATCCCTCTGGCCCATAAACCTCCTGCTGGAGTCTATTGGATGGGCTTGGAAGTCCAGAGTCTCCTGTAATCATATACTTAGGCTTTCAATTCCTGAGGGTGTGGTGTGTGCAGGGGTCTAGGTGGACTGGGCCTAGTGAGGAATCGTGAAAGACTAGGTGGATGTGTGCAGACTGAGGGATGAAGGCAGAAAACAGTGGGATTTATTCAGCCATTCAACATATGGGTATCTTCTGTGTGTCAGCACTGCTCCAAGTGTTAGCAATATAGTTGTTAACAAGCCAGATGGTATCTCTGCCCTCAGGAGCTTAAATTCGATTGGAGAAGAGGGACAAAACAAGTAGGCAAATTAACAAATACATGAAGTTATGTATGGTGAGTTCTGTGAAGAAAAATGAAACAGGACAAGGGGATTGAGATTGACAGCAGGGCAGCTACTTCAGATTTAGTGATTAGAGAAGACTCCTCTGAAGAAGTGGTATTTGATCAGAGACCCAAATTAAGTGAAGTCATGGGAGCATCTCAGGGAAGATTGTTTCACGCAGAAGAAACACCAAGTACAAAGGCCCTGAGGCAGGAATGAGCTTGGTCCTTTCAAGGAAAACCAGACAAAGCTGATTGACCAAGGTAAAGAGACAGGAGAAAGGGTTGGAGAAGTAGGCTGAGGCCAATTACATAGGGCTTTGTGGGCCATGGGAAAATTTGGATTTTATTTTAAATACAATGTTAAGAAGCCATCACATGAAGAGTTTTAACTAGAAGAGTGACAGAGTAAAGTTCAAAAATTTTAAAAGACCATTCTGGCTGCTGTGTGAAAAATCCTTATGGAGCTAAGAGTGAAATCAGGGATCCCAGTTAAGAAACTACTGCAGTATTCCTGGTGAAAGGTAACAGTGGCTTGTACAAGGGAAATAGCAGTGGAGATGGTGAGAGATAGAGCTGATAGGTGCTGCTGATGCATTGGATTTGGGGTTTGAGGGAAAGAGAAAATTCAAAGATGCCTCTCATCTGAGAAACTGGATAAATAGTGGTATCATTGACCATTGGGATAGGCTGGGGAAGAAACGGTTTTAAGGTAGGAGAAATAGGGGCTATTTTTTGAGACCGTTTGAGACATCTACTAGATATCCAAATGGAGATGTCATATGTATAGTCAGATATACAAATCTGGAGCTTAGTGGCGGGGGTCAGGGCTAGAGATATAACTTTGGCGTATATAAGATGTTATTTAAAGCTATGAGATTGGGTGAGCTCATCCAGGAAGTAAATGTAGACAGAAGAGGTCTGAGGACTAAATCTTGGGTCACTCTTAACATTTTGAGATGAGGAAGAGGAGTTGGAGCAATCAGAGAGACTGAGAAAGAGTGGGCAGTAAGAAGGGAGGGCAACCAGGAGACCGTGGTTTTCCAGAAGCCAAGCCAAAAAAGTGTTCCAAAGGCCGGGCAGTGGCTCACGCCAGTAATCCCAGCACTTTGGAAGGCCAAGGCGGGAGGATCACCCGAGGTCAGGAGTTCAAGACCAGCCTGGCCAACATGGTGAAACCCGGTCTCTACTAAAAACGCAAAAATTAGCTGGGTGTGGTGGTGTGCAACTGCAGTCCCAGCTACTTGGGAGGCTGAGGCAGGAGAATCTCTTGAACCCAGGAGGCAGAGGTTGCTGTGAGCCAAGATTGTGCCACTGCATTCCAGCCTGGGCAACAGAGTAAGATTCTGTCTCAGAAAAAAAAAAAAAACCTGTCTCAAAGAGAACAGAGTCAAACAAACTGTGTTAAATGTTTCTAAGTTCATAAGATTTAGCAAGATGGTAGTCTTGGGAACCTTAATAAAAACTTGAGAGGAAAGGGTTGAAAAAAAAATGAGAAATGAGAAAGTGGAGCCAGAAGGTACAGTCAATTCTTTGCAGAGCTTCATCAAAGAGGTTAACAGAGAATTCGGGAGTAGTTGGCGGTGGGCATGGGGTATAGACAAACATATTGGTAAGCTGATGGGACTGATCCAGCAGACAAGAAAATGCTTATGATTGCAAGAGAAAGAGGGTTTTTTTTTTTTATGGGAGTAAGGTCCTTGAATTGGCAGGAGGGTGTAAGTGCTGGGGTATAGTCAGTTTATCCTTTGTATCAAGAGGAACAGCAGAGGGGATGAGGATATGCTGGTAAAGTGACAGATCTAATTGTGGGAAGATGAGCTACTTCTCTTCTGATTGCTTCTCTTAGGCCTAAGAAACAAAAGTGAGGTTATTGATACAAGCAGGGAGAAGGAAGCGTCGATTAGGAGATGTACTAAGCTAAGCGAAGATAATGAATGGTCCAGGTAATAATGGGAGGCTTGAACTTCCTTCTTGTGGCAACAGATAAGTGGGAGTGTAAGGCATGAGGGGTAACTAGTTCTGAGTCATTTAAATAGAAGGTGGCTCTGGTAACTCTGCCTTCATCCTGTTTCTCAAACACACCATGCTCATTCATATCTCAGGCCATTTAGCACTTGCTGTCCCCTCTCTTGAAACATTCTTGCCCCATGGTTTGCTACCTCACTGCATTCAGGACTTTATTCAAATGTCAGCATCTCAGAGAAGACTTCCCTGCCCACTCTTTCTAAAACAGCAACCCCTCTTCTAGTCATTCTCCATCCCCTTACTCTGCTTTAGTTTTAAAACAGCTTTATTAAAGCATAATCAATATACAAAGAATTGTGCACGAACCTGGAAGTAAAGCACCCCTCAGCAAATGTAAAAGAAAAGAAATTATAACAAACTGTCTCTCAGACCACAGTGCAATCAAATTAGAACTCAGGATTAAGAAACTCACTCAAAACCGCTCAACTACATGGAAACTGAACAACCTGCTCCTGAATGACTACTGGGTAAATAACAAAATGAAGGCAGAAATAAAGATGTTCTTTGAAACCAACGAGAACAAAGACACAACATACCAGAATCTCTGGGACGCATTCAAAGCAGTGTGTAGAGGGAAATTGATAGCACTAAATGCCCACAAGAGAAAGCAGGAAAGATCTAAAATTGACACCTTAACATCACAATTAAAAGAACTAGAGAAGCAAGAGCAAACACATTCAAAAGCTAGCAGATGGCAAGAAATAACTGAGATCAGAGCAGAACTGAAGGAAATAGAGACACAAAAAACCCTTCAAAAAAATCAATGAATCCAGGAGCTGGTTTTTTGAAAAGATCAGCGAAATTAATAGACCACTAGCAAGACTAATAAAGAAGAAAAGGGAGAAGAATCAAATAGACACAATAAAAAATGACAAAGGGGATGTCACCACCGATCCCACAGAAATACAAACTAACTACCATCAGAGAACACTATAAACATCTCTACGCAAATAAACTAGAAAATCTAGAAGACATGGGTAAATTCCTCGACACATACACCCTCCCAAGACTAAACCAGGAAGAAGTTGAATCTCTGAATAGACCAATAACAGGCTCTGAAATTGAGGCAATAATTAATAACTTACCAACCAAAAAAAGTCCAGGACCAGATGGATTCACAGCCGAATTCTACCAGAGGTACAAGGAGGAACTGGTACCATTCCTTCTGAAACTATTCCAATCAACAGGAAAAGAGGGAATCCTCCCTAACTCATTTTATGAGGCCAGCATCATACTGATATCAAAGCCAGGCAGAGACACAACAAAAAAAGAGAATTTTAGACCAATATCCCTGATGAACATCGATGCAAAAATCCTCAATAAAATACTGGCAAACCAAATCCAGCAGCACATCAAAAAGCTTATCCACCATGATCAAGTGGGCTTCATCCCTGGGATGCAAGGCTGGTTCAACATATGCAAATCAATAAACGTAATCCAGCATATAAACAGAATCAACGACAAAAACCGTATGATTATCTCAATAGATGCAGAAAAGGCCTTTGACAAAATTCAACTACGCTTCATGCTAAAAACTCTCAATAAATTAGGTATTGATGGGAACTATCTCAAAATAATAAGAGCTATCTATGACAAACCCACAGCCAATATCATACTGAATGGGCAAAAACTGGAAGCATTCCCTTTGAAAACTGGCACAAGACAGAGATGCCCTCTCTCACCACTCCTATTCAACATAGTGTTGGAAGTTCTGGCCAGGGCAATCAGGCAGGAGAAGGAAATAAAGGGTATTAAATTAGGAAAAGAGGAAGTCAAATTGTCCCTGTTTGCAGATGACATGATTGTATATCTAGAAAACGCCATGGTCTCAGCCCAAAATCTCCTTAAGCTGATAAGCAACTTCAGCAAAGTCTCAGGATACAAAATCAATGTACAAAAATCACAAGCATTCTTATACACCAATAACAGACAAACAGAGAGCCAAATCATGAGTGAACTCCCATTCACAATTGCTTCAAAGAGAATAAAATACCTAGGAATCCAACTTACAAGGTATGTGAAGGACCTCTTCAAGGAGAACTACAAACCACTGCTCAAGGAAATCAAAGAGGATACAAACAAATGGAAGAACATTCCATGCTCATGGGTAGGAAGAATCAATATTGTGAAAATGGCCATACCGCCCAAGGTAATTTATAGATTCAATGCCATCCCCATCAAGCTACCAATGACTTTTTTCACAGGATTGGAAAAAACTACTTTAAAGTTCATATGGAACCAAAAAAGAGCCCGCATTGCCAAGTCAATCCTAAGCAAAAAGAACAAAGCTGGGGGCATCACGCTACCTGACTTCAAACTATACTACAAGTCTACAGTAACCAAAACAGCATGGTACTGGTACCAAAACAGAGATATAGACCAATGGAACAGAACAGAGCCCTCAGAAATAATGCCACATAACTACAACCACCTGATCTTTGACAAACCTGACAAAAACAAGAAATGGGGAAATGATGCCCTATTTAATAAATGGTGCTGGCAAAACTGGCTAGCCATATGTGGAAAGCTGAAACTGGATCCCTTCCTTACACCTTTTACAAAAAATTAATTCAAGATGGATTAAAGACTTAAATGTTAGACCTAAAACCATAAAAACCCTAGAAGAAAACCTAGGCAATACCATTCAGGACATAGGCATGGGCAAGGACTTCATGTCTAAAACACCAAAAGCAATGGCAACAAAAGACAAAATTGACAAATGGGATCTAATTAAACTAAAGAGCTTCTGCACGGCAAAAGAGACCACCATCAGAGCGAACAGGCAACCTACAGAATGGGAGAAAATTTTTGCAGTCTACTCATCTGACAAAGGGCTAATATCCAGAATCTACAATGAACTCAAACAAGTTTACAAGAAAAAAACAACCCCATCAAAAAGTGGGCGAAGGAGATGAACAGACACTTCTCAAAAGAAGACAATTATGCAGCCAACAGACACATGAAAAAATGCTCATCATCACTGGCCATCAGAGAAATGCAAATCAAAACCACAGTGAGATACCATCTCACACCAGTTAGAATGGTGATCCTTAAAAAGTCAGGAAACAACAGGTGCTGGAGAGGATGTGGAGAAATAGGAACACTTTTACACTGTTGGTGGGACTGTAAACTAGTTCAACCCTTGTGGAAGTCAGTGTGGCGATTCCTCAGGGATCTAGAACTGGAAATACCATTTGACCCAGCCATCCCATTACTGGGTATACACCCGAAGGATTATAAATCATGCTGCTATAAAGACACATGCACACATATGTTTATTGCGGCACTATTCACAATAGCAAAAATTTGGAACCAACCCAAATGTCCAACAATGATAGACTGGATTAAGAAAATGTGGCACATATACACCATGGAATACTATGCAGCCATAAAAAATGATGAGTTCATGTCCTTTGTAGGGACATGGATGAAGCTGGAAACCATCATTCTCAGCAAACTATCTCAAGGACAAAAAAACCAAACGCCGCATGTTCTCACTCATAGATGGGAATTGAACAATGAGAACACATGGACACAGGAAGGGGAACATCACACACCGGGGCCTGTTGTGGGGTGGGGGGAGGGTGGAGGGATAGTATTTGGAGATATACCTAATGTTAAATGACGGGTTACTGGGTGCAGCACACCAACATGGCACATGTATACATATGTAACAAACCTGCACATTGTGCACATGTACCCTAAAACTTAAAGTATAATTTAAAAAAAATAAAAGAATTGCACCAACCTAATATTTCCTGCATACAATTTGATGAGTTTGCACATATGCAAACACCCACAATACCATCACTACAAGCAAGGTAATAGACATATCCAACACATCCCAAAGTTTCCTTGTGTCCCTTTGGTTTTGTGTGTGTGTGTGTGTGTGTGTGTGTGTGTGTATGTGCGTGTGTTATATGTGTTTGTATGTATTAAGAATGCCTACCATGAGATCTACCCTAAACAAATTTTGAAGTGCACAATACCATACTGTTAACCATTGGTACTAGGTTGTACGGCAGATCTCTAAAACTTATTCATCTTTCATAACTGAAACTTCATACCCATTGAACAGCAACTCCCATATTACCCCCTTACCCCAAACCCTGGCAAGCAGCATTCTATTTTCTGCTTCTATGAGTTTGACTATTATAGATACCTCTTATAAGTAGCATCACATGGTATTTGTCTTTTCATGACTGGCTTATTTCACTTAGCAAAATGCCCTCACTTGTGCCCATTGAATGTAATTTATTTAGTGATGTGTTTATTGGATGTATTCCATCACCAGACCATCAGCTACATGAGAGAAGGACTTGGTTTTGTTCACTGCTATATCCCTAGAGCCTAGCACAGTGTCTGTCACATATTTGCCGACTAAATGAATGAGCAATTCTTATTTCAGCTTCCTTCTTTGGACTGGTCTGTCGGTGGTTATTAGTGGTGAAGTGGGTGATGATATGAGAGCAGGGAGCCAACTGCCTACCAGGAGCTGGAGAAACCCTTACATCCTCCTGTGGCGGCACTCAGGCAGCAGTGAGTGTGGCTAATGGTTTCAGAGATCTGGAATGAGGCCAGGAACAGGTCCTCTCATATGCATCAGGGTTGCTTTAGGGAAGGTGAGTAGAACATGGAGCAGGAGGAAAACCACATCAGGTTCCATGCCGACAGCAGCCCTCTGCCCTCCCCATCTCAGCAATGACTATATGTTGGTAGAGGTGCATCCTGCAAGGTATCAGGCAGCCTGTAGTTCTCAAAGACACTGACCTGCAAGTACTGTGTGGTACAGGAAAGTAGAGAAACAGTGTCTTTCATTATTGAAATGGCTAGGGGTTCCCGGTAGAACTGTGTAAGACATCAAACTTGGCTATCAACGAGGTCAGAGGGCTCAAGAGTCTTGCTGGCACAGCAGGCAGAATGTCAGGGCTACTATTTGAGGGTCTGGTTCAACACACTTCATGTGTGAACATGTATCAATCAAAATAACACTAGCTGCTGTAACCGTTTATGTGATGGAGGTAAGCAGTAGATGGGTCAAATGGTAGTTGAAGACTCTGGGAAAGGCACAAAATGGGTGGGTTTTTGATTCAACAGAACATAGCGGTGCAAGTCAATGAACTGGAGAAGCTCCTGCAAGCATCAGACAGTGGGGCAGCAGGTAATAGAACTGAAATGGCAGTGTAGAAAGTGGACTACATTAGTCAGGATATCTACCCGACAGCAAATGTGGCTTGTGGCCCTGAGAAGGGAAGGATAACAGTATATTACAAAGTCTTGGGTTACTGTCCCCAAGAGATTTCCCTGGCGTATCTTTGGTTCTGCATTTTTTTTCCCCCTTAGAACACTGGGCCTGATGCTGCCCCACCAAAAGCCTCAACAAGCAGGTTGATTGTCAGGCTGTCTTCCAGGGTGGGAGTAAGGCCGAGGCACCTGGGTTCATTGTGCCTTTGCTGGGGACCCTCTTAAGGCTGTGCTGGCACAGGTGTGCTCCCTGGCAGCCTGAAATGAGGCGTATGATTCAAAATATCACCAAATGAATAATTTCCTAAGGAGGGAGGGGCGGTATCTGATTTCCCTTAGTCTTTGGTTGGTACCAGGATTACTCAGATCAAGGGCTCATTCTAAATGAAACAGAATATCTTAGAGAATGAGATAGACAACCACTCCTTGGTTCAGGAGGTTGAGAAGGATAATAATAAAAAGGCCCTAGAATTTACTTGGAGTAGTACACAGGCCAGAGAGCATGTATTAATCAAAGTAACACTAGTTGATATAACAAACAACCACATCTTGGTGGTTTAGCATAATAGAAGTTTCTCTCATATCTGTTAGAGAGACTGTGACTCTCTTCCAAGTGACTAAAGGATCCAGCTATTTCCATCTTATGGCTCTGCCATCTTGTGGCTTTAAGGTCACCCTAGTGTTTCAGAAGCACATGAAAGTGGGAAGAATCACACACCTGTTACTCAATCACTTTGGCCCTAAAATGATACACGTCATGTTTACTTGTTGTATTGGCAATAGCTGGTCAAATGATCTTGCCTAGAGGTGCGATGGAGCTTGGAAGTGGTAGTTCCGGGCTGGGAAGCCTCTTTGCAGCAACAACTCTACACCATGGAAGGGAAGCCTGAGCCTTTGGTCATCATGTAGTGCCCTCTGCAACAGGATAGCCCCAAATATATGTACTGTCCCAGTCCAGCTTGAAATGCTGTCTTTCACTAGTCCTCTTGCATACAAAGCTAAATAGCCTACTGAGTTCAGATTCTGTGAGTTCCTGGATCTGCTAGAATTGTACAACCGGATGCAATTGAGCAGGAGTGGGTAGTGATCCCATCCTGCCACTGAATCAAAGTCCCACTTGTCTACTTTTTCATAAATAATGGGAGTGCCAGCAGGAAAATTTGAGTGCTAGATGGCCCCACACACAAGTTCAGATTGAGATACCCCCTGAAACTTAAGATTCTGCCATTCTTTGCCAAGGTAGCATTATTTGCAAAGGCTCAAGACCCTAGGGTGAGATTAATGGTGTCATTGTGGTTACTGTATGGAGCAGCTGCTCTCCATCCCTCTCAGACAATTCTTTCTAGAATGCCTATTTGCCTGGTGAGGCAGACTGGACAGCCACTGACCTGACCTCCAAATTGCCCTAGGAGAGGTACATGACAGGATTCTTCTAAGTCATGAATGCATGAATGATTGGCAGCACCCATGGCTCTGTATGGTCCCTATCCTGACCTGCAAGAGCAGGCAGGGTTTCACAGAGTCCTTCCAGCAGGAGAATGTTAATCTCATCCATTTAGACTTGTTGTAGTTTGAAGATCACCTAGCTGAGTCTCTTGAAACAAGGTTCAATTTAAAAAGTTGTGAGATGCCATGAAGTCCACCCTTGTCTGTATCAACAGTTGGGTGCCAGCCAGTGATGTACTGGTAAATGCTTAACAACCAGCTCTTCTGAGAAAAAAAAGTCAGACCTGTAGCATTTGCTGATTTCTATGCTGCAAATACTCCCACAATGGCTGATTTCATGCTATCAATGTTGTATCACTGAATGCAGAGTTGAGCAGAAGTACAGGAACATACCATTATATGTATATTCAGTATTTCCACCATACATACAGAATGGACAAAATAACTTCAAGAGTGTAGATAAGACCTATAATCCCAGCACTTCAGGAGGCCAAGGTGGGTGGGTCACCTGAGGTCAGGAGTTCAAGACCAACCTTGCCAACATGGCCAGCATGGCCAACATTGCCAGGCAAATTAGCCAGGTGTGGTGGTGCATGCCGGTAATCCCAGCTACTCGGGAGGCTGAGGCAGGAGAATTGTTTGAACCCAGGAGGCAGAGGTTGCAGTGAGCCGAGATTGCACCACTGCACTCCAGCCTGGGCAACAGAACAAGACTTCGTCTCAAAAAAAAAAAAAAAAAAAGTGTAGGTAAGAGTGTAGTAAAATAACTAGGAAGTGATTGATTAGTTTTGAGTATTTGCTATCTATGTTTTAATGTAATGCATTTAATAGTAAGTTCATGTACATTAATTTTTTTGTTTGTGTTGCCTTTTTAATTTTAAAAAATAAATATATACTTTTAAACATACAGAAAATAGGAAAAAATAGCACATTGAACACCCATATACACACCAGTTAGATTCACTAACATCTTGCCATATATGCTTCATGCCATGTACATTAATTTTTAATAATGGCTGTGACTAATAATCAGCAAGCAAAATTTCTGAAAATTTCACAATCAGCTCTTCTAAGTCAAGACAACCTCGCTCTAGCAACACCACTAGTCTCAGCTTTCTCACCCCAGTACCATGGTTAGCCAATCAGGACAGAGAGAGCAGAGGAAGTGTGAGCATGGAAATGAACAATTTTCTTCTCCCAGTGGACTGAGAAATTTCTCAACAGTGATAGCAGGGTACCCAAGACAAAGCACACAACCTATCCTAGAACAGGCACAAGGCTGGTGCATGTGTGTCTAAAAGCAGACTTTAGGGAGACACAGCCCTTCTAACCTTGCAAGCTCATTATTAGCCTTAGAAGTGACTCATGTAAGTTCTGAGTCATGAGATATACTAGGTGGCTCCCACACACACTCAAAGTCACCAGTTTAGTCAGCCTTCCATATTGAGAGTAGAGGAGCTTGAAAACTCCTCCTAGAATTTCCTTGCTTGGTGCTATCATTCTAAAACAAGACCTGTGCTAGTTAATCCACCCTTCCCCTGGAAAAGATAGAGTAGATATGTTGGTGTGCTCTGCCCAGGACAGCGGAAGTTTGGCCATCCCCTCCCTGCTCACACACAGAGAGCTGCCAGAAACCACACAGAATCTTTCAAGAAAAGGGTGGCCAGCCTGCCTAGAAAGAAGTCTCATCTATCAAATCTGCCACTGTCTGCAGTCACCTGATGGCTTGCATGGAGCTGGAGGATCTGCTTCACTGATGGCTCAGTCATGTGGCTGCTGGCAGAAGACCTCAGTCCCTCAAATTGTGGGCCTCTCCATAGGTTACTTGAATGCCATCAGGACATGACAACTAACTTACCCCAGAGTGAGTGCTCCACTAGAGAGGGAGCACAGAGGAAGCCGCACTGTCTTTTTTATGATCTAGTCTCTGAAATGTCACAATCACTTTTGCTTTATTCTATTCGTTAGAAGCGAGTCACTGATGAATTTCTTTATCCTATTCATTAGAAACAAGACAGTAAAAGCAGCTCACCCTCAAGGGGAAGGGAAATAGGGTCTTCCTTTGAAAGGAAGGAGTAGCAAAAAATTTGTGGACAAATTTCACAGCTACTGCAGTTCTCCCTCTTTCCACCAACTATTGATATTCCTCCCATATGCAAAGTACACTCACTCCTCCCAAGGCCCCTAAAAGTCTCATCCCATTACACTATCAGTTTGAAGTCTAGATTCTCATCACTGAGATCAGGTCCAGGTCCAGGTGCACATAATGCTCCTCAGATGTAGTTCTTTAAGTATAGCTTCTGGAGTACAGTTCCTCTCAACCTGAGGACCTGTGAACCAAAGAGAAAAGATATCGGCCACGGATACACCCAACATGCAATGGTGGGAATGAGTAGAATAACCTCTACAGACATTACTGTACAAGGAAAGGGGAAAACAGGCACAAAGGAGTCGCTGTTCCATAAACAATTCTGAAATATACCTAAGGACATGTTGCAAGTTCCTTGATTAGGACTCGGTCTGGGAATAATTCTCTGCACCTCTTGGCTCTCCCCCCTGGGCTCTTGGTTCTATCCTCTGAGTCATCTTTCCTTTCCACAAAAAACACTCTGTTTCCAGGTGCATGATTTTTTCAGCTTTCTTCCTGCCAGTAGAATTTTGGAGATCCAAAGGTCTCTTGTCATTTTGTATTGTCTCTGCCCCTTTCAGTTCAGGCTGGAAATGTTCCCATAAATATAATTCTCTTTAAAACTTTGTGAGTGTTCTCTGATTCTTATTAAGGTTTACCCCATTACACCATTACACCAAAGCTTTGTCCAAAAATATCTTTGAGATAAGCCCTTCCTAACATTGGACATCTGCTGTGACTACTGAGGGACAGTGCCCTTAAGCTTCTTCAAAGCTCTGTTGCTTGACTGAACAGCTCTTTGAAGCATGACCTTGGATCTTTCTGAGGCTTTAACAAAAGATTTTACAGTCATACTTCCAGTTTTATTTTTAGACCATGTTTTCCAGAGAGTACCCTGGATTTTACCTTTGTTCCAAGGCTATTTCTTAATTTTGGCATTGTTTACCCTTGGAGGATCTAGGAATCTCCAAAACCAGCACTCCTTTTTGTTTAACATTTCTTCCTTAAGCATGTCTCTGTCCTTTCACATTTTGCTATAAGCAACAAGAAGCAACCAGGCAGCACCTTCAATGCTTTTGCTAGAAGTTACTTTAGCTAGGTCATCCAGTTCATTTGGTATATTTTCTACTTTCCAAATAATTTCAGGTGACAGTGTAGCTAAACTTTCTGCCACTACTTAGCAAAGATCCCTCTTCCTTCACTTTCCTGTAACATATTCCTTACTTCTATTTAACCCCCCACTGGTAGCCTCCTCAAAACTCAGACTTCTCCAAACAGTCTATTCAAGAAATTTTAGCCTTTTATGGATACTGTCTTTGAAGTCCTTCCAGGTTTTGCAAAACTGCCTAATTCCCAAGCCACTCCCAAATTTTTAGATGCTTTTTTTTTTTTTTTTTTTTTTGCTTTTGAGACGGAGTCTCGCTCTGTCACCAGGCTGGAGTGCAGTGGCTCAATCTTGTCTCACTGCAACCTCTGCCTCCCAGGTTCAAGCGATTCTCCTGCCTCAGCCTCCCAAGTAGCTGGGACTACAGGCGTGCGTCACAGTGCCCAGCTAATTTTTGTATTTTTAGTAGAGATGGGGTTTCACCATGTTGGCTAGGATGGTCTTGATATCTTGATAGCACCCCACTTCCAGGTAGCAAAATCTGTATTAGTTGTTATCTGTTACTGCATAAAAAGTTACTCCAAAACTCAGTGGCTTAAAACAACAAACATACATTATCTCATAGTTTCTGTCTGTCAGGAATTTCAGAGTGGCTTATTTGAAAATGTAGGCTCAGGGTCTGATATGGTTTGTGTCCCCACCCAAATCTCATCTCGAATTGTAATCCCCATGTGTCAAGGAAGGGACCTGGTGGGAGGTGACTGGATCATGGTGGCAGTTTCCCCCATACTGTCCTCATGATAGTGAGTTCTCATGAGATCTGATGGTTTTATAAGTGTTTGACAGTTCCTGCTTCCCATGCTCTCTCTCCCTTGCCACCATGTAAGACATGCCTGCTTCCTCTTCTGCCACGATTGTAAGTTACCTGAGACCTCCCAAGCCATGTGGAACTGTGAGTCAATTAAACCTCTTTTCTTTATAAATTACCCAGTCTCTGAATCCTCATCTGTCACCCTATACAAAAACCAACTGAAGATGGATCAAAGACTTGAATCTAAGACCTGAAACCATAAAAATTCTAGAAGATAACTGATATGGTTTGGCTGTGTCCCCCATTCATATCTCATCTTGAATTGTAGCTCCCATGATTGCCACGTGTTGTGGGAGGGACCTTGTATCAGGGTTCTCTAGAGGGAAATAATTGTGTATATATATGTATATATATATACACACACATGTACATATAGGAGTTTATTAAGTATTAACTCACATGATGACAAGGTCCCACGATAGGCTATCTGCAAGCTGAGGAGCAAGGAGAGCCAGTCCGAGCCCCAAAACTGAAGAATTTGGAGTCCAATGTTTGAGGACAGGAAGCATCCAGCACACAGGAGAAAGATGTAGGCTGGGAGGCTAGACCAGTCTCACCTTTTCACGTTTTTCTGCCTGCTTCATATTGGCTGGAGGCTGATTAGATGGTGCCCACCAGATTAAGGGTGGGTCTGCCTTCCCCAACCCACTGACTCAAATGTTAATCTCCTTTGGCAACACCCTCACAGACACACCCAGGATTAGTACTTGGAACCCTTCAATCCAATCAAGTTGACACTCAGTATTAACCATCCCAGACCTGGTTGGAGATAATTGAATCATCGGGGCAGTTTACCCCATACTGTTCTCCTGGTGGTGAATAAGTCTCACAAGATCTGATGGTTTCATATGGGGAAACCCCTTTTGCTTGGCTATCATTCTCTCTTGCCTGCTGCCACGTAAGATGTGTCTTTCACCTTTCACCATGATTGTGAGGCCACCCCAGCTACCTGGAACTGTGAGTTCATTAAACTACTTTTGCTATATAAATTACCCAGTCTGGGGTATGTCTTTGTCAGTGGCATGAAAATGGACTAATACAGTAAACTGGTACTGGTAGAGTAAGATGCTGCTGTAAAGACACCCAAAAATGTGGAAAAGACTTTTGAACTGGGTAACAGGCAGAGGTTGGAACAGCTCAGAGGGCTCAGAAGAAGACAGGGAAATGTGGGAAAGTTTGGAACTTCCTAGGGACTTGTTGAATGGCTTTGACCAAATGCTGATAATGATATGGACAATGAAATCCAGGCTGAGTTGGTCTCAGATGGAGATAAGGAACTTGTTGGGAACCGGAGTAAAGATGACTCTTGCTATGTTTTAGCAAAGAGACTGGTGGCATTTTGCCCCTGCCCTAGACATTTGTGGAACTTTGAACTTTAGAGAGATGATTTAGGGTATCTGGCAGAAGAAATTTTTAAGCAGCAAACCATTCAAGAGGTGACTTGAGTGCTGTTATAGACAATCAGTTTTATAAGGGAAGCAGAGCATAAAGTTTGGAAAATTTGCAGCCTGACAATGTGATAGAAAAGAAAATCCCATTTTCTGAGGAGAAATTCAAGCTGACTGCAGAAATTTGCATAAGTAACAAGGAGCCAAATGTTAATAACCAAGATAATGGGAAAATGTCTCCAGAGCACGTCAGAGGTCTTCACAGCAGCCCCTCCCCTCACAGGCCTGGAGGCCTAGGAGGAAAATATGGTTTTGTGGGCTGGGCCTAGGGGCAGAATGATATGGTTTGGCTGTGTTGCCACCCATATCTCATCTTGAATTGTAGCTCCCATAATTCCCATGTGTTGTGGGAGGGACCCAGTGGGAGATAGTTGAATGATGAGGGTGGTTTCTCCCGTACTGTTCTCGTGGTAGTGAATAAGTCTCATGAGATCTGATGGTTTTATAAGGAGAAACCCCTTTTGCTTGTTTCTCATTCTCTCTTGCCTGCTGCCATGTAAGACATGCCTTGGCTTCTCCTTTGCCTTCCACCATGATTGTGAAGCCTTCCCAGCTATGTGGAAATGTGAGTCCATTAAACCTCTTTCCTTTAGAAATTACCCAGTCTCAGGTAAGTCTTTATTAGCAGTGTGAGAACAGACTAATACAATAACATTGGAAAAACCCTTCTAGACATTGGCTTAGACAAAGACTTCATGACCAAGAACTCAAAAGCAAAGGCAACAAACACAAAGATAAATAGATGGGACTTAATTAAAATAAAAAAGCTTCTGCGCAGCAAAAGAAATAATTAGCAGAATAAACAGACAACCCACAGAGTGGGAGAAAAATCTTCACAATCTATACATACAACAAAGGACTAATATCCAGAATCTACAAGGAAGTCAGACAAACCAGTAAGAACAAAACAAACAATTCCATCAAAAAGTGGGCTAAGGATATGAATTGGCAATTCTCAAAAGAAGATATACAAATGGCCAACAAACATGAAAAAATGTTCAACATCACTGATTATCAGGGAAATGCAAATCAAAACCACAATGCAATACCACCTCACTCCTGCAAGAAAGGCCATAATAAAAAAATAAAAAAAAAATAGATGTTGGCATGGATGTGGTGAAAAGGGAACACTTTTACACTTTTACACTGCTGGTGGGAATGTAAACTAGTACAAACACTATAAAAAACAGTGTGGAGATTCTTAAAGAACTAAAAGTAGATCTACGATTTGATCCAGCAATCCCACTACTGGGTATCTACCCAGAGGAAAAGAAGTCATTATACAAAAAAGATACCTGCACGTGCATGATTATAGCATTACCATTCACAATTGCAGAAATATAGAACCAGCCCGAATGCCCATCAATCAACAAGTGGATAAAGAAAATGTGATATATATATATATATAGTATATGTATATATATGTATATATATACTCATACCATGGAGTGCTAGAATACTACTCAGCCATAAAAAGGAACAAAATAATGGCATTTGCAGCAATCAGGATGAAATTGGAGACCAATATTCAAAGTGAACTAACTCAGGAATGGAAAACCAAACATCACATGTTCTCAGTCATAGGAGGAGATAAGCTGTGATGACACAAAGGCATTAGAATGATACAATGGACTTTGGGGACTCGGGGGAAAGGGTGAGGGGGATGAGGCATAAAAGACTACACATTGGGTACATTGTACTCTGCTTGAGTGATGGGTGCACCAAAATTTCAGAAATCACCACCAAAAAACATATTCATGTAACCAAACATCACCTGTTCCCCAAAAACCTACTGAAAATAAAAAAATATATGGGGAAGAAAATATAACTGTTTATATTTAATTTTATACTGTATGTTTTAAAAATTATATTTTTGTTTATGTTTCATATATGTGAACATGTATAATGGATTAAAAATAGATATCAAGAGTGAGTGTTCAAAGTATTTTAGTCATCAAAAAAGTTTGGATGCTATTGTAGTGTGTCAATAAAAAGAGTCAAACTCTAAAATATTTGAAGAGATTTATTCTGAGCCAAATACGAGAGACAATGGCTTGTGATACAGCTTTCAGGAGGTCCTGAGAACATGTGCTTAGGGTGGTTGGGGTGAAGCTTGGTTTCATACATTTTAGGGAGGCATGAGACATCAATCAAATACATTTAAGAAATACATTGGTTTGGGCCAGACGCAGTGGCTCATGCCTGTAATCCTAGCACTTTGGGAGGCTGAGGCAGGTGGATCACCTGAGGACAGGAGTTCGAGACCAACCTGGCCAACATGGTGAAAACCCATCTCTAGTAGAAATACAAAAATTAGCCAGGTGAGATGGTGAGTGCCTGTAATCCCAGCTACTCAGGAGACTGAGGCAGGATAATCACTTGAACCCGGGAGGCAGAGGTTGCAGTGAGCCAAGATCGCACCACTGGACTCCAGCCTGGGTAACAGAGTGAGACTCTGTCTCCAAAAAAAAAAAAAAGAAAAGAAAAGAAAGAAATACATTGGTTTGGTTCAGAAAGGTGGAACAACTCAAAGCACGGGGTTTCCAGGCTATAGGTAAATTTAAACGTTTTCAGATTGACAATTGGTTGAGTTTGTCTAAATACCTGGATCAATAGAAAGGAAATGTTTAGGCTAACATAAAAGATTGTGGAGACCAAGGTTCTTTTGTAGTCTTATAGTGGCTGCCCTTAGAGACAGTAGATGACAAAGATTTCCTATTTGGACCGTTAAAAGGCACTAGACTCTTACTTAATCTCTTCAGGATTGGGAGGGGCTGGAAGAAAAAGATCTAGCTATGTTCATAGATTCTTTACAAATGCACATTTTCCCCCACAAAGGACCATTTCAAAATATGGCAAAGTAGAATATTTTGACTTTCTTCTTTGTCATGTAATGTTATGCCAGAGTCATATAGGAAAGTAAGTCATGATATATAGGGTTAAATAAAACCCATCAGATGAGAATTTATGATTTGTAGGGCATGATTCGCCAGACCCCTGAGCTAAAAGAGGATGTTCGAACCCATCGCAAGAAAGCTAAAAAAACCTTGAAAAAAGATTAGACGAATGGCTAACTAGAGTAAACAGTGTACATAAGACCTTAAATGACCTGATGGAGCTGAAAACCATGGCACGAGAACTTCATGATGAATGCACAAGCTTCAGTAGCCAATCCAATCAAGTGGAAGAAAGGTTATCAGTGATTGAACAACAAATTAATGAAATAAAGTGAGAAGACAAGGTTAGAGAAAAAAGAGTACAAAGAAACAAAAAAAGCCTCCAAGAAATACAGGACTATGTGAAAAGACCAAATTTGCATTTTATTGGTGTACCTGAAAGTGATGGGGAGAATGTAACCAAGTTGGAAAACACTCTTCAGGATATTATCCAGGAGAACTTTCCCAACCTAGTAAGGCAGGCCAACATTCAAATTCAGGAAACACAGAGAACAACACAAATATACTCTTTGAGAAGAGCAACCCAAAGACACATAATTGTCCGATTCACCAAGGTTGAAATAAAGGAAAAAGTGTTAAGGGCAGCTAGAGAGAAAGGTCGGGTTACCCCCAAAGGGAAGCCCATCAGACTAACAACAGATCTCTCGGCAGAAACCCTACAAGCCAGAAGAGAGTGGGGGCCAATATTCAACTTTTTAAAGAAAAGAATTTTCAACCCAGAATTTCATATCCAGCCAAACTAAGCTTCATAACTAAAGGAGAAATAAAATCCTTTACAGACAAGCAAATGCTGAGAGATTTTGTCACCACCAGGCCTGCCTTACAAAAGCCCCCAAAGGAAGCACTAAACATGGAAAGAAACAACCAGTACCAGCCACTGCAAAAACATGCCAAATTGTAAAGACTATTGATGCTATGAATAAACTGCATCAATTAATGGGCAAAATAACCAGCTAACATCATAATGACAGGATCAAATTCACACATAACAATATTAACCCTAAATGTAAATGGGCTAAATGCCTCAATTAAAAGACACAGACTGGCAAATTGGATAAAGAATCAAGACCCGTCAGTGTGCTGTATTCAGGAGACCCATCTCACGTGCAAAGACACACATAAGACACACATAGGCTCCAAAAAAAGGCAAGGAGGAAGATCTACCAAGCAAATGGAAAGCAAAAAAAAAAAAAAAAAAAAGCAGGGGTTGCAATCCTAGTCTCTGATAGAACAGACTTTAAACCAACAAAGATCAAAAGGGACAAAGAAGGCCATTACATAATGGTAAAGGCATCAATTCAACAAGAAGAGCTGACTATCCTAAATATATATGCACCCAATACAGGAGTACCCAGATTCACAAAGCAACTCCTTAGAGACGTACAAAGAGACTTAGACTCCCACACAATAATAATGCAAGACTTTAACACCCCACTGTCAATATTAGACGGATCAACGAGACAGAACGTTAAAAGATATCCAGGACTCGAACTCAGCTCTGCAACAAGTAGACCTAATAGACATCTACAGAACTCTCCACCCCAAATCAACAGAATATACATTCTTCTCAGCACCACATTGCACTTATTCTAAAATTGACCACATAATTGGAAGTAAAGCACTCCTCAGCAAATGTAAAAGAACAGAAATCACAACAAACTATCTCTCAGACCACAGTGCAATCAAATTAGAACTCAGGATTAAAAAACTCACGCAAAACTGCACAACTACATGGAAACTGAACAACTTGCTCCTGAATGACTACTGGGTACATAACGAAATGAAGGCAGAAATAAAGATGTTCTTTGAAACCAATGAGAACAAAGATGCAACGTAGCAGAATCTTTGGGACACATTTAATGCATTGTGTAGGGGGAAATTTATAGCACTAAATGCCCACAAGAGAAAGCAGGAAAGATCTAAAATTGACACCATAACATCACAATTAAAAGAACTAGAGAAGCAAGAGCAAACACATTCAAAAGCTAGCAGAAGGCAAGAAATAACTAAGATCAGAGCAGAACTGAAAGAGATAGAGACACAAAAAACTCTTCAAAAAATCAATGAATCCAGGAGCCGGTTTTTTGAAAAGATCAACAAAATTGATAGACTGCTGGCAAGACTAATAAAGAAGAAAAGAGAGAAGTATCAAATAGATGCAATAAAAAATAATAAAGGGGATATCACCACCGATCCCACAGAAATACAAACTACCATCAGAGAATACTACAAACACCTCTACGCAAATAAACTAGAAAATCTAGAAGAGATGGATAAATTCCTCGACTTATACACCCTCTCAAGACTAAACCAGAAAGAAGTTGAATCTCTGAATAGACCAATAACAGGCTCTGAAACTGAGGCAATAATTAATAGCTTACCAACCAAAAAAAGTCCAGGACCAGATGGATTCACAGCTGAATTCTACCAGAGGTACAAAGAGGAGTTGGTAATATTCCTTCTGAAACTATTCCAATCAATAGAAAAAGAGGGAATCTTCCCTAACTCATTTTATGAGGCCAACATCATTCTGATTCCAAAGCCTGGCAGAGACACAACAAAAAAAGAGAATTTTAGACCAATATCCCTGATGAACATTGATGCAAAAATCCTCAATAAAATACTGACAAACCAAATCCAGCAGCACATCAAAAAGCTTACCCACCATGATCAAGTCGACTTCACCCCTGGGATGCAAGGCTGGTTCAACATATGCAAATCAATAAACGTAATCCATCACATAAACAGAATCAATGACAAAACCGACATGATTATCTCAATAGATGCAGAAAAGGCCTTCAACAAAATTCAACAACCCTTCATGCTAAAAACTCTCAATAAACTAGGTATTGATTGAATGTGTCTCAAAATAATAAGAGCTATTTATGACACACCCACAGCCAATATCATACTGAATGGGCAAAAGCTGAAAGCATTCCCTTTGAAAACCGGCACAAGGCAAGGATGCCCTCTCTCACCACTCCTATTCAACATAGTGTTGGAAGTTCTGGCCAGGGCGATCAGGAAAGAGAAAGAAATAAAGGGTATTCAATTAGGAAATGAGGAAGTCAAATTGTCCCTGTTTGCAGATGACATGATTGTATATTTAGAAAACCCCATCATCTCAGCTCATAATCTCCTTAAGTTGATAAGCAACTTCAGCAGTCTCACGATACAAAATCAATGTGCAAAAATCACAAGCATTCCTATACACCATTAACAGACAAACGGAGAGCCAAATCGTGAGTGAACTCCCATTCACAATTGCTACAAAGAGAATAAAATACCTAGGAATTCAATTACAAGGGATGTGAAGGACCTCTTCAAGGAGAACTACAAACCACTGCTCAATGAAATAAAAGAGGACACAAACAAATGGAAGAATATTCCATGCTCATGGATAGGAAAAATGAATATCATGAAAATGTTCCGTACTGCCCAAAGTAATTTAGAGATTCAATGCAATCCCCATCTAGCTACCAATGACTTTTTTCACAGAATTGGAAAAAAACAACTTTAAAGTTCGTGTGGAACCAAAAAAGAGCCCTCATTGCCAAGGCAATCCTAAGCAAAAAGAACAAAGCTGGAGGCATCACGTTACCTGACTTCAAACTATACTACAAGTCTACAGTAATCAAAACAGCATGGTACTGGTACCAACACAGATATACAGACCAATGGAACAGAACAGAGGCCTCAGAAATAACACCACACATCTACAACCATCTGATCTTTGACAAACCTGAGAAAAACAAGAAATGGGGAAAGGATTCCCTATTTAATAAATGGTGCTGGGAAAACTGGCTAGCCATATGTAGAAAGCTGAAACTGGAACCCTTCCTTACACCTTATACAAAAATTAATTCAAGATGGATTAAAGACTTAAATGTTAGACCTAAAACCATAAAAACCCTAGAAGAAAATCTAGGCAATACCATTCAGGACATAGGCATGGGCAAGGACTTCAAGACTAAAACACCAAAAGCAATGGCAACAAAAGCCAAAATTGACAAATGGGATCTAATTAAACTAAAAAGTTTTGCATGGCAAAAGAAACTACCATCAGAGTGAACAGGCAACCTACAGAATGGGAGAAAATTTTTGCAATCTACCCACCTGACAAAGGGCTAATACACAGAATCTACAAATAATTCAAACAAATTTACAAGAAAAAAACAAACAACCCCATCAAAAAGTGGGCAAAGGATATGAATAGACACTTCTCAAAAGAAGACATTTATGCAGTCAACAGACACATGAAAAAATGCTCATCATCACTGGTCATCAGAGAAATGCAAATCAAAACCACAATGAGATACCATCTCATGCCAGTTAGAATGGCAATAATTAAAAAGTCAGGAAACAGCAGATGCTGGAGAGGATGTGGAGAAATAGGAACGCTTTTACACTGTTGGTGGGAGTGTAAATTAGTTCAACCATTGTGGAAGACAGTGTGGTGATTCCTCAAGGATCTAGAACTAGAATTACCATTGGACCCAGCAATCCCATTACTGGGTATATACCCAAAGGATTGTAAATCATACTACTATAAAGACACATGCACGCATATGTGTATTGTGGCACTATTCACAATAGCAAAGACTTGGAACCAACCCAAGTGTCCATCAATGATAGACTGGATTAAGAAAATGTGGCACATATACACCATGGAATACTATGCAGCCATAAAAAAGGATGACTTCATCCGTGAGACATGGGTGAAGCTAGAAACCATCATTCTCAGCAAACTATCACAAGGACAGAAAACCAAACACCACATGTTCTCACTCATAGGTTGGAATTGAACAATGAGATCACTTGGACACAGGATGGGGAACATCACACGCCAGGGCCTGTCACAGGGTAGGGGGGCTGGGGGACGGATAGCATTAGGAGAAATACCTAATGTAAATGATGAGTTGATGGGTCCAGCAAACCAACATGGCACATGTATACCTATGTATCAAACCTGCATGTTGTGCACATGTACCCTAGAATTTAAAGTATAATAAAAAAAAAAGAAAAATAAAAGAAAACCCATTTTCTGAGGATAATTCAAGCTGGCTGCAGAAATGTGCATAAATAATGAGAATCTGAATGTTAATGGCCAAGACACTGGGAAAAATGTCTTCAGGGGCATGTCAGAGACCTTCATGGCAGCCCCTCCCATCACAGGCCCAGAAGCCTAGGAGGGAAAAATGGTTTTATGGGCCGGGCCCAGAGACCCACTGCTGTGTGGAGCCTCAGGACTTGGTGCCCTGCATCTTAGCCACTCCAGCTCTAGTCATGGCTAAGAGAGGCCAAGGTACAAGTTGGGCCATTGCTTCAGAGGGTGTAAGCCCCAACTCTTGGTGGCTTCCATGTGGTGTTGAGCCTGTGGGTACACAGAAGTCAAGAATTGAGGTTTGGCAACAACCACCTTGATTTCAGAGGATGTGTGGAAATGCCTGGATGTCCACACAGAAGTCTGCAGCCTGGGGAACCTCTGCTAGCTCAATGCAGAAGGGAAATGTGGGGTTGGAGCCCGCACACACAGTCCCCACTGGGGCACTGCCTAGTGGAGCTGTGAGAAGAGGGCCACCGTCCTCCAGACCCCAGAATGGTAGATCCACCAACAGCTTGCATGATGCACTGGAAAAGCCACAGGTACTCAACGCCAGCCCATGAAGGAGCTGCCCAAGGCTATGGGAGCCCACGTCTTGCATCAGCGTGCCCTGGATGTGACATGGAGTCAAATGAGATTAATTTTGGAGCTTTAAGATTTAATGACTGCTGGCCAGGCATGGTGGCTCATGCCTGTAATTCCAGAACTTTGGGAGACTGAGGCGGGCAGATCACTTGAGGTCAGGAGTTCGAGACCAGCCTGGCCAATATGGTGAAACCCTGTCTCTACAAAAAATACAATAATTAGCCAGGCTTGGTGGTGTGCACCTATAATCCCAGCTACTTGGAAGGCTGAGGCTGGAGAATCATTTGAACCTGGGAGGCAGAGGTTGCAGTGAGCTGAGATCATGCCACTGCACTCCATACTGGGCAACAGAGCAAGACTCTGTCTTCCAACAACAACAACAACAAAAGATTAATGACTGCTCTTCTGGATTTCGGACTTGCACAGGGCCTGTAGCCCCTTTGTTTTGGCTCATTTCTCCTATTTGGAATGGGATCATTTATCCAATGCCTGTAACCCCATTGTATCTTGGAAGTAACTAACTTGCTTTTTATTTTACAGGCTCCTAGGCAGAAGGAACTTGCCTTGTCTCAGATGAGACATTGGACTTGGACTTTTGGGTTAACTTTGGAATGAGTTAAGACTTTGGGGAAACTGTTGGAAAGCTATGATTGGTTTTGAAATGTAAAAAGAATGTGATATTTGGGAGGGGCCGGGGCAGAATGATACAGTTTGGCTCTGTGTCCCCACCCAAATCTCATCTCAAATTGTAATCCCCATAATCCTCACATGTCAAGGGAGGGAACTGGTGGAAGGCAATTTGATTGTGAGGGTGGTTTCTGCCTTGCTGTTCTCATGACAGTGAGTGAGTTCTCACAAGATCTGATGGTTTGACAGTTCCTCCTTCACATGCTCTCTCTTGCCTGCTGCCATGTAAGACGTTCCTGCTTCCCCTTCTGCCATGATTGAAAGTTTCCTGAGGCCTCCCCAGCCATGTAGGAACTGTGAGTCAATTAAACCTCTTTTCTTTATAAATTACCCAGTCTTGGGAAGTTCTTTATAGCTGTGTGACAATGGACTAATACAGGATCTGTCATATGGTTGCATTGATATAAGCAAGTCTAGGCCCAGTGTGGTGGCTCACACCTGTAATCCCAGCACTTTGGGAGGTCAAGATGGGTGGATCACTTGAGGCCAGGAGTTCAAGATGAGCCTGGCCAACATGGTGAAACTCCATCTCTACTAAAAATACAAAAATTAGTCAGAGCGGTAGTGCACACCTGTGGTCCCGGCTACTCAGGAGGATGAGGTGGGAGGATCTCTTGAACCTGGGAGGTGGAGTCTGCAGTAACCTGAGATCGTACCACTGCACTCCAGCCTGGGTGACAGAGCAAGACGCTGTCTCAAAAAAAAAAAAAAAAAAACACAGATATAAGCAAGTCTACTATCATCTGAAGGCTTGAATGATGATAGAGGATCTTCTTCTAGGATGGCTCAGTCACATGGCTGTTGGCTGGAGGCCTCAGTTCCTCACCACACAGGGCTCTCTTTAGGCGTCCGCATGACATGGCAACTAACTTCCTCCAGAGTTGCTGATCCATAAGAGAAAGCTCAGAAGAAGCCACACTGCCTTTTCTGACCTCGTCTCTGAAATCTCTGAAATTGCACACTGCTTCGTGCTATTCATTAGGAGCAAATCCTCATGGGAGTAGGATTTAGGTCCTGCCTTTGGAAGGGAGGAGTGTCAAAGAGTTTGTGGATATAGTTATTTTATTTATTTATTTATTTATTTATTTATTTATTTATTTATTTTGAGACAGAGTCTCGCTCTGTCACCCAGGCTGGAATGCAGTGGCGTGATCTTGGCTCACTGCATCCTCCGCCTCCCGGATTCAAGTGATTCTCCTGCCTCAACCTCCTGAGTAGCTGGGATTAGAGGTGCATGCCACCACATACAGCTAATTTTTGCGTTTTTAGTAGAGACGGGGTTTCACCATGTTGGTCAGTCTGGTCTCGAACTCCTGACCTCGTGATCCACCCGCCTTGGCTTTCCAAAGTGCTGGGATTACAGGCATGAGCCACTACGTCCAGCCTGTGGACATATTTTTACATCATCACACACACCTCCTTTTCTCCCAGTACGTCATGGCTAGGACAGGCAAGCAGAGTTTTCTAACCTGAGCAGGACAAAAGGAAGGCTCAGAGAAATTAAGTGGCCTGACTGATATGCACAATAGTTCTCATGGATTAGCAGAGCTTTCAACCCAGGTATTGCTAGAGATGGCCAGAAGAGAGGCGAGTACACAGGAGTCAGACAACCCTGTATCTTCTGAGAATCATGTTGCATAACATTATCTGTCATCTCACCCAGAAAATACCACATCTTTATGCCAATTTTTAGCATATGTCAGTCACCATGTTAAGTGCATTAGCTTAGTTAAAACTCACAAAATCCTTTGAAGTAAACACTTTTATCATATCCACTTTACAGTATGAAATCTGTGGCTCAGAACAAGGAAGAAGGAACTACATGGTCACAGAGCTACTGGCAGAAAAGTCTGGATTCAAACTCAGGTTTGTCTAAGACTAGAATGCTTTAAACAACACAAGATGAAAGTTTCTGTCTTGAAGATCCAAGAGAAGTTTGAGTAAAGACATATCTATAATCAGCCTGACTAGCAGTAGTGTTATCAATGTATCTTGAGAATGTATGGCTTTAAAAGAGCAAAGACTATCATTTAGTAAGCACCTGTTATTTTCCAGATGTTTAACTCATGAAAGCACATTTGATCTTCACAGTAGATATGTGGGATAAGTATAATTAGATACATTTTACAGATGAGGAAGCGCAGAGAGGTGAAGTGACTTACTCAAAATGGCACAAATAGTCACGTATGTTTCCAAAACCTGGCTCCATGCCAGGGATTTTTAATGAGCTCCATATAGTCCAAGGGCTTAATGAGGCATTGGAAGGTGCTAGACTTCGCCTTATACAGAGCTGCTCCGCCTCTTTTATCTAGTTGACATAGTGAGCTTCTATACAATACATATTTCATTTGAATTGAGGATATCTTGGCTTAAGAAGAGGAAAAAAAGCCACAAAGCTATTTCCAAGTACACCATAAGGCTTTCTTCGAGTGCTCAGGCCTATGAAAACCTTGCATTTGTCACTCATCCACTCTCTTCACTTCTAACATCATCTTCGAGTAGAACAGTCACAAAGATTCCCAAGGCAAAGTAAGCATGAGTCTAAGTAAGTTGGGGTCTTCAGGAGTTGTCCAGATAGTACTGCCAGTAATTTAAGAATTTTTAGTCTGTGCTCATGACACTGGGATAACCATCATTGTGTTTATTTCTGAAATAATATTAATCATTTTAAGTAGCAATCCTTTTAAAAATAATAATAATAATAATAACAATAATAATTAGGAATTCCTATTCTGGGTAAGCTCATTTTACACTGTCTCTCCCACTGAACACAGCTGTAAAACCTGGCCAAATGGAGGATTCTGAAAAGTAAACAGTAGCAGGAGGGTTAGGAAAGAAGACTGGAGTTCGAGTAGGACAACCACTGGCAGTGAGTTTACTATTTTCTTCCATTCAGTATCCCCCAGTCTGAATTCAATATGGCCAAAAACCCAGAAGTGGGCATTAGTGGAGACAGAATTTCAGGAGAAGCCCTGTAGTTCTGGTGCAAGGAGCTGAAAAGGGGTCTCTTAATGTTCAGAGACAGTGCAAAAATCCTCCATTTTTCTTTTTTGTCCTTTGTTTCCTTTTCTTCATTTCCTTGTGCCCCAATCCCTAGTGGCAGTGGTGGCAACTGTAGCCCATAGAATGCAAAACACCGAGAGGGAGATATTCCTCTCCATCAGAGCTGTGGTGGTCCCAATCAGGTGAGATGAACCCTCTTTGCATTTTTTCCTCTCTCTGTCCTCTGCCACTTGGCCCAAATATGGGCACAGTTGCAGGAAGTACATGACAATGTAGAGTTCCTAAAGTCTCAGCTTTCTGGCTGGAGGATCAAAAAGGAGAGCTCCAGAAAAGCAGAAAGTATCAGGAAGATTATGAAGAGGGGGGAATTCAGAAAAGTGATCTTTAAAGCTACTTATGAACTGCTGGGTTTACACTTCAAGCTGCATATG
Organism: Homo sapiens; assembly: GCF_000001405.40. Taxonomy (NCBI): domain Eukaryota; kingdom Metazoa; phylum Chordata; class Mammalia; order Primates; family Hominidae; genus Homo; species Homo sapiens. Next base: position 68,554,994 of record NC_000023.11, on the reverse strand, counting down.
CATGGATCTGATCCAAAATCACATATACAGATTTTGAGAAGGAAGGAAAGAATAGAACACCACTACACAGTTGGGCAGATCTGAATAGCATTGCAAAGGCTTTGCAAACTGAATGGACACTGAAACTGCAACCCATAGAAGGTGGGTCAGAACTTAACTAGTCAATAGCTGGCTCAAACCAAAACTATCAACATTCTCCTTAGGGTTTAAACAGGACCCAGGGTCTCATGAGATAATATTGACAATATTCAGAATATATTTCAAAATTATTTGTTATATGAAGAACCAGGAAAATCTCAACTTACAAGGGAAAAGAATCAACAGATGTCAACACTGAGAAGATACAGATATTGGAAACATCTGACAAAGAATTTAAAGCAGCTCATATAAAATTCCATTTTAATAAGTAAGTGCTAATACCTAGAAACAAACTGAAAGATCAAAATTTCAGCAAGGAAATAGAAGCTATCAAGAAAATCCAAGTGGAAATTATTAAAACTGAAAAATAAAATAATCAAAATTTAGAAGTTACTGAATGAGCTCAATAGCAGGATGGAGATAACAGAGGAAAGAATCAGTGAGCTTGAAGATCATATAGATCAATACAAATTATCTGACAGGACCAAAGCTAGGGAGATACAGGTGAGGCAATCACCTCAGGCACAAAACTTAAGTGGGGGTGGAGGAGTACCAAAACACTCAGTAATCAAGACAAATATTTTAATTTCATAATTTTTAAAAATCAAAATTAAAACAAAAACTTCATGATTAGTAACGTATCAAAATTTAAATAAAGACAGGATTAGCAACAGTGCTGTGCTGAGCCATATTGGAACCTGAGGCAGAAGGCAAAACAAGCAATACTGATACAATCTAAACCACACAGAGAAAACATTGTAAAAAAATTAACAGAGCCTTGAGGAACTGCAGGATAATACCAAATGGCCTAACATTCCTCAGAATCTGAGGAGGAAAAAAGAAAAAGGGAAATGCAGAAAATAATTTTGAAAAATAATAGCTGAAAACTTCTCAAATTTGATGAAAGACATAAAGCTATAAGTTCAAGAGGTTCATCAACCCCCAAGCAGAATAACCACAAAGAAATCTATGCCCAGGCTGGGCACAGTGGCTCACACCTGTAATCCCACCACTTTGGGAGGATGAGGTGGGAAGATCTCTTAAGCCCAGGAGTTCGAGACAAGCCTGGGTAACATGGTGAAACCCCATCTCTACAAAAACTACAAAAATTAGCCAGGCATGGTGGCACATGCCTGTAATCCCAGCTACTTGGTAAGCTGAGGTGAGAGGATCACTTGAGCCCAGGAGGTGGAGGTTGCAGTGAGCCATGTTCAAACCACTGCACTCCAGCCTGGGCAACAGAGTGAGACCCTGTCTCAAAAAAAAAGTTAAGAAATAAAAATTTTAAAAAAGAAATACATACCCAGACACATAATAATCAAACTGGTGAACACTAAAACAAAGAAAAAAATCTTAAAAGTAACCAGACAAAATCAATGCATTACTTAGAGGGGTATAATGATTAGAATGACTGAATTTCTTTTTTTTTTTTATTATACTTTAAGTTTTAGGTTACATGTGGACAACGTGCAGGTTTGTTACATATGTATGCATGTGCCATGTTGGTGTGCTGCACCCATTAACTCGTCATTTAACATTAGGTATATCTCCTAATGCTATCCTTCCCCCCTCCCCCCACCCCACAACAGGCCCCTGTGTGTGATGTTCCCCTTCCTGTGTCCATGTGTTCTCATTGTTCAATTCCCACCTATGAGTGAGAACATGCGGTGTTTGGTTTTTTGTCCTTGTGATAGTTTGCTGAGAATGGTAGAATGACTGAATTTCTTATCAGAAACTAGGAAGGCAAGAAGGAAGTGGAACAACAGTAAATATCTATTGTCCTAGAATTCTATATCTGATTGAAATATTCTTCAGGAGTAAAATTGCAATAAAAACATTGTTGGATTAAAAAATCCCTAAGAATTCACTGCCAGCAGATACGTTGTAAAATAATTACTACGGAAAATTTTCACAGAGAAGTGAAATTATACTAGAAAGAAACTTGGACCACCAAAAATGAAGGTAGAGCAACAGAAGTGGCAAATAGCTGGGTAAAAATAATAGATCATTCTTGTATTGAGTTCTTTAAAATATGTTCCATACTTGAAAAGAAAATTATACCATTATCTGATGGTGGAGGTTTGTTTGCTTGTTTGTTTTGAGACAGGGTCTCACACCGTTGCCCAGGCTGGAGTGCAGTGGTATGATCACAGCTTATGGTAGCCTCGACCTCCCCAGGCTCAAGTGATCCTCCCACCTTGGCCTCCCAAAGCACTGTGATTACAGGCATGAGCCACTATGCCCAGCCTGATGATGGAGTTTTCAGTTTATGTACCTGTAATTAATAAGGCAACTACAACATAAATGAGAGAAGGGAAAGGAATCTATGAGATTATGAAGTTTCTAGATTTCACTTAAAGTGGTAAAATATTATTGAAAAATACACTGTTAAAAGTTAGGTTTGTATATTGTAATCACTCAAGCAATTGCTAAAAATGCAAATAGATATGGTAAAATTAATATGGAATGCTAAAAATGTTCAAAAGAAGGCAGAAAGGAAAAACATAGTCATGAAAAATAGAGGAAGAAAAGAAATAAATACTAGTCCTATACCCAAAGAAGTCAATAATTACATCAGATGTAAATATACTAAACACACCAATTAAAAGATGGAGAGCATCAGAATAGATAAAAATAATAATGTGACCCAACTAAATGCTTGCTAAAAGAAACTCAGTTTGAATATAATGATATAGGAATTTTAAAAGTAAATAGATATACCATATAATACTAATCGAAATAAAGCTGGAGTAGTTATATTAATATTAGACAAGGTACACTTCAGAGCAAAGAACATTACAAAGAAAAAAGAGAGACATTTCGTAATGAAAAAAGGGTCCACTCACCAAGAAGTCATAACAATCTTAAATGTATATGCACCTAAAATCATGGTTTCAAAATACATGAAACAAAAATGCACAGATCTGAAGTGAAAAATAGAAGGCACTATAATTATAGTTGGTGCCATCAACACTCTTCTCAGTAAAAGATAACACTAGTCAGTGGAAAATCATCAAAGATATAAAGGAACTAAACACCACCATCAATCTGAACTCGTTTCTTAGCAGGGACAGATTTTTATTAATACAATAGATTTTTGTTGATAGTTTATTGTTTACTTCCTTTCCAATTTGGATCCCTTTTTTTTTCTTTTTCTTGCCCAATTGTCCTGGATAGGACCTCCAGCACAACATTGAATACAAATGGCAATGGCAGACGTCCTTGTCTGGTTCCTGATCACAGGGGGAAAGCATTCTATCTTTTGTCATTTAGTAAGATGTTGGTTGTTGATTTTTTGTAGATGCCCTTTATCGGTTGAGGACATTCCTTCCATTTGTTGGGTGAAGGAATGTTGCATACTTTTAAATCCTCCTTCTGTATCTATTTAGACGATCATGTGCTTTTTGACTTTTATTCTATTAAAATGGTGTATTATATTGATTTTTGGATGTTGAACCAACTTTGCACTCTTGGGATAAATCACACCTGGTCATGGTCATGCTTCCCAATTTCAGGGTTACAATCAAGAAGATTAGGTTGTATTAGCAAAAGTATAGACATAGAAATCAATGGAACCAATTTGAGTCTAGAAGTAGATAACATAACAACATATATGGCCAATTAATTTTTGATAAAGTTATAAAGACAAATTCTACAGAGAAAGGGCAGTCCTTTCAACAAATATATTGGAACAACTGGACCTTCACATACAAAAGAATGAAACTTGACCTAAAACTGACACCTTACACAAAATTAATTCAAAGTGTACCATACATCTAAATCCTTCCTGACCCAGGCAAAATTGCACCTGGTTAACAACCACTGATCTAAATATAAAACACAAAACTATACAACTTTTACCAGAAAAAATAAAATATTCATGACCTGTGGTTATGCAAATAGTTCTTAGACATTACACAAAAAGCATGATTGATAAAAAATGATGATTTGGACTTCATCAAAACTAAAAATCTTTACCCTGCAAGAGATATTGTTGAAAGGGTAAAAAGACAAGCTAGAGACTGGGAGATAATATTTGTAAATTACACATCAGACAATTGACTTTCGTGAAGAACATATAAAGAACTGTCAAAACTGAACAGAAAAAGTACAAGCAATCCAATTAGGAAATGGGCTAGACATGAAAAGATGTTTCACAGAAGAAGATATATGGATGGCAAATGAGCACATGAAAAGATGTTAAACATCACTAGCCATTAGTGAAATGTAAATCAAAGTAACTATGAGATGCCACTACACACTTATTAGAATAGCTGAAATTTTAAAATACTGACAATACAGAATGCTGCTGAGGATGCAAAGCAACTAGAATTCTCCCACATTGCTGGTCAGAACATGAAATTATATGGCCATTTTGGAAAACAGCTTGGCAATTTCTTAGAAAGTAAGTTGCACATTTACAACATGACTCAGCAATCCCACTCCTTGGTAATTAGCCTAGGGAAAATATATTCACGCAAGACTCAACAGGAATATTCATAGCAATTCTATTCGTAATAGCACAGAAAAGGAAACAACACAAATGTCCTTTAACTGGTGAGTGGATAAACAAAAATGGTAGATCCATACAATGGGATGGTAATCACCAATAAAAAGGAATGAGCTATACATTCACACAAAAACATGGATGACTCGTTCTTAAAAATTTTTAGAATTGGGATACATGTGCAGGTTTGTTACATAGATATATTGCGTGATGCTGAAGTTTGGGCTTCAACTGGACCCATCAGCCAAAGAGTGAACATAGTACTCAATAGTTATTTTTTCAATGCTTACCCCACTCCCTACCTCTCCTCTCTAATAGTCCCCAGTGTCTTTTGTTGCCATCTTTACATCGATGTGTATGCAATATTTAGTTCCCACTTATAAGTGAAAACATGCCATATTTGTTTTTCTGTTTCTGCATTAATTCACTTAGGACAATGGCCTCTTGCTGCATCCAATAACATGGATGAATCTTAAATACTAAGTGGTAGAAGTCAGTCTCAAAAGGTTACATACTACATAATTCCCTTTCTATAGTATTCTCTAAGAGACAAACCATAGTGGTTCAGAACCAGCAGTTGCCGGTGTTTAGTGGGTAGGGAGAGGATGAGACTATAAATGGATAGCACTACAGAGATTTTTTTTGGTGAATAGAAGTGTTTCGTATCCTGATTAAACAAATTTATTTCTATGTTAAAACCCATAGAACTGTACGTCCTGTCAAAAGTCAATTTTAGGCCTGGCATGGTGGCTCATGCCTGTAATCCCAGTACTCTGGGAGGCCGAAGCAGGCAGATCACTTGAGGACAGGAGTTTGAAACCAGCCTGGCCAACCTGGCGAAACCCTGTCTCTACTAAAAATAAAAAAATAAAAAATAGCCGGGCATGGTGGTGCACACCTGTAATCCCAGCTACTCGGGAGGGTAAGACAGGAAAATCGCTTGAACCTAGGAGGCGAAGGTTGCAATGAGCCAAGATGGCACTCCAGCCTGGGTGGCAGAGTGAGAATCTGTCTCAAAAAAAGAAAAAGTCAATTTAACTGTATGTGAATATGTATGAAAATGAAACTGATAATTCACATAAAGTAAAATATCTGTTCCCATTGTCAAATATACTAGAGAAAATAATACATCCTAAATTTATATAGTACTTTATTACAAAGTGCTTTCACATACATATTTCGCTTAATCCTCACAATGAATTGAGAATTAGGGACATTATTCCCATTTCACATATGGGGAATATGAGACTAAGTGGAATTGACTCTCTTATAATTGTATATGTATATAGTCAATGGTCAAGGCCAGGTGAAACCCAGTCTGTCTGATCCACAATCCAAACCTTTGTCCACTTTTCATGCTGCTTCTTCCAACCCAAAGATCTCTAATCTTCTAGGTCTGTAATGTAGAGAACGGCATTTTACCTCAGTTTCTTTCTCTGTGAAATGGGGATGATATGCCCACTTGACAATGAAATTATGCCTCACATCTCTTCCTTTTGGGACCTGCCCCTCCTCCGCTATGTGATTCCTACCAGTGATCAATCGGTAGGAGTTCATCTCCACTACCACAGAGAGGGGCACTCGACCCAAAACGAGCAATCTGATTACTCCAATTCCCTTGGATATAGTGAGCCAAGCGAGTACACATTTCCCAGGCAGGATTCATCAGAGACCTTTGAAGAGGATTGTTGCTGTGAGAGAGAAGGTCCTGTGCTTCAGTTAGTATAATTTGAGTTCTAAGGACCATGTACATTATGAGTAGCTGGCGGCTATATTTGCAACACCATGAAGAGAGTCTGAGAATGAACCCCTAAAGCTGACAGAGAGAAGACACACAGACACACAAGTCTTTTTTTTTTTTTTTTCAAGACAGGGTCTTGCTCTGTCACCCAAGCTGGAGTGCAGTGGTGCAATCACAGCTCACTGCAGCCTGGACCTCCCATGCTCAAGTGATCCTCCTGCCTCAGCCTCCCAAGTAGCTGTGACTACAGGCATGTACCACCACGCCCAGCTAATTTTTTGACTTTTTGTAGAGATGGGGTTTCACCATGTTGCCTAGGCTGGTCTTGAACACCTGGGCTCCAGTGGTCCTCCTGCCTTGGCCTTCCAAAATACTGGGATTATAGGCATGAACCACTATGCCTGGCCAACACACAAATCTCAATGACATTGTTTGAGCACATGAATCCAGTTGTGCCTGACGCTAACCCAGCCCTTCGGACTTCCTAGTTAAATGAGTACTTTTTTTTTTTCTTAAGCTAGTTGAGCTTCTGTTACATGTAACTAAAGGTTTATAAATATTGTATAAATTAAAGATATTATAAATGTATAATGCTTAGCCCAGTACCTGACACATAGTTGACACTGAATAAATATTAGTTCCATTTAATCCCCAACTACCTTCCCTAAATATACTAAATTAACAAATACAGATCAAACACTATGGATTTTGTTGTTGTTATTTTGCTGTCACCTCATCTGCAGGCCACTTGTTGCTTATTTTTCCAGCATTTCTGCATGGATCCAGATGGAAGCTTCAAAAAAATGGGACATGGCAGAGCAGTGCAGGTCTCCAGATTCTGGTCCTATTAGGGACCTATTTCCTATAAAACATTACTAGCTCTTCACTTCTTAGACAGCTTTAGAATTACCTATTCTCGATATTTCATATAAATGGAATATTACAATATATTATCTTTTGTTTCTGGCTTCTTTCACTACACATAATGTTTTGAGGTTCATCCCCATGGTAGCATGTATCAGTACTCTATTCCTTTTTATGGCTAAGTACCATTCCATTTGCATGTATATAGCACAATTTGTTTATCCATTCATCTGTTGATGAGTTGTTTCCCCCTTTTGAGTAGTGTGAACCAGTACTTTTGAGTAGCTGTGAACATTTGTATATGAGTATTTGTTTGAGTACCTGTTTTCAATACTTTTGGTCATACCTAGGAGTGGAATTGCTGGGTTACATGGTAATTCTATGTTTAAGTTTTTGAGGAACTACCAAACTGTTTTCTAAGGCAGCTGCATTTTTACCCAATTTGACAAATGTTTATTAAGAACAAGCTGGCCGGGTGCAGTGGCTCACACCTGTAATCCCAGCACTTTGGGAGGCTGAGGCAAGAGGATTGCTTGAGCCCAGGAGTTCAAGACCAGCCTGAGCAACATAAGTAAGACTTTGTCTCTACAAAAAAAAATTTTTTTTGTTTGTATCTTTCTTTAATATGCTAGTAGTTGAGTTTTCCATAGAATTAGGACATATATTTAGGTCAGATCTAATTGGGATATTCCTTGGGATATCTTGATTCAGGGTTTTCTTCTTCTTCTTCTTTTTTATTATACTTTAAGTTTTAGGGTACATGTGCACAACTTGCAGGTTTGTTACATATGTATACATGTGCCATGTTGGTGTGCTGCACCCATTAACTCGTCATTTACATTAGGTATATCTCCTAATGCTATCCCTCCCCACTCCCCCCACCCCACAACAGGCCCCGGTGTGTGATGTTCCCCTTCCTGTGTCCATGTGTTCTCATTGTTCAATTCCCACCTATGAGTGAGAACATGTGGTGTTTGGTTTTTTTGTCCTTGCGATAGTTTGCTGAGAATGATGGTTTCCAGCTTAAAAAATAGCCAGGCATAGTGGTGCATGACAGTTGTCCCAACTACTTGGGAAGCTGAGGTGGGAGGATGGCTCCAGCCTGGGAGGTCAAGGCTGAAGTGAGCCAAGATCACGCTGCTATACTCCAGCCTGGGTGACAGAGCAAGACCTTGTCAAAACAAAAAAACAAAGAACAATCTGAATACATAATTGCATTTATTTTTACTTTGAGAGTCTTAATTATATGCTTGTTCATTTATATCTCCATTTACTTAACAGTCATTCATACACAAGCCTATTATTCTTCACTATGTTGCCAGGCCGGCCTTGAACTCCTGGTCTCAAGTGATCCTCCTGCCTCAGCCTCCCAAAGTGCTAGGACTATAGGCATAAGCCACCATACCCAGCCTAAGTTTATAAAATTATAAATATCAAGTATTGGTGAGGATGTAGAGCAATGGATCTCTCAAACACTGCTAGTAGGAGTGTAAATGGGTATAACTACTTGGGAAGACTATTTGGCAAATTTTTACAAAGTTAAATATACACTTACCATGTGACTCAGCAGTTCCCTTCCTAGGTATCTACCCAAGAGAAATGAAAGCACAGCCCACAAAAAGTCTTGAACAAGAATGTTCATAGCTGCATTATTCATAATGGCCAGACAGAGACAGAGCCAGGGACCCCTCTTGTGGGCCTGCTGGGTTTCCCAAGAATGAAAATAAAGTAAAACCTTGTGTTCCTTCAAGTGAAATTCCAGGCACCTGGCTAGCCTTGAAAAATAAATAAGCAACCTGATAAGCAAGAAGGTAATAATAGCCAAGGAAGTTAGAGCCACAAAATATTTGGTTCCCTATAGAAACTAAAGATAACATCTTAACATATGTCCCTGAGTTGTTTTTCAGAAACCTGAACCCCCAACAAATGGAAAATGTTGTCTTTTCTGCTAAGAAAACCTTGACCAATCACAAATCAGAAAATCTTTGGGCTGGGCGCAGTAGCTCCTGCCTGTAATCCCAGCACTTCAGGAGGCTGAGGCCAGGAGTTCGAGACCAACCTGAATGACATGGTGAAACCCCGTCTCTACTAAAAATACAAAAATTAGCTGGGCGTGGTGGCACACACCTGTACTCCCAGCTACTCGGGAGGCTGAGGCAGGAGAATTGCTTGAACCTGGGAAGTGGCGGTTGCAGTGAGCCAAGATCACACCATTGCACTCCAGCCTGGGTGACAGAGCAAGACTCTGTCTCAAAAAAAAAAAAAATGAAGAAGAAAACCTTTGAATCCACCTGTGATCTACGGGCCCCCCACTTTTACATGTGCCACCTTTTTAGGCCAAACCAGTGTATAATCTCCATGTATTGATTTGTGACTTTTCCTGTAACCTCTGCCTCCCCATCTTTAAAAACCCTTACATGCAAGCCACTGGGAGTTTGAGTCTTAAGCATGAGCTGCCCAATTCCCCTTGCTTGGCTCCCTGTAATAAATGCCTCACTTTCTCTTGGTGCAAATCTCAATGTTTGGCTTTGCTGCCCCAGGTGGGCAGATTCATGCTCATTTCTGTAACAACACTGGAAATAATCCGTGTTAGTCTGTGTCTTCTGAAAAGTAGACGTCAAGAGTGGCTTTAATATGCAAGAAATGTATTAAGGAAAATCTTGTGAGAGAAGATGAGTGGGAAGCTAAGGGAGATTGGGAGAGCCATCAGACCATCATGTAGGTCTGATCCCGAGTGAAGAAGAGAGGGAAGAAGAAAAGTTGGATGGAAGCATCTCAGATTGCAGTGCGGTTCTGAAACAAAAGTGCAGCAAGGCTGTTGAAGAATCCTTAAAACCAAAATCACCCATCAGAGTAGCCCCGTTATCCCAGGAATGGGCCTGTCAGTATGCCTATCCAACTTAGTCACTGCAGGGAGCAGCTCATGGGAAGTGTGGGTTTGCTGAGAATGTGGGATGAATTTTAGAACACAGATGAAACATCCATTAACAGATTCATATAACGAGACGCTACTCGGCAATAAAAAAGAATAGACTACTGATACACACAACAAGGATTGGCCGCAAGAACATGCAGAGTGAAATAAATCAGACATAAAAGACCACATGAAATTCTAAAACAGGAAGAACTGATCTAAAGTGACAGAAAGCAGATAACTAAATACCTGAGGCCAGGGATTGGAAGAGATTGATTACAAAGGGACACAAAAGACCTTTTAAAAACAAAAATATTCAATATCATGGATATGGTGGTGAAAATATTCAACATCTTACATGACTGTTAACAGTTATCAAAACTCATTAGCCTGTACATTTAAAAATGAGTACTTACTGTATGTAAATTATCTTTAAATTTATTCACACAATTATAACAGAGTGCTTGCTGTACTCAATATCAAGTCTCCCTTCTTTAATAGCAATACTCCAAGTTTATTTGGGATAGCAATGCATGGAGCTAAAAGAGTACATTTCTCAGCCCCCTTTCCTCCCTCCCCCACAGCTAGACATGTCCATGCGACTAAGCTCCCTAGCAATGACATGTAAGTAGAAGTGCTGTGTTTAACTTCTAAGAAATAGCTTAAGGGGAGCTAACTTGGCCGGAAAAAAACTGCCCTTTTGTCTTCCCCTACTTCTAACTGCTGCCTGGCAGGTAGGTATAATGAATTGGCCTCTCACAGCCATCTTGGACCATCAGAAAGGAAACTAATAATGAAGATGGTGGGACCAGGAATTTGGATCTTCTTAGGTCCCAAATGACCAGAAAACCACCATACCAGCTCTGGACCTCCCACCTTTAGACTATTTTATATGAGAGAGAAATAAGCCTCTATTTTATTTAAGCCACGCTTGTTTTGGATTCTTCTGTTACATGCAGCCTATATTCAGCTGATTCTAATTGAATGCATTCTCTAGAATCAGATTGAGTTCAAGTCCCAGCCCTGCCACTTACTAGCTGTGCGGCCTTGGGTGAGTCATTTCACCTCTGAGTCTCTGCTTCCTTGTTTGTAAAATGGTGCTAATAATATATATCTTGCAGGGCTAATATGAAGGACTCAGTGAAAGCATACACTAAATATCTAGAGCATGGTTTCTCCCTTGTCAGCAGAGAAGCAGGCTTCCCCTTTCCCAGAGAAGAGTGCCAACATACAGAGTGAATGGCTTCATGGCCTACCATCTTCACCTCAACACATTAGATAAAAATGCTCCATCCTTGGGCTCTCACAGCCTTTGGCCATACCTCTTTAAAGTGTTTTCCACATTGTAGTTAAATGTATCTCTTTACCTGTCTATCTTCCCCTGTTCCCCAGAGATCAAACCTCCAATATCCCTTCTACCTAGTTGATATAATTTGGATGTTTGTCCCCTCCAAATCTCATGTTGAAATGTGACCCCGAACTTTGGAGGTGGGGCCTGGTGGGAGGTTTTTGGGTCATGGGGACAGATCCTTATGAATGGCTTGGTGTCTTCCTCTCGATAATGAGTGAGTTCTCGTTCTATTAGTTCACATGAGACCTGGTTGTTAAAAAAAAAAAAAAAAGCCTGGCAACCAGGCACAATAGCCCATGCCTGTAATCCCAACTCTTTGGGAGCTGGAGGCAGGAGGATCACTTATGTCCAGGAGTTCGAGACCAGCCTGGGCAACATAGTGGGACCCCCCCCATCTCTACAGTTTTTTTTTAAATTAGCCATGGTGGCATATGGTGGCATATGCCTGCAGTCCCAGCTACTTGGAGGCTGAGATGGGAGGATTGCTTGAGCCTGGGAAGTTAAGGCTGCTGTGAACCATGATTGCACCACTGCACTTAGCCTGGGTGACACAGCAAGTGAGACTCTGTCTCAAAAAAAAAAAGAAGAAGAAGAAGGCTGGGCATGGTGGCTCATGCCTGTAATCCCAGCACTTTAGGAGGCTGAGGAGAGGGTGAGAGTGGATCACCTGAAGTCAGAAGTTCAAGACCAGCCTGGCCAACATGGTGAAACCTGTCTCTACTAAAAATACAAAAATTAGCCAGGCATGTTGGCGCATGCCTGTAGTCCCAGCTACTGGGAAGGCTGAGGTGGCAGAATCACTTGAACCCAGGAGGTAGAGGTTGCAGTGAGCTGAGATGGTGCCACTGCACTCCAGCCTAGGTGGCAGAATGAGACTCCGTCTCAAAAAAAACAGAAAAAAAAAAGATCCTGGTTCCTCTCTCCTTTTCTTTTGCTCTGTCTCTCACCTTGTGACACACCTTCCTCTATGAGTAAAAGCTTCCTGAGGCCTCACCAGAAGCAGAGCAGATCCTGGTGTCATGCTTGTACAGCCTGCAGAATGGTGAGCTAAATAAACCTCTTTTCTTTATAAATTACCCAGTCTCAGGTATTCCGTCATAGCAAAACAAAACAGAATACTATGCTAGTCTTCTAGAATGACACTTCTGAGTCTAATTAACTGAACAAATACTGTGCCTACTATGTACCAAGTTTTGGGCTAGATTTTGAGGACAAAGAGGTGAATTAGACATGATTCCTGTCCTGTTATATCTCATGATCTAGTATGAGATATGGACAAGTAAACAGGTGAGTATAATTTAACATAGTGTAGTTAAGTACAATAACAGATGTGAACTTAACCACAAGAGAATGCAAGAAAATGTCAACTCCGTGAAAGCGGGGACTCTGTCTTGTTCACTATTAATAGGCACTCAGTAAATATTTGTTAAATAAATGAATGAATGGTATTATGATGGCACAGAAGAGAATAACCTAAGCCAGGTGAAATAGCAGAGGAGGTGAAAAGCGAGGAGGACAATTGGTCTCCTGGATGAGGTGAGGCCCGGAAAATTTTTAATGGAAAAGTGGGGTGTGGAGGGCATTTCAGAGAGACAGCAGGGAGGTGAGAAGTAGCACAGCAAGCACTTGGGAACAAGTAGTTCATTGTTGCAGGAGTACAGAATTCAAGGCTGGGAGAGAGGAAAGCTAGGGCCAAATGACAGAAGGCCTTGCAATCAATGGCATAAGAAGCTTCAGTTTTGTCCCAAAGAAGATGTGAAGGTGAGAGGTGAAGCCAGCTGGACTTCCTGGGTCGACTGGGGACTTGGAGAACTTTTCTGTCTTACAAGAGGTTTGTAAAATGCACCAATCAGTGCTCTGTAAAAACGCACCAATCAGCACTCTGTAGCTAGCTAGAGGTTTGCAAAATGGACCAATCAGCACTCTGTAAAATGGACCAATCAGCAAGACATGGGCGGGTACAAGGGAATAAAAGCTGGCCACCCCAGCCAGCAGTGGCAACCTGCTCAGGTCCCCTTCCATGATGTGGAAGCTTTGTTCTTTTGCTCTTCACAGTAAATCTTGCTGCTGCTCACTGTTTGGGTCCATGCCACCTTTAAGAGCTGTAACACTCAGTGAGAAGGTCCACAGCTTCATTCTTGAAGTCAGCAAGACCACGAACCCACCGGAAGGAACCAACTCCGGACACAAAGGCAGTAGGGCAATTTAAACTGAAGAGAGGGTCAAATATACACTTGAAGTATGTCACTCTGACAACAGTATGAGAAATGGATTTGAGCAGGGCAACATGGAAGCAGATTACCTACGTAGTTGTTTCTATAGGCCAAAAAAGAGATGAGAACCTGAACCAAACCGTGACAGTGGGGATACGGAGTAAGATATGGAGTTGAGAAATGTTTGTTGGGTAAAATTAGCAGGACTGGTGACTGAATGGATATAAGAAAGTGAAGGGGGCATTAAGGGCAATTATCAGATTACTGACTTGGGTAACTAGGTATAGCAGTGGTTCTCCAAAATAAGGAACATAGGAGGAGCAGGGTTTGGGGGACCTGCCCAGTCTAGTTGAGACATGACGAGTTTAAAAAGCAATGAGACATTCAAGTGATGGTCCAGCAATTATTTCTGTATCATTCTAGAAATCACACGTCAGAGTCATAAACTGGAGATTCTGGAGTCATCAGAACTCCTCAAGCTGACTTATTGGCTCATCCATCTGAGGATGGAGCTCACTGCCTTCAGGCACAGCTGGACTCAGGCTCAAACCTCATGAAGCTTCCCTCAGTGCCAGCTTCTCTTCCTGTGATACACTCATTCTCTTCTACTATTGTGATGAAAAAGTTGGCCACTGACCACCCCAGGCTTGCATCTTTACAACTCATAATACAAAAGGAAGACAGTCTGGCTTCTTAGGTCTAGCAGAAAAAAACCTGGAAAGGCCTCTGAATGGCCCATCTTGGCTTAAGTATTCATTACTTAATCACTGTGATCAAGGAAAGGTGGTAACGTGGCTCAGTCTAGGTCAATCTAGTAAGGGAGGAATTCTCCAAAGCAACTAGAAAGAAGATGAAAATGCATGCTGGGGAGAAATAAAAAAAAATAACAGTTTGAATAGTTTGAATGGTAGGTGAAATTATGAGAGTGAATTTTTATATCTAGGGAGAATTTCTAGATTGAAAAGAGCAGAAGGCAGAGAAAACACTCAGTTTCAAGGGGCAGGTGGAAGAAGAGGAGTTCTTTAAGAAGAAATAGACTATTTTGACAATCAAGGGAGTTAGCTGTCATGGAAGACAAGAAAGAAAAATGTTTCCAGGAGGAATAGGAGTTTACAACAGCATCAGTGCAGTAGAGTAAGGTAAGGACTTAGCAATTTTAGTGAGAGTAGTCACTCTCTGAGAATGTTCATGACATGGGCATGAAGCCAGACTGCAGTTGGTTGAGAAGTGAACATGAATGTAGACAAGCTTTTTCGAGAAGTTTGGATGAGAGCAGGTTGGCATCTGGACCATAGCTGGAAGGGAACACATTCCCACTCTTGGTTCTGAAGCTATAGCACCAGCCCCACTACCCTGGATTGTATTTCTGACTCCATCTCAAAAAAAAAAAAAAAATTGTGGATTTGTTTTTTTTTGTTTGTTGTTTGTTTTTTTAACCTGCATGAGGTTGTCACCCTTTTAGCTACTGTACTCTCACATAGTAGAAAAAGCAGTGAACCAGAAATGAAAAAAACTAAGTTTTAGTCTGGTTCCTTTGAACAACATTGGGTAAATGACTTTCCCTCTCTGAGCCTCAGTTTTTCATTGGTAAAATGAGCAAATTGAACCAATTATCGATAACATTCTTTTAATCTCTAATGTTCTGTGCCTGATCTGAATCTACAAATAAGGAACAAATACCAGGAGCCTCCATCTCCTACCTATCAATACTTTTGGAGTGCTTACTTAGGCAGCATATATACTAAAATTGGAACGATAGGGAGAATATTAGCATGGCCCCTGCAGAAGGACGACACACACATTCATCAACACTTCCATGTTTTTACTTAAATAAATAAAACATTTGGCTGTGTGGTGGCTCATGCCTGTAATCCCAGCACTTTGGGAGGCTGAGATGGGTGGATCGCTTGAGCTCAGGAGTCCAAGATTGGCATGGGCAACATGGCGAAACCCCATCTCTACAAAAAATACAAAAATTAATCGGGCATGGTGGTAACAGCAGAGCAGAAAGCACCAAGGCTTTGGAGTTCAGACAGACCTGTATTCACATTCCACCTCAGCCACTTACTGTGGGCAAGGTATTGAATCCAAACTTCTTCCTCTTCTGAAAAAAATGGAGGGAATGATCTCACAGGGTTAGTGTTAGATGAAGATAGCAATGTGAAAATCCATGGTAGGTAAGTGTTAGCTTCATAACTTCCTCCTCATCTTTCTGGCTCCTTTTCATAGGTCTATCATCCAGCACTGTGGTTGTCATCAAGACTGTGCCTGGGACAGTGTTCTCTCAATATTCATCACATCTGTAAGCTCAAATTTACATTTATAGCAATGACTTCTATAATACTACCCTCCAGGCGCCTATTTTCAGTGGTCTGTAGAATATCACCACTGTGACAGCCAAAGTCAGTACCTCCACAACTGTTAGCCCGCCATTCTTCCCGACTTCAGACTTACAGCTTAGAAATATATTCACACTCTTTTCTTCCCTCTACCTTCCTCCCAATCCAATTTCCCACCATGTTCCCATTTATTCCTTTGAGGTCACTTTCATCAAGATATTCCCCTTGAAGTCACCCTATTTCCCACCACAGTAAGACCTAACTTCACAATTCCCTGGTTTTCAATACCTACTCTCAATAATTTGGTCTCATCTTAGCCAACTAATTTCTTCCATTTCCCAATTCAGTTGAATTCACTTCAACTTTTGCATTCTCATTAGAAAATGAAAGATTGGATTAACATGAGGAACAACCAATTGCATTCTTGAGACTGACTTTATAACCCAGGACATACTTCTCTGAGCCTATTTCTTTAGCTATAAGATAATCAGCTTTATCTACTTTGCACAGTGATGTAAAATAAAGGCAGCTAGGAAAATGAAGTGTCACAATGCATTGTGATTACGTACAGAACAAGGTGCCACACTCACATGTGCATGTGAACAGCTGTACAGACAGACCTGCTTTTTGCCTCTTATCTTTGCTCCTAAGTATTCTCTACCATTGGGAATGCCCTTCCTCTTCTCTTGGATGATACACATTCTCTCAATACTTCACAGACTTCTTATTTTTACAGATCACTCTGCTCTTTTATTTGGTACCAAAAATAAAAGCCATGACATTTTTCAACTATTATGTGTGTAGGGCTATGCGGAATTTTGTTTATCCAAGTAGTTTATAAGTCAAGAGCGGGAACAGGTATAGCCCCCAGCAGAAAGCTGAAAACCCAGTTTTTCTCACCAAGCTCCTAAATTGCCTGATTGGCCCAGCTTAGCTTCATTTAAGTGGGTAGGTATGGTTTTAATTTGGCAAAGAACCAATATAGAAAAAAAAAAAAAAGGCCATGCAGTCATAAAACCTGAGTTTGAATTCTGGTTGCACCATTCACTATGTGACTCTGGGCAATTTAACCTGAGTCTCGGATCTCTCAACTTTTTAAAATTTTTATTTATTTATTTATTTTGACACAGGGTCTCAGCCTGCCGCCCAGGCTGGAGTTGCACCATTGTACCTCACAGCATCTTCGAACTCCTGAGCTCAAGCAATCTTCCCGCCCCAGCCTCCCGAGTAGCTGGGACTACAGGCACACAAGACCAAGTCTGGCTTTTTTTTTTTTTTTTAAAGAAAGAGTCTCCCTATGTTGCCCAGGCTGGTCTTGAACTCCTAGGCTCAAGAGATCCTGCCTCCTCGGGCTCCCAAAGCACTGGGATTATAGGTGTGAGCCTCGAAACCCAGCCAGATCCAACTTTAAGGATAATGCCTCTGATCTCAAAAGGCTGCTGTCAATCAGAGATACTGTTTGTAAAGCAACTAATAAAGTGCCTGGCATGGTATACAGCATTTGCTCAATAAATGTGACTTCCCTTTCTTACTTGCTCCCTGCCCAATTTACAAAGCATTCAATATTGTCGGATGACAATATATCTGAAATCAGTATGTAGCAAATCTCTGTGCCTTCAGTACAAGAATAGGCACACACAAATTCTTTTTCCAGTGTTTTTAGTTGCACATTTAATAGTCACAAATCTTTTTACAGATTTTTCACAGATTTATTATTTATAGAAAAAAATCAAGATTAAAATGGAGTATTGAAAAGGACCAAGAAATTACTAGCAGTGATGGCAAAGTACAAAGGCTCTGAAAGAACAGAGTAAACAAGAGCAGCGCAGTGCAGCGTGTGGCCACTTCCCACCAGGCAGAACACTTGACTTCATTAAGGCAAAGCCTTTACTCTGTTACTTTTTCCTCCCACATAGTTTAACCCAAATAGAAAGGCATTCTATTCTCACACTACTGCTCTCTAAGGTCCTAGGAATATAACTGGTACTATAAGCAAACAGATGCATCCCTTGACTATTAATACCTGAATAGACAAGTTAAATTGTGATGCATTAACCATCCCTCTGGGAGAATTAAAAAGAAAGAGGCAGAAATTGTTTGATGCTTAAGACTGAGAAAAAGGGGTATATATGTGTGGTGGTGGTGGAAGCGGGAGAGAAAAGAGGTTCAAGGAGGGATGAGGGCAACAAACCTCTTTCCAATGTCCAACTGTTCTTATGTTCTCAGATGCTGCTGATACAGTGTTCCATTACTCTGAAAACAAATGTTATCTACATCCAGTCAGTTCTAGGGTACAAAGGCTAACAATAGGGAAAATACCTTGGGGGAAGGGTGTATTCATTTCAGGTACATAACACAATAGGGAAAATACCTATATTTGTACCTAGGGTACAAAGGCTAACAATAGGGAAAATACCTTGGGGGAGGGGTGTATTCATTTCAGGTACATAAAAATGGAATTCAAAATTGTGTCCTACTGTGTTCTCATCTAATGTGTTATTACTGTTGTAAATCAAATTACTGTGTGACCGTGGGCAATTTACTTAACCTCTCAGTGCCTCAATTTTCCACATAAAATGAGAATTGTAGCACTGGTATTACAGGAGATGCATGAGAAGCACAGAAGAATAGTGTCTGGCCAAATCAATAGTGACAGAAAGCAGATTAGTGGTTGCCAGAGGCTGGGATGAAGGGGGAATGGAACTGACTGCTGACAGACCTGGGGTTTCTTGGTGAAGTTACAAAATGATCTAAAATTAGATGTTAGTGATAGTTGTGCAATTTTGTGTGTGAATATACTAAAAACCACTGAATTGTACATCTTAAAAGGTGAATTTCAGCCAGGCATGGTGGCTCACGCCTGCAATCCCACTGTTTTGGGAGGCCAAAGCAGGTGGATCGCTTGAGCCCAGGAATTCAAGACCAGCCTAGGCAACATGGCGAAACCCTATCTCTACAAAAACTACAAAAATTAGCCAATTAGGTGTAGTGACGCATGCCTGTAGTCCCAACTACTCGGGACACTGAAGTGGGAGGATTGCTTGAGCCCAGGGAGGTCGAGGCTACAGTGTGCCATGACTGCTCCACTGCACTCCAGCCTGGGTGAGTCCCTGTCTCATAAAAATAAAAAATAAAAAGGTGAAGTTTATGGTAAAGTGTATTTCAATAAAGCTGTTATTTTAAAAATTCTTAAAAAAATAGAATAGTGCCTGGCACACAGTAAGTGCCAAATAAAGGTTAGCTATTATTATTAGTAATATCATTGTCATTATTATTATTTGGCCATTCTGTGGCCTAAGTAAACCCCAAGAAATTCTCTATTTTTAACAAAAGCCTACAGAATCTAGAAAAGTGTTTCTAATTTATATACATGAATTAACATTTATACATTTATTTCCATCCAAATGTCTCAGAAACAGTCTAAGAATCACAATTTCAGTGTTTTGCACTGAGCTAAAACAGCTGCATGCAATGGATGTCTTATCAAATCATGATAAGCTTTAGATAAATTCTAATGACTTGATGTTACCCAAGAACTTGAACTGACAGATTTTCATTTTTGTCTCCAGGAATGAACAGGCAGTCCAAATACTGTTAGTAGTTACATTATATAAAGCACACAATTAAATGTCCAAATACAGGCTTGGTAGCCTTCTAATCACATTTTGGGAGATACTGTTTATAAAAAGACAAATATAGTAAACAGTAAAATGCTTACTAGTCCCATGTCCTGTGACCCCACCTTGCCCAACAACAGGAAAACCCCACCAAAATGAAAATATGAAAATCAACTCATGTAATAAACCTCTTCAGAGGCAAAAGACTTTAGAGGCAAAAGACTTAATGATTAACGGTTGACTTTTAAGACTTTACTGCACATTCAGATATGTTGGAATCAATTGAGTTTTTATACTCTGAACAGCAATTAAATCCAGTCTTTACCCGTCCTATTGCTAAAGAATATGACAAAAGAGTCTTGGTCTCAGAAGTAGGAGCAGCAAGTGATTACTCATGATGGCAATGATGCACCACATTCTGCAGTGATGCTCACATGCCTGAATTTCATCTGAAGCATGAAAGTTCCCAAATCCTGCAACAGGGTTTCCTTTGTTGGAGTCCCCGTCCTTGCCGTCTTCACTTCTATAATCAGCTATGTGCCTTTGCAGCAAATCAGGAAAAGCTGTGTTGAGGGTTACAACTTCCAGACATTTAGGTCTTAACTTCCATCACAGAAAGCAATGCACTTTTTTGAATATATTAAGAAAATATTTATTCATCCCTTCAAGCCACTCACTTTCAGAAAGACAATTGAACATCCATTTTATCAACCTTCATTTAACCCTTTTCCTGTTTAGAAAAAAAAAAATTGCCAGCGCTAATTTACATAAACATTCTCTTTGAGGCTT
This sequence comes from Homo sapiens, assembly GCF_000001405.40. NCBI lineage: Eukaryota > Metazoa > Chordata > Mammalia > Primates > Hominidae > Homo > Homo sapiens. The sequence continues at coordinate 68,534,521 of NC_000023.11, read as the reverse complement.
AAGCAAATCTAACTGATTTTCAATGTGAAAAAAGATAAAAACTGAGTTATTTCTAAAGAGAACATCAGAATTGTCTATTTCAAAAAAATTGGATTCATCAAATGAATCTTCGGCCAACAACTGTTCGAGAATGATGTTAACATCATGTATAGGCATGCTACGTTTTCTAGGATTTGACATTTTCAGTAATCAAGAGTTACTATATTTTGTAAATGGAAATACCGCTACTAAAAAAAAAAAAGAATGCTATAAATAGAACAATGTCTTTTGTTTCCAAAGTCCATATACTAGAATGATGTGAAAATAATAAAAGCGAAATATTTCGTAGGCAAAGTTATCTTGGGGTAAATGCTACAACTGCAAGCGCCACTGGCGAGTATTCTCGGGGCAAACAGAAAGAAGGTTAAATCAAATAAAATCATTCCCTAAGTCACCCAAGAGCAAAGATAAATACATAGAACAAGCTGCCTTAAGTCCCAATATTTATAACCCACCCACCATGTACATCTACACGAACCCCCCAAAGCTGTGGCCTTAGGAATTTCTGACCAAACAATTAGCCTGAGTAAAATTCAATAAACACTTTTAATTCCCCCTTGAGAAGCATGGTTACTTCTTTAATTTTACATTATAGTCATTGAGACAGATTACGAAACAACTTTGGCAGAAAGAGAGTTTTAGCAGGAAGTAAGAGAATTTCAGACATTGGAAATGGATAATAATTTAGAACCAATTTCAAAATGAGGATCAGTTCCAAAGTATTTTCTTTACTCATTCAAGATTGAAACATTGGCTCTGTCCACACAAAGGTTTATTTTACAATTTAAAAGGTAAATTGTAATAAATAGAAATATATAACCAAAAACTCTGGACAAGGCTGGAACCAAGGGGACCCACTTTGTAATGCTTTGTTATTATCATTCCAAGAACCCATTTGGCCCTGTATTCACTTGGCTAATGTGGGGATGGAGAAAGTATGACTTTGGAATCATATATCTATGTGTAGGTAGTCTTTAAATACAAAATGAATAAATATTTAAATTATATGATAAAGAAAAACTGGGGAATAAGAAAGTCCTATGTTTATCAACTAATAGTATATTTACAATGAGTGTTTTCTGCCTGACACCTAATCTTTGTCTATTAGAGTTCCTCAATGTGCAATTTATAGAAGGCAACAGTTCATATTGCCTTAAAGGAGCCCTGTTTAGCTCAGAATCAGCCTGTCCCAGATGCTCTGCTCCCTGAAAAACCTTCACACTTGTGTGCATAAATATCTGAGATTACAAGTAGGTGCACATGTGCAACATGTACTTATCTAAAGGGGAGCTAATTAGCTTGATAAAGTCTAAAATCAATAAAATAAATTGCTATTCCCCAACCCAAAAAAACACATCTAATGAGAAAACTGCTAAGCTCACCATGAAAAGGCAGCAGCTGTAAACTCATCCCATCCCACGTCATGCTCTAAGTATCTAGCTGTTCTATTAATCAGCCATCAGAACACTAAATCCCTCCCTGTTCACATGGTTAAATACAGGCTTCTGATTTAGCTTTACTTTCTAGTTAAGAGGCCAGACTACAGAGAATATTAAACAGCTCCTTTTAACTATGCTGCATCCAGACTGCCTCATTCCACCCTAAGAGAAGGTGCCCACATGATAATATGCACTAGAGATCTACCAATCTAAGTTTCTGAGGTCTTCTTTTTGGATAAGTTCCAGCACTGGAATATTCAGAATTTCAAAGGAAAATTACATGTTGACTACTGACATTTTAGACTGCATATTCAAAGTTAAGGAGCAAGATTAAGACTAGAGTGCCAACCAAGATGCTGTTAAACATGGCAAAAAGGTGACAGCACAAAGGGACCAAAGAGGCTGATTCTTTAGAGGCCCTTTGCTTTTTTTTTTTTTTTTTTTGCAACAAGTGTAGAATTTCCCCTGATCAAAATCTGAATATTGGTTAATGCATGTTTTCTCATTCTCCGTGTATGAACCCACTCCTAACCTCTCTCATTGCCTTTTTAAGCTTAAGAGAGAGAAATAAAAGAAAATGGATATAGACCATGTATTTTTATTTATGAAAAGAGAGGCATATTCTAATAGTCATAAGGCAATGTGTTTAAGAGCTGCACCTGAACTGGTATTCTCAAAACTGAAAATAGTTATCAACTCTATTCAACTTGTAAGATGTATCTATGTGCTTCCCAAGTCACTGGTTGTCACCCAAATGGACCACGGTGACTCCATCATGCCTTAAGGAGGCATTATATACTGTGTGTAGTATGCACATGTATTTTTAAAGAAATGACATTAAGAGAGAAAAGAACAGCCTTTCAAACATCAGTTCCTCAAATAAGGGGTGACAGTGCTATATGGCTCCCTTTTAATCTCCTCACCTACTCAGTTATCAAATACCTCCAAAATTAGACAAATAAGGGCCAGAGACAAAGCTCCATGGTGAATTGCATCTTTCAGATGTGCTTTCAATTCACTGGTTTTTAATTTCCCATTCCTGATTTACTGAGGAGTAAAGGTGAGAATCATCCAACTGATGACAAAGTAAAACAGGAAAACAGGATAAACAGCTAGGGCTCTGCGGTTTGGAGGCTGGCTATCAGCAAGGAAAGCTGTGGAGGCTAAACAAAACAAGACAAAACAAAAAGGAATGTTTAATACAGTAATATTGTCACAACTATTAACATTTACTAAACATTCATGAGCTTGGCATCATCTAGAACACAGAATTACACTAAAAGTTTAGTTATACTGGTGATCCTCAGAGATAAAGGCATTCTGCAACATAGTTTTTCAGAGAGCCGAGGCCGAGGACTTATTTCAAGTACTAAACCATTTTGGATGGAAATCTTTCTAAAAGGAGTTTTTTACCCTTTTCTGGAAAAGTTATTGAACTGTACTGAAAAGGCTTACAAAGATGTGTAAGGTTATTTGTTCCTATGGTAAACGGCCTCGTGCTGCTCTGCTTTTTGAGCTAACTGTGCTTCTGAAATTGTCAGCTCTTTTAAACGCCATCCCTCCCTTGTCCATCTAAGAAAAACCTAATCATCGTTTTACTCATCAAGAATCACCCTTCTGACCAGGCACAGTGGCTCATGCCTGTAATTCCAGCACTTTGGGAGGCAAAGGCAGGCGGATCACCAGAGGTCAGGAGTTCGAGACCAGCTTGGCCAACATGGTGAAACCCCATCTCTAATAAAAATACAAAAATTAGCCAGGTGTGGTGGCGGGCACCTGTAATCCCAGCTACTCGGGTGGCTGAGGCAGGATAATTGTTTGAACTCAAGAGGCAGAGGTTGCAGTGAGCCAAGATGGCGCCACTGCACTCCAGCCTGGGTGACAGAGAAAGACCCAGTCTCAAAAAACAAACAAACAAACAAACAAACAAAAAAGAATCATTCCTCTCGCTGGGTGCTACAGCTTATGCCTGTAATCTCGGCTACTCGGGAGGCTGAGGTGGGAGAACTGCTTGAAGCCAAGAGTTCAAGGCTGCAATATGTTACGGTTGCACCATTCCACTCCAGACTGAATGACAGAGTGAAACCCCATCTCTTTAAAGAAAAATAACAGGAGGTGGCTGGCAAGATGGCCGAATAGGAACAGCTCCGGTCTGCAGCTCCCAGCAAGATCAATACAGAAGGCAGGTGATTTGTGCATTTCCAACTGAGGTACCCAGTTCATCTCATTGGGACTGGTTAGACAGTGGGTGCAGCCCACGGGGGGTGAGCTGAAGCAGGGTGGGGAATCGCCTCACCTAGGAAGCACAAGGGGTCGGGGAACTCCCTACCCTAGCCAAGGGAAGCCATGAGGGACTGTGCCATGAGGAACGGTGCATTCCAGCCCAGATACTACACTTTCCCCATGGTCTTCACAACCCGCACACCAGGACACTCCCTCGGATGCCTATGCCACCAGGGCCCTGGATTTCAAGCACAAAACTGGGCGGCCATTTGGGCAGACACCAAGCTAGCTGCAGGAGTTTTTTTTTATACCCTAGTGGTGTCTGGAACACCAGCGAGACAGAAGTGTTCACTCCCCTGGAAAGGGAGCTGAAGCCAGGGAGCCAAGTGGTCTAGCTCAACGGATCCCACCCCCATGGAGCCCAGCAAGCTAAGATCCACTGGCTTGAAATTCTCACTGCCAGCACAGCAGTCTGAAGTGGACCTAGGATGCTTGAGCTTGGTGGAGGGAAGGGCAACCACCATTATTGAGGCTTGAGTAGGCAGTTTTCCCCTCACAGTGTAAAGAAAGCCACAGGGAAGTTGAAACTGGCCAGAGCCCACCACAGCTCAGCAAAGCTGCTGTAGCCAGACTACCTCTCTAGATTTCTCCTCTCTGGGCAGGGCATCACTGAAAGAAAGTCAGCAGCCCCAGTCAGGGGCTTATAGATAAAACTCCCATCTTCATGGGACAGAGCACCTGGGGGATGGAGCAGCTGTAAGCACAGCTTCAGCAACTTAAACATTCCTGCCTGCCAGCTCTGAAGAGAGCAGCGCACAGTGCTTCAACTCTGCTAAGGGACAGACTGCTTCCTCAAGTGGATCCCTGACCCCCATGCCTCCTGACTGGGAGACACCTCCCAGCAGGGGTTGACGGACACCTCATACAGGAGAGCTCTGGCTGGCATCTGGCAGGTGCCCCTCTGGGATGAAGATTCCAGAGGAAGGAGCAGGCAGCAATCTTGGCTGTTCTGCAGCCTCTGCTGGTGATACCCAGGCAAACAGGGTCTGGAGTGGACCTCCAGCAAACTTAAGCAGACCTGCAGCAGAGGGGCCTGACTGTTAGAAGGAAAACTAACAAACAGAAAGGAATAGCATCAACATCAAAAAAAGGACATCCACACAGAAACCCCATCTGAAGGTCACCAACATCAAAGACCAAAGGTAGATAAATCCATGAAGATGAGGAAAAACCAGCACAAAAAGGCCGAAAATTCCAAAAACCAGAATGTCTCTTCTCCTCCAAAGGATCACAACTCCTTGCCAGCAAGGGAACAAAACTGGATGAAGAATGAGTTTGACGAACTGACAGTAGACTTCAGAAGGTGGGTAATAACAAACTCCTCTGAGCTAAAGGAGCATGTTCTAATGCAATGCAAGGAAGCTAACCACCTTGAAGAAAGGTTAGAGAAATTGCTAACTAGAATAACCAGTTTAGAGAACATAAATGACCTGACGGAGCTCAAAAACACAGCATGAGAACTTCATGAAGCATACACAAGTGTCAATAGCTGAATCGATCAAGCAGAAGAAAAGATATCAGAGATTGAAGATCAACTTAATGAAATAAAGTAGGAAGACAAGATTAGAGAAAAAAGAATGAAGAGGAATGAACAAAGCCTCCAAGAAATATGGGACTATGTGAAAAGACCAAACCTACCTTTGATTGGTGTACCAGAAAGTGACAGGGAGAATGGAACCAAGTTGGAAAACACTCTTCAGGATATTATCCAAGAGAACTTCCCCAACCTAGGAAGGCAGGCCAATACTCAAATTCAGGAAATACAGAGAACACCACAAAGATATTCCTTGAGAAGAACAACCCCAAGACACATAATTGTCAGATTCACCAATCTGAAATGAAGGAAAAAATGTTAAAGGCAGCCAGAGAGAAAGGTCGGGTTACCCACAAAGGGAAGCCCATCAGACTAACAGCTGATCTCTCGGCAGAAACCCTACAAGAAGAGAGTGGGGGCCAATATTCAACATTCTTAAAGAAAAGAATTCTCAACCCAGAATTTCATATCCAGACAAACTAATCTTCATAAGTGAAGGAGAAATAAAATCCTTTATAGACAAGCAAATTCTGAGAGATTTTGTCACCACCAGGACTGCCTTACAATAGCTCCTGAAGGAAGCACTAAACATGGAAAGGAAAAACCAGTACCAGCCACTGCAAAAACGTAACTAATTGTAAAGACTATCGACACTATGAAGAAATGGCATCAACTAATGGGCAAAATAACGAGCTAGCATCATAATGACAGTATCAAATTTACACATAACAATATTAACCTAAAATACAAATGGGCTAAATGCCCCAATTAAAAGACACAGACTGGCAAATTGGATAAAGAGTCAAGACCCATCAGTGTGCTGTATTCAGGAGACCCATATCACGTGCAAAGACACATATAAGCTCAAAATAAAGGGATGGAAGAATATTTACCAAGCAAATGGAAAGCAAAAAAAGTAGGGGTTGCAATCCTAGTCTCTGATAAAACAGACTTTAAACCAACAAAGATCAAAAAAGACAAAGAAGGGCATTACATAATGGTAAAGGGATCAATGCAACAAGAAGAGCTAACTATCCTAAATATATATGCACCCAATACAGGAGCACCCAGGTTCATAAAACAAATTCTTAAAGACCTACAAAGAGACTTATACTCCCACACAATAATAGTGGGAGACTTTAACACCCCACTGTCAATATTAGACAGATAGACGAGACAGAAAATTAACAAGGATATTCAGGACTTGAACTCAGCTCTGGACCAAATGGACCTAAAAGATATCTACCCCAAATCAACTGAATATACATTTTTCTCAGCACCACATCACACTTATTCTAAAATTGACCACATAATTGGAAGTAAAATACTCCTCAACAAAGGCAAAAGAATGGAAATCATAACAACAGAATGCAAAAGAATGGAAATCATAGTCTCTCAGATCACAGTGCAATCAAATTAGAACTCAGGATTAAGAAACTCACTCAAAACCGCACAGCTACACAGAAACTGAACGACCTGCTCTTGAATGACTACTAGGTAAACAACGAAATTAAGGCAGAAATAAACAAGTTTTTTGAAACCAATAAGAACAAAGACGGAACATACCAGAATCTCTGCAACAGAGCTAAAGCAGTGTTTAGAGGGAAATTTATAGCACTAAATGCCCACAGGACAAAGCGGGAAAGATCTAAAACTGACACCCTAACATCACAATTAAAAGAACTAGAGAAGCAAGAGCAAACAAATTCAAAAACTGGCAGAAGATAAGAAATAACTAAGATCAGAGCAGAACTGAAGGAGATAGAGACAAGAAAAACCCTTCAAAAAATCAATGAATACAGGAACTGTTTTTTTTGGAAAGATTAACAAAATAGACCGCTAGCCAGACTAATAAAGAAGAAAAGAGAGAAGAATCAGATAGACACAATAAAAACTGATAAATTGAAGATCAACACTGATCCCACAGAAATACAAACTACCATCAGAGAATACTATAAATACCTCTATGCAAATAAACCAGAACATCTAGAAGAAATTGATAAATTCCTGGACACATAATCCCTCCCAAGACTAAACCAGGAAGACGTCGAATCCCTGAATAGACCAATAATAAGTTCTGAAATTGAAGCAGTAATTAATAGCCTACCAATCAAAAAAAGCCCATGACCAGCCAGATTCACAGCTAAATTCTACCAGAGGTACAAGAGGAGCTGGTACCATTCCGTCTGAAACTATTCCAAACAATAGAAGAAGAGGGATTCCTCCCTAACTCATTTCGTGAGGCCAGCATCATCCTGAAACCAAAACCTGGCAAAGACACAACAAAAAAAGAAAATTTCAGGCCAATATCCTTGATGAACATCACTGTGAAAATCCTCAATAAAATACTTGCAAACTGAATCCAGCAGCATATCAAAAAGCTTACCCACCATGATCAAGTCAGCTTCATCCCTGGGATGCAAGGTTGGTTCAACATATGCAAATCAATAAACGTAATTCATCACATAAACAGAACCAATGACAAAAACCACATGATTATCTCAACAGATGCAGAAAAGGCCTTTGATAAAATTCAACACCGCTTCATGCTAAAAACTCTCAATAAACTAGGTATTGATGGAACGTATCTCAAAATAATAAGAGCTATTTATGACAAACCCATAGCCAATATCATACTTAATGGGCAAAAGCTGGAAGCATTCCCCTTGAAAACCAGCACAAGACAAGGATACCCTCTCTTACCACTCCTATTCAACATAAAGTCTGGCCAGGGAAATCAGGCAAGAGAAAGAAATAAAGGGTATTCAAATAGAAAGACAGGAAGTCAAATTGTCTCTGTTTGCAGATGACATGATTGTATATTTAGAAAACCCCATCGTCTCAGCCCATAATCTCCTTAAGCTGATAAGCAACTTCAGCAAAGTCTCAGGATACAAAATCAATGTGCAAAAATCACAAGCCTTCCTATATACCAATAACAGACAGAGAGCCAAATCATGAGTGAACTCCCATTCACAATTGCTACAAAGAGAATAAAATACCTAGGAATCCAACTTACAAGGGATATGAAGGACCTCTTCAAGGAGAACTACAAACCACTGCTCAAGGACATAAGAGAGAACACAAACAAATGGAAAAACATTCCATGCTGATGGATAGGAAGAATCAATATCATGAAAATGGCCATACTGCCCAAAGTAATTTACAGATTCAATGCTATCCCCGTCAAGCTACCATTGACTTTCTTCACAGAAGTAGAAAAAACTACTTTAAATTTCATATGGAACCAAAAAAGAGCCCATATAGCCAAGACAATCCTAAACAAAAAGAACAAAGCTGGAGTTATCACTCTATCTGACCTCCAACTATACTACAAGGCTATGGTAACCAAAACAGCACAGTACTGGTACCAAAACAGATATATAGACCGATGGAACAGAACAGAGGCCTCAGAAATAATGCCTCCCATCCAAAATCATCTGATCTTTGACAAGCCTGATAAAAACCAGCAATGGGGAAAGGATTCCCTAGTTAATAAATGGTGTTGGGAAAACTGGCTAGCCATATGCAGAAAACTGAAACTGGACCCTTTCCTTATACCTTATACAAAAATTAACTCAAGATGGATTAAAGACTTAAATGTAACACCTAAAACCATAAAAACCCTACAAGAAAACCTAGATAGTACCATTTAGGACATAGGCATAGGCAAAGACTTCATGACTAAAACACCAAAAGCAATAGCAACAAAAGCCAAAACTGACAAATGGGATCTAATTAAACTAAAGAGCTTCTGCACAGCAAAAGAAACTATCATCAGAGTGAATAGGCAACCTACAGAATGGGAAAAAATTTTTGCAATCTATCCATCTGACAAAGGGCTAATATCCAGAATCTACAAAGAACCTAAACAAATTTACAAGAAAAAGACAACCCCATCAAAAAGTGGGCGAAGGATATGAACAGACACTTCTCAAGAGAAGACATTTATGCGGCCAACAAACATATGAATAAAAGCTCATCATCACTGCTCATGAGAGAAATGCAAATCAAAACCACAATGAGATACCATCTCACGCCAGTTAGAATGGCTATCATTAAAAAGTCAGGAAACAACAGATGCTGGAGAGGATGTGAAGAAATAGAAATATTTTTACACTGTTGGTGGGAGTGTAAATTAGTTCAAGCATTGTGGAAGACAGTGTGGCGATTCTTCAAGGATCTAGAACCAGAAATACCATTTGACCCATCAATCCCATTACTGGGTAATACTATAAAGACACATGCACACCTATGTTTACTGCTGCACTGTTCACAATAGCAAAGACTTGGAACCAACCCAAATGCCCATCAATGATAGACTGGATAAAGAAAATGTGGCACATATACACCATGGAATACTATGCAGCCACGTAAAAGGTTGAGTTCATATCCTTTGTATGAAGCTGAAAACCATCATTCTCAGCAAACTACCACAGGAACAGAAAACCAAACACCACATGTTCTCACTCATAAGTGGGGGTTGAACAATGAGAACACATGGACACAGGGAGGGGTACATCACACACTGGGGCCTGTCAGAGGCTGGGGGGGCTAGGGGAGGAATAGCATTAGGAGAAATACCTAATGTAGATGATGGGTTGATGGGTGCAGCAAACCACCATGGCATGTGTATACCTATGTAACAAACCTGCATGTTCTGCACATGTATCCCAGAACTTAAAGTATAATAATAATATAAAAACATATATATATATATATATTTTTAGCCAAATAAATAAATAAATGAAAATAATCAGCCAGGTGCGGTGGCTCATGTCTGTAATCCCAGCACTTTGAGAGGCCAAGGCGGGTGGATCACCTGAGGTCAGGAGTTCGAGACCAGCCTGGCCAACATGGTGAAACCCCATCTCTACTAAAAACACAAACATTAATCGGATGTGGTGGCACATAGCTGTAATCCCAGCTACTCGGGAGGCTGAGGCAGGAGAACTGCTTGAATCCAGGAGGTGGAGGTTACAGTGAGCCGAGATAGTGCCACTGCACTCCAGCCTGGGTGACAGAGTGAGACTCTGTCTCAAATACTAATCATCATCATCATCACATCTCTGGGAAATCTTTCCTGAATAATCATGTCTGTCCCACTGTACTGTGTATAAATCTCCATTTCCCACTTAGAACACCTATTGCCTTTAAATGTTTTCACGTCGGGCTGCTCTGTTAGATTGTGAACTCCAAGGACAAAGACCATGCCTAAAATTATGCCTGACGCATAGTTTGTGATTAATGTTTGCTGAATTAAAGTTTCTCTCTCCTATGATTCTACTTCGTGATCACCTGTGAGCCTGGACACTGGATAACTAAGTAAGTATAATTACATTTATGGTAATTATGAGATTCTCAGTGAGAGAATGAGGGGCTCTCCCCATGGGAAAAGCACCCAAGCTTAATATACAGTCTTTGGAATATCAGTTCTGGCTCTCTCAGACCTTTGTTGGATTACTTCTTAGCTTTCAACCATGTTCCAGAGCAATGAGATGTTACTACACTTAAAAATATTAAGCAGTCTGCCTATCCATTAAAGCAGAAGCTAGTGAACACTTCTAAATTTAAGCTGGAATCTTAAGAGAACTTTAGGAATATAAAAACAATGAGCACATAGCATTCATTATCATTGCTATAGGCCCTTCCTAGTCTTTAGCAAAATGTTCTACTGAAGCAGAAAAGTGCTATATAATGATACTTACAATCTACACTGGAAGGTGGTATAGTATAGTTCTTAAAGGTTCATGACTGCCTGGTTTGCAATTTGACTCTCTTACTCACAAGTAATGCAACCTAGGGCAAGCTGCTCAACTTCTCTGTAACTGTTCTTCATCTGTAAGATGGGACTAATAACAGTATTTCTCTATTAGAGTTGCTGTGAGGCTTAAATGGGATAATATATATAAAGCACTTAAACAGTGCCTGGCCTTTGATAAGCAATCTGTAAATGTTATTATTTTTATTTTAATTAGTTTATCAGGAAAAGATCCCAGTCATTCCACAAGTCACCTAATGCCTTGTATATACCAGGACTAGGCTAAATGTAGTGTAATCCACTTTCCCAACCTTTTTTTTTTTTTAAAGAAAGAAAAAAGATGTGACTCTCCACATCTTATAAGTCCAGATATCCAACTCAGATAAGCCCCATCATTGCCTACTCAGGGAAGAGGGTTCTATGGATAATACTATCAAGAATCATATCACTCACATCTAACTTTGGACTTATACTGCTCCTCATCTGGTCTTCATCATTAAATCATGTTTTTGTCTGTTCTGTTATTGTGGAAATAAGTACATACTTACCAACTATAGACCAGGCAAACATCACAATCACCACAAAAAGCCGAACCATGAAGTTTACAGGTCCTGGATCAGCCAAAAGTACCAGCCGGCAAATCAGCATTGCTACTGTCAAGGGAAGTATACAGTAACCCAGCACACAGAGGCTCTGAAAAAAAGATCTTAAAAACAAAATACATTAATAAAGATCATAAATACAACTGATGGGTGTTATGACACAGCTTATTACATAGATTTCTCTATGTAACGGAATGTTGCCTCCTTCTTGGTACATAACATCTACATCCTAACATTAATTATTAAGTACATGCTTTTGGCTGGGCGCGATGGCTCACGCCTGTAATACCAACACTTTGGGAGGCCAAGGGTGGGGGGGTGGATCACCTGAGGTCAGAAGTTCAAGACCAGCCTGGCCAACATGGTGAAACCCCGTCTCTACTAAAAATACAAAAAAAAATTAGCCGGGCATTGTGGCAGGCACCTGTAATCCCAGCTACTCAGGAGGCTGAGGCAGGAAAATCGCTTGAACCTGGGAGGTGGAGGTTGCAGTGAGCTGAGCTTGTGCCACTGCACTCCAGCCTGGACAGAGCGAGACTCCATCTCAAAAAAAAAAAAAATTAAGTACATGCTTTAATTTTCTTTCCCCATACTCTTCCTCCTCTCCTCTCAAATTCCTTAAAAGTCAATCATCTAACACCAGATGATCTGCTCTAGTTCCTACAGATATCTTTCTCTGAACCTCTAAGGTAGTGGTTCTTAATCCTTTCTAGTTTATAGACCTATTATACTTGAGAATTTGTTAAAAGCTAGGGACCACTTGCCCCCCAAAACGTACATACTCTTCTTACACAAAAAAGTCTGCCTATGATTTCAGGGCCTGGAAAGGGCATCTGAAGCTTATCAAAGGACCTCTGATAATTTAAGATAATTTAACTTAACAAGGTTATCTCTGTACAGTGGTAGTGGTTTTAAGAACACTTCTCTTTGGCCCTTATTTAGTTTGATTTTTCTTTAAAACAAAATATGAGGCCAGGTATGGTGGCTCATGCCTGTAATCCCAGCATTTTGGGAGGCCAAGGTGGGAGGATCACTTGAACCCAGGAGTTCAAAACCAGCCTAGGCAATACAGTGGGACCCCATCTCTACAAAAAAAAAAATTTTTTTAATTAGCCAGGCATAGTAGCACATGCCTGTAGTCCCAGCTACTCGGGATGCTGGGGCAGGAGGATCCCAGCTACTTGGGACGCTGAGCCTGGGAGATAGAGGCTGCAGTAAGCCATGATCACACCAATGCACTCGAGCCTGGGTGACAGAGTGACACCCTGTCTCAAAAAAAAAAAAAAATCTAGCTAGCCTGTATTCCTTAATCTAAGATATACTACCTGGCAAGAGGAAAAAAAGAATGCATTTTAATAATACTCACATGTTCCCTCCAAGAAGTTTTGAGTTGAGGGTGATGGTAACTGCACCAAACCAGACAATGACAAACACCTCTGCAAATTGGGGCCCTCCATCTTTTTCACTATCTGCAGAGTCTCTTTGCAGCATTCTGAGAAAAGGAAACAGCGTAAGAATTGCTTAATCTTTTACTTAGGGCAACAAAGTTAAGGCATGGGTTCTCAAACTTTGAATCAGATTGCTGTGCCATACCTCACCTGAAGATCTGTAATATGTAGGTTGTGCTAAAAGGAAAATGACACAAGCATTTGGCAAGGCTCCCTTACTGCAAATTCCAAATGCCTCAGGACTACAAGGGGTGCTCCATTTGACCTTGTTGAAATGTTTAAATGAATTATTGAAGACCTTTTTTTTAAGCAGAGGTTATAAACTGAAGGGTCAAATGTGGCTCATATATAATGAGGCCTTGGGCTTATATAATATTTAAGATGATTTTGAATTTAAGTTGACACTATTTTATTTCACATAAGAATATGAATTTCTAGATTTTCTTGAAAAAACTGTTAGACTTTCTAACATTGAGCCTGCATTCCAACACTGCAACAATCAAGTGTAACTGACATAAGTACAAGGGGCTTACAGTCACCATATCACTACTACATGCATTTAGGTTACTATTCTAGCCTTTAGACACATCAGAATTTGTAGTTCTTGGGTTAAGATTTCAGTTGAGATATTTAAAAATGGAAATAGGCCAGGTATGGTGGCTTAGCCTGTAATCTCAGCACTTTGGGAGGCCACGACAGGCAGATCGCTTGAGGCCAGGAGTTCGATACCAGCCTGGGCAACATGACGAAACCCCCGTCTCTACAAAAAATAAAAAATTAGTTGGCCATGGTGGTACACGCCTATAGTCCTAGCTACTAGAAAGGCTGAGTTGGGAGAATCGCTTGAGCCTGGGAGGTTGAGGCTGCAGTGAGCTGTAATCACACCACCAACTCAGCCTGGGTAACTGAGTGAGACTGCCTCAAAACAAAATAAAAATAATAAATAAAAATGGAAACAGTCTATAAACCTTTTTAGTTGTTGATTTTTAAAAAATCAAAACATACAGATTATTACTAAAGGGTTTTGCTTTGGAATTGAGTAGTTGAACAACCACTTAAATATCCTTTCTTTGTCTAAGAATTTTACAGATATAAACTGTTTTGAATATTTGGACTTGGTGTTATTACCAAGAAAAATAATAACTGTAAGCTCACAACCTCTTCTTATTAAACAGTATAGAGAAGTCACACTGTAAGTCTTTCTTGCCCTGCTATGCTACTTGGCAGTATGCACAGGCTTTTGTATTCTATGATATGCATATTCCATTCCAAGTCGTGACAACCAGATGCAAAGAATGGCCAGCACTCATCACTTGTTGTCTGGAATCCCTGTTGCTTCAGCATGGTATGATGGAAAGAATATTAACTAGCCTGGAAGGCAAGAGACCCAGATACTGATCCTAATTCTGTCACTAGATATGTCACTTGATGTCCTGGGACTCCAGTTTTCTCTGCAACTAAGTGGGGTTAAACTACATAATCTATAAGGTTAAACTTTCAAAAGTAAAAAAAATATATATGCTCGGGACATCTAATATAAACCCCTCCATCAAGGCATTAGGCTGCATCCCTTAACATGGTTACTAAAAGCATAAGAAATAGTACTCTACATTATTACCTAAATTAATATATGCTCAATTTAAATTTAAAAAATTAGAGAGGTCAGCAAGAAACTTAGTGAATTTAGACCCATAAAGGGTTAAGCCTGGAAAGGACCCTCAACCACTCCCTTTACAGATATGGAAGAGGCGACCCAGAGTGACCAGGTGGGAAGAGATGTGTAATGAACCCTAGAGGTACAAAATAGGTAGTGAGGAAACCTGAGGTTGAATCTCAGGTCTACCACTGATTATGTGATCTTGGTTAAATCCTCAACCTTTTTGAACCTGAGCTTGTTTGTCAAAAAAAAAAAGAAAAATAAAATAATTTTAATTATTGCAATGAGGTTAAAATAAGAGAAAGTATTTTAAAGTTTTCTGCAAACTGGGAAAAATTATACAAACATTGGTTATTAGTAGCCCAAAGTCACATAGCTAGCTGACAGCAGAGTCAGAATGCGAACTCAGAACTGAATTCCAGGGCAGTATTTTTTCCCGCTCTATCAATGGTTATATTCATCTCTCTAGTGTAACCTTCTTCTCCTTCCCCGTCCTCTTCCTTTACCTACAATGTGTATGGAAAAGTACAACACTCTGAAACATGATCTTGCTTTTAACTCTCCTAATTTATTCTCATTCTCATTCATATTTTTAGTAAGATTACAGAGAATTATGTTTGCAAACAAAGGGTGCTTAAACCTTAATTCACTTAGTTTAATAATAGGGAGGAACAGGAGAGTAAATAAGTAAATAAATGTTTGTTGAATAGACATGGCTAAAACAGACTAAAATGTCATTGGTTAAGGAAGGTGAGCCTAATTTCATCATATTTTAATTGATTTGGAAAGTGACTTTAGAGGCTTAAATACCTAAGGAGTATAACATGTACAACATGTCATATAAGTCCTAAATGAAATATTCAATCAAAATCCCCCACAATTTTGGAAATCCACAAAAAAGTCTAGTCTAGCTCAAATGACAAAGAAAGAAAATGCAAGTACTTACAATGCGAGTGTCACACAAAGGATCAAAGGGCCCCACAAATCCCCTACAAGACAAGAAAAGACAGAAGCGAAGGTAATATTTTCTGTCTTTATTCTAATATCTACCTCTCTCCCTCCTAGAATTCAGACATCAAGGCTCTCTTTGGCTGGCCAAGCCTTCCTACCTCTCCTCTCCCACCACCTGCCCTCCCTGTCCCCTAATCCTGAATGCACTTCTTTACATAGACTTCCAGTTTCGCTTATTTCATATCCCACAAATCACCCTTTCCTTCTCCCCATCTACTAAGACACATGCTGGCACGCTATAATTAAAGACCAATGGACAAACAATCAGCAGACCTAGGTTCCCTACCCCATATTCTAAGAAAAAAAGACTATAGCCAAGGCACTTTACCAGTCAGAGACTGCATTAGACAAGGCAAGTATAATCATGCTCAGTTCACAAATACAAAAAATGAAGCTGAGAAGGAAATGACTTGCCTAGCTTTATATGTGGAGGTGGGACCAGAACCTAGGGCTATTGATTTTTTTTTTTTTTTTTGAGATGGAGTTTGGCTTTTGTTGCCCAGGCTGGAGTGCAATGGCGCAATCTCAGCTCATAGCATCCTCTGCCTCCTGGGTTCAAGCAATTCTCCTGCCTCAGCCTCCCGAGTAGCTGGGATTACAGGCACCCGCTATCATACTTGGCTAATTTTTGTGTTTTTAGTAGAGACGGGGTTTCACCATGTTGGCCAGCATGATTTCGAACTGACCTCAGGTGATCTGCCTACCTTGGCCTCCCAAAGTGCTGGGGTTACAGGCGTGAGCCACCGCACCTGGCCTGATTCTTTTCTTTTTTTTTTTTTTTTGAAACAGGGTCTCACTCTGTTGCCCAGGCTAGAGTGCAGTGGTGCGATCATGGCTCACTGCAGCCTCAACCTCCCAGGCTCAGGTGATCCTCCTACCTCAGCCTCCTGAATAATTGGGACTACAGGCACACGCCACCACACCCAGCTAACTTTTATTTTTTGTACAGATGGAGTTTCACCATGTTGCCCAGGCTGGTCTCAAACTCCTGGCCTCAAGCGATCCACCTGCCTCAGCCTCGCAAAGTGCTGGGATTACAGGCATAAGCCACCACACCCAGCCTGGTCTTTTGATTCTTAGACCAAAGTTCTTGCCACTCTGTCATACTGCTTCCCTTTTATAATTAGTATATTGAATTAATATAGAGTTGCTATTCTTCTAGGTGAAAAAACAGCCCAGTATTGGTAATTTCACAAGGTTAAACTTTAATAACATATGAAAGCTTTCTGAAAACTGCAAAAGGCTCTGCAGGCTCTGCCAACATCAGGTCTAGCAAACATGGTCCTCAATCAAAAGCTGCAGGCTGGATGCTGTGGCTCACGCCTGTAATCCTAGCACTTTGGGAGGCCGAGGCGGGCGGATGGCCTGAGCTCAGGAGTTTGAGACCTGCCTGGGCAACATGATGAAATCCCATCTCTATTAAATACAAAATATTCGCTGGGCATGGTGGCACGTGCCTGTAATCCCAGCTACTTGGGAGGCTGAGGCATGGGAATTGCTTGAACCCGGGTGGCAGAGGTTGCAGTGAGCCAAGATTGTGCCACTGCACTCCAGCCTGGGTGACAGTGCAAGACTCCGTCTCAAAAACAAACAAACAAACAAACAAAAACAGCTGCTGAGTGATTTGGTCGGGTTCGGTAGCTCATGCCTGTAATCCCAGCACTTTGGGAAGCTGAGGCGGGAAGATCACTTAAGGTCAGGAGTTTGAGATGAGCCTGGCCAACATGGTGAAATCCCGTCTCTAACTAAAAATACAAAAAAATTAGCCAGGTGTGGTGGCACATACCTGTAATCTCACCTACTAGGGAGGCTGAGGCAGGAGAATCCCTTAAACCCAGGAGGCAGAGGTTGCAGTGAGCCAAGATCGCAACCTCCACTCACTACACTCCAGCCTGGGTGACAGAGCAAGACTCTGTCTCAAAAAAACAAACAAAAAAAGCTGCTGAGTGATTTGCATGCCAACAGTTCAGTAGCACATAGCTTAGAGCACAATTACCTTCCTCAATTCATTCCAAAAAGGCAAATATTCCACATCGAACTTTAACCTCACATGTATATAACCTTACCCAAGAGAGGTACGCAAATTTATATACTTAATATTGTTTATTTTTTAATTGTATAAGTAATTTTGACACCATTGTGGAAAGTTTGGAAAAGACATAAAAAACCATAATCCTACCACTTCTAATAAAACTGCTGCTAATTTCATTAATTTTTTTTTAACTGCTCAACTTAAAAACTGAATTCAAGTGTACTGTCATGTGCCACATAATGATATTTCGGTCAATGATAGTGGTCCCATAAAATTATAATGGAGCTGAAAAATTCCTATCACCTAGTGACATCTAGTACAACACATTACTCACGTGTCTGTGGTGATGCTGGTATAAACAAACCTAGTATGTTGACAGTCATATAAAAATATAGAACAATTATGTACACTACATAATACTCTACTTGATAATGACAAAAAATGACTATGTTACTGTGGTTTACGTGTTTACTATATTATACTTTTCATTGTTATGTTGGAGTATACTTCTACTTAAAAAGTTCAGCCTGGGTAACATAGCAAGACCCTGTCTCTAAAAAAATGTGGTTTGTTTTTTGTTTTTTGTTTTTTTGAGACAGAGTTTCCCTCTTTTCACCCAGGCTGGAGTGCAATGGTGCAATCTTGGCTCACTGCAACCTCCACCTCCCGGGTTCAAGCGATTCTTCCGCCTCAGCCTCCGGAGTAGCTGGGACTACAGGCGCCTGCCACCACGCTTAGCTAATTTTTGTATTTGTAATGAGACAGGGTTTCACCATGTTGGCCAGGCTAGCCTGGAACTCCTGACCTCAGGTGTTCCACCCACCTCGGCCTGCCAAAGCGCTGGGATTAGAAGCATGAGCCATCGTGCCCAGACAAAAAAATTTAAAAATTAGCTGGGCATGGTGGCACAGGCTCCGGGCATGGGAGCCT
Organism: Homo sapiens; assembly: GCF_000001405.40. Lineage (NCBI taxonomy): Eukaryota > Metazoa > Chordata > Mammalia > Primates > Hominidae > Homo > Homo sapiens. Next base: position 68,515,785 of record NC_000023.11, on the reverse strand, counting down.
GAGGTGGGAGAATGGCTTGAGCCTAGAAGTTTGAGGCCACAGTGAGCTATAATCACACCACTGCATTCCAGCCTGAGTGACAGAACAAGATCATGTCTCTAAAAAAAAAAAAAGTCAACCATAACACAGTCTCAGGCAGGTCCTTCAGTAGATATTCCAGAAGAAGGCATTGTTATCATCAAAGATGGCAGTTTCATGCGTGTTAATGCCCCAGAAGACCTTCCAATAGGACAGATACAGAGGTGGAAGACAATTGTACTAATGATCCAATTCTGACCCTGTGAAGGCCTAGACCAAAGTGTGTGCTTTTGTCTTAGTTTTTAACAAAAAGTTGAAAAAATAAAACATTGGCTGGGCAGTGGCTCTTGCCTGTAATCCCAGCACTTTAGGAGGCTGAGGTGGGCAGACTGCTTGAGGCCAGGAGTTTTATTTTTTTATTTTTTTTATTTTTTTTTTTTTTGAGACGGAGTCTCACTCTTTCGCCCAAGCTGGACTGCAGTGGCGCTATCCCGGCTCACTGCAAGCTCCGCCTCTTGGGTTCATGCCATTCTCCTGCCTCAGCCTCCCGAGTAGCTGGGATTACAGGCGCCCACCACCACGCCCGGCTAATTTTTTGTATTTTTAGTAGAGACGGGGTTTCACCGTGTTAGCCAGGATGGTCTCGATCTCCTGACCTCGTGATCCGCCCGCCTCGGCCTCCCAAAGTGCTGGGATTACAGGCGTGAGCCACCGCGCCCGGCCAAGGCCAGGAGTTTTAGACAAGCCTGGGCAACATAGGGAGACCCCCATCTCTACAAAATATTTAAAAACTAGCCATGTGTGCCTACAGTCCCAGCTACTCAGGAGACTGGCAGAAGGACTGCTTGAGCCCAGGAGTTTGAGACTGCAGTGAGCTATGATTACGCCATTGCATTTGAGCCTGGGTAACAGAATGAGACGCTGTCTGTTTTGACAGAACTCTAATAAAGAAAGCAGTCATCAGACTAAATGATAGGCTTGAAAATCAAACTGTCAATAAAGGTACTATTAATTTGTTAAATGTTTACGGGTATTTACTATCATATTAATTTAACATTTAGGCCGGGGTGGTGGCTCTTGCCTGTAATCCCAGCACTCTGGGAGGCCAAGGCAGGTGGATCACTTCAGGTCAGCAGTTCGAGACCAGCCTGGCCAACATGGCAAAACCCGTCTCTACTAACAACACAAAAATTAGCTGGATGTGGTGGTGGGGCACCTGTAATCCCAGCTGTTCCAGAGGCTGAGGCAGAAGAATCTCCTGAACCCTGGAGGCAGAGGTTGCAGTAAGCTGAGATTGTGCCATTGCACTCCAGCCTGGGCAACAGAGCGAGACTCCATCTCAAAAAACTAACAAACAAAAATTTAAACATTTGCCTTTCCCTTGGAGATCATTAACTCTTTATGTGTCAGCAGCTTCCAGGAATATTATGTAATAAATGTAAATATTGTAAATTAGCAGCCTCCAGAAATGTATTTTGTAGTAACCACTAGAGCATTTTTTAAAATATATATATATATATATATATATTTTTTTTTTTTTGAGACAGGTCTCACTCTGTCACCCAGGCTAGGGTGCAGTGGCACAGTCACGGCACTACAGCCTTGATCTCCTGGACTCAAGCAATCCTCCCACCTCAGCCTCCCAAGTAGCTAGGACTACAGGCTTGTGCTACCAGGCCTGGCTAGTTTTTTTATTTTTAGTAGAAATGAGGTCTCGCCATGTTGCCCAGGCTGGTCTCAAACTCCTGAGTTCAAACAATTCTCCTGCCTCGGCCTCCCAAAGTGCTGGTATTACATGTATGAGCCACCATGCCTGGCCAGTGTACATTTACTGATGAGGACAATATAATAAGCAAAATGTTTCAATCTCTGAGATTCCAATCTAAATTTTTAATGTCTGCCTGTAATCCTAGCACTTTGGGAGGCCGAGGTGGGTGGATCACCTGAGATCGGGAGTTGGAAACCAGCCTGGCCAACCTGGTGAAATCCGTCTCTACTAAAAATACAAAAAAATTAGCTGGGCATGGTGGTGGGCGCCTTTAATCCCAGCTACTCAGGAGGCTGAGGCATGAAAATTACTTGAACACAGGAGGCGGAGGTTGCAGTGAGCCAAGATCATACCATTGCACTCCAGCCTGGAAGTCAGAGTGAGACTCTGTCTCAAAAAAAAATGAAAATAAAAATAAAATAAAATCAATTTTTAATTTCTGCCAGAAGTTTGATTTACATATTCGTTTACATATTTTTTTATCCTACAAAATGATGTCAGTTTTATTACCACAGAGACTTTGCCTTATAAAGTACTTACGATAAGGTACAGTGAGATAGATTAAGCAAACCCTTAAAAACCTCATATACTTACAATCTCTCAAAAGAGTATTACTTTTCCTTGGGTACAAAACATGCATGAATTTTTTCCCAACAGCTTTTAGATCACGCATCTGAAAGACAGAAACAACTTGTTGTATTGTGATGACCAAGGTTGCCAGCAGCCTTACTTAATTTGCTAAAATTTCTTTCATTTCAATCTCCTGTGAACTCTTCACTGAATTTTGCAGATAATTCCAGTTCAACTCCTTCACTACACAAACAAACCAGAGAGGTAGGGTATGCTTTTTCTATTAACTTCTTAAGCCAACTTTTAACACCTTTCCACATCTGTTTTGATCTGTTCTGTTTTGATGTTGAAAAAATCCATAAAAAAGAAACACAGCCCTCCCAATAGGCTGCTTAAAGAAACTAAAACAATTGTACTATAAAAAGCTGCTCTACAAAACACAGTATGTGACATTCAGTTCATAGAAGATGAGGTTCCAAGGACCAATTAGCCTGCTCTCTAGCTACTACATTCTTTGCAATATATGAAATAAATTTTTAACATTCCCAATTTAATTGGTAAATGAATCCTAGATGCCAGATACAAAAAAAAAAAAAAAATCAAGAAACTGGAAGAAGGGTTCAGTAATACAAATACAACCTCTCAAAGCACCACTGAGCTAATTCTGTTTTAATTTTTTCACCTAGAATTTTACCCGTTATTAAACACTTTGTAAACATAATTTATAATAGTTGCTTAGCATCCCACCACAAAGATATAACATAATTTACCTAACCAATACCTCATCTGTGGTTCATTTATTTCTAGCTTTCCCCTATTACAAAGAATGCTATAATAAACATCTTTGTATATTGATACTTTAATGTTGAAAATTTTTGTTTTACATTTTAAAACTTTCCTTATACTACATTTGGAGAAGTATGATAATATATTGGTTTAAAAAGATTTGGACATTTTAAGACCTTTTTTTTGTTTTTTGAGATGGAGTCTTGCTCTGTCGCCCAGGCCAGAGTGCAGTGGTGCGATCTCGGCTCACTGCAACCTCAGCCTCCCGGAGACAAGCGATTCAGTCTCCCAAGCAGCTGGGATTTCAGGCATATGCCACCATGTCTGGCTAATCTTTGTATTTTTAGTAGAGATGGGGGTTTCACCATCTGGGCCAGGTTGGTCTCGAACTCCTGAGCTCAGGTGATCCGCCTGCCTTGGCCTCCCAAAGGGCTGAGATTACAGGCGCGAGCCACCGCACCTTGCTGTTTTAAGATTATTAATATGCATTATAACCAAACTGCTCTCCAAAAAGGCTGTACCAAATTAATCTCTAGGATAAAATATTAAACTTCAGTATATAAAATATATTCAAAATCAGTGAACCAAATGAAAATATTGCAAAGTACTATTAGTTACTTAGTCCCATGATACTGAACAGAAGTTCTCTCAACTAGTCTAACTTACGATGGTATTGCGAACAGATTCATTTAATGTGGAGCTGTCAAACTCCCGGATGCGAGATCTCATAGGAATGGTGATTTCTCCTTCTACGGGGATGTCTTGTGAGATGGATATATCTGAAAGGCCTGCAAACTGAGAAGAGTCAGGGGAAAAAAAGTAAGCCTGTAATAAACTGTAGCATTCCTCATATATATCATCATTTCCTAGAGAGTTGGGACCATGTATTTTGTAGGGTTTTACATAGGAAAGTAGGTGTTAGCTCAACAGACATTACACAATGCAGTTAACAATAATCCTCAAATTTATTTCTTTAAAGATTAAACATAATGAAAAAACTAAAGTAAATGTCATAGACACCTTCTTGCCCACCAACATTTAGCATAAAATCTTCACATGGCACAAGCTAGCAAGACTGAGATAATAATTGTAAAGTTATTAAAAAGTGACCTTTTAGCAATCACTGTCTTAGAATGGCCACGTTTCTGTTGCACTTCTGCTCCCTAACAGGCTCTAGTGGCCTCTGCTGGCTAAAAATGAGCATTACATGAACCATAAAGGCAAGTGCGGGAAACAGGGAAATAGCAAAATATACCTTGATTACAGTCTTTACAGGTTACCTGGCAATCACAGAGCAAATAAAATTTTCAAAGTGAATAAAGAATGTGAACTTTTAAATTCATAGTCATCTGCCAAATGTTATTACAACCGAAACTCAAATCTACAAATTCCTAAGAAAATAGAGGCAATGCCTTCTCATACAGTTTTTGGGCCAGTAGGCACAATTTTTAGTGGGCAACAGTTGCAGATAAAGGAAACACAAGACAGTATACTGAAATTTTAGAAAGAATGAGGATGTTCACATCCGTCAAATTTTATTACAACCAAAACTCAAATCTACAAATTCCTAAGAAAATAGAGGCAATGACTTCTCATACAGTTTTTGGCCCAGTAGGCACAATTTTTAATGGGCAACAGTTGCAGATAAATGAAATGCAGACAGTATACTGAAATTTTAGAAGGAATGAGGATGTTCAAAGAATTTGTAAAAGGCTGGGCATGGTGGCTCATGCCCGTAATCCCAGCACTTTGGGAGGCCGAGGCGGGCAGATCACCTGAGGTCGGGAGTTTGAGACCAGCCTGACCAACATGGAGAAATCCCATCTCTACTAAAAATACAAAATTAGCTGCGCGTGGTGGCGCATGCCTGTAATCCCAGCTACTCGGGAGGCTGAGGCAGGAGAATCGCTTGAACCCGGGAGGTGAAGGTTGCGGTGAGCCGAGATCACGCCATTGCACTCCAGCCTGGGCAACAAGAACAAAACTCCGTTATAATAAAATAAAATACAAAAAAATACAAAAAATAAACAAATAAATAAATAAATAAAATAAATAAAATATAAAATATAAAATAAAATAAAATAAAATAAAACAAAAACAATTTCTTAACCACACTCATATTTCTTAAATATAAGAAACATGCCATAGAATTTTTTTTTAAAGGTTTCTTATAGAGGAAAGAAAGGAATAGGATAGAGCAGACAGGGAGAGAAACTAGGCTTTTTTCAATATATGTTGTCCATATAAATGACTTGCAATCATATAAACACTTCACACAATTATTAAACAAAATTAAAATTTGAAGGAAGCAATCCCTGAAACTGAGAGAAAAAATTAAACCAATGAAACTACCATGTATTGAAATAAACACACAACCACAAAGATAGCACCTATTTCAAGTGACTATATAACACTGTAATTTGACTTCTGATTAAGATATAGGAAGCTGGAAAGACCATTCCCCAAGTAGAATAATGAGAAAAGGCTAGATACTTTACTGAATCATAACTTTCCCTGAATTCATCTGAGAACTGAGTTGTAGGGAGACCAAGTAGCCTGGATGAAATCTAAAGAAAGCCAGGTGCTTCCACGAAGAGACATCAGCACTGGCTCAACAGTAGCAAAGCATGAGGGGAAGACAATGCTGCACACCACACCACACAGATGGGTAAGAATTCAAATAAAATTTTAAATAAATTGCTAAAGTCCAAGTATGGATCAGCACAAGAGTACAGAATCCCTGGAAGCAATAGACGCAAGGGGAGTTCACACCCACTTACAGGCTCTTCTCTAGAAAAAAGCCCCTAGAGGAAAGAGCCTTAAAGCCACTTAGACAAAAACAAGTTGCCTTCAGAACACAGGTGACAACTCACTGAAGCTGGAGAAAGGGAAAAGGAAAAGCTCTCTACTACTAAGGGATGGACAGAAAACCATCCTGGGCCCAGACCATTAAGAGTTTCCTTCAGCTAGGAGGGGGACAGGATCACTAAGAAAGTGCTACCCAGGAGACCCAGGGACACATGGTCTGCCTAAGGCAGAGACTAGACTATGAAAACAAAGAATCCCCTTTCCCTGGCCCCTATCACCAGGCTAGCAAGTATGGAGTAATAAACAACAGCAGTCTACTGCTGGAGGAAGTGCTAGAGCTTAGAAAGAGACTCACCATGAGATGCAAGGGCAAAGACAGAAGCTGAGTACAGAACATGAACATTAATAAAAACATTGGGGCTGGGTGCAGTGGCTCATGCCTGTAACCCCAACTCTGGGTAGCTGAGGTAGGAGAATCGCTTGATGCTAGGAGTTTGAGACTAGTCTGGGTAACACAGTGAGACCCCCATCTCTACAAAAAATGTTTTTAAAAAATTAGTTGGGCATGGTGGCATGCAACTAACTGTGGTCCCAGCTACTGAGGAGGCTAAAGTGGGAGGATCACTTGAGCCCAGGAGGTCAAGGCTGCAGTAAGATATGATCACGCCATTGCAATCCAGCCTGGGCAACAGAGTGAGATGCTGTCTCAAAAAAAAAAAAACAACAACAAAAAACAAAACACTGGGACAACATAGCACCCCCACCCCTAAACTCAAGGTAACAACAGAGGAATCTGAAGCTGGTGATGCACTGAAGGTAACCATAGCAACAACAACAACAACAAAACAAACAAAGCTCAACCCTGACTAGACTGACTTAACCCCTACTGACTGACAACTCAGCAGCAGAGATGTGCCACTTCTAGCAGTGTGTACATGATGTCCAGCGTTCAATATCAATAACAAATTATCTCCCCCATACTCACATGAAAAAACAACCCACTATGAGACAAAGCAATTAACAAAACCAGGCTCTGAGATGACCAAGATGTTAGAATTATCAGAAAAGAAATTTAAGATTACTATGTTTAATATGCAAAAGGCTCTAGTAGAAAAGGTACATGCATGAATGATGATGAATTTCTGCAAAGAGATGGAAACTGTAAGAATCAGATGGCAATGCTAGAAATACATGAACATAGTAACAGATAAAGAATGCCTTTGCCAGCCTTATCAGTTACCTCAATACCAAAGAAAGAATTCAGAGCTAGGTCAGTCAAAATTATGCAAACTAAAACAAAAGGAGAAGAGTAAAAGAAGAAAAGAAAAAAGAATAGAGTATCTAGGAACTATGGGAAAACATTAAATGGTCTTATTATGTAAATAATTGGAATCCCAGAAGAATAGAAAGATAATGGCTCTGAAGAGATATAGGCTAACCGCAGTGGCTGATGCCTGTAATCCTAGCACTTTGGGAGGCCAAGGCAGACAGATTGCTTGAGCCAGGGAGTTCCAGACCAGCCTGGGCAACATGGCGAAACCCCATCTCTACAAAAAAATATTTAAAAATTAGCCAGGAGTGGTGGCACACACCTCTAGTCCCAGCTACTCAGAAGGCTATGGTGGGAGGATCACCTGAGCCCAGGAGGTCGAGGCTTGCAGAGCCCAAGATCACGCCACTGAACTCCAGAGTGAGACTCTGTCTCAAAAAAAAAAAAAAAGAATAGCTGAGAATTTTCCAAAAATAATGAGACATCAAATGACAGATACAAGCCAAGAGAACCCCAATCAAGATGAATACCAAAGGACAAAATGAAAAAATCCACAAACCTAGACACAAACTATTGAAAACCAAAGATAAAGAGAAAATCTTGAAAGTAGCCAAAGAGAAAGGCATTGCATTTACAGGAACAAAGATAAGAATCACAATAAAAGGCCGGCATGGTGGCTCACGCCTGTAATCTGAGCACTTTGGGAGGCCGAGGCAGGTGGATCACCTGAGATCAGGAGTTCAAGACCAGCCTGGCCAACATGGTGAAACCCCATCTCTACTAAAAATACAAAAAATTAGCTGGGCATGGTGGCAGGTGCCTGTAATCCCAGCTACTTGGGAGGCTGAGACAGGAGAATAGCTTGAACTCAGGAGGCGGAGGTTGCAGTGAGCCAAGACCATGCCACAGCATTCCAGCCTAAGTGACAGGGCGAGACTCCATCTCAAAAAAAAAAAAAAATTATAATAGACATCTCTAACAAAATATAAACAAACAAATAAACAAAGAAAGACATCTCACCAGAAACTATGCAAACCAAAAGAAAATGGAGGGACACTTTTAGAGTGCTAAAAGAATAAAACTATCAACACTGAATTCTAAACCCAGCAATAACTATTAAAAATAAAGTCAAAGTAAAAACGTTTTTCAGACAAGCAAAAGCTAAAATATATTCTACAAGAAATGCTAAAGGAAGTTCCTCTGGAAGAAGGAATATGATATCAGAAGGAAACTTGGATTTACATAAATAAATGATCTCCCAAATTAGTTAAAATGAAAGTAAATATGACATTTCTTCCTATTTTTAATTATTCTAAAAGATAATTGCCTAAAGCAGGGGTCACCAAACTTTCTGTAAAGGGTCAAACAGTAAATATTTCAGGTTTTGAGAGCCATATGGTTTCTGTTGCAACTGCTGAACTCTGCCATTGTAGCATGAAAGCAGCTAAAGATAACACATAAATAAATAAGTGTAGCTCTGTTCCCAGAAAACTATACTTAGAAAAACAGGCAGTGGGCCAATTTTTAAATTATAAAAATATAATTTAGGAGATAATTGGAAATTTGAACCCTGAGATATATTAAGAAGTTATTAATTTTTTACATGCATTAATGTTATTGTGGTTATGTTCTCTTTAAAAGCAGAATTCTAATTTGGGAACTGTGGCACACACCTATAGTTCCAGCTAGTTGGGAGACTGAGGTGAGAGTGTCCCTTCAGGCCAGAAGTTGAAGGCTGCGGGTGCTATGATCACGACTGTGAACAGCCACTGCACTCCAGCCTGGGCAACATAGCAAGAAGGCAACTCTAAAATAATACAAAATCAAAAAAAAATTTCTTATTTATTTATTTATTGTTTTTTTTTAGAGACAAGGTCTTGCTCTGTCATATAGGCAGGATTGCAATAACATGATCATAGCTCACAGCAGCCTCAATCTCCCAGGCTCAAGCAATCCTCCCATCTCAGCCTTTCAAGTAGCTGGGACTGTAAGCATGTGCCACCACACCAGGCTACTCTTTAAATTTTTAGTAGAGACAGGGTTTTGTCATGTTGCCCAGGCTGATCTCGAACCTCTGGGCTCAAGCAATCTGCCCATCTCGGCCTCCCAAAGTGCTGGGATTACAGGTATGAGCCACCGTGCCCAGCCAGAATCCTTATCTTTTAGAGATACATACCAAATATTTACTAATGTAATGATGCCTGGGATTTGCTTCAAAATAATAAAGAAAGTAGGTAGGGCTGTAGAAGAAAGAAGATTCATCGTAAGTAGATAATTGTTGAAGGTGTATATGGGGATCCAATTTACCTTTTCTTTTTTTTTTTGAAATGGAGTCTCACTCTGTTGCCCAGGCTGGAGTGCAGTTATTATTAGTTTTGTTATGTATGATAACAAAGAAAAAGTCCTTACCTGTTAGAGAAACGTAGGGAAGTATTTACAAATGAAGATGATATGTCTGGGCTTTGCTTTAAAATACTCAGAAAAGATTATGAAAGATAAGAAAAGACTGAAGAACCATTACAGACTGGAAGAAATGAAGGAAAAATAACAACTAAATGCAATGTGGGATCCTAGATAAGATCTTGGAACAAAAAAGGCCATAAGTGGAAAACCTGCTAAAATTCAAATATGGTCTATAGGTAATAGTGTTTTACTAATGTTAATTTCTTGGTTCTTATCAGTGTACTATGCTTATGTACAACGTTAGCATTAGAGGAATCTGGGCGAAGGGAATACAGGCACTCTCTCTACTATTTTTGCACTTTTCTATATGCCTAAAATTAGTTTTAAATAAAAAGGCCAAAAAAAATGTGGTGAGACCAATAAAATAATAGAATGTTGATAGGTATATGAGGTTCATTATGCTACTCTTCATTTTATTTACACATTTGAAAGCTTCTGTAATAAAATTTAAAAATACATCACTCCCTTGTTTCTGCCATTCTCTCAAACTACTCTCCTTCTCTTGCTTGATCAAACTTTACTTTCGCACTTAATCCTCTGTAATCTGGCATTGGCCTTCTCACCACTTTACTGACATTGTGCTCTCCAAAAGTAGCCTCACATAATCAAGAAATACAAGGATCTGCATTCAAGCCTCACTCTCTTTGAATACTCTGCAGCATGTAATGCGTAAACCAACCCATTTGGTTTGTTTTGAGACAGTCTTGCTCTGTCACCCAGGCTGGAGTGCAGTGGCGTGATCTCGGCTCACTGCAACCTCTGTTTCCTGGATTCAAGCGAGTCTCCTGTCTCAGCCCCCCTAGTAGTTGGGATTACAGGCACCCACCACCATGCCCGGGTAATTTTTGTATTTTTAGTAGAGACAGGGTTTTGCCATGTTGGCCAGGCTGGTCTCAAACTCCTGACCTCAAGTGATCCGCCCGCCTTGGCCTCACAAAATGCTGGGATTACAGGCGTGAGGCACCATGCCCAGCCAAAACCAACACTTTTTGAAGCCATATTTTCTCCTCACTACTATAACACTGCCCTTTCAAGTGCCAGGATTGCTTGTTTTCAGTTTCCCTGTTGCCTGCTACTGCTAGGAGAAGCATTGTAGTACAGTAGGAAAAAAACAGGCTTTAAAGTCAAACAGGGATCTCACATGGAAACAATACTGCTATAAAGATAAATAACACTGCACAGCACCTAGCACATACTCAATGCTCAACATGGTATTTGGAGAATACTGGTTAAGAGTGCAGGCCAAATAGCCTGAGTTCAAATCCCAGTTCCATCTTGTACTATCCATGTGACACTGAGCAGGTTACTTAGCCTCTCTGTGCTTCAGTTTCCTCCTCTGTAAAATTGAGATAATGGTACCATCATCACAGGGTTATTGTGAGGAAGAAATGTATTAATACAGGAACACAATAGGGGCTGGATAAATGTTAGCTCAAGTTCAAGATTCCCATGGAGTCAATTCCAGTTCTGTCACTACTGTATAATAAAGAATTTAGCTGGCCTTTGTCCCCTGTACTTGAGAGTTAGCCTCTAAACTTAGAATTTCCTGAATGACAGAGGAGTATTTTTGATATTCACAGGGGCTCTGGTAGTTTATGCTTACAGGTGAGTCACAGTAGGCCCTTACGTAGTTTGTACTCTGGTGATGACTCAGGATGGGGGCTAACCACGTCAGAAACACCGCACATATGACTAGAGGTTTGGGGCTTTAAGTCACAACATATAAGCCCAAACTTTCGGGAGTGGTGGGACCCTGGAGATTGAGTTCCATTATGTGAGCAATGGTCCAATTAATCATAATGAAACCCCAATAAAAACTATAGACACATGAGTGAACTTCCCTGATTGGCAATACTCTGCATATTGTCACATACCAGCAAACCAGGAGGGTAACATGTCTTGAATCCACAGGGACAAGACAAGGAATCTTTGTGTTTGGGACCCTGTCAGACCTCGCCCTGTGTATCTCTCTCTTTTGCACATTTGGATTTGTATCCCTTTGCTATAATAAAACTGTAATTTTAAGTAGAGTGCTGTTCTGAGTCCTATGAGTCATTCTAGTGAATTATGAAACCTGAGGGGAGGGCCAGGTGCCGTGGCTCACGCCTGTAATCCCAGCAATTTGGGAGGCCAAGATGGGCGGATAACTTGAGGTCAGGAGTTCGAGACCAGCCTGGCCAACAGGGTGAAACCCCGTCTCTACCCAAAATACAAAAGTTAGCCGGGCATGGTGGCATGTACCTGTAGTCCCAGATACTCAGGAGGCTAAGGCAGAGGCTGCAGTGAGCTGAGATTGTGCCAAAAAAGAAATAAACCTGAGCGGAACGTGGGAACCCGTGAATTTGTTGCTACTTGCTCTGAAGTGAGGATGGTCCTGGGAACCCCCAAAATTGTGGCTGGTGTCTGAAGAGCAGTCTTGTAGAGGACTGTGCTTTTAACCTGTGCAGTTTGGCCTAACTCCAGGTAGTTGGTATCAGAAGTCTCTGTAGTCACTGAAGTCCCATGTGATCCCCTACTCTCTCCCCTTTGTCTCTTCAAGAATCAGCAACAGTGTTCCATGAGCTGAGTCAGGAACTATGGCCCTCCAGCTCCATGTATAAAAGACAGGACTTCCAGGACCTCAGCTAATGGACCCTGCTCTCTGTCTAGCCCTCAGCGGGAAAGGCGACTTGGATCCATGTCCCTCCCCTTTCCCATCAGCAGGCAGGCTCTTGCACATATATAGATGTGCTCACAGAAACACACATGAACATTGCTCTGCCTGGCTTGGGCCAGTAAGGGGAACAGGTAGAGGCAGGGCCAAAAAACACACAATAAAAGCAGGGACTGCAACCCTAAAAAAAATAGCTGGGAGCAAATGGGTTATACTATTGACCAAAATCCTGGAAAAAGGAATCAACACGGGGAAGCATGAAGCAGGAATCAGCTCAAAGAGGCCTGGCTCCCAGGAGTGGATGACGGGGTAGCCAGTGGCATGGTCTCCAGCCAGCCCCTTCACCTGGGGCCAGCTTCCTCATAGCCTGAGATCTTCCAAAGATCCCAGACTATAGTTCAAGACCAGCCTGGCCAACACTGTGAAACCCTGTCTCTACTAAAAATACAAAAATTTGCTGCACATGGTGGTGCATGCCTGTGATCCCAGCTACTTGGGGAGGCTGAGGCAGGAGAATCACTTGAACCTGGGAGGCAGAGGTTGCAGTGAGCCGAGGTGGCACCATTGCACTCCAACCCTGGGCAACAAGAGCAAAACTCCGGCTCAAAAAAAAAAAAAAGACCCCAGACTGCAGCCATTATTACAGCCTATCTCTTCTTCCTGCCCCCTAAATACAGGCATTACCCAAGATTCTGTCTTTTTAACCCTGTGCAGATGACTCCTAAATCAACAACTCTAGGCAAGACCTCTTCTGCGCCCTGAAGTGCATGTTTTAAAGTCCAACTGCCTGTTGGATATCTATTGAATGGCCTGCCAGTATCTCAAACTAAACATGTCCCAAACTGAATTAGTCAACTTTTAAGGCCCTCATCCAGCTAACCCTCCTTATATATTATCTATTTTTGTTCAGAGTGTCACTATACTCTTGGGTGTCTATAGCCATGCTCTTCAAAATGTGGTACTGGGAGCAGCAGCAGCAGCATCTCCAGGGAGTCTGTAAGAAATGCAAAATCTCGGGCCCTATCCCAGACCAACTGAATCAGAACCTGCAAATTAACAAGATTCCCCAGATGACTGCTAGCACACTAAAGTTTGGAAAATACTGATCTAAGACAAATCCTCCTTCACACGCTACAAACCCTCGTGGATTCTGCCTTGTCTCAAATCCTCTTGTCTCCTGCCACTGCTGTTGTCCAGATCCTTATCATTTCTTCTCAGAACTACTGTAACAGCTTCACTGGCCCTCTAGATTCCAGATATTCCCCCACTGTAACTTACCCTCTATTATGTTGTCCAATTCATGATTTCAAATTCTTCCCTCCTCAAAAATTTCCACTGGCTCTTTGTAGCCCATTAAGCCTCCCAGGTTAGTAGCCAATAATAAGAAATAACACATTGCATTATTATATGCCAGGCATTCTATTAAGTGTGTTAATTTATCCAATGTGTTAACTCATTCCACCTAATAACCCTATGAACTAAGTATTGTTATATCTCTATTTTACAGATGGGGAAACTGAGGCAAGGAGGGGTTTGGTAATTTCCCCAATATCCCACTAGTTAAGTGACAGTGCTTAGAATCAAACCTAAGCAAGCTGACTCCAGAGTACACATTCCAAACCACCACTGTTCCATACTGCCTCCCTAACTCAGTAGGCTTACCTCTGAAGGCTTATCTCCTAATAATTCTCTGTGCTTCAGCCAAAGTGTTGTTCTATAAATATACTAGCACCTTCCAACTTCTGTGCCTTTGTTCACAAGAGGCTGTGTAGCACAAATGGATATATATAAGTCTGCGCTTCTATATATATATGAATGGATATATCCACTTATATATAAATGGATATATAAGTCTGGGCTTCAGAGTCAGATCTAGGTTCAAATTTCATGCATGGCACTAACTGGATGTAGACCCTAGGGAAATCATCAAACCTCCCTGCATGTCATATCCTCATCTGCACATAAAATGTAGTTAAAAGCCACCTAACTGAAATGATTGCTGTAAAGTTTAGTAGCAAATACGCAGAGGATGTCTAGCACAATACCTGGCATGTAGCAGGTGCTCAGTTATTGATAGCTCTTATACTCACTTGCAATTTCAAATCCTACCCATCCTTTGAAGTCCTTTCAAATATAACTTCCACCATGTAGCTTGGTCACCCCAACTGGACATGATAGCATTTTCCTTTAAATTTCTGTAATATTCTTTGTGTAACTTTCTCTTACATACTGCCTTATTTTAGCATTGTATACTTGTCTTATCCCTAAAACTTAAGACTGGTAGCACCATAGAGGCAGGCCCTTTGCATTCCCTACAGCAACTAGCACAGTGCATTACTCATTGTGGGAGTTCACTAAACATTTGTTGAATGGAAGCGGATTGCATATTGAGTAATGAGTGATCAGAACCACTGAAGTTAACTGGGGAAAGCTTCACAGAAGAGGGGTGGAGAAGTTTAAATGAAAGAAACTAAAAACTACTAAGCACCTATGACAATGTCACAGTAGGCACAATGTATATATTATCTCATTTAGTACTCTCACTAATTCAGTGATGTGTTCCTATCACCATTTTCCAAAGGAGGAAACTGGGGTTCAGCCTGATTTTACTCAAGGTCACGATAGAACTTAACACAACTCACTCTTATTGCCATATCCCCAGTGCCTAAAGGAGTGCCTGGAACATAGTAGCGGATGCTCAATAAATATTTGTTGAGTGAGTGAAGAGGTGAACAAATGGAGCTAGTAAGCAGCAGAGCTAGGACTAGAATTAAGTTCACTGATCTCCCAGCTCAGTTCACTATGTTAAGTTGCTAATTCAAAACAGAGGAAAGGGGGCCAGGCACGGTGGCTCACACCTGTGTCCCAGCACTTTGGGAGGCCGAGGCGGGCAGATCACCTGACGTCAGGAGTTCGAGACTAGCCTGGCCAACGTGGTGAAAGCCCGTCTCTACAAAAATACAAAAATTAGCTGGACGTAGTGGCAGGCGCCTGTAATCCCAGCTACTCAGGAGGCTGAGGCAGGAGAATCACTTAAACCCCAGAGGTGGAGGTTGCAGTGAGCTGAGATTGTGCCATTGTGCTCCAACCTGGGTGACAAGAGCAAAACTCCGTCTCAAAAAAAGAAAAAGAAAAAAAAAGAGGAAAGGGAAGAACCATTTACTGAGCAACTACTATATAACTAAACACATTGAGAAGAGGGACAGGAGCAGAATATTGACCTCATTATACTCCTCAGTTCATGGTACTGATAGTATTAGACACGTTACATAAATTATGCCATTTGATCTTTCTAAAAACTGTTTTGAGGCAGGTATTTTTATCTCCATTTTACAGATGAAGAAACACCCTCCCTAAAATGACTTGCCGAAACTCACAAAGTGGGTGGATTCCATCCCAAGTAAAGTTTAACTCCAAAGCCTGTGTTCTTAAAATACTTGTCCACACTTTGGGCTTGCAGTGGAAATTCTATCCCTTGCAGAGACAGGAGCAAGAGAGTATAGTGAAGATGGCCGGGCACAGTGGCTCACGCCTGTAATCCCAACACTTTGGAAGGCCGAGGCAGGAGGATAGCTTGAGCCCAGGAATTCGAGACCAGCCTGGGCAACATGGTAAAACCCCGTCTCTACAAAAAAATACTAAAAATTAGCCTGGTGTGGTGACACGCACCTGTGGTCCTAGCTACTAGGGAGGCTGAGGTGGGAGGATCACGTGAGCCTGGGAGGCAGAGGTTGCAGTGAGCAGAGACCGCGCCACTGCCCTCCAGCCTGGGTGACAGAGTGAGACCTTGTCTCGATTTTTAAAAAAGTAAAAAATAAGAAAGGAGAACAAGTATGGTGAAGAGAATGGCAAGGAGCTGCGACAGGGGTTAAACCTGGCCTACTGGGGTCACTGAACAAGTCAATACTAAAGTTATAAGCAACAAAACGTTAATGTCCCACGGGAAGCAATCTCTCATTATTCCTTCAACAAAGGCTGGTGACAGGTTTTGATAAAATGAGGGGACAGCAGAAGAAAAGATAACTTAAGAAATCACCTAAAGTTCGCCATTTAACACAATGTAGGGGACGATGACGAGACCTGGGAGGATGGGAAAGGAAAGATCGGAGTTTCACAAAAAGACCTGGAAGGAACCACGAGGGCAGGGGGCAAAGCGGTTAGCGCAAAGAACAGGTGCAGTGTTGGGACTGGTTCTGGCATCGGGTACAAGAAGGGCCTGCCGGGCGGAAGGAGCTCCGGCTCTCAGGCCACGAGCCCGTCCCCCGACTTCTTTAGGGGGCACTCTGCCTCACCCTCGGTCCCTTTTGTCGCAGATCCCAAGCTCACCAGGGGCCTGGGCGATGCTGTCCCCGGGTCTCCTGGAGACTCCTCCGCTTCCGCCATCTTGGCCCTCCTTCTCCCGGGTCGCTCCCACAGGTCTTTGCGGAACCTGCGACGTGGAGGCCACTGCCGGTCAGCGCGTCATCGCGTGACGGCCGCGTCACCTAATGGCGCCTGGCAATGGCCGGCGGCCCCGGCCCTTCGCTGTCCCTCGGTCCTCGGGGTGTCAGGGACAGCTCCGCGTCGCCTTGTCTCGCTTCTTCGGGGCCACGGGTCCAGCTAGACACGCTTAGCCTTTAACACTCAAGCCGGATTCTCAGACCGCTCCTTCGCTCTCGCGACCACGGCTGCCCTCTCCACCCCACCGACTCCCGCCCATTTCCCGTTCTCAGGAGTTGGCTTGGAGTGCCAGACCCTCGATCACGGCACCTCTAGGAAAGAGCCTGCCTCTCTTCCTTCCCTTCCCCGGCTACCGAGCGACTTCAAGTTTTCGTGCGCCGGAATGACGGGCTCAAGCCCCAACCTCCTGCTCCCTCCGCCGCCGCCCCTGCCCCTCTGACTCTGCGCCTCTCCTGCTGCTCGCAAGCCTCTTCCCACTTCCTTGACTTTTATAAACCTCTCTACTGCCTCCACGCCGACCCTCCAGGATTACTTTTCTCCAGCACCTCTGGCGGTGGGCAGGGAAGAAGCTTCATTGGCCAAACTTGTTAATCCCACTTCAAAAGTTGCTAAACCATTTGGAGCAAGTACTGAAAATGTTCAGGGTCTAAAAGAGAGTAACTATTGTGACAATAACTTAAAAGATAATCTTCATGTCCCAACCTGTTTTCCTTATCTCATCCTTTTGGGCTTTCAAGGTATTTCTGGTCCCAGTTTACGTTGGCCCCAGGCTAAAATGTAGTCAGACAGGGCAGCCATTGTTGACAGCATCAGCATCCAGGATACCTGGGTGCCCTTTGGTGGTGTTAAGCATTTAACCAACAAGGCAGGGGATGGCTGTGAAATAAAAGTGTTTTATATTTTTGGATAGGCAATCCAAGTAGTAAATTTAAGGAGGAAGAATGTGGAATGTGGAGGGACAAAATTCCAAACGAATGGAGGTGTTTTTTTTTTTTTTTTTTGGTGTTTGTTGTTTTGTTTTGTTTACGATAATTCCCCTTCAGACCAAGCACAATTTTAGTACTTGCACAAATACTGGTGGAAGTGATATTAAAATTTAAGCCAGTAGACATGAAATCTTTTTGCAATTGCAAGGGAATATCATGTACAAATGTCCCAACCCCAGCCTGAGCTTCTCACCTCATCCTCCCACCCCATGATTACCAGATCACTACCTCCCGTCCCACTTCCCTGAGGCCATTGATAACGTCTGCTATTTCCTTGCCAACCTCCAAAATTAGCTATTTCTCCCTAGCCACAAGCCCCTCGCTTCTACCCCTTCTAACCTCATCTATTGGCCCTCTTGGCCACTTATTTCAAGGTAGCCTTGGTGATAGGTTAAGAGGAGGACAGGCCGGCCGGGCGCGGTGGCTCACGCCTGTAATCCCAGCACTTTGGGAGGCCGAGGCGGGCGGATCAAGAGGTCAGGAGATCGAGACCATCCTGGCTAACACGGTGAAACCCCGTCTCTACTAAAAATACAAAAAATTAGCTGGGCGTGGTGGCGGGCGCCTGTAGTCCCAGCTACTCGGAGGGTGAGGCAGGAGAATGGCATGAACCCGGAAGGCGGAGCTTGCAGTGAGCCGAGATCGCGCCACTGCACTCCAGCCTGGGCGAAAGAGCGAGACTCCGTCTTAAAAAAAAAAAAAAAAGAGGACGGGCCATAGGACAATTGAGGCAGGCAGTGCTCAGGTTAGTTGGGCATTATTTCAGACTACCAATGCCTGTTCTCCCCATTTAACTAATAGGGTACTGGTTGGGTGTGAGACAATATGCTTTGTAGAAAGAAAATCAGGAAGGAAGGTTGTGAAGGAAGGGGCTGCACAGGAACAAGCTCCCAAAACTAGGAATTATTCTATGTTTTTAGTTGCAAGTGTATCTCAAAAAATTGCCAGACTAACTCAGAGTTCTTTAATACACCTACAGTCATTACTGTTTGCCAGATCATGGATATTTACAATACAGCAGGACTTGCATGACTTGTCCAAAGTTACTTAGAACCTTTGTAAGTGGTAGAAGTGGAATTAATATTTAAGTCAATAGGTATGAAGAACTTTGTTGGCTAATCTGTATTTCAGGACACTATAACATACAACTCTATGAAAATAACCAGGAAATATTAAGGAAATAATTTCCCAGAAAAATGATCAGAATTGACTCAAAACAAAGTGGGGAATTTCATTAAAACAAAATTTTGAAAGGAAAAATTTAAAACACATGTTAAAAGCTGGCTGGGCGCGGTGGCTCACGCCTGTAATCTTAGCACTTTGGGAGACCGAGGTGGGCAGATTGCCTGAACTCAGGAGTTCGAGACCAGCCTGGGCAACATGGCAAAACCCCGTCTCTACTAAAAATACAAAAATTAGCCTGGTGTGGTGGTGCGTGCCTGTAGTCCCAGATACTCGAGAGGCTGAGACACGAGAATCTCTTGAATTCTGGAGGAGGAGATTGCAGTGAGCCGAGATCACGCTACTGCACTCCAGCCTGGGTGACAGAGCAAGAATCCATCTCCACAAAAATAAATAAATAAATAAATAAATACATAAAAAGTAAGATGAAGACAGTTTGTATGGTATGCTATCAACTGAGTAAAAATGTAAGGGCAATGGATAGATATCCATACATTGTACTTGAATATTCACAGACTGTGTCCGGAAGGCTACACAAAAAGCCGGTAACTGGTTGCCTGTGGGGAGAGAAACTGGCAATAGGGGTGGATTGACTTGCAAGTGAAGACTATTCATTGTATGTGAAGCAGTTTGAAATTTTAAACATATACATGTATTAGTTTTTTAAAAGTTGCCAAATATCTCCCCTCTTCTCCTACCCTCAAAGTGCTGGGCCCAGATGGTTTCATAGGCTATTCATTCAAGCCTTCACAGAGCACATAATTCCTACACTATATAAATTGTTCAAGAGAGAAGAAAAGGCAAAGTTTACAAATTTATTCCAGGGACCTAGCATAAACATGGTACCACACCTGAAAAAGATAGTACTAAAAAGAAAACTGTGTCATCTTGCATGTAAATATATATCTACAGGCCAGGCATGGTTAGATTATGGCTCACACCTATAATCCCAGCACTTTGGGAATCCAAGAGAGGAGTTCGAGATTAGCCTGGGCAACATAGGTTAATAGGATGTTAATAAACATAGGGTCTCCTGTCTCTACAAAAAAATAAAAATAAAAATTTGCTGAGAGGCCAGGTGCGGTGGCTCATGCCTGTAATCCCAGCACTTTGGGAGGCCGAGGCAGGCAGATCGCCTGAGCTCAGGAGTATGAGACCAGCCTGGGCAACAGGTGAAACCCTGTCTCTACTAAAATACCAAAAAAAAAAAAAAAAATTAGCCGGGCATGCCGGGGTGCGCCATGTAGTCCCAGCTATTCGGGAGGCTGAGGCAGAAGAATTGCTTGAACCCAGGAGGCGGAGGTTGCAGTGACCCGAGATCATGCCACTGCACTCCAGCCTGGTGACAGAGCGAGACTCCATCTCTCAAACAAACAAACAAAAAAAAATTAGCCAAGAGTGGTGGCACACACCTGTGGTCTCAGCTACTTGGGAGGCTGAGGTGGGAGGATCACTTGAACCAGGGAGGCAAGGCTGCAATAAGCTATAGTCATGCCACTGCACTCCAGCCTGGGCAACAGAGCAAGACCCTGTCTCAAAAAAAAACTTAAAAAAAAAATATATATATACACACACACACACATACATACATACACACAAACACCTTAAACAAACTGTTAGCAAATAAAATCTGACAACTTAATATGACAAAGAATATCTGTCTCAAACGAAAACCAACATCATGATATACCTGGTATTCCCATTAAATCCAGGAACAAGGCAAGAATACCTTTTATCCCCACTGTTATTTAGCACTGTTCTGGAAGTGCCTGAAAATGTCTTTAGATTCTTCCTCCTCTTGGGACAAAGGCCAGCTCCATTCTCCCTGAGGCCATTGGTCCCACTGAATACTCTCACCCATTAACACTAGCTTAAACCTCAGTCTCCAACACACAAGCAACCGTACAGCCCTACAAAACTCCACATGTGTTTCCCACTTTCAGCATTTTCTTTTCTTGGCACTTGCCTTTTCCAAAGTATAGCACTTCTCTGTATAAGTATAGCATTTCTCTGTGCACTTAACCCTTCCTAGTGTAACCATAGCTTCTCTTCAATCTCAAAAAATTACTGACAGATCCTTCCCTAACCTCTCTATTTACCTCTACCTCTTTCCCTTCTCCATTCCTGCCTTGGCCCAACCCAATTCCCTACCCTTACCCCATTCCCTAGTCCTTTCTCACTTCACTGAAGATTTCCCTAACCAATCTCCCTAACCTCCTACCATGTACCTCATCTCTGGGCTTTCTCAGCACCCTGACTAAAGATTGCGTCGCCACTGGGCTAGGAGGAGGTTAGGTTATAAAGTGATTGGGGATGCAGTCAGTATTCAGGTTCCCTGGGTGCCTTTTCAGCTAACAAACAGGGTAGGAGATAATTACGAGATGAAGCAGAGTGCCCTATATTTTTGGATTAGGCAATTCACAAAAACTCCAAAGTACCTCTAAAGGTAAAACAATGTGAAACATATAAACAAATTCACAGAATAGGAATTGCCATAATATTTTTTTCTTTTTCTTTTTTTTTCTTTTATTTATTTATTTATTTTATTGTACTTAAGTTCTAGGGTACATGTGCACAACGTGCAGGTTTGTTACATATGTATACATGTGCCATGTTGGTGTACTACACCCACTAACTCGTCATTTACATTAGGTATACCTCCTAATGCTATCCCTCCCTACTACCCCCACCCCACAACAGACCCCAGTGTGTGATGTTCCCCTTCCTGTGTCCAAGTGTTCTCATTTTTCAATTCCCACCTATGAGTGAGAACATGCAGTGTTTGGTCTTTTGTCCTTGTGATAGTTTGCTGAGAATGATGGTTTCCAGCTTCATCCATGTCCCTACAAAGGACATGAACTCATCATTTTTTATGGCTGCATAGTATTCCATGGTGTATATGTGCCACATTTTCTTAATCCAATCTATCATTGATGGATATTTGGGTTGGTTCCAAGTCTTTGCTATTGTGAATAGTGCCGCGAAAAACATATGCTGCATGTGTCTTTATAGCAGCATGATTTATAATCCTTTGGGTATATACCCAGTAATGGGATGGCTGGGTCAAGTGGTATTTCTAGTCCTAGATCCTTGAGGAATCACCACACTGTCTTCCACAATGGTTGAACTCTTTTTTTTCTTGAGATGGAGTCTCGATCTGTCACCCAGGCTGGAGTGCAATGGCACAATCTCAGCCACTGCAACTTCTGCCACCCGAGCTCAAGCGATTCTCCTGTCTCAGCCTCCTGAGTAGCTGGGATTACAGACACCCACCACCACACCCAGCTGATTTTTGTATTTTTAGTAGAGATGGAGTTTCCCCATGTTGGCCAGGCTGGTCTCGAACTCCTGACCTTAGGTGATCCACCTGCCTCAACCTCCCAAAGTGCTGGGATTACAGGCGTGAGCCACCACACCAGGCCTATTTTTTCAATTACAAGTATATCTAGCAACATTTGTCATTGTGTATGCCCACATAAATTACTCTCTTTCAAATCATGAACATTTTCAGTAGAGTAGTTAACATTTGCTTTCTTTTTTTTATTATGTATTTTTGAGATGGAGTCTCACTCTGTCACCCAGGCTGGAGGGCAGTAGTACGATCTCTGCTCACTGCAGCTTCAAACTCCTGGGTTCAAGAAATCCTCCTGCCTCAGCCTCCTGAGTAGCTGGGACTACAGGCACATGCCACCGCACCCGGCTAATTTTTTGTATTTTTAGTAGAGACAGGGATTTGCCATGTTGCCCAGGTTGGTCTCGAACTCCTGACCTCAGGCAATCCGTCCACCTCAGCCTCCCAAAATGCTAGGATTACAGGCCTGAGCCACATGAGCCACACAGTGAGACTCTGTCTCAAAAAAAAAAAAAAAAAAAAAAAAAGAAAAGAAAAGAAAAAAAATGAAATTTAATCCCCAATGTGACAATGTTGGGAGATAGGACCTGGTGGGAGGTGTTTGGGTCATGGCAGTGGATTCCTCATGAGTAGATTAATACCCTCTCTTGGGGCGCTTGAGTTATTACTCTGTTAATTCTCACAAGAGCTGGCTGTTAAAAAGAGCCTGTCACCTCCCCACCCTTGCTTCCTTTTTTGTCATGTGATCTCTTTACACACACTGGCTTTCCTTCTGCTTTCCACAGTGAGTTGAAGCAGCCTGAGGCCCTCATCTGATGCAGAAGCTCAATCTTGAACTTTCCAGTCACCAGAATCATGAGCCAAATAAACCTCTTTTCTTTATAAACTACCTGGTCTCGGGTATTCTGTTATAACAACACTAAATGGACTAAGATATATGTGAGTGGTACATTAAAAAAGAAAAGCAGCTTATAAAAATACTATTTATGTAATAAATATTATGTAAATAGAAGGACTAATGAACACACAAGAATTGAATTTTCCTACCAATATCCATGTCCCCCTTATTCTTTAACAGACCTGTACATGGGCAGGTTTCTGAGAAAGCAATTATTTTATTAAATAGAGGACACACACTCAGCTTGCATGGCTTACTCCTCTCAATCTTCTTGTCCTGAATATAGACATGATATCTGGAGATGCAAGAATGCAACAACCATCTTGCCACCAAAAGAAGAAAAAGATGAGAACAAAAGTCCAAGTGCTAAGGATGCCCTTTTCACGTTCTGTGAATTAAGAAGAAAAGAAAAGAAAAGAAAAAGAAACAAAAAGAAGGACAGGAATGGTGGCTCACTCATACCAGCAATTTGGGAGGCCAAGGCAGGCAGATCACTTGAGGCCAGGAGTTTGACATCAGCCTGGCCAACAAGGTGAAATCCCATCTCTACTAAAAATACAAAAATTAGCCAGGTGTGGTGGTGCATGCCTGTAGTCCCAGCTACTTGGGAGGGTGAGGCATGAGAATCATTTGAACCCAGGAGGCAGAGGTTGCAGTGAGCTGAGATCATGGCACTGTACTCCAGCCTGAGTGACAGAGCAAGACTCTGTCTCAAAAAAAATTAAATTAAATTAAAAATGTAAAAAAAAAACCAGTCATCACATATATTGTAAAAAGCAATATGAATCTCTTCATTAAAAATGGGGATATAGGCTGGGCACGGTGGCTCACACCTGTAATCTCAGCATTTGGGGAGGCCAAGGTGGGCGGATCACTTGAGGTCTGGAGTTTGAGACCTGCCTGGCCAACATAGCGAAACCCTGTCTCTAGTAAAAATACAAAAAATAAAAATAAATGAGCCAGGCTTGGTGGCAGGCACCTGTAATCCCAACTACTTGGGAGACTGAGGCAGGAGAATCACTTGAACTTGGGAGGCAGAGGTTGTGGTGAGCCAAGATTGTGCCACTGCACTCTAACCTGGGGCAACAGAGTGAGACTCCGTCTCAAAAAAAAAAAAAAAGGTTGGGGGGCAGGGAAGGATATATCAGGCCGGGCGAGGTGGCTCACGCCTATAATCCCACCACTTTGGGAGGCTGAGGCGGGTGGATCACTTGAGGTCAGGCCAACATGGCTTGGCCAACATGGTAAAACCCCGTCTCTACTAAAAATACAAAAATCAGCCAGGCGTGGTGCCAGGCGCCTGTAATCCCAGCTACTCAGGAGACTGAGACAGGAAAATTGCTTGAACCCAGGAGGTGGAGGTTGCAGTGAGCTGAGACTCTGTCTCTATTTTTAAAAAATGGGAATATATCAGTACTAACTTAATTCAAAGGAATTTTTGGGGGCTTGAAAGAGAAAATACATGAGAAAGTAAAATGCCAACAATAAAGCAAAATGTATCTTATTGCTGCAGTTGTCTGTCTATTCCTGGATTTCCTCCAGAAGGCAGAGCCTGAGACAAGGACTTTCATGTTGGTGTTGATATTGGGAAGTCATCCCATGTAACAGGAGTGCAGAACATGAAAGTCTGAAGCAGAAAAGGAAGGAAAGTCATTAAAAGAATATATTTCCAGCTGGGCACCTGGGGGTCAATCCCACTGAGGAGCCATGTAGAATGCAATTCACAGTTGTCCACTGGAGGGACAGAAGAGTAGGAGTCTCTCTACAGCTCCTGTATCCCATTGGTCAGGAGTCACTATGTGCAGTGTTAATTCCCTTTCACCTCCAGACTTGTGCATGCTTCAGAATATTAGAACAGTTTCCCACAGGCAAGAAGAAGCCTGTGGACTTCTGTGAGATAAAACACAGTGTAGGCAAGTACTGTCAGGTTGAACCTGCCTACATAGTGGTAGATGGAAAGAATACAAGGCAGGGCTTGAAAGGTATTTGATGCCTACTCTAAACGCAAGGCGACAGTTATCTGAAAAATAGTGGTGGTAGTAGGAGTGTCAAGGAAGCAATTTTACTTTCATTTTTCTTTACTTTTTATCTTTACATTTTCAAAGAGGCAGCTTGATGTAGTGAATAAGCACACAAACTCTGGAACCAGACTATGTAGGTTTGAAACTAAACTCCATCATTAGTAAATCATGTCATTTTGGACAAGTTACTAAATCTCTCCATGCCTCAGTTTCATCATCGGTAAAATGGAGATAACAATAGCTGCCTAATAGAGTTGTGAGGACTGAGTTAAATGTTAGCTATTAATATTTACAATAGAAACACATGTTTGGCCAGGTGTGGTGGCTCATGCCTATAATCCCAGCACTTTGGGAGGCTGACGTGGGCGGATCATCTGACGTCAGGATTTCAAGACCAACTTGGCCAACATGGGGAAACCCCATCTCTACTAAAAATACAAAAATTAGCCAGACATGGTTGTGTGTGCCTGTAATCCCAGCTACTCAGGAGGCTGAGGCAGGAGAATTGCTTAAACTCAGGAGCCAGAGGTTGCAATTAGCCGAGATCGAGCCACTGCACTCCAGCCCGGGTAACAGAGCAAGACTCTATCTCAATAAATAAATAAATAAATATTAAAAAAATAAGAAACACATGTCTGCTGCCCCTCCCCACCCGATTTTGCCCTTCCATACTCTCATCTATTCCCTCACTGAAGACAGAAGATCTTTTATTTTCTATTATTTATAACTTCAGAATTTGGCCTCCTGTTCTTTCCCATTAACTTGAGTGACCTGTGTGAGAGACAGACAGACAGATACCACACAAAGATGGTAGGACAAGAACTTTTACTTTTTCTTACATAAAAATATTTAAAAATAAATAAAATTTTAAACTAAAAAAATTACATTTGTTGTAAAAATTGAGAACACATAGTTATATAAAAATATGAAGTTAAGTGTTCTGTGTCTGTTGTTAGAATGTGGGGTTTTTTTGTTTTGTTTTTGTTTTTTTGTGTGTGTTTTTTGAGATAGAGGCTCTCTCTGTCGCCCAGGCTGGAGCGCAGTGGTGCTATCTCAGCTCACTGCGACCGCCGCCTCCCAGGTTCAGGTGATTCTCATGCGGCAGCCTACTGAGTAGCTGGGATTACAGGCGCGTGCCACCAAGCCCAGCTAATTTTTGTATTTTTAGCAGAGATGGGGTATCACCATGTTGGCCAGGCTGGTCTTGAACTACTGACCTCAAGTTATCCTCCTGCCTCGGCCTCCAAAAGTGCTGGGATTACAGGTGTGAACCACTGCACCTGGCCAGAATGTTTTCGTTTTTGAGTAAGACAAAATCAACCCACACTGCTAGTGATGGATTGGAGAAAGCAAGGCCCATGAATTGAGATGGAAAGCCTTGGGGTCAGGCAGTTGGAAGGTGACATAAAACTATTCTGTCAGCAAAGTCAGGCCAAGGGGCTGAGGGAAGCCGAGGAATGAAATGGAACTTGGATAAACTGAGTGGTGAGCGTATGTAGCTAGCCAACAGGAGGTGTTCCTTCCCCTGCTGTTTTCTGTTGTTCCTTCTGCCTTTTTTTCTGGTCCTTCACTACCTTGCTTCTTGGCAGCAATGCCTTCCCTTTTTGTAACTGAAAAAAAGGTGAACATGGGGCCACTGTGGACGAATGTATGGTCAATGTTTGTTCTGAATGAGTTCATCTAAAAAGTGCACTTCTGAAAAGCAAACAAAACCTACGCAGTTAGGTTGCCATTAAAATGACACACAGTGCAAAGAGCAGTGTGTCTGTTGTACTACACACTCCTACTTTCCACCCCTCCCCCATCGCTTTCTTGAGAAGGACGAACCTGACAAGGAAAGAGGAAGAATAGCAAGGAAAGGATACCCTTAGGAGTAGGCAACAGCAACTCAATACTTCCCATGCTTCCCATGTTAAAGTTTGAGGTAAACTTTAATATAAGAAACACCACACGAGGTGTTTTTGATGTAGTGAATAAGCATACAAATTCCACAGGTGCAGTGGCTCATGCCTGTAATCTCAGCACTTTGGGAGGCTGAGACAGGCAGCTCACTTGAGCCAAGAGTTCGAGACCAGCCTGGGCAACATGGCAAAACCCCATATCCATAAAAAAAATACAAAAATTAGCCAGGCCTGGTGGCAGGTGCCTGCAGTCCCAGCTACTTGGGGGTCTGAGGCAGGAGGATTGCTTGAGCCCAGGAGGTTGAGGCTGCAGTGAGTCCACTGCCCTCCAGCCTGAGCAACAGAGCAACTCAAGAAAGAAAGAAAGAAAAAAAGAAAGAAAGAAAGAAAAGAAAAGAAAAAAAGCAAGAAAGAAAAGAAAAAAGAGAAAGAGAAAGAAATAAAAAAGAAAAGAAAAAGGAAAAGGAAAAAAAAGGAAGGAAAGATGAACCACACGGGAATCATTTTAAAGCTTCCTCTCTAGTAAGATTGGGAACAGAGAATCCTATGAGTGGGCATGACCAAGGGCAGCAGAGGCCACTGAGTTCCTAACACACTGCATGCAGTCCCTTAGGATGAGTAGATGACTCACTAATATCTGAACTACTTGGATGCAGATGTATGTATGTATGTATGTATGTGTGTATTTATTTATTTTTTTTTTTTGAGGCTCACTGCAGCCTCAAACTCAGGCCTTCAAGTGCTTCTCCTGTCTTGGCCTCCCAAAGTGCTGGGATTACAGGTGTGAGACACTGCTCCCAGCCTACACAAATTTAAAATATAGTTAATTCTTCAGTCCAGCCCTCCAAATCATTTCCTACCTCTGTCCATGTGTGGATTCTCAGAAAAGCACAAAGCTTTAATGTATGTGAAACAAGGTCTAAGAAAAAGCAAGCAATAAAAGCTCAGGGAAAGAGACAAGACCAACTCACGCCTACACTTCGATCCTACTGAGACCTACAATCCACTGATTTGCCACAGTTTTACTGTCTTTCATCCCCCTGATGTCCACTTTTTTCTCTTTATTCAGTTTAAACTCCACTGGCAATCACCACAATCGTTTCTTTGCAACATTCTCAACTCCCTTACCCGTCTTTTGCTTTTATTGCACTCATTTGGCAAGAATACAGACCTGGTTAAACCCAACACTCTGTATACTTCGTGTTTGCATCGTCAGCTAAATGTAATCAGAGAAAAACATACAACTTTGCTGACTGGTCTCACTTTAAGGGACCACAAAGCTTCATAGACCTTTAATGCTGCCTGGTGATCACACAAATTTCTTAAGTCCATTTACTTGCCCACTCACCTAAAGATTATATCATACCTTCTTTCTCCTCAAAACTTCAATGTCTCCTCTCCAATCCTGAATTTCAGATGAAAACTTTGCCCCCTACTTCACTGAGAAAATAAAAGCAATCCAAAGAGACCTTCTATTGACCACCACATGTACCCACTTGTTAGCATCCATAAGCACATTCTCTGCCATTTCTCCTCACAATCAACTGTATTATCTAAGGCACTTATATACTAGGTCTGATCCCATATCTTCCCACTCAAGGATAACATCTCAAGATTAAAAGGAAAAGTTCACATATATGAAATGACTGCATTTAAGCAGATTAAAAATATTAACTAACATCTGTATGAACTCTACTATTTTACAAACTAATTGCACGTACATTTTTGTACCTTATCTTCACAAAAATTCTATGAGGTAGGTTTTATTCTTATTCCCATTTTGCAAGAAAATGAGACTTCAAAGAGGTAAATTATTTGCTCCAAATTGCTTGGAAATTTGGTTAGTGGTAAAGATGGAATTGAAATTTAGGCCAAGAACATCAGAGAAATGCAAATCAAAACCACAATGAGATACCATCTCACACCAGTTAGAATGGCAATCATTAAAAAGTCAGGAAACAACAGGTGCTGGAGAGGATGTGGAGAAATAGAAACACTTTTACACTGTTGGTGGGACTGTAAACTAGTTCAACCATTGTGGAAGTCAGTGTGGCGATTCCTCAGGGATCTAGAACTAGAAATACCATTTCACCCAGCCATCCCATTACTGGGTATATACCCAAAGGACTATAAATCATGCTGCTATAAAGACACATGCACACGTATGTTTATTGTGGCACTATTCACAATAGCAAAGACTTGGAACCAACCTAAATGTCCAACAATGATAGAGTGGATTAAGAAAATGTGGCACATATACACCATGGAATACTATGCAGCCATAAAAAAGGATGAGTTCATGTCCTTTGTAGGGACATGGATGAAACTGGAAATCATCATTCTCAGTAAACTATCGCAAGGACAAAAAACCAAACACCGCATGTTCTCACTTATACATGGGAATTGAACAATGAGAACACATGGACACAGGAAGGGGAACATCACACTCTGGGGACTGTTGCAGGGTGGGGGGAGGGGGGAGGGATAGCATTAGGAGATATACCTAATGCTAAATGACGAGTTAATGGGTGCAGCACACCAACATGGCACATGTATACATATGTAACTAACCTGCACATTGTGCACATGTACCCTAAAACTTAAAGTATAATAATAATAATAATAATAATAATAATAAAGAAATTTAGGCCAAGAATAATAATGGAAAATTGGTTTTTATTTTTAATTTACATGAAAGTGCTATGTACAAATCTATGCAAATAAGTTTGAAAGCATCAAGGAGATAGACTGTTTCTTAGAAAAATTTAAGTGTTCAAACTGACCCAAGAGAATTTAGGAAACCTCATCAGAACAATGACTATGTAAAAATATCTTTAAAACTCTCAGAGAATCAGGCTGGCGCCATGACTCACTCCTGTAATTCCAGCACTTTGGGAGGCCGAGGCGGGCGGATCACTTGGGTCAGGAGTTCGAGACCAGCCTGGCCAAAATAGCAAAACCCTGTCTCTACTAAAAATACAAAGCTTAGCTGGGTGGGGTGGGGCATCCCGTAATCCCAGCTACTCCACAGGCTGAGGCATGAGAATTGCTTGAACCCAGGAAGCGAGGTTGCAGTGAGCTGAGATCGTGCCAGTGCACTCCAGCTTGGGCTTCAGAGTGAGACTCCATCTCAAAAACAAACAACTGTCAGAGAATCAGTCCTCTAAATCAAAAGTTGCCAAATATTTTCTGTAAAAGGCTAGATAGTAAATGTTTTAGGTTATGTAGACCATCAATTGTCTCTGTTGCATATTATTCTTTTATGTCTTTTTGTTTTGGGTTTTTACAGATCTTAAAAATGCAGAAACCGGTCTGACACGGTTGTTCCTGCCTGTAATCCCAGTACTTTGGGAGGTCGAGGCAGGAGGATCACTTGAGCCCAGAAGTTCGAGACCAGCCCGGGTAACATGGAGAAACCCCCATCTCTACAAAAAATTGAAAAATTAGCCAGGCATGGTTTCACACACCTGTAATCCCAGCTACTCTGGAGGCTGAAGTGGGTGGATCACTTGAGCCCAGGAGTTCAAGGTTACAGTGAGCTATGATGGCGCCACTGCACCCTAGCCTGCGCAGCAGAATGAGACCCTGTCTCAAAAAAAAATAAAAATAAAAATAAAAATAAAATAAAAAAGTATGCTGTTTAGTTTCCAAATATTTGGGAATTTTTCAAGGTATCATTTTGTTATCAACTTCTTATTTAGTTTCCTTCTGGTTTGAGAACATATTTTGTGTGGCTTATATTCTTTTAAATTTGTTAAGGTTTGTTTTGTGACTTAGAATACAGTCTGTGTTGGTGAATGATTCAAGTGCACTTGGAAAGAGTGTCTCTTCTGCTGTTGTTGGGTGGAGTGTTATCAATTAGGTCAAGTTGGTTGATAATGTACTTCATGTTATCTGTATTCTTACAGATTTTCTGCCTTCTTGTTCTATCAATTACTGAGAGAGGAGTGTTGAAGTTTCCAACTATACCTGTAGATTTATCTATTGCTCCTTTTATTTTTGTTCTATTGCTTCTTTTAGATCTATCATCAGTTTTGCCTCATAGTTTGAAGGAACCAAACTCACCCTTTTATTATTATGTAATATTTGTTCCTAATAATAGCCCTTGCTCTGAATTCTACTTTTTTCTGAAATTAATGTAGATAATCCAGCATAATTCGTGTTTGCATAGTATATATTTTGCTATCCTGTTACTTTTCATATAATAGACCTTTTTTTGAGATGGGGTCTTGCTGTGTTGCCCAGGCTGGTCTTGAGTTCCTGGGCTCAAGTAATCCTCCCTCCTCAGCCTCCCAAGTAGCTAGAATCACAGGTGCACATCACTGTGCCAGGCTAGATCTTCGTACTTAAAATGAGTTTCTAATAGACAGCATATAGTTGATTATTACTTTTTTATCCAAATAATGTTTGTATTTTAATGGATATGTTTATTCACATTTAAAAAGAGTATTGACGTGATTAGATTTACATATACCATCTTGCAATTTGTTTTATATTTGTTCCATCTGATTCTGCCTGTCCTTCATCTCTTTTTCTGACTTTCTTATTATTCTTATCATTCTATGTTTTTTGTTTGTTTGTGTTTTTTGAAATGGAGTCTCACTCTCTCACCCAGGCTGGAGTGCAGTGGCATGATCTCAGCTCACTGCAACCTCCACCTCCCAGGTTCAAGCAATCTTCCCACCTCAGCCTTCCAAGTAACTGGGACTACAGGCACCCAACCCCTTGCTGATTTTTGTATTTTTAGTAGAGACGGGGTTTCACCATGTTGGCTAGGTTGGTCTCGAACTCCTGACCTCAGGTGATCCACCAGTCTCAGCCTCCCAAAGTGCCGGGATTACAGGCATGAGCCACCATGTCCGGCCCCAATCATTCCATTTTTTTATCCTTGTTAATTTATTGGCTATAACTCTTTGTTGTGTTGGTATAGTGATTGCTTTAGGGTTTATGTTAAATAGTTTTAATATATCACAGTCTACCTTCAAATAATTTATGCTGTTAGATTCACAGTATGAGACCTGTATTTACCAGTATGAGGATGCTTCCATTTCTCCCTTCTGGTCTTTGTGCCCTTACTGTCATACATTTTACTTCTACATGTTATAAATTCTGTCATACATTGTTGCTGTTTTTCTTCTTTTGAAACAGGGTCTCACATTGTCACCCAGGCCAGAGTACAGTGGTACAATCTCGGCTCACTTCAGCCTCGACCTCTTGGGCTCAAGCAATCCTCCCACCTCAGCCTCCCAAGTACCTGGGACTATAGGCACGCACCACAATGTCAGGCTAATGTATATATATAATACATATACACACACACACACTATATATATTATATATAGTATGTATATAATATATAATGTGTGTATAATTATAATATATATACATATCACACTATAATATATATACTCTCTATATATTATATATAGTATATATAATATATATACATACTCTCTATATATTATATATAGTATATATAATATATATACATACTCTCTATATATTATATATAGTATATATAATATATATACATACTCTCTATATATTATTTATAGTATATATAATATATATACATACTCTATACATTATATATAGTATATATAATATATATACATACTCTCTATTATATATAGTATACATAATATATATACATACTCTCTATATATTATATATAGTATATATAATATATATACATACTCTCTATATATTATATATAGTATATATAATATATATACATACTCTCTATATATTATATATAGTATATATAATATATATACATACTCTATATATTATATATAGTATATATAATATATATACATACTCTCTATATATTATATATAGTATATATACACACACTATATATATATTATATATAGTATATATATAATAGTGTGTGTATATATATTATATATATATATATGTATTTTGTAGCGACAGGGCCTCATTATATTGCCCAGTCTGGTCTCAAACTACTAGGCTCAAGTGATCCTCCCACCTCAAGCCTTCCAAAGTGCTTGAATTACAGGTAAGCCACCTTACCCAGCCATGGCTAGAGTTCAGTGGTGCAATTGTAGCTCACTGCAGCCTTCAAGTCATTCTCCCATCTCAGCCTCCTGAGTAGCCGGGACCACAGGTACGCACCACCATTTTTGGCTAATTATTAAGGTTTTTGTTATTATTTTATTTAACACTTATTATTTTATTTAAATAATAAGAAAGAAAGGTCTTTCTATTCACACATGTAATTACCCTTTCTAAGGCTTTTCATTCCTGTGTGCTCTGTGTATAGATCCAGGTTTCCAGCTGGTGCCATTTGTCTATCACTTGAAGAAATTTTTAAAATATTTTTTGTAGTGTGGGTCTACTGGAAATGAATTATTTCAGTGGCTTCATGTCTGAAAATAGCTTTATTAAAACTTCAGGCCAGGCACGGTGGCTCAAGCCTGTAATCCCAGCACTTTGGGAGGCCGAGGTGGGCGGATCACGAAGTCAGGAGATTGAGACCATCCTGGCTAACATGGTGAAACCCCGTCTCTACTAAAAATATAAAAAAATTAGCCAGGCTTGGTGGCGGGCGCCTGTAGTCCCAGCTACTCGGGAGGCTGAGGCAGGAGAATGGCGTGAACCTGGGAGGCAGAGCTTGCAGTGAGCCGAGATCGCGCCACTGCACTCCAGCCTGGGCGATAGAGCAAGACTCCGTCTCAAAAAAAAAAAATTCAGCGGGGCCAGCCATGGTGGCTCACATCTATAATCCCCGCACTTTTGGAGGCTGAGGCAGATGGATTGCTTGAGCTCAGGAGTTTGAGACCAGCCAGGGAAAAACGGCGAAACTCCATCTCTACAAAAAATACAAAAAATTAGCCAGGCATGGTGACTGTGGTCCCAGCTACTCCACAGGCTGACGTGGGAGGATCACCTGAGCCCAGGGAGGCTGAGGCTGCAGTGAGCTGTGATCATGCCACTGCACTTTAGCCTGGGTGACAGAATGAGACCCTGTCACAAAAAAAAAGGAAAGAAAAAGAAAGAAAGAGAAAGAAAGAAGAAAGAAAGAAAGAAAGAAAGAAAGAAAGAAAGAAAGAAAGAAAGAAAGAAAGAAAGAAAGAAAGAAAGAAAGAAAAACTTCAGGGCCAAGTGTGGTGGCTCGTGCTTGTAATCCCAGTACATTGGGAGGCAAAGGCGGGAAGATTGCTTGAGCCAGGAGTTTGAGATCAGTATGGGCAGGATGGCAAGAACCTGTCCCTACAAAAAACTTAATAATTAGCCAAATATGGTGGTGCGTACCTGTGGTCCCAGTTACTCAGGAAGCTGAGGTGGGAGAATGACTTGAACCCAGGAGGTTAAGGCTGCAGTGAGCTACAATTGCACCACTGAACTCTAGCCTAGGCAACAGAATGAGACCTTGTCTCAAAAAACAAATTAATTCTGAGTTTGATGTCTTCCCTGGAAAAACTAAGCAAATAAATGAAACTTCAGGGGTTTTGTAACAGCTTTATTGCGATATAATTCACATGTCCTATGATTCACTCCTTTCAAGTGTGCAATTGACTGATATTTGATATATTCACAGAGATATGCATCTATCACCACAATCAATTTTATAACACTTTCATTGTCCCAGACAAGAGCTCTGCACCCCTTAACCATCATCCTCAAATCCCCCATTGCCCACCACCAGCCCTGGGAAACTACTAACTTATTTTCTGTCTCCATACATTTGCCTGTTCTGGACATTTTATATAAATAGAATCATAAAATATGTGGGCTTCTTTCACTTAGCATAGTGTTTTCAAGTTTCATCCATGCTATAGCATGAATGTAGCATTTAATTCCTTTTTAAAGCTGAATAATATTCCATTGTACAGACATGCCATATTTTGCTTATCCATTCATCAGCTCATGAACATTGGGTTATTTCCATTTTTCAGCTATTATGAGTAATGCTGCTGTGAACTTTTGCATGTAGTACATGGACATAAGTTTTCATTTCTCTTGAGTATGTATCTAGGAGTGAAATTGCTGGGTCTTATGGTTACTCCATGTTTAACCTTTTGAGGAACTTTCAAGCCATTTACCAAAATAGCTATGCCATTTTACATTTCCACTAGCAATGTATGAAGCCTTCAATTTTTTTCACATCATTACCAACATTTGTTATTGCATATATTTTTAATTATAGTCATCCTAGTGGGTGTGAAGTGATATATAATTTTGGATTTGATTTGCATTTCACAAATGTCACAGATATCACAATTACATGGTGTTGAGCATCTTTTCATTTCCTTATTGACAATTTATGTAGCTTCTTTGGAGAGATATCTATTCAAATTCTTTACCTATTTTAAATTGAGTAGTCTTTTTATTGCTGAGTTTTTAAGAGTTCCTTATATATTATAGGTACATGTTTCTTATCAGAAATACGCTTTGCAAATATTTTCTCTCATTTTGTGGGTTGCTTTTTCAACTTCTTTATAGTATCTATCTTAGTTCGTTTTCTGTTGCTATAACAATACCACAGACTGGGTAATTTATAAAGAAAATACGTTTATTTAGTTCATGGTTCTGGAGGCTAGGGAGTCCAAGAGCATTGCACCAGCATCTGGTGAGGGCCTTCTTACTGTGTCATAACATGGCAGAGGGCATCACATGGCTAGAGGACAAGAGCAAGAGGCCACAGAAAGCTTGCTTTTATAGCAAAGCCACTCTCATGATAACAAGCCCACTCCCATGATAGTGACATTAATCCATTCATGAGGGAAGAAGGATTAAGTTTCCAATACATAGGCTAGGCACAGTGGCTGACACCTGGAATTCCAGGTGAGCTCAATGAGTCATAGTGGCACCACTGCACTCCAGCCTGGGCGACAGAGTGAGATTCTGTCTCAAAAAAAAAGAGTTTCTGACACATAAACTTTTAGAGACACATATAAAACATGGCAGTATTTTTAATTTTGATATTTAATTTTTAATTTTGATGAATCCTGATTTATTGGTTATCTTTTGTTGCTTGTGCTTTTGGTATCATACCTAATCTAAGGTCATGAAGATTTGTAGTTATATTTTCCTCTGAAAATTTTATGGTTTTAGCACTTACTTTTAGGTTTATTATGATTTTGGGTTAACTTTCTCTTTTTTTCTGATTGATAAGCTCTTTTTTTTTTTTTTAGTATTTATTGATCATTCTTGGGTGTTTCTCGGAGAGGGGGATGTGGCAGGGTCATAGGATAATAGCAGAGAGAAGGTCAGCAGATAAACATGTGAACAAAGATCTCTGGTTTTCCTAGGCAGAGGTCCCTGTGGCCTTCCACAGTGTTTGTGTCCCTGGGTACTTGAGATTAGGGAGTGGTGATGACTCTTAACGAGCATGCTGCCTTCAAGCATCTGTTTAACAAAGCACATCTTGCACTGCCCTTAATCCATTTAATGCTGAGTTGACACAGCACATGTTTCAGAGAGCACGGGGTTGGGGGTAAGGTTATAGATTAACAGCATCCCAAGGCAGAAGAATTTTTCTTAGTACAGAACAAAATGGAGTCTCCTATGTCTACTTGTTTCTACACAGGCACAGTAACAATCTGATCTTTCTTTTCCCCACATTTCTCCCTTTTCTTTTCGACAAAACCTCCATCGTCATCATGGCCCATTCTCGATGGTCACTGTCTCTTCGGAGCTGTTGGGTACACCTCCCAGATGGGGCGGCCGGGCAGAGGCACTCCTCACATCCCAGATGATGGACAGCCGGGCAGAGGCGCTCCTTACTTCCCAGACGGGGCGGCCGGGCAGAGGCGCTCCCCACTTCCCAGACGGGACGGCTGGGCAGAGGTGCTCCTCACTTCCCAGACGGGGCCGCCGAGTTAACTTTCACATATGGTATAAGATAAGGTCTAAGTTCAACTTTTGCAGCTGGATATCCAGTTATTCCAACATCATTTGTTGAAAACACTACTTATTTTCTCCTGTGAATTGTTTTGGTATCCTTGTTGAAATCAACTGACCATCAAAGTAAAGGTTTATTTCAGAACTCTCAATTAAATTCCATTGATCTATATGTCTATTCTTATGCCAAAACAACACAGTTTTCATTGTTGTACTTTTCTAGTGAATTTTAAAATCAGAAAATGTCAGTTCTCCAACTCTGTTCCTCTTTTTTTTCTATGAAATTTATTGTATCTACACTAAAAGACTTTTTTTGAGGGGAAGTGTTTTTTTAACCGTGTTATGATCCTACACAGCTGCCCAGAGTAGGACACTATCGTAAGTCATTAACATGCCGTATGAGTTCTGAATAAATAAAATCTATAAAACACAAGTTATATATAAATATCTTAGTCATGTTTACAAACCTGTGTATTAAGTTGGTGCGACAGTAATTGCCCTTAAATCTCTTGCTTCATCTTTTAAACTCTGTACAGAGACCAACAACATTCATTTTCTTTTTTTTTTTTTTTTTGAGGATGAGAAATACTGGAGGACTTTATTTAATTATTTGAGACTTTTTTTGACTTTTTAATATATTTTTTAAATTATATTTTAAGTTCTAGGGTACATGTGCACAACGTGCAGGTTTGTTACATATGTATACATGTGCCATGTTGGTGTGCTGCACCCATTAACTCATCATTTACATTAAGTATATCTCCTAATGCTATCTCTCCCCTTTCCCCCCGCCCCACGACAGGCCCCAGTGTGTGATGTTCCCCTTCCTGTGTCCAAGTGTTCTCATTGTTCAATTCCCACCTATGAGTGAGAACATGCGGTGTTTGGTTTAACAACATTCATTTTCATGAAGTTCACTTTCTAAAAATGAATTTCATTTATTAAAAGTAATGGCAAAACTGCAATTACTTTTGCACCAACCCAATACAATGAAGCAAATGTAAACACTAAATGCAGCATGACAGTGATCAAGCAATGCACAGAGACAACCACTTTTGGTGAGTCCGCCCCCCAGGAGCCGGCACCAGCCAGCCCTGGAGTCAGGCTACTCAACCCTTCCAAAACTAACTGGGCTAGCCCTCAGAGGAGAAAAAAGGTCTGAAGATGTCATAGACCTGAAGGACTGGAAAGCTGGTGAGAGGTTGCCTGCCAGCTCTCCACCCACCGAGTCTGAGGCACACAGAGAAGAAGACAGCACAGAGGCTTAGTCTGTGTGCCCAGGCCCCAGAGGCTCCTGCCATCTGGGGCTCTGACAGGCATTTTGCTGCTTTAGGAGGCAAGTCCATGGAATGGTAACTGCTTAAGTAAAATCAGAAGGTCCAGAAAATTTTCTCTAATTCAGTAACCTTCCTGACTTTTTGCCAGAAACAGGCCCGAACAGTGAGGGGTGGAGCTGGGGGACACATGATCATGAGCACTGAAGATGCTTGAGTGGGAGCTCAGAAAGAAGGCACACATTGACCTGATTTGGTGGAGAACTTCTAGAAGATTTGCAATGTCCTAACACAACTAAATCCTGTCAGTACAGCAGAGTGGGGGCTATGAAGCAGGTGTGATGAATGGGTACTTCTCCATCCAGTGACCAAGTAATACACAGATGCATCACCTTGTGACCCACACAAGTGCAATCATATGAAGCCAACTTCACTATGGTAAGAAGAGAAAATAGCCAGTATTGATATTGTGCAGAGTCCTGGGGCTAGGCAGGGCCCAGCAGCCGCCGCTGCATGCAGCCAGCCCCCTGCCAGCGGTGGGAAGGCAGTTGGAGGGGCATGGGGCTGGGCCCCGGCACCAAGGGGTGAGGCATGGGCGTATTGGGTTGTTGGAGGAGGGCAAGAGCCCCCACTTGGAGGCCAAGCACTCACACTGAAAGGCAGCATACCCGGTGCTGGCAGCAGGCATGAGGAGTGCAGACCAGGAGAAGGAGGAGCTGGATTAAAGCCGTTTACTGCATTATGAACAATGTAGGAAATGTGACTTTTTTTTTTTTTGAGACAGTCTCACTCTGTCGCCCAGGCTGGAGTGCAGTGGCACAATCTCGGCTCACTGCAACCTCCACCTCCTGGGTTCAAGCGATTCTCCTGCCTCAGCCTCCCCAGTAGCTGGGACGACAGGCATGCGCCACCACACCGGGCTCATTTCTGTATTTTTAGTAGAGACAGGGTTTCACCATGTTGCCCAGGCTGTTCTCGAACTCCTGGCCTCAAGTGATCTGCCTGCCTTGGCCTCCCAAAGTGCTGGGATTACAGGCGTGAGCCAGGGCGCCTGGCCTTTTTTTTTTTTTTTCTTTTGAGACAGAGTCTCATTCTGTCACCCAGGCTGGAGTGCAGTGGTGCTATCTAGGCTCACTGCAACCTCCGCTTCCTGGGTTCAAGCGATTCTTGTGCCTCAGCCTCTTGAGTAGCTGGCATTACAGGTGCCCACCACCATGCCCAGCAAATTTTTGTAATTATAGCAGAGATGGGGTTTCACCATGTTGGCCAGGCTGGTCTCGAACTCCTGACCTTAAGTGGTCCGCCTACCTCGGCCTCCCAAATTGCTGGGATTACTGCCTGACCGGAAATATGACTTTTTCTTGCCCTTCATCTGATTGGGAGACTCTTGTGCAATTGGCATTCAGCACCCCACTGTTAACATTTCCTGAAATATAGGACTTTCATGTTTGGTCCTTTGCAAAATTTCTGCAAGCTGCTAATTAGGATTGTAAAGTCCCTAATTTTCCTAAGAGATCCCCCATGGTCGTTAATGCTGATAGCCCAGCAGGAGTTAGTGGACTGGTACCAAAACCACTTAGTGTAGCTTTCGGGAAGGAAAACTGTTTTCCTTTCCTTTGCCAATAGGAGTGGCTGGCAAAAAGAGTGATCCCTGGACAGTGGAATCTATCTTTTCACCATCTAGAGTTGGAGAAGTAGGAGCCAACTTTCTGGTTACTTGCTTTCCTGAACTGCTAGTTCTTGCCCTTAAATCTCTTGCTTCATCTTTTAACCTCTGTACAGAGACCGACAACATTCCTTTCCATGAAGTTCACTTTCTAAAAATGCATTCCGTTCAATGGCCTGATTTAGCCTTTGTTCAAAGTCTTCCAGTGAAGGCCAGGTGTGGTGGCTCACACATGTAATCCCAGCACTTTGGGAGGCCAAGACGGGTGGATTACTTGAGGTCAGGAGTTCGAGACCAGCCTGGTCAACACAGCAAACCCGGGAGGTGGAGGTTGCAGTGAGCCGAGATCTCACCACTGCTCTCCAGCCTGGGCAACAGAGCGAGACTCCGTCTCAAACAAAACAAAACAAAAACAACGTCTTTTAGTGAAACTATTATTGCCCTTTTTTTTTTTTTTTTTTTGAGACGGAGTCTCGCTCTGTCGCCCAGGCCAGACTGCGGACTGCAGTGGCGCAATCTCGGCTCACTGCAAGCTCCGCTTCCCGGGTTCACGCCATTCTCCTGCCTCAGCCTCCCGAGTAGCTGGGACTACAGGCGCCTGCCACCGCGCCCGGCTAATTTTTTGTATTTTTAGTAGAGACGGGGTTTCACCTTGTTAGCCAGGATGGTCTCGATCTCCTGACCTCATGATCCACCCGCCTCGGCCTCCCAAAGTGCTGGGATTACAGGCGTGAGCCACCGCGCCCGGCCCTATTATTGCCCTTTTTGCTTGCTACGGGTCATCATTGGCCTGTTCCAGCTCTCTCACATACTTAAGCAACCACACCTTAATGGCCCACATCTGACTTAAATCATCTGATATTGAGACCTGCTTGTAGCTCTGCGCATATTGATGTTCTGGTTTCTCCTTCAATGCCTCCACTTCATATTTCAGACTTTGGCTATAAAGTTGCAAGTCTCTATTTCTTTGTTCAGGCTGTGCTAATTGTGCTGCCAAGTCTGCTTCTAAATCTCTGCTTCCTTCCTGAAATTCAACTAGCTCATCTCAAGCTTCCTGGAAGCTATGTTTGTACTTCAAGGACATTTCCTTCCAATAAGCAGTTTCATCCTTTAAACTTGAAAAATCTGGTATATGTTCATCATCCATGATCAAAAAAGTCTCTAATGTGTCAAAAGCATATGTTCACCAGCGCTTGACCCACGTCTGTGCTCCACTGGTTTGGCCAGGCTAACCCAGCTGCTCAGCTTCATTCCTCTCCACAGCTCTGAGCTCCACTCCATTCTGTTCCTCTTTCTTGAGGTCGTTTAGCTATTCTGGGTCCCTTGAATTTTCATATGAATTTTAGAATCAGCAAATAAATTTCTGAAAAAAAAAAGTTGACTGAGTATTTTTGGTTTGGTGTTTTTTGTTTGTTTGTTTGTTTTTTATGTGTGTGTATTTCTTGCAGAAATTGGGGTCTCATTTTGTTGCCCAGGCTGGTCTCGAACTCCTGGCTTCAAGCAATCCTCTCAACTACAGCCTCCCAAAGTGCTGAGATAACAGGGGTGAGCCACCGTCCCCAGCCGTGACTGGGATTTTGGTAGTGATTGCATTGCATCTGTAGATGAATTTGAGGAGAACTGCTATCTTAAAAATATTAGGTCTTGGGCCGGGCACAGTGGCTCATGCCTGTAATCCTAGAACTTTCGGAGGCCAAGGCAGGAGGATCACCTGAGATCAGGAGTTCAAGGCCAGCCTGGCCAACATGGCAAAACCCCGTCTCAACTGAAAATACAAAAATTAGCCAGGCATGGTGGCGGATGCCTGTAATCCCAGCTACTCAGGAGGCTAAGGCAAGAGAATCGCTTGAACCCAGGAGGCAGAGGTTGCAGTGAGCCAAGATCACCCCACTGCACTCTAGCCTGGGCAATAGAGCGAGACTCCATCTCAAAATAAATAAATAAATAAATAAAATTAAGTCTTCCCAATACATGAGCATGGTATATCTACCTTTCACTTTATTTAGATCTTTAATTTCTTTGAACAATGTTTTATAATTTTTAGAGTATGATTTTTATTTATTTATTTTTGTTAAATTTATTCCTTAGCGTTTTATTCTTTTTGAAGCTCTTTTAATGGGATACCTTCTTAATTTAATTTTTGGATTGTATGTTACACGTGTATAGAAATACAACTGCTTTCTGTATATTAAGTTTGTATCTTACAAACTGGTTGACTTTTTTTTTTAGTTGTAATAGTTTTTTTGTAGGCCAGTCGTGGTGGCTCACACCTGGAATCCCAGCACTACGGTAGGCCAAAATGGAAGGATCACTTGAAGCCAGGAGTTCAAGGCTGGCCTGAGCAACAAAGCGAGACCACATCCCTACAAAAAATAAAAAAGTTATTTGGCCATGGTGGTACACGCCTGTAATCCCAGCTACCCGAGAGGCTGAGTTAGAAGGATTACTTGAGCCCAGGAGCTTGAGGCTGCAACGAGCCGGATCGCA
This sequence comes from Homo sapiens, assembly GCF_000001405.40. Classification (NCBI taxonomy): domain Eukaryota; kingdom Metazoa; phylum Chordata; class Mammalia; order Primates; family Hominidae; genus Homo; species Homo sapiens. The sequence goes on along the minus strand of NC_000023.11, from coordinate 68,473,369 downwards.
CCACTGCTTTCCAGTGTGGCCACTGCACTCCAGCCTGCGTGACAGTGAAACCCCATCTCTAAAGAAAAATAGATTTTTGTGAGTTCCTTATGATTTTCTTGTAAGAGACGGGGTCTCACTATGTTGCTCAGCCTGGAGTACAATGGCTATTCACAGATGTGATCATGGTGCACCACAGCCTTGAATTCCTGGGCTCATGTGATCCTCCTGCCTCAGCCTTCCAAGTCTCCAGGGCTACAGGTGTGTGCCACTGTGCCCACATGGATTCACTAAGACTTTTTTTTTTTTTTTTTTTGAGATGGAGTTTTGCTCTTGTTGTCCAGGCTGGAGTGCAATGGTGTGATCTTGGCTCACCGTAACCTCCGCTCCCGGTTTATATGATTATCCTGCCTCAGCCTCCCAAGTAGCTGGGATTACAGGTATGCACCACCACGCCCAGCTAATTTTGTATTTTTAGTAGAGACAGAGTTTCTCCGTGTTGACCAGGCTGGTCTCGAACTCCCAACCTCAGGTGATCTGCCCACCTCGGCCTCCCAGTGCTGGGATTACAGGTGTGAGCCACTGTGCCTGGCCAGATTTTTTACATACAATATCATGTCTTTGGCAAATAAAGATAGTTTTATTTCTTCCTTTCATTTCTGTATGCCTTTTACTTCTTTTACTTGTCCAGCTGTCCTTGCTAGAACCTTCAGTACAATATTGAATGGAAGTAGTACTCTTGTCTTGTTCCTGACTGTAGGGAGAAAGCATTCAGTCTTTTTCTTTTAAGTAAAATGTAAAGTAATATGTGGGATTTTCATAGATGCTCTTTACCGAGTTGAGTAAGTTCCCTTCTGTTCCTAATCTGTTGAGTGTTTTTATCATGAAAGCTTGTTGGATTTTGTCAAATGCATTTTTTTGCTTCTATTGAGATGATCATGTTTTTGTCCCTTATTCTATTGATTTTTATGTAGTATAATAATTTTTAGATATTAAGCCAACTTTGGATTCCTTGGATAAATAAAACTTAGCCATGTTATAAAATCCATTTTATATGTTAATGAATTTATTTTGCTAGTAGTTTGCTGAAGATTATTGTGTCTGTACTCATCAGTCATATTGGTCTGTAATTTTTTTTCCTTTAATTTTCTTCTCTGGTTTTGATGTCTGGGTAATTCTGTCTTCATAGAATGAATTGTGAAGTGATTCTTTCTATTCTAATATTTGAAAGTACATGTAAAGAATAAGTATTAATTCTTTTTAAAAAATCTTTTGGGCCAGGCACGGTGGCTCACTCCTGTAATCCAAGCACTTTGGGAGGCCGAGGAGGGAAGATCATCTGAGGTCAGGAGTTCGAGACCAGCCTGGTCAACATGGTGAAACTCGGTCTCTACTAAAAATACTAAACATTATCCGGGCGTGGTGGTGCACACCTGTAATCCCAGCTACTTGGTAGGCTGAGGCAGGAGAATCGCTTGAACCTGGGAGTTGGAGGTTGCAGTGAGCCGAGATCACGCCACTGCACTCCAGCCTGGGCAATAGAGTGAGACTCTGTCTCAAAAAAAAAAATCTTTTTAGGCTGAGCACAGTGGGTCACGCCTATAATCTCAGCACTTTGGGAGGCCAAGGCAGGCAGATTACTTGAGCCCAGGAATTTGAGACCAGCCTGGCCAACATGAGAAACCCCGTCTCTGCAAAAAATACAAAAATTAGCCGGGCATGGTGGTGGGTGCCTGTAATCCCAGCTACTTGGGAGGCCGAGGCATGAGCATCGCTTGAACCTGAGAGGCGGCAGTTGCAGTGAGTTGAGATGGCACCCGTGCACTCCAGCCTGGGCGGCAGAGTGAGACTCTGTCTCAAAAAAAATTTTTTTTACATATATGAAAATAAATTTACTAGTGAAGCCATCTGGGCCTGTGATTTTCTTTCTTTTTCTTTCTTTTTTTTCCCCAGACCAGACTGGAGTGCAGTGGAGCAATCTCAGCTCACTGTGTGCAACCTCCGCCTCCCAGGTTCAAACAATTCTCCTTCCTCAGCCTCCCAAGTAGCTGGGATTACAGGTGGCCACCACCATGCCTAGCTATTTTTTTTGTATTTTTAGTAGAGATGGGGTTTCACCAAGTTGGTCAGGCTGGTCTCGAACTCCTGACCTCAAATGATCCACCTGCCTCGGTCTCCCAAAGTGCTAGGATTACAGGCCTGAGTCACCGTGCCCTGCCTGGGCCTATGATTTTCTTTGTGGCAAAATTTAAAATTACCTCTTCAATCTCCTTATATGTTACAGGTACATTGAGGTTTTTAATATCTTCTTGTGTCAGTATCAGTAGTTTGTGTCTTCATAAAAATGTGTTCTTTTCATTGAGTTTATCTGATTTGTTGGCATAGAATTGTCTATAGTATCCCCTTCTAATGTATTTTATTTATTTATTTATTATTTATTTATTTCTGAGCCACAGTTTCGCTGTTGTCACCCAGGCTGGAGTGCAATGGCAGGATCTCAGCTCACTGCAACCTCCGCCTCCCAGGTTCAAGCAATTATCCTGCCTCAGCCTCCTGAATAGCTGGGATTACAGGTGCCTGCCACCACGCCCATCTAATTTTTGTATTTTTAGTAGAGATGGGATTTCACCACATTGGTCAGTCTGGTCTCGAACTCCTGACCTCAGGTGATCCGCCTGCCTTGGCCTCCCAAAGTGCCGGGATTACAGGCGTGAGTCACCACACCTAGCCAAGTCCATTTTATTTCTATCAGGTTGGAAATAATGTGTCTTCTTTCATTTCTAATTTTAGGAATTTGACTGTTCCTTCTTTTTTGTGATCAATCTAACTAAAGGTTTGTGAATTTTGTTAATTTTTAAAGAACCAACTTTTGCTGTTATTGTTTATTGTTCTATGTATTTCTATATATTATATTTAATTAATTTCCACTCTAATCTCTATTTTTCCTTCTATCTGCTTCTTTAAAGTTTAGTTTGCTCTTCTTTTTCCAGTGTCTTAAGGTTGAAGTTTAGGTTATTGATTTGAGAGCTTTCTTTTGTAATGAAGACATTTATAGCTATAAATTTCCCTCTCAGTACTTCTTTAGCTGGATCTGATAAATTTTGGTGATATATCTCCCTTTTCTTCATGTCCAAGTATTTTCTTGTTTCTCTTGTGAATTTTTCTTTGAAGCATTGTTTATTAAAGAGTATGTTGTTTACTTTCCATGTATTTTTGAATTTCCCAAAGTTTCTTCTGTTATTTTCTAATTTCATTCCATATTTAGAAAATATACTTTATATTATTTCAAACCTTTATATTAAAATGAGGCTTATTGCATATGGTTTATCCTAGAGAATGTTCCACATGCAGTTAAGAAGCATGATTGGTGGGTTCTGTAGCTGTCTATTAAATATAATTAGTTTATAATGTGGTTCAAATCTTCTATTTCCTTGTTGATCTTGTGCTTAGTTTTTCTACTCATTATTTAAAGTAGTGTGTTGAAGTATCCAACAATTCTTTTTTTTTTTGGAGACAGGGTCTCACTCTGCTGTCCAGACTCAAGTGCAGTGGCATGATCATGGCTCACTGCAGCCTTGACCTCCCAGGCTCAAGCTATCCTCCCACCTCAGCCTTCCAAGTAGCTGGGACTACAGGCAGGTGACACCACACAGCTAAATTTTTTAGTTTTATAGAGGCAGGGTCTCACTATGTTGCCCAGGCTGGTCTTGAACTCTTGGGCTCAAGTGATCCTCCTGCCTTGGCCTCTCACCACGTTGGGATTACAGGTGTGAGTCATTGTGCCTGGCCTATCCAACTATTGTTGTTGAATTATTTGTTTCTCCCTTCATTTATTTATTTATTTTATTTTATTATTTTTTTGAGACAAAGTCTCACTCTGTTGCCCAGGTTGGAGTGCAGTGATGCCATCTCAGCTCACTGCAACCTCCACCTCCTGAGTTTAAGTGATCCTTAACTTAAGGAGTTTAAGTGCCTCAGCCTCCTGAGTAGCTGTAACTACAGGCACATGCCACCACGCCAGGCTAATTTTTCTGTATTTTTAGTAGAGATGGGTGTTCGCCATGTTGGCCAGGCTAATCTCCAACTCCTGACCTCAAGTGATCTGCCTGCCTCAGCCTCCCAAAGTGCTGGGATTACAGGCGTGAGCCACCACGCCCTGGCAACAATATTGTCTTTCAATTCATGAACATAGGGTAGCTTTCTGATTGTTTAGATCTTTAATTTATCTTACTAATATTTTTAAATTTCTACTATAGAGATTTTAGATGACTTTTGTTATATTTATTCCTTATCTTTCATATTTACTGTATTTGGAATTTGTTAAACATTTTCCACTTTCCATTTGCTAGAATATAAAACAGTTTTTTTATATATTAACCTTCTATTCTAGGCTGGGCTCAGTGGCTCGCACCTGTAATCCCAGCATTTTGGGAGGCCTAGGCCGGCTGATCACTTGAGGTCAGGAGTTTGAGACCAGCCTGGTCAACATTGTGAAACCCCATCTCTAGCAAAAGTACACAAATTAGCCAAGCGTGGTGATGCGCATCTGTAGTCCCAGCTAGTTGGGAGACTGACGCACAAGTATCGCTTGAACCTGGGAGGCAGAGGTTGCAGTGAGCCCAGATCATGCCACTGCACTCCAGCCTTGGCAATAGAGCAAGACTCTGTGTCAAAAAACAAAACAAACAAACAAACAAAAAAGCAAAAAACAAAAAATAAAACTTTACATTTTAGGACCTTGCTAAATTAATTTATTATGAGTTATTCTAATAGTGTCATTTTTGCCATACTTTTTCATTTTACCCACTCTTATGGGTATGTAGCAGTATTTTCTTGAAGTTTTAATTTGCACTTTTTGATGATTAATGACATTGTGTACCTTCTATTGTGGACATTCATGTATCTACCATTCATATAGCTGCATTTTGTTAGGTGACTGTTTAAGTGTTTTGTACATTTTTATTTATGTTGTTTGTCCTTTCATTATAGAGTTGAGCACTTCCTTATATATTCTAGGTACCAGCCCTTGGTAAGATAGTTGCTTTGCATATACAGTATTTTCTCCCAGCCTGTGGATTATCTTTTCATTCATTTTTGTTTGTTTCTTTGCTTGTTTATTTTAGAGACAAGGTCTCACTATGTCACCCAGACTGAACTGCAATGCTACAATCATAGCTCACTGCAACCTCTAACTGCTGGACTCTAACAATCCTCCTGCCTCAGCCTCCCCAGTTGCTAAGACTACAGACATGCATCACCAAGTCCATCCTTTTTTTTTTTTTTTTGGCGAGGATGGGGGCAGATGGAGTCTTGCTCTGTTTGACCAGGGTGGTCTTGAACTCTCGGCCTCAAGTGATCCTCCCACCTCAGCTTCCCAAAGTGCTGGCATTACAGGTGTGATCCCAGCCTTGTAATGGTAACTTTTGATGATGTTCTGCATTCTAACTATGACTCTTGTCAAGAATTTATGTTTTTCCGGTTTTGGATTTGTTGGGTCTCTTGAATCTGTTGATTGATATATTCATCAGCTCTGGGTAGACCTCAACTATTATCTCTTTATTCTCTCTCCCAATCTCCCGAGATTTTTTTCATTTGCTCTCAAATTTAGCACAGACTAGACCTTCTCATTGATTTGTCTATGTCTACTACCCTCCCTTCTGTCTTTGAACATTCTCTGACACTTTCTGGATAGCTTCTTCTACACTCTACCAGATTACTGATTCTTTCCTTAATTTCTTAATATCAGTTCACTGTTTTTAATCAGTTTCTTAATATCTTAACCTATTCACGGAATTTACTTCTTTTCCTTTTTTTTTTTTTTTGAGACGGTGTGTTGCTTTTTGCCCAGGCTGGAGTACAATGGTCTATCTCAGCTCACTGCAACCTCCACCTCCCCGGTTCAAGCAATTCTCCTGCCTCAGCCTCCTGAGTAGCTGGGAATACAGGCACGTGCCACCATGCCCGGCTAATTTTGTATTTTTAGTAGAGACGGGGTTTCACCATGTTGGCCAGGCTGGTCTCGAACTCCTGACCTCTGGTGATCTGCCCACCTCAGCCTCCCAAAGTGCTAGGATTACAGGCATGACAGTGCTTGGACATTTTTTTTTTTTTTTTTGAGACTGTCTTGCTCTGTCACCCAGGCTGGAGTGTAGTGGCGTGATCACAGTTTACTGCAGCCTCAACCTCCTGGGCTCAAGCCATCCTCCCACCCTAGCCTCCCGAGGAGCTGGGGCTACAGGTGTGCATCACCATGCCCAGCTATTTAAAAAAAAATTGTTTTTAGAGATAGGATCTCACTATGTTGCCCAGGCTGGTCTCATACTCCTGGTCTTAAGTGATGCTCCCACCTTGGCATCTCAAAGTGCTGAGATTACAGGTGTGAGCCACAATACCCAGTCTCTTCTTTTTTATCTATGTTTTGTATCAATCTTAAGCTTATATAAATGTGGAAGGGGGTTCTCCTTTTTTTTGTAAGATGAAGTCTTGCTATAATATTGCCGATTGGACTCAAACTCCTAGGCTCAAGGTATCCTCCCACCTCAGCTTTCCGAGTAGCTGCGACTACGTGGCACACATCACCATATTCACCTAATGCTTACATAAATGTTGAAAGTGCAGTATAAAGCTGTTTTATTTCCTGATCTATTTGAGATTAAGTTGCCAACAAGATATGCTATCAGCCCTGAATATTTTAGTGTGTATTTCATAAAAACAAAGACATTCTCATGCACAACCACTGTACAGCCATCAAAATCAGGAAATTATCATTGATACACTACTACCATCTAATCCCCAGACCTGATGTAAGTTTCTTCAGTTTTCCAATACTCTTCATCAGAGCAAAGTGATTCAGGTCAGGATTATGTGCTGTATTATTTGTCTTTTTAGCTGCTTTCAGAGTGGAACAGTTTCTCAGTCTTGCCTTGGCTTTCATGATCTTAACACTTTTAAAGATTACAGGATCAATCCACAATTTGGATCTTCTAATTTTCTTCATGATTAGGTGAAAATTATGCATCTTTGGCAAGTTAATCAGAAATGATGTTGCATTCTTATTGCAGCCTATGAGATGTCACATGATTTTTATTTGTTCTATATTATTATTATGAGACAGGATCTTGCTCTGTTAGCCAGGCTGGAGTGCAGTGGCACAATCATGGCCCACTGCAACATCTGATTCCCGGGCTCAAATGATCCCCCCACCTCAGCTGTCCCAGTAGCTGGGACTACAGACATGCACCACCACTCCAGGCTAATTTGTTATATATTTTTAGAGACAGCGTCTTGCCATGTTGCCCAGGCTGGTCTCAAATTTCTGGTCTCAATGATCCTCCCACCTCAGCCTCTCAAAGTGTTGGAATTACAGGTGTGAGTCACCACGTCCAGCCTGATTTGTTTCTTTATTAATGATGCTGACTTAGGCCGGGCACGGTGGCTCACGCCTGTAATCCCAGCACTTTGGGAGGCCAAGGCAGGCGGATCACCTGAGGTCAGGAGTTTGAGACCAGCCTGGCCAACATGGTGAAAGCCTGTCTCTACTAAAAACACAAAAGGTTAGCCAGGCCTGGTGGTGTGTGCCTGTAATCCCAGCTACTCAGGAGGCTGAGAAAGGAGAATCTCTTGAACCCGGGTGGCAGAGATTGCAGTGAGCCAAGGGTGTGCCACTGCACTCAGCCCAGGAAACAAAAGCAAAACTCCGTCTCAAAAAAAAAAAAAAAAAAGATGCTGACTTGAATCACTTGATTAAGGTGGTGTCTGGAAGGGTGTTCTGCTGTAATATTACTCTTTTTCTTTTGTAATTAATATGTATTTTTGTTAGGAGGTATTTTGAGCCTATGTGAATAGTCCATTACTTATCAAACTTTCAGTTTACTCTTTCAATATAAGTTCAGCTTCATATTTTCCCATTTTATTCAATGAGTTTATACTTCTCAACTAGCATTATTTGTTTTGATATTCAGGTTGTCCTAAACTTGGCCAGTGGGAGTCCCTTGAAGCTTGATTCTATGTCCTTTTGATAAGATCCCTTCATTCTTTGAGCATTCCTTTGCTTTCTGGCATAAGATCTTCCAGGCTCGTTTTGTATTTACCCTGCCCCAGCCCAGGACTCAGTCATTTCTCCAAGCATCCCCACTTCTAGGGGTAGAGAATGAGATTTAGAAAGCAAAATTTGGGGCCGGGCACAGTGGATCATGCCTATAATCCCAGCTACTCAGGAGGCTGAGGCAGGAGAATCACTTGAGCCCAGGAGGTGGAGGTTGCAATAAGCCCAGATTGTGCCACTACACTACAGCCTGGGCAACAGAGCGAGATTTCCTCTTAAAAAAAAAGAATGCAAAATTTGGGTGCTAAGTGTGCATGTTGCTATGGAGATATTGCTATTCTCAGCTGTCTCAGTGAGCAGAGCTAGGGAATATACGTGGATGATTTCATCATCGCATATGGGCTCTGACACTATGTGACAGGTCATTAATTGCTTCCACATAAACACCCTCCTCACTCTCATATTTCTTTTTTTTTTTTCTTTTTGAAATGGAGTTTCAGTCTGTCGCCCAGGTTGGAGTGCAGTGGCATGATGTCAGCTCACTGCAACCTCCGCCTCCCAGGTTCAAGTAATTCTATCTGCCTCAGCCTCCCGAGTACCTGGGATTGCAGGCGCCCACCACCACACCCGGCTAATTTTTGTATTTTTAGTAAAGATGGGGTTTTGCCATGTTGGCCAGGCTGGTCTTGAACTCCTGACCTCAAGTGATTCACCCTCCTCAGCCTCCCAAAGTGATGGGATTACAGGTGTGAGCTACTGCACCCGGTCCACCCTCCTCACTCTGATCTGGCTGAAACACCCTGCTTTGAGCCACCATAGCTTCCCTTAAGCCTAGTTCAGAAACCTGCTTTTCTTCATCACTTTTAATGTCTTCTGAGCTGAATTATTCAGAAAGAAAAGGGCAAAGTAAGAAAGGGAAGGAAGGCCGGGCACAGTGGTTCACGCCTGTAATCCCAGCATTTTGGGAGACCGAGGTGGGCAGATCACCTGTGGTTGGGCATTTGAGACCAGCATGACCAACATGGAGAAACCCCATCTCTACTAAAAATACAAAAGTAGCCGGGTGTATTGGTGCATACCTGTAATCCCAGCTACTTAGGAGGCTGAGGCAGGAGAATCACTTGAACACAGGAGGTGGAGGTTGCGGTGAGCCAGGATTGCACTGTTGCTCTCCAGCCTGGGCAACAAGAGCAAAACTCCATCTCAAATAAATAAATAAATAAAAAGAAGAAAGAAAGAAAAAGAAAGGGAAAGGAAAGGGAGAGTAGAAAAGGGAAAGTAGAAAGGGAAATGGAAGGATGAGAAGGAAAGGGAAAAGGAAATGGAAGTGGAAGAGGAAGAGCTTCACTGAATTCTTATTTTCAGTTATTGTACTTTTTAGTTCTAGAATTTCTATTTCTTCCTTTTTTGCAAATCTGGGATATATCTATTTTGATGTTTATTATGGAAAATGTCTAACATAAACAAATAAAGAAATAGTATAGGCCAGAAGCGGTGGCTTATGCCTGTAATCCCAACATTTTGAGAGGCCAAGACTGGAGTATTGCTTGAGGTCAGGAGTTGGAGACTAGCCTGAGCAACCACTCTTGACTACTAAAAATAATTTTTTTAAAAACATTAGGTAGGCATGTTGGAGCATACCTGTTGTCCCAGCTGAGGTGGGAGGATTGCCTGAGCCCAGGAAGTTGAGGCTGCTGTGAACTGAGATGGCACTACTGCACTCCAGCCTGGGCAACAGAGCAAGGCACTGTTTTAAAAAAGAAAATAGTATAATGAGCCTCTTTGTACTCATCACCAGCTTCAACAGTAATTGATTCATGGCCACTCTTGTTTAATTTATTTTCCCTGCTGTGTCTGACCTGGGTTATTTTCAACCAATCCCATATATCGTATCTTTTTTAAAATAAACTTTTATTTTAGAACAGTTTTAGATTTGCAGAAACATTGAGAAGATAATATAGAGAATTCCCATATACTGCAAACCCAGTTTTTCCTGTTATTATTGTATTACACTAGTATGGTACTTTTTTTTTTTAAACAATTAGTGAGTCAGTATTCATATATTATTGTTTCCGGAAAAGGGGTCCCGATCCAGACCCATAAGAGAGGGTCCTTGGACCTCGGGCAAGAAAGAATTCAGGGAGAGTCCACAGAGTAGAGTGAAAGCAAGTTTATTAGAGAAGTAAAGAAACAAAAGAATGGCTACTCCATAGGCAGAGCAGCAATGCAGGCTACTTGACTGAGTATACCTATAGTTATTTCTTGCTTATATGCTAAACAAGGGATGGATTATTCATGAGGTTTCGGGAAAGGGGGGACAATTTCCGGAGAAGAAGTTCCCTCCCCTTTTAAAACCATATAGGTTAATTTCCAGACGTTGCCATGGCGTTTGCAAACTGTCATGGCGCTGATGAGAGTGTCTTTTACCATGCTAATGCATTATAATTAGCATGTAATGAGCAGTGAGGACCACCAGAGGTCACTTTCATCACCATCTTGGTTTTGGTGGGTTTCAGACAGCTTCTTTATCACACTGTGTTTTTGTTTTGTTTTTGTTTTGTTTTTTTGAGACATGATCTCACTTTGTTGCCCAGGCTGAAGTGCTGTGACGTGATCTGGGTTCACTGCAGCCTCCACCTCCTGGGTTCAAGCGATTCTCTTGCCTCAGCCACCCAAGTAGCTCGTGCCACCATACCTGGCTAATTTTTGTATTTTTAGTAGAGATGGGGTTTCGCTATGTTCTCCAGGCTGGTCTCGAACTCCTGAGCTCAAGCAATCAGCCCAACTTGGCCTCCCGAAGTACTGGGATTACAGGCTTGAGCCACCGTGCCCGGCCTTTGCATTCTTTTTTTATCAGCAGGGTCATTATGACCTGTATGTTGTACAGGTCGTTATGACGTACATGTCATAACGACCTCCTATCTCATCCTGTGACTATGCATGCCTAACCTCCTAGGAATGTGGCCCAGTAAGTCATAGCCTTATTTTACCCAGCACCTATTAAAGATGGAGTCACTCTGGTTCGAGTGCCTCTGACATTATTATTAACTGAATTTCACACTTTATTCAGATTTCCTTAGTTTTAACATAATGTCCTTTTTATGTTCCAAGAAGTTATTCAGCATACCACATTACATTTAGTCATCATGTCTTCTTAGGTTCCTCTTGACTGTGACAGATGATGCCATATCTTTTTATCTATATGTATTTCCATATGTATTTTTATACAAGAACTCCGTAGGGGAGGAAAAACGATTTTCTCTCTAAACTTCATAGTTCTTAATTGGGATGGACCCCTGTAAAAAACTGATTAATAAGAGAAAAGCAAATGGAGGTTTATTAACATGTATACCTCATGTATACATAAGAGATACCAAGAGAAATAGTAAATTTCAAAGAGGTGGCTTTGAATTCTGGCTTAAATATTATCATACACTAAAACAAAGAAACAAGGGTGCAGACAAGGCCAGTTATGGTGAGGTACCCAGGAAAAGTACAGTAAAGAAGGATAAGATTTGTTATGCATATTTAAGTCACTGACTTCTCCATTGATGAATGTCTAGTGATTTAGTCATCCTTCTCTTACTGGAGCAAAGAGAGAGAGAGATCCTTATAAATGGAAATTTCCTTTAAATTTCCTTTACAAAAGGATAACTATTATGTTTTCAGAACTTCTAGGTCTGCAGTTTCTGAAAGTAATAAACTCAAAATAATCCTGTGTCAAAGAGGCATATTTTATTGTGGCATATTCTGGTCTCCTACTGAGGCAGGAGAACAGGGCCTGGAAGCAGGGAACCTAAGGACTTCCTAGAACTAAATCAAAGGGAAACACTTCAGCTATGACAGGAAATATCCTCTTCATTTACATAGGTCACACACCGAGTAAATGACTTTGTAACTTTACTTCATTCTCTTCATTTACATAGAGTGTACACTAAGTAAATAACTTTGTAACTTCACTTTAACCTCTTCATTTACTTAGAGCATGTACCAAGTAACCAATGGAAACCTCTAAAGGGTATTTAAACCCCAGAAAATTCTGTAACCGGGCCCTTGAGCCGCTTGCTCCATCAACTCCCACCGTGTGGTGTGTGCTTTCAGTTTCAATAAATCTCTGCTTTCGTTGTTACATTCTTTCCTTGCTTTGTCCTTTTTTGTCCAATTATTTGTTCAAAACGCCAAGAACCTGGACAGGACACCCTCAACTGGTAACACTACAACTCTTTGTCAAAAATAAATAAGCCCTGGGCTGTGGCTCATGCCTGTATTCCCAGCACTTTGGGAGGCCAAGGCAGGTGGATCATCTGAGGTCAGGAGTTTGAGACCAGCCTAGCCAACATGGTGAAACCCTGTCTCTACCAAAAATACAAAAATTAGCCGGGAGTGCTCGTGCATGCCTGTAATTGCAGCTACTCGGAGGCTGAGGCAGGAGAATCACTTGAACTCAGAAGGTGGAGGTTGCAGTGAGCCGAGATCGTGCCACTGCACTCCAGCCTGGGCGACAGAGCGAGATTCCATCTCTAAATAAATAAGTAAATAAATATCAATCTTCATTATCTTAACCAATAAAGAATAAATCTTTACTATCATTGAGTTAGTGTTTAAATTTCTCCAATAGCCTCATTTTTTTTAACAATTTGTTCAAGTGAAAATCCAAAATCCAAAAGTGGTCCATATAGTGTGATTGATCGTGGTCCATACAGTATGATTGATTGATGCCTTTTAAGTTCCTTTTTTTTTTATTTTGAGACGGTGTCTCACTCTGTCTCCCAGGCTGGAGTGCAGTGGCGAGATCTCAGCTTGCCGCAACCTCCACCTCCTGGGCCCAAGCAATCCTCCCTCCTCAGCCTCCTGAGTAGCTGGGACTACAGGGCACGCCTCATCATGCCTGGCTAATTTTTGTATTTTTGTAGAAATGGGGTTTTGCCTTGTTGCCCAGGCTAGTCTGAAACTCCTGGAATCAAGCCATTCGCCGGAATGTACTCAGCCTCCCAAAGTACTAATATTACAGGCGAGAGCCATTTCACCCGACCTTAAATTCCTTTTAATCTATAAATTCTTCATGTCTTTTTTTTCCTGCCCTCCATTTTTTGTTATTGAAGAAACTGTCCTCCAGAGATTTCCACAGTCTGTATTTTGGTAATTGTGCTCCTATGATGTTGTTTAACATGTTCCTTTGCATCCTTCATTTCCTGAAAACTGGCAGTAAATTCTAGTCTTAAACAGATTCAGATTTGAACATAATGTGCTATTGTTTCTCTTTCTGTGATGTTAGTAGTCAATGATGATCATTGCCCAGAGCCATTATTTTATTAGGGAGTTGCAAAATTGTGATGCTCTAATTCTATCATCCTTTTAAATTTTGTTAGTTGGAATACTCTTCTTTCTTTTTATTTTATTTTATTTTATTTATTTAGTTATTTATTTATTTATTTTTGAAGCAGGGTCTCGTTCTGTCACCCAAACTGGAGTGCAGGGGTGCAAACACAGCTCATCACAGCCTCAACTTCCCAGGCTTCAGCGATCCTTCTGGCTCAGTCTCCCCAGTAGCTGAGACCACAGGCGCCTGCCATCATACTGGGCTAATTGTTGTACTTTTTGTAGAGATTGGGTTTCGCCATGTTGCCTAGGCTGATCTCAAACTTCTGAGCTAAAGCAACCCTCCCTCGTCAGCCTCCCATAGTGCTGGGATTAAGGCATGAACCAGTGCACCCAGCCCATCTTTTACATATTCTTTCTTTTTCAGGGTTTTACTCCGGTCACTGAGCAGGCTGGAGTGCAGTGGCGAGATCTCGTCTCACTATAACCTCTGCCTCTTGGGCTCAAACGATCCTCCTGCCTCAGCTTCCTGAGTAACTGGGACAACAGGCACATGCCACTATGCCCGGCTAATGTTTGTGTTTTTAGTAGATATGGGGTTTCACCAAGTTGGCCAGGCTGGTCTTGAACTCCTGGCCTCACGTGATCCACCCGCCTAGGCCTCTCACAGTGCTGGGATTACAGGCGTGAGCCACCGTGCCTGGCCTACATTTTCTTCTTCAGACATGGAATCACCATTTCTCCAATGAATCCTGGTTCCTGTACACTGTTATTGGGTGCATCATAGCTTTTAGGCCATTTTAGTGATCAGAGTTCAAAAATACGTGTGTATATATGTATGTAGATAGATGTAGATATTGCTACACATAGATATACATAAAGATAGATATATAGAGACATATATATAGAGACATATATATATATGTCTCTCTCTCTCTCTCTCTCTCTCTATATATATATATATATATGTAGACAAAGACATTTTTAAGAGAAAATGCATCACATTTTAACACTGATATTTACAAGTCAGATGAGTTTTTAGGGCTGGGTACTAGTGGCTCACGCTTGTAATCCCAGCACTTTAGGAGACCATGGCAGGAGGATGACTTTAGACCGACCAGGAGTTTAAAACCAGCCTCAGCCGGGCGCAGTGGCTCATGCCTGTAATCCCAACACTTTGGGAGGCTGAGGCAGGCAGATTGCCTGAGGTCAGGAGTTCGAGACCAGTCTGGCCAACATGATGAAGCTCCATCTCTGCTAAAAACACAAAAATTAGCCAGGCATGGTGGTGCGCACCTGTAATCCCAGCTACCTGGGAGGGCTGAGGCAGGAGAATCATTTGAACCCAGGAGGCAGAGGTTGCAGTGAGCCAAGATTGTGCCATTGCACTCCAGCCTGGGCAGCAGGAGCAAAACTCTGTCTCAAAAAAAAAAATAAATAAATAAAACCAGCCTGGGCAATAATAGTGAGACCCCATCTCTAAAAAATATATAATAAAATGAAAAACAAGTTTTTAACTGAGTTCTTTGAGTTTGTAATTGTATCTGTTTTACACTGCAAATCTGGGGGTTCCCAACATCATTAACGTAATTATATATTTTCTTTATCCTATTGTTATACTATTAGTTTTGCTATCGTTACTAACAATATTATTCTGAACAACAGTTTAAGACTTACTTTGTTCATTATTTTAAGAATTTATACCTCCAGGAATTTAAAGTTAAATTACTATATTTCGACCGGGCACAATGGCTCACACCTGTAATCCTAGCACTTTGGGAGGCCAAGGCAGGCGGATCACCTAAGGTCAGTAGTTCGAGACCAGCCTGGCCAACATGGTGAAACCCAGTCTCTACTAAAAAATACAAAGATTAGCTGGGCATGGAGGCACGCACGTGTAATCCCAGCTACTCAGGAGGCTGAGGCAGGAGAATCACTGGAACTCGGGAGGCAGAGGTTGCAGTGAGTTGAAATCATACTACTGCACTCCAGCCTGGGTGACAGAGCCAGACTTCATCTTAAAAAAAAAAAAAGAAAAATTACTATATTTCAAATTTACTTAAAATAATTCACTTTTATGGGTTATGCTACCAATATGATGCACAGGTTCATTTGCTTTTGACTTTTTTGTTTTTTTAAAAATTTTTTTTTAAATTTTTTTTGTATTTTTTTTCATTATACTTTAAGTTCTAGGGTACCTGTGCACAACGTGCAGGTTTGTTACATAGGTATACATGTGCCTTGTTGGTGTGCTGCACCCATTAACTCATCATTTACATTAGGTATATCTCCTAATGCTATCCCTCCCCCTCCCCCCACCCCACAACAGGCCCCGTTGTGTGATGTTCCCCTTCTTATGTCCAATTGTACTTATTGTTCAATTCCCACCTATGAATGAGAACATGTGGTGTTTGGTTTTTTGTCCTTGCACACCATGGAATACTATGCAGCCATAAAAAATGATGAGTTCATTTCCTTTGTAGGGACATGGATGAAGATGTTTTAAAATTTTATATTATTTAAAAATAAATGTTTACATGGTCCCAAAGTCAAATCTACAAAACAGTATGTACTCAGAGAAGGGTAGTTTCTTTCCCTGTCTCTTCCATCCTATTATCTTTCTCTCCCTTCTCATATAGGTAACTATAGCTAACCTTTTCTCTGTTTGTTTATATTTACATCTATATCTATAGAGAATATATTCATGTTCTCTTCCTTTCTAAAAACAATAGCATAGTATGCACACTTTCCTCCACTTTTCTTTCTTTCTTTTAGTTTTTTTTTTTTTTTAGAGATGCGGGTATCCCTATAATCACTATGTTGCCCAGGCTGGCCTCCAACTTTTGCTGCCTCAGCCTCCTGAGTAACTGGGACTACAGTCACACACCAGTGCACCCAGCTATTACCCATCCTGCTTCTTTTTTTACTTAAAAATATATCCTGGAGATCACTTTACAGTAGTATATAAAGATATTCCCTATTATTTTCCTCAGTGGTTTCATTGCTGCTCAGTAATTCATTATTTGGATACTTCATAATTAATTCAACCTGTCCCATGTGGATAGGCATTTTCGTTGTTTCCAGTCTTTGACTATTAGCCTTAATGCTTTGATACCTGCCTTATGCATACATCTTTTCATACTTTTTTAGTGTGTCTTTGTGATAGATTATTTTCCCTAATTGCTACTGGATTTTAAGGCACAATAAGAAAAGTTTTTCCCACTCCTAGGTTATAGAGGAATTAATTCATATTTTCTTTTAATTGCTATGTCACCTTTTAGTTGCCAGTTCTCTGATAAAAATAACAAGCTTGGATTTTTATTACTTTGAACATTGAGAGCATAGTTATTTTATGGCCTGTGTTTGATAATCATAATATCTAATTTTGTGTGTGTGTGTGTGGATCTGTTTCTGTTTATTTTGGCTATTGTTTCTAAAGATACTTTTCTTATTTTGTTGTATGCATGTTTATCTTTGATTATGTGGTATAATATATTTGTAAAAATAAGTGGAAGCAGCCGGGCATGGTGGCTCACACCTGTAATCCCAACATTTTGGGAGGCCGAGACGGGCAGATCACTTGAGGTCAGGAGTTTGAGACCAGCCTGGCCAACATAGTGAAACCCCGTCTCTACTAAAAAATAGAAAAATTAGCCGGCATGGTGGCGGGCGCCTGTAGTCCCAGCTACTCAAGAGGCTGAGGTGGGAAAATCGTTTGAGCCTGGGAGAAGAAGGCTGCAGTGAGCCGAGATGGTGCCACTGCACTCCAGCAGCCTGGGCAACAGAGTGAGACCTTGTCTCAAAAAAAAAAAAAAAAAAAAAAAAGTAGAGGCTTAGAAAATGCATTCTTATTCCAGAGAGGTATTTTATTTGCTTCTGTTTGGTGTGTGGGAACACTATCAGTCGGGGATTACTTAAATTGAATTTCAAGACTTGGTATTTGTAAGCCAATCAGATGGTAGGCTGCAAACCCAATGGAAGTGCTGGTTTAGTTCTGCTTCATGTTTCCCTTGTTGAAACAACTAAATGGTGGTGTTTCAGGAATAAAGTAAAAAGTAATACAAAAAATTAATGAATTAAAGAAGGAAGAAAGAAGAAAAAACACAAGAAAGAAAGAAATATTCATGAAGATTTTCCTATGAGAAAAATTTTTAAAAAATAAAATAAAATAGTCTGGGCAAAGTGGCTCACACCTGTAATCTCAACACTTTGGGAGGCCAAGGCAGACAGATCACCTGAAGTCAGGAGTTCGAGACCAGTGTGGCCAAGATGGCAAAATTCTATCTCTACTAAAAATGCAAAAAATTAGCCAGGCGTGGTGACGCGCACCTGTAATCCCAGCTACTTGGGAGGCTGAGGCAAGAGAATTGCTTGAACCCAGGAGGCGGAGGTTGCAGTGAGCTAAGATCACGCCACTGCACTCCAGCCTGGGCAACAGAGAGAGACTGTCTCAAAATAAATAAAATAAAATAAAATAAAATAAAATAAAATAAAATAAAATAAAATAAAATAAAATAAAATAATAAAAGAAAGAAAGAATTAAATGGGATGCCAGCACCCTGGGTCCCTATGTATGTAAACTGAAACCCAACTCTGTAAATAGTCATATTATCGGAAAACAAATTGAAGCTTAACCAACCAGAGCCCTTCTAACTATCCTCTAACTAGAAACTTTCCACTGGAATGATACAAATAAGGCTACCGCTCCACCTTAGCTGATCAAATATTTTCTCTGCCTTGCTTCCTCATTTACTTTGGTTTGAAGCTGCTTGATTTACTGTTCAAATAAACCTTATTTATTTATTTTTTATTTTTTTATTTTTGGAGACACTGTCTCACTCTGTTACCCAGGCCGGAGTGCAATGGTGCAATCACGGATCACTGCAGCCTCGACTTCCCAGGCTCAAGTGATTCTCCCACCTAAGTCCCCTGAGTGGCTGAGACTACAGATGTAAGTCACCACACCCACTCCTTTTTGTAGTTTTTGTAGAGAAGGGGTTTTGCCATATTGCCCAGGCTGGTCTTATACTCCTGGGCTCAAGTTGTCTGCCTGCCTCGGCCTCCCAAAGTGCTGGCATTGCAGGCGTGAGCCATGGTGCCCGACCAGCCCTTTAAAATTTTAACATGCGAGAGTTTATCTTTTAACACCTTAAACGTGGAGTAAAGGTTGCCATCTTAAAGTAAGGGGAAAGTTTGCTAAAGATCCCTTTTTAGGCCAGGCTCGGTGGCTCAGGTTGTGGCTGCAGTGAGCCGTGATCACACTACTGCACTCCAGCCTGGGTGACAGAGCAAGACCTGTCTAAAAAAATAAATACATAAATCCCTTTTTGGAGGGCCCTAGGCTTTGACTTTTGTCTCCTTTGCCAAACAAGGCTACTAAACACAAAGCTCAGATTTCCTGTTGTTTACTTGGAAATGGCAAATATCCTCAGGGTAAAAGAGCCTTTGAGCACTGATCTTAACTCTGAGTTTTTCTTTTTTCCTAGATTTTGACCTGATAATTCTTACTATCTTGTAAACTTATACTTTTAAGAAAATTGATTTTTTTCTTGTTTTACTAAGCATTTTTACTTGTCCTCAAAAAGACTGTTGATATGAATTACCTAGTTTATGTTATTGGAAGTGGAAGTCCCTCTCATTGTTATTTCTTTAAAAAAATTTTTTTAAGCCAGTCAAATTTAGACGTGGGGGGCTGTATACCAACTTTAGTGACATTAATGATCATAAGTTCTGATAACCCACTAGCAGCCTCTCATTGTTATTTCATTTTGCTATTCTCTGATTATTAAATATATTTTATTTTTATTTTTATTTTTGAGATGAAGTGTTGCTGTCATCCAGGCTGGAGTGCAGTGGTGCAATCTCAGCTCACTGCAACCTCCGCTTCCCAGGTTCAAGGGATTCTCCCACCTCAGCCTCCCAAGTAGCTGGGATTACAGGTGCTCACCACCACACTCTGCTAATTTTTGTATTTTTAGTAGAGACAGGTTTTCCCCATGTTGCCCAGGGTGGTCTGGTGATCCACCCGCCTCAGCCTCCCAAAGTGCTGGAATTACAGGCATGAGTCACCGTGCCCGGCCATGATTATTAAATAATTAAAGCATCTCTTCAAATGCTTTTCAGCCTTTTGGATTTTCTATTCTATAGATTGCCTGATTATATCCTTTTGTCTATTTTTTCCATTGGGGTTCCTGTGTTTTTCTTGCTGATCTGCCATTCCTGCCATATTGTATAATTAGTCCCTTGTTGATTTTAGACATGGGAAATGTCTTCTACCAATTTGTTATCACCCTATTAACTTTATCCATTGTTTGCTATATAAACAGAAATCCTTAAGTTTTATGTCATTAAATCCTTTTTTTTTTTTTTTGTTACCTAGGCTGGTCTTGAACTCCTGAGCTCAAGTGATCTACCCTCCTTGGACTCCAAAAGTGCTAGGATTACAGGTGTGAGCCACAGCACCCAGCCTATGTCACAAAATTCATCAATTTTTTTGCCATATAACTTGTACTTTAGGTTTTTTTAAAAAAGTCCTTTATCATCTGCATCACAAAATAATTCTCTTATATTTTCTTCTAAAACATAGTTTTACCTTTCTTGACCAGGTGCAGTGGCTCATGCCTGTAATCCCAGCACTTTGGGAGGCCGAGGCAGGCAGATCACTTGAGGTCAGGTGTTCGAGACCAGCCTGGTCAACTTGGTGAAACCCAATCTCTGCTAAAAATACAAAATTTAGCTGGGTGTGATGGTGCACGTCTATAGTTCCAGCTTCTTGGGAGGCTGAGGCACAAGAATCGCTTGAACCCAGGAGACTGAGACTGTAATGAGCTGAGATCACGTCACTGCACTCCAGCCTGGGCCACAGAGAAAGACCCTGTCTCAAAACAAACAAACAAACAAACACAAAAAAAACCCCAAAAAACAAAGAAAACACAACATAGTTTTACCTTTCACATTTATGACTTTATTAAACCTGGAGCCCATAATGATATGTGACCTTAGATAAGAAAAGCAGTTTTGCTTCTATTTTTAGAGTAAGCCAATTTTCCCCAAACTTTTTATGAAGGAATCTATTATTTTCCATTGATTAGTGATTTCACTTTTATTATATATTAACTCTCATGTGCATGGTTTTATGCTTGGGCATGGTTTATTTTGTTCCACTAGTCTATTTGGTGTTGGTGTTTTTTTGTTTTGGGCTTCATGTTTATTTGTTTGTTTTCTGTGCGTGCGTGTGTTTTTTTCTTCTTTTGAAACAGTCTTGCTCTGTCACCCAGCCTGGAGTGTAATGGACTCATCATAGCTCACTGCAGTCTTTACCTCCTGGGCTCAAGCATTCCTCCCACCTTAGCCTCCCCCAAATAGCTAGGACCACAGATGCACTTAGGACTACAGGTTTGTGCCACTGCACTCTAGCCTGGGTGACAGAGGGAGACACTGTCTCAAAAAAAAAAAAAAGAAAAAGTTATATCATTTGATTTTTCTTACTTATACAATTAATACATTAAACTATGTAAATAAGTTTGATGATATTAAATCATTGTTTATTCTTGGGAGAACCCATACTTGATCATGATGGATGGTGTAAAATATATACATATATATATATATATATATATATATATATATATATATATATATATATTCTTGTGTTTGTTGGCTAACAATTTCTTTAGGATTTTTGTACGTACACTTATTTATAAACTGAGCCTACACTTTTCCTTTCTGGTGTTTGTTATTTGTTGCATAGTTTTGGAATCAAGAGTATGGGGCCTTATAAAATTAACTGGGCAGGTTTTGCTCCTTTTTTATTAGTGGAACAACTTGTATAAGATAGTGATTTAGAGATCTACAAAGTTTGCTAGAACTCACTTATAAAACAATGTGCACCTGGAGATTTGTGAGCGGCAAAGTCTTTGACTACCACTTCAGTTTTTCTATTTAAATTATTTTCTTTTTGTGATGGTTTTGGCATTTTATATATTTCTTTCTTTTCTTTTTCTTTTTTGAGACGGAGTCACTGTGTTGCCCAGGCTGGGGTGCAGTGGCGCATTCTTGGCTCACTGCAACCTCTGTCTCCAGCCTGGGTAACAGAGCGAGACTCTGTCTCAAAAAAAAAAAATTATTTACTTTTGGCCAGGCGCGAGTGGCTCATGCCTGTAATTCCAGCACTTTGGGAAGACGAGGTGGGAGGATAGTTAGAGCCCACGAGTTTGACACCAGCTTGGGCAATATGGCAAGATCACATCTCTACAAAAAGTAAAAAAAAAAAAAAAAATAGCTGGGCGTGGTGGCCCATGCCTATGGTCCCATCTACACAGGAGGCTGAGGCAGGAGGATCACTTGAGCCCAGTAGGTCAAGACTTCAGTGAGCCCTGTTCTCCCCACTATATTCCAGCCTGGGTGATAGAGCAAGACCCTGTCTCAAGAAAAAAAAAAAAAAAAGAATGACTTTTGCCGAAGTTCTTTCTTATAAATCTTTTTTAAAGAGCCCAATTTCAAAATTTATAAATCTTTGTTGTTTTTCTCTTCTGTATTACATTTTCTCTTATACTTTTTATCCCTTATTTCTTATATTTGCTCTATGCATTTTTTTTAATTTATGAGTTGACTGTTTAACTTTTTTGTTTTTAATGCTTTGTGTGTCTGTGTGAGACACAGGGTCTCACTCTGTCACTCAGGCTGGAGTACAGTGGTACACTCACTGGTCACTGCTGTTTTGACCTCCTGGGATGAAGTAATCTTCCTGCCTTAGTTTCCTGAGTAGCTGGGACTAGAGAGGCTTGCCACCACACACAACTAATTTGTTAAAGAAAATTTGGGCTGGGCGCAGTGGCTCACACCTGTAATCCCAGCACTTTGGGAGGCCGAGGCGGGCAGATCATGAGGTCAGGAGTTCGAGACCAGCCTGACCAACATGGTGAAACCCCATCTCTACTGAAAATACAAAAATTAGTGGGGCGCGGTGGCACACACCTGTAATCCCAGCTACTCAGGAGGCTGAGGCAGGAGAATCACTTGAATCTGGGAGGCAGAGGTTGCAGTGAGCCGAGATCATGCCACTGCACTCCAGCCTGGGCAACAGAGTGAGACTCCATCTCAAAAAAAAAAAAAAAAAAAAACAACCAAAAACAACAACAAAAAACTCTAGGCTCAAGTGATCCTCCTGCCTTAGCCACTCAAAGTGTTGGGATTACAGATGTGAGGCACTGGGTTCAACCTGTTTTTAATCTTTCTTGTTTCCTGATCAATTTACTTAAAGACATAATTGATCAACTTACTTAAAGACATAATTTTGCCCTTTTTACCTCTATATATAACTTTTTTTTTTAAGATGGAGTCTCAGGCTGGAGTGCAGTGGTGCGATCTCTGCTCACTGCAACCTCCGCCTCCCTGGGTTCAAGCGATTTTCCTGCCTCAGCCTCCCGATTAGCTGGGACTACAGGCATGCCCCACCATGCCTGGCTAATTTTTGTATTTTTAGTGGAGACAGGGTTTCACCAAGTTGGCCAGGCTGGTCTTGAACTCCTGACCTCAAGTGATCTACCCGCCTCAGCCTCCCAAACTGCTGGGATTACAGGCATGAGCCACGGTGCCTGGCCCTATATAACTTTTTAAGGTATGGTCCACAAATTTTGACCTGTATAGTTTTGTTATGATTCTATTCTAGTTTTTCTTAATTTTCTTTATGTTTTCCTTTTAAACGAAAAGGTTATTTATGTATATGTAATTTAATTCCCCAATATAGGTGATTCTGTTAGCAATTCTTTTGTTATTAATTTCTAATTTTATTGCATGAATGTTTATACCAGTCTTATTCATAATAGCCCAAAAGTTGAAACAACTCAAACGTCCATCAACTGATGAATTCATGAACAAAGTATGGAATATCTATACAAGGGATTGTTATTCAAAAATAAAAAGGAACTGGACTGGGTGGCTCACACCTGTAATCTTAACACTTTGGGAGGCCAAGGTGGGAGGATCACTTTGAGCCAGGAGTTCAAGACTACCCTGGACAACATAGTGAAACACTGTCTCTATTAAAAAAGTTAAAAAATTAGCCAGCGGCTGGACTCAGTGGCTCATGCCTGTAATCCCAGCACTTTGGGAGGCTAAAGTGGGTGGATTGCTTGAGTCCAGCAGTTCGAGACCAGCCAGAGCAACATGGCAAAACCCCATCTCTACTAAAAATACAAGAAATCAGCTGGGCATGGTGGCACCAGCCTGTAATCCCAGCTACTGGGGGGGCCGAGGTGGGAGGATAGCTTGAGCCCACGAGGTGAAGGTTGCAGTGAGTCGAGATTGTGCCACTGCACTTCAGCCTGGGCGACAGAACTAGACCCTGTCTCAAAATCGATCAATCAATCAACAAAAATAAAAAGAAATAAAGTACTGATACATACTCAAACATGGATGAACCTTGATTACATCATGCTAAGTAAAAGAAGCCAGACACAGAAAGATCACACGTTGTATGATTCCACTTATATGAAATATGCAGGATCGGCAACTCTCTAGAGACTGAAAGTAGATTAGTGTTTGTTAGAGGCTGGGGAGGATGGGTTTAGATGGAAATAGGATGTGACTGCAAATGGATATAGGGTATTTTTGAGGTGATAATAATGTTCAAAAATGTATTGTGGTGATGATTGCTTAATTTTGTGAATAACCTTCAAAGCATTGAATTGTACCTTTTATTTATTTTTATTTTATTTTATTTTTTTGAGACAGGGTCTGCCTCTGTCCCCCAGGCTGGAGTAAAGTGGTGCAATCATAGCTCACTGAAACCTCTACTCATGCCATCCTCCCACCTCAGCCTCCTGAGTAAATGGGACTACAGGCCTGTGCCACCATGTCCAGCTAATTTTCGTATTTTTGTAGAGACAGAGTTTTGCCATTATGCCCAGGCTGGCCTCAAACTCCTGAGCTCAAGCAATACTCCCACCTCTGCCTCCCAAAATGCTGGGATTACAAGAGTGAGCCACCTTCCTGGGCCAAATAAATAAATGTCCCATTTATTTATTTATTTTTGTTTTACTAATACAGTTTAACAAGGCAGTTTTACATAAGCTCACATCAACAATAAAAAATAACTAAGAATTTTATTTTATTTTATTTATTTATTTTTTTGAGACAAAGTCTTGCTCTGTCTCCCAGGCTGGAGGGCAGTGGAGCAATGTCGGCTCACTGCAACCTCTGCCTCCTGGGTTCAAATGATTCTCCTGCCTCAGTCTCCTGAGTAGCTGGGACTACAGGTGCGCACCACCACTCCCGGCTAATTTTTGTATTTTTAGTAGAGACGGGGTTTCACCATGTTGGCCAGTCTGGTGTCGAACCCTGACCTCAAGTGATTTGCCTACCTTGGCCTCCCAAAGTGCTGGGATTACAGGCCTGAGCCACCGCTCCCAGCCCAAATGTTCTTAACTACTTAAAGTAAAAATTTAAATTTGACTCCTCATTAAATATTCTAATGCCTCTTCCTAAATTTCCTTGTCAGCCAAACCCTCTCTACCTCTGGGTTCACTGGGTTTTCTTTTTTTTTTTTTGGCCAGGACGGTCTTGATCTCTTGACCTCGTGATCCGCCCGCCTCAGCCTCCCAAAGTGTTGGGATTACAGGCGTGAGCCATTTCACTCGGCCCACTGGGTTTTTTAAAATGTGTTGTTTTTGGTATCAAGAAATAAGAATTTGGTTAGGCAAACTGGTAGTACATTGGGAAGCAAATGGAAAAGTTGCATTAAAACAAGTGAGCAACAGAACAGACATCTATTAATTCCCTAGTCAATTAGATCAGTGTTTATCAAACTACATGTCATAAATCATTAGTGGGTTGTTAAATTAAAAAAATAAAGATTAACAGGACCAGGCATGATGGCTCATGCCTGTAATCCCAGCACTTTGGGAGGTCAAGGTGGGAGAATTGCTTGAGTCCAGGAGTTTGAGACCAGCCCAGGCAACATAGTGAGACCCTGTCTCTACAAAATTTTTTTTTTTTTTTTAGACGGAGATTCTGTCCTGTTGCCCAGGCTGGAGTGCAATGGCGCAATCTTGGCTCACCGCAACCTCCGCCTCCTGGGTTCAAGCAATTCTCCTGCCTCAGACTCCTGAGTAGCTGGAATTACAGGCATGCACCACCATACCCGGCTAATTTTGTGTTTTTATAGAGATGGAGTTTCTCCATGTTGGTCAGGCAGGTCTCAAACTCCTGACCTCAGGTGATCCACCTGCCTCGGCCTCCCAAAGTGCTGGGATTACAGGAGTGAGCCACTGCGCCTGGCCTACAAATTTTTTTTTTTTTTTAATTAGCCCAGTGTGGTGGTGCATGCCTGTGGTCCCAGGTACTTGGGAGACTGAGGTGGAAGCATCACTTGAGTCCAGGAGGTGAAGGCTGCAGTGAGCCATGATCGAGCCACTGCACACAAGGCTGGGTGACAGAGCGAGACCCCATCTCAAAAAAAAAAAAAAAAAGTTGAACACTGTGGCTTATGCGTATAATCCCAGCACTTTGGGAGGCCAAAGTGAGAGGATCACTTGAGGCTAGGAGTTCCAAGACCAGCCTGGGCAACATAGTGAAACCCTATCTTTACAAAAAATAAAATTAAAACATTAGCCAGGCATAGTGACCTGCATCTGTAACCCCTGTTACTCCGAAGGCTGAGGTGGGAAGATCACTTGAGCCCAGCAGGTCGAGGTTGCAGTGAGCCATGTTCAAGCCATTGCCATCCAGCCTGAGCGACAGAGCAAGACCCTGTCAAAAAGAAAGAAAGAAAAGAAAAGAAAAAGGCCAGGCTCACACTTGTAATCCCAGGACTTTGGGAGGCTAAGGCAGGAGGACTCTCTTAAGCCCAGGAGTTTGAGACCAGACTGGGCAAAACAGTGAAACCTCATCTCTATAAAAAGAACAACAACAACAACAAAAGACTAACGATTGAGTATTAAGTGAAAAAACTTGGCTGGGCACAGTAGCTCACACCTGTAATCCCAGCACTTTGGGAGGCCGAGGCAGGCAGATTGCTTGAGGTCAGGAGTTCAAAAACAGCCTGACCAACATGATGAAAACCTGTCTCTACTAACAATACAAAAATTAGCCTGCTGTGGTGGTGTGCACCTGTAATCCCAGCTTTTTGGGAGGCCGAGGCACGAGAATCACTTGAACCTGAGAAGCAGAGGTTATAGTGAGCCAAGATCGCACCACTGGACTCCAGCCTGCGCAACAGAGTGAGACCCTGTCTCAACAACAACAGCAACAACAACAACAACAAAAAAAACGAAAAAAAAAAAAAACTTTTCTGGCAAGCAGAGAACCCAACACAGTACCAAATCTAGGTAGTTTCTGGAGAATGAGGTTGGGAAAAGGAGTAATGAAGTAGGTCTTTCAGTCAAAAGATCTCAAACTGCCGGGGGTGGTGGCTCACGCCTGTAATCCCAGCATTTTGGGAGGCTGAGGTGGGCAGATCATTTGAGGTCAGGAGTTCAATACCAGCTTGACCAACATAGCGAAACCCCATCTCTACTAAAAATACAAAAAAAATTAGCTGGGCATGGTGGTACACACCTGTAATCTCAGCTACTAGAGAGGCTGGGGCAGGAAAATCGCTTGAACCTGGGAGGCAGAGGTTGCAGGGAGCCAAGGTCATGCCACTGCACTCCAGCCTTCCAGCCTGGGCGACAGAGAAAAAGTCTGTCTCAAAAAAAAAAAAAAAAAGAGAGAGAGAGAGAGAGAGAGAGATCTCGAACTGTGTCAGTCCAATTTCTTTGTTTTTTCTATTTTTCTGGTGTGTTATTTATTTATTTATTTATTTATTTTCTTTTTTTCCTATATTTAAAAAGCAAAATCTGGCCAGGCACAGTGGCTCACATCTGTAATCCCAGCACTTTGGGAGGCCGAGGCAGGCAGATCACTTGAGGTACGGAGTTCGAGATCAGGTGAAACCCTGTCTCTACTAAAAAATATAAAAATTAGCCTGGTGTGGTGGTGGGTGCCTGTAATCCCAGCTGCTTGAGAGGCTGAGGCAGGAGAATTACTTGAACCCAGGAGGTGGAGGTTGCAGTGAGCTGAGATCACACCACTGTTCTCCAGCCTGGGTGACAGAGCAAGACTCTGTCTCTAAAGACAAAAAAATAAAAAACAAAATCTCTGAGTGGTGTTGATTGGCTGAGAATATCTGGATTTGGGGTTAGGTATACACTGGCCTGGCTAGAGATGGTCTGCTGGGTATGTTGGAGTCCTCTCTGGATGTGTCATCTAGTTCAGCCTGCACTGGTGACAGCAGGCCAAGTTGAGGTTTACCTTTGTATATGAAGTCATTTTAGTAGGTAGTGACCAGTGTTTTATAAAATGAAATAGAAGAATAGAATGATAGGATAGATTAGAATAAAAAATATGAGAGCACATTGCATATAGTAAATATTGTTTTGTGAAACCTGTTTTAGTTATATTTATGTATATATGTATGTATGTTCTAGTCTATGGTGTAAAATGTATGTATGTATGTATGTATTTACTTTGTAGAGACAGGGCTTTGCTCTGTCACCCAGGCTGGAGAGCAGTGGTGTGATCACGGCTCACTGGAGCCTCGACTTCCTGGGCTCAAGCGATCCTCCCACCTCCACCTCCCAAGTAGCTGGGACTACAGGACCTTCTCATTTTTAAATGTTTAGTAGTGATGGGGTTTTTGCATGTTGCCCAGGCTGGTCTCAAACTCCTGGGATCAAGCGATCCACCCACCTTGACCTCCTATAGTGCTAGGATTACAGGGGCGAGCCGCTGCGCCCAGCCTAAAAAAGTATTTCTTACTATGTTCATGGTCACAAAAGTTCAAATGTTACAGAATTAGATGATGCTCCTTGAAGTTTTTTTTGGGGGGGGTCCTAATTTCATTCTTAATATGAAAGTCACATGCTCATAGTAAAATTTCAAACTGTTTGGAAGGGAGTAAATTGAAAATCTCCCTCTCTCTATCCCATTTCAACTTCCCCAGATCAGAAAACCATTAAAATCATTTATGAAGAAATACATATACACACATACACATACCACTTTTTCTTTTTTGACACACTGTCTCACTCTGTTGTCCAGGTTGAGTCCAGTGGTGTCATCACACCTCACTGTAACCTTGAACTCCTGGGCTCAAGTGAGCCCACCTACCTCAGCCTCCTGAGTAGTTGGGACTAGGCACGCAACACCACAACCAGTTAATTTTTAAATATTTTGTAGAGACAAGGTCTCGCCATGTTTCCTAGGCTGGTCTCAAACTCCTGAGCTCATGTGGTTCTCCCGCCTGGGCCTCCCAAAGTGCTGGGATTATAGGTGTGAGCTACCGTGCCTGGCCCAGGTATCACATTTTTATTGAATTATTATATATGCGTATATGACTTCTTTAAAAACACACAAAAGATGATTATAATCTAGATACTCCAAATGTTAAATGACGAGTTACTGGGTTCAGCACACCAACATGGCACATGTATACATATGTAACTAACCTGCACGCTGTGCACATGTACCCTAAAACTTAAAGTATAATAAAAAAAATCTAGATACTAATGTGCAGCTATTTTTAACTAATTTTGTTCATTTACATCCTTGGATATATTTTCATAATAAATCATTCTCTTTCATGTGTGCATAATTTCCCATTGCATGGATGTATATCATTTATATAACTATTCCTGTAGTCATGGTCATTTGAAGGGATTCCAGTTTTCAACACTACAAAAAAACGCTTAGCCGATACATTTTTTATCTCTTTGCATGCTTTTGTGGAGAAATCTATAGCACAAATTCTTAATTAGACCTGATGGATCAAAGAGTACACAGATTTAACATTTTGGTAGGTATTGCCAAATTGCCTTCAAAAATGTTCATACCAGTTTACATCCCTGAAGTCTATGAGAACTCCTGTTTCTCCTTGTCAACATCAATTTTTAGCAAAGCTTGTCCAATGTTATGAAAATGGTATCTCAGCACAGAAGCAGGCTAGCACAATACTTGAGTGAGGTTCTCACAGCTGGATGTGATGGCTCATGCTTGTAATTCCAATACTTTGGGAGGCCGAGGCTGGAGGATCACTTGAGGCCAGGAGTTCAAGTCCAGCCTGGGCAATATAGTGAAACCCATCTGTACCAAAAAATAAATTTAAAAAAGTAGCTGAGTGTGGTGGTTTGCGCCTGTAGTCCCAGCTACTTGGAGGCTAAGGCAGAAGGATTGCTTGAGGCTGCGATGTGCCATGATTGCACCGCTGCTCTCCAGCCTGGATGACAGAACAAGACACTGTCTCTAAAAAAAATTTTTTTTAAAGAGTGAGGGTGAGGTTCTAGGGCCTCAGCAGCTTTGGACAAGTTACTTCACTTTTCTAAGCCTCAGTTTTCTCATCTGGAGAATGGGAATGACATAATAGTACCTACTTAAAAGGGTGGTGGTTGTAAAGATTAAGCATGTGCCTTGGACATAGTAAATTTTGACGTTTGTGTTTTGTTTATCATTCAGTATTATTAACTTAATATTCATAACTGTTCTTCTTAAGCTAAACAGGTAGAGTAACTTAGTGGTCTAATCAAGCTTTTTGAAGGCTGAAATGTGAATTCACCCACAATTAATTCTTAGTAAGGTTCTGAAACCAGTTTCCTTCCTGTGGTAATGTCGGTTTAACCATGTGAGAGAGAAAGCATGATTGGCATGTTCTGGGGCCTTGCCAGAGCATTGTCACTGCACTGTTGCATTCTTTTGACAACGATCTCAGCACCCACTGCCTTGTGAGGTGCTTCCATTTATAAAATTACTAGCATGAAAATTTTACTAGCATGAAAATTATTGTAAGTCAGTGGGAAAAATTAATATTGTGGAAAAAATTAATGTTGCCCTTAGAATCCTTTCTTAAAATGCTTTACTTTGTATCTGTTTTGTTCTACTCTAAGTATAGATGCACATCCATTTGCAGTCATGACAAGTTATGACTCTTGTCCATTGCTTGTTTTGTTGCTGAAAGAGGAAGAGAATTAGAAATTGGAAATAATTGCATATTTCAGCTTATGTCATTTTACTTTAAAAGAAACTAAAAGAACTTTGTGGGGCTCAGTTGTCTGAAGGTTTCTTCACGTCTTCCCACCCCCAGGGCCAGAAACTTGTTGAAATACATTTCAGTTGTATACTTTTCTCAAGGTATTCTAGTAATTCTGCTAAAGAGTATGTAATGTGCTATGTGATGCTGGTGAAAATGACCACATATAAAATGTTATGCAGGCTAGGTGCAGTGGCTCATGCCTGTAATCCCAGCACTTTGGGAGGCCGAAGCGGGTGGATCACTTGAGGTCAGGAGTTCAAGACCAGCCTGGCCAACATGGTGAAACCCTATTTCTACTAAAAATACAAAAATTAACCGGGTGTGGTGGCGAGCACCTGTAATCCCAGCTATTTGGGAGACTGAGGCAGGAGAATTGCTTGAACCTGGGAGGTGGAGGTTGCAGTGAGCCGAGATTGTGCCACTGCACTCCAGCCTGGGCGACAGAGCGAATGTCTCCAAAGGAAAAAAAAAAATGTTATGCAAATTCCACAGTTAATCATGTTTATTTAATTATTAGCTTTGAGTCAGATGCAAAATAAACTGAAGTAGTATGGAAGTCAGAAAGCCTAATGCTGCCAATATGAGGAACAGAAGTTTTCACTCATGTTATTAATCAAAACCATTGTTGTATGAGGACTGTCATATCCCGATCAGTTTTTGACCAGTTTTTAGTAGATAAAATCTCATGTCGAGTGGAGTGTGGTTGCATGTGCCTGTAGTCCCAGCCATTTTAGAGGCTGAGGTGGGAGGGAGTGGTTTGAACCCAGGAGTTTGAGGCCAGTCTGGACAAGACAGCAAGATCCTGTCTCAAAAAAATCCCCCCTAAAACCGTATCAGTGCATAAGACTGGATGCCTACATTTTGGACCACCTCCATCAGAATCACCTGTTGTACTTATAAAAAATTTAGATTTCCCAAGGCCTTACCTAAGACCCCACTCCCCCACCCACATTAGTTTCTGATTCTTTGTTATTTTCAAGCCTCAGTTCATATTGTCTGGCCTCAGCCCCTACCTAAATCCACATCATACCATCAGAATCGCTGGGAGAGGGGTCCAAGGAAATCTACATTTTCAATAAGCACCCTAAGTGATTCTCATACAAACCAAAGTTC
Source organism: Homo sapiens (assembly GCF_000001405.40). Lineage (NCBI taxonomy): Eukaryota > Metazoa > Chordata > Mammalia > Primates > Hominidae > Homo > Homo sapiens. The sequence continues at coordinate 68,441,849 of NC_000023.11, read as the reverse complement.
AAGAATCATTAGTAGAACGTTATAATTTAGTTTCCATGATTCAGCAGGCCCCTCTAGGAACTGCTGGGAAATTTCTGGCCCCTCAGTAGAGCATGGTATCTTCTAAGATGCTATAAAATGGCATAGCCCAGCAGGCTGTGCTGGGATGCTGGGTATTGATATCTTCCTGGGAGTTAAAAAGTAATACAACTGTGCCTTTATTGCCCTTATAAAGCCTTTTAGAACTGACATAAACCTTGTTTGAATTTTTTTTGAAATGTGGCTTATTAGGAATCAAAATGGACACATAAAATGGTCACGAGGAAAAAATTCCCAGGTTATTACCAATAGATAGCTTTGATATGGTGCTGCTGGTGTGAAAATGTGATGAAAATGGTGAATTCTATGGATAAAGAATTTTGGTGGATATTTAATCACATAGACTGAAATAGATTATATTTTTAAAGCTATAAATTGGTGGCTTTTTTTTCCACCAAGCAACTCCATAAAGAGAAACTTGAAGGGAGTGGGTAAATGGAGAGTTGGATGTACAGAGAATTATAAAAGAGGATTTTTCCTTTCTAACCATTTGCCACTTCTAGCTCCTAAAAGTTTTAAAATCTTGGCGTAGGCTGAGGAAAAAAACTAAGCCAAGTTCAGTCAAAGCAGGGAATGGACCAGAGCCAAGACTAGAGCTGGGAATGGTGCCAACAGTAGTAAAGGATTTAGACCAGGCTAGAACTAGGGGCTAGGCTAGCAGTGTTGTTGTGCTGAGGGGCAGTTATCTACTTTGTCTTCTGTCTCATGCAGTGCAAGTCTGGAAATTCTAGACAGCTGAGCATATGTAGCTTGGGAGCCAGTTTTGTCAGCTAGCTCTTCAGAGAAGTTCAACATAAAGCCTCTGTTAATATTCAGCCTGGGATAATTTCAAATCATTTGCTGAAGTTACAGCAAGTGACCCAGAACTATTTTTTCTGTATTACAGTTCCAAGTACGTCCAGTCACATAAGCAGGAGGGAATGGAGATTAGATGTTGATGAGTTAGGCTGGAAGGTACTGTAATGCAATGGCAAAACATGACTTTGAATTCAGAGCTGGATTTGAATCTCTAGGACATCATTTATTCTCTGGGTGACTTTGGCCAAGTAGCTTAACTTCTCTGAGGTTCAGTTGCTTCATCTGTAAAATGCAAGGGACAATAGCACCTTCCTCAATGAGATCATTTATGTAAAGTGCCTGTAAATGAGATCATTTATGTAAAGTGCCTGGCATAGGAGAAATCATCATCAACTTGTGCTGTCCCCTCTCCCTCCACCTGCCACCTCTATTTCACCTCCAGGTTTTCTTCTTGTTATTGGATACAGGCCAGTAACTTCTATATTTTTTCTACCTTTTTGTGAAGGAAGGATTATAACATTTCAGGACAAAGACCTTTAGGATCCTTTATAAGAAGCATAGGGTTTATAAAATATTACTTTATATCTTTAGGTAAACATTTTTTTTTCAGACACAGGTTCTCCCTGTGTTGCCCACATTGGAAAGCGGTGGCTATTCACAAGTGCGATCATAGTTCACTGCAGACCCGAACTCCTGGGCTCAAGGGATCCTCCTGCCTCAAGCTCCTGAGTAGCTAGGACTCCAGGCGAGTGCCACCACATCTACCAGGATAAAACTCTTTTTAAAAACACATTTAATAAATTACTGAAGTCTAAAAATGACATTTGGAAAATTACCTTTTCTTTCCAGCCTCCCAGACCAGTTTTTTTTTTTTTTTTTTAACGGAGTCTCGCTCTGTCGCCCAGGCTGGAGTGCGGTGGTGTGATCTCGGCTCACTGCAACCTCTGCCTCCCGGGTTCAAATGATTCTCATGTCTCAGCCTTATGAGAAGCTGGGATTACGGGCTCACACCTCCACGAACAACTAGTTTTTTGTATTTTTAGCAGAGACAGGGTTTCTTCATGTTGGCCAGGCTGGTCTCGAACTCCTGGCCTCGAACTCCTGCCCTCAAGTGATCTGCCTGCCTTGGCCTCCCAAAGTGCTGGGATATCAGATGTGAGCCACTGGGCCCCTCCTAAAATGGGATTTCTTTCGCTTCCTTGTAAAATGGTGGCAAACCCTGCTTATAAGTGCATGTGCATGTGTATTCTTTTTACTGTCACAGACTCAAATTGCATCGAACTAGTGGAGCTTGTTAAACCCTTACTAGTTACACGAGACTAGGCAATTACTGAAATTCTCTGAGCCTACCATCCCTCACATATAAAGTGAGGATGATAATACCGTAGCAGCTGTCTTTACACTGGGGTATGCCTAGCCCTGAAGGTATGTCTTAGTCCATTTGGGCTGCTATAACAAAAGTATCATAGACTGGGAGACTTATAAACAACAGAAGTTTGTTTCTTACAGTTTTGTAGGCTAAGAAGTCCTGTTACAGGTAGAAGGTTTTCACTTTAAGTTGCCCAGGTTCTTGGCATTTTGAGCAAAGAATTGGACAAAACGCACAGCAAAGCAAGGAAAAAATGAGGCAACAAAAGCAGAGATTTATTGAAAATGAAAGCACGCTCCACAGTGTGGAAGTGGGCCGAGCAAGCTTTTCAAGCGCCCCCATACAGAATCTTCTGGGGTCCAAATACCCCCTAGACGTTTCCCATTAGCTATTTGGTGTTCACCCCATGTAAATAAAGTGGTGGCCCCCAATCAGTCTGATTAGTTGTAGAAAGCAACCAATCAGAGGCTGAAGTGATGTTACAAAGTTACACTCCTATGCTTTCGGCAGTCAATCAGAGGTACTTTCAATTTTCCATCTGCCCCTCAGAAAAGGTGGGAGTTTGCAAAGGGAGTAGCTTCTGGTCCTTTTGTTACTTAGGCGTGGAAAGTTGGGATTTTCCTTTCAATTTAGTTATAGGAAGTCAGTGTGAAACGGCCTTAGGTTCCCTGCCTCCAGACCCTATTCCCCTGCCTCAGTGCCACATCAAGGCATTTGCAGATTCAGTGCCTGCTGAAGGCCTGCTTCCTGCTTTGTATACTGCTGTCTTATCTCTGTCCTCACATGGTGGAAGGGATAAGGGAGCTCTCTCAGGCCTCTTTTACAAGTGCACTCATCCAGCTCATGAAGGCTCCACCCTCATGACCTAACCAAGTCTTAATGCCCCACCTCCTAATACCATTACCTTGAGGGTTAGGATTTCAACATATAAACTGGGTGAATACAAATACTCAGTCCAGAGCAAGGCACATGGAAACTGTCCAACGGCTTTGAGGTCACCAGGTAGCCGAAAGTGAACCAATTTCCGGATACGCAATTTTCTTTAGCACTTTTTCTAAAAATCATTTGTCTGAGAACTCACCTCCAGTTTTCCTTTCCTACCTCCCTTGCTCAATATCTCAAAGGGAAAGCATACCTTTTAAACATCAAGAATCTTACTATGGTGCTTTGGCCCAAGGTATAAAAACCCTTGGGGCTAAACATAGAAATAATTTAAAATATTGGTGTTCAGGAATCTTCTTTAACTCAATGCCCTGAAACCTACCTCTTTCTTAACCATCTTACTAAGAGATGCAGTTCCAATAAACTTTTTTTTTTTTTTTTTTGAGAGAGAGTCTCACTCTGTTGGCTGGAGTGCAATGGTGTGATCTCGGCTCACTGCAACTTCCGCCTCCGGGGTTCAAGTGATTCTCCTGCCTCAGCCTCCTCAGTAGCTAGCATTACAGGTTCACTCCACCATGCCTGGCTATTTTTTTTTTTTTGTATTTTCGTAGAGATAGGGTTTCGCCATGTTGGCCAGGCTCATCTCGAACTCCTGGCCTCAAGTGATCTGCCGGCATTGGCCTTCCAAAGTGCTGGGATTATAGAAGTGAGCCACTATGCCCAGCCCCAATAAAATTTTATATTTAATAATAATTACAATGTGTTCGCATTATTTTACTCTATTATGTATGCTTAATAATCACAGAAGCTTTTTAATCCATGAAGCCTTATGGTCACAAGGAAATAAAAAGAATTAACTTTCTATTTATGAGCTGTGCATGGTGGCTCATGCCTGTAATTCCAGCACCTTGGGAAGCCAAGGCAGGAGAATTGCCTTGGCTTCCTGGGCTCGGGAGTTAGAGACCAGCCTGGGCAACATAGGGAGGCCCTGTCTCTATTAAAAATTAAAAAATTAGTAGGGTGTGGTGACGTGCGCCTGTAGTCCCAGCTACTTGGGACTGAAGTGGGAGGATTGTGTGAGCCTGGGAATTTGAGGCTGCAGTGAACTGTGATTGCACCATTGTACTCCAGCTTGTGTGACAGAGTGAGACCCGGTTTAAAAAAAAATTATGTTTGTGAGCATATTTTTGTTGCAGAGAAATTCAATATGGTGATCAATAGACTTTAAGTATGGAAGTATGATGGTTGGCCAGGTACGGTGGCTCATGTCTATAATCCCAGGGCTTGGGGTCGAGGCAGGAGGATTGCTTGAAGCCAGGAATTTGAGACCAGCCTGGACAACATGGTGAGACCCTGTCCCTACAAAACAACACAACAACAACAAAAAACATTAGCCAGACATGGTGGCTCAGGCATATACTCTTAACTACTTGGGAGTCTGAGATGCGAGAATCGTTTGAGTTCAGGAGTTCGAGGCTGCAGTGCACTTAAGATTGTGCCACTGCACTCCAGCCTGGGTGACAGAGTAAGACTGTTTAAAAAAAAAAAAGGATAAAATTTCTGTGGGGAAAACGTATAGATAATTGATTTGAAGAAGAAAAAATGAACAATAGAATAAATTTTTTGAAGATTCAAGATGTGTTTACACTTTGTTTTGCTTTGTGCGTTTGATGATGGATGTCAGATTGAATACTTTTAAAAGAGTGATGTAACAGTTTTATTTTAAAACGTCAATATTCCTAGTATGTTAGAAATTAAACTTTTTGCAACTATTTAAGCATAATGAAAAAATTTAGATGTTAGGCCAGGGGTGGTGGCTCATGCTTGTAATTCCAGCACTTTGGGAGGTTGAGGTGGGTGGCTCGCTCGAGGTCAGGAGTTCAAGGCCAGCCTGACCAACATGATGAAACCCAATCTCTACTAAAAATAAATAAATAAATAAAGCGGGCATGGTGACATGTGCCTGGAATCCCAGCTACTCGGGAGGCTGAGGCAGGAGAATTGCTTGAACCTGGGAGGTGGAGGTTGCAGTGAGTGGAGATCGTGCCACCACACTCTAGCCTGGGTGACAGAGTGAGACTCTGTCTCAAAAAAATAAAATAAAAAAAAGATACCACTTAAAAACGAAGGAGTACATAGCTCCCAAAATTCTTTTAGGGGTTATGTGAACAAAATTTTAAAGACTCTCAGTGACATAGGGTTAGCTGTGAGGGTCAGGGAGAAATTGTGCAAAGCAATTAAGATAGTGCTTGATGAATGCAAGTATTATCTGAAGAACTGAGTTTTTTTTTTTTTTTTTTTTTTTTTTTTTTTTTTTTTGAGATGGAGTCTTGCTCTGTCATCCAGGCTGCAGTGCAGTGGCCCAATCTTGGCTCACTGCAACCTCTGCATTCTGGGTTCAAGCGATTCTCCTGCCTCAGACTCCTGAGTAGCTGAGATTACAGGCACACACCACTACACCTGGCTAATTTTTTATTTTTAATAGAGATGGGGTTTCCCCATGTTGGCCAGGCTGGTCTTGAACTCCTGACCTCAGGTGATCTGCCCGCCTTGACCTCCCAAAGTGCTGGGTTTACAAGCGTGAGCCACCACGCCGTGTGAGTTCTAATTTTAGCCCTGTTTCTTCTTCGGTATTTGGTCTAGGGAATTTGTTATTTCTGTGCTTTAGTTTCATTGTCTAGATAAAGGATAACACAGATGACTGTAAAACACTTTGAGTATAGGAACTCAGATGAGTATGATTGAATCTAACATCAATAATGTCAACAGCAGCTGGGCATGGTGGCTCACACCTGTAATCCCAGCACTTTGGTGGGGGCTGCAGTGGGTGGATCCCTCTAGCCCAGGAGTTTGAGACTAGCCTAGCCAACATGGTGAAACCCCGTCTCTACAAAAAAATACAAAAATTGGCCAGGTGTGGTGGCATGTGCCTGTAGTCCTAGCTACTCAGGAGGAGGCTGAGGTGGGAGGATCACCTGAGCCCAGGGAGGTCGAGGCTGCAGGGAGCCGTGATTGAGCTATTGATTGCACTTTAGCCTGGGCAACAGGGTGAGACCCTTTCTCAAACAAAAAAATACATAAATAAATAAAATTTTAAAAAATGTCAATGGCAATTTTTATAGTGATGAAAATATATGTATAGGCTTTATAAATAAAAGTATATAGCAGGTGTTCAAAAAATGCTTGTTAAACGAGTGAATGAATGCTAAAAGGAAACTTACTAGTGTGAAAGACCATATACCCATTGAATGGGTACCTTCCCTTAGTACCTGCATTTTTCAACCCATGGTGCATTTAAAGCTCATTTTGGACATTTTCCCATAAATTAACCTTAAAGATAAAAAGAGTAAGAAACAAAACTTTCCCCTGAGATGTGGCTACTTATTTATTTTCAGAGGGCGTTTTCTCATTGCCATTCTGCTATATAGTGTAGTGGTCAAGAGCACTACCTCTAGAGCCAGCCAGGCTGGGCTCAAGTTCAAGTGCTGCCATTTAACTAGCTGTTTGTCCTTCGGCAAGTCACTTAAACTCTCTTTGACCCAGCTTCTCCATCTTTAAATGGGTATAATAATAAAACCATCCTCATAGGGTTGTTTTGAAGATTAGTGAGATGGGCGATAGGTTGTGTGGTGGGTAGAATAATGTTTCCTCCTTCACAGATGTCCATGTCCTGAAACCTGTGGCTACGTTATCTTATGTGGCAAAATGAAATTTGCAGATGTGATTAAGGATGATGTGATGGGGGAGATTATCCTGTGGACCCAGTGTAATCATAAGGGTCCTTAAGGGGAGGCATGAGAATCACAGTGATGTAGCATGAGAAAGACTTGACTGGCCAGTGCTAGCTTTAAAGACGGAGGAAGGGAGCTATGAGCCAAAGGATGTGAGCAGCTTGAGCCGGAAAAGGTAAGGAACCAGATTCTACCCCTAGACTATCTGAAAATGAACACAACCCTTCTAACATCTTGATTTGATCCCAGTGAGGCCCATTTCTGATTTCTGCCTTCTGGAACTGTAGATTATAACTTTATGCTGATTTAGGACATCAAGTTTGTGGTAATTTGTCACAGCAGCAACAGGACCCTAATTCAGGTGGGTCAGCCACTATTATTCTATTTACAACCCCCTTCCGTTCTGGCTTTCTTCACAGGGCAATCTAATGTAAACACTTCTGCAGAATTAAAGGGATCTCTTTGCCCACGCACAAACTATTTTTTAGTTTTTCGAGCCTCTACCTACCCTTAGTCTCAAGACAGCTGCCTTTAAGGTAAGCTGCAAGACAATTTATAACATCCTATTCTTAGACTTTCCACTTACACATGGAAAATCATATGCATTATCGGCGTCTGCCACAAAAGCCATGCTCTGAGGTCCTATTCAGGAAAATATTAACTCTGAATTATGGCCTCCCTTTCTTTGGCAGGGGGCACTGAGCTTCACGGAGACCCTAGAGTAGGAATCAACCCTTCAGGTCGAAGGCCCAAGGGAATTAGAGCACTTAGAGCAGGAGACATGGGAAAAGAAAGAGGAAAAGAAGTTGGTAGGTCCGAAGGAGGCTGGAAAGAGGGGAAGGCAAAAGAATACACAACCCAGCCGAATCATGGGAATTGAGAGATGGCTTCCTGCAATCTAGTCTTGCGGGTTCTTGCTCTAGTTTCGGAAACTTCCCCCGCAGAGTCCAGCGCCGCGCACCTGCCCCTTGGGGCCGGTCCCTGCGCAGGAGCCTGCGGCAGGCTGGGAATGCCGTTCTGGGAGAGCAGCCTCCCAGGCGGGGTGGTGGGGAGACTGCAGGGAGGAGTCTTGGGGAGTGCAAACGGAAAGACTACATCTCCCAGGCCGCCACGCTTTCCAGCTGGAGTCCTAGGGCGCTGACTGCTCCCCAGTTTCCGTAGGGAAGCGCTGGGCTACCGCGGCTATTGTGCGTCGCGCTCTCGCCCTCCTCTTCCCGCTGCAGTGTCTATGGAGCGAGGCTACGTTTCATTGCCGCCCTGGCTTAACCCTTCCGGCGCCTAAAAGGACGGCCGGCCGGCCGGCTCCCTTGCACCAGGAAGAAGTCTTAGCAGCCAGCGGGCCCTGGTCAGGAAACTCTAAGGTACAAGGAAAACAGTTGAGGAAGGAGCCAGAGCGCTCCGGTTTGGTCCTCGGGCTTCGCTGGGGCGGGGCGCAGGCGTTGGCTTTAAGAAAGGGGAGGGGACAGTGCAATCCGGGTTGCCCGCGGAGTTCGGCCAAGGAAGTCTTCCGCTCGCTCCGGAGCGAGGAGCCTGTAGAGAGGCTGTTCCCAGCTCCAGCTCTAACCTCGCCTACACCTTGGGCGGGCCCAAGTGTCACGTTTGCAATTGCTCAGGAAGGATCCGGCCCGTCTCCGGAGGCAAGTCGGGCTGCGGTTTTTGCTGCTTATCTGGGAAGGCGATGCCTAAGGGACATGCTGCTTGCTAGGCAGCACCCTGCCGGGATCCGACTGCGATAGTTAGCTCTCCCTGGCCCTGAAGCCATCGCCGGGGCGCCTGTTCTCTGTCCGGACCAGCCAGCGCTCCTCAGGAGTCTCACTGAAACAGGTACCTGTCCTCCAAAGGGACGGAGGCTATGAGCTTCCTTAAGCGGGTCGCGCGCTCAGTCCGTCCCCTCTACTTCCTCTACTGTGCCATTGATGCTCTCGGTCTTTGTGTCTTTCCCCTTTCCCCCTACTCCCGGCCATCAGAACCATGGGTCATCCCCCGCTGGAGTTCAGCGACTGCTACCTGGACAGCCCCGATTTCCGCGAGAGGCTCAAGTGTTATGAGCAGGAACTGGAGAGGACCAACAAATTCATCAAAGACGTAATCAAAGACGGCAACGCGCTTATCAGCGCTATGAGAAGTAAGTGCAAGGCTTCGATGAGCTGTTTCTCTGAGCTGGTGTGTCTGGCCTTTAAGCCTTTCCACACCACCAGGGGAAGGGAGATTGCAGGGTGACTCCCAGCCCAGATCTCTGAGGCAAATGGGTTTCCCACACTTGGGGAGTGGAGATAGTAGAAGTGGAAAGTGGTGGATACAACCAGAACTTTGGGCCTTTTCCTTTAGTGGTTTTGACCTTATAAGACGTGATCCGTAGCTGTGCCAGGGACCCTCTTGCTCAGCAATTACCCTTACTTGGCAGATGATTGTTCTTAAGGGACAATCTGCTGTACTGTTAGACATATTCAGCACCCCTGTCTGGGGCAAAGTGACATCCAAGCTGACCAAGGAACTGCCCCAGCACCTCCTAAACAATTGGGGATTAAGGTCAGCAGCTTGAATAATAATTTTGTCCTGGTCTCTGGTTGCTACAGATAAGTGTGGGGGGCAGTAAAAAATTCGCCATGGCAAGTTATTTTTTAAGGAAAGCACCTTTGCCCCAGTGAATTATTTTCTTTATCACACTGAGCTATGGTTTAGGTCAAGGTCAGTCTAAGTTCAGGATTATTGGATGGCTTCACCTGCCACTGAATTCTGCTTGAGTGTGGAACAAAGAGCTGACTACTTAGTCCCTGCCACAAGGGGCCCAGCCCCCAGGGAGTAAAATAGGGATAGGGTTGGGGGCTGCTGGGCTGAAGGAACTTCACCTAGCTTCGCTTTTCCAGTGCTCACAGCTGACTCAGCTGTGGGAAGCTCTCTCCTTCCCCCATTGTGTGTGGAGGTTTTTTTTCTGCTTGTTGGTAGGAGGCTTGGAGTAAAAGAAAGAATAATAAACATCCCCAACGAGAGTGCAGGCAAGCCAACCCTTTATGCCAAAGCATATACACAGAAGAATGGAGGGTAATGATTGGGTGGAGTGATAATTAATTTTTTCTCTTGGCTGAAAGATGATTGTGAAAAATAAACTCAGAGTCATTGGCAAGTATGTCCTATATGGTTATAACTTTGTTTTGAGTGAATTTATCACCAAATACAGGGTCTAGGACCAGTGTGGCAACCTTCTTAGGCGGATGCAGTCAACCAAGAGCAGGGAGAAAGAAAGATTTGAAAGTGGTAGTGCGAGGCTGGGCGAGGTGGCTCACGCCTGTAATCCCAGCACTTTGGGAGGCCAAGGCGGGTGAATCACCTGAGATCAGGAGTTCGAGACCAGCCTGGCTAACATGGTGAAACCCTGTCTCTACTAAAAATACAAAAAAAAAAAAAAAATTAGCTGGGCATGGTGGCAGGCACCTGTAATTCCAGCTACTCAGGAGGCTGAGGCAGGAGAATCACTTGAACCCAGGAGATGTTGGTTGCAGTGAGCCGAGACCGTGCCATTGCACTACAGCCTGGGCAACAAGAGTGAAACTCCATCTCAAAAAAAGAAAAGAAAGTGGTAGTGTGTTGGTAACTGCTGCCAGCTGGTATTTCTTGTGCAGCCCTTCTGATTTGCCCTGTGGAGTCGGTGCTTTTCCTTCACATGCTCTCTGCCCACTTTTGGTCAGAATATGTACACTGTCGAAGTTCCTGCAGGTCATTTGATTGTGTTTGATCTTTTAATGATTTGTCTTATTGTGGCCTGACCAAGAGTAAACTCCTAGTAGTATCTGAAATGCTGATCCTTAAGAGGTTAAGGATATGCAGGTTGTGCTACATAAGTAGAAAGGTGAGAGTTCACGGAAAGGAAAAGGAGGAATGTTTCAGCTTTGTTTTGTTTTGTTTATATATTACAGTAAACTGCTTGGTGCTGTGTCCCCAGTAAAACGAATCTCATCATAAGCCCTAGGAACAGAATGGCTTTGTGAAGTGGATGGTAACTAAAAGCATGCTAAAAATCACCAGCTAAGGCATATCAGAGAGATTAAGATTTATAAGAAAAAAAGTAGTTCAATAAAACATGGTGGAAGAGCAAAAGTTTCATAAGCTAGGGGCAAGTAAAGGTTTTTATTCTTTCCTTTTCTTTCTTTTTTTTTCAATTTTTGTTTTTGAGATGAAGTCTTGCTTTGTCGCCCAGGCTGGAGTGCAGTGGCATGATCTCAGCTCACTGCAGCCTGGATCTCCTGGTTTCAAGCGATCCTCCTGCCTCATCCTCCCCAGTACCTAGGACTATAGGCATGTGCCACTGCGCCTGGCTAATTTTTGTATTTTTTGGTAGAGATGGGGTTTCACCACGTTAGCCAGGCTGGTCTTGAACTCCTGACCTCAGGTAATCCACCCACCTTGGCCTCTCAAAGTGCTGGGATTGCAGGGATGAGCCACCACGCCTGGCCTCTTTCCTTCTTTTCTAAGACTCAAAGTGATAAGAGTCAACAGTTAAGCAGATCTAAAATTTTGCATATGAGCAGAAGATCCAAGAGATATTCTAGATTAGGGGCTCCTTGAAATTTGTGGTAGTTTTCTGTTTCTGAGTATACACAGAAAGCCAAAAATAGGACAGGTAGAAAATAAAACCCAGCAGCTAACCCATTCTCCATTTCTTTCCATTCAATTGCATGGATTCTAAAAGTCTGATTAGCTAGAGGCAAAGGTAGGATGTTTCCTACTGTCTTGACCACAGTGATGTTTATACTCCCACTCTCCTTCCTCACACTGTGCCAGCGGAGCGACTTTCTGAAAGTAGGTAGGGTGGAAGCAAAACAAAGTTATGTTCTTGCTCTGTGTTGAGGAAAAAGGAAAAAGGAACACTGGAATCGGAGTTAGAAGATCAGGATTATGTTCTTGGCTTCTCCATCTTGGGATCTAACACAAATCACTTTTTTTTTTTTTGTTTTTTTCTGAGACAGAGTCTTGCTTTGTCACCCAGGCTAGAGTGCAGTGGCATGATCGCAGTTCACTGCAGCCATCGCCCCTTGGGTTCAAGTGATCCTCGTGTCTTAGCCTCCCGAGTAGCTGGGACTACAGGCACACACCACCAGATCTGGCTAGTTTTTGTGTTTTTAGTAGAGATGGGTTTCACCATATTGGCCAGGCTGGTATCGAACTCATGGCCTCAGGTGATCCATCCACTTTGGCCTCCCAAAGTGCTGGGATTACAGGCATGAGCCACTGCACTTGGTCCCACAAATCACTTTTCATTTTTCTTGTTTTAGAGACAGGGTCTTGCTTTGTTGCCCAGGCTGGAGTACAGTGGCACAATCATAGCTCACTGTCACCTCTAATTCCTGGGCTCAAGTGATCCTCCCACCTCAGTCTCCCCAGTAGCTGGACTCCAAGTACACGCCACTATGCCTGGCTAATTTTTAATTTTTTTTAGAAACTGGGTCTCACTGATCTCGCCCAGGCTGATCTGGAATTCCTGGGCTCAAGCAAGCCTCCCACCACGGCCTCTCAAAGTGTTGGGATTATAGGCGTGAGTCACCACACCCAGCCAAATCACTTTTTTTTGGAGACAGAGTCATGCTCTGTTGCCCGAGCTGGAGTGGAGTGGCATGATCTCAGCTCACTGCAACCTCCGCCTCCCGGGTTTAAGCAATTCTCGTGCCTCAGCCTCCTGAGTAGCTGGGATTACAGGCACCTACCACCACGCCCAGTTAAATTTTGTATTTTTTTTAGTAGAGACGGGGTTTTGTCTTGTTGCCCAGGCTGGTCTTGAACTCCTGAGCTCAGGCAGTCCGCCCCCCCTTGGCCTCCCAAAGTGCAAGAATTACAGGCATGAGCCACCGTGCCTGGCCCCAAATCACTTTTACTTCGTCTGTAAAATCGGGGTAATTATACCCACCTCCCAAGATTGTTGTGAGGCTCAAAGAAATTAATGGATTATGAAAATGATCTGTAAATGGAAATGGCTAAACAAAGTTGTTGATAATACATCTTCGGATTCTTAATATATCTGTTGGTGAATGTGTCATTTTCTGTAGGTTTCTGAAGGGAAATGCATAAGCAGAAGTAGTTGGAACTCCTCTTGCTTAAATGTGATCTCTTCATAATTGTTGAAGTGCAAGGTGATTATAACTTAAACTAATGGAAAATAAAAATACCATCCCTCTGAAAGGTGACTATATTGCCAACTTTTCTGTTTGTCCTTTATTTTTATATTGGTAGCTTCAGTCCCCAATGTTGTTTGAATATTTGCTAAGCCCTGAGGCTAGGCATTATTCAGAACAAGTGATGTGGCCCCTGCTCATATCACAAAGCAGCATGACACATCTAATAAGTGTTATATATAGTTAGCGAATGCATACTATTCATTCAATACATACTTGGACACATACCGTGTTCAAGTCATTGTTCTTGGAGCTGTCAGGCATACAGAATGAGTCACAGATGGATACTGCTTTCAAGAGGTTCTTAGGCTGGTGGGAGAGACAAGACGTGGATAGAAATGATTGTCATATAAGGTAGTAGATACAGATGAGAGCCATAAAAGTGGGAACAGGTGGACCTGATGATATATGACATGAGAGGGAAAGCTGATTTCCCAGTGGGAGCACAAGGGAGAAGCCAAGGAAGAAGCACCATCAGAGTTGGGTAGAATTAATAACACTATCACTTGTTTAGCTGTTCCCATGTGTCAGGCATTACATCTTGTAACAGATTTTTGAGATAAGGATTATTATTCCCATTTTTTAGATGAGGAAACTGAAGTTCAGATGAGTTAAGTAACTTTCTCAACTAGTAAGGGCAAGTGTCTGAATTAGAACCTAGACCTGACTCTAAAGGCCCTGCTTATCCTACTGCATGACACTATTCAGGACAGGGCATTTCATGTAGCGGGAGTGACACAGAATATAAAGGGGACAGCAAATAATTTGAGTCATCTGGGGTATAGGCAACAGAAAGGGAGGTTTGGGCTCCTGAGGAGCTGGATTACAGCCACCATGCCCAGCTAATTTTTGTATTTTTAGTAGAGACAGGATTTCACCATGTTGGCCAGGCTGGTCTCGAACTCCTGGCCTCAAGTGATCCACCAGCCTCAGCCTCCCAAAGTGCTGGGATTACAGGCGTGAGCCACCACGCCCAGCCTACATTCTTTTTTTTTTTTTTAATTGTGCTAGCTAAATAAAACATTTTCATAGGCCAGATTCAATCAGGTTGCAACCCCTGAGCTAAATGATACAGCTCTACAAGTCTGGCTCTTGGACTCTAATGGGCTAGGAAAATAGAGGATGACAGTCTTCAGATAGGGGCTTTCCTGGGGAAGCAACAATGGATACTCTTTGCAAATGAGCAGAGGCGAAATGATGGTATAATGGGACAAAACCCTGGACATGGCATCTAGATACCTGAGTAAGGTGCTGGTTCTGTTATGGGATCTGTGACCTTGATAAGCGATTTCACTGGGACCCCAGGGTCTGTGGCTTTACAAAGATGGGGCTGGGGTGGGAGGTTTATAAACCCACTTTGAGCTCTAACATTCTATGACTTACTATGTTTTGCATGGCATATTATAGTTTCATGATTTGAGAAAGGAATGACTAACCCAATTACAGGACCTTATTTTACGCTTACATAAAATTTCACATTATTTTAGTGTAAATGACAGTATTTAATTTAACAAAAAATTAAAACAGAATTTTTTGTTGTTGTTGTTGTTTTTTTTTTTTGAGACAGAGTTCACTGTGTTGCCCAGGCTGGAGTGCAGTGGCGCAATCTCGGCTCACTGCAACCTCCGCCTCCGGGGTTCAAGTGATTCTCATGCCTCAACCTCTCAAGTAGCTGGGACTACAGGCGCATGCCACCATGCCCATGCTAAGTTTTGTAATTTTTTTTTTTTTTTTTTTTAGTAGAGATGGGGTTTCACCATGCTGTCCAGGCTGGTCTCGAACTCTCGACCTCAAGTGATCTGCCTGCCTCAGCCTCCCAAAGTGCTGTGATTACAGGTGTGAGCCGCTGTGCCTGGCCTAAAAGAGAATTTCTAAATACCCTTTTCCAAACCAAGGATAATGTGCTTTATAAGTATGTTTTTGTTTTTTTTTTTTTGTTTGTTTTAAGAGACAGAGTCTCACTCTGTCACCCAGAGTGGCATACTTTTAAGTACAGTGGCACCATCATAGCTCACTGCAACTTCGAACTCCTGGGCTCAAAGGATCTTCCGGACTCAGCCTCCTGAGTAGTTGGGACTACAAGCACACACTACCAATCTTAGCTAACTAATTTTTTTTTTTTTTTTTTGGAGAGATGCGGTCCTGCCATGTTGCTCAGGTTGGTCTTGAACTCCTGGGCTCAAATGTTTTTTCCACCTCAGTCTCCCAAAGTGTTGGCATTATAGGTGTGAGCCATCACGCCCAGCCTCTGTGTATGTATATATATATATATATAAAACAGATGTCAGAAAAAAAATATATCACTAAACCCACATATATACGTGCACAACCACACATACATAGGCTCTCTTGGACTAATGAAAACTCATGTTTTTTTTGTTGTTGTTGAGACAGAGTCTTACTCAGTCACCCAGGCTGGAGTACAGTGGTGCCATCTCGGCTCACCGCAACCTCCACCTCCTGGGTTCAAGCGATTCTGGTGCCTCAGCCTCCCAAGTAGCTGGAATTACAGGCGTGCGCTACCACGCCCAGCTAATATTTGTATTTTTAGTAGAGACGGGGTTTCACCATGCTGACCAGGCTGGTCTCGAACTCCTGACCTCAAGTGATCCACCCATCTCGGCCTCCCAAAGTGCTGGGATTACAGGCGTGAGACACTGTGCCCAGCTGAAAACTTATGTTTTAAAAGAATCCAGGGTCGGGCTTGGTGACTCACGCCTGTAATCCCAGCACTTTTGGAAGCCAAGGCGGGTGGGTCGTTTCAGTCTAGGAGTTTGAGACCAGCTTGTGTAACATGGCGAAACCTTGTCTCTACAAAAAATATGAAAAGTTAGCTGGGCATGGTGGTGCGTGCCTGTAGTCCCAGTTACTCAGGGGGCTGAGGTGGGAGGATTGCTTGAGCCCTGGAGGCAGAGAGGTTACAGTGAGCAGAGATCACTCCACTGCACTCCAGCCTGGGCTACAGAGTGAGACCCTGTCTCCCTCTCTAAAAAAAAAAAAAAAAAAAAAAAAAAAGAATCCAGTCCAGGTGCATTGGCTCAAGCCTGTCTCAAAAAAAAAAAATCCAAAAGATGCATTCAGTACTCTAAATGTACATAAAATTGATAAAGTAGAAATAATTCTATAGTTTTAATAACTCAATCTTAATTTTTTAAAAAAAGGTCACTGTCTTACATTCTTTGCTTTTAAAGTTAGAGTTTTAGATGTTTACATTAAGGTCACCTTTTGGGGTACCTTTGCAGCTTTCACTTTGGCAACCGGAGCACCTATCTGGTGAGTGGTTGCTTTCCTGGAAGGATGGGTTGATTCCAATTCTGCCACTAGCTAGCTATATGACTTTAAACATGTCTTTAGTTTTGTCGGTCTCAGTTTTCCCATTTTATAAAATTAGAGGCTTGGTCAATAATATTTACGGTTCTTTCTGGTTTTATTATTTTGTTTTCTGGCTACCACCATGCTAGTCAAATGGTCAAACAATGTGAATTGATTCTATCATAAACTTTAGGAGCCAATTCATCTTCACTCTGGGAGAATAGGCAAAGGGAAAATCCAAGTAGTATGTCCAGCATGAGTAGATGACTTGCTGACCTACTTGACTATCCTCTCATTGAATGCTTCTTGGTAGGTCTCCACCTGATTCCCTTCAGTTCTGTTCTGAATAGCTCTATACTGAGGGACCCCAAAGCTTTTAATCCCTTTGGGATGGGTGTAGTGCCATGGTGTGCGGGAGGAGTTGGTGATATAATATGCATTCTTGCTCAGCAGGTATCTTGTCATTTTCCCAGTGATATTTAATCAGTGCCTCTGAGCACATGGAGTTATTTTACATCTTCTCCAGAGTAACTCAGATCAATATAATGGGTATGTCATTTGGTACTGCTGTTAGTATTAATAGATGTGAAGCAATGCTAAATGGAATTTGACAGAGGTGATATATTGCCATATTCATTGGAGTTCCTCACAAGACCAGATTCCAGAGTAGCTGGACTGTGGCTGCTGTGGGAACTAGGATTGAAAAGTGAACCAAGCCAACCTTTCAGTGTGTCCATTTATAAGAAACTATTCTTATTTGGGAGTAGAGGATGGTGCCAGGCTGGGGTAGGGAAGATTTTAGCTTGACTTGCCTGTTAAGAAAAGTTTTCCAATCAGACTCTAGAGTGATGAAGGAACTTTACCTTTCAGCCTCATTTTTATAGCCTTATTTTTTTTAAGCATAGCCAAAACCTTTTGTTTAATCTGGCATCTGTTTCTCTAATCAGTTACTACAGAAATTTCCTAAAAGCCTATGAGGATCTGGAAAGTTACACACTTTTCCATGGGAGTACCCTGGAAATCTTGAGCTGATTTTATTTTCTAGTGGAGTGGAAGGCCCTCATGATCCTTTACCAGGCTTGTATCAAGTGCTAAACCTTGGGCAATGTAAAGGCAATTCAGTTTAATTCAAGAAGGTTTTACTAAGCACCTACTATGTGTCAGGTACTGTCCTGGAAACTGGGGATACAGTGGTGAATAAGAATACTATAGACTCTGCCCTTTTGGAACATATGTTAAATATCAAATTACCCTCTTAAATAATTAATTACAATTGTGAGAAGAGTATGAAGAGGAAATTCAGTGTGTGATTTTTTTTTTATTTTTATTTTTATTTATTTATTTATTTTGAGATGGAGTCTAGCTCTGTTGCCCAGGCTGGAGTGCAGTGGCACGATCTTGACTCACTGCAACCTCCGCCTCCTGGGTTCAAACGGTTCTCCTGCCTCAGCCTCCTGAGTAGCTCGGATTATAGGTGTCCGCCACCACGCCCGGCTAATTTTTGTATTTTCAGTAGAAACGGGGTTTCACCATGTTGGCCAGACTGGTGTCGAACTCCTGACCTCAGGTGATCAGCCCACCTCGGCCTCTGAAAGTGCTGGAATTACAGGCGTGAGCCACCATGACTGGCCCATAGTAGAATTATTTATAATGGCCAAAAAGTGGAAACAACCTCTAAATGTCCATCAACTGAAAAATGGATAAATAAAAGGTAGTATAGACATACAATGGAATAGTATTTGGCAATAAAAAGTAATGAAGTACTGACACATGGTACAATAAGGATGAACTTTGAAAACCTTAGGATAAGTGAGAAAAGTGTTATAAATGACTACCTATTGTTCATGATTCCTTTCATATGAAATGTCCAGATAAGCAGATCTATTAGAGAGAGTATCAGGTTAGTGATTGCTAAGCTGGGGGGTTGGAATGTATTGGGACTGCTAATGGGTAAAGGGTTTCTCTTTGGGGTCATGAACATTTTTTAAGATTGGATTGCAGTGATGGTTGTACAGCTCTGTGAGCCATTTTATGGTGTGTGAGTCGTATCTCAGAGCTGTTTGAAAAAAAAAAAAACATTGTGTTTGGAGAAACAGGTGACAGGCGCTTGTCTTATATACCTATATCTTCCTTTAGCTCTATCTTATAGAACATCAGACCTGGAAGGTTGTTTAGAAAGCTACACATCTATGGCTGGGCGCGGTGGCTCATGCCTGTAATCCCAGCACTTTGGGAGGCCGAGGCGGGCAGATCACGAGGTCAGGAGATAGAGACCATCCTGGCTAACACGGCAAAACCCTGTCTCTACTAAAAATACAAAATATTAGCTGGGCGTGGTGGTGGGCGCCTGTAGTCCCAGCTACTCAGGAGGCTGAGGCAGGAGAATGGAGTGAACCCAGGAGGCGGAGCTTGCAGTGAGCCGAGATCGAGCCATTACACTCCAACCTGGGCAACACAGCGAGACTCCGTCTCAAAAAAAGAAAAAAAAAAAAAAAAAGAAAGCTACATATCTACTCCACTGGGTTTATATGTAGGGAAAAGAAAGTCAAGACAGAGAGTTACTTCTCCAGAGACCTAGAGCTAGAGTCGGAATTGTGACCAGAATCAGATTTCCTGGTTTCCCTTTCCAAGGCCTTTTCTTTTCTTTTCTTTTTTCTTTTCTTTTCTCTTTTCCTTTCCTCTTTCTCTTTCTTTCTTTCTTTTTCCCTCCCTCCCTCCCTCCCTCCCTCTCTCTCTTTCTTTCTTCCCTTTCCCTTTCTTCTTTCATCCTTCCTTCCTTCCTTCCTTCCTTCCTTTCTTTCTTTCTCTCTCTCTCTTTCCTTCTTTCTCTTTCTTCCCTTTCCCTTTCTTCTTCTTTCCTCCCTCCCTCCTTCCTTCCTTCCTTTTTCTTTCTTTCTCTCTCTCTTTTTCTTTTCTTTTTCTTTCTTTCTTCCCTCCCTTCTTTCTTTCCTCCCTCCCTCCCTCCTTCCCTTCCTTCCTTCTTTCTTTCTTTTTCTTTCTCTTTCTTTTTCTTTCTCTCCCTCTCTCTCTCTTTCTGTCTGTCTTTCCTCATTGCAACCTTGAATCCCAACCCCAAGCGATACTCCCACCTCAGCCTCCCAAGTAGCTGGGACCACAGGCACGTGCCACCATGCCTGGCTAATTTTTAAATTTTTTGTAGCGATGGGATTTTGTTGTCTTGTTGCCCAGGGTGCTCTCAAACTCCTGGGCTCAAGCGATCCTCCACCTCAGCCTCCCAAAGTGCTGGGTCCAAGGCTCTTTCTGCAAGCAGGTAGCTTGCATTTCAACTGTCTTGATGTTCTTTATCGGGGCTAGGGGTGCTTTTGTTTGAAATGACCCAGATGGCAGCAAAAATTGCATTAGTGGAAGGTTTCTTTTCAGTATTTCCTCCCCATTAGGGCTAGGATCAAGTGATTTCCCTGTTGAGCAATCTAGCTCAGTTTAATTAGGGTCTGGTTGTGTTCTGTTTCCTTTGTCATAGAATAATGGCAATACATCTTGGTGGTGTGATACCTGTCCTCTTTGTTTTCTGCCCCAAGAGCCTACACCAGCTGGTTGAGCAGTTCCCAAAGTCTCCCCTCTTTGCTCATCTGTCGACCTCTTAGGGCAAACACAGCTGCTTTTCATGTAGTGAGTAGTATATATTGGGAAACGTGTGGCATTACTAACGAGTGACAAAGTCCTTCCCCATATTATTTTTATCCTAAGGCAGCTTGGAATTTTTCACAAGTGGTGAGCAGTAAGTCCAGCACTATAGTGCCATATGAGGAACTCCAAGGCAGTTCTTTACAAAAGGTTTTCATTAAGGACTTCCCAGAAGCAGGAGGGCCACACTTCAACTTCCAACTCTTTCCAGAGCCAGGCTGTCATGGAAAAGCTTTTCTCTGTGATTGGAAAAATATATATTATGTATGTGGCAATTGACAGCTGGAGACTAATCTTGAATTCATCCATCCTGAATTCATTAGGTGGGAGGAAGAGGGTGGGTAATAAGGCATTGAGGTGTTTTATAGCTGCCCCTTACAACTTTTGTTGAGTACAGAAAAAAAACAAAAAACAAACCTGGAGCATTGTAAAGAAAATGCCTCTGCCACCATCATCACTATGCTGAATTTCTTTTGCTCTAAAACATGGGAAATATTGATTTTTTTCCCTGTTTGGTTGATGTGGAGAGGTTTGTCTTCTAGAATCCATGCCCAGTATTTGAGGGATTATGGGGATGATTGTTCTGTAATGGCATTAAATGGGAAAGCTAGGGGTACCAGTGTGCTAATTGGGTAACAACTCAGCCAGGGATTGGATAACAATGAAAGCAGAGTAGAAGGGGAGGGAAAGCTGGGGCTTCTTGGAATTTTGTTTGCTTTTGCTTTGTGAAGAGCAGATGCTATTTGTATTTAACAATTTCCTTTTCTTTGACTAATCGGCAGTATCTTGCTGGAATTGGACTCAGAGTTCGAGGGGCCTTTTCAACATTTCATTTAATGCCTTCATATTTCAGATGAGGAAACCGAAGCCTATGAGGGGTGTTCCTTGTCCAAGGTCACAGAGCCAGTTAGTCACAAAATCAGTACTGAAACCAATAATCGGTCCTACTGTGCTTCATGAAAACAGTTTCTACCCTTCAGGAACTCTCTTTGCTGAGACTGTGATTTTTTTTTTTTTTTTTTTCTGTTGAGAATCACTTTCAGCTTGTGAAAGAAAGAAAAGAGTTGTTTTTTCTTCAATGCATCTTGCCAAGAATGCACGTTCAGTGTCAGCCTGAAGGCAGCCAAGCATTTTACAGACCTGCAGGAATGAAGTAGGGGAAGGTTCAGGGAGTCTGAAGTTACTTCTGGAGTTTTTCTGGTTAGCCTTTGCCTAGTAGGAGCTTGATAAAAATAGAAGATCAAGAGACAGACCTTCTATAATAGATCTTTCCCCCAAATATGTGAAATCTAGAGAATCCATTTATGAATGAGGAAGAAGCAACTCTAATACAAATTGAGTTGGGTTTTAGGATGTGGATATATAGGTAGATGTAGGTATAAACTGCCATTTGCAAAGCTCTTTACAGTATACCAGGCACTTTAACATACATTCTATAACTAAACAGGGAAGAAATGTGTTAAATTACCTCCAATTTATAGATGAGGAAACTAAGATTTAGAGAACCTAGGTACTTCCCTAAGATTGCATAGCTAGTCAGTAGTTGAGCCAAGACTTAGATTTTCTGTGTATTCTTTCCACGGTTCCCCATTGTTTTTATTCCCTTTAGTGATGAAAGAGAATATAAGTGCTGTACAGAAGAATACATAGTTCAGAAAGTAGAAGTGTCAAGAAGACATCTGGGGCCTTCTGTAGAGAAACGGAAGTAGCCGTCTGTACACATACCCATAGGAAGTGGTGGCCATTAGAAAATGTTTGAAAGCTGGAGAACAGCATTAGAGAAGTGGGTAGCTGACAGGGCTGAGACACCTGAGCTTGTGGTAAGAATTTCTATGTGCTATTCTGTGAAGGCTGCTGAGGAAGACAGTCCAGACCAAGGTAGATGTCTTTAAAGGAGAATTGCCTGAAGCCAGTGAGGTGGTTAAAAAAAATTGGGGAAGATGCATATTGGTGATAAAGGAGGGAGTAACCTTGGGCATTTTTCATTACGTCTTTAGGGTGGAAAAAAACTAGAAAATTATAAAGTAGTGGTGGGGCGTGGTGGCTCACGTCCATAATACCAGGACTTTGGGAGGCCCAGATGGGGCAGATTGCTGGAGCTCAGTAGTTCGAGACCAGCCTGGCCAACATGGTGAAATCCTGCCTGTACAAAAAATACAAAATTTAGCCAAGTATGGTGGCGCTCACTTGTAATCTCAACTACTCAGGAGGCTGAGGTGGGAGGATGGCTTGAGCCCAGGAGGCAGAGGTTGCAGTGAGCCGTGATCACACCACTGCACTCCAGCCTGGTTGACAGAGCCAGACCTTGTCTCAAAAAAAAAAAAAAAAAAAATTGTTAAGGAGTTAAGAAAGAGGAAAAGTAGGATGGTATTTTATAGACTACTTGCTTTTTTATTCTAGAAGTTTCATAGATGGTGCAGACATCATTTAGCCCAAGTTACCTGTGAATGTTGAGTTTGGGGATGATTGTTCTGTAATGGTACTAAATGGGGAAGTGCGGGGTGCCAGTGTGCTAATTGAGTAACAACTTAGCCAGGAATTGGATGGCCACGCTAGCAGAGTAGCAGAGGAGAGAAAGGCCATAATCCCAGCACTTTGGGAGGCCGAGGCGGGCAGATCACTTGAGGTCAGGAGTTCAAGACCAGCCTGGCCAACATGGTGAAACCCCTGTCTCTACTAAAAATACAAAAAAAAAATTAGCTGGGCATGGTGGCAGGCACCTGTAATCCCAGCTACTTCGAAGGCTGAGGCAGGAGAATCGCTTGAACCCGGGAGGCGGAGGTTGCAGTGAGCCGAGATCGCACCACTGCACTCTAGCCTGGGTGACAGAGAAAAACTCCATCTCAAAAAAACAAACAAACAACAACAACAAAAAATTTAAAAAAAAAGAAGTGGAGGGAAAGCTGGGGCTTCTATCTTGCTTGGAACCAGTTTCATCCTTAAATGGAGTTGTGTGTTTGTAGTGATACCACACATAATACTTCGTAAAAATAATCACAGTATAATTTCCTTCTTAGTATTTTTCAGTTCAACAAGTTTCACCTATGATCTCGATTTGATCTTTACAACAACCCTTTGAACTAATCAGGCAGGGCATTATTAGTGCTCTCAGACAGGTGAAGTCACCAAGGGCAGATAATGGTCCCTTGTTTTACAGATGAGGAAATTTAAATTCAGAGAAGTTATTTGCTCAAAATTGTTCCACTAGTGTGTGGCAAGTTGGGATTCAAACCCAGATCTTCTGGCTCCTAGAGGTGGAAAATTTTTTACTATATTATGATGTATTATAGAAGGAGGTCAATGGTTATGCCTTGTAGGGTGCGTTTGGGAAGTCTGCGTCTCTGGGCCTTCCTGTATGGTGTCTTGCCATTGTAGTTACCTGATTCTCCCTGATGTCTGTCCCAGCTGGCCTGGCTTTGCACTCAGCCCTCTCCTGCTCCTTGAGCCTCTCCTCCTAATACCATCTTTGCACACAGCTCAGTCTCTGTAAAACCCTGTCATGTATCCTCCTCGGGGTTGCCTGTGTCTGCCAGTATCTCCTTTTCCCTCTAGGACCTGAGGAAGCCCTCTTAGAGACCTTGCCTTATTGTGCATTGTTTTGAAAATTGCCCTCCTAGCCAGCCATCCCTGCTCTAATGATTCACCTTCAAACTGTGATTTCAAGTCTTTTGGATCTTCTTATGCCATGTGTTAGGCAGCCTCTGACATTCAGAGGGGCTCATAAATATAGGTATGCTATGGTAGTATATTTAGGACCAGTTCTTTTGCCTCCTTCTTACCCATATGCCTTTAATCAGCTTCTGCTCCTCTGGCAATATGGGCATAATTGGCATGTGTTTTCAGCAGAGCTCATTATAGAGATTTCCATTGCAGCAGGCAATTTTGTACAAGCCCCTGTCTGACATTATTACCAAAGCTATTGCCGTTGTTTTGTCAGGTCTAACAAGTCCAGCAAGGTCTGGCTGATTGAAGCATTCATTGAATTGGCCACTGGGCAAGGAGGCGGTTGCTTGGCAGTTCTTCTCTTCAGGGAGGGTTTCCTTTTTTAGTAGCAGTCTTACCTCTAAGGAGTCAGCAGCTCCCTTTAGAACTGGCTTTCCCAAAGTGTGTTTCCCCACCCTTCCACCCAGTGGCTTCCAGTTGTTCTGAAAGCTGCTGGTCAACTGTGCCTTTAATATTTCTAATGGCAGGAGTTAATAATGTGATGTTTAATAGAAAACATGTGTCATCCTATTGGCACACCAGAGAAGGCAGCTCTGGTCTCTCCATTAAACCAGCAAAGATTTTTGTTTTTTAATGGTGATAAGTAGAAATAAGTATATGGGATACCCACAGGTATCTTTTACTTTGAAGTCTTTTGTAGCTTCTGCTTTTGAGAATAACTGATAGAGGGAAACTTCTTAGCCTTGCACCTTTGCTTTTTGCTCCTTTCCAGAAGTCCTGGGCAGAAGAGAGAGGGGATAAGGAATAGTCACTTGAGGTTGGGCGTGGTGGCTCACGCCTATAATCTCAGCACTTTGGGAGGCCAAATGGGTGGATCACCTGAGGTCAGGAGTTCCAGACAAGCCTGGGCTACATGGCAAAACTCCGTATCTACTAAAAATACAAAAATTAGCTGGGTGTGGTGGCATGCACCTGTAATCCCAGCTATTTGGGAGGCTGAGGCAGAGTTGCTTGAACCCCAGAGGTGGAAGTTGCAGTGAGCCGAGATCGCGCCACTGCATTGCAGCCTTCATGACAGAGTAAGTCTCCATCTCAAAATAAATAAATAAATAAATAAATAAATAAATAAATATAAAAAGGAATAGTAACTCGATTTCTCAAGGAGATCTATTTGTAGTAAAGCAGGAGCCAGCATGCTGTGGCTCATGGCCAAATCCTGTCCACCTCCTCTTTTCGTAAATAATGTCTGTTTTCATAAATAACGTTTTATTGGCACATAGCCACACCTATTTGTTTATATATTGTCTGTGACTGCTTTTGCAATAAAGTGGCAGAATTGAGTCATTGCAATAGATACAGAATAGCCCTCCAAGACTAAAACAGGCTGTGCAACATTAATTGGCTGTTGTTGGGTGGGGCAGGGCATTGAGTTCCTTAAGTGTTCCTTGGACCTTCTTGTTTGTGTCCAGCTTCTGCTGAGTTTGTGTAGAGAGGTATGCAGGGAAGTGGTTTTGGAAATGACCTATTCCCGCATACATAATGAAAGCTTGGAATGCAGGTTGTGCTATGAGGTGTTTTCCTGTTTGAATGGGCAAAGTGTTCATCATCAGAGATGTATTCCTATTGCCTACCCCGGGGCCTGACACAGTCTCAGTTCTGATCTCAAGAAACTCTCATACAGGGGTTTTGCTTTTCCCAGTGGGCATTCAGAAACACACTGGTTCACTAGCGCAGAAACAGTTCATCCTTTTTGACTGTCTGTCTTTGTGTATTTGGTCACGAACTCCTTTTTCCTCTTTCCCATTATAGATAGTCGATGGGATTTTTCACAAAGCCCTTGAATAGTTTGTATGTGTTTGTTGATTTTGAACTTTGAACTGGTATATATATAATACCAGCACTTTGGGAGGCCCAGGTGGGGCAGATTGCTTGAGTTCAGTAGTTCGAGACCAGCTAGGCCAACATGGTGAAATCCTGCCTGTACAAAAAAATGCAAAAATTAGCCAAGCATGGTGATGGTCGCCTGTAATCCCACTACTCAGGAGGCTGAGGTGGGAGGATGGCTTGAGCCCAGAAGGCAGAAGTTTCAGTGAGCGCTCTCTCTCTCTCTCTCTCTCTCTCTCTCTCTCTCTCTCTCTCTATATATATATATATATATATATATATATATATATTATATAATTTTTTTTTTTTGAGACGGAGTCTTGCTCTGTCACCCAGGCTGGAGTGCAGTGGCACGATCTCAGCTCATTGCAACCTCCACCTCCTGGGTTCGAGCAATACTCCTGCCTCAGCCTCCCGAGTCGCTGGGACTACAGGTATTCACCATTACACCTGGCTAATTTTTGTATTTTTAGTAGAGATGGGGTTTCACCATGTTGGCCAGGCTGATTTCAAACTCCTGGCCCCAGGTGATCTGCCTGCGGTGGCCTCCCAAAGTGTTGGGATTACAGGCATGGGCCACCACACCCAGCCTTGAACTGGTATATTAAGCCCTAAAGTGTATTATACAATTGGGTAATATATAAGCAGTCTGAAGCTCCGTTGGCAGAGAAACCCATGGTTTTTGATATGTTATTTGTCATAAGCTAACAGGGACCTTTTTCTCTCTTTGACACAGTTGGGAAGTTCTTTATTAAAGGGGCCAGACAGCAGTTCCCTTTATAGTTAATAATGATGTAATACACCAAGTAGTGAAGGCTACAGGACAGGAGCCACAGAAGTCACCACAGGGCACATTGCCCAGTCAAGCTTTCTCCAGCTGGTCAGATAATATTTCACTGAGGTCTAAAGAGAAGAAATGTTATGAACAGGAGCAACTCTCTGCTTCCCTGACTCTTAATTCCTTCTGATTGATTGGTATGATCTTGTTATTTCAGGATGATTATTTTAGTATGATTTAATACAGATTTAAAAAATATGGCAGTTATAAGTTTCTATCTCATGTTATTCATGGTACCTTTTCAAAATGGAGCAATCTGGCCTCCAAAATCTAGCTATAGAGAATAATCACAGGTTCCCATGTGTAAGTAGGGCAAAGAGAATCAGAATTACAATATTAGAAAGAGTCTTGAGAGGTCATGGAGTCAACTCCTCTGCTTCCTAGCCACCTAAATCAGCCAAGACAGACGTGGCTAGAGAAAGAATGGAATTAGATTGTTGCCTTGTAGATGTCTTCCATCTTTAACTCTGTCCTTTTGAGAGCAGTAGAAACTAGTTTGGAAGGGGAAATGCTAACTTTTGGACTGCAGGGCTTTAATTAAGTCTTCTTCTTTTTTTATTCTTATGCACCTAAAGAACATTTGGGACTAAAGTGGTTAAAGACATAGTCTTGGTTGAAGTTAGGTTACTGAGCTTAGGTTTCAGCATATTCTCTGTCTAGGAAATTGAGCTCATCAGCAAGTAATGGTAATGGGAAGGCTTAGCACAATGGCATTTAGTTGCCAGAATGACCATTGGCTTGGGAGGCACACAGATCTGGGTTTGAATTCCCTATTTACTATCTGGGTGGCATTTGAACAAGCTATGAACTTCTTAAAGTTTCAGTTTCCTCAATTATAAATGGAGACAGTAATACCAACCTTGGTTATAGAAGGTATACATGAAATAACATATTTGAAAGTAATATACTCTTAATAAATGTTAGTCTCTACTGTTTAAGTATATATTTTAAAAAAACATACTTATGACAGTGCTTGTGCCATAAACAAACTTAAATTGTAGTAATTAATAACTTAATTGGTGTTTGGATATGGCTTATGACTTGAAAATTCAAGAATATACTTCACAAAGAGAAGAGAAAAGGAATATGAGTGCATATTTCTCATAGTCACACAGCCTTACCCATATTCCAATGACAGTAAAGTGGGGACTGATCAGAAAGCCTTCTGGGATAGCATATAACAGCAGCCACACTCACCAATAAGGTATTGGTATGCCTGATCCTCTCCTCCTTTTCAGTAATAACCATTTGAGAAAGATTAGCATTGTTATTTATAGTGCTCTTGGGTCTGATGTTATATCATTGTGGTTCTACTGGCACTGAGAAAGGGAACAATCTTTAGTTCTGGTCAACGTGCCTAACATAACTCCTGGCCCTCAGTAGTCTCTAAGTATTTTATTTGAATGAATTAATAAGACCCTATTTTACAGGAGATAAATTGAGACAGAACGGTTAAGTGGCTCATCTAAGGATTAAGAGAGACAGAGTTCTTGTCAATAATGGGACCTGGTCTACTGCCTTGGTTCTTAACACATATTCTTCCCTTTCCAGGCTGTCTTATCCCATGAATATTGTGTAATACACTGTAAAGAGACTTCCTTCCCCCTTATGAGCTGGTGATTTGCTTGTACCTAAATTAAGAGAGTAGGTTAAAGATGCAATGAGAGTGCTTTATGGCAATTCAAAGTATAATGTTTTCTCTAGGATTTCTTTCATTTTGTTTGTTTGTTTGTTGTTTTTTTGTAGAGATGGGGGTCTCATTATATTGCTCAGGCTAGTCTTGAACTCCTGGGCTCAAGTGATCCTCCTGCCTTGGCTTCCCAAAGTGCTGGGATTACAGGTATGAGCCACTGAACCTGCCCTATCTAGGATTTCTTAGTTTTTGGAATTGCAACAGAGAGGGATAACCCCTTTTTTGCATGTTTTGTCAGAGCTGAGGTTGAACAAAGGGCCCTGGGTGGGCGTGTGGGGAAGGATAGGTGGTTACGGCATGGATTTTATAGGCAGATGGTGTTGGCTTGGAAGAAAATCACAGTAACAGTAACATGTGGGTGTGGGTGTAGAGGGATATCTTCTTTTCCAGCACTGTATCTTTGAATCTGCCCACCTTCCCCTGAGAATTGGCTTTGATTACCTTGATGTTGGTTATTCTGATAGACGAAGCTGCAGGGCAGGGCTAATGTACATTAATGGAGATGTGTGTATAAATCATCTCACAGAATATACAGACATCCTCTGTCTCTAGAAAGTTGGCCTCTTTTTGAACTTCTCACTATGTCCTAGTTGTTACAGAAGTAATTTAGAAACCCCAGAAGAAATATATAAATAGGGTCTATTGCATACTGGGCCTGAACAAGCTGGAGAGGAATAATTTCACATTTGATGGCAGGCTATTTTACTTGTTTGTCTTTCTTCTCCCTTTGCTTCCTGCCTTGCTTTGAGTGACTGCAGAAGCTTTTTGTGATTGTAGGGAGCCTTGGCCAATGTGGGAATAGGACCCAGGAATTCAAATTTCTCACCTGACATCTGCAGTACCTTCAGAATGCTTCTGAAACTGATATAAATGAAGAAATACTCCAAAAGATTACTATTGAACAACAAAATAAAAACTTTCACATGATAAACCATATTTAGTCGCATTCTTCCCTTTTCAGGCCCCAAGTATATAGCTGAGATGGGTCTAGTGTCTTTCTTTTTATGTACCATTTTAGGCAAGTTCTTCTCAGTTTATAAATAGACTTTTCATTCTCAACCCTTCTTATGTGGGCAAGAAAAAGGATTTGTTTAATAGAGTCTGATAAATAATTTTTAATTGTTTTAAATTGTGATAAAATATACATAACATAAAGGTACCATCTTAATCATTTTTAAGTCTTTGGTTCAGTGGGATTAAGTACATTCATATTGTTGTATAACCATCACCACCACCCATCTCCAGAACTCTTATCGTCTTGTAAAATTAAAACTATACACGTTAAACTTTAACTCCCCATTCCCAGCTGCCCTCAGCCCCTGGCATCCATTGTTCTACTTTCTGTCTTTATGAATTTGACTACTCTATAAATGGAAGTACCTCATGTAAAGGAAAGTATACAGTTTTTGGCTGGCCTGCTGTGACTGGTTTATTTCACTTAGCATAATGTTCTTAAGGTTCATCTGAAGGAAACAAAAATATTTCACCTGAAAATATACGTCTTTGTCATATTTTAAGATGACTGTTCAGAGCACCAGTAAACAGAAGTAGCCCTGCAAAGCTGTCTTTTTGGGGACATTTGCAGCTGTAGGGAAAATCTGCACTGATATAGCCAGGTTTTTTTCTGAGGCCCTCCCTTGTCCAGATCTAGGAAAGATTAACTGAGAGTCTGACACCTATAAAGGTCTGAATAAACATTCACCATCTATTCTCTCTGAGGGCTCTGCCTGTGAAGTTTTATCTATATAACAAGACCACTTCTGCTAGCCAGGCCTCCTCTTCTCCCCCTGTTCTGCCACCATAACCTGATTTTCCACCATAACCTGTTTTTGGCCATGCCTCGAGGGAGTTTCCATTCTTTCTGTAACCTCAAGATGGTATAAAAGCGTCAACCCTATACAAACTCTGGAAGAAAATCTCGGAAAATACCATTATGGACATAGGAACAGGCATAGATTTCATGACAAAGACACCAAAAGCAATTGCAATAAAACAAAAAAATTGACAAATGGGACCTAATTAGGCTAAAGAGCTTCTGTGCAGCAAATAAAACTATCAACACAGTAAACAGACCAGCTACAGAATGGGAGAATATATTTGCAAACTACACATCCAACAAAGGTCTAATATCCAGAATCTATATGGAAGTTAAACAAATTAACAAGCAGGAAACAGACAGCCTCATTAATAAGTGTATAAAGGACACGACTGACACTTTTCAAAAGAAGACATATACGGGGCCAACAAGCCTATGAAAAAATGCTCAGCATCGCTGATTATTAGAGAAATGTAAACCAAAACCACAGTGAGATACCATTTCACCCCAGTCAGAATGGCTATTATTAAAAAGTCAAAAAATAACAGATGCTGGCAAGGTTGTGGAGAAAAGGGATCACTTATACAGTGGTTCAGCCACTTCGGAAAGCAGTTTGGAGATTTCTCAAAGAACTTAGAACAGAACTACCACCATTCGACCCAACAATCCCATTATTGGGAAATTATTGGGTGAGGGTTGAAAAACTACCTATTGTACTATGCTTATTACGTGGGTGACAAAATAATCTGTACACCAAACCCCCGTGACATGCAATTTAACTATATAATAAACCTGCACTTGTATGCCTGAACCTAAAATAAAAGTTAAAAAAATAAAAGCACCAGCTACCTTGCCTTTCTTTGAATTCTTATATTTTGTATGATTCCTGTGCACATTAATAAATTGTATGCCTTTTCTCCTATTAATTTGCCTTTTGTCAGTTGATTTTTCAGAGAACCAGCAAGGATGGAGGGAGTTTTCCCTTAGCCCTGATACATCCATCTTGTAACATGTGTCAGAATTTCATTTCTTTTTACGGCTGAAATAATATTACATTATGTGCATATACATTTTGTTTATCCATTCACCTATTGATGGACACTTAGGTTGCTTCCACTTTTTGGCTATTGTGAACAATGCCGCTGTGAATATGAGTGTACAAATACCTCTTTGAGACCTTGGCTTTCAACTCTTTTGGGTATATACCCTGCTATGGTGCGAATGTGTATCCCCAAATGCATGTATTGGAAACTTAATCCCCAATGCAACAGTATTAGGAAGTGTAGACTTTTGGGAGATGTTTAGTAATGAGGCCCCTGAGATGTTTAGTAATGAGGCCCCTGTTATTATCAGTGGATTAATACCCTTATAAAAGGGTTTGATGGAAGAAGTTTGTTCTTCCACTTTTTTTTTTTTTGGTGGAGTCTCAGTCTGTCATCCAGGGTGGAGTGCAGTGGCGCTATCTTGGCTCACTGCAACCTCCGTCTCCTGGGTTCAAGCGATTCTCCTGCCGTAGTCTCCTGAGTAGCTGGGATTACAGGCGTGAACCACTGCACTGGCCTTTTTTGTTGTTGTTTTTTTGCTCTTCGGCCTTCTGCCATGTGAGAACACGGCATTCCTCCCCTATGGAGGCAGTGCCATCTTGGAAGCAGAGCCTGGACCATCACCAGACACCTAATTTACCGGCACCTTGGTCTTATATTTCCCAGCCTCCAGAACTGTGAGAAATAAATTTCTGTTCTTTATAAATTACTCAGTCTGTGGTAATTTGTTATAGCATCAGAAATGGACTGAGATATATCCAGTAGTGTAATTGCTGTATCATATAGTAATTCTATTTTTAATTTTTTGAATAACTTGATAAATAATTTTAAAGTTTTCTTCAGGATCCATAATATTTGCATGAACTGACTCATAAAAATGTTGGATTTGCTACTTTGATTCAAACCCATGATTCATTCGGCCAGGGGTTTTGTTTTGGACAGTGGCATTAGGAGATAGTTGATGAAAAGAATGATATTGCTTCACACAGTGATTAGATACCCTGGAAGTCCGAATTTCTCTACATCTTGACCTCATATTAATTTTTCTAACTCCTTCTTAAACCTGTTTATAACTCTAACCCACATAAAGGAGTTTCCTAAGTCTACTCATGAAAATATGACGTTATTTGATTTGTCCTAGAAGTGATTCTTTGAAACTTCAAGAGGAATTTCCAAGTTCTGGTTTTTTAGACTTGCTTAAAAAAGAAAAGTGTATTCACATATCCTTACCTTGTGTGATTTTAAAGATTTGTATTTTCAGCCCTCAGCCCTCAGCCCTCATTCCTCATCTTTGCATACAAAAGAATTGTATTTTTTCTGTTAGCAACCTCACTTAAAAACACATCCCTTGCTTGGTGAGTTTCTTGTCCTCTTTCTGGATCATCTCCAGCTGTCTTATGACATTCTGAACATTGTCCTCAGCATTCTAGGGCATTGCTGAAGCCTATAAAAGAGATTTTGGTCTGCAAAGTTTATAATCCCCTGCCTAGTGATAATCACCTTATTGTTGGGCCTGGGTTTTTTGGAGACAGTTCACAACTCCTCCTCTCCAGGACTGTAGCCAATAAAATGTTCTCCAGAGATAGGGTACTGACAGATGCTCCTGTGTGTTCATGAGAGTCAGTGTGGCCCAGCAGAAAGCACTGGCCTAGGGTTTATAGAATTAGGATTCTAGTCTTAAATCTTTGCTAACCACGCAATCTTAGGTACAGTTCACCTTTTGGTGCCTCAATTTCCCTATATGTGAAATGGGATCAAGAACACCTACCCTGTTCCCCTCACAAGATTATTCTGAGAATCAAGTGAGATCATGGAAATGAAAGTTCTTTCTAATTAAGTGCTGTATGCCTAGAGGAAATGTCGATTGAGACTTAAAGACTATAGGGTGTATCAAGTAATTTTGCTTTTCTGGCTTAATTTTTTTATTTATAAGCCCATGGATTAGTTGCTAATTATTATTATTATCTTTTTTTGAGACGGAGTCTCGCTCTGTTTCCCAGGCTGGAGTGCAGTAGCACGATCTTGGCTCACTGCAGCCTCCGCTTCCCGAGTTCAAGTGATTCTGCTGCCTCAGCCTCCTGAGTAGCTAGGATTACAGGCACACACCACCACGCCTGGCCAATTTTTGTATTTTTAGTAGAGACAAGGTTCGCCCTGTTGGCCAGGCTGGTCTCGAATTCCTTGCCTCAAGTGATCTGCCCACCTCGGCCTCCCGAAGTGCTGGGATTAGAGGCATGAGCCACTGTGTCTGGCCCAGTTGCTAAGTAGAATAAGTGATTTAACATGCACATCAGTTAGAATATTGTCACTGCTGTTACCTCATTATGTTAATACTACTGGACATTTGAAGGTCAGATTTCTAATAATCTCAATATCCAGAATAAAGCTGGGAGTCTAGAGGCTTGCCTTTCCAAAAACGGTCTCTAATAGCTTAAGTGGTTTTCGCTGTGCACTATTCCGTGGGAGAGAATGTTGTCCTGATTTTATTGGCTCTTCATTTAAATTCTGATGTGGTTTCTACCCCTTAGAAATTTAGAAGCAGAATCTAGGGATTTGGAGGTGAAGTGAGGAGTCTAGCACCAGAACTTTGATATGAAAAAGAAGTGACAATGGAATTGAATTGAAGTGTGTGTATGTATTGGGGGAGCCTGAAAATATTGGGGAAAACAGATATAAGGCCTATAAAGCATTGTGCTTTGTGTCTATTTTATGTAGAGTTCAATAGTCCTACATACCTGAGCATTCTTTGAGTATGTGACAGCCTCAGATTGACTGATGTTGTCACAATGATGAAGTGGAGTCATCCAAAAACCATTTAAGAAAGCAGAAAGCTGGGCATGATGGCATATGCCTGTAGTCCTAGCTGCTCAGGAGGCTGAGGCAGGAGGGTTGCTTACGTCCAGGAGTTCGAGTCCAGCCTGGGTAGCATAGTGAGACCTTGTCTCTAAACAACACCACCACCAACAACAAAAAGAATGCAGAAAATTAAATGTTAGCTTAGCTTTCCATTAAAATGGTTAAATTACAAAAGTTCTAAATGTTTGAAGGGATAAACTTTATTTAAATTGAAAATTAACTTTTTGTAATGGATTATTATCTGATAATGCTGAATAAACAGAACATTATTGTATTAATATTTTGACCATTATATTACAAAGGTATTTTTGTTATTTTCTCCATTTGGATAATTTTGTATTGTTATACCTAATTTATAGTAGAGGACATTGACAAGGTATGGTTATGCCAAATTTATGGCATCATTTGGAGAGGAATACATGGTTCTTATTTATTCTGATATGTTACCATGCTATAAATTGTATAAGGTTTTCCTATAGGCATTGTTTCATTTTACCTCCATAATGATCCATTGAGGTACATATCGATGCCCGCATTTTACAGATGGGAATACTGAGGCTTAAGATAGGATCAACATATTCATAAAAGTGGTAGAGCAATGGATTTAAATGTTGGCCTTTTGACTCTAAAGCTGTTGTTTTTTCTAAGTCTTCCACTTAGGTATCATCATTATGCCTTGTGTTTTGGAACAATTCTGTAAAAAAGAACATATAGGCATCATTATCCCTATTTTACCATATGAGCAAATTGAGCTGAAAGATACCAAGTGAGCTGCCCAATGGACACATGATGGCTAGAACCCAGGTCTGTCGATTTCTGGACCATTAACTACTTTATTTTATGTATGTATGTATTTATTTATTTATTTATTTTGAGACGAAGTTTTGTTCTTGTTGCCCAAGCTGGAGTGCAGTGGCATGATCTGGGCTCACTGCAACCTCCGCCTCCCAGGTGCAAGTGATTCTCCTGCCTCAGCCTCCTGAGTAGATGAGATTACAGGTGCACACCACTACGCCCGGCTAATTTTTGTATTTTTAGTAGAGACCGGGTTTCACCATGTTGGTCAGGCTGGTCTTGAACTCCTGACCTCAGGTGATTCACTCGCCTTGTCCTCCCAAAGTGCTGGGATTACAGGCATGAGCCACCATGCCTGGCCCCAGTATCTATTTTAGAAACCATTTTATTTTGAAATAATTTCAAAGTTACAGGGAAGTTACAAAAATAGTACAAAGAACCTCAGTTTATCCTTCAGTCAGATTCACTGATTTTTAAAAAATATTTTGCTCTATTTGTCTTATTCTGTCTCTGATTATTTACATATTATTTTTTCTGGATCATTTTAGATTCAGTTGCATATATTACGACCTTTTCCCTTAAATCCTTCAGCATGTATTTCCCAAGAATAAGGATATTTATTACATATGCATAGTAGAAGTATTAATGTCAGGA
The DNA here is from genome assembly GCF_000001405.40 of Homo sapiens. Lineage (NCBI taxonomy): Eukaryota > Metazoa > Chordata > Mammalia > Primates > Hominidae > Homo > Homo sapiens. The sequence continues at coordinate 68,406,628 of NC_000023.11, read as the reverse complement.
ATTTAATTTTTTTTTTGGAGATGGAGTCTTACTCTGTTGCACAGGCTGGAGCGCAGTGGTGTGATCTTGGCTCACTGCAACCTCCACCTCCCGGGTTCAAGTGATTCTCCTGCTTCAGCCTCCTGAGTAGCTGGGATTACAGGTGCCCGCCACTATGCCCAGCTAATTTTTGTATTTTTGATAGAAATGGGGTTCCACCATGTTGGCCAGGCTGGTCTCGAACTCCTGACCTCAGGCGATCTGCCCACCTCGGCCTCCCAAAGTGCTGGGATTACAGGCGTGAGCCACCGTGCCTGGCCTCAAAGTCAGGAAATTTAACACTGATATAATACTATTATCTAATCTAAAGTCAATACTAAAATTTAACTAATTGTCCCAATAATATCCTTTTTGTCCCAATAATATCTGTTTTATTTTCTGACCCAGAAAACAGGATTATGAGTTGCATGTAGTTATCACTGGAGTATTGCCTTTTTTTTTTTTGACAGATTCTTGCTCTGTCACCCGGGCTGGAGTTCAGTGGCGTGATCTCAGCTTACTGCAGCCTCTGCCTCCTGGGTTCACGCGATTCTTGTGCCTCAGCCTCCTGAGTAGCTTACTAGATTACAGGCATGTGCCACCACGCCTGGCTATTTTTTTGTATTTTAGTAGAGATGGGGTTTTTACCATGTTGGCCAGGCTGGTCTTGAACTCCTGGCCTCAAGTGATCCACCTGCCCCAGCCTCCCTAAGTGTTGAGATTATAGGTGTGCGCCACTACGCCCAGCCTCATTGCCCTTTATATAATATCTTGTTGCTTCTCTTAGCCCATTATGTCCCAAAAGTTTAGAAAACATTTCTTGGATGAAAGAAGTGCATAAAATAGAGGTTAAAAAATGGGAATGTGGACCCTTTCCTTTTCAGTCACCTCAGGTTGCTTGCATTTTTTTGTGAAAACTCATCTACCACTTAGACCTGATAAAGATCACTTATTCTGCAGCAGCTTCTGCTTCCAACAGAGTGGGGATTTGGGCCCCTCCAAGCTTTTCTGCTGACATCTAGGAAATCCCAGGTGTACACAGGTCTGATCTGAGCTGTAATGCAGGAGTGTGGCTGTGCCAAGCTAGGGAAGAAAGAAAATCACCCCAAAGACTATAATGGGCCAGGCATGGTAGCTCATGTCTGTAATCACAACACATTAGGAGGCCAAGGCAGGAGGATCACTTGAGCCCAGAAGTTTGAGACCAGCCTGGGCAGCATAGTGAGACCTCCGCTCTAAAAAATTTTTTTAAAATTAGCCAGGTGGTGTCATGTGCTCGTATGGGAGGCTGAGGCAGGAGGCTCACTTGAGCCCAGGTGTTTGAAGCTATAGTGAGCTATAATCACACCACTTCATTCCAGCCTGGGCAACAGAGTGACTCAAACAAACAAACAAACAGACTGTAATGAGCAGACTAGGGGAATAGATGGAAGAGCAAATGCTGTACCTGATGTAGGACATTATTATTTCAAATGTGCATCACTTTTATGATAATGTTTGCATCACATACGAATTCTTTTTTTAAAATTGTGGTGAAAAAACACATAACATTAAATTTACCATCTGAACCATTTTTAAATGTACAGTTCAGTAGTGTTAAGTAGATTTACATTGTTGTGCAACAGATCACTAGCTTGTTTTCATCTTGCAACAATGAACCTCTATACCCACTAAATGCTAATTCCCCCTTCTCCCCCCAGCCTTGGCAACTACCTTTCTACTTCCTTTTTCTATGATTTTAACAACTTTTGTTACTTCATATTGGTGGAATCATACAGTATTTGTCTTTTGTGACTGGCTTATTTTGCTTGACATTCTCAGAGTTCTTTCACGTAGCATGTGTCAGAACTTCTTTTCTTTCTTTTTTTGGTTTATTCTTTTTTAAGTTTCTATTCTCCTACCCGAATGTGTCAGAATTTCATTCCTTTTTAAGGCTGCATAATTATTCCTTTGTATGTATATATACCGCATTTTGTTTATCCTTTTACCCATCAATGAACATTTGGGTTGTTTCCAACTCTTGGCTATTGTGAATAATCCTGCAGAGTACATAAGTGTGCAAATACACCTTTGAGATCCTGCTTTGAATTCCTTTGGGTATGTACCCAGAAGTGGGATTGCTGGATTATATGATAATTCTATTTAAAAGTTTTGGCCAGGCGCAGTGGCTCACACCTGTAATCCCAGCACTTTGGGAGGCCAAGGCAGGCAGATCATGAGGTCAAGAGATGGAGACCATCCTGGCCAACATGGTGAAACCCTGTCTTTACTAAAAATACAAAAATTAGCTGGGTGTGGTGGTGCATACCTGTAATCCCATCTACTCGGGAGGCTGAGGCAGGAGAATCGCTTGAACCTGGGAGGCGGAGGTCGCAGTGAACCGAGATCATGCCACTGCACTCCAGACTGGCGACAGAGTGAGACTCTGTCTCAAAAAAAAAAAAAAGTTTTTAGGAACCACCATACTGTTTTCCATAATGGCTGCACCATTTTGGCATCCCATACCAATTCTCTGAAATAGGTAGAGTTGTTATCATTAAGCCTATTGTGCAGATAAAGAAGCTGAATGACTTACATATATACAAAGTTACGCAGCGGTAATGTAAAACTGAGACTTCAACCCAGGTCTCCTGGCTCTGCATTCAGCATCTCATTTCCTCTTATCTTACTCTTCTGCTTGTGCCACCCCTCCAGCGCTCCTCAGACATGACTGTGGCACTTCACTTTTAGCATTTTTCTGAGTCTAGATGGTACAACTGTTTCCTTTGCTCAAGAAATGCCCTCCCCATCAAGCAGTACATCTCGTGCAGTACCTGAGTTCAGAATGCTGCCTCTGTTTAGACTCACCATTGCCCTTTTGCCTTGTTCTCTTGAGCCTAGGATCGTACACAAGGCACATTTGAGGAAGCAGCCAATTGGCACGGCTCTGTGAGTCTCTACAGCAGTAGGTCTATGATAGGGACGTTTATTTTTTAAAGTCGAAAGGCACAATTGCTCTTTGATTTAGTTGCTGAACACTGACCCCCTGCTTAGATTTCTGCAAATTGAAAGCAGCTATCATTTCAACATCAACACCTTCAAAAAGAAAACACGCTTGCACATGCTCAAAAAATTGCTGATCTGTAGGGAAGAGTAGCAATTCCAAAAAAGAAGGCATATGATTTTTATCTTTCAGTAGTAATTAACACTACCCTTCTCTCTAGGAAAGCTTCCTGCCAGGAGTTGTGTCTCCTCTCTGAGTTTAAACTTATTTGCTGCCTTTTTCCTTCCTAGAGATCATCTCAATATTCTATTCCACTTAAAGGCATTTGACACCGGTTCTGTATCTGGGCTCTGAGGCTAATGGTATGAAAGCTTCCAAGACAAACTCCCAAAACTGTAGATTCCTGAATCAAGTGTCTTGCTGGAGTCTGTAGACTTGAAACATTTGGCAGCTGTGCTGCTTTTCCTATTTAACACACAGGGACATTTGGCGGCTAGGACTGTATCTTAATTCTCCATCTTTGGCTTTGCTTTCTTCATCATCTTCCCATCTCACCCATTTCTGATTTGTGCAGTGTTGGCTTGTTCAAATTCTGATCTTTTAGGACACTGTCATTCTTTCTAGGCAGGCTATCAAAATGTTCAGTCTTTACTTCAGATACTCCTGTACACCTCAGATTACACCTCTCTGTGAAAACCTCTCCCCCAATTTTATCTTTTAACGTGTGAGTATGTGCCTATGTTTGTTTTTCTCGGAGAGAAAGATGGTATCTCCCTAGAGTTTAGTTGACTCCCAAAGTTTAAAAACTACTGGCCATATGTGGAACCTGTCTTGGCCCTTTCCATTATCACAATGCCTCAAGTCATTTGCAAACCTGACCTGATAAGCACTCTTCTGAAGATTTTATCAGGACCTATTTCTTTGGTTTCTGGTTCTTGATATGGCACTACCTATAACTCTAACTGGGCTGTTTGAAGAGAACAGATCATGAGGCCCATCAACATAAGATATGCAATAAGATTTCTTTATACTTGGGGTTTAATGATTCAGTTCATACTGACATTAGGCATTATTTACTTTGCCTTTGCTTTGAGTCAAAATCCGGCTAAGCATTTTCCCCACATCCTACTGACTTCTTTATTTTGGTTCATGGTATTTGTAGCCTACCAGTTGGCAAGAATGGAAACCTCAAAGACAGGCTCTTCTCTTTTCTTCTCTTCCTTCTCTTCTCTTCTCTTCTTTCTCTCTTCTTCTTCTTCTTCTCCTTCTCCTTCTCCTCCTTCTTCTTCTTTTTCTTCTTCCTTCTCTTTCTTTCTCTCTTTTCTTTTCTTTTCTTTCTCCCTTCTTTCTTCTCCCCTTCTTTCTTTCTTTCCTCTCTCATGACCCTTACATCCAATAAATGCCTAAGTCTGGTAGATTTACCTCCAGCAGTGTCTTTTGCATTCGTCTCCACCTTTCTCTTGCTCCTTCTTACTGCTACATTTCAAACACTTTTCACTTTTTGCCTGAGAAAACACTAGCCGCCAACTTCTATCCCTTTCTCCTTCGGTTCATTCCATACTGATTCCAGATGAACTGTTTGAAACTAAAGCACTCATCATGCCACTTCCTGTTCAGAAACCTTCAGTGGTTTTCCACACTGCCGGCTTCCTCAAGAAAAGAGTGTGCAGCCTGACCTTCAAGGTTTTCCAGATTATGGGCCTAAGGGTCTTCCAGCATCATCTCCTCTTACTTCCCTTTATATCTTTGGCTATCAAGCTAAATTGGACTCTGCACTGTTCTGCAAACCTGTGTTCAGCTCTGGTTCTCCTCGGTCTCTTTTGCTCAGGCCATTCTTTTTTCCTGGAATGCTCTTACCCCCATACATCTCTGTTTATTGAAGTCTGCCCATCATGCAAGGCCCATCTCAAATCTTACCTTTTCCTTGCATTCTTCCTAGATCTCCCCAACCGAATATGATTTCTTCCTCATTTGAACTCTCTTGGGACAATCTACATCTCCTGATGTTTGTATAATGCTTGGTATTATGCACTCATCTTCACTACTACATTGGATGCTCTTGGAAGATAAAAGTTGTCTCTTAGTAGTCTTGTATCACTGTACAATTGTGTTACTGTACAATTGCGTTACTGTACAATTGTGTTACGGTACAATTTGAAACTTAGGGCCTTGTGTGTATCAGGCTTTTAGAAAGTATTTGTGGAATTGAGTAGAGTTTTATTTAGCTTTCTTTGTAATCCTGGTAGTCTATCTAGAATCTTTCTAGAGCGGGCCAAATGCCACCACCTTTGAGGATATCTTCTCAGTTAGAATTAACCCTTTGTTCCTTGATGTTCACTTACATGTTGTTTACACTGTACTTGTAGCTGTCTGTCTCATTACTAAGTTAGCTGTATTGTGAATATCTCCCTTCCTTCTTTGGAGAGGGATTGGTTCTGATTTATTACTGTATATCTAATATGGTTTGGATTTGTGTCCTCACCCAAATCCCATGTTGAATTGTAATCCCCAATGTTGAAGGTGGTGCCTGGTGGGAAGTGAAAGGATCATGGTGGCAGTTTCTTGTGGTTTAACACCATCCTCCTTGGTGCTGTCGTCATGATAGTGAGCTCTTGTGAGAGCTGATTTTTTAAAAGTGTGTGGCACTTCCCCACCTCTTCTTGCCCCTGCTCTGGCCATGTAGGATGTGCCTGAAAGAAAAAATAACAACAACAAAAGACATGCCTGGCCAGGTGCAGTGGCTCACACTTGTAATACCAGCACTTTAGGAGGCAGAGGCGGGTGAATCATCTGAGGTTGGGAGTTCGAGACCAGCCTGGCCAACATGGCGAAACCCTGTCTTTACTAAAAATAGAAAAATCAGCCAGGCATGGTGGTGCACGCCTGTAATCCCAGCCACTCAGGGGACTGAGGCAGGAGAATTGCTTGAGCCCAGGAGTCGGAGGTTGCAGTGAGCCGAGATCATGCCACAGCACTCCAGCCTGGGCAACAGAGCGAGACTCCATCTCAAAAAAAAAAGAAAAAAGAAAAAAGAAAAAAAAGAGAGAAGAAAGACGTGCCTGCTTCCCCTTCGCTTTTCCCCATGATTGTAAGTTTCCTGAGGCCTCCTTAGAAGCAGAAGCCACTATGCTTCCTGTACAGCCTGCAGAACTGTGAGCCAATTAAACCTGTTTTCTTTATACATTACTCAGTCTCAGGCATTTTTTTTATAGCAGTGTGAGAACAGACTAATACAATATCTCATGCTGATTAGCACAGTACCTGGCTCATAATATCACCGGTAGAGGGTTGTGACTGCAAGTTGTCCAGGTTCTTGGCGTTTTGGACAAAGAATTGGACAAAACGCCCTGCAAAGCAAAGAAAGAATGAAGCAACAAAAGAACGAAACAGGGATTTATTGAAAACAAAAATATACTCCACAGTGTGGAAGCAGACCCAAGCAGTGGCTCAAGGGCCCAGATACAGAATCTTCTTGGATTCAAATACCCCCTAGAAGTTTCCCATTGGCCATTTCATGCTCACCTCATGTAAATGAAGTGGTAGCCCAGAGTCAGTCTGATTGGTTGCAGAAAGCAGTCGACCAGAGGCTGAAGTGAAGTTACAAAGCTCACACTCCTCTGCAAACATCCTATTGGTTACAGAAAGCAACCAATCAGAGCCTGTAATCCCAGCTACTCAGAAGGCTGAGGCGGGAGAATTGCTTGGACCCGGGAGGCAGAGGTTGCATTGAGCCAAGATAGTGCCATTGTGCTCCAGCCTAGGCAATGAGAGCGAAACTCTGTCTTAAAAAAAAAAAAAGAAAGAAAAAAAAAGAAACTAAAACAAGACCAATGTAGTTGGAAGGTATGGAGTAGTTGCCCAATCACTCAGGGCCTATAGGTCATGCTAGGGAGATATAGCGTGAACCCCTCAGAGGGTTTTATTTATTTATTTATTTATTTATTTTTATTTATTTATTTTGAGACAGAGTCTTGCTTTGTCGCCCAGGCTGGGGTGCAGTGGCACGATCTCGGCTCACTGCAACCTCTACCTCCTGGGTTCAAGCATTTCTCCTGTCTCAGCCTCCTGAGTAGCTGCGATTACAGGCATGTGCCACCACGCCCAGCTAATTTTTATTTATTTATTTATTTTGTAATTTTAGTAGAGACGGGGTTTCGCCATGTTGGCCAGGCTGGTCTTGAACTCCTGACCTCAAGTGATCCGCCCACCTCAGCCTCCCAAAGTGCTGGGATTACAGGCATGAGCTACTGTCCAGCCCCTCAGATGGTTTTAAATAGGAAGATTCAAGTGATGTGCTTTATATTTTGAGCTTACTCTGGCTGCACAGTGGAGAATGAATTCAAGACAGGCAAGAATGGGTGAAGGGAGACCGGTTAGGTGGTAGTTGCAGTGGTATAGGTGGAAGAAGTTGATGGCTTGGATGAGGGTGGAGATGGAGAGAACTGTATTAATGGGATATTTAGGAGTTTACATAAATCGGACTTGGTGATAAATTGGATATGGAAGGTTGGGGAGATGGAGATATCAAAGATGGCTCACTGGTTTGTAAATAGATGGTGGGGCCATTCTTTGAAATGGTTAATTCTGGAGAGGACCAGTTTTGTGGAGAAGGTTTGGCATATTATTACTATACACACACACACACACACACACACACACACACACACTTTTTTTGTTTTGAGACAGAGTCTTGCACTGTCACCTAGGCTGGAGTGCAGTGGCACAATCTCAGCTCACTGCAAACTCTGCCTCCTGGGTTCAAGTGATTCCCGTGCCTCAGCCTCCTGAGTAGCTTGGATTACAGGCGCCCACCACTACGCCTGGCTAATTTTTGTAGTTTTAGTAGAGACAGGGTTTCGTCATATTGGCCAGGCTGGTCTCGAACTCCTGACCTCAGGTGATCCGCCCACCACGGCCTCCCAAAGTGCTGGGATTACAGGCGTGAGTCACTGGGCCTGGCCAGATTTTGTATATATTTAGGACCCTCCCTGATTCCCAGTCTAAGGTAGCACATTGCCTTTAAGTTAGGGCCTTAGCTGTCTGATATTGTGTAAATGTGATCCTAATTCAAGACAGGCGGACCAGAGCAAGTGACTTCTTTATAAACCTGATAGCCCTGTGTTTCTGTGTGGTTTCTTTTCCACCATTAAATGCATCATCACCACAGCAGTGGAATACATAGAAGGGGTTGGAGAACATTTCGTGGGTTTAAAAATTTCAAGTGAAAAATATGTTGGATTGAAATCTTTGGAAACTATTCCACTGGGCTATTATAGTTGCAGCTGAAAACAATTAATGGAGCAGCAGATGAAAAACCAAAACATGCAAGCATTGGGGCACTGTGGAATAAGGGGATCATTTAGGTGGGCCTTTCTACCATTGGATAGGGCATAAATTGAGAAAAGTGCACATGTAGTCATGAGCAAGTATTAAAGTGTCTCCCCAAAATACTAGCAAATAGTGAGCTAATAAATGGAGGTGGAGAAAAATAAAAGGCAAGGGACAATATAAGATCAAAGACAGCTTCTGTTTCTTTGCAGCATTTTGTGCCCCCACTCTGGCAGGTTTTCTACAGATGCTCTGATCAGGAACCAGCTGGCCCCAGGGCTGGCTCTCAGTCTCTCCTGGCAGTCCCCACACCCCAAGCAAGATCATTAAATCATCCTTTTGTTAAGGGACGATGGGAGGAGCCTAATCTGAGAAAAAGAAAAGTAAGGAAGAACAGGGTTACACCTGCCAGTGATAAAAGGAAGACTGTGGCAATAAGGGAAAAAAGCCCAGGGAATTAAGAAAGGGTTAACCTGTGGCCAGGCACAGTGGCTCATGCCTATAATCCCAGCACTTTGGGAGGCCGAGGTGGGTGGATCACTTGCGGTCAGGGGTTCGAGATCAACCTGGCCAACGTGGTGAAACCCTGTCCCTACTAAAAATACAAAAATTAGCTGGGCGTGGTGGTGGGTGCCTGTAATCCCAGCTACTTCGGAGGCTGAGGCAGGAGAATCACTTGAACCTGGGAGGTGGAGGTTGCAGTGAGCCGAGATTGTGCCACTGCACTCCAACTGGGGCAACAGAGTGAGACTCTGTTTCAAAAAAAAAAAAAAAATAAATAAATAAATAAAAGAAAAAAGTGTCAACCTAACATAACAGACCAAAAAAAAAAAAAAAAAGAACATAAAAGACAAACAGAAACAGGCTGTCAGGATTCAGGATGTGATAAGGCTGCAGTATGGAAATGGATTCAGCTACCTGGGAAACTTGCAGAGTTGCAATTGAAAAAGTTAATGATGTTCTCCGATAAGAAGCCTGGGGCACTGAGAAGGCCTGTTTTGTAACTCTGGGAATCCTTTAGCCAGCCACTGTGGTCCCTGGTTTATAGCCAATTAGAAGTTAGAAAGAAAAATGGAAAAAACAACCAAAGGAAAAAGTTGTTAACAGCTGCTATGATTTTATCTAAATAGAACTTCCATTACAGGCTGTGAGAAGATTAAAGAAATCTGGGTGAACTGTGCTGGAGGGTGGAGGGTGTTCCAGCACAGCTCTTGCTGAGCAGTCCTGGTGTTGCTCCAAGGCAAGAGCAGCTTGCAATCAGGAGGCAGTTTTCGCTAGCCACCCAGAGAAGATTAACCTCAAGACCCAGGTAATTGCAGTTTCTGTTTGCTCCTCAGTCCTGAGAGAGTCCTATGCCCCTGGGGGGAAGCTCCCCTGGGATGGGAGAGGAGTAACGGGTAAATTTCCAGCCACTTACTACTTATCAAGGGCTCATCCTGTGACAGCAGGATACTCATTAGTTTTTATTTTTATTTTTATTTTTTTGAGATGGAGTCTCGCTCTGTCGCCCAGGCTGGAGTGCAGTGGCGTGATCTCGGCTCACTGGAGCCTCCGCCTCCAGTGCTCCAGCGATTCTCCTGCCTCAGCCTCCCGGGTAGCTGGGATTACAGGCACGTACCACCATGCCCGGCTAATTTTTGTATTTTTAGGAGAGATGGGGTTTCACCATGTTGGCCAGGCTGGTCTCAAACTCCTGACCTCAGGTGATCCGCCTGCCTCGGCCTCCCAAAGTACTGGGATTACAGGCGTGAGCCACAGCGCCTGGCCAACTCATTCGTATTCAGAGTCAAGGACTCCCTGATTGTCCCTCATACAAGTTCTCTTGCCCTAAACACAGGGAGAGACATGTAGATTCACCTAGCCTCCACAACCTTGTTTTTTTTTTTTTTTTTTTTTTTTTTGAGAGCAGTGGCACAATCATAGCTCACTGCAGCCTCCAACTCCTGGGCTCAAGCGACCCTCCCACATCAGCCTTCCAAGTAGCTGGGACCACAGGCGTGTGCCACCGTGCCAGGCTATTTTTTTTTTTTTTGTAGAGACAGCCTCACTATGTTTCCCAGGCTCATCTCAAACTCCTGGGCTCAAGTGGTCCTTCCACCTCAGCCTCTCAAAGTGCTGGGATTACAGGCATGAGTCGCCATTCCTCGTCCACAGCCTTGATCCTTACTGGCTATACAAGGAAGTCCTGCTTTGTTCTGTTTCAGGAAGGAATGCTTGAGGGTCCCACCAGCCAGCCTCCACCGCCAGTAATCTATTGCTCTGAATCCCGGATATACCTTCAAATAGGGAGCTTAGATTCCTTAGGCATCCTGAAATCAATTGCCTTAATATAAACAAGTAACAATCAGAATATATAATGGAAGGAAAGATTCCACTTTAATAAGAACAGAAAAGAGAAAATACTTAAACTTAATGGCTGGGCGTGGTGACTCATGCCTATAATCCTAGCACTTTGGGTGGCCGAGGTAAGAGGATCGCTTGAGCCCAGGAGTTTGTGACCATCCTGGACAACATAGTAAGACCTCATTTCTACAAAAAAATGAGAAAATTAGCAGCTGGGCATGGTGGCTCACGCCTGTAATCCCAGCACTTTGGGAGGCCGAGGTGGGTGGATCACCTGAAGTCGGGAGTTCGAGAACAGCCTGACCAACATGGAGAAACCCCATTTCTACTAAAAATACAAAATTAGCCAGGTGTGGTGGTGCATGCCTGTAATCCCAGCTACTTGGGAGGCTGAGGCAGGAGAATCGCTTGAACCTGGGAGGCAGAGGTTGCAGTGAGCCGAGATCGTGCCATTGCACTCTAGCCTGGGTGATAAGAGTGAAACTCCATCTCCAGAAAAAAAAAAAAAGAGAGAGAGAAAATTAGCTGGGCATGGTGTTGTGTGCCTGTAGTCTCAGCTAGTCGGATGGTGGGGGCAGGAGGATTGCTTGAGCTCAGGAGTTGGAGATTGCAGCAAGTTAAGATTGCACCACTGTACTCCAGCCCGAGTGACAGAACAAGACCCTTTCTCAAACAAAACAAAACAAAAACAAAAAAACAAGGCCAAGCACAGTGGCTCATGCCTGTAATCCCAGCACTTTGGGAGGCCGAGGTGGGTGGATTGCTTGAGGTCCGGAGTTTGAGACGAGCCTGGCCAACATGGTGAAACCCCATCTCTACCAAAAATACAAAAAATTAGCGGGGTGTGGTGGTGCATGCCTGTAATCCCAGCTACTCAGGAGGCTGAGGCATGAGAATCGCTTGAGTCTGGGAGGCGGAGGTTGCGGTGGGCTGAGATCACGCCACTGTACTCCAGCCTGGGCAACAGAGCAAGACTCTGTCTCAATAAATAAATAAATTAATAAATACATAGGCCAGGTGTGGTGGCTCACGCCTGTAATCCCAGCACTTTGGGAGGCCGAGGTGAGTGGATCACTTGAGGTCAGGAGTTGAGACAAGCTTGGGCAAGATGGTGAAACCCCGTCTCTACTAAAAATACAAAAATTAGCTGGGCGTGGTAGCGCGTGCCTGTAGTCCCAGCTACTTGGGAGGGTGAGGCAGGTAAATCACTTGAACCTGGCAGGCAGAGGTTGCAGTGAGCCGAGAATGTGCCACTGCATTCTAGCCTGGGCAACAGAATGAGACTCAGTCTCAAGAAAACAAAAAACAAAAAAAACTTAACATGTAAATTCTACATGAAGAAAAAATATTACATAGTAACATAAAAGACTTAGACTCAGGTATTCTTGAATAGAAAGATAATAACATAAAAATATTAACTTGCCTAAGTAAATTTATTAAAATAAACTCAGTGCAAATAAAGATACAATTTTTTGTTAACTAGATAAACTGATTCTAAAAGTTGTATGTAAAAGCAGGCAAGCATGAAAACCCAGAGAAATTAGTCAATGGAGAGTAATTAGGGGAAATTAATCTTATCAGATATTAAAATATAGCATGCTATTAAGCTATAGTAGTTAAAGCAGTGTGGTACTGATGCATGATTCTAAAAACAACAGAACAGACCAGAAAGTCTAGAAATAGATTGAACTCAGAAATTTCATGTCTGATAAAGGTGGCATTTCAGAGCAGTGGGGAAATGACGTATTATTTAACAAAGTCAGGCCGGGCGCGGTGGCTCACGCCTGTAATCCCAGCACTTTGGGAGGCCGAGGCGGGCGGATCACGAGGTCAGGAGATCGAGACCATCCTGGCGAACACGGTGAAACCCCGTCTCTACTAAAAATACAAAAAATTAGCCGGGCGTGGTAGCGGGCGCCTGTAGTCCCAGCTACTCGGGAGGCTGAGGCAGGAGAATGGCGTGAACCCGGGAGGCGGAGCTTGCAGTGAGCCGAGATCGCGCCACTGCACTCCAGCCTGGGCAACAGAGCGAGACTCCGTCTCAAAAAAAAAAAAAAAAAAAAAAAAAAAACAAAGTCTATTGGATCACCTTGATAGCCATTTCGGAAAAAAGAGATTAGTATCCATACCTCATGCTTGACACCCAGGTACATTTCAGATAGATCAAAGATTTACATGTGAAAAATAGGGCCATAAAACTTCTGGTAAAAAAGGGAGTATGTAAAAATTAATTTTAGAGTGCAGAAGCCTTACTTATATGATACAAAATTAGGAAGTAAACTTGAAAAATAGAAATAAAAAAGGGACATTTAAAGTATAATTGAAAAAAACAGAAAGGAAAGGATGATATGTTTGACGCATGAAACTCCAATTTGTATATGGAAAAAGTATCATGAATAAATGCAAATGTCAAATTGGTAGCCCTCATGCATTGCTGCAGTAGAAATTGACAGAATCTCTTTCAAGGGAGTTTGGCAATTTCAATCAAAATTTAAAATGTTAGCTGGGTGTGGTGGTGTGTGCCTGTGGTCCCAGCTACTTGAGAGCCTGAGGCAGGAGGATTGCCTGCACCTGGGAGTTTGAGGGTGCACTGAGCTGTGATCGAGCCTCTGCACTCCAGCCTGAGTGAAAGAGTGATACTTTGTCTAAAAACAAACAAACAAAATCACTGTTTTTTTGTTTGTTTTGTTTTGTTTTTTAAAGAGGCAGTGTTGCCCAGACTGGAGTGCAGTTGAAACGGGAGAGTTCCCTGACCCCACTTGCAGGACATGCAACAGAGGTGTGGCTCATCTGTTCAGTCGCTGCCGCTGCTCAAACCCCTTACGGGAAGCGGAGCATGCAGGTGAACAGGTGGAGGAGCCCAAGTGGGCATGTGTTACAGTGTGCCCTTTTAGCCCTGCCATCCATGGACAGCTTGAGTGTTAATCAGCTCAGTGGACCCTCTGCCTTTCTGCAAGGGCAGAGGGCCAGTGTGACAGCTTTCTGTATCCCGAGCTCTTGTCCAGTGTCCCGGAAGAATCGAGTCACACACGAACTTGAAGGATGAATGCAGGGTTTTATTGCGTGGTGGAGGTGGCTCTCAGTGGGCCGGATGGGGAGCTGGAAGGGGGGATCGAGTGGGAAGATGATCTTCCCCTGGAGTTTGGCTGTCCAGCAGCCAAACTCTTCTCTGACCACTCCCAGCTGAACTCCTCTTGGCCTTCAGACATTCCTCCTGTTCTCTCTTTCTCTGCTGCATTGTTCTGCTGTTCATCTGCTTGTCTCCTCGTCTGCTTCTGGAGCCTGGAGATCAGGGTTTATATGGGTACAGGATAGGGAGTGTTGTGGGCCAAAAGGCAATGTTTTGGGCGTGAAAACAGGAATGACTGTCCCCATTTAGGGCCGTGGGTCTCCAGGCTTGAGGGTGGGGCCTTTGCTGGGGAACCACTCTCTTCCATCCAGTATTTGCCTGTCTCCTGTGTGTATCACAGTGGTGCAATCATAGCTGACTGCTGCCTTGAATTCCTAGACTCAAGCCATCCTCCTACCATGCAGTAAAAAATCTCCTTATAACTTTTGACTCCCCCCAAATTTAACTATTAATAGCTTACCATTGACCGGAAGGCTTATCTGGTCTGTAGATTAACACATATTTTGTATATGTATTATATACGGTATTCTTACAATATAGTAAGCTAGAGGAAAGAAAATGTTAAGAATCATGAGGAAGAGAAAATATATTTACTATTCATTAAGTGGAAGTGGATCATCATAAAGGTGTTCATCTTCATGTTGAGTTAGGCTGAGAAAAGAGGGATTGGTCTTGCTGTCTTAGGGGTGGCAGAAGAGGAAGAAAATCTTCATATAAGTGGATCTGTGAAGTTCAAACCTGTGTTGTTCAAGGGTCAATTGTCTATTTTGATAATATGTATACCTTTTGTTGTTTTCCTATTGCTAATGCAACAAATTAGCACAATTTTGTGGCTTAAAGCATGCACATATTATCTGATAGTTCTGGAGGTCAGAAGTACAAAATGAGTTTCACTGCTAAAGTCAAGGTGTAGGCAGGGCTGGTTCCTCGTCGAGGCTCTGGGGGGAGAACCTGTTTCCTTGCCATTTTCAGCTTCAAGTGGCTGTCTGCGATCCTTGGCTTGTGGGCCATCCTCCATCTTTAAAGCACATTGCTCCAATCTCTGCTTCCATCATTACATTACTGACTTCTCTCCTCCATTGATCCTCCTACGTCCCTCTTAAGTATCTTTGCAATTACACTGGGCTCATTTGGGTAATCTAAGATAATCCTAACATCTCAAGATCTGTAGCTCAACCACACACTAGCAGAGTCCCTTTTGGCATGTAAAGTAACACATTCATAGGTTCTGGGGATGAGGGTGTGGATATCTTTGAGGGATCATTATTCAGCCTACCACAGATATGTTCTTGCATACCCTATCTCTGGAAGAAAAAAACTGCTGAGGGTAGTTGCCTCTGGAGATAGGAAGCTGGGGGCTGACGGACAAGGGTAAGACAAAAACGTATGCTTTACTGAATGCCCCTTTGTATTTTTTGAGTTTGTGTCTCTGTATTCTGTCACAAAGTGAAATATGCTCATTGTGGATATTTTAGAAATTGCAAAAAAAGAGAAAAACACAAAAATATTAATCATAGTGCAACTGCCCAGACTCAGCCACTATTAATATTTTTTATATATTTCCTTATGTTATTTCTATTCATAATTATGTCTGTGATAGAATAATAGCTTCCCCAAAATATCCAAGTCCTAATCCTTAGAATCTGTGAACACGTTACCCTAAGTACCCAAAGGAAATTTGCAGATGTGATTAAGGATCATGAGATGAACAGATTATCTTGGATTATCTGGGGTGGGCCCTTATAATAGGGAGGAAGAAAGGTCAGATAGAGAGAAGATGATGTGGTGGCAAAAGTAGCTGTCTAGGATACAGGAATATGTGTAGCCTCTGGTAGCTAGAAAAGTCCAGGACTGAATTCTCCCCTAGAGCTTTCAGGAAGAATGCAGCCCTACCAACACCTTTGGACTTCTGACATCCAGAATTGTAAGATAATAAATTTGTGTCATTTTAAGCTACTAAATTTGTGGTAAATTGTTTCGGTAGCATTAGGCAATTAATACTATGTCTTTAATAAGCATTCCTTCATGCTAAAACATGTTTTGTGAATACTGTAATAGCTCTTTAATGTTATTGCTGTTTATTCTTCTAGACTGCAAGTTGTACAAGGGCAGGGACCATTTACGTCTTGATCACCATTATATTTCCAATGTCTTGTCTGCAGTGGGCCCTTAATAATTATTCATTTAGTAAATCAGTGAATACACCACAATTTATCTAACTTTTCTTTTTGAGACAGTTTCACTCTGTCACCTGGGCTGGAGTGCAGTGGCGCAATTTCTGCTGACTGCAGCCTCGACCTCCTGGGCTCAAGTGATCCTCCCACCTCAGCCTCCTGAGTAGGTGGGACTACAGGCACACACCACCACACCCTGTTAGTTTTTGTATTTTTTGTAGTGATGGGGTTTTGCCATGTTTCTTAGGCTGGTCTCAAACACCTGAGCTCAAGCAATCTGCCCACCTTGGCCTCCCATAGCGTTAGAATTACAGGCATAAGCCACTGCACCCGGCCCCAGTGTTTTCCTTTTTAAGTAGCTCCTGCCATATATAGCTGATAATAATATTAATAATAATCGTTTAAGTGCTTTACGTACTGATATAGTTTGGCTATGTCTCCACCCAAATATCATCTTGAATTATAGTTCCCATAATCCCCATGTGTCACTGGAGGGACCCAGTGGGAGGTAACTGAATCATGGGGGCAGTTACTGCCATGCTGCTATTCTTGTGATAGTGAGTTCTCATGAGATCTGATGGTTTTATAAGGGGCTTTTCCCCCTTTTGCTCTACACTTCTCCTTGCTGCTGCCTTGTTAAGAAGGACGTGTTTGCTTCCCCTTCTGTTGTAAGTTTCCTGAGGCCTTCCCAACCCTGTGGAACTGTGAGTCAATTAAACCTCTTTCCTTTATAAATTACCCAGTCTCAAGTATGTCCTTATAACAGTGTGAGAACAGACTAATAGACATACATTATCTCAATTTAATCCTTACAAAAACCTCATGACTGGTAAATGCTATTATTATCCCCCTCGCCCAAAGTCACATAGTGAGTAAGTGGCAGAAACCCAGATCTCTCAGGGTCCAGATTCAACACTCTTAACCACAACACTCTACAGCTTGCTAAATATTGGAACATCCTGTACATGCTGATTTTTATGGCTTTTTTTTTTTTTACTAAATCACACATATTAATATCTTCCCATGTCATTACACATTTTATTTATTTATTTATTTATTTATTTATTTATTTATTTATTTATTTTTGAGAGGGAGTCTTGCTCTGTTGCCCAGGCTGGAGTGCAGTGGCACAAACTTGGCTCACTGCAAGCTCTGCCTTTTGGGTTCAAGCGATTCTCCTGCCTTAGCCTCCCGAGTAGCTGAGATTACAGGCACCCTCCACCATGTCCAGCTAATTTTTATGTTTTAGTAGAGATGGGGTTTCACCATGTTGGTCAGGCTGGTCTCTAACTCCTGATCTCAAATGATCTGCCTGCCTCGGCCTCACAAAGTGTTGGAATTACAGGCATGAGCCACCGTGCCTGGCCCATTTTTAACTATCATTAAAACATGTTCTGGCCAGGTGTGGTGGCTCATGCCTGTAATCCAAGCACTTTGGGAGGCTGAGGTGAGAGGATCACTTGAGCTCAGGAGTTCGAGACTGGCCTGGTCAATGAAGCGAGACCCTGTCTCTACCAAAAAAAAAAAAAAATTAGCCAGAGTTGATGGTGTGTGCTTATAGTCCCAGCAACTTGGGAGGCTGAGGCAGGAGGATTGCTTGAGCTCGGGAGGTCAAGGTGGCAGTGAGCCATGATTACACCACTGTACTCCAAGTTGGGTAACAATGAGACCCTGTCTCAAAAAAAAAAAAAATGTTGACTAGTATTCCATTGTCTGTATCTACCATAATTTCTCAGTACGATCTTATTACTACTAAATAGGTCTTATTACTAAACATTTTAGATTATTTCCATTATAAACTTAATTCAGTTTGTTTTTATTTTTGATATGGAAAATTCAAATATATAGTGAAGTAGAGGGAATAGTATAAAGAACTCATGTGTCTCCATACCCAGCTTCAATCTGTTATATCTATGCCCCTCACCTAGTTCCTTCCACCTTGGGCCTGGATTACTTTGAAGCAAATTCTCAGACATCATATCATTTCATCTGTGAATACTTTAGCATTAAACACTATTTTTATACTATAAAATTGCCTCAGTTGCCTGGATTATCTTCCTAAAAAACACATCTGATCAGACACTCAATAAATAGCTGTTGAATGGCTTAATCCCTTTCCCTGGTTGCTTGAAAATGCAGCTGACTCCCTACTGTCTAAAAGAATTAATACCAAACTTCTTTTTTTTTTTTTTTGAGACAGAGTCTCCCTCTATCACCCAGTCGGGGGTGCAGTGGGGCGATCTCGGCTCACTGCAACCTCTGCCTCCTGGGTTCAAGCCATTATCCTGCCTCAGCCTCCCAAGTAGCTGGAATTACAGGTGCATGCCACCACACATGGCTAATGTTTGTATTTTGAGTAGAGACAGGGTTTCACCATGTTGGCCAGGCTGGTCTCGAACTCCTGACCTCAAGTGATCCACCCACCTTGGCCTCCCAAAGTGCTGGGATTACAGGTTTGAGCCACTGCATCTGGCCCAAACTTCTTAAATAGGCATACGAGACCCTTTATACTCTGACCACAGCCCACTTCTTCAAGCTTCCTTTTCTGTTATTTATTCCCATATATATCTTCCACTCCACCCACCAAACTGCTTTTTGTTTCCTGACTGTAGTCCACATTCTTCTGACCCCTATCTTTGCTTAAGATTCCATTCTTTGCCTGTGCTGTTCCCTTTGCATGCCACGCCCATCACACATTTTCTCCGTCTGGAAATACTCATTCTTCAAGCTCCAGCTCAAATCTCTTCTGTAAAGCTCTCTGCATCACACTCAAACATAGTCAGATGATCCCTCTTCTTACTTGCAGTGCCTTTGAGTTATACTTTTATTTTTGTTTTCAGTATATTGTATTGTAATTATTTAATGTTTCTGCTCCTCCTATGAGTTCCTTCAGGGCAGGAACATGTCTTATTTGTCTTCATCAGACCATAGCACCTAGCACAGATATGTCAGGTAAGTGTGCACTAAGAGTTTGTAAAATAATAATTAATTCCACAAATATTTATTGAATATCTGTATGCCACGCACTGTCCTAGGTATGCAGATATGTTGGTGAAAGAGACAAAGTCCCTTTTATGGAGCTTAAATTTTCATAGAAAGAGACATAAAATACACGAGTAAACAAACAGATACAGTATTTTCTTACAGGAATAAATGCAATAAAGAAACAACAGGATGATGAAAGAGTATCATATAGTTTGTATTTTCAAGATACTTCTGGCTCTGTGCATTGAATGGATTATAGGAATGAGAGTGGAAGCAGGGCAATCAGTTTAGGAGGCTATTACATTAATCTGAGTAAGAGAATGGTGGCTTGAACTAAAGTGGTGGTGGTGGAGATGGTGAGAAACGCGTAGGGATTTAGGATATACTTAGAAAGTGGAATCATCACGACTTGCCCATGGAGGGGAGCAAGGGAGAGGATATAGGGCAGAGAGAGAGAGAGAGAGAGAAACAGAAAGAAAGAGAAAAAGAGAAGAGAAGGGAAGAGAAGAGAAAAGAGTTGAGTTTTGTTTGGACATAAATTTGAGATGCCTATTTGAAATGAATAAAACAAGAGTAGCTTTTGGTGGTCTGGCTTCATTCCCCTTTGTTTATTGTTCTCTGATATTTGGGAACAGGGGTGATAGAAGGAAGAAAATCATTTCTCTGTGACATTCAAGTCGCTACAGTTTACCTAGGGTTTTCTTCTATCCCACCCTTTCCAAATGTTAGATGGCAACAAGGTGTTGTTCCTCTCCCCTCTCCTTCCTTCTTTGGTTTATAAAATAAACCGACCCACACAGCTGACCCTTAGCAAGGGCTGTGTAGGTCTGCGAAGTTTAATAACAGTTGCAGATAGATTGGCTAAGAGAAGTCAGCTGGTGGGTGGCAGGGCAAATAACGGCTTCATCAGAGCCAAATACGGATATTAGTTTCCCCAGTATATATGACAACTTGCTGGTAGCAAATGAATCTTAGAATTAAGACACTGCTAAACAGTAAAGATGATTGTTCAGTATTGGGTTTGGCTTTATTTTGAAACATTAGACCCTAGAGTTTGGATACTGGCCCAGTGAGGCCACTGGCAAACACTATTAGTGCAGATTCAGGATTTTTATATTTCTGGAACTCTACGCTATATTCTTGGAGACTGCTGCCAAGGTGCGCCTGGCCACAGAGGTCTGCCTTTTATGCCATAGAAAATAACTGCTTTTTAAAAAAATAAATCTTTAAAAGAAAAGGTTTATTCATTGTAGTTTCTTGTCTAGTTTCAGGAAGGGGTTAAATTTGGCTTTGATTAGTAGTGGGTTTGGATGGAGTTATCATAAATTGTGTCCAGAAAAATCAGAAAAGCTATTTTTTTCCCAAAGCCATCTTCTCAAAAGATTCTATTGAAATGTTGGCCCGTCTTCTCTCAGGGGCTGAAAGCTTTGATGTTCTTCTTTCTCTGGCTTGTGGTATTGTATCAGTAAGTTAATTGCTGGTTCACAACAGTTTATGGTTAAGTCCTTGGAATTAGAATTTTTATTCCAACTGATTTACCTTTGGGTTGACGAGTAGCAGAAAGAAAGGGTTCATTGTTTCTAATCTATAAGGCAGAATAAATAATGCAGATTGGTGGGAAGCATTTCAGAGCAGGCATTAAAAATAGTAAATTATATTAATAAGCAAAGCCTATCCAACTCCACCCTCTTGACTCTTGGGATGAAACTGATAAACAACCATCCATGTTCTTTTATTGGCTCCAAACACATGCAACCAGCAGAGCGAACAACTTGCTGCTCTATGCACACTTTTCCAGTCTTTGTTTTTACTTGCCCCTAACTCAGACTTACTTAGATTTCAAATGTGAACAACAGAGTCTAACAGAATTCACTGTTTGTGATTTTTTAAGCAAATGGTTGTTAAGAAACATCTGGTTATAGTTAATAAAGTTCCTCCTGTGTGTGTGTGTATATGTGTGAGATATGTTTTAAGTTGTAAGGCTTATTGCCACATTCAGGTCTTATTCTTGTCATGCTGGTTTCCAGAAGATAACTAGTTAATCACACTAGTTTCAGAATATGAAATGTAGAGGAATTTTTTCTTTTCCTTTTTCATTTCATTCTCTGTTTACCAAACAAAACATGACTGACTGTTTCATCACTCTTCAGACTTAATAGGACAGTCACAGTTTAACAGTATTCTTTGTTATATTGGCCTATGGCAAGGAATTTTAGAAGTTGCTGAGATCTTAATTATTTTGTCCAGTTATTTCTGGGGGAGGGTGGGTAATATGCTTTTGGCATTGGACAGGATAGTTCTTCATTGTTTGTCTGGGCTGGGCATTGCTAGATGTTTAAATACCCGCAGCCATTGTGCCAAGCAAAATCAACTCTGCATCTTGTCAGATGCCCCCCAGGAGTAGTACTCCTTTGAGATTGAAACTACTGATCTAGTTTAAACCCTTCCTATTTCAGAGGGGAAGACCGAGGTCCAGAGGGACCTGTTCAAAGCTACACATAACTGGACTGCAACCTAGCTCTTCTGAGTCCTAGATTAGTGTCCTTTCTCCCAATATATTTTGAGGGGCTTATTTAAATACATTTATACTGATTTTTTTTAAAAAAATTATTTCAATAGTTTTTGGGGTACAGGTGGTTTTTGGTTACATGGATAAGTTCTTCAGTGGTGATTTCTGAAATTTTGGTGCACCCATCACCCAAGCAGTGTACACTGCACCCAGTATGTAGTCTTTTATCTGTCACCCTCCTCCCAACCTTCCCCCGGAGACCCCAAGCCTGTTATATCATTCTTATGCCTTTGCATCCTCGTAGCTTAGTTCGCACTTATAAGCGAGAACATACAATATTTGATTTTCCAGTGCTGAGTTACTTCACTTAGAATAATGGCCTCTAACTCTGTCCAAGTTGCTGCAAAAGACAATATTCTTCTTCTTTTTTTTTTTTTGAGATGGAGTCTCCCTCTGTCGCCCAGGCTGGAGTGCAGTGGCACGATCTTGGCTCACTGCAACCTCTGCCTCCTGCATTCAAGCAATTTTCCAGCCTCAGCCTTCCGAGTAGCTGGGACTATAGGCAACTGCCAACATGCCTGGCTAATTTTTGTAGTTTTTCAGTAGAGATGGGGTTTCACCATACTGGTCAGGCTGGTCTCGAACTCCTGACCTCAGGTGATCTACCTGCCTCAGCCTCCCAAAGTGCTGGGATTACAGGCGTGAGCCACGGTGCCCGGCCAAAAGACAATATTTCATTCCTTTTTATGGCTGAGTAGTATTCCATGGTTATTCTGATGTTTTTTGTGCCCTTAGAGCTTTTTGACTAGTGAGAGGGCCTTCCTAGGCATAAGTATGATCAAAAGGTGGTGGAATATGGAATTTACCTAGAGCATAATACACCCTCATTTTAATTTAATCAAGAAAATTTGTTGAATGTCTGCTATGTGACAGTCTGGGAAAATGGTAGTCTCATAACCCTCTACTTTTGAAATAATATAAATGGAATGGGGTGGTCATATGAAGGAAATTACTTAACAATTTAGAGGGTGACCAGTTTTTAAAAGTTGAAATGCAATGTAATGCTTATTTCATACCGGATTATTTATTTTCTAGGAATCAAGTATAATCACCAGCTTCTTTATTTTTTCTTCAGTCACCCCTCCCCCATATACGTTTCTCCCCACTTTCCGTTTATTTAGCCCAGGTCAGAGTGAAGAGTGATCAGGTAACTGGCAAACGTTCCTCCTTAGGGAAACAATTCCAAACTCACTCCCTGGTCAAGTTGCTTCTAGATCTTGGCTTTGTCACCAGTAACACTGAGGCAAAGATATAAACAGGGAACAGTCTTCTCTGCCATGGAATTTTTGCCTCAGACTACCAAAATGCAATTCGTTCTCTCATGGATGAGAGAAAGAATTGAAAGAACAAGTTGGAGCTCTCTGGGGATCCCTAGGGGGTTGTCCTCTTCTGGAGGGCCAGTTGTTTTCCATTTACTTTTTCTTGTTTTCCATGTTGAGTTTCGCTTTGGAGGATGTTCCTCCAACATTGCCTGTTTTTTTTTTTTTTTTTTTTTTTTTTCTGGGATGGAGACTCGCTGTCACCCAAGCTGGATTGCAATGGTATGACCTCGGCTCACTGCAACCTCCACCTCCTGGATTCAAGGAATTGAATCCAGCCTCAGCCTCCTGAGTAGTTGGGGTTACAGGAGTGCATCACCATGCCTGGCGAATTTTCTTATTGTATTTTTAGTAGAGGCGGGGTTTCACCATATTGGCCAGGCTGGTCTCAAACTCCTGACCTCAGGTGATCTGCCCACCTTGGCCTCCTAAAGTGCTGAGATTGTAGGCGTGAGCCACCACGCCCAGCCAAACACTGCCTGTTTAATTCCTTTTTGTCATGCCAAAATGCTCTCTGAGATGACTTAGCAGTCTGCACTTGGTCTGAGATGAGAGGTGACCTATTTTTCTCCTCCTTCATTTCTGATCCTATTCAATAGCATTTTTTTTCTTTATTTCTTGGTAGAGATGGAGTCTGTCTATGTTGTCCAGGCTGGTCTTGAACTCTTGCCTCAAGTGATCCTCCCATCTCGGCCTCACAAAGTGTTGGGATTCCAAGCCTGAGCCACTGAACTTGGCCTCAGTAGCATTTTCAGTGTTAGCTCCATCCTTAGTATGATGACCCTCATTCTTCCTCCCAAGTGGGCCACACGCTACAGAGATCTTGCCTATCACCGAAAACAAAAGTGGACTTCATGAATTCTATGGGCTTTGACCAAATAGTGTTAATAACTTGCTTTTGGGGAGAGCCCCTTTTCTGTTCTACTCTCTGTTGCAACTCATCTATAGATACAAGATCTATTCTTTTTGTGGGGGTTTAAAAAACAGGTTTACTGGGATAAAATTCACATACCATAAAATTCACCTATTTATAGTGTCTCATTCAATGTTTTGTGGTATATTCACAGAGTTGTGCAACCATCACCACAATCAATTTTAGAGTATTTTCATCACTCCAAAAAGAAACCTTGTACCCATTATGAAGACGGCCTACTCTTAAACTTAGTTCATTATCAATAATAATAATATTTGGTGAGGGCTTATTCTGTGCATTAGGCTGAGTACTTGCCTTTGTTATCTCATTTAATACTTAAAACCATCCTGTGAATTAGGGACTAATATTATTCCCATTTTTACGATGAGGAAACTGAGGCATGTAGCAGTTTAAAACTTGTTCCTATCCAAACTGGTTGTACATGGTGAATCCTAGATTCTAACTTAGGCCATCTGGTGCCATAGCATTTTATTTTATTTTATTTTATTTTATTTTTTTTAAGACAGAGTCTCACTCTGTTGCCCAGGCTGTAGTGCAGTGGCCCAGTCTCAGCTCACTGCAACCTCTGCCTCCCAGATTCAAGTGATTTTCCTGCCTCAGCCTCCTGAGTAGCTGGGACTACAGGTGTGTACCACCACGCCCGGCTGATTTTTGTATTTTAGTAGAGACGGAGTTTCACCATGTTGGCCAGGCTGGTCTTGAACTCCTGACCTCAAATGATCCACCTGCCTTGGCCTCCCAAAATGCTTGGATTACAGGTGTGAGCCATTGCACCTGGCCTGGTGGCATTGCTTTTAACAAATCATAACACTGTCACATTTTGTTTATAGGATGGGACCAAGCACAGTTTTCACTCCTTTTCATTTACATGAACTATAATTTGAGATTTTCTGTCATAAACAGGTCACTGAGTCAGTATTTATTAATCACTTGTTACTTATACCATACACTGGGACAGAAGCAATGTGGGATGCAGAGAGGGGAGAGAAAGAAAGAGACAGCGAGAGAGAGAGAGAAAGAAAGAAAGGGAAGAGGAGAGAAGAGAGAGAGAGATTGGCCCTATCCTCAAGAAGCTTGCCATCTAATTGGTATGGCTGGTCCACCTTGTAGAGCCACACTTGAGAGATGCCATACACATGCCACAGATGGTTGGTACTGTTAAGCTCTGTAGAAGGAGACATTAATGTGGGTTGGAGTGATGAGAGAAGGCTTCCTGAAAGAAGTGGTCTGTAGCAGAACCTAGGTGAACCTAGGTGGAAATAAAATCAAATGGATAGGAGTGGGAATGCCAGGAAGTATGTTGGAAGGACCTTGAAATAGGTTGGAGATGGTTGGGAGACCTTTGTGCAAATCAGACTGTGGAGGGCCTTGCATGTCAGACAAAATAGTTTGTTAAATGAATGTTTAACAGACATTTGTTGAGCGCTTACTATGTGCCAAGCACTCTTGCAGCCACTGGGGGTAGAGCAGTGGGCAAAATACAAAAAAATCCCTATCCTCAAGGAAATTGAATTCTATTTGGGGAAATAGATGAAAAACAAATAAGTTAGTTGTATGATCAGATAATGTGAAAAAACAAAGAAGGGGGCATAGGAAGTGTCATGTGTAGGGGGTAGTGGCTACATATTTGGATTTTGAAATTTTTCATTTAGATAGCTGACAGCCATTGACAAACTTCTCATACTATGTTTTGGCATGGTGTTTATCCTTGCGATTGCCTAAGAGAAGGAGAGCTTTAGAAGTGAGAAGTGAGTCTTGGAGAGGCTTAGAGGCAGGTAGGAAGCTCTAGGGCAAGTGGGAGCCAGGTGTAGCCTCTGAGTCTTGCAGCTGTGGTACAGTGGAAAAAGCACTGGATTTGGATACATACACTTTGAACTCTGGCAGGAACCTTAGGTCACTTCACTTCTCTAAGCTTTGTTTCCTCTTCTGTATAGTGGGGATAGGAGCACCTAACCAACAAGTGTTATCAAGATTATTTGAGAAGGTGACCACATAGTTGGAAGTAAAGCTCTACTCAGCAAATGTAAAAGAACAGAAATTATAACAAACTGTCTCTCAGACCACAGTGCAATCAAACTAGAACTCAGGATTAAGAAACTCACTCAAAACCACTCTACTACATGGAAACTGAACAACCTGCTCCTGAATGACTACTGGGTACATAACGAAATGAAGGCAGAAATAAAGATGTTCTTTGAAACCAATGAGAACAAAGACACAACATACCAGAATCTCTGGGACACATTCAAAGCAGTGTGTAGAGGGAAATTTATAGCACTAAATGCCCACAAGAGAAAGCAGGAAAGATCCAAAATAGAAACCCTAACATCACAACTAAAAGAACTAGAAAAGCAAGAGCAAACACATTCAAAAGCTAGCAGAAGGCAAGAAATAACTAAAATCAGAGCAGAACTGAAGGAAATAGAGACACAAAAAACCCTTCAAAAAATCAATGAATACAGGAGCTCGTTTTTTGAAAGGATCAACAAAATTGATAGACCGCTAGCAAGACTAATAAAGAAGAAAAGAGAGAAGAATCAAATAGATGCAATAAAAAATGATAAAGGGGATGTCACCACCGATCCCACAGACATACAAACTACCATCAGAGAATGCTATAAACACCTCTATGCAAATAAACTAGAAAATCTAGAAGACATGGGTAAATTCCTCGACACATACACCCTCCCAAGATTAAACCAGGAAGAAGTTGAATCTCCGAATAGACCAGTAACAGGCTCTCTGAAATTGTGGCAATTATCAATAGCTTACCAACAAAAAAGAGTCCATGACCAGATGGATTCACAGCCGAATTCTACCAGAGGTACAAGGAGGAACTGGTACCATTCCTTCTGAAACTATTCCAATTAATAGAAAAAGAAGGAATCCTCCCTAACTCATTTTATGAGGCCAGCATCATCCTGATACCAAAGCCGGGCAGAGACACAACCAAAAAAGAGAATTTTAGACCAATATCCTCGATGAACACTGATGCAAAAATCCTCAATAAAATACTGGCAAACGGAATCCAGCACATCAAAAAGCTTATCCACCATGATCAAGTGGGCTTCATCCCTGGGATGCAAGGCTGGTTCAATATACGCAAATCAATGAATGTAATCCAGCATATAAACAGAACCAAAGACAAAAAACACATGATTATCTCAATAGATGCAGAAAAGGCCTTTGACAAAATTCAACAGCCCTTCATGCTAAAAACTCTCAATAAATTAGGTATTGATGGGACGTATCTCAAAATAATAAGAGCTATCTATGACAAACCCACAGCCAATATCATACTGAATGGGCAAAAACTGGAAGCATTCCCTTTGAAAACTGGCACAAGACAGGGATGCCCTCTCTCACCACTCCTATTCAACATAGTGTTGGAAGTTCTGGCCAGGGCAATTAGGCAGGAGAAGGAAATAAAGGGTATTCAATTAGGAAAAGAGGAAGTCAAATTGTCCCTGTTTGCAGATGACACGATTGTATACCTAAAAAGCTGCACTGTCTTAGCCCAAAATCTCCTTTAGCTGATAGGCAACTTCAGCAAAGTCTCAGGATACAAAATCAATGTGCAAAAATCATAAGCATTCTTATGCACCAATAACAGACAGAGAGCCAAATCATGAGTGAACTCCCATTCACAATTGCTTCAAAGAGAATAAAATACCTAGGAATCCAACTTACAAGGGACGTGAAGGACCTCTTCAAGGAGAACTACAAACCACTGCTCAATGAAATCAAAGAGGATACAAAGAAATGGAAGAACATTCCATGCTCATGGGTAGGAAGAATCAATATCGTGAAAATGGCCATACTGCCCAAGGTAATTTATAGATTCAATGCCATCTCCATCAAGCTACCAATGACTTTCTTCACAGAATTGGAAAAAACTACTTTAAAGTTCATATGGAACCAAAAAAGAGCCCGCATTGCCAAGTCAATCCTAAGCAAAAAGAACAAAGCTGGAGGCATCATGCTACCTGATTTCAAGCTATACTACAAGGCTACAGTAACCAAAACAGCATGGTACTGGTACCAAAACAGAGATATAGATCAATGGAACAGAACAGAGCCCTCAGAAATAACGCCACATATCTACAACTATCTGATCTTTGACAAACCTCACAAAAACAAGCAATGGGGAAAGGATTCCCTGTTTAATAAATGGTGCTGGGAAAACTGGCTAGCCATATGTAGAAAGGTGAAACTGGATCCCTTCCTTACACCTTATACAAAAATTAATTCAAGATGGATTAAAGACTTAAACATTAGACCTAAAACCGTAAAAACCCTAGAAGAAAACCTAGGCATTACCATTCAGGACATAGGCATGGGCAAGGACTTCATGTCTAAAACACCAAAAGCAATGGCAACAAAAGCCAAAATTTGACCAATGGGATCTAATTAAACTAAAGAGCTTCTGCACAGCAAAAGAAACTACCATCAGATTGAACAGGCAACCTACAAAATGGGAGAAAATTTTCACAACCTACTTATCTGACAAAGGGCTGATATCCAGAATCTACAATGAACTCAAACAAATTTACAAGAAAAAAACAAACAACCCCATCGAAAAGTGGGTGAAGGATATGAACAGACACTTCTCAAAAGAAGACATTTATGCAGCCAAAAGACACATGAAAAAATGCTCATCATCACTGGCCGTCAGAGAAATGCAAATCAAAACCACAATGAGATACCATCTCACACCAGTTAGAATGGCAATCATTAAAAAGTCAGGAAACAGCAGATGCTGGAGAGGATGTGGAGAAACAGGAACACTTTTACACTGTTGGTGGGACTGTAAACTAGTTCAACCATTGTGGAAGTCAGTGTGGTGATTCCTCAGGGATCTAGAACTAGAAATACCATTTGACCCAGCCATCCCATTACTGGGTATATACCCAAAGGAGTATAAATCATGCTGCTATAAAGAAACATGCACACGTATGTTTATTGCAGCATTATTCACAATAGCAAAGACTTGGAACCAACCCAAATGTCCAACAGTGATAGACTGGATTAAGGAAATGTGGCACATATACACCATGGAATACTATGCAGCCATAAAAAATGATGAGTTCATGTCCTTTGTAGGGACATGGATGAAACTGGAAATCATCATTCTCAGTAAACTATCGCAAGAACAGAAAACCGCACACCGCATATTCTCACTCGTAGGTGGGAATTGAACAATGAGAACACATGGACACAGGAGGGGGAACATCACACTCTGGGGACTGTTGTGGGGTGGGGGGAGGAGGAGGGATAGCATTAGGAGATATACCTAATGCTAAATGATGAGTTAATGGGTGCAGCACACCAGCGTGGCACATGTATACATATGTAACTAACCTGCACATTATGCACATGTACCCTAGAACTTAAGGTATAATAATAATAATAATAAAAAATAAAAAATAAAAAAATAAAAAAAAAGAGAAGGCTGGGTGCAGTGGCTCACACCTGTAATCCCAGCACTTTGGGAGGCTGAGGTGGGCGGATCACGAGGTCAGGAGATCAAGACCATCCTGGCTAATGTGGTGAAACCCTGTCTTTACCAAAAATACAAAGAATTAGCCGGGCGTGGTAGCGGGCGCCTGTAGTCCCAGCTACTCGGGAGGCTGAGGCAGGAGAACAGTGTGAAGCCGGGAGGTGGAGCTTACAGTGAGCTGAGATCGTGCCACTGCACTCCAGCCTGGGCAACAGAGTAAGACTCCATCTCAAAAAAAAAAAAAAAAAATTAGCTGCATGTGTTGGCGTGAGTCTGCAATCCCAGCTACTCAGGAGGCTGAGGCAGGAGAATGGCTTGAACCTGGGAGGCGGAGGTTGCAGTGAGCCGAGATCGTGCCACTGCATTCCAGCCTGGGTGATAGAGTGAGACTCCATCTCAAAAAAAAAAAAAAAAAGATTACTTGAGATAATGTGAATGAAACCTTCATTAGTTGTATAGTCATCTACAAATATGAAAAGTTAGCCCTTGTGGACAGTGCCTGTGAAAATTGTAATGCTGTTCTTTTAAGTCTTTCCAGGAATCTGATAGTGGTAATTGAATTTTTCATGTCAACAAAGTCATAAATCAGAATTTTAAATCACAAAGCACAGTTGGTACAAGGCACTCTATAAGAGGTACTGAGCTAGATGGTGGGAGGGTAGTGGTGGCCAAGGCAGCCTTCAGGGAGTTTTCTTTGTGCTATGTTTAAGTCTGCCAGCATGGAATAAGGGAAGCATGACTGAGGAGTAGGTGCTTCATGCAGTGTGGCCACACTCCTTCTGTGGCCTTGCCTCTGCCCTTTATAGCAACCAGTAACACACCCACCAAACAGAACCATGTGTAGTTCCATGATCTTTCTCTTTCTTTATCTCTGTTTCCTATCTCTTTCTCCCTTTCCATCTCATTTATCTCTCTATGCTCCCCCAATCCCCAATTCATTCCTTTACACCTACTTCCATCTGCCTGAAGTGCTCTTCCGTGCCATATTTTCCAGGCAAACTTTAAGTTCACATCCTCAGCTTCTGTTTCCCCTCCTCTAGAAAGCCTTCTCTGATCTTTCTGCTGTCCAAGTGATTGCATTGAATTGCAGTTGTTCCATTTGAGTCTCCTTCACTAGAATGAGTTCCTTGAGGGCAGGGATTGTGCTTTGTCTGTCTCTGGGTCCCTGGTTCTTAGTGCTAGGATTGGCATTAAGGAAATGCTTGCTGACTTGAAATAATTGTAAAAGTGGAAGACTATATAGATAACCAAGATTTATCTAGGAACTCCTTCAAGACTTCTCTATTTATACATCTTTTATGAACTGAATCATAAACCACAGATCCAGTGACTGAAGAGCAGATCAGGGGGAGGCTATAGAATATGGTAATAAGGCTATATTGCAAAGTATTGCAAACATAATTCTAGAGTCAGACTACGTTATAGCTCCTTCACTTCCTAGCTGTGGGACCTGGAAATAAGTCGTTTCATCTCTCTGTGCCTCAGTTTTCTCATCCATAAAATGAAGATTATAATAGTCCCTACTTTGTAGGGTTGTTTTGAGAATTATATAATTTAATATACATAAAATGCTTAACCACCCTGGGCAACATAGGAAGACCCCGTCTCTACAAAAAATTAAAAAAAAATTAGTTGGGTGTGGTGGCATGTGCCTGTAGTCCTAGCTAGTCAGGAGGCTGACATGGGATGATCACTTGAACCCAGGAGTTCAAGACCATCCTGGACAACAGAGGAAGACCCTGCATCTACATAGAAAGAGAAGAAAAAGCGGAGACAGTTCCTGGCACCTAGCAAGCACTCTGTAAATGTTAGCTCTTCTCATCTAAGTAAAATAGAGGCATATTCAAATAAAGGAAGTTTGGAATAAGTCTAGAGATCATTTTTTTCTCCTCAGGGATCCCTGTTCTGAATCTTTTTTTCAGATCCCTGTTCTGAATCCTCTCACCTCAGCCTCCCAAGTAGCTAGGACTACAGGTGTGCACCTCCATGCCCTGCTAAGTTTTAAAATATTTTTGTAAAGAGACCAGTTCTCGCTATGTTTGGCAGGCTGGTCTCCAACTCCTGGCCTCAAGTGATCCTCCTGCCTCAGCCTCCCAAAGTGCTGGGGTTCCAGGTATGAGCCACCATGTCTGGCACATTTTCAGTTTTTCATGATTACAGATAGAGCTGCTGTAAACATTATTATATGTTTTTTTTTGTGTGTGAACACACATTATTTCTAGAGGGTAAATGCCCATGGGCAGGACTGTGAGCTCATATATGTACATGTTTAATTTTATAAGAAACTGCCAAACCATTTTCTAGAGTGGCTGTGACAATTTATATTCCCACTAGCAATGTATAAGAATTCCAGCTTCTCTCTATCCTTGGCAGCACATGGTATGGCCACTTTGTTATTTTAGCCTTGCTAATAGGTGTGAAGTGGAATCTTGACTGGGTGTTAGTTTGCTTTTCCATAATGACTAATGACGTTGAACGTATTTTCAGGTGCTTAATTGCCATCCATGTATCTTTGGTCAAATATCTGTTCAAATATTTTGCCTACTAATGTAATTTGTTGTTAATTTTCTTTATTGAATCTTATGTATTCTGTTTACATAACAAAATAATAAAGTTTAGTGAATCTTTTATGTATTCTGAGTATGGGTTCTTTGTCAGATATACGATTTGCTAATATTGTCTTCTAGTTGGTGGCTTGTCTTTTCTAAAATCGTCTTATGAAAAAAATTAGCCAGGCATAGTGATGCATGCCTGTAGTCTCAGCTATTTGGGAGGCTGAGGCAGTAGGATTGCTTCAGCTGGAGAGATCAAGGCTGCAGTGAGCTACGATCATGCCACTGCACTCCAGCCTGGGTGAAAGAATCAGACCCTGTCTCAAAAACAAAACAAAACAAAACAAAACCCCAAATCCTCTTATTAGGGTCTTTCATAGAGCAAAATATTTTAATTTTGATGAAGTTCAATTTATTTAGTGATTTTTTTTTTTTTTTTGAGATGGAGTCTCACTCTGTTGCCAGCCTGGAGTGCAGTGGCGTGATCTCGGTTCACTGCAACCTCTGCCTCCCAGGTTCAAGCCATTCTCCTGCCTCAGCATCCTGAGTAGCTGGGACTACATGCGTGCGGCACCACGCCCAGCTAATTTTTGTATTTTTAGTGGAGACGGGGTTTCACCATGTTGGCCAGGATGGTCTTGATCTCTTGACCTCGTGATCCGCCCGCCTTGGCCTCCCAAAGTGCTAGGATTACAGGCATGAGCCACCGTGCCCTGGATTGTGCTTATGGATGCCTGAGAATATTTCACCTAACCCTAGATCATGGAGATTTTATCTTATGTTTTCTTCTAGACATTTTAGCATTTTAGGTTTTATATTTAGATTTGTTATGTATTTTGAGTTATATTTTTGTGTATGGTGTGAGGTTTATTTAGAAGTTTTTTTTTCTTCCCCCAATTGTACTAGCACCATTTGCCACAACTTAACTGTGACAACTTAGAAATCACTTAACCTGTCATGGCCTCACTCTTCTTTTCTCTAAAATGGGGATAATAATAGCATGTAGTTCATGTGGTTAAAGGAAAGATTCCAGACTACTATTTACATATATAAATGCCTAGCACACAACAAACAGTTATTATTAGTATTCATTTTATAGAGTTTCAAATTTTGAGGTTTAATTTCATGATTGACAAACTTTGATAACATGTAATACACATTGTCCCTTTTCATCCCTTCCAAGGATGTTGGAGTACGTGGGCCAGTGCTGAGGTAGGGTTCTGGTAGATGGGTTTTATTGGGATGATGGCTGAAACCACTTGTAGTCAAGAAATGATAGTAGTTTCCAGCTGGGAGGGGAACTGAGGCCAGAGTCAGTTCAATAAAGGCAAGAGTGTGTAGCCAGAAACACAAAATGAAAAATGAAGTCATATGTGATGGATTAAATGGGTAAAGGAAAAGGGTTCTGGACCCTGACTGTGAATAAAGCAAGATGTTGGGGCTCCCTCTTACAGAAGGAACACTGGTCCTTTATTCTTGTTTAAAAGTGTCGAACTTGGTTTTTCTCTTCAAGATGCCCTTCAGTACTGCGTTGGGAGCCTCTTGCCCTGTTCTCCAAACAAATTCAGTCTAAGACCATGTTTTGCTGTGAGCTCTGCTGCTTTGGTGTCAAAACCTGGTAATGTGCCAGTTCCCCTTTGGGGAGGCTTTCTAAAACATACTGCTCAGCAGAGCTGAAAAGGCTGAAGAACCTTCTCCAGAAGGTGATTGTGCCTGTGGTAGGTCTTGGTCTGGGAGCCATTTCCAAAGCTGGATACCACAGCTACTTTGTCCATCCTCACTATGCTCCCTGGCACTCCATGCCATGTAGGCTCCCCAGCAACTCTCCTTTGTCTCCCCGAGAAAGAGCTGACAGTTGCAATGTCTTTTTTTTTTCTTAAACTTCCTCTTTGATCAGTGTTTTGAGATCCTAGGTGAATACGTTTTTTGTGACAAGCATGTGCAAGATACGCAGAAAGGAAGTAATGCTATGGAAAAGTTGTAGTCACAACCAGTGTGACCAGAGATCATTATCAGTCTGGTCAAGTCACTCCTGCTTGGAGTAGTGTCACTGGAAACTGACACTGCAATTGACATGGTCTTTGAGCTTCCAGATGTGGCAAAACAAATGTTTTATTGTACAGCACCGAAGACACAACTTAGTTTGGTGTTTTATGTGTACATCTCCAAGATAATAATGGCACCTGACTTCAGCCCTTCGTAGTTTAGAAAGTCCTGTCATGTTTCCTATTTAATTTGATTCTTACAATAAGAATGAGAGAGATAGGACAGGGATTATTATTCATGTTTTACAGATGCCGAAACTGTCAGGGAGGCAGAGTTGGAGGGGTACACAGTGGTCAAGAGCATAGGTTCTGAGGCATATTTCGGTAAAATATATAACAACATTTTTGATTTTGACCATTTGTAAGTATACAGATCAGTGGCATTGGTTACATTCATAATGCAATATAACCCACTGTGCCCGGCTGTGGATTTCTGTTGATGTGGAAATATAGTTGTTCCAGTTCCATTTGTTGAACAGACTCTTCTTTCTCTGTTGAATGGATTTGCCTTCTGTGTCGATTTTTGACCTAAGGTCTCTTTTGTCTGATATTAGCAGAGCCACTTCAACTCTCTTTTGGTTACTATTTTCATGGAATTGCTTTTTGCATCTTTTAAGTTTCAATCTATTTTTGTCTTTGGGTCAAAAGTGAGTCTGTTGTAGATAACATATACAGTCATGTGTCACTTAACAATGGAGATACATGGGTGGGCATGGTGGCTCACACCTGTAATCCCAGCACTTTGGGAGGCCGAGGTGGGTGGATCACCTGAGGTCTGGAGTTTGAGACCAGCCTGGCCAACATGGTGAAACCCCGTCTCTACTAAAAATACAAAAATTAGCCGGGTATGGTGGCACATGCCTGTAGTCCCA
This sequence comes from Homo sapiens, assembly GCF_000001405.40. NCBI lineage: Eukaryota > Metazoa > Chordata > Mammalia > Primates > Hominidae > Homo > Homo sapiens. The sequence continues at coordinate 68,371,876 of NC_000023.11, read as the reverse complement.
GCTACTTGGGAGGCTGAGGCAGAAGAATTCTTTGAATCCTGGAGGCAGAGGTTGCAGTGAGCCGAGATCGCGCCACTGCACTCCAGCCCGGCAGCCCGGGTGACTGAGTGAGACTCCGTGAAAAATAAACAAACAAACAAAAAACGGGGATACATTCTGAGAAATACGTCATTAGGCAATTTTGTTGTTTTGTGTATTGACACAAACCTGTATGGCATAGCCTACTATAAACCTACCAAGGCTATATGGTACAGTCTATTGCTCCTAGGCTACAAACCTATACTGCATGTTACTGTACTGAATACTATAGGTAATTATAACCCAACAGTAAGTATTTATATATCCAAACATTGAAGAGGGCTGGGCACAGTGGCTCATGCCTCTAATCCTGGCATTTTGGGAGGCTGAGGCGGGTGGATTGCTTGAGCCCAGCAGTTCAAGACCAGCGTGGGCAGCATGGCAAAACTCGGTCTCTATAAAAAAACACAAAAATTAGCCTGGTGTGGTGGCTCACGCCTATAGTCCCAGTTACTCAGGAGGCTGAGGTGGGAGGATCAATTGAGCCTGGGAGGTTGAGGCTTCAGTGAGCCGTCATAACGCCACTGCACTCCAGCCTGGCTGACAGAACGAGACCTTTTTTTGGAAAAAAAAAAAAAAGAAAGAAAAAGAAAAAACTTGAAAGGTATAGGAAAAATATGGTTATATAATGTTATGGAACCACTGTTGCATATGTGGTCTGTCATTGACTGAAACATTGTTGCATATAACTGTAGTTAGATCCTGCTTTTTAATCCATATTGTGGGTCTCTCTGCCTTTGTATTGCAGAGTTCACACCATACATTTAAAGTAATTACTGATAAGGAAGGGCTTACTTCCGACATTTTGGTTTTTGTTTTCTGTATATCTTTTAACTTTTACATCCTCATTTTCTCGATTACTGCCTTCTTTTGTATTAATTGATTTTTTTGTAGTGGACCGTTTTGAGTCCCTTCTTCTTTTTATGTTTATATTTTATTTGTGGTTACCATGGGGATTACTTTTAACATCCTAAATTTATAACAAATGAGTTTGAATTGATACCAACTTCACACTTATAAAATACAAATCTCCACTCTTTTACAGCTCTGTCCCCTCTCCTGTGTATTGTTGTGACAAATTACATCTTTCTACATACTATGTTCAATAACATAGATTTATAATTATTTTAAAGCACTTAAAAACAAAGTAGGATATAAAAAAGTAGAGTTATAAACAAAAAGTTCGATAATGCTGGCTTTTATATTTGCCTGTGTAGTTACCTTTACCAGAGATCCTTATGTCTTAATGTGGTTTTGAGTAACTGTCTAGCATCTCTTTTTTTTTTTTTTTTGAGACGGAGTCTCACTCCATTGCCCAGGCTTGAGTGCAGTGGTGCTATCTCAGCTCACTGAAACCTCCACCTCCCCGGTTCAAGCAATTCTCCTGCTTTAGCCTCCCAAGTAGATGGGATTGCAGGTGTGTACCACCACACCCAGCTAATTTTTGTAGTTTTTAGTAAAGATGGGGTTTCACCATGTTGGCCAGGCTGGCCTCAAACTCCTAACTTCAAATGATCCACCTGCCTTGGCTGGGATCACCTTCCAAAGTGCTGGGATTACAGGTGTGAGCCACTGTGCCTGGCCGGTTGAGCATCTTTTTATTTCCACTCAAAAGATTCCCTTTAGCATTTCTTGTAGGGCAGGTCTATTGGTAATGAACTCCTGCAGCCTTTGTTTATCTGGGAAGGTCTTACTTTCTCCTTCCGTTTTGAAAGACCATTTTGCCAGATGCAGAATTCTTGGTTGACAGGTTCTATATATATATATATATATATATATATATATATTTCAGCAATTTATGCCATCCCACTGTCTTCTGGCCTCTGTAGTTTCTGATGAGATATTGGCTGTTAGTCTTAATGAGGAGCCTTATACATGGTAAGTTGCTTTTTTCTTGCAGCTTTCAAGACTGTCTGTCTTTTGACAATTTGTTTATAGGATGCCTCAGTGTGGATCTCTTTGAATTTATCTTTCTTGAGTTTAAGCTTCTTAGATGTCTAGATTCATGTCTTTCATCAAATTGGGGACATTTTTGGCCATTATTTCTTTAAACATTCCTTTTGTCCCTTTTTCTTCACTTTCTGGCAGTCTCACAGTATGTAATTTTGTCTGCTTGATGATGTCTCAATGACCCTTAGACTGTTAATCTTTAATTTCTCTATCTTAGTGATATTGTCATTTTCCTGATTTTTTGTTCTGCATGTTTTCCTTTAGCTCTTTTAGCATATTTAAGGCAGTGTTTTTGAAGTCTTTGTCTACTAAATCTGATGTCTGGACTTCCTCAGGAACAGTTTCAGTCAGTTTATTTTGTTCTTTGAGTAGGCTGTACTTTCCTGTTTCTTTGTTTGTCTTGTGATTTTTTTGTTGTTGTTGAAAACAATGTTTGAATATTATAATGTGTTAACCCTGGATATCATATTCTCTCCCTTCTCCAGGAGTTGCTGGGGTTTTTTCTGTGGTTGTTGTTGTTGTTTTGTAGAGATGAAGTCTTGCTATGTTGCCTGGGCTGGTTTTGAACTCCTGATCTCAAGTGATCCTCCTGCCTCAGCCTCCTGAGTAGCTAGGACTAAGAGATGACTAGATTTTTTTTTTTCGAGGAGTCTCACTCTGTTTCCCAGGCTGGAGTGCAGTGGTGAGATCTCGGCTCACTGCAACCTCTGCCTCCCGGGTTCAAGCGATTCTCCTGCCTCAGCCTCCTGAGTAGCTGGGACTACAGGCACGTGCTACCATGCCTGGCTAATTTTTTGTATTTTTAGTAGAGATGGGGTTTCACTGTGTTGGCCAGGATGGTCTCAATTTCCTGACCTCGTGATCCACCTGCCTTGGCCTCCCAAAGTGCTGGGATTACAGGCGTGAGCCACTGTGCCCAGCAATTTTTTCTTATTGTTAAAATTCTTAGTAGTATTTTGGTTTACTTACTTTTCCAAGCTACTTCTGCAAAGACTATATCTTGTCCTGTATGGTCACTGAAGTCTCTGTTCCTTAAATTGTGTTCAGTGAGAATTTTGACACAGAGTTTCTGAAATACAAGGAGCTAAAAACAAACAAATAAACAAACAAAAACCACCTCTACTCATCTTTCCTGATTGGTTGTGTGTGTGGGTACTCCTTCAGCACTTAGCCAGACTTGCATTGCACTTATAAACTAGCTCAAGGTGAAAGCTTAGTCCTCTCAGGAATTTTCTGAGTATGCTTGTTTTCTGGGGCATGCATGTGGCTTTCTAAATTCCCCATATACATGGTTGCGTTTTTTTTTGAGATGGGGGTTCTCACTGTGTTGCCCAGACTGGAGTGCAGTGGTGTGATTATGGTTCACTGCAGCCTCTGCCTCCTGGGCTCAAGTGATTCTCTGCCTCAGCCTCATGAATAGCTGGAACTACGGGTGCACAACACCATGTCCAGCTAATATTTGTTTTTTGTTTTTATTATTTGTGCTGATGAGGTCTTGCTATGTTGCCCAGGGTGGTCTCCAACTCCTGACTTCAAGCGATCCTTCTGCCTCGGTCTCCCAAAGTGGTGGGATTACAGGCATGAGCCACCATACCTGGCCAGCAGTTGCTTTTGAACGTCCTCATTGTCCAAGGAAACCATTCATCTGCCCCCCATCAGCTTTTTCTCCCATGTCTTAGCCAGTGTATTGTTTGTTTCAACTATAATAATATGGCCCAGACATCTGAGGGTTATTAGGTCAGCGTGCAGTGTTTTTGGGCACTACTCACCATTTCTAGCTTGAGTTTTGTATTAGGTAAAACAAACACAAGTGCCTGGCCTTAGTTCTTCAGGTAGCCTCCAGACTAGTTTGAACAGTTGTGTATTAGTCTGTTCTCACAATGCTATAAAGAACTGCCCAAGACTGGGTAGTTCATAAAGGAAAGAGGTTTAATTGACTCACAGTTCTGCATGGCTGGGGATGCCTCAAGAAACTTACAATCATGACCGAAGACACGTCTTCACAGAGTGGCAAGAGAGAGAATGAGTGCCCAGTGAAGGAGGAAGCCCCTTATAAAACCATCAGATCTCATGAGAACTCACTCACCAGCCCAAGAACAGCAGGGGGGAAACTGCCCCCATGATTCAATTATCCCTTGACAGGTGGGGATTATTACAATTCAAGGTGAGATTTGGGCGGGGGCACAGAGCCAAACCATATCAAGAAGTATACAATAATTTGTATTTAAGGTTTGCTCTATTCCCTCTGGAATCAGGGTACAGGGTTGCACACTGGGAACGTAGGCTACCATCACTTTAAAACAAAAAATGCCACTGTGCTAGAGAAAGGGTGGGTTAAAGGCAAGTAAAAATGCCACAAAACTTTCCTACCATTTTGAGGTGACCTGTTTTATGATTCAGCATTCACTTGGGTCACGTAAAGTTTTGACTTTTTTCCAGAGTTCAATAAAGTTGATTCTGAGAGTTTCTGCTTGTGTTTTTTTTTTTTTTTTCCCGAGACAGAGTCTTGCTCTGTTGCCCAGGCTGGAGTGCAGTGGTGCTATCTCGGTTCACTGCAACATCTGCCTCCCGGGTTCAAGTGATTCTCCTGCCTCGGCCTCCTGAGTAGCTGGGATTACAGGTGCACACCAGCACACCCTGCTAATTTTTTTTGTATTTTTAGTAGAGACATGGTTTCATCAGGCTGGTCTCAGACTCCTGACCTCAAGTGATCTGCCTGCTTCAGCCTCCCAAAGTGCTGGGATTACAGGCGTGAGCCACCATCCCCGGCCTCTGCATGTGTTTTTGATGTTTCTGTGGGAGAACAAGAGCTTGGAGCTTCCTGGTCCACCATTTTGCTGATGTCACTCTGACTACTCTTTTTAATCCACACTCCCTAACTTACAGTAGCGTCCTGGCTCCACTCTGTAACCTTGAACTAGTTACTTAACCTCTCTGTTTTCTTTAGTGCAAAGTTGGGTATAAAGATAGTACCTACCTCAAAGGATAGTTGTAAGAATTAAATAACATAATTCATGTAAAGACATTAGTATAGTGTGTGGTAAGTTAAGTGCTCAATAAACGTTAGTTATCTTTGGAAATTACACCATAATTATATGTACCACTAAGAAAGAACAAAATGTCAGTTAGCATGTGGCATGCCATTGATAGTAAAATGTATCGTAATTTCAAAAATGTTAAAATGTAAAATATGATGACTGGGCATGGTGGCTCAAACCTGTAATCCCAGCACTTTGAGAGGCCAAAGTAGGAGGACTGCTTGAGGCCGGGAGTTTGAGACCAGCCTGGCCAACATAGTGACACCCTGACTCTACACACGGGCACACACATACCTGCACATACACACAAATTAATTGTCTGGGCATAGTGGTGAACACCTGTAGTTCCAGCTACTTGGGAGGCTGAGGTGGGAACATTGCCTGAGCCTGGGAGGTCAAAGCTGCAGTGAGCCATGATTATGCCACTGCACTCCAGCCTGGGAGACAGAGTGAGACCCTGTCTCAATTTAGAAAAAAAAGTCAAATAGGTGTATTTTACAACTGATTAATTATCATATCACCATCATTATCACTATGATTGCCAGGCCTCACCTGGTGCAGGTTTTACATTTTGCAGGCAAGGCAGCTAGGCCTAGAGATGGTAAGTGACTTGCTCATGGATTTGTAGGCATTTATGTCATAGCCAGATCTGGATCAGGTTCCCTGACTCTTATTCTGGGTACCCAGAGAGACTGGGGCCCCAGTCTCTCACAACTAGTAGTTTATATTATAAATACTATTCTGTTATGTCTCACTGTTGTAGGTGTGTTAGATTTTCGTCAGCAATGTGCTCAAAGTGAGAAGAATAGGAGGAATTTGTTTTTTTTTTTTGGAGAAAAAGTTGCTGAAGTCTAGCTGGGTAAGTTGAGTCTTTTCTGAGAGCATGAGTGTGGGATTAAAAATCAGATGTCACTCTCTTGCCATGAGACCTTGGATAGTCACTTAGTCTCTTTGAGCCAAACAGTGTTAGAAATCTCCAAAAAAAAAAAAAAGGGAATAATTGCTACTCCATAGAGTTGTTTCAGAGTGTGAAATGGCATCACTTCTAAGAATACTGCCTGGCACATGGTAGATTTCCACTCAGTGTTGGTTCTCTTTTCTACTCCTTTGAGAGAAGTGGGCTCAGTGACATTCTCCCTGCTCAGCTCAAACTTTGTTTATGTTTATGAGTGTGTAGAATTAGATCAACATTGTTCTCTGTGGCGGATTTGTTAGTGGCTGAGGGAAAGGTAGCAGCTGGATGCTGTAATTCTCTCGAGAGACATTCCTACTGCTGAGTGAGGAGGAGAGCACAGCTGTTTGTGGAAAATGAACAAAATGGTAATTGCCTCGTGTCAGCTGGTACATTCTGAGACTTTTGCTCTTGTTGATGTTTTCTTCAGTGGCTGCCTTATGTTAAACATGCCCCTACCCATTTGCTGCACTGGTCTTGTTCCAGCTTCTTCAATATGCTACGTAGGCTCTTTCATCTCCTATACCTTGCTCACGTGGTTTCTCTCAAATTCCAATTTTTTTTTTTTCCTTTTTGTACCTAGCAAACTCCTACATATCCTTTAAGTCTCTGCTCAAATGTCATTTCTTTTGTAAGGCCTTGTTGAATGACTCTTTTGAAGAGTAACATTATTCCTATATCTGGAACCGCATGGTATAATTTATTTGTTTAAATGCATTTCTCCTCTATTAGCGTCTATGTTCATTTGAAGACAGTGGCCATGTTTATTTCTTCTTTGTATTGCACAGGCCTAGCACATGGAGCAGTTATCATAGCTGAAGTTTACTATTGTCCATATTATCTCACAGGCTTTCACACTCACCCTGTAAAGTAGATACTGTTGTTATTCCCATTGCACAGATGAGGAAAGTGAGGATTAGAGAAGTTAGGTAAATCATCAAGGATCACAGGGCAAGGTGATTGAGGAGCATGTAGTAGAAATTTGTTGTGACTCCAAGGTCATGCTGTTAACCTCTGTGCTCTAGCATGGTGCAGTCCAATAGAACTTTCTGTGATTATGGAAATGTCTGTGTGTTCTTTGCAATATAGCTACTGAGCACTTAAAATTTGCCTAGTGTGATTGATGAAATATATTTTTAATTTTATTAAATTTTAATGAGTTGAAATTTAAATAGCCACATGTAGAAAACTGAACTCTGATCTCTTAATGGCTGTCTAGCATTTTCTTTTAGCCTTAACTCAGAATTTCTCTCAACTGTTCTTATTTCATCAATTACTCTATTAAAGAAACTGAATTACATCCTGATGGAAACAGAATGATCTCCTTTTCTTAAGACAGTTATGTATCTTTTAGCAGTCTATCGTTATTATTTAGAGTTGGTGTTAAGGCTGTAGAAATTGGAAAAGTTGTTGGGAATAAATGTTGTCATCACTCTTAAACCCAGTTTTCGACTATATTAAGTATAAAGTACAAAGATGAAACAGATTGCAATAGATTTCTGGGGGAAAAATGTTACTTCTCTGGCTAACACACAAATAGGCAAAAATAATTATTCCAAAGGAAGTTTAAAATCACAGGGATACTACAGTCTAGAAGTGTCCCATCAAAGACACTTGCTGTTGGGCTGAAGGAACAGGAAGTTATGAAAAGCACTCAGTGCCTAAAGTCACTGTTGACATGTCAAGAGGTCCTAGAGAATAATCCAAGACAGGCTGTTCTTGTGGGTAGATGTTAGAGATAGATGAAGAATGCGTTCTTATTAATCATTGAGAAAATCCAGTCTCTCGTACAGCATATGCATTGAATAAGAACTGGGCATGTTCAAGGAACCTTAGTGCTCAAAGAATTCTTTGGGCTCTTCTTGTATTTCAGTTCACACATATTTTAAAAACATTAGTATGGAAAATTTCAAACATACACAAAACCAGAGAGTTTTAATATAATGAACCCTCTAGATTCATCACCCAACTTTTTTTCCAATCTCATTTCAGGTACCCTCAATTCCCCCACCCAAAACACACATGGTATTTTTCTTCTGGAGTATTTTAAAGCAAATCCCAGGTATGTCATTATACCCATATATATTTCAGTATGCATTTCTGATACGGACTGTTTTAGTATATATAACCACTGTGACATCATCATATGCAATACAAATTGTCAGTAATTTCTTACTATCATCCACTAGCCAGTCTATACCTATACTCTCCCAATTGTTTCAAACTGTCTTTTTTAAAAAAGTTAACAGCCAGGCATGGTGGCTCATGCCTGTAATCCCAGCAATTTAGGAAGCTGAGTCAGGCAGCTCATCTGAGGTCAGGAGTTTGAGACCAGCCTGGCCAACATGGTAAAACCCCATCTCTACTAAAATAAAAAAAAACATAGCTGGGTGTGGTGGCACGTGCCTGTAATCCCAGATACTTGGGAGACTGAGGCAGGAGAATTGCTTGAACCTGGGAGGCAGAAGTTGCAGTGAGCTGAGATCGTGCCATTGCACTCCAGCTTGGGTGACAAGAGTGAAACTCTGTCTCACTAAAAAAGAAAAAAAAGTTAATAGATCCTATTTTTAATTTTTTTATTATTTAAATTTTTTTTAAAAAAATTTGTCTTTGAGATGGAGTCTTGCTCTATTGCCCAGGCTGGAGTGCAGTGGTGTGATCTCAGCTCACTGTAACCTCTGCCTCTCAGTTCAAGCGATCCTCATGCCTCAGCCACCTGACTAGCTTGGACTACAGGCACGCGCCACCGTGCCTGGCTAATTTTTGTATTTTTAGTAGAGATGGGTTTTTACCACGTTGGCCAGGCTGGTCTTGAACTCTTGACCTCAAGTGATCCACCCGCCTTGGCATCCCAAAATGCTGGGATTTCAGATGTGAGCCACCGCACCCAGCCAAGATTCTATTTTTCAAAGCAGTTTCAGTTTCACAGAAAAATTGAGGAGAAAGTACAGAGTCCTCATATACCTCCCAAGCCCCCTCCTCCGGTTTCCCCTATTAACATCTTGCATTAGTGTGAGACATTTGTTACAATTGATGAACCAATATTGATTGCTACATTATTATTAAAGTCCATAGTTTACATTAGAATTCACACTTTGAATTACATGCTAAGACTTTTGACAAATGCGTAGTGACATGTATCCACCATTACAGTATCATACAGAATAGTTTCAGTGCTGTAAACCCCACCCCCAACCCCGTGCCTCACCTAGTTATCCCTTCCTCTTTCCCTTTGAGCTCCTGGATGTACTTCATGATGCTTTCATCTATGTATACACGTAGAACGGCTAAATCAAGCTAATTAACATACTCGTTACCTCACGTACTTATTTTATGGTGAGAATATTTAAAATCTACTTTATTTGCAATTTTCATGTATACAAGACATTGTTATTATCTATAATCACATGCTTGACAATGGATCTCTTGAACTCATTCCTCCTGTCAATATGAAATTTTGTGTCCTTTGACCAGCATCTTCCCAATCTCTTCTCATCCCCCTGCTAACTATCATTCTACTCTCTACTTTTATGAGTTAGACTTTTTAGGATTCCACATATAAGTAGATCATGCAGTTTTCACTTCCTGTGCCTGGCTTATTTCACTAGCATAAGGTCCTCCATGTTCATCCCTGTGTTGCAAATGTCAGGATTTCCATAGCAAGAACACAATCAACAGAATGAGGAGACAACTTATGAAATGGGATAAAATATTTGCAAACCATACATATGATAAGAGTTTAATATCCAAAATATGTAAGGAACTCAGGCAACTGAATAGTAAGGAAATGAATAACCTGATTTAAAAATAGACAAAGGACCTGAAAAGACATTTCTCAAAAGAAGACATATAAATGGCCAACAGGTATATGAAAAAAATGCTCAACATTAGTAGTCATCAGGGAAAGGCAAATTGAAATCACAACCATATACCACCTCCTACCTGTTATAATCACTATTATCAAAAAGATGAAAGAGATAAGTGTTGGTGAAGATGTGGATAAGTGTGTACACTTTGTGGGAATGTTAATTAGTATGGCCATTATTGAATACAGTATGATATTTCTTCAAAAAATTAAAAATAGAACTATCCAAAGGAAATGAAATTGGTTGTTGAAGGGATGTCTGCACTCCTGTGTTCATTGCAGCATCATTCACAATAGCCAATATTTGTAATCAGCTCGAGTATCTATCAATAGGTAAAGAAAACGTGGTATGCATACACAACAAAATAGTATTCAGGCTTCTGTAATTTTAATTGAGCATTTGTAGGGTTCCATTTTCTCTCAGCATATTAATTATACTTCTTTTAAATCTTTTTATTTTATTTTACATATATACATATATATTTTTTTTATTTTTTATTTTTATTTTTTTTTTCAGATGGAGTCTTGTTCTGTCACCCAGGCTAGAGTGCAGTGGTACAATCTCAGCTCACTGCAACCTCTGCCTCCCAAGTTCAAGGGATTCTCCTGTTTCAGCCTCCCGAGTAGCTGGGACTACAGGCGCCCACCACCACACCCAGCTAATTTTTGTATTTTTAGTAGAGATAGGGTTCCACCATATTGGCCAAGCTGGTCTCGAACTCATTACCTTGTGATCCGCCCACCTTGGCCTCCCAAAATGCTGGGATTACAGGTGTGAGCCACTGTGCCTGGCCTTATTTTTATTTTTAAGACTACTCAAGTGCAGTAGTGAGAAGGGGGCAAAGAGTAGAACAAGAAGTTTGATTTGTAACTGACTGTGAACAATCAGTTGAGATAACTCACTACCCTCAGACCAGCCCTTCTTTTAAAACTTTTTTTGGTGTTTGCCCTAGAGTTTGCAATGTGCATTTAGAAAGAGCCAAATCTATTTTCAAATAACGCTACACTATTTCACAGGTAGTGTTAGTATCTTATAGCAGAAGATTACCAATTTCTTTCTCGAGTCCCTTATGATATTGTTGTCATTCATTTCAGCTATCCATGCACTGTCATCACTGAATACATTGTCCCTATCATTATTTTAAGCAAATGGTCATCTGTTTTTTGTTTCTGTTTTTGGTGGTTTTTGTTTGTTTGTTTGTTTTTGGGTGGAGCCAGGGTCTTGCTCTGTCACCCAGGCTAGAGTGCAGTGGCATGATCTTCACTCACTGCAACCCCCACCTCCCGGGCTCAAGACATCCTCCTACCTCAGCCTTCCGAGTGGGTGGGACTACCGGCATGTGCCTGGCTGATTTTTTGTATTTTTGGTAGAGACAGGGTCTCACTATGTTACCCATGCTGGTCTTGAACTCCTGAGCTCAAGCGATCCTCCCACCTCAGCCTCTCAGAGTTCTGGGATTATAGTTGTGAGCTACTGTGCTGGTTATCTATTTTATCAACAGCTGGACATGGTGGCTTATGCCTGTAATCCCAGCACTTTGTGAGGTTGAGGTGGGAGGACTGCTTAAGCCTAGGTGTGAGGCACCACGGGGAGTTCAAGACCAGCCTGGGCAACATAATGAGACTCTATTTCTACAAAATTTTCAAAATTAGCTGGGTTTGGTGCCGCGTCACTGTAGTCCTACCTACTTGGAGGCTGAGGTGGGAGGATCACTTGAACGCAGGAGTTTGAGACTGCAGTGAGCTATGATCGTGACACTACACTTCAACTTGGGAGACAGAGTGAGATCTCATCTCTAAAAAAGACAAAACAAAACAAAGCACCTCGAGCCACTCATTTTAAGAGTTGAGCTGATTTACGTAGTGCTACCCAACTATATTTTCCTGTATATGTAATTGCAGACACTGTTCTAAGCACTTTACACATATTAACTTATTTAATCCTCACAGGAAAACTTATAAGGTTGGTGCTGTTAGGATGACCATTTTACAAAGGAGGAAGCTGAGGAACAGAGGGGTTAAGTAACTTGCCTAATGCCACAGAGCAATTACATTTCAGCCTGGTGATTTGAACTTAGGCATTCTGGCTCTCATGCTGTACTAGGCAATTCTTTTTTTTTTTTTTTTTTTTTTTTTTTGAGACGGAGTCTCGCTCTGTCGCCCAGGCTGGAGTGCAGTGGCACGATCTCCGTTCACTGCAAGCTCCGCCTCCCGGGTTCACGCCATTCTCCTGCCTCAACCTCCCGAGTAGCTGGGACTACAGGTGCCCGCCACCATGCCTGGCTAATTTTTTGTATTTTTAGTAGAGACGGGGTTTCACCGTGTTAGCCAGGATGGTCTCAATCTCCTGACCTCGTGATCCGCCCACCTTGATCTCCCAAAGTGCTGGGATTACAGGCTTGAGTCACTGCACCCGGCCTGTACTAGGTAATTCTTAGCTGGTGGTGAGACATCACTACTAAATGTGGATGGGATGGGATGGGATGGATATGTTATTTCTTGGGTCTCTCTATAAACTGTTCCAGGAGGCTCACGCCCCAGGGAAATTTCCTTTCAATTGTCTCTTATATTTTCCTTCTATGATCTTTTGTGCTGCCTCACAAAAACAGAAAGCCATTAGTTTCATCTTCTAGCCACATATGTTCATAAAAGCTGTAAAACCCATGAGTATGAGATGCTTGGAGGCTTGTAGTTATTGTAAATAATTTACAAATCCATATGTACCCCAAATTTTTCTGCAGAATAATAATGTGTGCACTATTAAAAAATATTAAAAATTACAGCTATAATCATATGAGAGGGTAAAAAATATTGAGAGGTATGAAAAATAGTTCATCATACATAATAGGAGGTAAATGTTGCTCAAGAGAGAGGGTGATTGTGAATTAAATTTTTTAAAAAGCAGAGATAAGTAAAAACAAAAACCTTGGGTTAAAAAGGGGAATCCTAGCCACACTGGCTCTTCCAGATGAGAAAACTTTTTCCAAACTGTAGACCAGGGCTGCCATTTTGAGAGAATAGAAAATGATGACATTTGTGAACTGGTAGTCAGAACACTAGCATTGGGGGCTTTTGGCAGTGGTAGTCTTGGATTTGAACCACATTTCCACTGCTTAACAGTCGTGTGATTTGGGACAAGTTACTCAATTTCTCCAACCCTTAGCTTTCTTATCTGAAAAATATAATTCCTGACCTACAAAGTAAACCACAAAATAGGTCACCCAGCAAATAAAGTGGCCAAGAACTTGAGTTTTGATGGTATGAAGTCATAAATAAGATTATGGATGTAAAAGTGCCTAACACAAAACTAGATATTTGACAAAGTAAGAATCCTCTAAAGGCATTAGTCAAAGAGCTTAGTATTAGTATGGTAGACAACAGTGACTTGGGAATTACTATGTTGTTCTAGTTGATTTCTTAACAGCTTTGACCTCTTTATATCATTTGGAAAGAATCAAATGGACCTCAAGAGGTTATTTAGTTCTGTGCTCTGCCTCTTGTCAGACAAACTTCAAAATTCAGTATTCCCTTTGTTATAAATCCTGTTTGAAAAGATATCTAGGAAAACGAGCACATGACCTCCCAAGGTAGACAGTCCCTGTGTACAATGACTTATAAGCCAAATTGACTATTTATTTTCTTTCTTTCTTCATTATTATTATTATTACTTTTTGAAATGGAGTCTCACTCCATTGTTCAGGCTGGAGTGCAGTGGTGTAATCTCGACTCACTGCAACCTCCCCATCCTGGGTTCAAGCGATTCTCGTGCCTCAGCCTCTCGAGTAGTTGTGACTACAGGTGTGCAGCACCATGCCTGGCTAATTTTTTATTTTATTTTATTTTATTTTATTATTTTTTTTTTTTTAGTAGAGATGGGGTTTCACTATGTTGGCCAAGCTGGTCTTGAACTGCTGGCCTCAATTGATCTGTCCCTCTCGGCCTCCTAAAATGCTGGGATTATACGCGTGAGCCACTGTGCCTGGCCCTAATGGACTATTTCTTAATGTAATTAGTACTTGCTACTTATTGCTTGGGTCCCTAAATAGTATGTTTTCATGGAGTAACCAACTTTTCTGGCCTATTTTGGCCTTTAAATATTATCTATCTCAATAAAAACAGTCAAACAAAATCAACAGGCATCTTAACAAAAGCTTGTGGAAGTCAGTGTGGCGATTCCTCAGGGATCTAGAACTAGAAATACCATTTGACCCAGCAATCCCATTACTGGGTATATATCCAAAGGATTATAAATCATGCTGCTATAAAGACATATGCACACATATGTTTATTGCAGCACTATTCACAATAGCAAAGACTTGGAACCAACCCACATGTCCAACAATGATAGACTGGATTAAGAAAATGTGGCACATATACACCATGGAATACTATGCAGCCATAAAAAATGATGAGTTCATGTCCTTTGTAGGGACATGGATGAAGCTGGAAACCATCATTCTCAGCAAACTATCGCAAGGACAAAAAACCAAACGCCGCATGTTCTCACTCATAGGTGGGAATTGAACAATGAGAACACATGGACACAGGAAGGGGAACATCACACACAGGGGCCTGTTGTGGGGTGGGGGCAGGGGGGAGGGATAGCATCAGGAGATATACCTAATGCTAAATGACAAGTTAATGGGTGCAGCACACCAACATGGCACATGTATACATATGTAACAAACCTGCACGTTGTGCACATGTACCCTAGAACTTAAAGTATAATAAAAAACAAAACAAAAGCAAAAGCAAAACACAGATACACTCTGTTTTGCTGAGAGCTAGAGAAATGCTGCGGAAAACCTAGAAGTAGCTGTGAGAATATATATATCCTGGCTGATTTAGGTATCATTCACAGAGCAAATAATTCACCTACTTAAATTGTACAATTCACTGAGTTTTAGTATATTCGCAGAGTTTTGCGACCATCACCACAATCAATTTTAGAGCATTTTCTTCACCCTAAAAAGAAGCCTCATACCAAATAACAGTAACTCCTTATTTTCCCCCATTCCTGCTAGCACTAGGCAACCACAAATCTTTCTGTGTCTGTAGATTTGCCTATTCTGGACATTTTATATAAATGGGATCATACAACACGAGGTTTTTCGTGACTGGCTTCTTTGATTTAGCATAATGTTTACCAGGTTCATCCCTATTGTGGAGACTGTTTTAAAAAATCTCTGCATTTGGAGGTCAGACCTCAGTGTATTCAGAAGGGCTCTCCAGAGACTTAGAACCAATAGGATATGTATCTATATATATATACAGAAAGAGGGGCCTGGCGCAGTGGCTCATGCCTATAATCCCAGCATTTTGGGAGACCAAGGCAAGTGGATCACTTGAGGTCAGGAGTTTGACACCAGCCTGGGCAACATGGCAAAACCCCACCTCTACTAAAAATATAAAAATTAGCCAGGCGTGGTGGCAGGCACCTATAATCCCAGCTCCTCGGGAGGCCAAGGCAGGAGAATCGCTTGAACCCAGGAGGTGGAGGTTGCAGTGAGCCAAGATCATACCACTACACTCCAGCCTGGGAAACAGAGTGAGACCCTGTCTCAAAAAAAAAAAATATTTTAAGGAATTGGCTCATGTGATTGTGGAGGCTTGGCAAGTCCAAATACCTAATGGGAGAGGCAGGCAGGCTGAAGACTCAGGAAGGAGTTGCACTTTGAGTCCAAAGGCAGTCTGCTGGAGAATCCCCTCTTGCTTGGGGGTAAATCAGCCTTTTGTTCTATTTAAGCCTTCAACTGATTGGTTAAGGCCTACCCACATCACGAGAGCAATCTGTTTTACTCAAAGTCCACTGATATAAACATAAATCTCATCCAAAAACACCCCTACAGAAACATCCAGAATAACGTTTGACCACATATTTGGGCACCGTGCCCCAGCCAAAATGACACATAAAATTGTAACATTTGGCGATTTTTTTTTTTTTTGGAAGAAGTCTTGCTCTGTCACCCAGGCTAGAGTGCAGTGGCACAATCTCGGCCCACTGCAACCTCCACCACCCGGGTTCAAGCAGTTCTCCTGCTTCAGCCTCCCAAGTAGCTGGGATTATAGGCATGTGCCACCACCCACACCCAGCTAATTCTTTTATTTATTTATTTTTTGGTAGAGATGGGGTTTTGTCATGTTGACCAGGCTGGTCTTGAACTTCTGACCTCAGGTGTTCCGCCCACCTCGGCCTCCCAAAGCGCTGGGATTACAGGTGTGAGTCAGCACCTGGCCACACTTCGCTATTTTTATCCTGTGAATAGGTAAACAAACCTAACATTGAGGATTGTCTTTCTTGGAAGCATATGCAATTTAAAATTAGCACCAGCAATTGCTGTATTTTGAATCTCTTTGTGTAAACAACTACTCTGAGATAAAGAATGACTTTTGAAATGACCCAGAAAGAATATGGATCTTGCACGGTAGCCTCAAAGCTAAGTAAAGAAAGGAGTTCTTTTCTGTCTTCTTGAAATAGGAAAATATTTCATCTTGAAACTATCTGAGCCTTTCTTCCTGCCCTGGATAGCCTATATCAGCATATGAACTGGAGAGAGAGAGATTAACTACATGTATCAGCCAGAAACTCAAATGATCAAATGTCAGGACTACCTTCAGGTTTTATTGGTCTACGTTCCACAGCAGACATTAATCTTCCACAATGGACAGATGCAATGTTTTATGTACTTCTGTATTTTATCCCTGCCTCTGTCCTATGCAATTTCCTTTCCTACTTTCTTAAAATGAATTCGTTTTCTTGCAGATTCTAGATGCAGTTATTAAGTTTTCTGACACAACTAGAAAGATTTTCCTTTGTCTCTGCATTTCAAGAGAAAGCTTCTCTAGTCACAGTCATGTAAAATGTAAAACTCTTGAGTACAAATGAAGGAATTCTGCAGAGCTTAAATAAATACAGGCTGACTAATATGTAGGGGAAACTAGCCTAGTCACTCAGAGTCTCCAGTCTGATGCCACTGAGTTATAGGCACCTTCCTGGGCCCAACAGTTGGGTTTATGAAGACAGGATCTGGATGTCCATTCCAGGCCCCAGAATATTTACCTAAGATATATGTACTCATAAAATCAGAAAGAATATTTGACTGCAGATAGGAAATAATTAGGGATGAGCAGAGCCTTATGATCACAGAGGTAGTGGGAGGTATGGCCAGAATTTGAACTACAAACTCAGTGTTCTTTCTATCTCATCATGACGTTTCTTTTAGTTTTTTTTTTTTTTTTGAGACGGAGTCTCTCGCTATCACCCATGCTGGAGTGCAGTGGCGTGACCTTGGCTCACTGCAACCTCCGCCTCCTGGGTTCAAGTGATTCTCCTGTCTCAGCCTCCCAAGTAGCTGGGACTACAGGTGTGTGCCACCACGCCCAGCTATTTTTTTTTTTAGTAGAGTCGGGGTTTCACCATGTTGGCCAGGCTGGTCTCAAACTCCTGACCGCAGGTGATCTACCCACCTTGGCCTCCCAAAGTGCTGGGATTACAGGCATGAGCCACCGCGCCCGACTTTTTTTTTTTTTTTTTTTTTTTTGAGATGGAGTCTTACTCTGTCGCCCAGGCTGGAGTGCAGTGGTGGTGTGATCTCGGCTCACTGCAATCTCTGCCTCCTGGGTTCAAGCAATTCTTGAACTCGGTCTCGGTCTCCCGAGTAGCTGGGATTACAGGTGTCTGCAACCACGCCCAGCTAATTTTTGTATTTTTAGTAGAGATGGGGTATCACCATGTTGGCCAGGCTGGTCTCAAACTCCTGACCTCAAGTAATCTGCCAGCCTCGGCCTCCTAAAGTGCAGGGATCATAGGTGTGAGCCACTGAGCCTGGCCTTATCATAACTTCTCAAACACTGCTCAACAATGCCTTGTCCAGAGACATTATCAATGGCTAATATCATTTTAATGCTCTTTTATTAAACTATGTATATACTGAGTTTGTATAAATAGTGGATTTAAAATGAGTATCTGTGAATAGGAACCTTATTCTTTGAAATAATGTACTCTAACTTTTTCGATTTCAGCATCTGTTTTGCTGAGTCTTCATCACTATGGTCTAGGATGTTAAGTCAATAATATTGAAAGGTCTGCCTGTATATTTTGTTTTAGTACTAACTTTTTACAATATTATATTTTAGGAAGAAAAAAAGACTAATTTATGCCTTGTGGTGTAGCTCCTTTGAGTGTATATTAAAACAGTCATGGTTGCTGAAATGAAGAAATTGAGCAATGGAAATTGTGAAAGTAGAATGGAATCTTACAAATAAGTTAATATGAGAAATAATTATAAGGTATTATCATTTTCTTGATTATTTGATCTTATTATGCTTTAATATTCTACAAAAGCATTTGTCATTTTAAGTAGGAAACAAAAACAGCATAAATTTACTTTTTACACGTTATTTATTTATTTATTTATTTAAGGTGGAGTTTTGCTTTTGTTGCCCAGGCTGGAATGCAGTGGTGTGACCTTGGCTCATTGCAACCTCCTCCTCCCGGGTTCAAGCGATTCTCCTGCTTCAGCCTCCTGAATAGCTGGGATTACAGGCACCCGCCACCATGGCTTTTTTTTTTTTTTTTTTTTTTTCCTGTAGAGACGGGGTTTCACCATGTTGGCCAGGCTGGTCTCAAACTCCTGACCTCAGGTGATCTACTCGCCTCAGCCTACCAAAGTGCTGGGATTACAGGCATGAGCCACCATGCCCGGCCTACTTTTTACACTTTAAATAGGTGAATTTTATGGTATATGAAGTATGTCTCAATAAAAGTATTTATAAGAACCTGCACTTAATCTCCCTGTTGTTCTGATTTTTCTTAATGCACCTTCTTTTTTTTTGTTTGAGACAGGGTCTCTCCCTGTCTCCAAGGCTGGAGTCCAGGGGTACGTGCGTTCATGGCTCACTGCAGCCTCGGCTTCCTGAGCTGAAGTGATCCTCCCACCTCAACCTCCTGAGTAACTGGGACCACAGGTGCAAGCCACCACGCCTGGCTAATTTTTTGAATTTTTGTAGAGATAGGATCTTCCTATGTTGGCCAGGCTGGTCTCGAACTCCTGGGCTCAGCAATCCACTCGCCTCAGCCTCCCATAGTGTTAGGATTACAGGCGTAAGCCACTGCACCGGGCCTGATACACCTTTCTTCTGAAGAAACTTTTCTTTCCCTCTGTGGATGACTTTTTTCCCTTCTTACCATAAAGCATTGAGATGTTCCTCCTGCTTCGTTGCTCTTTCCTATAACTAGTTTTAAAAATAGTTGTCTAAATTTTAGAGAAAGTAAAACCCTTTCTAGTTCTGACATTGGAAGGACTTTATGAAGGATTTTGTGCTTTAGTTTCATCAAAGTCTCCCAATGAAACCTAAGTTGCTTTCCATTCTAAGCCTGGTGTTTATTTTAATAAGTGAATGTTTTCCCATAGCTGGGGGAAACATCTAGGCCTCATTCTCCTCTTTCTGCCAATAAATATGTTATAATTGTAGCTCCAGTGATACTATTTCTTTACATTAAGGTGAAAGCTTACAAGAAATGCATGCATAGCAAATCATTGGGCTTTGGGATCAAAGCACTGTCCGGCTGATAATCTAGTTTCCATCAAATAGTGATGTGTTTTGAGGAGGGCTGGGTGTTTTTTTTTTTTCATTTCTTTTGTTAATTAATTGTAATAAAAGCCTCTAAAGGATTTTTCTGGAGACTGTCTACCAAATCTTCTGAACAGGGAAAATTTTATAGGAATAATATTAATATTCTTTGGAAAATTTTCCAAAGTTTAAGCCCCTTAAGAAGGTTTTACCTTCTGGGTGCGGAGTTGGATTTAACAAACATTTCTGGCTGGGCGTGGCGGCTCACGTCTGTAATCCCAGCACTTTCAGAGGCTGAGGCGGGCAGATCACGAGGTCAGGAGATCATCCTGGCTAACACGGTGAAACCCCGTCTGTACTAAAAATACAAAAATAAATTAGCCGGGCGCGGTGGCGGGCAACTGTAGTCCCAGCTACTTGGGAGGCTGAGGCAGGAGAATGGCGTGAACCCGGGAGGTGGAGCTTGCAGTGAGCCGAGATCGCGCCACTGCACTCCAGCCTGGGCGACAGAGCAAGACTCCGTCTCAAAAAAAAAAAAAAAAAAAAAGAAAAAAAAATTAGCCAGGCGTGGTGGCAGGCACCTGTAATCCCAGCTACTCGGGAGGCTGTGGCAGGAGAATGGTGTGAACCCGGGAGGCGGAGCTTGCAGTGAGCCGAGATCGCGGCACTGCACTCCCGCCTGGGCGACAGAGCAAGACTCTGTCTCAAAAACAACAACAACAACAACAAAAAACCAGAAAACCAAACATTTCTTTGGTGGCTGCTGGGAGGTCCTGTACTAGACCCAGGGGATGGAGAGATGAAGCAACCACAGTGCCAGCCTACAGGTGTCCCACGGCTGGATGAGAGAGACAGGGTAATTCACAACCAGCTGTGCTTTGGTGACCATGTTTAGTGAACCAAATTTGGAATATATGGTCATTATTAATAGCAGTGTACTTATGTGCTTATGGTAACAATGAGATGGAATATTTTAAACTGGGGCCTTCCTTATTTTCTGGGATATATAGTATCATATACAGATAAATCGAAATTTTGTGACTCTTGTTCAAGAGTACTCCTGAGTTTACAGTCAGTGGTGAGGTAAGAGGAAACAGTGTTACTGACTTCTTTGCTTTTTTCTTACTCCTCCCCTGACATTTTCAGGTGGGTGAAATCTGGTTGAGGGGACATCAAAAGAATTTCAGAAAAATAGGCCAGGTGTGGTGGCTCACGCCTGTAATCCCAGCACTTTGGGAGGCCGAGGTGGGTGGATCACGAGGCCAGGAGTTCGAGACCAGCCTGACCAACATAGTGAAACCCCGTCTCTACTAAAAATACAAAAATTAGCTGGGCGTGGTGGTGCTCGCCTGTAATCCCAGCTACTCAGGAGGCTGAGGCAGGAGAATCGCTTGAACCTGGGAGGCGGAAGTTGCAGTGAGCTGAGATCATGCCATTGCACTCCAGCCTGGGCAACAGAGTGAGGCTCATCTCAAACAAAACAAAACAAAAAACAGTTTCAGAAAAATAAAGTCACTAAAAGACCCTGTGTGGTCTAAGGGGTATGAAAATATGGCAGAGGCAGCTCTATGCCCTAGTAACACTTGGCATTTTAAAGGCTTTTTTTGACCTGGTGCAATGGCCCACAACTGTAATCCCAACACTTGGTAGGCCAAGGTAGGCAGACTGCTTAAGTCCAGGAGTTTGAGATCAGCCTGGGCAACAAGTGAGACCCTGTCTCTATAAAAAATTTAAAAATTACCCAAGTGTGGTGGCATGTGCCTGTAGTCCCATCTACTTGGGAGGCTGAGTGGGGGAGGATGTCTTGAGTCCAGGAGTTCAATGCTGCAGTGAGCACTCTAGCCTAGGTGATAGAGCAAGTCTCTGTCGGAAAGAAGGGAGGAAGGGAGGAAGGGAGGGAGGGAGGGAGGAAGGAAGGAAAGGAGGAAGGGAGGAAGGGAGGGAGGGAGGAAGGAAGGAAGGAAGGGAGGGAGAGAGGGAGGGAGAGAGGGAGGGAGGGGAGAGAGAAAGAAAAAGGAAAGAAAGAAAAGAAAGAAAAAGCAAGCAAGCAAAAGAGGAAGAGAAAAAGAAAGAAAGGCAGGCTCTTCCTACTATGTAAATATGATTTGGTTATTCACTGGTTGTTAAAATAGTTCATAGTTTGAAAATTAAACTTATTAAAAATTATTTATTTTGTTGATACATAATAGATGTACATATTTTCAAAGTACATATGATAATTTGATACTTTCATATAATCAAATCAGTGTAATTAAGGTATCCATCACCTTACATATTTAACTTTCTTAATGCTAGGAACATTTGAATTGTTGTCTCCTAGCTGTTTTGAAATGCACAATAGATTTTTTTGTATTTTTTAAAAATTATACTTTAGGTTCTGGATTACATGTGCAGAACGTGCAGTTTTGTTACATAGGTATACGCATGCCATGGTGGTTTGCTGCACTCCTCAACCCGTCACCTACATTAGGTATTTCTCCTAATGTTATCCCTCCCCTAGCCCCCCACCCCCTGACAGGCCCGAGTGTGTGATGTTCCCCTCCTTGTGTCCATGTGTTCTCATTGTTTAACTCCCACTTATGAGTGAGAACATGCAGTGTTTGGTTTTCTGATCTTGTGATAGTTTGCTGAGAATGATGGTTTCCAGCTTCATCCATATCCCTGCAAAGGACATGAACTCATCCTTTTTTTATGGCTGCATAGGATTCCATGGTGTATATGTGCCACATTTTCTTCATCCAGTCTATCATTGATGGACATCTGGGTTGGTTCCAAGTCTTTGCTATTGTGAATAGTGGCACAATAAACATACGTGTGCATGTGTCTTTATCGTAGAATGATTTATAATCCTTTGGGTATATACCCAGTAATGGGATTGCTGGGTCAAATGGTATTTCTAGTTCTAGATCCCTGAGGAATCACCACACTGACTTCCACGATGGTTGGACTAATTTACACTCCCACCAACAGTGTAAAAGCATTCCTATTTTTCCACAACCTCTCCAGCATCTGTTATTTCCTGACTTTTTAATGATCACCATTCTAACTGGTGTGAGATGGTATCTCATTGTGGTTTTGATTTGCGTTTCTCTAATGACCAGTGATGATGAGCATTTTTTCATATGTCTGTTGGCTGCATAAATGTCTTCTTTTGAGAAGTGTCTGTTCATATCCTTTGCCCATTTTTTGATGGGGTTGTTTGTTTTTTTTTCTTGTTAATTTGTTTAGGTTCTTTGTAGATTCTGGATATTAGCCCTTTGTCAGATGGATAGATTGCAAAATTTGTCTCCCATTCTGTAGGTTGCCTGTTCCCTCTGATGATAGTTTCTTTTGCTGGAAATGCACAATAGATTAATGTTAATTAATCTATCCAGCATCAGGTCTTAGGAAATTTAAACTTCTTTAGATGGCATTCAAGCTATTCACAGTTTGTCTTCTATTTGTACCACTTCTCCAGTTTTATCTTCTATTTCTCCCCTCCACACCTCCTACTTGCCAAATGCATTGGGTTCTCAGAATATTTCTAATTTCCTTTTGGATTCCTTGTCTATTTATCTGCTGTTTCCTCTGCCTGGAATTTCCTCCTCCATTCTCACCTGTGTGAACATCTCCTTATCCTTGAAGTCATAGCCAAATATCTGTCACTCTTCTGTGGAGCCTTTCCTATGCCAAAACAATTACTCTGTTGTTCGTCTTTGTAGCCCTAGTGCCTATCACAATGCTTGTCACCAAATAGGTGCTGAGTAAACATTTTGCATGAGGTTCATTCGTTTTCATACTATAATAGCAAATATGCTCCCTAAGGAAATTTGAAAAATACAGAAGAATATAAATAAGAAAGTAGCAATCATGCACAGCCGCAGTAACAACCACTTTTTTTTTTTGACATATTCTAGTCTTTTCTAAGTATATCATATATTTTGTAGATGGTTGAGATTGTTTTGGTAAAAGGTTGATAAATTGCTCTCTTTATTACTTCTTTCCACTCATGTTTCATGATCCCCTGATGGTCTTCTTGCTCTGGCTGTGTTCATATAGTTATATTCTCTTTCCTCCCCATCTTCCACTTGCACACTTGCTAGTTCCCTCCTCAAAAACCTAATTAGATGTGTTTCTCTTTGTTGGCTATGTCCTCCACCTTCACTAACCTTGTTTTTCATCAAAACCTGTTATCAAACCAATAGTCACAATGAGTTTTGCATGATTGAACCCATCTACTTCTCTACCTGATCCTCTAACACTGATGGAAATTAAATATGGATATTTAAGCTGTAAGTGACCTTGGGGAGGCTAGTCCTCCCTTGTCATTTTCAGATAACTCATGTGCCCCACACATAGGTGGTGGTAAGTGTGTAGTAGGGCCCTCCCTATTCCTAGCCTTTTGTTCTTACTGAGGTCTTATAGCTGGTAATTGGCAGCATCAGGACTAGAGTCCAGGTCTAACTGATTCCTAAGCTAACCTATATTCCTTGATAGGTTGCTCTGTTAAAATGTTATTTGGTTGTTGAAGATAACTTTTGTCTCCAAAATCCATGTGTCTTTTCTCTCTTACCAAAGTGCTTTGCAAAATTAATGTTCCCCACACATTAGCCTGACTGACCAACTGACCCAGGATAGAATGGTTCCTTGCTTTGGAACTTCTCCCAGGCTCACCCAGAGAGCTTCTTAGCAGAGCTAGGAATAATATTCATATCTTCTAATGTCTAGATTTTCAGTTTAGGCCATGAGAGCCAGCTGAGTTCTCTGAGGAGAGTTCCTCATTTTTTTTTAATCAGGAAATATAGAAATCAATATGTGAGTGTTAGCTTGGCACAGTGGCTCATGCCTGTAATTCCACCTTTTTGGGAGGCTGAGGCAGGACGATTGCTTGAGCCTGAGAGTTTGAAACCAGCCTGAGCAACATAGAGAGACCTCATCTCTACAAAAAATACAAAAATTAGCTGGGCATGGTGGCGTGCACCTATGGTCACAGCTACTCAGGAGGCTGAGATTGGAGGATAGCTTGAGCCCATGAGATTTGATACTGCAGTGATCTGAGATTGTGCTACTGCACTCCAGCCTGGGTGACAGGGCAAATCCCTGTCTAAAGATATAAATATATGGGTGTTAAAATTTGATCACTGGCAATGTTAATTCAGGATTCACAGAATCATAAGATGTTAGAACTGAGAGGAGCCTTTGAAGTTCTGTAGTGCAGCCCCATTTTACTGATGAAGGAAATGAGGTCCTGAGAGGGCCCAAGGTCACATAGCTGTAAATGGTGGGGAAGGTACTAGCAGGAGCCTCAGGCCTCCAATACTAAAAGACACTGGAGAATATATTAGGCAGGGCCACAAGGTAGGTGAAGAAGAAAGTCTTGGGATATGTGTCTTTTCCTCTGACATATTATAGCATGTGTCATATTTGTGAATGGGAAGGGGTCCACAAAAATAACATTTGCTTCGTACACTCTAGTTCTGTGTTGTATATACACATGAAGGATTGTCACAAGGTAGGTAAACAAATTAGATTGTTTTCCCAAAAGAATTCTCGCAGAGAAATTGAGCTTACTTTGTCAGCTTTTTACGATGAACAGAATTTGGAGTATAATGATTTGGGGGCTGTGGGTTCCCCGTGTGCAAACTAATATTCTCAGCAAACACACTTTGCAGAAAGCAGCTAGAGTTGATGGAAAGAGGTCTGTCCTGGGATTAAATACTGGTCCTGCTGGAAACTTATTGTGGACAATTAATAGGGACCTTTTCCCTCTCCCAGCCTCAGTTTCCTGTTATGTAAAATCAGAGATTACATTTGTTCATTTCATGGATTTTCTTGTGCTGATATCTTATTTCTAAGGTCATTTTTTCAGCTTTCTGCTGAAGCAGTCACTCCTCTCAGCTATTTGCTGTATTCCAAGAGAGGTCTCCATTCTCTCCTTATTGCCTAATTAGATTGTTGTATACTACAGACTGATGGACATGCTGTGCTTTTCATTTATGCAGAAGCCTTTGTTTTCTCTTGGATTTCCCAGTTGTTTTGCTTCTGGTTGATTTATCCTTGGACTCTATTGTTATTTGATACAGCCTCCTATTAATAGAAGTTTGTCTTCTTGGTCACTTCTCTCTTCAGTTCATCAGTTCTGAAAACTGTGTTTTCATTCAGTGCTCAGAGGACTCCACTCTTGCTTTATTTAATCTGAGATGCCTCCAAATATAACAGTATGTGTATTCAAGACCATACAATTTGTACCTGTGTTGATAGTTAGTCTCTGTGGTTTCTTTTAAAATGACATTTGTTTATTTATTTATTTATTTGAGACAGAGTCCCTTTCTGTTGCCCAGGCTGGAGTGCAGTGGTGCGATCACGGCCCACTGCAGCCTCAACCTCCCAAGCTCAAGCTATCTTCCCACCTCAGCCCCCTAGTAGCTGGGACTACAGGCAAGCACTACCATGCCTGGCTAATTTTTCATATTTTTTTGTAGAGACGGGGTTTCACCGTGTTGCCCAGGGTGGTCTCAAACTCCTGGACTCAAAGGACCCGCCTCAGCCTCCCAAAGTGTTGGGATTATAGGCGTGAGCCGATTAACCCAGCCAAAAAGGACATTTATATACTATTATAACATTCTTGTAGAAATACTGGAGAATATTTTTATGCATAAGCACAGTTCTTCTTGAATTGTATACATATTTGAATTGTATCTGGGACTACAGGCGTGTGCCACCACACCTGGATAATTTTTGTATTTTTGGTAGAGAAGGGGTTTTGCCGTGTTTCCCAGGCTGGTCTGGAACTCCTGGGTTCAAGTGATTTGCCCATCTCAGCCTCCCAAAGTGCTGGGATTACAGGCATGAGCTCCCCGGCTGATACAAGACTATTTTCTAATCTACAGACTTTATTCAAAATTTACCAATTGTGAGGTTTTTAAAACAAATCTCATTTTGTAAAACCCACCTCCACTGAGATTTTGCTATGAATTAAGTAATCTCTATTTTTGGACATTGAGAACATTATCATTTTTTGTTTTGGTATTTTGAGTAATGCTGTGTGCATTTTTGTAGATATAGGTTTTTAATCTCCTTTCAAATTATTTCTTTAAGATATACATTCCTATGGAGGGTTATTGGTCAAAGGGTATAGATATTTTGGTGGCTTTGGTAAGCTGAACTCCATTCTTTTGAGAGGAAGTTTACACAATGTGTGAAAGCAGAAGTATTGGAATGAGACAGACCTTGTTTAAAGTCCTGTTTGTAACATTTGCCAGCTGTGTGATCTCTCTCAAGTGTCTTCTACTTCGAGTGCTTCTTTCTTTATTTGAAAAAATGGAAATTACAATTTGTACTCCACAGAGTTGTTTGAAGTTTAAATGAGAAAAACTTATGTAGTAAATTTAGCACATTATGACAATAGGTATTATGATTTTCTCCTCTTTGGATTGTAAATTCCAGGAGGGCAGGGATGTTGTCTATCTGGGTCCCTATGTTGTCTCTGGCACCTAACACAGTACTTGGTGCAAAGAAAGTACTGAAGAAATATTAATCGAATAGATGAATGTCATAGGTTATAATAATTTATAGTACCAGCAGTAATTTTAAAACTATATGTGTTTTCTTGCAGTCCTATAAGCATAGCATTTTATTAAAAAATAAAACCTTTCTGCTGTCTGCTATTTTAATGTGTTCTTGTCTAATTAGCATTTTATGTTTTTATTATCTTTTTTAATTTTTATTTTTTGTAGGGGGTGTCTCACTGTGTTGCCCAGGCTGATCTTGAACTCCTGGGTTCAAGCGCTCCTCCCTCCTTGACTTCCCAAAGTGCTGGGATTACAGGTGTGAGCCACGTTGCCCAGTGTCCCCCAGGCTGGAGTGCAGTGGCACAATCTCGGCTCGGTACAACCTCTGCCTCCTGGGTTCAAGTGATTCTCCTGCCTCAGCCTCCTGAGTAGCTGGGATTACAGGCACCCAACTCCATGTCTGGCTAATTTTTGTAATTTTTGTAAAGGTGGGGTTTCACCATGTCGGCCAGGCTGGTCTTGAACTCCTGACCTCAATTGGTCTGCCTGCCTTGGCTTCCCAAAGTGCTGGGATTACAGATGTGAGCCACCATGCCCAGCTATTATTTCTTACATAAATTTTGCATATATATTGGTTGGGGCTTCTCTTGAATGTGCCAGTGAGAAAATACCCATTGGTTGGTCGATGAAAGGGATGGGGTTTTCATAGATGTTGTATCTTTCCTTTCTTAGAATAACATTTAAACAGGTTCAGTGACAAGCAAGTTAAACTACACATTTTACCTTTCCAAAAATGGGGTTGACCTGGCCAAAGGGTTGACAACACCTTTGGATAGTTCCCACATTCTTACATCATTGCTAAGACTTACTAAATTGATAGGATCTTTATAATGGTGCTTTTGACACTTAAATGTGTATGTGAATCACCTAGGATGTATTAAAATGAAGCCTGATTCAGTAGATCTGGGGAACACACTTTGAGTAGCAAGGCTATACGCCAGTCTTAAAGGTGAAAAAGTGAGAGAGATCAGTAGTTGCATTGGGTTGAGGGATCAAGGGAGGGTTCTTTTTATTTCAGGATGGGAATTACTTAAGTGTGTTTATTGATCCAGTGAGGTTATAACTATGCTATTCATTTCTGAGTCACAAGAGCTATTCAAGACATGGCAAATATTGCTTTTCTGTATACGAAGGACTTCCATGTCCATCGTTTGAGTCAGTGTTTCACAACCTTTTTTTTTTCATTATCATCCCCTTAAGGAGACTTTTTAGGTATTCTTATCCTCATTGCAACCCACATCAATTCTTATATGACAGTTTTAATGAGATATAATTCACATACCATACATGTCATTGGTTTCTATTATTTCCTTCAAACCCACAACCATGGGCAATCACTCACTTATTTTCTGTCTTTATAGATTTGATTTGCCTATTTTTTTTTCGTTTGACAGAGTTTTGCTTTTGTCACCTAGGCACGCGACCATGTCTGGCTAATTTTTGTATTTTTAGTAGAGACGGTGTTTCACCATGTTGGCCGGGCTCATCTCGAACTCCTGACCTCAAGTGATCTGCCCGCCTCAGCCTCCCAAAGTGCTGGGATTACAGCTGTGAGCCACCATGCCCAGCGCCCCTCCCCCCCCGCTTTTTTTTTTTGAGACAGAGCTTCTCTCTTGTCTCCCAGGCTGGAATGCAATGGCATGATCTCGACTCACTGTAACCTCCACCTCCTGGGTTCAAGCGATTCTCCTGCTTCAGCCTCCCGAGTAGCTGGGATTACAGGCACCTGCCACCATGCCTAGCTAATTTTTGTATTTTTAGTGGAGATGGGGTTTTGCCATGTTGGCCTAGGCTGATCTCGAACTCCTGACTTCAGGTGATCCACCTGCCTCGCCCTCCCAAAGTGCTGGGATTACAGGCATGAGCTACTGCACCCAGACTTTTCTTCTTCTTCGTTCTTCTTTCTTCTTTTTTTCTTCTTCTTCGTCTTCGTGACAGATCTCACTCTGTCACCCAAGTTAGAGTGCATTGACCTAAACTTGTCTTACTGCAGCCTTGACCTCTCAGGCTCAGGTGATCCTCCTGCCTCAGCCTCCTGAGTAGCTGGGACTACAGGTTTGTGCCACTGCACCTGGCTAATTTTTTATTTTTTATAAAGATGGTATCTTACCATGCTGCCCAGGCTGGTCTCAAACTCCTGGGTTCAAGCGACCCTCCCACCTTGGCCTCTGAAAGTGCTGGGATTGCAGATGGGAGCCACCACATCCAGCCTGAATTGTCTGTTTCATATAAATGGAATCAAACCACATGTGATCTTTTGTTACTGCTTTCTTTTACTTTTTGAGTGTAATTAATTTTTATTGTATATATTTGTATTCATTTATTTTTAAAAACATTTTATTTTGAAATATCAAACATAAAAGTAGAGAGAATAGTATGATGAACTTGATGTGTCCATCAACCCCTCTTCAACAGTTATCAATTTATGGCCACTTTTGTTTTATCTGTATACCTACCTATTTTCCCTTTTCCCATTGGATTATTTTGAAGCAAGTCTCAAATAACATATTACATTTTTGTATTTACCTCACAAAATAAGAACATAGAGAAACCATACCACAATCCTTTATCACACCTAAGGCAATTTAAAATATTTTCTTGGCTGGGCGTGGTAGCACACACCTGTAATCCAAGCACTTTGGGAGGCTGAGGTGGGTGGATCACTTGAGCCCAGGAGTTTGATACCAGCCTGGGTAACATGCTGAAACCCCTTCTCTACAAAAAAATAGAAAAATCAGCCGGGCATGGTGGTGCACACCTGTGGTCCCAGCTATTCAGGAGCCTGAGGTGGGAGGATCACTTGAGCCTGGGAGGTTGAGGCTGCAGTGAGTGGAGATTGTGCCGCTGCACTTTAGCCTGGATGACAGAGTGAGACTGTGTCTCAAAAAAAAAAAAAAAAAAACACCAAAAATTAACTTTTTTTCATTAATAATCAAATAAAGAATAAATATGCAAATTTTTAAATTTGAAAATCAGGATTCAGAGTTCATACATTGTGCCAGATTGATATATTTCTTTTCTTTTTTCTTTTTTTTAGATAGGGTCTGGCCGTGTCACTCAGGCTGGAGTGCAGTGGCACGATCATGACTCACTGCAGCAGTGACCTCCAGGCTCAAGTGATTCTCCCATCTCAGCCTCCTGAGTAGCTGGGACTACAGGCTCGTGCCGCCATGCCTGGCTAATTTTTTATATATTTTTTTGTAGAGACGGGGTTTCCCTGTGTTGCCCAGGCTGGTCTTGAACTCCTGAACTCAAGTGATATACCCACCTTGTCCTCCCAAAGTGTTGGGATTACAGGTGTGAACCACCATGCCCTGCCAATATGTTTCTTAAATCTGTTTTAAAAATGCCACCTCCTTTTTCTTTCTACAATTTCCTTGTTGAATAAATTGGTAGTTTGACCTATAGAGTTTGCCATATTCTACATTTTACTGATCGCATAATCATGTTGTCATTTTACATGTTCCCCTGTTTCCTATATGTTTATAGGAAAAATATAGATCTGGATGTTTGATCAGATTTAGGTTTAGGGTTTTTTTTTTTTGAAAGTGTGTGTATTATATTGCCTGATATAGGAGGTTCATAATATCTGGTTATCTTCTTCTATTTTCTGTGATCTTAAGATTCATCAGTGTTTGTAGGGGTTTTCAGCTTGATCCTTGCATTTTGAAATTTCCCATCAGCTTTTCTTTCACCTAATGGTCTTAGCAGTTATTGCTTAGATATGCTATTTAATTATGGGTTGCACAATGGTGATATTTTAATTCTATTACAACTTCATTTTTTTTTTTTTTGCAGTAAAAAAATGTTTAATTGATGTGAGGCAGGCCACATGGTGGTGGTTCTTCTTCTTTTTTTTTTTTTCTTTTTGAGACAGAGTTTTGTTCTCGTTGCCCAGGCTGGAGTGTGTGATCTCGGCTCGCTGCAACCTCCACCTCCCGGGTTCAAGCGGTTCTCCTGCCTCAGCCTCTCCGAGTAGCTGGGATTACAGGCACCCACCACCATGCCTGGCTAATTTGTTGTATTTTTAGTAGAGACAGGGTTTCATCATGTTGGCCAGGCTGGCCTTAAGCTCCTGACCTCAGGTGATCCACCCACCTTGGCCTCCCAAAGTGCTGGGATTACAGGTGTGATCCCACAGTGGTGCCCGGCCAGTTCTTCATTTTTAAAACTATTTTTTTTTCTCTTGTTCCTTGTGTTTTGGGTGTCATACCTATGAAATCATTGCTTAGTCCAAGGTCAAGAGATTTATCCCTATGTTTTCTTTTAAGAGTATTATAGTTTTAGATTTTGTATTTAGGTCTGTCAACCATTTCGGGTTAACTTTTGTGTAGTATGAGGTAAGGTACAACTTCATTCTTTTGCAGGTAATATGTTTGTGCCAGCACCATTTGTTAAAGACAGTGTTCTCTCTCCACTGAATTGTTGTGACATTTTTTTGAAAATAAATTGACCACAAATGTGTAGGCTTATTTCTGGATTCCCAATTCTATTTTATTGATCTATATGTCTATGTTTATGCCAAGACCACATAGTCATGATTACTGTGGCTGTGTAGTAAGGTTTTAAATTTAGAAGTGTGAGTTCTTTAACATTGTTCTTTTTCAAGATAGTTTTGACTATTTTTGGTCCCTTTAATTTCCATATGAATTTCAGATCACCATGTCAACTTCTGCCAGAAAGACAGCTGGGATTTTGTTAGACATTGCAGTTAAATCCGTAGAACAATTTGAGGGAATATTTCCATCTTAACAACATTAGGTGTTCTGATACATGAACATGGAATGTCTTTCCATTTATTTAGGTGTTCTTTCATTTCTTTCACCAGTGTTTTGTAGTTTCCAGTATACAAAGTTTGCATTAATTAGTTAAATTCATTTCTAAGTATTATTTTTCAGACCATTGTACGTGAAACAGTGTTCTTTATTTTTGCATTGTTTATTGCTAGTGTATAGAAATACAATTTGTGGCCCGGTGCAGTGGCTCATGCCTATAATTCCAGTACTTTGGGAGGCTGAGGCGGGCAGATCACTTGAGGTCAGGAGTTTGAGACCAACCTGGCCAACATGGAGAAACCCTGTCACTATTAAAAATATAAAAATTAGCTGGGCACGGTGGCACATGCCTATAATTCCAGCTACCTGGGAGGCTGAAGCACGAGAATCACTTGAACCTGGGAGGCAGAGGGTGCAGCGAGCTGAGATTCTGCCACTGCACTCCAGCCTGAGTGACAGAGTGAGACTGTCTCAAAAAAAGAAAAAGAAATACATTTGTGTTTGTATTGATTTTATATTCTGTAACCTTGATGAACTTATTTATTACTTCTAATAGTTTTTTTAAAAACTGGATTCCATTAGATTGTTTTGTATACAAGATCATGTCATCTGCATATACAAATAGTTTTATTTCTTCCTTTCCAATCTGCATGTTTTTCACTTCTTTTCTTTGCCTGTGTCCTGGCTCAAATCTCTAGTACAGTGTTGACTAGAACTGGTGAAAGCAGACATCCTTGTCTCCTTCTTGATATCATGGGGAAAGTATTCGGTCTTTCACCATTAAGTATGAGGTTAGCTGTTGTGTTTTTCATAGATTTTCTTTATGAGGTGGAGGAGATTTCCTTCTGTTCCTAGTTTGTTGAATGTTTTTATAAAGAAAGATTTTGGACTTTGTCAATTACTTAATCTACATCTGGTGAAATGATCATGTGGTTTTTCTCTTATATTCTATTTATGTGGTATATTACATTAATTTTCATATATATATAAATATATATATATATATATTTTTTTTTTTCAGACAGGGTCTCACTGTTGCCCAGGCTGGAGTGCAGTGACACAATCAGGGCTCTCACTGCAGCCCTGACCTCCTGGGCTCAAGTGACCCTTCCGCCTTGGCTCCCCGAATAGCTGGGACTACAAGCTTGTGCCACCATGCCTGGCTAATTTTTTTTTTACTATTAGTAGAGATGGGGTTTCACCATGTTGCCCAGGCCAGTCTTGAACTCCTGAGCTCAAGGGATCCTCCTGCCTTGGCCTCCCAGAATGTTGGGATTACAGGCGTGAGCCACTGCGCCCAGAATTTTTTGTATGTTGGAGCAACATTGCATTATTGGCATAAATTCCACTTTGTCATTATGTAGAGTCCTTTTTATATATTTCTGGAATCAGTTTGCTGTTTGTTGTTGTTGAAGGTGTTGTTTTAATATTTATAACAGACTTTTGTATTTAGACTTATTTTCTTGTGGTTAGTTTAATTTTTATATTAGGGTAATACTGGCCTTACAGACTGAGTTGGGAAGTTTTTGTATGTTGTGTCTTTATTTTGCATTTATCTGAAAATATTTTCTAATTTGTCTTGTGATTTATTGTTTTACCCATTTACTGCTTAGTAGCATGTTGTTCATCTTCCATATCTTTGTAAATTTCTTAACATTTCTGTTATTAATTTCTAATTTTATTCCTGTGGCCATAAAACATACTTCTTATGATTTCAGTTCTTTCAAATTTATTGATGGTTGTTTAATGAAGTAGCATATAATCTATCCTGGATAATTTTATTAGTGCACGTGAGAAGAATGTGTATTCTGCTATTGTTGGGTGAAGTGTTCTATAGATGTTTGTTAAGTCTTGTTAGCTTTTCATATTTTTGAAGTCTTATATTTCTGAAGTATTGATTTTCTATCTAGATCTAACCATTATTGAAAGTGAGTTACTGGCTGGGCGTGGTGGCTCACGCCTGTAATCCCAGCACTTTGGGAAGAGCCGAGGTGGGCGGATAACTTGAGCTCAGGAGTTCAAGACCAGCCTGGGCAACACAGTGAGACTCTGTCTCTAAAAAAAATAAATAAATAAAAAAAAAGAAAGTGAATCGTTGAATTCTTCAATGTCTATTGTTGGATTGTCTATTTTTCCATTCAATTTTGTCATTGTTTATTTTATGTATTATGTATTTTGGGCTCTGATGCTCTGATGTTATGTGCATACATGTTTATAATTGTTATATCTTCTTGATGGATTGACTCGTATCATTATAAAATATCTCTCCTGATTTCCATTGTCTTTTTTTTTTTTTTTTGGTTTGGAGTGTATTTTGTCCTATTCTAATATAGCCACTCCAGGTTTCTGATCTTTTTCATACTTAGCTTTTAACATATTTGTGTCTTTGAATGTGAGATGTGTCTCCTGTAGACTGCATATAGTTGTCTCTTTAAAAAAAATTTAGCTGGTTGTGGGGGCTCATGCCTGTAATCCTAGCAACTCAGGAAGCTAAGGCAGGAGGATCATTTGGGGTCAATATTTTGAGGCCTGCCTGGGCAACGTAGACCTTGTCTTTAGAAAAAAAACCAAAAATTAAGTTTTGCACTTAAACAAATTTATATTGTTTAATGTATTTCTGTTGAATGTTACTATTGACATAGGTGGATTTACATCTGCCATTGTGGTTTAAAAATTTGTCTCATGCTTTTTCGTTGCTATATTCCTCCTTAACTGCTTTATTTTGCATTCGGTGCTGTTATTGTTATACATATTTTATCTATAATATTTAAAAATCGAACAATACGTTTTTATAATAATTATCCTAGAGGTTTTTGTAACTTTTAAAGAAGTTGATGCGTAAGAATGGGAAAAAAATTGAAAAAGACAAAAATGAACATACAGAAACAATTTTTTAAAAAAGTTGAAGGAAGGGAACAAGTGTACCTTTATAGCATTTGTTATAGTAACATTTTTGGGTGCAATTTCTGGTTCTTTTCATTTGTTTTTGTGGGTTCATGTTACCATTTTGTGTCATTTTCTTACTTCTTTTTTTTGGGACAGAGTCTCACTCTGTCACCCAGGCTGGAGTGCAGTGGTGTGATCTTGACTCACCACAACCTCTCCCTCCCGGGTTCAAGCAATTCTCCTGCATCAGCCTCCCGAGTAGCTGGAATTATAGATGCGTACCACCATGCCTAGCTAATGTTTTCTTTTTGTATTTTTGGTAGAGATGGGGTTTCACCATGTTGGCCAGGCTGGTCTCAAACTCCTGACCTCAAGTGATCCTCCCACCTCGGTCTCCCAAAGTACTGGGATTACAGGCATGAGCCACCACGCCTGGCCCATAATAGCTTTGCTTTAATCCACTTCTGTGATCATATTGGAAAATAAATTTTTTTAGCCATGGGCCCCGAAATACACACACACACACACACACACACTCTCACACACACACACACACGTACACACATAGAGTTTAATATAATTGCCTTTTACATCGGTTAAGAGAAGAAAGAAGAAGATACATATGTTTATACTGTCTTTTTCCTTTTTATTTTTTGAGACTCGGTCTTGCCCTGTTGCCCAGGCTGGAGTATGATGGTGTGATCTTCGCTTACTGCAACCTTGATCTCCCAGGATCAAGACAATCCTCCTACCTCAGCTTCCCAAGTAGCTGGGACTACAGGTGTGTACCACCACACCCAGCTAATTTTTTAAATTAATTAATTAATTAATTTTATTATTTTATTTTTTTGTAGAGATGGGGTCTCAGTCTGTTGCCCAGGTTGGTCTTAAACTCCTGGGCTCAAGCAATCCTTTTGCCTCGGCCTCCCAAAGTGTTGGGATTACAGGCGTGAACACTGTTCCTGGCCTATACTGTCTTTTATAATTATAAAATTTCCTTTACAAGACATCTCAGTTTAAAAAAATTAATTAATTACTTTTTTAGCAAGCATTTCTGTGAAAGAGAGATCTCAGTTTTTTATGTGAATTTGAATTACTCTCTGTGGTCAACTGCTTTGAGATTCAAGAAGTCCTTCAGTATTTCTTGTGAGTCCACTAGCAGAGGACTCTCTCACTAGAATCTGGGTCTCAACTTATACAATGAAAATCAGCATCTTTGAGGGTGGAGCCTAGGCAACGGTAGTTTAAAAAATTGTACCATGTTATTATTTTTATTTTTTTGAGGCGGAGTCTACTCTTTTGCCCAAGCTAAAGTGCAGAGACATGATCTCTGCTCATTGCAGCCTCCACCTCTCGGGTTCAAGTGATTCTTCTGCCTCAGCCTCCCAAGTAGATTGGACTACAGGTGCACGCCACCCGTGCCCAGCTAATTTTTATATTTTTAGTAGAGATGGGGTTTCACCATGTTTGCCAGGCTGGTCTCTAACTCCTGACCTCAAGTGATCCACCTGCCTTGGCCTCCCAAAGTGCTGATTTTACAGGCGTGAGCCACCGTGCCCAGCAAATTCTGATAATAAACCAAGGACTATAACCACAGGGTTAGATGATTTCCAAGGTCTCATGTAGCTCTCACATCGTGTGACACTGTGGATAGATTTCGTAGTTCATGTTAGACCACACCTTCGTAGCATATCAGTCTGACAGAGGCCTGTGGTTCTCAAAGTTTGTCCCTAGAAAAACAGCATCAGCATCTCCTGGTAAAATGTTAACATTGCAAATTCTCAGGCACCACTCTACGTGGAATGAATCAGCAATGGACATTCCTGCAAAGGACACAGCAGTATGTGTATTAACAAACTCTATCTCTCCATGTGATTCTATTGCACTGTGAAGTTTGAGAACCACTGGCATAGAGAAAGAGAACTGTGGGCTTTGGGGTCCGAGGACTTCTCATTAGTCTTGGAGAGGTATGTATAAATGACCAGTTATTTTGGGCACCTAACGTATCTTCGTTGAGCACCCCCCCGCTTTTTTTTTTTTAAGGAGAGGAAGAATATTTGCATTTTCTTAACTCACATGGTTGTTGTGAGGCTAGAGCGCTTATGTCAAAGCCCCTTTGTAAACTGCGAAGCATGTAGGCACACACAAGGAGTCATTGTGAGCAAGGGAAGTACAATTCATTAAGCATCTCTTCTGGGACAGGAACTATTAATTAATTAATTAATTAATTAATTGAGACAGGGTCTTATTCTGTCGCCCAAGCTGGAGTGCAATGGTGCAATCTTGGCTCACTGCAACCTCTGCATCCTGGGCTCAGATAATCCTCCTGCCTCAGCCTCCCAAGTAGCTGGGACTACAGGCATGCACCACCATGCCTGGCTAATTTTTGTATTTTTTGTAGAGATGGGGTTTCACCATGTTGCCCAAGCTGGTCTCAAACTCCCGGACTCAAGGGATCCTTCCACCTTGGCCTCCCAAAGTGCTGGGATTACAGGTCTGAGGCACTGCACCCAGCCAGGAATTTCATATTTATTATTTTATTTAATTCATAACCACTCTACATGTAGTGAAATAATTATTTAGAAATCCAATTTAGTTTTTGAATTGTATTGGAATTTATACATTGAAATTCAACATCAATCCAGCTGCATCAAAGTCTAACTATATGGAAATTCATCGATATCAAAATGTAAGTACACAAAGATCAAACTGCATCAAAATCCACAGGAGAGCTAGGAGAAAAATTGTGTATATTAAAATACTAAGAGCATTTTGTTGCATTCTCCCACCTCCTCACCAACAAAAGCTCAAAATCTTGTCCTGTCATATCAGTAGCTAAAGCATGTTAACACTTAGCTCTTACACTAAACTAGTTACTTCTTTGACTTAGGGGAAGTCATACTTCCTTACTGGATTGTACTTTAATCTTTCTATTTTAAAATTAGTGGTTTTACAGAAATAAAATCTTTAAAATATAATTCTTACCTTAGTCTATTTAAAACATGCTGTTACAGCTCAGCATGGTGGCTCATGCCTGTAATCCCTGCACCTTGGGAGGCTCAGGTGGGCAGATCACTTGAGGCTGGGAGTTTGAGACCAGCCTGGACAACATGGCGAAAACCCATCTCTACTAAAAATACAAAAATTAAATGGGTGTGGTAGCGCATGCCTGTAGTCCCAGCTTCTTGGGAGGCCGAGGCATGAGAATCGCTTGATCCCGGGAGGCAGAGGTTGCAGTGAGCCGAGATGATGCACTGCATTCCAGCGTGGGGACAGAGAGAGACTCTGGCTCCCCCAACCCAAAAAAAAAAAAAAAAATTCATTTGAAATTAGAGAAAACTTCCCTGCCAACATTGGTCCTTAAGAGTGTGATTAGGAGCTCTCAGAAGTCACGGGTTTTATTCTGAAATTAATAACACTTGCTTCCCAATAGAGAGGTACTCACTGTGCATGAGAATATTTTGATGTTTTGTCACAGCCATTTCATATATGGAGGTGCGTGTGTGTGTGTGTGTGTGTGTCTGTGTGTGTGTGTGTGCACGCACGCGCGCTTTATTATTTATTTATTTATTTTGAGACGGAGTTTCACTCTTGTTGCCCAGGCTGGAGTGCAATAGTGCGATTTCAGCTCACAGCAACCTCCGCCTCCCGGGTTCAAGTGATTCTCCTGCCTCAGCCTCCTGAGTAGCTGGGATTACAGGCATGTGCCACCATGCCCAGCTAATTCTGTATTTTTAGTAGAGACGGGTTTTCGCCATGTTGTCCAGGCTGGTCTCAAACTCCCGGCCTCAGGTGATCTGCCTGCTCGGCCTCTCAAAGTGCTGGGATTACAGGCGTGAGCCACCGTGCCCGGCCGCATGTGTGTGTGCTTTAAACCACTAATCTTATTGGATGAATATTATTACATTATATGACATTTGCATGCATTCTATTATTATTATTATTATTATTATTTGTAGAGATGGGGGTCTCACTATGTATCCCAGGCTGGTCTCAAACTCCTGGCCTAAGGTGATCTTCCTGCCTGTACTAAGATTACAGGCATGAACCACCACGCCTGGCCTTTTTTTAAAAAAATAAGTATTTATTTATTTTTGCATGCATTTTATGGCCACCGTTATATATACTATGGCTTAACAGGGGCTAGAATGTGAACTTGAAGTTTTAGTGTTTCGGTTCCTTTCTCTGTAAATTTGAATGAGGCTAGCTAGTGATGGAGTGGTCAGTTTCTGAAGAATATTGTTATCTTGGCACTAAAGAAACAAATTAGCTCCCATTTTCTATTATTCCTGCATCCAGGCAGCAGAATCTGTTTGCTTTATTTACTGAAGATTCGTGTACAGGCACAGTAGCAGCCTGTGTTCCTATGGTTTGAAGGCTTTAAGCTCTTTGCTGTTTTTTTTTTTTAATTTCCATAAATTATCATTTAGAGGTAATAGAAATGGTTGGGAGGTTATAAAGATTTTCCCCCTATCGTTTTTTGGCCCAGAAATCTCCTGCTTTGTTCTCTCAAAGGCTGAGTCTTTAGCAGAGGCTCTGCCAAAAAGAACTGGAGTTTTCCCTTGGGAATCAGAGGAAAGGCTCAGTATTCAGCAAATTTGAAAAAGGCAAGCTTTTCAGATGTTAATAAGTCTAAACAGGACCCAGGAAGCTCTGCAGTCTCCAAGGCAGATTAAATACCCAAGTGGTATAACCTTTCCCTCGGCTGTGGCCAGGTTCTTAACTATTGGTGATAACTTTAAGAACGGATCACAAAGGTGGAATTCTCCCAAAAGTCATCACTCTGAACTTGGAATCCAATACAAGCTTCAAAAGTCACAGCAAGCAATAAGCACTGGCAACACCAGGCGCCTATTTGGGTGCCAGATTTTCACATTTTCTTTGGGTTTCTCACCATGTCTCTAACCCCAGCTGCTAGTGAATGCTTAACTGCCAGTTGCTGCCACAAACGTCATGTTGGAAATGAAAAAAAAAGTTCTCTGCCTTGGAAAGAGCACAGGAGACACAGCAAAAAGCTAGTTATTTTCATCATCATCATTATTAATGCAAATTTAAAAGCACAGAGTCATAAAATAGACACTGTGTACACATGTCCTCAAGATAAACATTCTGTCATGTTTGCTTCAGATCGTTCTCATTCTTTTTTCTTATTTATTTATTTATTTATTTATTTATGAGACAGAGTCTCACTGTGTCACCAGGCTGGAGTGCAATGGTGCGATCTCGGCTCACCACAACCTCTGCCTCTCAGGTTCAAGTGATTCTCCTGCCTCAGCCTCCCCAGTAGCTGGGACTACAGGCATGCACCACCACACCAAGCTAATTTTTTTGTAGTTTTAGTAGAGACAGAGTTTCACCATGTTGGCCAGATTGGTCTCGATCTCTTGACCTCGTGATCCACCTGCCTCAGCCTCCCAAAGTGCTGGGATTACAGGCAGGAGCCACTGCACCCGGCCTCTTTTTTTTTTTTTTTTTTTTTGATACAGAGTCTAGCTCTGTCACCCAGGCTGGAATGCAGTGGTGCGATCTTGGCTCACTGCAACCTGTGTCTGGTGGATTCAAGTGATTCATGTGTTTCAGCTTCCCAGGTAGTTGGGATTACAGGTGCCTGCCACCATACCCAGCTGATTTTGTTTTTTTAGTAGAGACTGGGTTACACCGTATTGGCCAGGCTGGTCTCGAACTTCTAGCCTCAAGCTATCCACCCACCTCGGCCTCCCAAAGTGCTGAGATTACTGGCTTGAGCCACCGCACCTGGCCCAGATCGATCTCATTTTCTAAGTAAAACATAGAGATAGTGAAATCTGCGTTTACCTCTTTCCCCAGTCCTTATTACTTTCTCTCACCAAGGGCAGCCACAATGCTGAATTTGGTATTTATCCTTCTTGGCAATGTTTTCTGTTTATATATAATATTATAATCATTATGTAATATAATTATATATTAATACATATATCTACTAATATATAATTAATACAATACATTATAATTATAAGATATAACTATTATATAATTATGTACTATATTGTATATAATCATATATAAATTATACAAGTACAATATAATTTTACATAAATTATATAAACATAACTATATAAATTATATATATAATTTTATGTACATTATATAAGTATACTTTTACAGAATTATACATCTTATGTATATTATATATGAGATATATATTAGATATATACTAGATGTATACATTTGTTGTTTGTGTCTATATATATGGAATAGAAAACATGGCCAAGAAGAATGCATGCCAAATATATATTTAAATATATTAATATGTAATATATTTAATAAATCTATATTTAATAGTTATATTAAATATTTTAGTTATATAAATATATAAATGCTTATATTTATAGATACTATGAATATTATATAGAGATATAAATATATATTTGTGCTGGAAATGTTTTGTATATTTAAATTTTTTTTACAAGTGGAATCATACTATATGTACTTCAACTTGTTTTTTTTTCCACTTAGCATTGTTCTTTTTCGAATTTTAGATATTTTCATGTTGATATACAGTATATAGATATAATTCATTCTTCACTTTTTTTTTAAAGAGGCAGAGTCTCACTATGTTGCCCAGGTTGGGCTCGAACGCCTGGGCTCAAATGATCCTCCTGCCTCAGCCTCCCAAGTAGCTGGAACTAAAGGCACTTGTTGCCATGCTGGGATTCATTAACTTATAATACTCACTAGGACACTTCTGTTATGAATATTGTTGGGAAAATTAAAAATTAAATCTCTTGCTAACTTAGAAAATCCTTTTCACAAATGTGGAAAAGAAAGAAAACTGGCCGAGCGCTGTGCTCATGCCTGTAATCCCAGCACTTTGGGAGGCTGAGGCAGGCAGATCACCTGAGGTCAGGAGGTCGAGGCCAACCTGGCCAACATGGTGAAACCCTGTCTGTACAAAAATACAAAAATTAGCTGGGCATGATGGTGGGTGCCTGTAATCCTACTACTCGGGAGGCTGAGGCGGGAGAATCGCTTGAACCCAGGAGGTGGAGGTTGCTGTGAGCCGAGATCTTGCTGTTGCACTCCAGCCTGGGCGACAGAGTGAAACTCTGTCTCAAAAAAAGGAAGAAAAAAAAAAAGAAAAAGAAGAAAGGAAAAGAAAGAAAACCATTGTGTTACTGAAAGCATTAAATCAGACGGGGATGTGAATGACAGGTAATACACTAATGAGACTGTAAGCATAGAAAGAAATGTCACACTTTTACATAGGCAAGAATATATGATCCATTTACATATGTGTTCTCAATATAAAGCATAACTTGCCCTCCAGTTAGATTTGACAGCACTTTTATTTTACATAGTTCAGGCAATATTCACCTTGTAGTTGAGGTGGCCATATGTTAGCTAATTGCCTTTATCCAAAGAAAAAAATATAACTTCTCTTGTCTATATGCCCAGCAGGCATTTAAGATTTAAAGCAAGGTACCTAAGCTAAACTCCCTGAGGTAACAAGGAGATAGAGGTATATTTATCTTGATGTTAATGTTTCAAAGAGATGGATCCCCAGGTCCTTAAGAAAAATATTAGGTGGTCATGCTGGCAAGAGGCTTATTTAGCTCTTTAGAACATTTGCATAGTTATAGAAAAGATAGAAGGTGGCTTTGTAATAACCTTTTCTTGAGGAAATGCTCTAAGAAAAGGAAGAATGGAAAAGCCTTTTCCTATTCAGCAACTGGGAACATTCAATCCTACTATATACTACATATTTATTTATTCATTTACTTATAAATGGGCATGTAGGCTATTTCTAATATTTCATTATTTCCCATAATATGCCAATGAACATCCTTATCTATGCCTTCCTGGGCAGTGTGCAAGAGTTACTCAGATTATGAGCATTGTTAATACTACAGATATTTCCAAATTGTATTCCTGAGTGCTTATACACATTTATACTTACACCAACAAATATAAGACTATCCACTTTATCCATTTGTTCACATCATTAAGATTTGAGGCTGGGTACAGTGGCTCATACCTGTAATCCCTGCACTTTGGGAGGCTGAGGTGGGTGGATCACTTGAGGTCAGGAGTTCAAGGCCAGCCTGGCCAACATGGCGAAACTCCGTCTCTACTGAAAATACAAAAATTAGCGGGGCGTGGTGGTGGGCGCCTGTAATCCCAGTCACTTGGGAGGCTGAGGCAGGAGAATCACTTGAACCCAGGAGGCGGAGAGTGCAGTGAACTGAGATCGCATCATTGCACTCCAGCCTGGGCAACAAGAGCGAGACTCCATCTCAAAAAATAAAAAGATTTGAAATGGCCAGACCTTAAACATTTTGCCAATCTGACGGATGTGAAATGGTATCTCATTATTCCTTAATTTTTGTTTTCCTAACTACTAATTGAGTATGTTACAATGTGTTTATTAGCCATTCATATTTTCTTTTTTGTGACGTGCTTATTTTTGTAGTATTTGCCCATTTTTCTTTTGGGTTTTTGGTCTTCATTATTGATTTATAAGAGTCCTTTCTATATTTTAGAAGTTAGTATTTTATTTGTTATATATGTTACAAATAATTTCCCCTATTCCTAGTATTCCCCATTGCCAAAGTCAACTATACTGTTAATTTTTATCCTCCTTTCATTTTATTTCCTGTATTTTTTGTCATGCAGAAGTTTTTAACTGTTAAAATATATTTATTTTCCTTTATTACTTGTACTTTTTGCATCTTATTTAAGAAATTCTTTCCTATGCTGAAGTTAGAGATGTTTTCTTGTGTTCTTTTAAAAGTTTAAAAGTTTTGGCTGGGCGCGGTGGCTCACGCCTGCAGTCCCAGCACTTCGGGAGGCCGAGGTGGGCGGATCACGAGGTCAGGAGATCGAGACCATCTTGGCTAACATGGTGAAACCCTGTCTCTACTAAAAATACAAAAAATTAGCCGGGCGTGGTGGCAGGCGCCTGTAGTCCCAGCTACTCTGGAGGCTGAGGCAGGAGAATAGCGTGAACCCGGGAGGCGGAGCTTGCAGTGAGCCGAGATCGCGCCACTGCACTCCAGCCTGGGCGACAGAGCGGGACTCCGTCTCAAAAAAAAAAAAAAGTTTGGCCGGGCGCGGTGGCTCACGCCTGTAATCCCAGCACTTTGGGAGGCCGAGGCGGGTGGATCATGAGGTCAGGAGATCGAGACCATCCTGGCTAACAAGGTGAAACCCCGTCTCTACTAAAAATACAAAAAATTAGCCGGGCGCGGTGGCGGGCGCCTGTAGTCCCAGCTACTCGGGAGGCTGAGGCAGGAGAATGGCGTGAACCCAGGAAGCGGAGCTTGCAGTGAGCCGAGATTGCGCCCCTGCAGTCCGCAGTCTGGCCTGGGCGACAGAGCGAGACTCCGTCTCAAAAAAAAAAAA
Source organism: Homo sapiens (assembly GCF_000001405.40). Classification (NCBI taxonomy): domain Eukaryota; kingdom Metazoa; phylum Chordata; class Mammalia; order Primates; family Hominidae; genus Homo; species Homo sapiens. Next base: position 68,327,828 of record NC_000023.11, on the reverse strand, counting down.
AAAGTTTAAAATTTTTTTTTTTTTTTTTTTTATTTTTTTTATTTTTTATTTTTATTGATCATTCTTGGGTGTTTCTCGCAGAGGGGGATTTGGCAGGGTCATAGGACAATAGTGGAGGGAAGGTCAGCAGATAAACAAGTGAACAAAGGTCTCTGGTTTTCCTAGGCAGAGGACCCTGCGGCCTTCCGCAGCGTTTGTGTCCCTGGGTACTTAAGATTAGGGAGTGGTGATGACTCTCAACGAGCATGCTGCCCTCAAGCATCTGTTCAACAAAGCACATCTTGCACCGCCCTTAATCCATCTAACCCTGAGTGGACACAGCACATGTCTCAGAGAGCACAGGGTTGGGGATAAGGTCACAGATCAACAGGATCCCAAGGCAGAAGAATTTTTCTTAGTACAGAACAAAATGAAAAGTCTCCCATGTCTACTTCTATCCACACAGACCCAGCAACCATCCGATTTCTCAATTTTTTCCCCACCCTTCCCGCCTTTCTATTCCACAAAACCGCCATTGTCATCATGGCCCATCCCCAATGAGCCGCTGGGCACACCTCCCAGACGGGGTCGTGGCCGGGCAGAGGGGCTCCTCACTTCCCAGTAGGGGCGGCCCGGCAGAAGTGCCCCTCACCTCCCAGATGGGGCGGCTGGCCGGGCGGGGGGCTGACCCCCCCACCGCCCTCCCGGACGGGCGGCTGGCCAGGCAGAGGGGCTCCTCACTTCCCAGTAGGGGCGGCCGGGCAGAGGCGCCCCTCACCTCCTGGATAGGGCGGCTGGCCGGGCGGGGGCTGTTCCCCCCACCTCCCTCCCGGACGGGGCGGCTGGCCAGGCAGAGGGGTCCTCACTTCCCAGTAGGGGCGGCCGGGCAGAGGCGCCCCTCACCTCCCGGACGGGGCGGCTGGCCAGGCAGGGGGCTGATCCCCCCACCTCCCTCCCGGACGGGGCGGCTGGCCGGGCGGGGGGCTGACCCCCCCCACCTCCCTCCCGGACGGGGCGGCTGGCCGGGCAGAGGGGTCCTCACTTCCCAGTAGGGGCGGCCGGGCAGAGGCCCCCTCACCTCCGGACGGGGCGCCTGGCCAGGCAGGGGCTGATCCCCCCACCGTCCTTCCCGGACGGGGTGGCTGCCGGGCGGAGACGCTCCTCACTTCCCAGACGGGGTGGTTGCCAGACGGAGGGCTCCTCACTTCTCAGACGGGCGGTTGCCAGGCAGAGGGTTTCCTCACTTCTCAGACGGAGCGGCCGGGCAGAGACACTCCTCACCTCCCAGACAGGGTTGCGGCCCAGCAGAGGCGCTCCTCACATCCCAGACAGGGCGGTGGGGCAGAGGTGCTCCCCACATCTCAGACGATGGGCGGCCGGGCAGAGACGCTCCTCACTTCCTAGATGGGATGGCGGCGGGGAAGAGGCGCTTCTCGCTTCCTAGACGGGATGGCGGCCGGGCAGAGACGCTCCTCACTTTCCACACTGGGCAGCCAGGCAGAGGGGCTCCTCATATCCCAGACGATGGGTGGCCAAGCAGAGACGCTCCTCACTTCCCAGACGGGGTGGCGGCCGGGCAGAGGCTGCAATCTCGGCTCTTTGGGAGGCCAAGGCAGGCGGCTGGGAGGTGGTTGTAGCGAGCCGAGATCACGCCACTGCACTCCAGCCTGGGCACCATTGAGCACTGAGTGAACGAGACTCCATCTGCAATCCCGGCACCTCGGGAGGCCGAGGCTGGCGGATCACTCGCGGTTAGGAGCTGGAGACCAGCCCGGCCAACACAGCGAAACCCCATCTCCACCAAAAAAAAACGAAAACCAGTCAGGCGTGGCGGCGCGCGCCTGCAATCGCAGGCACTCAGCAGGCTGAGGCAGGAGAATCAGGCAGGGAGGTTGCAGTGAGCCGAGATGGCAGCAGTACCGTCCAGCTTTGGCTCGGCATGAGAGGGAGATGGACACGGGAGATGGACACGGAGACTGGAGATGGATATGGAGACGGGAGATGGATATGGACACTGGACATGGACACGGGACATGGACAAGGATACGGGAAAAGGAGAAGGATACCGGACACGGAAAAGGACACCGGACAAGGATATGGATAATGGAAAAGGAAATGGAAAACGGAAAAGGAAAAGGAAAACGGAAACGGATAAGGAAAACGGGAAAGGAAAAGGGAAACGGAAAGGGAAACGGAAACGGGAGAGGGAAACGGGAGAGGGAGAGGGAGACGGGAGAGGGAGAGGGAGACTGTGGTCTTTATCCAAAAGTTTAAAAATTTTGCTTTTCACATTTAGATTATAATCCATGTAGTTTTATTTTTGTGTATGGTATGAGATAGACATCTAGATTTGTATATAGATGGCCAATTAATCCAACATATTTTATGTAATAATATTCACTTTTTTCAATAGTTTGTGATGTTTCCTGTGTCATATCATAATTTTTTATATATATGTGCATCTATATCAGAGATTTCCATTTCTGGTCCACCTGGCTATTTGTCTATCCCGGCAACTAGACTGTCTTGATTATTGTAGCTTGTAAGAAGTCTAGCTTATTGGAGAGTCTGATTAAATTGTTTTCCAGTACTTTCTTAACTGTTTTTAGATTGGCACTTCTCTATTGAATGACTGAGTTCATCAAGTTCCATTAAAAAAAAACCTACAGATTAGAATTGCATGACTTTATAGATTGATTGAGAGAACAGACCCCATGAGTTTTCTCATGTATGAATATGGGTAATTGTTTCAACTATCAGGGGTCATTTGTATCTTTCAATATTGTTTAATTTTTTTAAGAGACAGTGCTTTGCTCTGTTGCCCCAACTTGAGTGAAGTGGCATGATCATAGCTCACTGCAGCCTTGACCTCCCAAGCTCAAGTGATCCTCCGACCTCAGCCTCCCGCGTAGCTGGGACTGCAAGTGCACTCCACCATGCCCATCAAATTTTTTTTTTTTTTTTTACTTTTGTGGATATGGGGTCTCCTTATGTTGCCCAGGCTGGTGTCAAACTCCTGGGCTCAAGCAATCCTCCCACCTTGGCCTCCCAAAGTGTTGGGATTACAGGCGTGAGCCACTGCACCCAGTCTGTCTAAAATTTTTAATATGAAATTCATGCACATTTTTTCTTAAATTCATTTTAAGGTAATTTACATGTTTAGTTGCTATGATGAACCCCTTTAAAGTATTTTCTAATTATTATTTATTTTTATTTTTAGATTTTTTTTTTTTTTTGAGAAAAGGTATCACTGTGTCGCCCAGGTTGGAGTGCAGTAGCATGAACACATCTGACACTGCAGCCTTGAACTCCCAGGCTCAAGTGATCCTCCTCCCACGTCAGCCTCTGGAGTAGCTGGGACTACAGCGCGCACCACCATACCTGGCTATTTTTTTTTTTTTTTAATTTTTGTAGAGACGGAGTCTTACCGGTTTGCCCAGGCTCATCTTGAACTCCTGGGCTCAAATGATCCTCTTGCCTGGGTCTCCCAAGTTGCTGGGATTAAAGGCAAGAGCCACCATGCCCAGCCTAATTGTTTATTTTGAACATTTGGAATTCAATTGATTTTCATATTGTTGATCTTGTATCCAGTAACTTTGATGAACTGTCATTATTTCTAATGGTTTGCCTGTAGGTTTGTTTGTATTTTCTTACTGGTAATATCATGTCACCTATAAATATTTATTACTTCATGGCTTTCTTTCTAACCTTTACACTTTATCTAACTTTTCCATGTCCAAATGCATTGGCTAGCATGGCCATACAGTTTCTATTAGTAAGAGCTATAGGGACACTCTGGACTTCATCTGTGCTTTAATAGGAATGCTTCTACAATTTCACCATTAAATTTGATGTTTGATGTAAGCTTTTAATAGATAGTGGTCATCAGGTTAATGAAGTTCTTTCTAGTCTGAGGATGCCTTTTTTTGTAATGATCCTCATGGATGAGTACTGCATTTTAATCAAATGCTTTTTATTGTCAGTCTGTATGTATGATAAATTACAATAATAGGTTTTCTAATGTTCAATTATCCTTAAAGTCTTAAACCATACGTAATCATGATGTATAGTCAATTTCTTATATGTTGCTTATTCACCAAAATTCTGTTTAGGATTTTTGCATTTATCTTCATGAATGAGATTGGTCTATAATTTTTTTCTTGTACATTTTATCATTTACTCATTCAACAAGTATTTATTGAGTCCATACTGTGTTCTGTGTACTGTTCTAGTGAATGTTGATATAGTAGTGAATAAAATAGATAAAAATCTTTGCCCTCATGAAACTTATATTCTACTATGGGGAAGACAGACCATAAACAAGACAATTTATTAAATATGTAGTATATTAGATGTTGACAAATGCTAACGATACAAATAAGCAGAAATTAGGATACATAGTGTGTGTGTGTAGGGGGGTATGCAATCTCAGAAAAGAATTTACAGCAACAGCTCTCTTACAAGGTGACATTTTAGGAAAGACATGTGAGGGAAGAGAAAGTATAATGGCTCTGAAGTAAGCATGTTTCTGGTAGGTTCAAGAAAGAGAAAGGAAGCCATTGTAGCTAGACTGTTTTACTATCAGACCAATAAGTAAATTGGGTAGCTTTCCCTCTCTTTAAAAAATGTAATTGTATCTTACATAATTATACTGTAATATAAAAACCAGGAAACTGACAATGGTACAATGTATATGTATCGTTCTATGCATTTTATCAAGCTGTGTAGATTTGCATGACTTTAACCTTAGTTAATATACATAACGATTTCATCAACACAAATATCTTCCTTCATGCTACCCCTTTATATTCACGCCCACACACTTCCTTGCCACCACATGTATCCTCTGGCAACTAAGAACATGCTCTCCATTTCTATATTTTTGTCATTTTGAGAGTATTATATAAGTGGAATCATACAGTATGTGACCTTTTAAGATTTTTTTTTCTTTTTTCTCAGCATAATTTTCTGGTGATTCTTGCAAGTTATTGCATATGTCAATAATTGATTTATTTGTATTGGTATTGAGTGGTGCAACTTTCTGTTTTGTTTTATTTTGTTTCGAGACAGGGTCTCACTCTTTCAACCAGGCTGGAGTGCAATGGTGCGATCTTGGCTCACTGCAACCTCCGTCTCCCGGATTCAAGCGATTCTTCTGACTCAGTCTCCCAAGTAGCTGGGATTACACGCACACACCACCACTCCTGGCTAATTTTTATATGTTTAGTGGAGACGGGGTTTCATCATGTTGACCAGACTAGTCTCGAACTCCTGGCCTCAAGTGATCGTCTTGCCTCAACCCCCCAAAATGCTGGGATTACAAGCATGAGCCACCGTGCCCAGCTAAGTGGTGCAACTATTGAATAGTATTCCATGGCATGGATGTATCATAGCTTGTTTAACTATTCACCTTTTGAGGGACATTTTAGTCATTTCCATTTTTTGGCTATTACAGATGAAGCTGTTATGAATATTCCTGTAGAGGATTTTGTGCAGTCATATGTTTTGTTTTCTCTGGGATAAATGCCTGGGAACGTAATTGCTGGGTTGTATGATAAGTGTTTTAAAAGAAACTGAGGGCCAGGTACAGTGACCCATGTCTGTAATCCCAGCACTTTGGGAGTCTGAGGTGGGCAGATTGCATGAATCCAGGAGTTTGAGACCAGTCTGGGCAACATGGCGAAACCCCATCTCTACAAAAAGTACAAAAAATTAGCTGGGTCCAGTGATGTACACATGTAGTCCCAACTACTGTGGAGTCTGAGGTGGGAGGATAACCTGAGCCAGGTAGTTGAGGCTGCAGTGAGCCATGATGGCGCCACTGCACTCCAGCCTGGGTGACAGAGTGAGACCCTGTCTGAAAAATAAAATAAAATAAAATAAAAACAAACTCTTAGAATGTAAAATATGTTTGGTCTTTTTTTTTTCTTTATTTTGAGACAGAGTCAGGGTGGAGTGCAATGGTGCGATATTGGGTCACTGCAACCTCCACCTCCCAGGTTCAAGCGATTCACCTGCCTCAACCTCCTGAGTAGCTGGAATTATAGGCGCCCACCACCATGCCCAGCTAATTTTTATATTTGTAGTGGAGAAGGGGTTTCACCATGTTGGCCAGGCTAGTCTCAAACTCCTGACCTCAGGTGATCCACCTGCCTTGGCCTCCCAAAGTGCTGGGATTACAGGCATGAGCCACCGTGTTATGCCCAGCCTGTTATGTCATTCTTATGCCTTTGAGTCCTCATAGCTTAGCTCCCACTTGTAAGTGAGAACATACGACATTTGGGTTTTCCATTCCTGTCACTCATACTTTGGGTAGAATGGAAGCCTGCAAACCTGTGTGGCTTCATGCTGGGAGACTTTCATGTAATATGATGGACTGGACTAATTATTAATGATTGAATGGGATTCTAGTAATGTGCCAGTATCTTTTGAATTCTGTATCCTTCTGATGTAAGGCCAGCAGGGTTCTAAGGGGTAGAGAGTAGGGACTTGTGATATTGCAAAATATGTATTCGGTCTTTGAGCAGGTTTCCTGACATACAACTCCTAAAATCATTCGAATCTTGTAAGTGATGTCTTTTTGTATGCTAATAATGGACCCATGCCTGGCACCTTCTAGGTAGCGTCACGATAGGGGGTGGTCACCATAAAGACTAAGGCAGGAATAGAGGGTTGGGACTTGAGTCCCACTCCCAACCTCCAGGGAGGGAAGAGGGGCTGAAGGTTAAGTTGGTCACCAATAATCAATGGTTTAATCAATCATGGCTACACAATGAAGCTTCCATAAAGGCCTAAAGAACTGGGTTTGTAGAGCTTCCAGATAGATGAACACATGAAGGTTCCCAGAGGGTGGTATGCCCAAGTAGGGAAGGGAAGCCCTGTTCCTCTTTCCACATGCCTTGCTCTATGTATCTCTTCACCTGTATCCTTTGTAATATCTTTTATAATAAATCAGTAAACATAAGGGGTTTCCTGAGTTTGGTGAGCCGCTCTATCAAATTAATAGAACACAAAGAGGGGGTAATGGGTACCCCAACTTGAATCTGGTCAGTGAGATGTTCCAGAGACCTGGACTTGGGTCTGGTGTCTGAATTGGGGTAGTGTTGTGGTACCGAGCCCCCAGCCTGTGGGATCTGATGCTATCTCCAGGTAGATAGTGTCATAATTGAATTGGATGATGCCCAGCTGGTGTCCACTGCAAAATTGATTGCTTATTTGGGGTATGGGGGAAAATTCCCAACCATTTGGTCACAGAAGTCATGCATGTTGATTGTTGCTGTGTTGTGAGAATATAGAAAAATGGGGGGGGGTTCATTCATAGAAACTGTCAAAGTGTTTTCTAGAGAGGTTTCACAATTTTACATTTGCAACAATGTAATAAGAAATTCAGTTTTTCTGTATCCTCACCAGCATTTGGTATTGTCACTGTTTTTTGTTTTAGCCTTTCTGATAGCTCTGTGGTAATATCTCAATATCTCTTTGTATTTATATATATTTTTTTGAGACGGAGGCTTACTCTGTCGCCCAGGCTGGAGTGCAGTGGCGTGATCACAGCTCACTGCAACCTCTGCCTCATGGGTTCAAGCGATTCTCCTGCCTCAGCCTCCTGAGTAGCTGGGATTACAGGCGCCCAACACCATGCCTGGCTAATTTTGTATTTTTAATATAGATGGAGTTTTGCCATGTTGGCCAGGCTGGTCTCGAACTCCTGACCTCAAGTGATCCACCCATCTCAGCCTCTCAAAGTGCTGGGATTACAGGTGTGAGCCACTGTGCCCGGCTTCTCTTTCTATTCTTTATGTTTACTGATCAGCTATTTATGTTGACTATTGTTTCTTATGCTTATTTGCCATCCACATATCCTCTGCAGTTAAATATTTTTTTATATCTGTTGCCCGTTTTCTGTTTGGATTGTTATCAATTTTCAACTTTGAGTATTCTTTATATGTATAAAGAATTTTATATATGAGTCCTTTGTGAGATATGTGGTTTGTGAATACTTTCTCTCAATCTACAACTTGTCTTTTCATCCTAACAGGTCTTTTGTAGAGCAAAATTGTAAAATTTTGTTGGAGTTTAGGTTGTAGATTTATTTATTTATTTATTTTCTTTGGAGAGCAAGTCTCATTCTGGTCTCTCAGGCTGCAGTGAAATGGCTAGATCCCGGCTCACTGCAACCTCCACCTCCCAGGCTCGAGCAATCCTCCCACCTCAGCCTCTCGAGTAGCTGGGACTACAGGTGAGCGCCACCACACTCAGCCAATTTTTGCATTTTTCATAGAGATGGGGCCTTACTGTGTTGTCCATGCTGGTCTTGAACTCCTGTGCTCAAGTGATCCACCTGCCTCGGCCTCCCAAAGTGCTGGGATTACAGGCATGAGCCACCATGCCCAGTCATTTTTTTTTTCTTTTATAGGTCATGATTTTGGTATTATGTCTAAGAACTCTTCGTCAAGGCCTAGGATCTAAAGATTTTCTTCAAACTTTCTCCTAAAAATTCTGTTGTTTAATGTTTAAGTCTGTGATGCATTTTGAGATAATTTTTGAATAAGGTATGAGGTTTAAGTTGAGGTTCATTTTTATGTCTCATGTTCAGTGGCTCCAGGGCCATTTATTGGAAAAGTAATATTTCCTCCATTCAATTGCTTTTGTACCTTTGATAAAAATCACTTGGGTAATAATTTGTGTAGATATTCCATTTCACCCTCAGGAGGGCATAAATGTGGACTGCACATGGTGATTTTCTTCCTAAGATGCAGTATGGAAAGGAGGAAAGAAAGAGTAATTTGAGAGTGGAGAAACCTGACACTGCGTTATCCAGGTGATCAAGGTCAACATCAATAGTGATAAATCATGTTGATAGTGTATACCTGTGGTATGATGTATGACAGTGGCACTTTATCTCAGTGGTATTTCTCCCCAAAATTTATAATCCCAGTGTAATCATGATAAAAACTTAAGACAGATCTTAATTGAGAGACATTCTCCAAAATACCTGAGCAGTACTTCTCAAAACCGGCAAGGTCATCAAGAACAAGGAAAGTCTGAGAAACTACCAGAGCTAAAAGGAGCCTAAGGAGTCATGATGACTAAACGTAATGTGGGATCTTGGATGGGATTTGGAAAAGTAAAAAGACCTTAGGTAAAAACCAAGGAAATCTGATTAAAGTATGGACTTTAATAATGTATCAATATTCACTAGTTGTGACACATGTACCATACTATTATACACTGCTAATAACAGAAGAATTGGGTGTAGTGTATATGGGAACTGTACTCTCTTTGAAATTCTTCAATAAATCTAAATCATTCTAAAGTTTATTTAAAATAATCAGTGGGGCTGGGTACTGTGGCTCATGCCTTTAATCCCAGCACTTTGATTTTTTAAAAAGGAGCTATTTTAGTTCCTTTATGTTTCCATATACATTTTAGAATTATTTTGTCTGTCTTTGCCCCAAAAAAATCTTGCTGTGGTTTTGATAGGAATTGCCTGAAACCTGTATATCAATTTGGGGAGAATTGACATTTTTATTATGTTGAGTCTTATAATACATAAACATGGTAAGCTTCTCCATATATTTAGACTTTGATTTCTTTTGTCTGTGTTTTGTTTTCGGTATACAATTCTTGAATAGGTTTAGTTAGAATTACATGTACTTGTTTTTTGGGGGGGTTCATTGTAAATGGTATTGTGTTTTTTATTTCAGTTTCTACTTGTTAATTGCTAGTATATACAAATACGATTGATTTTTGTATGTTGATTTTGTATGGGGCAGCTTTGCTGAACTGATTTATTAGTTCTAGGAATTTTGTGGCAGATTGCTTGGTGTTGTTTTACAGACTATCAGTCATCTGAAATACAGACGCTTTGAAATAGAGACACTTTTGATACGTTGTAACTTTAGTTCAATGTATAGTTTTTTGTTTGTTTGTTTTTTTACTTGAGATGGGGATTCAAAGTGTTGGGATTACAGGTGTGAGCCACCTTGCCTGGCCTCAGTGTGTTGTTAATTTTCCTTGAGATTTCCTCTTTGACCTATAGGTTTAGGAATGTGTTAGTTTCCATGTGTTTGGAAATTTTCCTGATTTCTTACTGCTACTGATCTTTTCTTTTTTCTTTTCTTTTCTTTTCTTTTCTTTCTTTCTCTTTCCCTCCCTCTCTCCCTTCCTCCTCCTCCTCCTTCCTCCTTCTCTTCTTCTTCTTCTTTTTCTTTTCTTTTCTCCTTCCCTCACTCCCTCCTTTCTTTTTTCTTTCTCTCTCTTTCTTTCTTTCTCTTTCTTTCTTTCTTTCTTTCTTTCTTTCTTTCTTTTTTTCTTTCTTTCTTTCTTTCTCTCTCTCTTTCCCTCCCTCTCTCCCTCCCTCTCTCCCTTCCTCCTCCTCCTCCTCTTCTTCTTCTTCTCTTTTTCTTTTCTTTTCCCCTCGCTCCTTCCTTCCTTCCTTCCTTCCTTCCTTCCTTCCTTCCTTCCTTCCTTTCTTTCTTTCTTTCTTTCTTTCTTTCTTTCTTTCTTTCCTCTCTTTCTTTCTTCTTCTTCTTTTTCTTTTTTTTTTTGAGACAGATTTTCACTCTGTTGCCCAGGCTGCAGAGCATTGTCACCATCAGGGTTCACTGCAGCCTCGACCTCCTGGGCTCAGGCAGTCCTCCCATCTCAGCCTCCTGAGTAGCTGGGATTACAGGCATGCATTACCACGCCAGGCTAATTTCATGTATTTTTTGTAGAGATGGGGCTTTGTAATGTTGCCCAGGCCTTTCTCGAGCTCCTGGGCTCAAGCAATCCACATGCCTCAGCCTCCCCAAGCACTGGGATTACAGGCTTGTGCCACCGTGCCCAGCCTGTTACTGATTTCTAGTTTGATTTCATTCTGACCACAGAATATTCCCTGTGGAATTGAAAATAAAAAAACTTTTTTTGAGGTTGGTTTTATGGCTCAGAATATGGCTGTGGTAGGCAGAATAATAGCCCTTCAAAGGTGTCCACATTCTACTCACTTAAATTTATAAATGTTATATTGCATGGCAAAAGGGAATTAAGGTTGCAAGTGTAATGAGGTTTGCTGATGGCCTAATTTTGAGATGTGAGCATATCTTGGATTAGCCAATTGTGCCCAGTGTTTTCATAACGGTCTTTATACATTGAAGAGGGAGGCAGGAAAGAGAGAACCAGAGTGGTGGAGGTGTCATAAGGACTTGATCTGACATTGCTGATGTAGAAGATGGAGAAATCTTTGGTCAGGAACCAAGTAATGTGCGTGGCTGGGAAAGGCAAAGAAAGAGAGTCTCACTAAAAGCCTCCAGAAGGAACACAGACCTGCTGACACTGATTGTAGCTCAGTGAGGCCCATTTTGAGGTTTGACTTCAAGAACTGTAAGACAATACATTTGTATTGTTTTAAACCACCAAGTTTATGGTAATTTCTTATGGCAGCGAATAGAAAACTAATATAATGGTCTATATCAGTAATATATCATGGACGCTTGAAAAGAATGTCTATTCTGCTAATTTTGGTTGGGGTGTTCTATAAATTTTGATTAGATCCTGTAGACCGATGGTGTTGCTTAGTTGTTCTATAACCTTGCTGTCTAGTTTTATACATTGTTGAAAGAGGACTGTTGAGGTCTCCTATTGTAATTGTGGATTTGTCTCTTCTTATGGTTCTGTCAGTCTTTGCTTTATGTGTTTTGAACATCTGTTGTTTTGTGCATACACATTTAGGAATGCTATATCTTCTTGGTGGATTGGCACTTTTAACATTATGTAATGCCCCTCTGTATCCCTATTAATTTATTTGCTCTGATGTCTACTTTATCTGATATTAATATAACCACTCCTGTTTTTTTTAATTTTTAGTTATTTATTTAGAGACCAGATTATGAGACTGTCATTATAATAATATTAAGTCTTCTAATCCATGAACACAGATGTCTTTGCATATATTTCTGTCTTTAATTTCTTTCATTAATGCTTTGTAGTTTTCATTGTACAAGTCTTTTGTCTCCTTGGTTAAATTTATTCCTATGTATTTTATTCTTTGAGACGCTACTGTAAATGGAATTATATTCTTAATTTTTCTAATTGTTAATTTTTTAGTGTATAGAAATGCAACTGTTTTTTTTGTGTTGGTTTTGTGTCCTGTAACTTCTAAATTCATTTATTAGGTCTAATAATATTTTTTGTGAATTTTAGGGATTTTCTGCATGTTAAGTTCATGTCATTGGCAAATAGAGATAATTTTACTTCTTCCTTTACAATTTAAGTTTACATTTTATTTTCTTTACTTGTTAAATTGCTGTGGCTAGAACTTCCAATACTGTGTTGAATAGAAGTGGTAAAGCTTCTAGACTTTAATAATTGAGTATGATATTAGCTGTGTGTTTTTCATATATGACCTTTATCATGTTGAGGTAGCAATCTTCTATTCATAGTTTATTGTTTGTTTTAATATGAAATGTGTTGAATTTCATCAAATGAAATGTGTAGAATGACTTCGCATAAATCGAGATGAGTATGTTTCTTTCTTACTTTCTGTCTTTCTCTCTCTCTCTGTCCCTTCCTCCCTCCCTACCTCCTTCTCCCCCCTCTTTCTTTCTTTCTTCCCTTTCTTCCTTTTCTTCCCTTTCTTTTCTGTCTTCTGACTGGGTCTCACTCTGTCACCTAGATCACCAAGGCTGGAGTGCAGTGGTGTGATCATAGCTCCCTGCAGGCTCGAACTCCTTGGCTCAATTGATCCTTCTGCTTCAGTCTCCCAAGTAGCTGGGAAGATGCACGTGACCATGACAGGCTTCCCTTTGTTTTTATTAAACGATGTATAATATCGACTGATTCTCTCTCTGTGTCTCTTTCTCTCTCTGTTTTTTTTTTTTTTTTGAGATGGAGTCTTGCTCTGTCGCCCAGGCTGGAGTGCAGTGACACGATCTTGGCTCACTGCAACCTCCACCTCCTGGGTTCAAGCGGTTCTCCTGCCTCAGCCTCCTGAGTAGCTGGGACTATATGCATGTGCCACCATGCCCAGCTAATTTTTGTATTTTTAGTAGAGACAGGGATTCACCATTTTGCTTAGGCTGGTCTTGAACTCCTGACTTCAGGTGATCCGCCTGCCTTGGCCTCCCAAAGTGCTGGGGTTACAAGTGTGAGCCACCATACCTGGCCAAGATGTTCGTTTTTTTTTGTAGTGTTTTTCTCTAGCTTTGGTATCTGAATATTTTAGAAGGGTTTGAGAAGTATTGGTGTTATTGTTTTTTAAATTTTTGGTAGAATTCAACAGTGAAACCACCTGGTCCAGGGCTTTTATTTTTATTTTTATTTTTTTTGGTTGGGAGGATTTTTTTTTTGAAATGGAGTTTCGCTCTTGTTGCCTAGGCTGGAGTGCAATAGCACGATCTCGGCTCACTGCAACTTCCACCTCCTGGTTTCCAGCAATTCTTCTGCCTCAGCCTCCCAAGTAGCTGGGATTACAGGCATGCGCTACCACGCCCGGCTAATTTTGTATTTTTAGTAGAGATGGGGTTTCACCTTGTTGGTCAGGCTGGTCTCGAACTCCTGACCTCAAGTGATCCACCCGCCTCAGCCTCCCAAAGTGCTGGGATTGCAGGCATGAGCCACTGTGCCTGGCCCGGTTGGGAGGATTTTGATTACTGATTCAATCTCCTAATGGCATTCATTTATTCAGTTTTTCTGTTTCTTTGTTATTCAGTTTTTGTAGGTTGTGTGTTACAAGGAATTTGTCCTTTTGATCTAGGCAATCCAATTGGTTGGCATGCAATTGTTTATAGTATTCTCTTATAATCCTATTGATTCATGTAAAATTGGTAGTAATGTCCTCTCATTTATTTCTTTTTAAAAAAATTTAATTTTTTTAATTTTTGTGGGTACATAATAGGTATATATACTTATGGGGTACATGAGATATTTTGATACAGGCATACAATGGTTAATAATCACATCAGGGTAAATGAGGTATTCAATCATGTCAAGCATTTATCATTTATTTGTACTGTAAACCAATTATACTCTTTTAGTTATTTTAAAATATACAATAAATTGTTGTTGACTATAGTTACACTGTTGTGCTATTCAGTACTAGATTTTATTCATTCTAACTATATCGTTGTACCCATTAACCATTCTTACTCTCTTCCCTCACTCCCCACTACCCTTGTCAGCTTCTGGTAATCATCCTTCAACTCTCCATCTTCATGAGTTCAATTGTTTTAATTTTTAGCTCCCACCAATAAGTGAGAACATGTGAAATTTGTCTTTCTGTGCCTGGCTTATTTCACTTAACACAATCTCCAGTTCCATCCATTGTTGTTGGAAATGACAGGATTTCATTCTTTTTTATGGTTGAATGGAGTACTATTCAGCCATAAAAAAAGAATGATTAGATCTCATTTGTGGTATTTGTGAATGACGTGGTATATGTACCACTTTTTCTTTATCCATTCATCTGTTGATGGACACTTAGAGTGCTATAAGAAACATGGGAGTGTAGATATCTATTCGGTATGCTGATTTCCTTTCTTTTGGGTATATACCTAGCAGTGGGATTGCAGGATCATACGGCAGCTCAATTTTTAGTTTATTAAGGAAGCTCCAAACTGTTCTACATAGTGGTTGTACTAATTTACATTCCCACCAACAGTGTACGAGGGTTCCCCTTTTTCCACATACTCGCCAGCATTTATTATTGCCTGCCTTTTGGATAAAAGCCTTCCTTTCCTTTCTTTCTTATTTATTTATTTATTTATTTGAGATAGGGTTTTGCTTTGTCATCCAGCCCACAATGCAGTTGTAGGATCATCACGCACTGCAACATCGAGCTCCTGGGCTCACGTAATACTCCTGCCTTAGCCTCCCAAGTAGCTGGGACTACAGGCATGTACCACCACACCCAGCTAATTTTTATTTTTTGGTGGATATGAGTCTCACTCTGTTGCCCAGATTGGTCTTGAGCTCCTTGACTCAAGTAATCCTCCTGCCTTGGCCTCTCTAAATGTTGGGATTATAAGCATGAGCCACCGTGCTCGGTCCCTAATTTTATTCCTGATTTTAATAATTTGTGTCATCTCTATTTTTTCCTATTCAGTCTAGCTAAAAGTTTGTCAATTTTGTTGATCTCTTTAATCTTTTGGCTTCATTGATTTTCCTTATTGTTTTTCTATTGTCTATTTTATTGATCTGGGGACTATTTTTTATTTTCTTTCTTCTACTATCTTATGTTTAGTTTTCTCTTTTTCAAGTTTCTTAAGGTGTAAAGTTAGATTACTGATTCAAGATATTTCTTCATTTTTAATGTAAGCATTTACAGCTATAAATCTCCCTTTCAGCACTGCTTTTACTGCATGCCATACGTCTTGAAAATTATGTTGTGTTTTTGGTTTCATTTATCTCAAGATACTTGCTATTTTATCTTGTGATTTCTTCTTTGACTTATTGGTTGTTTAAGAGTGAGTTATTGGCCGGGAGCACAGGTTCACACCTGTAATCCCAGCATTTTGGAAGGCCGAGGCATGTGGGATTGCTTGAGCTCAAGAGTTTCAGACCAGTCTGGGCAACATAGTGGGAACCCGTCTCTACAAAAAAAAAAAAAAAAAAAAAAAATTAGCCGAGCCTAGTGGTACATGCCAGTAGTCCCAGCTACTTGGGAGGCTGAGGTGGGAGGATTGCTTGAGGCTGCAGTGAGCTGAGATTGTGCCAGTATACTCCAGCTGGGGCAACAGAATGAGACCCTGTCTCAAAAAAAAAAAAAAAAATAGAATATAATTTCATGTGTTTGTGAATTTTCCTGTTTTCTTATATTATTAATTTCTAGTTTAATTTCATTTTTATCAGAAAAAATATTTTGCATGACTTTAAGCTTTTAAAATGTATTAACATTTGTTTTGTGGCCTAACATGTTGTCTGTCCTGGAGAAATTTTCATGTGCATTTCAAAAAATGTGTGTTTTATTGTTGTGGGATGGAGTATCCTTTATATATCTGTTTGTTCCAGTTGGCTTATATTGTTGTTCAAGTACACAAATTCCTTACTGATCTTCTGTCTGGTTGTTTCATCCATTATTGTATCTATTATAGTATAACTATCTGTTTCTTCCTTCGGTTTTATCAGTGTTTGCTTCACCAGCTAGGCACGGTGGCTCACGCCTGTAATCCCAACACTTTGGGAGGCCGAGGTGGGCGCATCACTTGAGGTCAGGAGCTCGAGACCAGCTTGGTCAACATGGTGAAACCCCGTCTCTACTAAAAATACAAAAATGAGCCAGGTGCGATGGCGGGTGCTTATAATCCCAGTTACTCGGGAGGCTGAGGCAGGAGAATCGATTAAACCCAGGAGGCGGAGGTTGCAGTGAGCCCAGATTGCATCACTGCACTCCAGCCTGGGTGACAGAGCGAGACTCCATCTCAAAACAAACAAACAAACAAAGACATACCTTTGCTTCATGTATTCTGGGGATTTCATGTTTGTTGCTTGTATGTTTGTAATTGCTGTGTATTCTACGTGAATTGCCCTTTTAAATATATATTATCCATTTTGTTTGATATTCCCATTTTGTTCTTTTTCTTTCTTTTTTGGGAGCGGGGACAGGGTCTTGCTCTGTTGCCTAGCCTGGAGTGCTGTGGCACTATCATAGCTTACTGCAAGCCTTGACCTCCCAGGCTGAAGCCATCCTCCAGCCTCAACTTCCCTCCAACCACCTTAGCTGGGGACTACAGGCATGCACCACCATTCCTGGTGATTTTAAATAATTTTTTTTTTGAAGGGGTAGAGACAACTTCTCACAATGTTGCCCAGGCTGGTCTCGAACTCTTGGTTTCAAGCAGTCTGCTTGCCTTGGCCTCTCACAGTGCTGGAATTACAGGCATGAGCCATGGCACCTGGCCTCCCCCATGCCTTTTATTCCCTTATTTGGGTTTTCCTATCAGTGCCTCTTTTCCTAGCCTTATCTTCTATTTTTTCTTTTATATTTTGCAGCTGTTTTTCTCCCTGTGCTGTGCTCTGGATGATTTCTTCAGATCTGTTTTCTAGTTTGCTACTAGTATGTTGATGGTTATTTTCTCTTAGCAAGTAAAAACTAATAATCCATTTTTTGGCAGTGTTGTTGTTGAGCAAATGGCTGTCATTCTGATTCTTGTTTCTTTTGAGATAATCTGTGACTGGTATATGGATTCTAATTTTTACTATTTTTTTGAATATTTAAATTATTCATATTTAAAAATTACTTTTTGGAGTGTAATATAATCCTAGATCTTACAGAAGAGAACCCACTTATTTGCCTTGACTGCTGCCTGGCTCTCATATTGGTTTCCTAGTGTGGTTTATAATTTTCAACTGTGAAGTTCTGGGTGGCAGTTGTTTCTTTGGGATTCCCTTATGTGCCCTGGGTTATAGAGGTGTTCTTATGGGGCATTTTTTTTTTCCTCTTCTTAGAGCTTGCGTGGTGCTGGTTCAGGATTAGTTTTAAAATTAACTTTTAGAAACCTTTGTGAGCAGTATAAACTTGAACTCTAATTAGCAAAAGCTTGTGGTTCTGGATAACTTTATTTTACCACAATGGGAGACTCTCTAGTGTATTCCTACAGTGTCATATGCCAGTAGACCTCATGAAGGGACCTCATTCCAAGCTCCCAGCTCCTAAGTAATGTCCCTTTGCCTGCTGATAAAATTCCAACTACCACATATAGTCAATTCTTGTTATTCATGGTAGTTATGCTCTGTAAAGTCAATGTAAACATTTAGTTAGTGAATACTGAACCATTTCTCCTAGAGGAAATACAGGGTTAGGTACCTGTGAGCCTCTCCACGTTTTCAGCAGCCATCAATACATAAACTTGTTTTACCTGGTTTCTGTTTAAAGACCCCATATTTTATCATATATATAGTTGATTCATTAACATTGAATTCATGGCTAACAGCACTAGAAGCTGTGGCTGAACGAAGCTTATCTAGCACCTACTTGTTTTCTCTGTAAGGATGTCTCAGCCTTCTTTCCTTTAGGACCACCAGATAGTACTTCAGCACTATGCTAAGGGGCCATGTTAAACAGCTAACCCATCAACAAGAAGTAGAAAAATGTGACAAATGTGGCACTAAATAGACCAGGAAAAGGACAATTGTTTTATAGTATGAGAGCTGAAACAAGAAGGCAGTATCCCCCTTTTCAAGCTCAGAATGTATATATTGGTGACTCACATTTTTCATAGCTATTTGCATGTCCATGAATGAGTGGGCAAAATGTCGTAAGTATTGATTTTGGTGTTGCAAGTACATTTTATTGACTAGGCAAATTTGCAAATATAGAATCCGTAAATAATGAGAACTGAGTATATCTAGTTCTAATCTCTCTACTGCCTCAGCTGCTGCTCTCTGTTATGGCTTTGAATTTGTTCTTCATTTCTAGTACTTGGGAGCTTCTTTTTCTTGCTTTCTCAGTTTGCTATGTATTTTAAAAATACACACATGTTTGTTGCCCTTTTACCCAGTATTTTTATGTATTTGGATTAGGAGGAAGATATTTTGGTTAAATCAATCTGATTTATAGAGTAGCTACTTCATTTACTCATTTTAAAAAGGAAAAACATATACTCAAGAGTGTTAAAGAGAAGAGACCTTGAGGATTATCTTGTTTATTGGTTCTTAACATGGGTTTCTTAGGGCATCTGGAACTGTAGAGATTGTACAGAAGTTTATGTTACATATATCTTTCTGGGAAGAAAGTATTTTTTATATTCTCAAAGGGGTCTATAACCCTTTAAAAATGCAAGAACCAGGCTGGGCGCAGTGGCTCACACTTGTAATCCCAACACTTTGGGAGGCCAAGACAGGAAGATTGCTTGAGCACAGGAGTTTGAGATCGGCCTCCTCAATATAGTGTGACCCTGTCTCTACAAGAAAAAAATAAAAAAATAAATAGCCAGGTGTCATGGCGCACAGCTGTAGTCCCAGCCACTCAGGAGGCTGACGTGGGAGGATCACTTGAGCCCAGGAGGTTGAGGCTGCAGTGAGCTGAGATCATGCCACTGCACTCCAGCCTGGGCATCCGAGCTAGACCCTGTCTCAAAAAACAAAAAAACAAGTGCGAGAACCACTGTCCTAGTCTAGTTTCACTTCAAATTTATAGGCTAACTGCGTATATCCTCATTAGTTCATATCAGTCTAGTTAATAGCAACGTTAGCCAAATTTTAAAATAAAAATAACTACATTTAGAAAGTGATTTATTTTCTTTTCTTTTTTCTTTTCTTTTCTTTTCTTTTTTCTTTTCGTGAGATGGGGTCTCACTCTGTCACCCAGGCTGCAGTGCAGTGGCACAGTCTCAGCTCACTGCAACCTCTGACTCCTGAGCTCAAGTGATCCTCCCATCTTAGCCTCCTGAGTAGCTAGAACCACAGGCACACACCACCACGCCTGCCTGATTTTTTGTATTTTTGGTAGAGACGGGGTTTCACCATGTTGGCCAGGCTGGTCTCGAACTCCTGAGCTCAAGTGATCTGCCTGCCTCAGCCTCCCAAAGTGCTGGGATTACAGGCGTTAGCCACTGCCGCACCCAGCCAATTTATTTTTTGTGAAAGAACTTCACCATGACATCTTATTTTAATCCCCCCACAAGCCAATGAGGTATATGATATTATGTTTCTTTCACAACTGTAGGAACTAAAGGGAAGCCACAGTAACTGGTAAGTAGTAGCATTTTTTTGTTTTTGATTAATTGAGGCCCAGGGAGGCAAGTTAACTTGCCCAAACTCATGAAACTGATTTGTTCCAGAGGCAAGACTAAAACTCCTGTCTTAGTGATATTTCCACTACCTCATTTTGCTTTGGAAAAGCACATAACCTTACCAGGTGGTAATGTGATGAGTCATTGAAACTAATAAATTCATAAGTATAAAGGGATGCATGTGTTAAGAGAACATTTTTTATTTCAAACTGAAAGTAGTCAAAACCACAAAGCCTAGGAATCCCTCGGGCATTTTTATTGTGTAATCTGCTTTAGAATTAGAGTTGCATCCATGAAGTTTTGAGTCATATTGAAACTTAGCTACCTAAGTTTCTTCCCAGTTAAAAACTAGGTGCAAATGGAGTTATACACAATACAGGTAAATATATATACCTGTACTTGTAGATAACGTTTTATACATGTTTTCCTGTTCTATACATGTTGCATTGTAGTTTGTCTCCTCTATAAGTGGAAACTAATTAGGACTTGAGCTTCATTATTTCCTTTTCTTGATACACCCTTTTTCCACTCCCTGGGTTGATCAGTACCTTTGGCACTAATATCTCAGAACAATTTTCTATAGGTTATCCTTATGCAGCTTTTATGGCATAATGGATTACTGGCACAATTCACATGGAGTTTCGTATATCCATTCGCTATAAATTCCTTTTTTTTTTTTTTTGTTGACATAGGGTCTCGCTCTGTCACCCAGGCTGAAGTGCAATGGCATGTGATCTCACCTCACTGCAACCTCTGCCTCCCGGGCTCAAGCAATTCTCCTGCCTCAGCCTCCTGAGTAGCTGGGACTACAGGTGCACACCACCATGCTCGGCTATTATTATTATTATTATTTTTTTTTTGGTAGAGACAGGGTCTCACAATGTTGCCTAGGCTGCTCTTGAACTCCTGAGCTTCAGGCAATCCGCATGCCTCAGCTTCCCAAAGTGCTGGGATTACAGGCGTGAGCCACCACATCTGACCCACTCTATAAATTCCTAATGTAATACAGCTATAGTAATGAAACTGTAAGCTGTGCTAAATTTTTGCAACATTTATTTAATATTCCTGGGACCACTGAAATGGTAGTAAACTGCTTATATATTAAAGTGGATTTTGGGGCTGGGTGCAGTGGCTCATACCTGTAATCCCATCACTTTGGGTGGCCAAAGTGGGAGGATCACTTGAAGCCAGGACTTCAAGACCAACCTGGGAAACAAAGCAAGGGTCTGTCTCTACAAAAAATTTTAGAAATTAGCTGGGTGGAGTGGTGTGTGTTTGTAGTCTTAGCTATGTGGGAGGCTGAGGTGGGAGGATCACTTGAGCCCGGGAGGTCAAGGCTGCAGTGAGCTGCAATCATGCCACTGCACTCCAGCCTGGGTGACACAATGAGACCCTGTTTCAAAAAAAGAAGATGAATTTGGGGAAAAAGTAGATTTAATTTTTCGGACAGCTTCCATCTATTAAATTAGACCTTTAGAAATTAAAAAGTTGATTTACTCTTTTAAAGTCATACATTCATTTGGCTAACATTGACGACCTACTTTATACTGGACATTATTTTAGATTTTGAGATTATGGATAAGAAAAGCTTTTCTTTTCTCTGAAGCAGCTCATGTATTTTCCTTCTCCTTCATTCTTGCTCCCCTTCTTTGTATCTCCCAACTTCCCATTCCAGTTAGTTACTGATTCCTCCCCAATCTTTCGATAAAGTTTGTTATAATCTAATGCCTAGAATCTTTTTCTAACATTTGCTCCAGTAACGAGTAGTAGTCAGCTCCAGTAATGAAGAGCTCATTATCTTTACCTGGCTTCCCCCTAAAAGCAGAGAGAGCTTGATGCAGAGGCTTGGGAGCAGAGGTAGTTTAAGTGGAAGCAAGAGTGAGGGACAAAGGAAATGATCAATGCAGGGAGTGGAAAAGAAGTGAAATGGGAAAGGAGGAAAAGCCAATATTTGGATGCATTATTGAGTTGGCCAATGCTCAGACAACTAGTTTAATCATGCTGTAGCCTCTGAAGGGCCTTATGAAATATGACTGAGAACTATCCAGCTGGGGACTGAAGAGTGGAAGAATTTATTCAGCAGCTCCCTCACCACTGTATGTTTTAATTGGTTCTTTCAAAATTATTTCCATTGTTTTATTGATATTTTCTCTTTGGTGAGACATTGTTCTCAGTCTTTCCTTAGTTCTTAGGCATGGTGTCCCGTTGAGCATGGACTATTGTTTCCTGTGTCTTAGTCTGTCTCATAATTTTTTGTTGAAAAGTGAACATATAAAATCATGTGGCAACTCTGGAAATTAGATTTTTCCCTTCCCCAGGGTGGTTGTTTGTTATTGTATGCTTATTTATTGACTTTTTGGACTAATTCTATAAAGTGTGTATTCTTTGTTGTTAGAAGCCACTGAAGCCTCTGGTAGGTTTGCTTAGTGGGCAGCTAATGATTGAACAATGATTTAATTTAAATACTTTGAACCAATAGCCTTCCAGCTTTTGCTGCTGGTCATTGTGTGAATTGGGATATGCTTTCAACGACATTCACCTAGTCAGATGACCATTATGCCTTATGTTTCTCTTCCTGCTTGTGCAGAACCTCAAGGCTAAGCAAGAGGTGAGAGATTAGGAACTTCTTAAGTCTTTCATGGGCCTATGAATAGCCTGGAACATGCACATATTCTTTTTTATGACCCATGTCTTTCTAGATTTTACATTGCAACTTTTCAAAGCCCCCATGGGCAGGCCATTGTCCATTAAAAATTATTATGATTATTATTTTGAGATGGGGTCTCTCTCTGTTACTCAGGCTTCAGTGCAGTGGTATGATCACTGCTCGCTACAGTCTCGACCTCTTGCCACTTCAGCCTCCTGAGTAGCTTTGACCACAGGCATACACTACGTCACCCGGCTATTTTTTATTTTTATTTTTTCTAGAGATGGGGTTCTCACTATGTTACTCAGGCTAGTCTCGAACTCTTGGGCTCAAGCCATCCTCCAGCCTCAGCCTCCCAAAGTGCTGGGATTATAGGAATGAGCCACCAAGCCTGGCGTGTCTTGATTTTATTTAATTAATTATTATTATTTTTTTTTACCAAGTGTTTTGGTCAGCCTCTTGTTAATTTCAGCTTGTCACACTGCTTCAGGTCACCATAATCTTAAACTATTTCAGATGATTGTTTTTGACAAATTCCCCAATAGCAGTGTTGTTTTCACAGAATGAACTTAAAGTCAGAACAAACTAAGACAAATTTTGAGTATAGAGCTTATAGGACATATTAAACCGGATGGCAATTTTCTGGGGGTAGGGCCTTGTGAAACTTCAACCACATTCTGCCTTCTCTAGTGGCTGCTAAGCTGTTGATTTTCACAGCTGTTGTAGCTGTATGACTGTGGGTTTTCAGTGTTACTGCAGAGATGGAGATGGTGCTTTGATTAGCATACCTTAATATACCAAAAAGGTCACTGTTCTTATAGAGATTCAGTCTTTTTAAAATTAAATAAACAGTATTCAGATTGCTAAGCCCTTTGTTAATTTAAAGAATGCTAAGCCCTTTGTTAATTTAAAGAATATTCGCAATACATTTATCTGGCAAAAGACTCGTTTCCAGAATACATAAAGAAATCTTATAGTTTAGTCATAAGACAACTCAATTATAAAATGGGCAAGAGATTTGAACAGACCCTTCTTGAAAAAAAGATACGCAAATAATAAATATATGACATTTATATCATTAATCACCAGAAAAATGCAAATTAAAACTAGTGAGATACTATTACACACCCATTAGAATGACTAAAATGAAAATAAATAAATAAATAACCAGGTGTTGGCAAGTATGTGGATCATCTGAAATTATCCTACAGAATGCAAAATGGTATAATCATGTTTGAAAAAAAATGGTCATTTATTTTATAAAAGATTGATAAACATTTTTATTTGATACATATTTGTATGTATTTATGGGATACAGTGTGATATTTCAATATGTGTATATAATGTGTAATGATCAAATCAGAGTAATTAGCATGACCTAAAATATTTATCATTTCTTTGTCTGGGCAACATTCAAAATCCTGTTTTCTAACTATTTGAATGTATACAATAAAATATTGTTAACTATAGTCACACTGCATTGCAATAGAAAGTGGAACTTTTTCTTCTGTCTAGCCATAATTTTGTATACATTAACCAACTCTTCTTTGTTTCTTTGAGACAGGCCTAACCAACTCCTCTTTATCCCCTGCTCCTCCCTACCCTTCCAAGCCTCTAGTAACCACTACTCTATTCTCTACTTCTATGAGATCAACTTTTTTAGCTCTCACATACGAGTAAGAGCATGTGGTATTTATCTTTCTTGTCCCTGGCTTATTTTAGTTAACATAATGTCTTCAAGGCTCATCCGTGTTGCCATGAATGCCAGGATTCATGCTTTTTAATTGCTGAATAATATTTCACTGTGTATATATATTACATTTTCTTTCTTTCTTTTTTTTTTTTGAGATGAAATTTCACTTTTGTTGTTCAGGCTGGAGTGCAATGGCGTGATCTCGGCTCTCTGCAACCTCCGCCTCCTGGGTTCAAGCGATCCTCCTGCCTCAGCCTCTCAAGTAGCTGGGATTACAGGCATGCACCACCACACCTGGCTAATTTTGTATTTTTTTAGTAGAGATGGAGTTTTACCATGTTGGTCAGGCTGGTCTCAAACTCCTGACCTTAAGTGATCCACCCGTCTTGGCCTCCCAAAGTGCTGGGATTACAGGCGTGAGCCACTGTGCCTGGCCCATTTTCTTTACTCATTTATATATTGATGAACACTTAGGTCGATTCCATATTTTGGCATTGTGAATAGGTGCTGCAATAAAAATGATGCAGATATCTCTTTGATATACTGCTTTTGGGGTCTTTTGTGATTCCAGATAAATTGTAGCATTTGTTTTGATATTTCTGTGAAGAATGCCCTTTGCATTTTGTTAGGGATTGCACTGAAGTATAGATTGTTTTGGGTAGTGTGTTCATTTTAACAATATTAACTTCTAAAATTATTGAACATCGGATGTCTTTTCCTTATTTTTGTGCATCCTATTCACTTTCCTTCTTCAGTGTTTTATAGTTTTCCATGTGTAGATCTTTTACTTCCTTGGTCAAATTTATTCCTAGGTATTTTATTTTTTTGTAGCTATTGCAAATGTGATTGCTTTCTTTTTTAAAATTTTTATATTTTTAAGATACAGGGTCTCACTCTCACCTAGACAGGAGTGCAATAGCATGATCACAGCTCAGTGTAGCCTTGAACTCCTGGGCTCAATCAGTCCTCTCGCCTCAGCCTCTCAAGTAGCTAGGACTACAGGCTTGCACCACCACACATAGCTAATTTAAAGAAAATTTTTTTGTGTGGAGACAGGGTTTCACTATATTGCCCAGGCTGATCTCAAACTCCTGACCTCAAGCAATCCTCCTTCCTTGGCCTCCCAAAGCTCTGAGATTAAAGGCATGAGCCACTGCAACCCGTCGTGATTGCTTTTTAAATTTCTTTTTTTTCTTTTTTCTTTTTTTTTTTGAGATAGAGTCTCTTTGTGTTGCCCAGGCTGGAGTGCAGTGGCAGGATCTCAGCTCACTGAAATCTCTGCCTCTCGGGTTCAAGTGGTTCTCCTGCTTCAGCCTCCCAAGTAGCTGGGACTACAGGTGCATGCCACCATGCCTGGCTAATTTTTGTATTTTTAGTAGAGATGGGGTTTCACCATGTTGGCCAGTCTGGTTTCGAACTCCTGACCTCAAGTAATCTGCCCGCGTTGGCCTCCCAAAGTGCTTAATTATAGGCATGAGCTACTGCGCCTGGCTCTTGATTTATTTTTAGCTAAATGTGGCACTCGGGTTATGTATACTTACCAATTTACCATGTAACCCATGCATTGGAGAAATGAAAACATACGCCCTGAAGAGGCTTGTGCATGAATTTTCTTTGAAACTTTATTCACAATGGTGAAAAACTGAAACAAACACTGATGTCCATGAAGAAATGATAAATAAACACATTGTGGTATATTTACATAATGGAGTGTTACTTAGCAACAAAAACAAAAATTACTGATACAAGCGATAACGTGGATGAATTTTAAAACATTGTGCAGACCTAAATGAGTCCGATACAAAGGAGTCTATTTTATATGATTCTATTTTCATGAAACTCTCGAAAAGTATTGTGATGAAAAACAGGTGTCTACACTAATTAATCAATCTTGTTCATATTCTGTCTCATTCCCTTAAAGTTCAAAGTGCCTAAAAAGCACTATCCAACTACATTCTATAATGTGTAAGGGAAAGGTGAAGTAAAGACATTGTGGAAGACACATACATAAATAAGGTGATGGAGAGAGGACTCTGAAAGCTGGACTGAAAAATATTGACATAGTGGCAGAATGGACGGGGATGGGGAAGATAAAATGATGAGTTCACATTGTTTGGAGTGATGTAGTGAATTTAAAATGATGAAGAATTAAATGTGTCACACACGACAAGCATTTCTAGGTTATCTATGGATTCTTTGTAGTCTAGAAGTCATCCACTTCACTTGTTTATCTAAAATATATGAGTCTTTTCCAGGACTTTTCTCAGCACAAGGGACAAATGTATGGGAACTTGGACCTTGTTTCAAGAAGAGCTGTGAATTTATGCTTGTTCTTTTTTTTTTTTTTTTTTTTTTGAGATGGAGTCTCGCTCTGGCACCCAGGCTGGAGTTCAGTGGCATGATCTCGGCTCGCTGCAACCTCCACCTCCCAGGTTCAAGTGATTCTCCTGTCTCAACCCCCCAAGTAGCTGGGACTACAGAAGCCCACCACCACAGCTGGCTAATTTTTGTATTTTTAGTAAAGATGGGATTTCACCAAGTTGGCCAAGCTGGTCTCGAACTCCTGACCTCAGGTGATCTGCCCGCCTCAGTGTCCCAAAGTACTGGGATTACAGGCGTGAGCCACCACACCCGGCTGCTTGTTCATATTTTTGAATGGAATTTGTGTGCATTGTTTCATTTTTTGTTCATTTGATTCTAAGGTGAGGACAGTATTTCCTACTTTTATGTAGTTGGGAGCAGTAAATGGAAATGTTTGTGGAAAGCTCCTCATAAAATTTCAAGGCCTTTTGTAGATATAGTGTTTTAAAGGCCCAGAGTCTGGAGAAAAGAAGAGATAGGTACAAATAATGAAAAGGGAGACTAGATGCAACTTCTTCCTTATTCCATGCCTTTATTTTCAAAATACTATAAATGTTGAATATTATAGTATTTGTGGTTTCTGAAATTTTGAGATAATTTTAAGAAGAGGAATAATTAATAACTGTTCCTTCCTTGGCTCAAATAATATTTAGGAAATACTAGTAGGTGTGGAAGAGCAACACAATAAATGTTTTTATTTAATTTCCCTGAGCATAACAGAGAGCAGATGGGGAATTCTGGGCCTGCCCTTTTTTACTGTTAGCCAAGGAGAGCAGAAAAAATAAATTGTTTTCCAGACATGGAGCCAGTTTTGTGTTCTCGTTGCTGATGTACTGTGAAAGGATTTGAAGGGTGTGCATGCACTTGTCACATTCATGTGGCTTAGATTTGTAGTGGAAAATGTTATTCTAGATTGTCAAAATTGTGAGAAGCCATGCTAACCTGGTCTGTGTAAAAATGTCATTATTATTGTTATTATTACTATTTTCAGTGATTCGTTCAAAGAGTTAAGACTTAAAATTCTGATAATAAGTATTTCTGAAAATGAGACAAAGACAAAATGCTAATAAAATTTTTGGCTTATAATTTGTTTCAGCCAAATGCTTGAACTTGTTTTATTGTGTTTTTGCTTAACGATGTCAGCTTTTCATTAAAAGGACTCAGTGTGGTTGCTTGCCTTGTCTCCATTTTCCTTGGTCTGAGAGCAAAT
Organism: Homo sapiens; assembly: GCF_000001405.40. Classification (NCBI taxonomy): domain Eukaryota; kingdom Metazoa; phylum Chordata; class Mammalia; order Primates; family Hominidae; genus Homo; species Homo sapiens. The sequence goes on along the minus strand of NC_000023.11, from coordinate 68,300,229 downwards.
ACTCAGGCTCAGTAAGTCCATGCATATGATAGGTTTGAAAATGCAGGATGGAGGAGGATGATGAAACTAGGGAGAGAAAGAAGAAATCGGAAAAGAGAGCCAAAAATAACCAACAAGCTTAAGCTTTCCTAGAACATGGTCTAACAGGTTAGCTTTGTTGGTAAGATCAGTGTGCCTCAAAGTTAAGGAGTATATGAATGCCCTGGGGCTTGGATAAAAATGTAATTTCTGATTTGTTAAGTCCAGGGTAGGGCTTGGCAATGTGCATTTCCTTCCACCTCCCAGGCGATGATGATGCTGCTGGCCTTAGAACCACTCTTGGAGTGCAACAAGGGTCAAAAGTTGGGTTGGACCTCTTGGTGGGGGCATATTTAAAAAATCTCAATAAAGATAACTTCTCAAAAGTATAGCTAAACATGATTTAATTTTATACCAACTTATACACTAAAATATATTCTAAAATTCAAAATCATTGACCAAAAATAAAAGCATTTGTTTGGCCATGTCACCCTGATTGTTTTCATTCGTTGCTTTCTTAGGTCAGGTCTCTTGATAAATACTCTGTGAACAAGTTAAGGAGTCTTCGTCTTCCAGATAGCATCCTAACCCAGGCTGTCATCTGGTTAACATGTAAAATGTCCAGGTGGTACCTGTATCATCATGGATAGGGCTCTGGAGAAGCAGACAGACCACCTGGCTTCTATTTCCAGCTTTGCCACCAAGCTCTGGGACTTTGAACTCCACACGTATAAAATGGAAAGCATCTAGTGTATTGCCCATAATAGGGGTTTAGGAAATGTGTAAGGAGACCCTCTTAAGAGTATATCTAAGTAGTTTCATGTCTTCCATGCTTTGAGTGGAACAGGTCAGAGAGGAGAGGTGTTGAGGATAAAAACATGTCCCGTAACTTTTAAGGACTTTACTGAGATGCCCCATCCTTTCTTCTTGTGATTTTAGTTGTTCAAACTTTCTTCTACTGCATATCTAATCTTTTGTTTTATTTCATTAAATGCTAGTTGCAACCTGCTCAGAGCACTTACCTTTGGTTTTCTTTTATCTGCTCTTATAGAGATGAGGAAATAGATCAAAGCATAGCATTGTTGAACATTTCTCTTGTTACCCTTCCTTTGCAGATTATTCTTCTGCTGTTCAGAAATTTTCCCAGACGCTGCAGTCATTTCAGTTTGATTTCATTGGAGACACTCTGACTGATGATGAAATTAACATCGGTAAGTCTTCAGCTACATGTGGTCATATACCTGTTGAGGCAGCCCTGAGACCATGTAGTCTTTTTGATTTGTGGATACAGAGCACTTGGACATCTTCATCCACTGTGGTCCAATGCCAAGGCCCTGGGAGGTTGATTAGGAAGGATCAGGAAACTTTCCCTGCCAGTCCCATTTCCTCCTCACACGACAGCAATCAAAAGATACCCTTAAACTTCTACTGAGATTTTTGACTCAGACAGTCTGCAAGCGACCTTTTCTTTAAAGCATAGTTATTTTCCTAAAGGATATATTAAAAGGGGGACTTTTTTGGTTTATTTCCCAAAATGGTTGGAGTTAGATTCTTCTAAGGAATCAAATTTCCCTAGAAAGTGTTAAATTAGCATTTGTGTGTCTACAACTTATCAGGAACAGGTTGCTTAGCATCTCTCTTGGGAATTGGATTTAACAACTCACTCTATTAGTTGTATAATCTTGGAGAAGATATTTCTGTCTCTGAGTCTCATCTTGTCCTCTGTTAAAATGGGGTTAATATCTATCAAAGATGTTAAAAAGAGGAGGTTGAATAGTAGAAGTCAAAAGAAGTTTGCGTTTGTATTATTTGTTATGAAGGTAAAGAGGAGAGGTTAACAAACCCCTGGGCCTATTCCAGCTCACCACCTGCTTTTGTAAATAAAGTTTTATTGGAACATACCCATACTCATTTATTTAAGCGTTTTCTATGGGTATTTTTGTGGCACAAGAATAGCACTGAGTAGTTAGTGACCACCACTGGATGGTCCTCAAAGCCTAAAATCGTTATCTTCTGGCCATTTAAGAAAAAGTTTGCTGATTCCTGAGTTAAAGGGTTAGTGTAGAGCATTTGCTAGATGAGAACACTGAACCAAAGAGCTATTATGAATGATCTATTGTTACTGGAACAAGTTAGTAACACAGTTATATTTATTAGCCCTGGAACTAAAATGTGAAAATGTATTATTATTAATAAATGCCTATTATAGTCAATTTTAATAATATATAAAAGTATAAGTTACTTATGATAGGAAGATATTCCTGCACAGAAATAGTATCTTGGACATACTTTTATATTATCCTTTAAGTCTTTTTCTCTACATATATCTGTTTTCTTTGTATGCAATGTAGTTCATATTAAATATATAATATTATCTTTCTAACCAAATATTTTATTATAAGCATTTTCCCATGTAATTTAAGATTTTTCACAAGTTTTATGGGTGGTTTGTATGGCCTTGTTTTGTTCACTACTGTTTTCCCAGCACATAAAGGAGTGCCTGGCATACAGTAGATGTTCAATGAAATGTTGGTAAATGAATGAGTAATGGATACATTCAAATTTCATTATTATGAGAGCTATACTTCATTTAATATTTAGCTATTCTTGGAAATATAGCTTATTTCCATTTTTCACTATTATAAGTAATATTTCAATGAACATTTTTTAGATTTAGATTGGTGACCATTTTGGTTAAATGTGACTGTGTAACTAGTGAGTCAGATATTTGTATTTGTATTATTTTCTTATTCACTCCATTTTATTTTACTTCAGTAAATCTATCCAGGTCCAAGTGCATGACTATTTAAAAGTTAACATTATGGGCTCTGGAATCAAGTAACCCAAGTTTGAACTCTACCTCTACATCTTAATAGCTCTGTAACCTTGGCAAGTAACTTCACCTCTCTAAGTGTTAAATTTTCTTATCTTGTAAAATGGGGATGAGATAATGCCAAGTGTGCATAGTGTCTAAATGAATGTTAGGTATTTCAACATTATTATTAATATAAGATATTTTTGTACTTCTTTTTAAAAATAACTGCTACTTGCCTATCAGTTGGAAGATTGGGAGATACATGGTACATGAAATTATATAAATGGCTCCTTTTTCTGGTATAAGGGTCTGATTTTGAACAGGTGCCTATTGATACCAAAGCCACCAACAGATCTGAGACTTTTCTCATGTCTTCCTTTATGTTGAACTTTGAGCCTTAATTCTCTTAATCCCATGAACCTCACTGCAAATGTCAATGAGTGCTATGCAGGAAAAAGGGTGTGTGAGCCTGGGCAAAATGACTTATAAACAAAAGAAAAATGACTCCTTGGTGATGCCAGGTTCCTGTGGGGGTCTGTGGGGCTCCATCAGAGCTGCTGATTATGACATCTTTGCTGCTTTTTTAAAAAAAGAAAGAAAGACAGGGTCTTGCTCTGTTTACCCAGACTGGTCTTGAACTCCTGGGCTCAAGCTATCCTCCCACCACCTTGGTCTCCCAAAGCTCTGTGATTACAGGCATCAGCTACCACACCCAGTCTTTTGCTTCTTTTTTTTTTTTTTTTTTTTTTAAGATGGAGTCTTGCTCTGTTCCCCAGGCTGGAGATCAGTGGGCTCACTGCAACCTCTGCCTCCCGGGTTCAAGTGATTCTCCTGCCTGAGCCTCCCGAGTAGCTGGGATTACAGGCACCCGCCATGATGCCTGGCTAATTTTTGTATTTTTAATAGATACACGGTTTCACCACGTTGGCCAGGCTGGTCTCGAACACCTGACCTCAAGTGATCCAACCCATCTTGGCCTCCCAAAGTGTTGAGATTACAGGCATGAGCCATAGTGCCCGGCCTTTTTGCTTCTTAATGTATGATTTATAATAACTCTTTAACTCAGTGATCATTTGCCTGCCAATTTCAGAAGCTCCTACTTATCATTTGAACACTGCTTTTAAGGATGCTGACTTAATGAACTGACTTTCATTATTGAGGACCAAAGAGAGGTTTTGAAAATTCATTGGCCTGTCATGGTCATTGTCCTTGTTGAATCTCATTTTGAAAGCTGGGAATTGTGGTGGTAGTGAGAGGAAGAGCCAGTACTCCAACAGCTGAGGCTGAGGCTCTCTGGAGGCTTCGAGAAAAAAATACTGGGGACCCTACTGGGAGGCTATTGTTGGGAAAGAGCAGTTGCTTTGGAAGCTGAGAACGCAGAGTGTGCCATGCCCTCCTATTGCCAATACTGCTGGCCCTGAGTCAATACATCTTGTTTCACTGGAAAAAAAAATTGCTTAAAGCACACTTTGGATGGAATTGTGATACCCTTTTGGATTTCACATTATATGTGCAGAGGGCCTTCTCATTAAAAATTTTTCATTATTGGCTCCAAAAGGTCACTCAGTAGCATTGTAGGTACTCGTTATTTAGCAGAAATGACAGTGCTTCCTAGAGCTCATGGAGAAAGCCTGAGGATTCTGAAGAGTTCCTCCCCCTGACGATCAGCTCTAGGACTTACCCTGAATAGTTTATGTCTAACAGGGACAAGTGGGAGGCCATGTGTCATTGATCTGACCGTGACTTTTTTCACTGCTTTAGAGTTAGACATCTATGCCTTCTTGGCATTGCCTTGTCTTTACCTCTATGTCTCTGTAACCAAAGGAAATCCCAGGTGTCTAAGAAGTCTTGTGTCTGCTTAGATTTGAGTTTTATATGTTAGCTATGGGATCTTGGTAACATTAATTGAGCTTGTTGAGCATCTGTTTTCCACATCAGTATAGTGGGGGAGTATAATCCACCTCACAAGGTCATGAGGAGCAAATCAGATAATACTTATATCAGAGAGTGTCTGTAAATCATTTAGCTCAGTGTCTGGCATATAGTTGGTGCTCAATAATTCATTGTTATTGATTCTACTAGGAACACTATAGAAGGTAATTTGTGGAAAACAGTGTTGGTTTGAAATTATATTTCCCAAATTAACCAAAGGAAAATATAGGATTGTAAAATGTCCATGTTGGCAGGGACCTTAAATAGTATTTAGTTCATTATTTCTCGTATAACTTCATATCCGAGTCACCTGAGGATCTCGTTTATCCTGTCACAGGACCTACCTTATACCTAAAGAATCAGAATTTCTATAGCGGAGCCCAGGGCCTTGATTTTTACATAGTCTTTATAACATCAGCGAGCATTTTGTAACCCCAGGACAGATCTCAAGCTTTTCCAAACTGTGCTCCTTGGATCCTCAGTGTCTCCCGTCTTTCATGATCAAATGAAACAGCGGTTTATATTGGGCTTTCATGTAAGAATTTGCTTGAAAAATGGGATTTGTAGATTAAACGAGAGAAACAGACACTTTTAGAGTGCTCCCAAATAGCAGATGTCATTGTAAGCACTTTATATAGACTAATGAGAGAAAGAGAGACAGAATAGTAGCAAGTTTATCCCTCAATTCAACAGATGGAGAAACTGAGATCCAGAGGTAGGGATGTGATTGTGGAAGGTACCACACAGCTACATAGTACCAGATTTACTATTAGAGCCTGAATCTCCTAAGGCCCAATTGATTCATTCAATAACATTTTATTGAGCATCTGCTATAAAGCTTGTCCTCATGGACTTCCCAATCATACAAGTTTTGGCATAGGCAAATGACTTGCAATGTCACCATAGCACCATGAGCTAGAAAGAGGCCTGTTTGCCACATAGGCTTAAGAGAATATGCTTACTTTTTTTTTTTTTTTTTTTTTTTTTTTTTGTGATAGAGTCTCACTCTTGTCACCCAGGCTGGAGTGCAGTGGCGTGATCTCGACTCACTGCAACCTCCGCCTCCCGGGTTCAAGAGATTCTCCTGCCTCGGCCTCCCGAGTAGCTGGGATTACAGGCATGCGTAAATACATGCCCGGCTATTTTTTGTAGTTTTAGTAGAGACTGGGTTTCACCATGTTGGCCCGGCTGGTCTTGAACTCCTGACCTCAGGTAATCCGCCTACCCTGGCCTCCCAAAGTGCTGGGATTACAGGCGTGAACCACTGCACCCGGCCAGGTTACTCTTTTCTCAGGATCCCTTATATGTATTTTTGTTCATTAGTAAATAGGTAGCGTGTCCACTAAATGACATAAACAAGGGATTCAGAGACATAGAACACATCTTCCTGCCTTCAAGGAGCTCATAGTCTATTAAAGGAGGTGGATAACTAAATAGGCAATGGTAACACAATGTGATAAGGACTATGGTAGAGGTAAGCACATGGTAGCCCCTAATTCAGACTGGTGTGTATATGTATTGGGGGACGGGATGATGCGGAGAATAAACATGGAAGCCTTCTCAGAGAAGTGATATCTGAGTCAGTTCCAGGGTTAAGGTGAAACAAGGCAGGTGGCTAGGGCTCAGATTTAAGGAGGCACTTACTCTCAGGGTTGTGCAAGTACAGGCTGGCACTTGAGAGTGAATATACCTCCTTAAAGTTTACAGCCTGGGTACCTGGGAATTATTTGGTGAGGATCTTCAGAGGGCCTCGTATTTTAACTTCAAATTTCAATCTTGTCATCAGCAGAGCATGGCATCCATTAGGTGAACCCTGATAGCATAGTTCTTTTATTCTGTGCATCTACCTTGCTACATCTTTTCCAGAAAATGTCACCCATGGGGTTTTAGTGGGTTGTTTGTTTATGCCTGGGGGAATAAAAGTCATGTTCTAAATCTCAGACTGTAAATCACATTTCCACCCCAGTTATGCTAACATATTTAAAGAAACACCTTTGTGGACCAAGAAGATTGATTTAAGGTCAGACTTCTAGATGGAAAGTTCCATCAGCCACCCATTACTGGTTTCTGAGACATGAGGGTTTAACATTGTCAGTCCCCTGATCCTGATTTTTGTTTAATGTGAATATTATTCATTGCTAAACAACTCACAGCAGATCATAAACCTCTTGGTTGAGATAAAGAAGGGACTAAGAAATAGTCTCTTGAGGGCTTTTGTTGGTATTTTTTTCTACAAAACCAGTTGAAGTATCTTTTGAGAAGTGGTGGCAAATGTCAGTTGTTTTAGAGTCCTGGAGGTCAGGCATCTTAAAAGAGGAATGGCTAAAATGAAAAAAGAAGCACTAATGTAAAAGATTGTATTTAAGTAAAGAGCCAGGAGTTGAATTCTGAAGGTTCAGTGATTTTCATGAGATTGGTGGGGGGAAAATCTTTTGGTTATACATCTTGAAGCTCTTAAGCTCATATGTCAGTTGGTGACATTGTTCACAATATTGATTATCTTTCATATAGGGGCATGCATGAACCAAATATTTTGCCAGACTTTCTTAGCACAGGCAATAGCTTTTCTGGGGAAAGTTCTAGCCCAATGCACCTTCTGCTGTGGTGATAAGCCCTTAGAGGTTTATATCAAGTTATTGGGCTTGAGTGCATAGGGCTTCTTCTCAGATCCTGAGGAAAAGAGAAAATACAAGGTAATCAGAAGTCTCTATTGGGATCTGGGCCGTCAGGTTTTAGTTCTCCATGACTCGAAGTCATATGAGAAGGTGATAATTGGGCTGGGTACGGTGCCTCATGCCTGTAATCTCAGCACTTTGGAAGGCAAATGTGAGTGACTCACTTGAGCCTAGGAGCTGATTCTAAATGCTTTCAGGGAAGCATCAGATTAAAACATAAAAACCTATGTGTAGATGAGAAAGGACTTAAAATGGCAGTGGCCAACTTATTACTGATCATTTTCAAAAGTGGAAGACTTGATGAAATTTTATTACCAGAAGAATAATGCAACTGAAAAATACATGGGATTTATGTGGCATATAAAACAAAAGAAATATCAATCCATAAAAAGATTTTACAAAAAATCTATAATCATAATAACACTATTTTCAAGGAAGAGTGAATATTATATTTATAAAAATTGGTAAACAACCTTTATGAAGAAAAAAGTCTTCAGACATAACATAATAATTCTGACATAATATACCATGAACATAGCAAGCTTATAGTTAGAATATACCAAGAATATATCAATAATATCAAGTAAAGCTGGGCTCAGCGATGCATACCTGTAATCCCAGGTACTCAGGAGGCTGAGGTGGGAGGATTGATTGAACAACCCCCAGCCACCCAAAAGAATATCAAGTAAAGAGATTGAGAAATCTTAATAAAACATACTGTGGAAAGCAAGAACATTGATCGTTCTCTAAGAACTTCCTGTATAGCATTCAATTTCTGAAATATGTACATTGGTAACGTTTAGCCCATTTAAGCTAGGGAAGTCTGAACATCTCTTTTGATTTCATGGTGCTTCCTGTGCAACTCAGACGATAAAACAAAAAGCACCAAAACTATGCACTGGACAATTAAGGAAGTTATTGCCATAGGGAGAACCTTTATTAATGAGGAACATCTCAAAGAAATGGAAGAAAATTGGGGTATTGTAGAGGCAGGTAAACAAGGGAGTCACCTGCAAGTCTTATGGGAGGCATGAAGAAGAATGGAGATTGATGCTATATATGAGGTGCAAAGTCTATATATAGACTTTGCAGTCTAACCATTTTTCAGAACACAGAAGGATGTGGGATGTCTTAACACTGGCTGCTTTCTTGGAGCCCTGGTCTCAGTTCCACACTCAGTGGTCCGGGATTCACAAAGCAGGGCACAACCCAGTGTCCTTTCAAAGCTCCCAGGCCCTCTGAGGTTCCACTGGGGAATTTGAGTGAAGAAGATGGCACTCATGCAGAGTGAGGAGACTGCTGAACATGAGCCCCCTATTCTCATAGGCTTTTTGTACCTTTTTGCCCATTTCCCTTCTGACTGATCTGGAGACTGACTGCTGGTTAAGTGCCAGCCAGGGTCAAGTAAGTGGTACAAAATGATCCCAAGACGTTCCTATTTGTTGAGAGATCTAGCAAAGTGAATGTCATTTTCTCAGGAGCATCATTTGGCAGGCCCAGGCTTCAGGCCTGTCTGCCATTTACTCTTTCTCCCTCATTAAGGTCTCTTGGACTCCAGTAATCTTTCACTCTGAGCTCTCTTCTCTATCCTGTTCCTGCCACCATATTGTATCCATAGCAATGACCCTTATATCTTGGCTCACTTTTCTTCATGGGGATATGGTAGGATTTAGAAACATGGTCTTGGATTTGGCTGGACCTGAGTTCAGACTCTGACCTGTTTATTTACTGACTACATGATCTTAGGCAGTTTTCATTAAAAAAAGTAATAATTGAGTTTATTGGTATCTTTGCATTATAATATAAACATGCTTTATTATAAAAATATGGAAATGAACAAAAAGATTATTATTAGCTTCCGTATACTGAGTACCTACTGTGTGCCTACTGCTTTGTGTACACTATCTAATTCTCAGAGCAATTTTAAGGAGGTGAATGAGGCTAATGGAGGTTAAGAAACTTGCCCAGGATCACATAGCTAATAAGTAGCTTAAGTGGGATTTTTTTTTTTTTTAATCAGGGTTTGGCTCTGTCACCTAGGCTGGAGTGCAGTGGCAGGACTGTGGCTCACTGCAGCCTTGACCTCCCAGGCTCATTTGATTTTCCCATCTCAGCCTCCTGAGCAGCCAGAAAGCACACCTCACCTGGCTAATTTTTGTCGCTTTTTTTTCCCTTTCTTTCTTTTTTTTTTGAGATGGAGTCTTGCTCTGTCACCCAGGCTGGAGTGCAGAGGCACGATCTCAGTTCACTGCAACCTCTACCTCCCAGGTTCAAGCAATTCTCCTGCCTCAGCCTCCTGGGTAGGTGGGATTACAGGTGCTCACCACCACCCCTGGCTAATTTTTGTATTTTTGGTAGAGATGGGGTTTCACCATGTTGGCCAGGCTTGTCTCAAACTCCTGATCTCAAGTGATCCACCTGCCTCGGCCTCCCAAAGTGTTGGGATTGCAGGTGTGAGCCACAGCACCTGGCCCTAATTTTTGTAGCTTTTTTCGTAGAGTTGAATTTCATCATGTTGCCCAGACTGGTCGTGAACTCCTGAGCTCAAGCGATCTGCCTACCTCGGCTTTCCAAAGTGAAGGGATTATAGGCATGAGCCACCATGCCCAGCTTTAAGTAGGTCTTTAAATCATTTCATTTTTGACTTTAAAATTTATACATATATGCACTCCATAACCGTGTTAATGTCATAGTAAATAATCAATAAATAGTTAAGCCTGAGAGCTAGATTTAATTAAAAAAAAAAGAATCAATTATTTTGATGTATTTTTTTCTTGGCTTTTTTGGGGGTCGAAACAATTTTCTGCATATAGCTGTACTTGTGTACAATTGTTGCATACAGATTTTTATATTCTGTTTTTAAATAGTGTGACACTCTAGCTATTTTGTCATGTACAGAAAATTTTGTGTAATTTCCTTTTTAATAGCTTCAATAATAGTCCATTAAGTGGACATACTTAATAATTTCCCAATCATTGGACATTTTATGTGTTTTCAATTATTCATCATCAGCAATAATGTTGAATGCCTACCTTTGGATATAAAGGTTTATCCCTCTGTATTCAGAATTAGTTCTTTTTGTTTGTTTGTTTGTTTTTTGTAGAGATGGGGGGTCTCACTTTTGTAGAGATGGCTCACTGTTGCCATCAGGCATTTGAGCAATCCTCCTGCCTTGGCCTCCCAAAGTGTTGAGATTACAGGTATTTTCCACCATGACCATGCCATGATTAGGTTTTAGGTATGGTTTCCCAGATACGAATTTACAATGTAAAAGGGTATAGATAATTTTAAGCTGTTTGATCCACATTTGTCAATTTTTACAATTGTTTGGAAGACAGTGCATAACACTGTAATTTATATGACCTTGCTAAATTAAACCTCAGTTTTCTCATCACTGAAATTGTAATGATGAATAATAAAACACTTGAGAAACATCTACCATATTGCTTTTCCCATCTCACTTTTCCGAATTTTTTGTAATTTCTTTGAAATTTTCCAAGGATAATGTTCTCTTGCTGTGGTCTTTTTTTAAAAAGAAAATTCTTGGATTGGTAAACATTATTGAGGAATTTTGCAGTAAGTTTTATAAGCCCTGCTTTGTGGTGGTGTTGCGGCAGGGGATGTTGCTATTATTGATGATGGTGTTGTTGTTTGTTATGGTTATGCAGGGCTGTTTTCTTCCATTTCTTAGCCAATTTTCTTAGTCCTCAGTCCTAGTATCTGAAGAGAGGGCAAAAGGACTCTAATGACTTTGGCTCCTTAATGACTATTCTCTCCCACACTCTGTAATGGACAGTCTGATCTCCTCACTAAAGCTTTTATTGCCTTCCCATTAATTCTACAGAGCCGTCTGCAGGGTTAGTTTTTAGAAGATGCTGTAATTAATTATCCATGATATTTGGTTAAAAATAGATCCGTAAGAGGCTTTATAGGACCTCAAGATTCTGAGTCAGAAATAACCCTTGTCCAAACCTTCCGCTTTTGCCTTTTTCTTTTGTCTTTTTTTTCTTTTTCTTTTTCTTTTTGAGATGAAGTTTCACTCTTGTCCCCCAGGCTGGAGTGCAGTGGCACGATCTTGGCTCACTGCAACCTCTGCCTCCTGGGTTCAAGCAATTCTCCTGCCTCAGCCTTCCGAGTAGCTGGGATTACAGGTGTCTGCTTCCACGCTCGGCTAATTTTTGTATTTTTAGTAGAGACGGGGGTCTCACGATGTTGGCCAGGCTGGTCTTGAACGTCTGACCTCAGGTGATCCATCCTCCTTGGCCTCCCAAAGTGCTGGGATTACAGGTGTGAGCCACTGTGCCTGGTTCTGCTTTTGCCCTTTTCTTGATTTGCTATAGATATGACCAAGGGAGAGTGAATATGAGGATATTTGGAGAAGAAAACACCATTTGTGGGGCCAGTTGGAGGGACAGTGAAAACAATGTGACATAGTGCTTTCACTATGACTGGGGACTGTAGATAGAACATTGAAATGGGGTCCTCTTTTGACTGTTCAGCTAGCTGTGTGACCTTGAACAAGTCAGTTCCAATCTCTGGGCCTCAGTTTTCTCAGGAATAAAATGACATAGTTGGACTAAGATAGATGATCTGTAAAAGTCTTAACCTTTTTAGAAAGCAAGTGATTACAATCTTAGAATCAAGAGGCTATCTTGACTTTGCTACATGCTTCTTGCCCTGTGCCACATACTTCTCTAGGCATTTGCAGTCTTCCGATCAAGCAATAAATGTACTCATAGGGCTTTTTCAGGCCACATATTCAGCAATGAGGTTTTTCTTGACTCAGCAACTTAATTTTAAAGTGATTTAACAATTACTGAAGCTGTATGTTAATTGAAAGTAAGGATCAAGAAGCTCTGACCAGGTTACCACGGTGGGAATAGTTGAAAAATGACCTCCAAAAATTCGATCTTTCATAAAAGCAGCAAAAACACTGGCAGAAATTTCCAAAATCAACTTTTTTAAAACTCCAAAAACGAACCAAAATTTTGCAACAAAACAGTGCATGTTTATTAAATAAAAATGGCTGAATAGTTGAGAAAACACTGAGCTCTATGACATTTTAATTTGCCATGTTCCTATTCCTTTCTGCAGTTCCATAGTAGCTTTGAAAACTAACGTCTGTATAATCATGCAATGTGTGCAAACCACCATTCTAGCAGCCATGGGTGAGGGTAGAATGGGTGTGAAGTTACTCAAAATTTGAGAAATATCACTCACAGGGCTTATGTTATTTGAGTTGACTCAGAGTTTACTCTTTAAATGGTTGTTGTTGTTGTTTTACTAGCGCATTTTCTTTCTTTTGTGCATTTTTTTTTTTTTTTTGAGACAGAACTCCTGACCTCAAGCAATCCTCCTGCCTTGGCCTCACAAGCAATCCTCCTGCCTTGGCCTCTGAGATTAAAGGCATGAGTCACTGCAACCCACTTGTGATTGTTTTTTTTTTTTTTTTAATTTCTTTTCTTTTCCTTCCTTCCTTCTTCCTTTCTTTCTTCTTTTCCCCTTCCCTTCCCTTCTCTTCTCTTTTCTTTTCTCCCTTCCCTTCCCTTCCCTCCTTCCTTCTTTCCTTTCTTCCCTTCCCCTTCTCCTCCCTCCCTCCCTTTTCTTTCTTTCTTTCTTTCTTTCTTTCTTTCCTTCTTTCTTCCTTCCTTCCTTCCTTTCTCTCTCTCTTTCTTTTTTTTCTTCCTTTCTTTTTCTTTCTCCTTCCTTCCTTCCTTCCTTTCTTCCTTTCTTAATTTCTTTTCCTTCCTTCCTGCCTTCCTTCCTTCTTTCTCTCTCTCTCTTTCTCTCTCTCTCATCCAGGCTGTAGTGCAGTAGTGGCATCTTGGCTTACTGAAGCCTCTGCCTCCCGATTTCAAGCAATATTCCTGCCTCAGCCTCCTGAGTAGCTGGAATTACAGGCACCTGCCACCATGCCCAGCTAATTTTTGTATTTTTAGTAGAGACAAGTTTCTCCACGTTGGCCAGGCTGGTCTCAAACTTCTGGTCTCAAGCAGTCCACCTGCCTGAGCCTCCCAGAGTACTAGGATTACAGGTGTGAGCCACCACACCTGCCCCTAGGGCATTTTCTAAAACCATTCAGTGGCAGTTGTTTAGTACTACAGTTTCCACAGACAACAAAAAGAATAAAGTAGCAAATAAGAAGCTGAACAATAAACCAAACAGGACAAAATGGAGAATGAATTATCCTTGGAGAGCTTTGAAGAGCTGTGAGATATTCCTGGAAATCTAGGAGTCATGCACATGAGAGGGGCTTTGTACATACCCAGCGTTTGTATCTGTCTAGAAGATACAAACAAGGAGATTAGACTTGAGACATCTAATCTCCCACTTCTGGCTGACCTTCAGCTCTTTGCAAGGAGGAGTGAAGGCTAAGGCACAGTTGTAAACTGTCTGGCTGAATGTTGAAGGCACACCCCACAATACACAGAGAGCCCTTCAGCAAAGGCTTGGAGATATTTGTTCAAACCATTTAAAGAAATCTCTGTCCAATCACTTGTTGACCAGTAAGCTTACTGACCAGAGACTTTAGTGGTTTCATATGACAAAGAATGCAGACTATAGAATGAGTCCATGAAGCCAATGTAACAACAAGCAACCACAAGAACAACAAGCTCTGGGGAAAGAGAGGAGTTCTGATTTCCAAAGTTGCCACACTATTTAGAATGTTAACTTTTAAAAAATTATGAGACATGCAAAGAAATAGTAAAATATGACCCTTGAACAAGGGAAAAAAAGCAATTAATAGAACCTGCCCCCGAGGAAGCCCTTACATTAGATTTTCTAGACAAAGAGTTTCAATTACCTATTTAAATATATTTAAATTAATAAATGAGACCATGTCTAAAGAACTTAAGAAATGAATGAGAACAGTGTCTCACAAAATAGACAATATCAATAAAGAGATAGATTTTTTTTAAAGGAATCAACTGAAACTTGCAGTTGGAAGTTGCAGTATAATAACTGAAATGAAAAACTTACTACTGGGGGTTCAGCACCATATTGTACTGGGAAAATAAATGACCAGCAAATTTAAAGACAAGTGAATTGAGATCATTCAATCTGAGGGAAATAAAGAATAATGATTGAGAAAAATGAACAGAACCTCAGATACCTGTGGGATATCATCAAGCATAAGAGCATATACAGAATGAGAACCTCAGAAGAAGAGAGTGAGACAGGAAAGAAAGAATATTTGAAGAAATAATGGCCAAGAAATTGGCAAATTTGGTGAAAAACATGAATCTGCACATCCAAGAAGTTAAATTTAGAGATACATGCCTAACCATATGAGTCTAATGAAAGAAAATAACAGAGATAATCTTGTAAAAAATAAGAGAAAAATGAAAGAAGAGAAATGAATGAAAACAGTCACAACATACTAAATCTTATGGGATGCTGCTAAAACAGTGTTTGGAAGGAAATTTGTAGCTTCAAATTCCTATGTTAAAAAAGAACAAAGATATCAAATCAATAACCAAACTTTCCAACTTAAGACACTTGAAAAACAAGAGCAAACTAAAGAAACAAAAGTAAAGAAATAATAAAGACTAAAGAGGAAATAAATGAAATGGAGAACAGAAAAAGAATATAATAATAAGGCAGCCTTGTCAAAATAACAAGACAGTCATTGAAACCAAACATCTGTTCTTCATAAAGTTAAACAAAATTGACAAACCCTTAGCTAGACTGACCGTGAGACTACTTGAATTACTAAAATCAGGAATGAAATAGGGGACATTACTACTAATCCTAGAGAAATAAAACTGATTATAATGAAATACTAAATATAGTTGACCCTCAAACAATATGGGTTCAAAACGCAGAGGTCCAGTTACAGGCAGACTTTTTCTCTTTGATTTGGATAGAAAAATACAGTATTTGTGGGATGTGAAATTCACACACATGGAGGGCCAACTTTTCATATGTACGTACATTCACATAAAACTTGTTCACAAATGTTCATGGTTGCATAAACCAGATTCAGAGGTCACATGTGTTTCCATTTATGAGAAATGTCTAGAGTAGGCAAGTTCATGGAAATAGAAAATAGATTAGTGGTTATCTGGGTGTTGGGAGGAAGTGGTAATGGGGTGTAATGCTAATGGGGTTTGGGTTTCTTTTGGGGGTGATGAAAATGTTCTGCAACTGTACAGTGGTGATAGTTGCACAACTTTGTGAATATACTAAAAGCCCGAATTGTACACTTTAAAATGGTGCATTTTATTATGTCTCAGTCCATTTGTGTCACCATAAAGGAATACCCAATGCTAGGTGATTTATGAAGAAGAGAGGTTTATTTGGCTCATGGTTCTGCAGGCTGTATAGGAAGCATGGCATCAGCATCTGCTTCTGGTGAGCACCTCAGGAAGCTTCCAGTGGTGGCAGAAGAAGAAAGGGAGTCAGTGTGTCACACCTCACCTCCAACATTGGGGATCAAATTTCAACATGAGATTTTGAGGAGATAGATACCCAAACTATATTATATGGTGATATCAATTCAGTGATAATAATAAGCACCTAATAAAGATATTGTCACAATTAAACCCTCAAGCAGAAGGCTTGGCACATTTAATGTCCATGAAATTTAGTCTTTTCCTTTAAATGTTTGAATATGATATTTGTCACATTTCCTTTAGAGGTAAACTGATCGTGTCTGGAAAAATGCCAATTAAAATCTCTGACTCTTTTCTTAGCATAAAGTATTTGGGGACAGAAGGTCAATAAACATTTCCATTTTTTCCTGTTTACTCTTTCTGAGTATGGTGTTTATCTTTTCTATGCTACGGTTGAGCTCTGAATGAATTTAGTGTTTTCAAAGGTGATCTCCCTGGGTATTTGCAGCAACTTAATCCTCAGAAGAAGAAAGAAATGTCATTGCCTTGCATCCTGTGTTGACTCCAAAATTCATTTCCTTGACACCAGGAATGCTGGACTTGTTCAGTTGTTTTAAGGAGGAAACTCAATTTTTGATTAAAAATATTAGTATAGACAAATTTGTTTTTCCAGGCTTTCATTCAGATGCCAGTCGAGAATATACTTCCTGCTTCTGGAGAGAAGTTGAGGAATTTGAATAGGCACTAAAGACTATTTAGCTTAACTTACTTTTTTTTGTATATAAAGACATTGAATTTCTGAGAAAGGAAGTGATTTGCCCAGTCATCCTGCCAGTAAGTGGCACAATTGGCACTAGAAGAGTAGAAAGTTTGGGAGGGTGGAAAGGGTAATGTTTATTATTTACTTTGTGTTGACACTACATTCACCATCCAATTTAGTTTTTACAGCAATAGTCTCTGGTTGGTCAGTAGTGGAACAGGGATCCAAACTCGTTTCAGGGTTCTATAGCTGCCAATTAATTACACAGCAAACCTCTTGCCCCTTCCCTAATCTTTTAGCTTGTCTATGAAATAAGAGAAATTCTAGCTACTCCTGAGTGGCTGTAAGGATTAAATAAAATATTAAAGTGTATGGGGATTGATAAAAGAGGAAAGAAAAGAAAAGAAACATTCAACAGGTGCTGAACACCTGCTTTTGTCCTCCGATTTGACACCTTCCTCTAGTGGCCATGTGGGCATAGGGCACTGGTCCCTACTTCCTGTTGCACAGATCTCTATCCATTTGTCTGTCAAGCACCATGATTAATTTGTTTTACATTTGATTCTCTCCTTCCAGCTGAATCCTTCAAGGAATTTGCTGAATTGCTCAACGAGGTAGAAAATGAGAGGATGATGATGGTAAGTCACTAACGCTGTCACTGAAGCTGAGTTCATGGGTGATATAGGGGATTTTTCCTTTCCTTTATGCTTGGATTGATCCTATACTATTTTGATTTCTGTCAGATAGCTTCTTGGTGCTATAAAAATAGTTAGGTAATAGATCTGGTTATTATGTCTCAAGCTTCCACCCTGAGAGTTTGGCATTAGATAGAGGGAAATTAACGTGCAAATCCCATCTGTGTTCATTTCAGTGAAAAATAATTTCAGTGGATATTAAACTGGGCCTTTGAACATGTTGACAGAAATTGAGGTCTTTAGTGTTTTTAGCCAAATTATCCATTTGTTAATCTTTAATTTGTGGAGTAGTTTTACTTTTATAGAGAAAATCAGTAGAAAATAAAGATAGAACTCATATACCACCTTTCTCTCTCCCATTCAGTTTTCCCTATTATTAAACATCATGTGAATGTGATACATTTGTTATAATTGATGAGCCAATATTGAAACAATATTATTAACTAAAGTTCATAGTTTACATTAGAATTTACTCTTGGTATTATACATTTTATAGATTTGACAAATATATAATGACATGTATCCACCATTACAGTGTCACCATACAGAATAGATTCATGGCCGTGAACATTTCTTTTGTCCAATCTATTCATCCTTCTCTTCCTTCTCCAGTCCTGAAACCCTGACAACCACTGATCTTTCTTTTTATTGTGTTTTGCCTTTTCCAGAATGTTTATAGTAGATATCAAACAGTATGTAGCCATTTCAGATTGGCGTATTTGACTTAGCAATATGCATTTTATTTTCCTGTCATTTATTTTTATCATTAAGTAATATCCCATTGTATGATTTACCACAGTTTGTCCACTCACCTACTGAGGGACATCTTGGTTATTTTGGCAATTATAAGGAAAACTATTATAAACAGTTGTATGTAGGTTTTTGTGTTGATACAAATTTCCAACTGATTTGGTTAAATAATAAGGAGTGTAATTGCTGGAGTGTAAATTGTCAGGGTATGTTTAATTTTGTAAGAAATTGCCAACCAACTTCCAAAATAGCTGTGCCATTTCGCATAACCAGCAATGAATCAGAGATCCTGTTGCTCCATGTCCTCGCCAGCTCCATGTTCTTACCAGCATTTGCTGTTGTCAGTGTTCTGGATTTTAGCCATTCTCACGGATGTGTAGTGGTATCTCATTACTGTTGTAATTTGCAACTCCCTAATCACATATCATGCAGAGCATCTTTCCATATGCTTAACTGCCATCGGTATATCCTTTCTGGTGAGGTATTTGTTCAGTTCTTTTGCCTATTATTAAATTGATTTTCTTTTGTTAAGTTTTAAGAGTTCTTTGTATATTTTAGATTCCAGACCTTTATCCAATAGGCATTTGCAAAGATTTTCTCCTCGTCTGTGGCTTGTCTTTTTATTTTCTTAATAGTCTCTTTTGCATTGCATAGGTTTTTAATTTTAATGAAGTCCAACTTACACATTTTTGCTTTAATGGATCATACTTTTGGTGTTATATCTAAAAAGTCTTTTCCAAATCCAAGGTCACCCAGATTTTCTCCTATGTTATATTTTTGGAATTTTTTAGCTTTTTGTTTTACATTTAGGTCAATGATTCATTTTGAATTAATTTTTATGAAGGATATAAGGTCTGTGTCTAGATTCACTGTTTTGCATGTGGATATCCAGTTGCTCCAACACTGTTTTTTGAAAATACTATTCTTTCTCCTTGAATTACCTTTTGTCCTTTATCAAAGATCACTTGACTATATTTATATGGGTCTGTATCTGGGCTCTCTATTTCTGTTGCATTGATCTATTTATCTATTCTTTCACAAATACCACACTATCTTCATTACTTTAGCATGGTAGTAATTGCACTGTAGTAAAAAGCATTGAAGTCAGGTATAAGCTTAAGAATCAGTTTGTTCATATCCACAAAATAACTTGCTGGGATTTTGACTGGGATTGCTTTTAAGATCCTAGAGATATCTTTTTGATTTTGATTAGGATTTGCTTTTAAGCTACCAGGGAAAAACTGATATCTTAAAAATATTGACTTTTCCTAATTATAAACGTGGGTTATCTCTCCATTTATTTATATCTTTTTTGATTTTTTTCATCAGAGTTTTGTAGTTTCCTTATATAGATATTTTATGTATTTTGCTAGATTTCTACTTAAGTGTTTCATTTTTATGAAGTCTAATTATTTTAACAGCCTAAAAATAATCTTTTTGTGTGGTCCTTAGACCGGCAGTACCATCATGACCAGCACCAGCAGAAAATTATTGGAAATACTGGTCCTTGTACCCATCCCAGACTTATTGGGGACTTAAATGTTGAAATGTATGCGTTGATCAATATTCATTTTTATTAGGGGCATGATGGTAAGATGGGAATTCTGTTTTACTTTTCTCCATCAGATGACTTTTTGTGGGCTTCTCAGTTTTGTTAAAGCTATTTATTCCAACAGCCAGAACTAATTTACCTATAAAATCCCTTTCTTTTCAACAGTGTGGTACTGACTTCTCAAAATACTGCTCATAGAATCTAGACTCCTAGAGAAGTAGGAATGAAGGCAGGACTTGGAGGTAGGGGAATTAGAGAATTAAGGCTCTAATTCTGGATCTGTCACTAACTTGTTGACTTCAGATTAATTACTTCATTTTTCTGGGCTCCTTTTTCTTATTTGTAGAGTGAGGAAAATAATCCCCATCTCTTATGGTTGTTTAAAGTGCTCCAAATAACATAGTAAACATGGACGTGTTTTATAAGGGGAAAATACTGATTATGTAAGCATGGTTTTTAGTTATCTTTAGTTACTCACAGGATTCTGCTTGTGGAAATATGATTTGGGAATTTTCTTAGTTTAAAATATTTGCTTTTAAATGTACTAAGAAGAGACCAATATGTGTGGTTTCCCTGGACCCTCTTAGATGGCCCCCTTGCTAATACACAGTCTACTAAATGTTCTTCTCTGCCCACAGGGTTTGTGGACTGCTGCCTATGTTGTTTTCAAAGGCATTTGCCCCCATTTCATTCAGATAGCACTAGAAAGCTCAGCTGTACTTCTCTTTAGCCCTAGTTGTTTCTCCATCTCTTTTATTTACCCAATAACAAAGCCCTCACATATTGAAGTAGTATTCATCTTTTGAGATGTTGTTTTTCTCACCCTTCCTGCTGATACTTTGCCACATGACTGACTCATTTTCTTCTGTCTTTAATTATGTTGTGCCCTTTTGTCCCAACAACTTTTCAATCGTATATTGAGTGTTTGCTCCCTATTTCCCACTTAATTCCAGGAATGCTGAGATGGTTAGGCTTAATGAGTGCCTTTCACCCCATGCCAGGAATTCATTGCTTGATTATAACTTTTCCATTTCCTGGCTTTGTAGCAAAAGGACCCCTCTACCCCAGTCTGGATAATTTAGTGGGTCTTATATTGCATTTTATCCTTTGTAAAAGAAGAGTCCAAAGTAAGCTTTAGAATAACAGTAAGAAAGTTCACAGCACTCAAGCATGGAAATTGCCTGTGTCTGGTCATCTCCATAAATGAATATAAATTGGGGAAGGAATTATGATGGGGAGAAGTGAGGAAGGGCATCCCTGTGATGTTCTCAAAAGTATACTGTTGGGGCTGGGTGCGGTGGCTCACGCTTTTAATCCTAGCTCTTTGGGAGGCTGAGGCAGGCAGATCGCTTGAGGCCAGGAGTTCAAGAGCAGCCTGGTCAACATGGTGAAATCCCGTCTCTACTAAAAATACAAAAATTAGCTGGGCGTTATCGTGCATCTCTAGTCCCAGCTACTCGGGAGGCTGAGGTGGGAGGATCACCTGAACCTGAGGAGGTCAAGGCTGCAGTGAGCCATGATCATGCCACTGTACTACAGCCTGGGCGAGTAAGGCCCTGCCAAAAAAAAAAAAAAAAAAAAAAAAAAAAAAAAAAGAGCGGGGGAGGGCCTTGAAAAGTCTGAATTGCACACTTCTTATATGATTATGAAGCTTGCCTAGATTCCTTTCTGACTCTGAAGGGGCCTCTGTTGGCAATGTGCAAGGTCTGTTTTTGAAGACGGCCAAAAGTGACCTAAAGAGGCCCCCATAATATTTCAGCCTGTCTTTAGTGCTCTTTTTTTAAAAAAAAATTTTTTTTATTTTATTTTTTGTGACGGAGTCTCCCTCTGTTGCCCAGGCTGGAGTGCAGTGGCGTGATTTCGGCTCACTGCAGCCTCCGCCTCCTGGGTTCAAGTGATTCTCCTGCCTCAGCCTCCTGAGTAGCTGGGACTACAGGCACCCACCACCATGCCCAGCTAATTTTTGTATTTTTAGTAGAGATGGGGTTTTGCCATGTTGGCCAGGCTAGCCTGGAACTCCTGGCCTCAGCTGATCCACCCGCCTTGGCCTCCCAAAGTGCTGGGATTACAGGCGCAAGCCACTGCGCCTGGCCCAGTGCTCTCTTTTGATATTTCATTTACCATCAAAGATTCCTGAGCAGTCCTGCAATACTGGACTGAATATCATCTCTATTCTGCTCAACACCTTCAGTGTTACTTTGGCCTTTATTCAATAGGATTCTGATGATAGAAACTCACTAATGAGTTTAGGATGTCACTCGTTATGGTGAAGAGTCTACCTGAGGTAGCAGGTGGGAGTTTTTGTCCCCAGTGAGCTCACACAATGAATGCAGTGATTAGAAAAGAGATTAAAGGCCAAATTTACTTCAAAGGGGAGTCATTGCTAGAGTTCTAAGGGGTTTAAGAATAAAATGGAGTGAAAAAGAAAAAAGAGGAAATCCTCAATGTGACTTTTTTCTACATTCCTAAGTCTCTATTCTGACCAGAAAATAGTATAATAACCAATGAGTGTCATAGAGAGGAAAAGATTCAGAGTATCTGTTTGTGCTGTAGGAGACTGGGAGCAGTGTTGCCAAAGTGATTAAGGGAAAATGATGTCCTGCAATTCTAGTAAAGCATGGACTATTTTTCAGACTGAACTGGGGTCAAACATGTAAAAGTCAGTGGCCTTATGGACCCTGTGAGAGAAGTTGCTGACACACTTGCTTATGCAGGACAATCCCCTTTGGAGCATGAAAAGCCAGCAACTCTGCCCTCCTGGGGGTTCCTGAATATGCAAGGGCCCAGCTCCATACAGTGCTTTAGAAAGTAGTATGTACACTTCTTATTCAAAGGAAAACTTCCTCAATGTTTCACAGTTGGCCACTTCTTAGGTATTACATTTATTTATTTATTTATTTGTTTTTGAGACTGAGTCTTACTCTGTCACCCAGGCTGGAGAGCAGTGGCACAGTCTTGGCTCACTGCAACCTCCGCCTCCTGGGTTCAAGTGATTCTCCTGCCTCAGCCTCCCGAGTAGCTGGGATTACAGGCATGTGCCACCTCGCCCGGCTAGTTTTTTGTATTTGTAGCAGAGACGGGGTTTCACCATTTTGACCAGGCTGGTCTCGAACCCCTGACCTTAGGTGATTCACCTGCCTCGGCTTCCCAAAGTGCTAGGATTACAGGTGTGAGCCACTGCACCTGGCCTGTATTACATTTTTTTAAACTGCAAATTGTCTTTCTAATTATCTATTGCTTCATAACAACTTTTTCTAATATTAGTGGCTGAAACCAGGGTCCCCAACCCCTAGCCTGCAGGGCACCAGTCTGTGGCCTGTTAGGAGCCTGACCACACAGCAGGAGGTGAGCAGCAGGATAGGGAGCATTACTGCTTGAGCTCTGCCTGCTATCAGATCAGTGGCAGCATTAGATTCTCATAGGAGCAAACCCTGTTGTGAACTGGGCATGCAGGATCTAGGTTGCATGCTGTTTATGACAATCTAATGCCTGATGATCTGAGGTTGAATAGTTTCATCCTGAAACCATCTCCACCTCCCCCTACCCTGGGTCCATTGAAAAATTGTCTTCCATGATTCTGCTCCCTGGTGCCAAAAAGGTTGCAGATTACTGGCTTAAACTAAAACTAATTATTTGTAATTATTTTTTGGGTTAGGCATTCAGACGGGTCAGCTGGGCGATTCTTCTGCTCCAAATGATGGCATTTACCTGGCAGATGAGTTGATATGGAGGGTCCAAAATGGTTTTCCTAATGTTTGGCACCTTCCAGTGGGGATGGCAGGAAGGGCGGATTCAGCTGGTATGAGACATTGACTAGAATTTGGCCTCTTCTGTTTGGTAATCTCAGGGTAATTAAACTTCTTATGTACTGTCTCAAGGCTCCTAGTGGGAGTATTCCAAGAGAACTGGGAGAGAACTGGTGCTGGCCTTTTATGACCTAGCTTCAAATGTCACAGAGTGTTACTTCTGGAGTACTCTATTTGTTCAAAATATTAACAAGCCCACTCACATTCAAGGTAGAGGGGACATAGACCTCACCTCTCAATGGAAGGTATGTCAGAGTTTGTGGCCATGTTTTAAAGCTTCCACAATAGTAAAGGAGAAAAATGACTTTCTGTACTGGACCTATGACACCAATAACTTAATTTGTGGGTATTTTTAGTAGAAGAAGTCTTATTTTCAATTAAGGAGAGTCACTGGTGTAATTTTTTTTTGATACCATAATTGTTAGTGGAGCTTTGATTTCCTAAGCAACCAAAATGAATCTTTCTATGAATCAGACCTGCATAGAGAAGTCTTTACTAGGGGCTCTTGCAGGGTGGAATTTATAGACTTTCCTGCCTTTGGCAAATGAGCACACTCAGAGATAAAGAGAATGTTAAGTGTCGTACTGGGAGGTAGGTTATAGTACGATTAGGACTCAATGGGGTTTCATAGATCCAGTAGAAGAGAAGAGATGTGATGAGAATCAGACAGGGTCTGGAAATGTTAGCAGGCAAGAGGTCTGATTTTGTAAAAATCAGCAAACTTTGGGAAGGGTTTCATGATTTTTTAAGTCTAGGCTTGTAGCAAACAAGTTTTAGAAAGCCAACTATAAAAGCACTGGTGATCAGGAGACATAGAGAATGACTCTGTTCTCAAGGAAAACATTTTTTTTCTTGCCTAGTTTTATATTTTTTTTTGCTGGGTGCTGGCTGTCCTGGATGATAGCATTAGGAGCTGCAGTAGATCAGAATGTCAGGGTTCACCAAGATGTTCTCATACAAAGGCTGGCAGTGCCATTTTAGGAGTTTTCCCATTTAGTTGAACCTTGAATCATACC
Organism: Homo sapiens; assembly: GCF_000001405.40. Lineage (NCBI taxonomy): Eukaryota > Metazoa > Chordata > Mammalia > Primates > Hominidae > Homo > Homo sapiens. Next base: position 68,275,874 of record NC_000023.11, on the reverse strand, counting down.
TATACACAGAACAAGAGGCCCAAATTACCTGAAAGACACGTATAACCTATGCACTAATGCCCCACAACTTTCCACACTTTTGGGGAGGTAGGTTAAAAATTGCTTCTTAGATTGGAGAACTCAGATCTTGTCAAAACTGGCTTTTTCCTCTGTTGTCTATTTTTGTTATGAAGATATATCTTGTCTTACTGACACCTATGTCTCATATGACAAGGAAACTTGTCTTTTAGTTTTCTGTCTTGTAATTAATAAAAATTAATGCAATGATTCCCAAAATGCAGCCCTTTAGATGCCTTCTCTAGGGTCTTCCATTTTAGTGATTCTAACTCTCACCATGGAGGCACAAACCCCACTTGTTGCCTTGAACATATACAATCTCATAAGAGGTTTATATGAAGAAAAAGCTTTGTATACCTTTACCTGCCCAAAGAACAAGGGGTCTTCTTTGATTTTGATGTTTTCATATCTCCAGAACATATTTATTATTGCCAATATTAATAGTCCCTGAACAGGCCATTCCTATTAGCTTCTGAGCATTTATATTTAGGTAATTTGAAAGCCTAGTCTAGTGTTTTCTGCGATGCTGTAATGCACTCCATATTCTGAAGGAAATGTTCTGGTTTTATGGCACAGGCAGGACTGTAAATGTTTTATCCTAATGCTATCACTGCACACTCATTTGCCTCTGATGAAATGATTTGCACTTGCTGCAATTGTCCTTTTCTTGTATTTGCCATTCTCTTTCTCTTCTCTTTTTCACCTGTCCTTCAGGTCTCCTGTGTCCTCTGCTGGACATCACTTCAGATATTTATCGATTAAAAACTCAGGTCAGACTATCATTAAAGTTACAGAGAAATGCCCCTCTTATTCTTTCTCCCATTTCTTCTCAATGCATTTGATTTTTCAGAAACAATATAGAAACAAACAGTAACAAAACCCAACAAATCAGCAAACCATTTAACATTTTGCAGGTTGGTATATAAATGAAAATGTAGTAACAAGGAATCTTGTATCTGAACCTTGTTAACCTAGAAATTGTTTTGTTTGTTTTTCCTTTTTGTCTAGGTACACAATGCTAGTGATTTGCTGATTAAACCCTTGGAAAATTTCCGGAAGGAACAAATAGGCTTCACCAAGGTACATTTTCTGTATATGCATAAGATTTTTTAAAATAGCAATCGAATAGTTGTATGGGCTACTATTCTTCACTTTACAAAGATATGCACCAATCTGCTGGTGCTTTGCTCTTGGCCTAGTCAGCCTCCTAAACTGTGCAAAATAAATGTTTGTTGTTTATGTCACCCTGTCTATGGCATTCTGTTATAGTAGCCTCAGCTAACATGACAAAGGGGGTGGGGAGGTGGGTGATTAGTTTCTATGAGAAAATGATCACGAAAGAGAGTAAGAAAATCTAGAATTGGCCTCTGACTTTGTGGCCAACAGGCTCTGTATCTGTGCATAAGTTTCTTCTTCTTTTGGTGTTTTTGTTGTTTTGTCTGGAAAACTAGCTAGCTATCATGTATCAACTGCCTGCTATATTGAGCACTAGGCTAGGTGCTTTACGTTCATTCTTTAATCACAAGGACTTTGTGTGCTTCTGGCATTTTCCCCATTTCACAAATGAGGTAACTGAGCCTTGGACAAGATAAATAACATGACCAAAGTTATATAGCTGGTGATATAGTTTGGATCTGTGTCCCCACCTAAATTTCATGTTCAGTTGTAATTCCCAGTGTTGGAGGTGGGGCCCAGTGGGAGGTGATTGCATCATGGGGGTGGATCCTTCATGAATGGTTCAGTACTATCCCCTCGATGCTGTTCTCCTAGTGGTGAGTGAGTTCTCATCACATCTGGTTGTTTGAAAGTATGTAGCAACTCCCCCACTTCTTGCTCCTGCTCTGGCCATGTAAGATGTACCTGCTTTCCTTTCACCTTCTGCCATGATTTTGTTTCCTGAGACTTCACCAAAGGAGAAGCTGCTGTACTTCCTGTACAGCTTGCAGAACTGTGAGCCCATTAAATCTCTTTTCTTTATAAATTACCCAGTCTCAGGTATTTCTTTATAGCAGTGCTAGAACAGACTGATGTGGTTAGTAAGTGATAGTGGCCTGGATTTAGACCTAAAGGTCTTTTTAGCTTTACGTTCCATACTCTTTACATTAAGCTATGCTGTCTAGATCTTTGCTGTCTATTATGGTAACTACTATCTATTTAAATAAAATTAAATTAACAACTCAGCTCCTCATTCTTTCTAGCCACATTTCAAGTGCTCAGCAGTCACTTGTGTCTAGTAGCTACTGTGTTGGACAGTGCAGATAAAATACATTTCCATCATTGTGCAAAGTTCCGTTGGACAATACTGAGTGCCAGTTAATTTCATTCTTTTCAGCTTGACCATCACATGGATCTCTGTGATTCTCCAATGTCTGTTGAAGGGATGTTAATAATTTTCATTTTTAATCTTTTCAGCTAGGTGTAGGTCTGTTTCATGAGCTCTCAATGTGTATCCACCATGTAGCAAAGGTAGTTTCTTCTACCAGGGCTAAAATACAGCATCTTGTCCAAGCATCTAGTTTTCTTAGGACTAAGAGCATACCAACCAGTAGATATTATTTGGAATATGATGACAATCAGTTTGGATCAAGAATTTGAAAACAGCAAGTTTTTCTTTTTTTAAAAGACACTTTCTTGCCAACTCAGCCTCCCAAAGTGCTGGTATTACAGGCATGAGCCACCATGCCTGGCCATGAAAGTACCAAATTTTGAGAAGAAAGAGCAAATTAGTGGTTGAGCTCCCACTACCTGCTATCATCAGATTGACATGGGCATTGTTAGAAATGACTGGTGTTCAAGCAAAGTGAGTTCCCCTCATAGCCCAGCAATACTTGTTTCACTGGAGTCTCATTAACATCAATACTTAGTTGGGAGAGGATATGATTGAAGAATAGAAGTATATTTAAAATTACAACTGAGGATAAAAATACTTAACCACTTGTGAAACAATTTGATTTACTTTCATTCCCTTATAAGAATAACACTAGGAAAGTAAGGATATGCTACCATGGTTGCCCTCATATTATCTGAGCAAATGGAAATGAATTTGTATTATGTGCAGTCATGCGTCGCCTAATGTTGTTCTGAGAAATGCATCATTACATGTTTTCATGGTTGTGTGAACTTCATAGGAGTTTGCTTAACACAAACCTCGATGGTCTAGCCTAATACACAACTAGGCTATATGGTATAGCCTATTGCTCCTAGGCTACAAACTTGTACGGGTGTTAACTGTACTGAATAATATAGGCAGTTATAACCCAATGGTAAGTATTTGTTTATCTAAACATATAAAGCATACATATAAAAATACTGTATTATAATCTTATAGGACTGTCATTGTATATGCGGTTCATTGTTTACTAAAACATTGTTTTGTGGTGCATGACTGCACTTCCTATGGCCCATGCCTGCACTGAGGGTTTTACATATGCTTTCTTCCTTAATTCTCACAGCAAACCTGTGAGGTAGGATTTTTAATATCCATTGTCTCAATGAAGAAAGTGAGTCTCAGAAAGGTTAAATATGTATCTATCTTTTTTCATACTTCTTTACCAGTAAGGCCAACCTGCATATCTACAAAGAAGACCAACTTAGTATGAGTCATGTCTCCAATAAACTATCTAGAATTCCAATAGTCAAAATGAAGCTTATAGGCTACCCCTGTGTGTTATCAATTTATTGCCAATCAATTCCAAGCCTCTCAATACCTGCTCTGTGATAATGGACAGATTTTCTTTAAGCATCTTTCCTTTATAGTGAGCACACTCTTAAACTTTCTCAGTAGAGGGAGCTGGAGGACGTTGCAGGAGGAAGGGGGATCTCTTGAAGTTTCCAGCTGAGGCGGGGTTGGGGCAGGGTGGGGAGGACAGCTTGATGGAACTCTGACCCAGCCACCCACCCAGACACATGGTGCCTCAATCTCCTTGAAGCCTTCATGACCATGCTGTCCCTCAGCTTCCTTCTGTAGACCCCCTACCCCACATGGCCCACTTGCTGGCTGAAGAGTTATCATGCAGCTATTACCCTCTCTGCAGGGCCCTCATACATTGAGCTTGCACCCTAGGGGGTTCTCACCAAACAAGGCTGGCCCCGTTGAGCTCACCTGCAACTCAGTTTTCCCACCTTCTCTTTATACCTTCTCCGCTGGTCACTGTTGGCCTGCTTTTTTGTAATCTGGTGAGTTGCCTCCTGCTTACATAGTAACTATGAACCACCGGGCCAAATCAGCAAACATTCTGCTATCCGGAGTGTTAAATTACTCCTTTTCTTTTTTTGTGAGACAGGGTGGGTCTCACTCTGTCACCCATACTGAGGTGCAGTGGCAGAATCATGGCTCACTTCAGCCTCAACCTCCCTGGGCTCAGGTGATCCTCTCACCTCAGCCTCTCAAGTTGCTGGGACTACAGGCACATACCACCATGCCTGGCTAATTTTTTTTTTTTTTTTGTAATTTCTGTAGAGATAGGGTTTCGCCATGTTGCCCAGACTGGTCTCGAATGCCTGAGCTCAAGCAGCCCTCCTGGCTTGGCCTCCCAAAGTGTTAGAATTACAGGCGTGAGCTACCACGCCCCACCAAATTACTGCTTTTCAAGTGAGGTCTGAACCCCATTAAAATTTCTCCTTATTTGAGTACTTTTCCTTAAACTTAGAGTACCATATAGAGTTTTCTTATATGTCAATTATTTGTAAGGTTTTCTATCTCCTGATTGGACTTAGCCTGGTATACCCAGCACTGCTGCTAGCTGGCTTTGTGAGTTCACTGGTTGTGATAGGTGCTATATTAGGCCCTTACTCATACATATCCAGTTCTCATTTGAACCTCAGAACAATCTTGCAAAAGTTATTATCCCCCATTAACAGGTGGGGACACTAAGTTCAGTGAGGTGTAGCCTCTAAGGTCACTCAGTAGCTTGGATATGAATTGAGATCTGGTTGTAAGTCTAGGGCTCATTTCACTTTGCAGGAAACAGCACTTCTCTCCGAACCTTAGTTTTCTCATGGCTCATGACAACAAGAACAATGGACAAATATTCCAAATCTGATCTTCTGTTAGTTTGAGATTCTTTTTTTTTAATTATTATTATAATTTAAGTTCTAGGGTACATGTGCACAACGTGCAGGTTTGTTACATATGTATACATGTGCCATGTTGGTGTGCTGCACCCATTAACTCGTCATTTACATTAGGTATATCTCCTAATGCTATCCCTCCCCCCTCCCCCCACCCCACAACAGGCCCCAGTGTGTGATGTTCCCCTTCCTGTGTCCATGTGTTCTCATTGTTCAATTCCCACCTATGAGTGAGAACATGTGGTGTTTGGTTTTTTGTCCTTGTGATAATTTGCTGAGAATAATGGTTTCCAGCTTCATCCATGTCCCCACAAAGGACATGAACTCATCCTTTTTTATGGCTACATAGTATTCCATGGTGTATATGTGCCACATTTTCTTAGTCCAGTCTATCATTGATGGACATTTGGGTTGGTTCCAAGTCTTTGCTATTGTGAATAGTGCCGCAATAAACATATGTGTGCATGTGTCTTTATAGCAGCATGACTTATAATCCTTTGGGTATATACCCAGTAATGGGATGGCTGGGTGAAATGGTATTTCTAGTTCTAGATCCCTGAGGAATTGCCACACTGACTTCCACAAGGGTTGAACTAGTTTACAGTCCCACCAACAGTGTAAAAGTGTTCCTATTTCTCCACATCCTCTCCAGCACCTGTTGTTTCCTGACTTTTTAATGATTGCCATTCTAACTGGTGTGAGATGGTATCTCATTGTGGTTTTGATTTGCATTTCTCTGATGACCAGTGACGATGAGCATTTTTTCCTGTGTCTGTTGACTGCATAAATGTCTTCTTTTGAGAAGCATCTGTTCATATTCTTTGCCCACTTTTTGATGGGGTTGTTTGTTTTTTTCTTGTAAATTTGTTTGAGTTCATTGTAGATTCTGGATATTAGCCCTTTGTCAGATGAGTAGACTGCAAAATTTTTCTCCCATTCTGTAGGTTGCCTGTTCGCTCTGATGGTAGTTTCTTTTGCTGTGCAGCAGCTCTTGAGTTTAATTAGATCCCATTTGTCAATTTTGGCTTTTGTTGCCATTGCTTTTGGTGTTTTAGACATGAAGTCCTTGCCCATGCCTATGTCCTGAATGGTATTGCCTGAGTTTTCTTCTAGGGTTTTTATGGTTTTAGGTCTAACATGTAAGTCTTTAATCCATCTTGAATTAATTTTTGTATAAGGTGTAAGGAAGGGATCCAGTTTCAGCTTTCTACATATGGCTAGCCAGTTTTCCCAGCACCATTTATTAAATAGGGAATCGTTTCCCCATTTCTTGTTTTTGTCAGGTTTGTCAAAGATCATATGGTTGTATATATGTGGCATTATTTCTGAGGGCTCTGTTCTGTTCCATTGGTCTATATCTCTGTTTTGGTACCAATACCATGCTGTTTTGGTTACTGAAGCCTTGTAGTATAGTTTGAAGTCAGGTAGCATGATGCCTCCAGCTTTGTTCTTTTGGCTTAGGATTGACTTGGCGATGTGGGCTCTTTTTTGGTTCCATATGAACTTCAAAGTAGTTTTTTCCAATTCTGTGAAGAAAGTCTTTGGTAGCTTGATGGAGATGGCATTGAATCTATAAATTACCTTGGGCAGTATGGCCATTTTCACGATATTGATTCTTCCTACCCATGAGGATGGAATGTTCTTCCATTTATTTGTATTCTCTTTGATTTCATTGAGCAGTGGTTTCTAGTTCTCCTTGAAGAGGTCCTTCATGTCCCTTGTAAGTTGGATTCCTAGGTATTTTATTCTCTTTGAAGCAATTGTGAATGGGAGTTCACTCATGATTTGGCTCTCTGTCTGTTATTGGTGCATAAGAATGCTTATGATTTTTGCACATTGATTTTGTATCCTGAGACTTTGCTGAAGTTGCCTATCAGCTAAAGGAGATTTTGGGCTAAGACAGTGCGGTTTTTTAGGTATACAATCGTGTCATCTGCAAACAGGGACAATTTGACTTCCTCTTTTCCTAATTGAATACCCTTTATTTCCTTCTCCTGCCTGATTGCCCTTGCCAGAACTTCCAAAACTATGTTGAATAGGAGTGGTGAGAGAGGGCATCCCTGTCTTGTGCCAGTTTTCAAAGGGAATGCTTCCAGTTTTTGCCCATTCAGTATGATATTGTCTGTGGGTTTGTCATAGATAGCTCTTATTATTTTGAGATACGTCCCATCAATGCCTAATTTATTGAGAGTCTTTAGCATGAAGCGTTGTTGAATTTTGTCAAAGGCCTTTTCTGCATCTATTGAGATAATCATATGGTTTTTGTCATTGGTTCTGTTTATATGCTGGATTACGTTTATTGATTTGCATATGTTGAACCAGCCTTGCATCCCAGGGATGAAGCCCACTTGATCATGATAGATAAGCTTTTTGATGTGCTGCTGGATTCGGTTTGCCAGTATTTTACTGAGGATTTTTGCATTTACGTTCATCAGGGATATTGGTCTAAAATTCTCTTTTTTTGTTGTGTCTCTGCCTGGCTTTGGTATCAGAATGATGCTGGCCTCATAAAATGAGTTAGGGAGGATTCCTTCTTTTTTATTGACTGGAATAGTTTCAGAAGGAATGGTACGAGCTGCTCCTTGTACCTCTGTATTCTGTACCTCTGTATTCTGTATTCTGTACCTCTGTATTCTGTACCTCTGTATTCTGTAGAATTCGGCTGTGAATGCATCTGCTCCTGGACTTTTTTTGGTTGGTAAGCTATTAATTATTGCCTCAATTTCAGACCTGTTACTGGTCTATTCAGAGATTCAACTCCTTCCTGGTTTAGTCTTGGGAGGGTATATGTGTCGAGGAATTTATCCATTTCTTCTAGATTTTCTAGTTTATTTGCATAGAGGTGTTTATAGTATTCTCTGATGGTAGTTTGTATTTCTGTGGGATCGGTGGTGATATCCCCTTTATCATTTTTTGTTGCATCTATTTGATACTTCTCTCTTTTATTCTTTATTAGTCTTGCTAGCGGTCTATCAGTTTTGTTGATCTTTTCAAAAAACCAGCTCCTGGATTCATTGATTTCTTTGAAGCATTTTTTGTGTCTCTGTTTCCTTCAGTTCTGCTCTGATCTTCATTAACTATTTGTTGCCTTCTGCTGGCTTTTGAATGTGTTTGCTCTTGCTTCTCTAGTTCTTTTAATTGTGATGTTAAGGTATCAATTTTAGATCTTTCCTGCTTTCTCTTGTGGGCATTTAGTGCTATCAGTTTCCCTCTACACACTGCTTTGAATGTGTCCCAGAGATTCTGGTATGTTGCGTCTTTGTTCTCATTGGTTTCAAAGAACATCTTTATTTCTGCCTTCATTTCGTTATGTACCCAGTAGTCATTCGGGAGCAGGTCGTTCAGTTTCCATGTAGTTGAGCGGTTTTGAGTGAGTTTCTTAATCCTGAGTTCTAGTTTGATTGCACTGTGGTCTGAGAGATAGTTTGTTATAATTTCTGTTCTTTTACATGTGCTGAGGAGTGCTTTACTTCCAACTATGTGGTCAATTTTGGAGTAGGTGTGGTGTGGTGCTGAGAAGAATGTATATTCTGTTGATTTGGGGTGGGGAGTTCTGTAGATGTCTATTAGGTCTGCTTGCTGCAGAGCTGAGTTCAATTCCTGGATATCCTTGTTAACTTTCTGTCTCTTTGATCTGTCTAATGTTGACAGTGGAGTGTTAAAGTCTCCCATTATTATTGTGTGGGAGTCTAAGTCTCTTTCTCGATCTCTAAGGACTTGCTTTATGAATCTGTGTGCTCCTGTATTGGGTGCATATATATTTAGGATAGTTAGCTCTTCTTGTTAAATTGATCCCTTTACCATTATGTAATGGCCTTCTTTGTCTCTTTTGATCTTTGTTGGTTTAAAGTCTGTTTTATCAGAGACTAGGATTGCAAACCCTGCTTTTTTTTGCTTTCCATGTGCTTGGGAGATCTTCTTCCATCCCTTTATTTTGAGCCTATGTGTGTCTCTGCACGAGAGATGGGTCTCCTGAATACAGCACACTGATGGGTCTTGACTCTTTATCCAATTTGCCAGTCTGTGTCTTTTAATTGCAGCATTTAGCCCATTCACATTAAGGTTAATATTGTTACGTGTAAATTTGATCCTGTCATTACGATGTTAGCTAGTGATTTTGCTCGTTAGTTGATGCAGTTTCTTCCTAGCATTGATAGTCTTTACAATTTGGCATGTTTTTGCAGTGGCTGGTACCGGTTGTTCCTTTCCATGTTTAGTGCTTCCTTCAGGAGCTCTTGTAGGGGAGGCCTGGTGGTGACAAAATCTCTCAGCATTTGCTTGTCTGTAAAGGATTTTATTTCTCCTTTACTCATGAAGCTTAGTTTGGCTGGATATGAAATTCTGGGTTGAGAATTCTTTTCCTTAAGAATGTTGAATATTGGCCCCCACTCTCTTTTGGCTTCTAGAGTTTCTGCCGAGCGATCAGCTGTTAGTCTGAGGGACTTCCCTTTGTGGGTAACCCGACCTTTCTTTCTGGCTGCCCTTAACATTTTTTCCTTCATGTGAACTTTGGTGAATCTGACAATTATGTGTCTTGGAGTTGCTCTTCTCGAGGAGTATCTTTGTGGCGTTCTCTGTATTTCCTGAATGTGAATGTTGGCCTGCCTTGCTAGATTGGGGAAGTTCTCCTGGATAATATCCTGCAGAGTGTTTTCCAACTTGGTTCCATTCTCCCCGTCACTTTCAGGTACACCAATCAGACGTAGATTTGGTCTTTTCACATAGTCCCATATTTCTTGGAGGCTTTGTTTGTTTCTTTTTATTCTTTTTTCTCTAAACCTCTCTTCTCACTTCATTTCATTCATTTGATCTTCCGTCACTGATACCCTTTCTTCCACTTGATCGAATTGGCTACAGAGGCTTGTGCATTCATCATGTAGTTCTTGTGCCTTGACTTTCAGCTCCTTCAGGTCCTTTAAGGAGTTCTCTGCATTGGTTATTCTAGTTAGCCATTCATCTAATTTTTTTTCAAGGTTTTTAACTTCTTTGCCATGGGTTCAAACTTCCTCCTTTAGCTCGGAGTAGTTTGATCATCTGAAGCCTTCTTCTCTCAACTCGTCAAAGTCATTCTTCATCCATCTTTGTTCTGATGCTGGTGAGGAGCTGCATTCCTTTGGAGGAGGAGAGGTGCTCTGAGTTTTAGAGTTTCCAGTTTTTCTTCTCTGTTTTTTCCCCATCTTTGTGGTTTTATCTACCTTTGGTCTTTGATGATTTTGACGTACAGATGGGGTTTTGGTGTGGATGTCCTTTCTGTTTGTTAGTTTTCCTTGTAACAGTCAGGACCCTCAGCTTCAGGTCTGTTGGAGTTTGTTGGAGGTCCACTCCAGACCCTGTTTGCCTGGTTTCGGCAGCAGAGGTTGCAGAACAGCAGATATTGACAAACATCAAATGTTGCTGCCTGATCATTCCTCTGGAAGTTTTGTCTCAGAGGAGTACCTGGCTGTGTGAGGTGTCAGTCTGTCCCTACTGGGGGATGCCTCCCAGTTAGGCTACTTGGGGGTCAGGGACCCACTTGAGGAGGCAGTCTGTCTGTTCTCAGATCTCCAGCTGCGTGCTGGGAAAACTGCTAGTCTCTTCAAAGCTGTCAGACAGGGACATTTAAGTCTGCAGAAGATTCTGCTGCCTTTTGTTTGGCAATACCCTGCCCCCAGAGGTGGAGTCTACAGAGGCAGGCAGGCCTCCTTGAGCTGCGGTGGGCTCCACCCAGTTTGAGCTTCCCGGCTGCTTTGTTTACCTACTCAAGCATAGGGGCAATGGCGGGCGCCCCTCCCCCAGCCTCGCTGCTGCCTTGCAGTTTGATCTCAGACTGCTGTGCTAGCAGTGAGTGAGGCTCTGTGGGCGTAGGACCCTCCAAGCCATGCATGGGATATAATCTCCTGGTGTGTCGTTTGCTAAGACCGTTGGAAAAGCACAGTATTAGGGTGGGAGTGACCCGATTTTCCAGGGGCTGTCTGTCACTCCTTTCTTTGACTAGGAAAGGGAATTCCCTGACCCCTTGCACTTCCCGGGTGAGGCAATGCCTCGCCCTGCTTTGGCTCATGCTTGGTGCACTGCACCCACTGTCCTGCACCCACTTTCTGACACTCCCCAGTGAGATGAACCCAGTACCTCAGTTGGAAATGCAGAAATCACCCATCTTCTACGTCGCACACACTGGGAGCTGTAGACTGGAGCTGTTCCTATTGGGCCATCTTGGCTTTACCCTGATTTGCATTTCTCTAATGGCCAGTGATGATGAGCATTTTTTCATGTGTCTTTTGGCTGCATAAATGTCTTCTCTTGAGAAGTGTCTGTTCATATCCTTTGCTCACTTTTTGATGGGGTTGTTTGTTTTTTTCTTGTAAATTTGTTTGAGTTCTTTGTAGATTCTAGATATTAGCCCTTTGTCAGATGAGTAGATTGCAAAAATTTTCTCCCATTCTGTAGGGTGCCTGTTCACTCTGATGATAGGTCCTTTTGCTGTGCAGAAGCTCTTTAGTTTAATTAGATCCCATTTGTCAATTTTGTCTTTTGTTGCCATTGCTTTTGGTGTTTTAGACATGAAGTCCTTGCCCATGCCTATGTCCTGAATGGTATTGCCTAGGTTTTCTTCTAGGGTTTTTATGGTTTTAGGTCTAACATGTAAGTCTTTAATCCATCTTGAATTAATTTTTGTATAAGATGTAAGGAAGGGATCCAGTTTCAGCTGCCTACATATGGGTAGCCAGTTTTCCCAGCACCTAGTTTGAGATTCTGAGGGTAATTAACTAAATATTTGTCCGCTGAGTACTAGAAATACAGTACACAGAACTCGTTGCACTGTAAGTGGAAAATATACCCTAAAATATACTCTGGATTTTGAAGACAGTTTGAAAAAATAGAAAATATTAACATTTAATTTTGATTATATGTTTAAGTGATAATATTTGACCACTTATTTATTTTTTCTTTTTGAAATGTGACTACTAAACATTTTAAAATTACGTGTGGCTTGCATTATCTTTCTATTGGATAACACTGACCTAGACAAAGAAATTACATTTGATAGGTAGCTCCTGCCCATTTGGTAGATAGTTCATGGGCTTTATCAGGCTTTAGAATCAAGAGGAGGAAGTATTTGATGAAAATTCATATACAGATAGTTATTTAATTAATTAAATTAGTTAACATATATAAAGTTCTTAGTACAGTACCTGGCAAATAATATGCACTAAATAAGTTTCTTTCATCAATTATATGTGCTAAAAAATTTTCTTTCATCACTGTAATTCTTGTTAGTACTGGTAATAGAATAGGGAGGATAGAAAGTGCTCCATGAAACTGTCCGATTGACGATGGACTTACTGTGAATTAAAAATCAAAAAAGAACTGAGAAGTTAATGAATGAGGCAGGAACAGAGGGATAGGGGTGTTGAACATTGAGTGTTTCCCAAGTGGCTACTGGCATATGAAGAGGTTTCATATTACTAGGTCTCCCAGTATGTGTCTCTGGCTTTGCAGGATGTGGGAGGATATCTCTTTGTCATAGAAGTGGAGGTTCGTAGGGAGGAAGGATGAAAGCAATGAAGGAAGGAACAAAATAACACAGAGAATGCTCTGAACTAATAGTGAACACATTCCATATAAACTCATCCTGTTATTCAAGCAGGATTAACTTCTTCAAGTGGCATTGATGCTTCAAGTGGCACTTTACCTTGGATGTGTTTTCTATAGTGGAATTTGGGGGCAACATGTCTTTTATAACAGAACTCTATTGGTTAAAAATATTTGTAAACCACCTCCTTATGGTTAAACCAGATAGATCTTCCTGTTTTCAATTAAATAGGTTATGTCTTTCAACTTCTGTATGGAGTTGGTATATTTATGCAATGAGATGGACATTTGTTCCTTTCCTTTCCTGTCCTGTCCTGTCCTGTCCTGTCCTGTCCTGTCCTGTCCTTTCCTTTCTTGTCCTGTCCTGTCCTGTCCTGTCCTTTCCGTTCTGTCGGACTTTCGCTCTTGTTGCCCAGGCTGGAGTGCAATGACGTGATCTCAGCTCACCGCAACCTCCGCCTCCCGGGTTCAAGCGCTTCTTTTCCCTCAGCCTTCCAAGTAGCTTGAATTACAGGCATGTGCCACCACACCTACCTAATTTTATTTGTATTTTTAGTAGAGATGGGGTTTCTCCATGTTGGTCAGGCTGGTCTCGAACTCCTGACCTCAGGTGATCCACCCACCTTGGCCTCCCAAAGTTCTGGGATTATAGGGGTGAGCCACCACGCCCAGCTGGACATTTGTTTTTTTTCTAACTTTAATGTGTGATCTGCAGTTTCATCAGACTAACCCTATTTCACAATCCTTACTTTTTGAGAAAATAATTAATGCTAACTTTTCCATTTTAAAAATTAAAATTTTATAACAGATATATGCATAGACATATTTTTAAAAATAAAATAGTAATACAGAGTCCACAAAGAAAATCAAAAGTCTTCTCATGTTTATCCACTACTCAGAGGTATCCACTGTTAACCATTTATGTTTCATTCTTAGTTATTTTTATATTTTAAAATGCTTATATTGCTATGTTTTATTTTAGTTTAAAAATTATTTCTCCATGCTGAGAATACAGGAGATCATTGCTCACACTTCCCCCTTACTTTCCCTCTTCTTCCACTCTTTGATAATTATAAGACCATTTTACTTCTTGTACTGCTTACTTCTGTTATTTTAAATAATATACTTAAACTCTTATTTCTTATTTCATCAACTTTTGACTCTAGCTTTGTAAGATGAAGATATTAGCACTTCTGTCTTGCTTAACCCTTTTAGCCCTCAACTCCCATCAACCACACCTTCATTTTTCATTTTAGGGGTTATAACATTACTATTCTAGTCTGGAACCTTAATGTAATCTTATTGATATTATTAATAGACTTATTTGACAGTGGCAAAAAGAAGTGGACAATCCAGGATTTGAACCCAAGTTCTTTGGCTGCGAGTCCATGAATTTTGACATATCTTATATTGGGTTAATGTAAGAGTTAATTTCTGGAGCCAACGATAGATGAAGGATGATTCCTTTCTTTGCCCCTTTTTCCTAATTTCTTCTCTACTATGTTTAAAGTTCTTTGAGCAGCCACACTCTAGATTTCTTTTTGGTTCACTCCTATCCCTCCCACCTCTCAAAATTCCCAACACATGCAAAGTTTGTGCATCCTTCCCCATGTGTACACTTTATCACTTGATTTGCAGAACTGTTCTCACCACTATTCGCCTTCCTATAATCATGCAACTTCCCCGCCTCCCCCCACCGACTTCTCTGACCCAAGATTAAGGGAGGACAAGCAAGTCTTAGTCCAGCTCTGTTTATAATGGGTCTTTCATCCCGCAGTGTAGAATGCTAGACTGTCCAGTAGGGATGGCAGAATAAAGACTCAGTCATCCCCTCTAGCCTTATGACAGGGAGGGTATTTGTACCCTTTGATTCATATTTTTTGGGTCTTGTCAGAGTTGCCCACAGTATGATGTTTTCAGTTCTTTTTCAAGGGTGCCCTTGCCAGAGAGGAACAGCCACTGAATTGAGCTTTTTTGTGGTTTCTGGTGGGACCAGGGCCAAATTGTCTGACTAAGACATCTGAGTCTGCATTTAACCCACTTCATGGAGAGTGGGAGCTAGTGTGGAAGCTATGATATAGTGTGTTCTCACCCAAGAGATGGCAGGCAAGAGGGCATTGATGACAGGACATGGGATTGTCAGTCTTAATGATGTTTCTCATCCATGTACAGTTATCACAGAAAGAACTTTAAGAAAAGGACCTGTTCTGGAGGTAGATGAGACTGAAAACGTATCAAAGATGGCACAAACCTGACAGTGTAGATGAAGACAAAGGTGTTAGTGTTGGTCTGCATTCCAAAGGCCAGTGCTTGCTCTGGGAAAGAGGGGAAGGAAACATCAGCAAACCACCCATTGATAGATCCAAATAATTTGAATTTCCATGTTTGGGTTTCAATGGCTACCAGAGTGCATTAGCAGGGAAGATCAAGTGGCCAAGGTGCTAAAGAATTAAGCTATGTGACAGTAATCCGTAAGTGATTTCCAAGTCTGTAGCAAACATTTTATAAGCCTTACAATAATAACTACCATGTACTAGGTACTTGGTTTATGTCCTTTCAATTATTATTATTTGTATCCTACAGATGTGGAAGTCAAGACCCATAATGGCCAAATAACTTGTAGAAGGACACATAGTTATTAACAGAAGCTAGTTTAAAACAGATTTTTGTTACTCCAGGGACTGTGCTCTTTCTACTACCCTGCACTCTGAACCCTGCTTTGTGGGGCTCGTATCAGAAGATTAAAAAAAAGATTAATAATGCCTGTCACCAGTTCAATGGATATATACATTGTGGCAAATTGTCATTATTCTATAGCAATGAGAACAAATGAACTAGAGCTGTTGTTCACCGTAACATAGATGAATCTGAGAAATACAAGGTTGAGTTAAAAAAAAACAGTCACGAAAGATTACCTGCTATATGAGTCCATTTCTATAAAGTGCAAAAACAGGTAAAACTAAGTGATGATGTTAGAAGCCAGGTTAGTGGTTACCTCCAAGAGTCGGGGTGTTACTGAAAAAAAAAAAAGAATCACAAAGGGGCTTTCAAGGGTTCAGGTAATATTTTGTTGTTTTGACCTTGGGTGCTGATGACATGGGTGTGTTCAGTTTGTGAAAATTTTTTGACATTTGTATAGTGTATTTTTCAGAGTATATGTTATAATTTCAAAAAATGGAAAAGAACATTAGAAAACCTTAATATCTCCTTTGTAGCACCTTCCACCAGCAATCCGTGTTTCTTCATACATGGAGACAATGGCTTTATGGGTTTATCCTCCTGATTATCCTCATATATGGACCTTCTTCCTCTATGATGACTTTCCTTCCCTTTTATCTCATAGGTGAATTTCCCTAAGCAGTATATAGTATTGTTTTACATAATATACTGGTTAAGACAGTGGACTCTGGAGCCAGACTACCTGGGTTTGCATCTTGGCTCTTCAACTTAGTAGCTGGTGAGTGTAGGCAAGTCACTTAACTTCTTTTTGCCTTAGTTTCATTATCTATAATATGGGATAAATTATAGTACTTACCACATAGAGTTGTGGGGATAAAATGCCTTATTATGTGTAAAATGCTCAGAATAGTTTGGTACATATAGTACATAACATACAAATGTTTGCTACTACTGATTTTCATATTTATAAAAAAGGAATGATCTGCAGGTGCTCTTTTATATATTGCTTTTTTTCTCATGATTTCTTAAACAATTATCTTTTTTTTGAGACAAGGCTTTGCTTTGTTGCCCAGGGTGGAGTACAGTGGCACAATCACAGCTCACTATAGCCTTAAACTCCCAGGCTCAAGCAATCTTCCCATTGCAGCCACCCGAGTAGCTGAAACTATAGGCATGTACCACCAAACCTCACAAATTTTTAATATTTTTGTTGAGATGAGGTCTCCCTGTATTGCCCAGACTGGTCTCGAACTCCTGGTCTCAAGTGATCCTCCAGCCTTGGCCTCCCAAAGTGTTTGGATTGTGAGGCATTGTGCCAGGCTCATTCTCTTATTGATGGATGAGTCATTTGCTTCCATTTTTTATGTGAGTGCAAACAATACTCCTGTGACAGTGATTTACATGTCTCCTTGTGCATATTTCAACTCTTCTCCTGGGTATATACTTAGAAATAGAATTTCTATGTTGTAGAATCTATGCATTTTTACTAGATGTGTTGCCAAATTGGTCTACAAAATGGTTGTGTCAATTTATATCATCACTCATCACTAGCAGTATAAAAGTGTTTTATTTGCTGCATATCCAAGGAAAATGAGTTAGTTCAGAAAGATGCAAGAGAATTTGATTCAGCAAGTGTGTATTGTGTCTCTAATCTGTATATAGAGAAGGAAGCAGTCACTGGTGGAAGAGAAATTTGCTGTACAGACACAGAGCAGCTCTACTTAATACCAACCACATATGTAAAGTATCTGGCATAGAGTAAACCCCTTTGCTCAAGCAATCTGGGAATGTACCCACACAGCTGATGTGGTAATGTTATTACCCTCTTACAAGGTAATCTATGTCTGAAAAATAATGTGGCACATATACACCATGGAATACTATGCAGCCATAAAAAATGATGAGTTCATGTCCTTTGTAGGGACACGGATGAAGCTGGAAACCATCATTCTCAGCAAACTATCGCAAGGACAAAAAACCAAACACTGCGTGTTCTGACTCATAGGTGGGAATTGAACAATGAGAACACACGGACACAGGAAGGGGAACATCACACACAGGGGCCTGTTGTGGGGTGGGGGGTTGGAGGAGGGGGGAGGGGGGAGGGGTAGCATTAGGAGATATACCTAATGTTAAATGACGAGTTAATGGGTGCAGCACACCAACATGGCACATGTATACATATGGAACTAACCTGCACGTTGTACACATGTACCCTAAAACTTAAATAAATAAAAAAATAAATAAATAAAAGAATAATGGCCACATTTAGCCTGAAGAGTAGAGGGTGGAAAGGGAATATTATCTTGTTGTCAGTGACATAGAATGGACCATGACCCAGGATGAGGTCATATTTTTTCCATCTCCCTTGCCATCCTTCACTAGAGTAGAAGGGAATTGCATCAAAGAGCGGAGAGACACTAGTTTTCTCTTCCCGTCTATAACCAAAGTGAAACTGTTATCTGCCCCTTCTCCCTATCCCGGTGCCCTTTCTACTTGAACTATTTGAGAGCATTTTTGTAATTACAAGGGTGATCTCGCTGAAATGAGGTTTCCTTTTGTGAGCTTGTAACTCGGTTCCTAATATTAGCTGGCTTCAAAGTCATGTCTGGAGTTGACAGGAGATACAGGAAATCAAGAGCATGTATCTCCCTAAATTGGATTGTAATTTGGGGATTCCCTGTTTTTGGAGGAAATGTCAAATGTTCTATATCTGAGTTTTCCACTACAATAGCTTCTAGCAACGTGTAGCTACTACATACTTGAAAGGTTACTAGTGTAACTGAAAAACTGTATTTTAAATTTTAGTTGATTTTAGTTAATTTAAGGTAATGTAGCCACCTGTGGCTATTGGTAGCTGTGTAGGTCTAATAAATATTTTGTTGGTAGAGGAAGGTAAGGGAGCTAATATTTTTTTTTCAGTACCTGCTATGCATTGGGGTCTATACTGCCATCTAATTTTTACAGTACCCTGTGAAGATTTTATCCCCCATTTTACAGAACAGGAAACCAGAGCTCAGAGAGGATGACCTACTTGTTCAAGGTCACACAGGCTACAAAATGGCAGAGCCAGGATTTAAATACAGGTCTTTCTGGTCTCTCCAATTCCAAAGTCCATTCTCTTTATCCTGAACAGGGTGGTATAATTTTGTTCTTGCTACTTGGCTTCAGCCATATGCCAGAAAAGCTTAAAATTGAATGCCTTCTAACAGTAATTCCATATTCTTAACTGTTAATTTGCATTAGCAAATGGGTTTCTGGAAGCTCTAATAAATGCATACCTTGCAGATATTGTGTGTTCAGTTCCAGACCATTGTAATGAAGTGAATAGTGCAATAAAATGAGTCACAAAAATTTTGCTTTCCAAGTGCATAAAAGAGTTACATTTACACCGTACTGTAGTCTATTAAAGGTTCAATAGCATTATGTCTTTTTTTTTGTCTTTTTTTTTTTTTAATTTTTTTTGAGATGGAGTCTCGCTCTGTCACCCAGGCTGGAGTGCCATAGTGCAGTCTCAGCTCACTGCAACCTCCGCCTCCCGGGTTCAAGCAGTTCTCCTGACTCAGCCTCCCGAGTAGCTGGGATTACAGGAGTGTGCCACCACACCCAGCTAATTTTTGTAATTTTAGTAGAGACGGGGTTTCACCATGTTGGCCAGGCTGGTCTCAAACTGCTGACCTCAAGTGATCCACCCACCTCGGCCTCCCAAAGTGCTGGGATTACAGATGTGAGCCACTGTGCCTGGCCCTCAATAGCATTATGTCTAAAAACAAAATGTATATGTAAAATTAAAAAACAAACTTTATTGCTAAAAAAATGATGCTGACACAGAGACATGAAGTCAGCACATGCTGTTGGAAAAATGATGCTGGTACACTTGATCCATGCCAGGTTGACACAAACCTTCAATTTGTAAAAAATTCAGTAACTGTGAAGCATAATAAAGCAAAGCATAATAAAAATGAGGTGTGCCTGTATATTAAGATTCCAGGGACTTTGGTAATGATATAGGAGTTAAGAAGAAATCACTTAGGCAGATAGTAAGGGTATAGGAGTCCTTGGTAAGACTTTTCTTTTTAATGAAAAGCAGCCTCAAATCATTTTCTAACAATGCGCAGCCTGTAAAGTCGAGCTGCAGACATAGACAAGCAAGCTGAGAGCTTGCATGAGTGAATGCTGGCAGGAACTAGAGACTAGATATGTTCAAGATGGCTCCTCCATCATCCTTTCTCTGCCAGCCATGTGTACAGTAAGAAGCAGACAAGATAGTGCCCGCCAAGGAGAATTCATTTGTGGAATAAGATTAGGGCGGTGAGACCAGCCTTCCCCTTGCTCCTGATCAAACCAATCTGTGAGCCCTACCTAAATCAGACACTACCTCCTCAAGCTGGACCATAAAATCTGGTGCATTCGCAGTGAGCAGGTCCTTTCCTTTTGGAGACCCCCCTCTCTCTGTAGAGAGAGCTGTTTCTCTTTCTCCTCTCTTCTGCCTGTTAAACCTCTGCTCCTAAGCTCCTCGTATGTGTCCGTTTCCTAAATTTTCCTGGCAAGAGATGACAAACCCCAGACAACACAGCCACTTCAGTAATGACTTTCTGTCCTAGGATATTTGGGAGGAATAATAAATGCCTAGGAACAAAGTGATTGAATGAGTCAGTTAGGCTTTTTGTATATTTTTAGTCAAAAATCATTATACCATGTCTTAGGGTTCTTCAAAGAGACAGAACAAGGGGTGTGTGTGTGTGTGTGTGTGTGTTTGTGTGTGTGTGTGTATGTAGAGCGGGGTTTAGTTTAAGGAATTCTCTTATATGATTGTACGGGCTGGCAAGTTCAAAATCTGTAGGGCAGGCTGGCAAGATGGAGACTCAGGGAAGAGTTGATGTTGCATCTCAAATCCAAAGGCATTCCCTCTTCCTCTTCCTCAGTCGTCTTCCTCAGTCTTTTTACTCCTGAGGCCTTTGACTGATTAGATGAGGCCCACATATCCGCAAGACTACTGGTTTAAATGTTAATCTCATCTAAAAACTATTTCTAAGTAAATATCTAGACTAGTGTTTGAGCAAATGTTTAGGTACCGTGGCATGGCCACAATGACACATAAAGTTAATCATCAAACACTATGAGAACTTTTGTTGTTGATTTAATTACTTTCCTTTTCCGTATTCACATAACTTTTATTTCAGTATATTGTTATAATTTTTGTTGTGCTATTTTAGTAGTTATTGTTGCTCATCTCTTACTGTCGCTAATTTATAAATTTAACTGTATCATATATATGTATGGGTAAGTGACTTAAGAACTCTTGAGGCAGGCAGTTAGAAGTTTCAGTCAGTGTCCTCCAGGTCTTTTCTCCGTGGTTCTCTTAGACTTCACCTCAGGGTCATAAGATGGCTGTCACAGCTCAACATATTACATACTCACATGTTAGCATCCCAAGCAGAAAGGAAGTGGGGGAGCTCTTTTTTTTTTTTTTTTTTTTCTTGAGGCAGATTCTCGATCTGCCTCCCAGTCTGGAGTGGTGCAGTCTTGGCTTACTGCAACCTCTGCCTTCCAGGCTCAAGCAATTCTCATGCCTCAGCCCCGCCCAGGTAGTTGAGATTGCAGGCACATGCCACCACGCCTGGCTAATTTTTGGATTTTTTGGCAGAGACGGGGTTTCACCATGTTGCCCAGGCTGGTTGTGAACTCCTGACCTCAGGTGTTTGGGAAGCCGAGGCTTCCCAAATTGCTGGGATTACAGGTATGAGCCACCATGCCCAGCCATAAAGGGCTCTTTTCACATGGCATAGTTTGTCTTTTATCCAAGAGAAAAATGTCTTACCAAAGTTGCCACCTGACTTTCCCTAATAACTCATTGGCAATAGCGGAGTTGTGGGCCCACTCCTAGGACAATATTTAGGAAAAAGACATAGGAGTACTAAAATTCCCCTTTGGCCTGGGAGGGGGGCTCACTTTTTTTTGGAGAACGTTGCTTGCCTGCCTGATATCTGAAGAAATAGGAAGAAAGAGGATGGCTATTGAATTGGCAATGAACAGTGACTGTCATAATGGCCTTTTGAGAATAGAGATGCTGGACTCTAACCAGGAGCCTCTGGAATATATTCAAAGGGCAGGAAAGAGAAAAATACTGGTTATCTATCTATAGTACTTTAATATAATAATCACAGAGGCACTTTCACCATATCTTGTTTTCCAAAGAGAGATTGCCTCAAAGACCCAGAGAGGGAATGTGACACCTCCTAGGTCCTACGGGAAGCTAGTGGCAGAGCAAGGAATAATACTCATATTCTTTTGCTACCTTCATGCTGCTTGTACCACTTTTGTTCCTCCAGCAGGTCTTAAGCACTGTTCCACAGTGAGCAGGTCTATGCACACCTACCCCTGAAGTCTAAGAAAGCTGAGAGGCTTAAGAAAGAAGCTGACATATCCAGTTTCTGAGAGAGAAACATGTAATAGATGTTTACAAATAGAAGCCATAGTCTTGGGCAGCAGTGAGACAAGATGGTGGATCCCTGTGCCGTTACCCCCTAGACGCAGGGCGTACATACCACAGGGACGGAATGTGTAGGACAATTGAAGTTGACCTGCCCGGCAAAGGCAAGAATGCTGTGTGAATCTTTCTAAGGGCAGGATCTATGGTCAAAGTTATTCTGATCTACGGGCAAGACTGATAACAGTAGATAAAGTAGAAATCTTAGAGGCATTTCCAGAACAGAGGTTAATCAGAAGTCAATATAGTAGATTTGCATCCAAGATGGAGTTGCTTTAGCTTCTACAGGCACTTTAAGAACATATTTGGCAGTGATTTCTGCCTATATGATGTAAGCATATTGTGGTTTAAAAATTTTAAAAAATTTAACTGAAATTGACTTATTACTATCCATTTATATTGTAGCTTACATTTAGCAGCAGAAGAGACCTTCAAAGTTATTAGTCCCACCTCACTTTACAGTTGGGGGAACTGAGGCTTAGAAGGTTAAGTGACTGACCCAGGAGCATAGATGGTTAGCAGGGGAGATGGGATCAGAACCCAGGTCGCCTGATTCCTAGTCAGATGTAATCACCAGTTCTTCAGAGATATTCCATAAATATAATATTTTGGGCAGAGCTGTATGAGTTTTATTTTTGTTCAAATTATGCTGAGATAACCTTGTAGACCCAATGTCTTGGCCCTCATTTAACCCATTCCTGCTTTAGCCATTTCTCTTCAGAAAGAATCAGATGCACCTTTTTGCATCACAGTTTCCTTATCTGAAAAAAAATGAGGATAATGAACTATATGGTTTATTTTACTTATAAAGTTCTATGATTAATACAAGCCAAGACTAGAGCCTAGCTGAGTCTCCAGATTTCTGTTTTGAAAATCAAGGGGTGTATTTTTATTTTAATAAACTACTAAGCCAATATTTATCCAGACAACTTAGTTAATATAACTTTTTTTTTTACTTGCTTGTTTTTTAACCAAAGTGGGTGTTTAAAAATTTGTCTTTCAACTGGCACTATGTTGTCAGTCTCACCAGGCACAGCAATCTTCGAGGAGGTCCATCTTCCAAAGCCAGACTTCCTCTAAAAAAAAACTCCCCAGGAAACTGGCTTCTGCTCACAGTAGGATATGCATGTCCAGAGGATTTTTTTTCTTATTTACTTATGTAGCCTCTGTGTGTGTGAGATAAAGCTGCTTCTCACTTCCGTTGACAATTAGGAAGTGGCTGGCATTAGTAGGCAAGTAAGGGGGGAAAAGCCCTGCACCCCAACCAGAATTCAATAGTTAAAAGGAAATTGTTATATTGTTTTCAAAGCATTTACTTTCCTCTCCTTGATTGTATCAAGGAAGATGCCAATTCATCATCATCATTGCTATTCTTATGAAACACTCAATATGTATTAAATATTTATCATGCAATCTCTTTTGAGCCTTTCGACAACTCTATGATGCAGTCCCTACTGTAACATTTATTTTGTGAGGAAACTGAGGCAGGAAAATAAGAACTTTAAACAAGCTGGTGTTTGAGTTCATGGGTAAACCCTCTCATTGGAAAATGGGAAATTGTTGGTAGATGATGTTGCCTGATGATATGTATGGCGATTTAATTTGGGCTCAGATTTTTAGTTCTTTAAGACAGTATTATTGCCAGGAAATACTTTTCTGAGAACCCCAGAAAACCTTGCATATTGGTTAGATATCATAAGAATAACATAACAAAGCATCCCAAAATTCAGTGGCATAAAGCAATAAGCATTTATTTCTGGCTCACACATCTATGGGTTGGCTGAGGTAGCTTTGTTTTTTTTCAATTAGGTTCGATGGGGCTTGGCTCAGGCCACAAGTTCCATTTAGGTCTGCTGTATGTGTCTCAATTTTTCAGGGATCAGAGGGTCACCTGAGGCAGATTATTCTCAGGATGGTGGCAGAAGTGCATGGTGGGTAAGCAGAGACACGTGAGGTCTTTCAAAGCTAGGCTCAAAGCCAGCCTACCATTGCTTCCTTACAAATTCAGTTGGCCAAAACAAATCATATGGCCAAGCCCAACATCAGTAAGGAGGTGAAATACATTCTTCCTTTAGCAGAACTGCAAGGTCACATGGCAGAGTACATGGATACAGAGAGGTGGGGGGAAATTTGGGAACAATAATTCAATCTGCCATGCCTTGGCTGAAAAGTAGTGGCAGTAGGAAGTCAGAAGATGAGAGCTAGAAAAGATACTCTGATGGAGAGTGAGAGGTGTAGTGGGAAGATCCTTATGGTTAGGAGATCTGGTTTTGAGTCCTAACTGTGACACTTTTTTAGTATGACCTTGAACAAGTCATTTTCCTTGATATTTGAGCATTAAGGGTCCATGTGATGTCTTCATCTTATATTTTCACTTACCTAGATAAGGATGTAGAGTAAATGAATGCAATGATTAGTCTATGTTCAAACAGCTAGGTTGAATCAGTAAAGACTGGAACTTTGAGTTCTTTTTCCATTCCTCAATCTTCATTGCTTTAGAAGAATAGTTAATATTTGAGGAGGGGCCAGGTGCGGTGGCTCTCGCCTGTAATCGCAGCACTTTGGGAGGCCAAGGCAGGTGGATCACGAGGTCAGGAGATCGAGACCATCTTGGCCAACATGGTGAAATCCCGTCTCTACTAAAAATACAAAAATTAACTGGGTGTGGTGGTGCGTGCCTGTAATCCCAGCTACTCGGGAGGCTAGGTAGGAGAATCGCTTGAACCTGGGAGGTGGAGATTGCAGTGAGCCGAGATTGCGCCATTGTACTCCAGCCTGGCAACAGAGTGAGACTCCGTTTCCAAAAAAAAAAAAAAAAAAAAAAAACATTTGAGGAGGGGTGTTGGGAGAGGTTTCAGCTCTCCTCCTTTTCTCATGAAATTAAAGCTGTTTTACTACAATTCTTCTTTCCACATTACCATGCTTATCTGTTTTCCATTTCTTCAAAGCCCTGAACAAGGAGAAGTAGGCCAAAATCATAATAGGAAGAACTGAAGTTCAGGCAGAGTAAGTGCTTTTTGCATGTAACTGTACTTAAATGTTATATATTGTTAGGGAAACTGGTAACATTGCTGTCCCCAAAGATCTTTTAGAGAGGCATCTGTTGCTATGTGATGTGTTAAGTGGAGTTATTCCTGAAAGAAGCACAGTGGGCTAGATATGACTCATGGCCTCTTCTGTCTTTATGCTATTATAACATATTTATATGTGTTTATTTGTCAGACATTCATATCATGCTCATATAGTGCCAGATATTCTTCTAAGAAGTCTACAGGTACTAATTCATTTAATCCTCAAAACTATGAGACAGGGAGTCTTACTTATTTCTGTTTTACAGATTAAAATAAACGCAAATACCAAACACGAACAAGGAACAACAGCAACAAAAACCTAAGGCACAGGGAGGTGACATAACTTTGGCACAGTCAAGCACTAGAAAGGAGCAGAGCTGGTACTTGAACCCAGGTTATGTGATTCCAGAGTCCACGCCTTTAGCCACGTGGCACATAGGCATCAGAACTGAGCAGGCCAACTCTGCTACTTACTAGTTCTGTGACATGGAGTGAAGTACTTCACTCCTCTGAGCCTTGTTTTCAACTCTAAAATGTGAACAATAATTATATCAGCCTCACAGGGTTATTGTGAGGATTCAATGAGATAGTGCATAAAACCATGCTTGGCATTGAAACATTAGTTCTATTTCCGTGAAATACTTCTATACATTTTAAAGATGACTTTATAAGTCTTCCTTTTAACTTATAGTTTATGAACTCTTACAAGGTTTATAATCCTTGGCTTGATTGATTTATCTGTATGACTGATTCCTTAGCAGTCTGTAAGACAATTTGGCCTTGCCATTTCTGTCTAACATAGGAAAAGAGCAATGAGGCAATTTCCCTTGGGGCGGAGATTAAGAGCCAGTGACCCCATGTATCTTGGCTGTCTGAGAAGTTGCTGAACTGTGCCATCTCCTTTTTCCACATTTATCCTTACCTTAAAAATAGTCATGAATCTGAATTTTGTATATAGTGTTGAAGGTGAATCTGACATTATAGTTTTTAGAGTTCTCATTCATTATGCTCGTTATTTTTTCTCTTGACACCCCAGCAAGAATTTAGGAAACCTTTGCTGGAGTGCCCTTGTGAAGAAAGGCCTTAGTTTGTTACATGCCAAAGTACCATGTCCTGCTGACAAGAAGCGTTCTCCTCCTATACAAAGAGTGATACAGTATTCACTCAGAGCTCACAGCCCTGCCTGTTCCGCATGCTGGGATCCTCGGGGACTGGTGCAAGTGGGTGGAGGAGGTTATATAAGCTCACATCTCCTTCCAAGTGGGAAGAGGCGAGGGACAACAGCTGTCAGCTCCACAGCTGGTCTTGCCAGCCCAAGTGATTCCAACTTTATTTGATCAGAGAAGAAGGCTTCTCAGTACACAGAGGGGAGATTTGCTGATCCAGAGCCAATGTTTTAAAACTTTGGCAATTTGTGCTAACTTCCTCTGGCTAGGACAGATGCTTATTGGCTCTGGCTGCCTGGACATGGTGTTCTCGAGGCATTTTGTGTCATCCTGAATTGGGCCCAGCCAGCTGCTCATCTATAGGAGATTCTCAAGGAATGGTGCAAAGCTCATTACCCTTAGACTTTTGGTTGGGCAGTTGCTCTTGCATCAGTATCCATTTCATTACATTAAACTAAAAGAATAAAATAAGTTCTCAAAAGGCAGATATAAAACACAGCAATCTCCATAGGCCATTTTTTTATTTTTAATTTTTTGGGGTACATAGTAGGTATATACATTTATGGAGTACATGAGATGTTTTGATACAGGCATGCAATGCATAATAATCACATCAGGGTAAATGGGGTATTCATCACCTCAAGCATTTATCCTTTGTGTTACAAACAGTCCAATTATACTCTTTATTTTAAAATGTATAATTAAGTTATTATTGACTATATTCACTCTGTATTGCTATCCGATAGTAGGTCTTATTCATTCGTTCTAATTTTTTATACTCATTTACCATCCCCACCTCCCCATCATCCCTCCACTACCTTTCCCAGCCTCTGGTAAGCATCTTTCTATACCCTATGTCCATGAGTTCAATTGTTTTGATTTTTAGATCCCACAAATAAGTGAGAACATGTGATGTTTGTCTTTCTGTGCCTAGCTTATTTCACTTAATATAATGATCTCCAGTTCTATCCATGTTGTTGCAAGTGACTAGATCTCATTCTTTTTTATGGCTGAATAATTACTCCACTGTGTACACATACTACATTTTCTTTATCCATTCATCTGTTGATGGACATTTAGGTTGCTTCCAAATCTTAGCTATTGTAAACAGTGCTGCAACAAACATTGGAGTACAGATATCTCTTTGATACACTGATTTCCTTTCTTTGGGGTATGTACCCAGCAGTGGGATTGCTGGATCTTATAGTAGTTCAATTTTTAGTTTTGTAAGGAACCTCCAAACTGTTCTCCATAGTGGTTGTACTAATTTACATGCCCACCAACAGTGTACCTCAGTTCCCTTTTCTCCACATCCTCCCTAGCATTTGTTATTGCCTGTCTTTTGGATATAAGCCATTTTAACTGGGTGAGATGATATCTCATTATAGTTTTGATTTGCATTGCTTTGATCAATGATGTTGAGCATCTTTTCATATGCCCGTTTGCCATTTGTATGTCTTTTTTTTTTTGAGAAATGTCTATTCAAATCTTTTGCCCATTTTTGGTCCAGTTTTCTTTTCTGCTTCAATAGGAAAGCACTGAGTTCAATGCATCACAATTGCTGTGTTCTCCCTCCTCCAGCAGCCAGAGATGTTCTCTGAAACATGCTGCTGCTGCCAGGAGTTGGCAGGGTGGTGGTGTCTGCAATTCTGGACTGTTTTATCTATCTCCTCAGTGTCCTTTCGGCGATATGAAGTTACAACCAGGTACTTTGTACTATGAGTGCTTACATGATTTTTGGTTCTGATGAAGGTATTTTTTTCTGTGTAGATAGTTGTTAACTTGGTGTCACTGCAGTGGAGGGGGACAATCGGTGGAGCCTTCTATTTCGACATCTTGCTCTGCATCTTTCCACAATAATTGGCAATTTATTCTTTTAAAATTTTGAGATGAGTGGAGTGCAGTAGCGTGATCTCAGCTCATTGCAACCTCCCACCTCAGCCTTCAGAGTAGCTGGAAATACAGGCACACCCCACCATGCCCAGCTAATTTTTGTGTGTTTTTTTTTTTTTTTGTAGAGACTGGGTTTTGCCATGTTACCCAGGCTGGTCTCAAACTCCTGGGCTCAAGCAATCCTCCCGCCTTGGCCTCCCAAAGTGCTGATATTACAGGCATGAGCCACTGCGCTCCACCTGGCAATTTATTCTTGATTTACTGTAACTCTGGGAAGGACATGGCTAGCACATAACTTAATGTCAACATTTCTTTTTACAACTGAAAGGAATATTGGGCTTTTGGGATGCATCTCTTGTCCTTGGTGGACTATAAGGGTGTTGAAAGCCAGTTGTAATGGCCTGTCCTCTGTAGATTCCCCTCAGAACTAAGTCTATGCCTGTTACAAGCTTAGTTACTATATTTATAGCTAGCACAGATAAGAAATCTATGTGATGGAATATTAAATTTATGCCTGACAAGCAAAACTATAGTAAAGAGAAAATTTGCCTACGGCCTTAAATACTTTGGAGACAGACAAATTTACAAGGACAGTATGTGAGGTCGGGGTTATAATATGATCGTGTACACAGAGAGAGTACAGGAAGGACTGCAAACAAAGATAGGATATGGGGATATTGAGGAAGACTTAGAGAAGACACCACTGAGAAGATGATACATCTTCTTGTATGGAATCTTGAAGGACGATTTGAAATTAGCCAGTGAAGTGGAGTGTGAGGTACAAGGATGCTAAGTGGAGGGCTCAGCTTGTACAAAGAAAGTTTTCAAAGTACGCGTTGCCATCTCATGAGGGATCATGTATATCCTCTCAAGGTGAGTATACTTAGTCCTGTAGTTGATATGGAACGCTTTGCAGCAGGGGAATGTAGTAAATTTTAGATAGTTTAACCCACCTCTTACTGGTTTTTTGCATTGGGTAAGATATTTAATCTTCCTGAGGTTTAGTTTCTTCATTTGTAAAACAGTACTACTAAAGTTTATTATACAGCAACTTTGATCATTAAATGGGGGTCAAATATCTAGACTATGCATAGTATATTAGAGCTACTCAGAAAATAACAGATTCTCTTCTCTTTATACTCATGTTTGATTTCCTGTATTACATTATATTTTAATTTAGCAAGTGTATCTTGAGCACCCATTTTCGCCTATTTCAATGCTAGGCCCTAGGGATGGAGTTGAATAAGATACCGTCCTTGACTTTATGGAGCTACAAGTTATGTAAACTAACTATTCTAACCACAAGACCATGGTTTCTTGTCTCCTCTGTGCCACTGGGCAACCATCGACCCACTCATTTTCTAGCCTTCTGCAAAACTCCTCTTTATCCTCACCTATCTTTGCCTTTTTATCTCTCATCCCAGAAAACATCCTGGCCCTTCTCCTGCCCATAGATGATCTCTTCATTTGGGTTTTTTATCCCACTCCTTGTATTTTCTTATTTTTTCTCCCTCCATATAGCAACACACTTAAATCCCTCTTGCATTAAAAACAGAGCCCCATTCTTACTGTCAAGGCCTGGAAGGACTACAGCATAACAGTTTTGGCTAAATGATGATAGTCAACACATTGTAGCAATAGGAACTCAAGAGTTGACATTATTTTAAAACGGAGGTATGGTACCTCAGGATGGTTTTTTAGCAGGGAGCAAGGTGCTTAGTTCAGTGGTGGTAGGAAGGGGATAATGGCAAGTGTCAAAGTTGTCCATAACCGGCCAGGCACAGTGGCTCACGCCTGTAATTCCCGTACTTTGAGAGGCCGAGGTGGGTGGATCACCTGAGGGCAGGAGTTTGAGACCAGCCTGGCCAACATGGTGAAACCCCGTCTCTACTAAAAAGACAAAAATTAGCCAGGCCTGGTGGCATTGCACCTGTAATTCCAGCTACTCGGGAGGCTGAGGCAGGAGAATAACTTGAACCTGGGAGGCAGAGGTTGTGGTGAGCGGAGATTGCACCATTGCACTCCAGCCTGGGTGACAAGAGTGAAACTCCAACTCAAAAATTCATAAATAAATAAATAATAAATAAAGATTTTCCATAACCAAATATGATCCAGTTATAGAGGGCATGACTATCAATGGAGGGTGTGATTCACACAAAATTCATCTGGCACTCAAGTGGTATGCAAGGTAGAGACTGGGAATTCTGAACCAGATAGAAGTCCTGATGTTTCAAATGGGACACAAAGTCAGAGTCAGGCTGGTAGCCACATTGACATGACAGTAAATCTAGTGTATGGGGCTGGAGTTCTTAATCTACCCTGTCTCATTGTAGACTTGGTCTCAGCAACTAGAGCCAAGGTAGACCTATATGAGCAAATTAAGTAGACTCCACTCTTGAAAGAAGAAACGAGTCTGCTAAATGCCTTACTATTTAAATAAGGAAATCTTTGAGAAAGTATGTTTTATATAGAGGAAATCATATGAACAAAAAGCACAGTATGAAAAAGTGTGGCATATTTGGGGAACATATAGTAATCTGGTGTGATTAGAATATACATGTTTCATACAAGGAGTGCAAGAGGTGAAACTGGAGAGTAGATTGGCGTGAGACTGCAGGGCCTTGAATACGAGGCTAAAGAGTTTATACTTGGTACTGAGTTAAGTCTACTAGTACTGTCTTATACCTGGTGTCTGTGGGATCTCATTTAGGGGTGTGCTGTGTCCTTAAAGCATTTCCTTAGTGCCTTTCCTTATAAAATATATGGTGGTTTCTTCACAAGGTTATCTACTTCTACATTGGGAATATTGAGAGTCAGAAGGTTAAGATTTTTGTTTAAGGTAATGTAAGTAGTAAATGGAAAATGCAGAATTTGAACGTGGTTTAGTGCCCTTTCCTAGTATATAACCTAGTATATTGTCGAGGTTAGAAGTAAGGGCTTTAGAGTCAATTATGGGTTTGAATCTCCATTTCTTTTACTTCTATTAGCTTGTGCAACTTTGGAACAGTTCGTTTTCTGAGGCTCAGGCTCATTCCTCTTCTGTAAAATTGGGATAAGAATAGTAACATTCACAGGCTTGTATGAGGATTCAAAGAGGTAATGCATATCAAGTGCTTAACATAACAACTTACAAATAATACTCAATAAGTGGTAACTATTTCTAGTATTACATTAAAGTTATATTGGAAAAATGTGTTTTTACTTGAAAAAGTTAACTCAGAATATGTAGAATAAAAGGAGTTGATCCAGTATTCTGATGTTATAGTCATATTTGGATAGGAATTCATGCTTGTTCTGCACTGAGGTTGCAAATTTGCTTCATGTGTTCATTCACTGATTCACTAAACAGATGTTAATTTGGCCACACTCTGTACCTGACACCATTCCTTGTACAATGAACAGGACAGATGAAGTCTCTGCTTATGTAGACCTTACATTTTAGTGGTGTGCCAGAGGGTGGGAGGCAGATGTTAAACAAATAATTAGATAAATAATTTCAGATTGCAACAAATGCAATAAATGCTTTGAAGACAATAAAATCGGTGATTCGATGTTACTTGTGGGGGTGGAGTTGGTCTAGGGCAACTTTAGAAGGAGTCATAATGGACAGCCTCTGAAAATGTGACACTTCAGGTGTGACCTGAACATTGAAAAGAAGCCAGTCATGAGAAAAATTGGAGAAAGAGTGTTCTAGTCATGGCAAGCGCACAAAGGTCCTGAGGTAGGAACAAGCTTAGTGGTTTGTCTAAGGAACTAAAAGAAGGCCATTGTGTCTGAAGTGAACACTGATGAGAGAGTGTTCTGGCCCAGGCCAGATCATAGGGGATTTTGTAGGTCATAGTAACAACTATGGATTTTATCCCAAGCACAGTGTGGAGTCCTGGAAGTTTTTAACTGTGGGGAATGATATGATCAATTTATATGTTTTTGATAATAATAATAGCTTTTGTTTATTGGACAGATACAGTGATAAGCACATTACATGCATATATTTCATCAGTCTTCACATAACCCAGTAAAATATGATGTTATTTTTGTGATTATTTTAGAGATTAAGAAATCTGAAGCTTAGTAAGGTTAATTTTTTAAAGGTCACAAAATTATTGTTATTTATAGAACCAAGATTTGAGTTTGAGTTTATCTGATCCTAAGCCTACATGGCTTTTATTAAGCTAAAATATATATAACAGGCCAGGCATGGTGGCCCACACCTGTAATCCCAGCACTTTGGGAGGCCAAGACGGGCGGATTACTCGAGGTCAGGAGTTTGAGACCTGCCTGGCCAACATGGTGAAACCCTGTCTCTACCAAAAATACAAAAATTAGCTGGGCGTGATGGTGGGTGCCTGTAATCCCAGCTACTCAGGAGGCTGAGGCAAGAGAATTGCTTGAACCTGGGAGGTGGAGGTTGCAGTGAGCTGAGATCGTGCCACTGCACTCCAGCCTGGGTGACAGAACGAGACTCCAGGTCAAAATAAATACATAAATAAAATACATATAACAACATTGGCTATTTTAATCATTTTAAGTGTGTAATTCAGAAATATTGATTGTATTAAAAATGATATGCAACCATCACCATCAAATATTTCCAAAACCCTTTTATCACCCCAAGCAGAAACTCTGTACCCGGTAAGGAATGACTCCCCATTTTCCCCAGCCCTGGTAAAGTCTAATTTACTTTCTGTCTTCTCTATGAATTTTCTTATTCTAGCCAAGCTTGCTGGCTCATGACTGTAATCCTAGCACTTTGGGAGGCCGAGATGGGCAGATCATGTGAGGTCAGGAGTTTGAGACCTCAGCCAACATGGTAAAACCCCGTCTGCACTAAAAATACAAAAATTAGCCAGGTGTGGTGGCACATGCCTGTAGTCCTAGCTACGTGGGAGGCTGAGGCAGGAAAATCACTTGAACCCAGGAGGCAAAGGTTGCAGTGAGCCAAGATCGCACCACTGCACTCCAGGCTGGGCAACACAGTAAGACTCCATCTTAAAAAAAAAAAGAATTTTCTTATTCTAGATATGTCATATAAATGAATTCATACTATATTTCTCTTTTTGTGTCTGACCTATTTGAATTAGCATAATGTTTTCCAGGTTCATTCATGTTGTAGCATGTATCAGAAGTTCCTTCATTTTTATGGGTTAATAATATTCCATCTAGTGTATATACCACATATTTTTTGTCCATTTATCAATTGATAGACATTTGGGTTTTTTCCACCTTTTGGCCATTGTAAATACTACAGGGAACATTGGTCACCAAGTATCTGCTTGAGTCCCTGTTATCTATTATTTTGGGTATATACTTTGGAGGGAAATTGCCTGGTTATATGGTAATTCTGTGTTTAAATTTTTGAGAACATGACAAAATATTTACCTGGGTGCCTGTACCATTTTACTTTCCCATCAGCAGTTCACAAGAGTTCCAATTTCTTCACATCCTCAAGAACACTTATTTTCCACATATATAATTTTCATTTCTAATTTTTTTATAGACAGGATCTCAGCCTGTCACCCAGGCTGGAGTGCAGTGGCATGATAATAGCTCACTGCAGCCTTGCATTCCTGGGCTCAAGAGATCCTCCCGCCTCAGCTTCCTGACTAGCTAGGAATACAGGCATGTGCTACTGCATCCAGCTTTTTTTTTTTTTTTTTTTTTTGTAGAGATGGGGGTCTCACCATGCTGGTCTCAAACTCCTGGCTTCAAGCGATCCTTCTGCTTTAGCCTCCCAAAGCTCTGGGATTACAGGCTATTTTCTGTATTTTTTATTTTAGATATCCTAATAACTGTGAAGTCATATTTCATTGTGATTTTGATTTGCATTTCCAATAACTAATGATGTTGAGTATCTTTTCATGTATTCGTTGGCTATTTCTATATCTTGTGATATGGCCATATGTCTATTCAAGTTTTGCTCATTTATTTTCTTATTGTTGAGTTTTTTCTTTTTTTGAGATGGAGTTTTGCTCTTGTTGCCCAGACTGGAGTGCAATGACGCGATCTCGGCTCACTGCAACCTCCGCCTCCCAAGTTCAGGTGATTCTCCTGCCTCAGCCTCCCAGGTAGCTGGGATTACAGGCATTCACCACCACACCCAGCTAATTTTTTGTATTTTTAATAGAGACAGGGTTTCACCATGTTGGCCGGGCTAGTCTTGGACTCCTGACCTCAGGTGATCTGACTGCCTCAGCCTCCCAAAGTCCTGGGATTACAGGTGTGAGCCACCGTGCCCAGCCTCTTATTGTTGAGTTTTAAGAGTTCATTTTATGTTTTGCATACTAGACCTTTGTCAAATATATATGCATAATTGTGTATAATTTTATATAAATGTGATCATATAGCGTTCTGTTTTGTAACTTTTTTTAATACTCACTAATATCATGGATACCCCTGTAGGTCAATAAATGTTCTCTTACAATTTGTAATGACTCATAATGTTCCATTACATAAATGAATTATAATTTAGTTTGTTTTTATTTCTTTGTTCCACTTTGCTATTATTAATAATGGTATAGCAAACATTTTCGTGAAACATGAACTGAAGCAGATAGAACAGCAATTTCATTGGAACTTTTTAACATTTGCCTTTCTGAAACTGATAATAATTGCCCAGGAAAAATAAGTGACAATATCAAAATCTTAACAATACAATAAGTTTGAGCTATTTTATTTACATAGAATACACAGAACTTTGTATCCAAGAAACAGGGATACATGTTCTTTTGGGTACACAGACAACATTAAGAAATATAAACTATGCATCAGGCTATAAAGGAAGCCTCAAAAATTCAAAAGATTCTATATCACATAGAGTATGTTTTCTAACCATAAGAAAATAAAATTAAAAATTAATGATAAAACATTCCATATTTGGGAACTAACAAAATGGCAAATATTCTTTGGGTTAAAAAAATAAATATATTTTATGATGAAATGACAATGAAGTCAGTATATATCCACATTTGTGGGACACAGTTCATTATGTAGAAAGGAAGTTCATTGCTTTAGATATATTGATCAACAAATAAGAAAGATTAAAAACAAATGTATTGAGCATTTAAATTAAAAAAATTGATAACAACAACAAAACCTACCCGAAGTGACAAAACAGCTGGACATATAAGACTTAAGGGCAGAAGTGAAATAAATTAAAAAACAACTATAACAATAAAAAATGGTAGAGGTAATTAACAAAGCCAAAAATTAGTTATTGAAAGGATTAACAAGGTAGACTGGTAGGAAAATGCAAACAAACACAGTAGAGAATATAGAGTAAAATAAATGAAATATTACAGACACAACAGATTTGTTAAAAAGACGAAAGAATTATAACACATTTGAAAAAAAAGAGATGAGGTTAATTCCTAGAAAAATGTAAATGGCCAAAAGTTGGCAAAAGGAAAGAGGGAGACTGAGTAGACGGATATATATTAAAGATATTGAAATGGAATTCATACTTCCCCTCCCCTTCACTCCCTCAGAAAAAGTGGTCCCCAAAAATTTTAACCTTAGAAATGAGTCGGTTCAAATCCTTTCATTACTAGTGTAAAGGAGAAAAACATGTGCTTATTGTAATCAAATTAGAATTGCAGGAAAATTAAGTAAATAATATTTATATGATAACCTATAGCAAACATTATACTAAATGGAGAAACTTTAAATATGTTCATCTTACGATGGAGAACAAGAGAAAGATACCCATTTGTCTACTATTGTTTAACCCAGTACTGGAGAGCCCCACTAATACTGTTAGAATGAAAATTGGCCGGGCGCAGTGGCTCATGCCGATAATCCCAACACTTTGGGAGGCCGAGGCGAGCAGATCACCTGAGGTCAGGAGTTTGAGATCTGCCTGGCCAACATGGCAAAAACCCATCTCCACTAAAAATACAAAAAATTAGCCAGACATGGTGGCTGGTGCCTGTAGTTCCAGCTACTTGGGAGGCTGAGGCAGGAGAATTGCTTGAACCCGGGAGGCAGAGGTTGCAGTGAGCCGAGATTGCGCCACTGCACTCCAGCCTGGGAGTGAGACTCCTTCTAAAGAAAAAAAAAAAAAATAGAAAAGGAAAGAAAATTAAATAAGTGCACAAAGATGGGAAGGAAAGATTTAAAATTGGTTACTATTTGAAAAACATTACAAAACAGCATGGTGTTATTTGCAGATGATATAATTATATAACTGGGAAAATCAGCAGCATCAGTAAACTTTATAAGGACTAATAAGAAATTCACCAGATTGGCAATGACACGAGTAATTTGCCAAAGTTAATATTATTTTTAATACGTGCAATAAGTAACCAGTAAATGTGATAAGTAATATTGATACGGGAGGGGGGCAGGCAAGTGCTAGGAAGAGAAAGGCCCGGTCCCTGGCTAGGGCTCCACCCCTGGGCCTGTGCCCACGGACCTAGGTGAGGACAGGCATTTCTGTTTTCATGCCAAAATGTTGCATTTTCCAAGACCACCCTGGCCCGCCATGCCCCCATCCTTTGCCTATAAAAACCCCAAGACCCTAGAGGGCAGAGACACAAGTGGTTGGACATCGAGAGGAACACACAGGCGGAAGAACACAGCCGCAGACACCAGCAGATACCAGGAGGACACCGGCAGACACCAGGAGGACACCGGCAGACACCAGGAGGACACCGGCAGACACCAGCAGTTGCCAGCAGGTCATCTATGGCGGGAAGACGCTGAGTTCAGCCGAGGGCGGTCAGAGGAGAGGCAGGAGAGCTCGGCGGCTGAGCGGCCTGACTCCTGGGGAAAACCAACTTCCCACTCCATCCTCCTTCTGGCTCCCCATCCATCTGCTGAGAGCTATTTCCATCATTCAGTAAAACCTTGCACTCATTCTCCAATCCCATGTATGATCTGATTTTTCCGGTACACCACGGCAAGAACCCGGGATACAGAAAGCCCTCTCTCCTTGTGATAAGGCAGAGGGTCTAATTTAGCTGATTAACACGAGCTGCCTATAGACAACAAAACTAAAAGAGCACACTGTAACGCACGCCCACTGGGGCTTAAGGAGCTGTAAGCATTTGCCCCTAGATGCTGCCTTGGGGTTAAAGCCCACATGCCCCACAACCTGCCCATCTGCATGCGCCCCCTAGAGGTTTGAGCAGAGGGGCACCGAAGAAGCGAGCCACAGCCCAGTCTCATGCCCTGTGAAGGGGATAAGGGAACTTTTCCCGTTTCAATATCATTCACATTAGCAATAACAACTAAAATATGCAGAAATTATTTTCAAAAGAAATACACAAGATCTCTATTGGGAAAAACATTAAAATCTAGTAAAGGACATGGAAGAAAATATAAATAAATTCTAGACCTTTCCTCTTTTCAAATGGATTTCGTTAATATTATACAGATGTTAATTCTCCTCTAATTAATCTATAAATTAAAGTTTAGTTGGGTTTTTAGCTTAATATGCACAAATAGCTAAGTTAACCTTAAAAAAAAAAAGACAAAAGAAGGGAGATTTTCTCTACCAGGCAGCACACATATTACAAAGTCAGTGGAGTGAAAACAGTCGGATATTGGTCCTCAAACAGAAGGCTAGTCAAACAGAATAGATAGCTGAAGTTCAAACTCACATATTAATTTAATATAAAATAAAAATCGCACTCCAAATTAATGGGGAGTGGAAAAATTCATAGGTGATTATAGGAATAATGAATCTCTATATAGAGAAATATAAAGCTGGATTCCTACGTAACATCACAAACAATGCTGAATTCCAGGCGGATGAAGGGCCTAGAAGTGAAAGGCAAAACTCAAAGGTTGTTTCTGTCCTGTGTATATACCCTTTTCTGATAAATATATGGAACAAACTAGGAATTCAAGGGAACTTCTTCAACCTGATTGATGGCAGCTGTAACCAAAACTAGAAGTTAACATCACACATAAGGGAAAGACTAAAATCTTTTCCTCTATGGTAAAGAACAAAATAAGGATGTCTACGTTCTTCACTTTGATTCAACATTGCACTGGAGGTTCTAGTTAGCATAATTAGCCAAAATTGGAAAGAAGTAAATCTATCTCTATTTGCAGATGACTTCATGTTGTATATAGAAAATCCTAAGGAACACACACACACAAACACATACACACACACACAGAACTAATGAAGGAGTTCAACAACATTGTGTAGGATACAAGATCAGTATATAAAAATAAATTTTATTTCTATCTACTTTGGAATAAAATTGTATGTCTATTGACATTAATAATGTGAACATTAAGAAAACAATCTGATTTAATCAAAATGATTAAAATACTTAGGTATAAATTTAACAAAAGATGTGCAAGACTTATATGCTGAAAACTACAAAACATCATTGAAAGAAATTAAAGAAGCCCTAAATCAATAGAAAGACAAGCTGTGTTCATGAATTGAAAGCCTTAATATTGTTAAGATGGCATTACTCATCAAGTTGATCTACAGATTCAATGCAAGCCCTATCAGAATTCCAGCTGGCCATTTCACACAAATTGGTAAGATGATCCTAATATCCACATAGAAATGGAAAGGACCAGAAT
This sequence comes from Homo sapiens, assembly GCF_000001405.40. Taxonomy (NCBI): domain Eukaryota; kingdom Metazoa; phylum Chordata; class Mammalia; order Primates; family Hominidae; genus Homo; species Homo sapiens. Next base: position 68,237,331 of record NC_000023.11, on the reverse strand, counting down.
AGAAAAAAATGTCAAAGGCAAATTTTTAAATTTCAAAACTTACTACAGGCCGGGCGTTGTGGCTCACGCCTGTAATTCCAACACTTTGGGAGGCTGAGGTGGGTGGATTACCTGAGGTCAGGAGTTCGAGACCAGCCTGGTCAACATGGTGAAACCCCGTGTCTACTAAAAATACAAAATTAGCTGGGTGTAGTGGCACATGCCTGTAATCTCAGTTACTTGGGAGGGTGAGGCAGGAGAATCTCTTGAACCCAGCAGGTGGAGGTTGCTGTGAGCCGAGATCGCACTGCTGCACTCCAGCCTGGGCAACAAGAGTGAAACTCCATCTCAAAACAAAACAAAAGAAAACTTACTACAAAGCCACAGTAATCAAGATAGTGTGGTGCTGACATAAAGATAGACATATAGATCAATAGAATAAAGAGTCCAGAAACAAACATTTATGGTTCACTAATAATTTACAAGGATATTAAAAGCAATCAGTTGGGAAAGAATACTCTTTTGAATAAATGGTGCTGGGACTACCGGATATTTACTTGCAAAAGAATAAAGGAAACATAGTACATCCATACAGCCAAATAATATTCAGTCATAAAAAGGAGTGGAGTACCGATACATGCTACAATATGGATGACCCTTGGAAACATTATGTAAGTTTAAGAAGCCAGTCACCAAAGGCCATAATGCAGATTCCAGTTAATATGAAAGATGTAGAATAGGAAAATCCATAGAGATGAATGTAGACTGTGGCTTTTTGAAGGTGGGTGGAAGGGGGAATGGAAAATGATTACTAATGTGATTAAGATTTCTTTTTGGGGTGATGAAAATATTTTGGAATTAGATAACAGCAGTGGTTGCACAGCTTTGTGAATATGCTAAAAACCACTGAATTGTACACTTTAAAAGGATGAGTTTTATGATATGAGAATTATATTTCAGTTTTTAATTTAAAAATTGAATTTGAAGGAGAAAGTATTCCACAGAATCTTATCGGTCCTTGGTGAAGGCAGTAAGGTTTTCTGGCCCATGCTTTTCTCAAATAATTGGTACTTTAAATTGATTCAACAGCTGGAGGAACAGTTTGTCCTTCCTATGTTTTGTGTGAAAATGTCTACCTCCTGTGTTTTGGTATCTGAGTTAGGGTTGGGCTATGGAACTTCTCGAGTTGTATTCCTAAGACGTCTTGATTATTTATAAGCCCCATGAATGTTATTCCACCCATGATAATCTGGGCTACATGGACTGTGATCTTGGATGTTAGTTCAGCTTATTTGAACCTTAATTTCCTTTACAATATCTGCTTCTCAGTGTTGTAAAGTCTAAATGAGATAATAGACTTTAAGTGTCTATCATAGTGCCTGGCCTGATGTAGGCCTTGGTTAATGAATGTTAGCTTCCTCCCTACACGTTTCCCTTCATTAAAAAAAAATAGTAAAAAGCACATTTCTTTCTTTCTTCCCTGTCCACCCCGCCTGAAACAGAGTCTTGCTCTCTCACCTAGGCTGGAATGCAGTGGCACAATCTCGGCTCACTGTAACCTCCACCTCCCAGGTTCAAGCAATTCTCCTGCCTCAGCCTCCCAAGTAGCTGGGATTACAGGCGTGCACCACCAAGCCCAGCTAATTTTTTTTCTCTTTTTTTTTTTTTTGTATTTTTAGTAGAGATGGGGTTTCACCATGTTGGCTAGGCTGGTCTCGAACTCCTGACCTCAGGTGATCCGCCCGCCTCGGCCTCCCAAAGTGCTGGCATTACAGGCATGAGCCACTGTGCCCGGCCAAAAGCACATTTCTTATATGTCACAGGTCACTCAGCTCTGCCCTAGCTTCCTGCCCAGCAACAGATTGCTTGTAGCAATAAACCATGGGTGATTTTTTTTTCTTTGATCCGTGTGTCCCCTGCTGTGCCTCTTCTACTACCTGGCACATTGCAGGTGCTCAGTGATTTTGGATTTCGCATGAGACAGCACAAGCCATTTACATTGATTTTCCAGCATGATGCTAAGAGAATAGTAGAGTGTCAGCATTAGTCTGTGACAAAGGAACATTGTTAGTGCTACTTTAGATGCTGTGTTTCTTCCAGTTGTGCTGAGTAGCAGAGAACTTAATTAAATTTCATACTCGAGAAGAGTAAAGGCTGAGTCCTTCATCTGCCACAAATCTTTACAACCCTTGCTTTCTAGTTAAACTTTCCAGGATTTTTTTTCTCTGTTTTTAATATCAGCTTTTTGGAGTGAAGTGCTTAAATAATACCAAGTAATTTATTAAAAAGAGACAATCCCAGGTTCCTATTTCTTTGGAAATGTTTTACTTATTATTAGCTGTCTAAGTGCATTGTAGATTAACCTTTTCATGACAAATATTTACTTCCATTTGTGTTATGTCTTCTTCCTTTGTAAGAAAATTTGAATGAGTGGTTAATCTATGTGAAAAATATTGGAGGGAAGAAAATATATCTACTGCACAGGCCCTTTTAAGGTATCATTCTCTAAGGAGCAGCTTCCATAGCTTTCAGCTGTAAAAATAGGGACTGCCATTTCTGCAGGCAGAATGGTTTGGGGTTATATTTCAGGAAGCTGAAACTGCTGAGACCAATACAAAGTTAATTCTCCGTTGCTTTTTTTTCCTTCCAGGAGCTAGAGGGATTGACCACCTGAAACCTGACACTATCTCCTTCATTCTCCTTTCTAAGCAGACAGAGTTACAACTACAGACATTTAATCTTTGCCCTTCTTTCCCACCTTTAGGAGCGGAAAAAGAAATTTGAAAAGGATGGTGAGAGGTTTTATTCTTTACTGGATCGGCACTTACACCTGTCTTCAAAAAAGAAAGAATCTCAGTTACAAGAGGTATGTTCACAAAGCCTGCCCCTGCCTTCCATTGCTAGCTATGCCTTAGAAACAGTGTGAATTTTGTACTGCAAGGCTTTTCCCATACCCCGTCTCAGCAGGGAACCTCATGTGATAGTAGCACTTGTAGTCAAAACTGTGGCCTGAGACTCAGAAGCCCTGAATACTAAGCCAGCTCTTCCACTAACTCAGGGTGTGACCTTGGATAGGATACTTCTTTCTTTGCCTCATTCCATTATCTGTAAGAAGAGGAGTCGAGAGTCCCTTTCAATTGCAAGTCCAAAATCCATGCGAGGATAAAGTTAAACTAGTGTTGTATTTGGTAGAAATCAGGAACAGATCTTCTACTTTTTTCCCTGAGAGATTCCACAACCTTTTTTTTTTTTTTTTTTTTTGGTGAGGGGTTAGGGGAATGTTCTGTTTTGGGACTACTGCTTACCTGGGACTTGCAGTGCCTTCAGTTCAAATAAGCTACCATTCGGTGAGACCCTACCACATGCCATGAACTGTACTGGATGCAACATGGCTACAGAAACAATGAGACATGATTCCTGCCCTTCTGCAGCTTACTGTTGGGCTACTAAATAAGAAAACACATTACTCTTATACAAATAGATTTTTTTTACATACTTTAATGTGTATATGGTGCTTTTGTTGGGAGTGGGAAATGAGAATAGAAGACTTATGTTTGGATGTGGGGAATTTCCTTTGTGGAAGAATGTTGCCCTTCCAATTTGACGTGGTCATTAAAATATAGGTAAAGTGTTTGACAGGTGAAAATGGATAAATGGACCTTTCAAACAGAGACCAATGGCCCAAGGATGGAAGGAACATAAGTAGAATTCTATTTTAGGAATCTCAAACTGGCATAGGTTGTAGGGTGAATTAGATCAGGGAGAGACTAGAAGCAGGATAAACAGTTTAGGAAACTATTGATCTAGGAAACGATCTAGGGGAAAGTGACAGAGCCGTAAGAGAGGCACTAGGGAAGGAAAAGAAGGAATAAACTGATTGAGAATTTTTCTAATGGAAGGAGGGGTCTATATGTTCAATGAAAGATTCAGTAATAATGGAGATTTTAAAGATTCAAGTATGAAAAGAGATATCTGATGGAATAATATCATAGGCAGGAGCTGTCATCTTGTCCATGGTCACACAGATTGTGGCAGAGCTGGAGCTCATCTCCTGATAACTGGTTTCATAGATATCCATCACATCATCTGAGGTGCTTGAAGGTAATAGGTCAAGAGCCTCAGTGTGGCCGAGTGCAGTGGCTCATGCCTGTAATCCCAGCATTTTGGGCGGCCAAGGCAGGTGGATCTCTTGAGGTCAAGAGTTTGCAACCAGCCTGGCCAACATGGCAAAACCCCAGCTCTACTAAAAATACAAAATTAACCGGGCATAGTGGCACATGTCTGTAATCTCAATTACTTAGGAGACTGAGGAAGAAGAATCGCTTGAACCCGGGAGGCGGAGGTTGCAGTGAGCTGAGATCACTCCATTGCACTCCAGCCTGGGTGACAAGAACGAAACTCTGTCTCAAAAAAAAAAAAAAAAGCCTTAGTTGTGGATGGAGTTAGTATTGCAAAGGAGAAGGACTACTTTCCTTCCATAAACTAGAATTGAGTCTGGGATCTTCTATCATTTTCCTTTTGCCCACTTTTGTTTTTTTCCTTTTCTATCTATTCTGTGTCGCGGTTTCTATGCAGAAAACAGTCAACAGGCCTGAGACTGCTATGCTTAGAAAGACCTGTTTACAAAATTAGCCCTTGGAATGGCATCTGGGAACTTCACTGTTAAACAGCTCCCAACATTGATTTAGAAGTTTCCCTTAATGGGTAAGAATGGCTGACTGTGCCAAGCCTGGCTCTGCAAATAATGTAGCTTATGTCGAACACCTTTTTCTTCTGGTACTCTTGAATTTTGGTTGTGCTGGGCAGAGTGTGCCTGTGTAACTAGCCCCGCAGTAAAACCCTAAGCTACTCATTCTCTTATGAGCTTCCCTGACTGATAACATTTTCTCTGTGTTGTTACAACTTGTTGAAGGAAGAATTAAATGTGTCTTGGGTGACACCACCGTGAGAGATCTTTTGGAAGCTTTTACCTAGCTTCCTCTGCATTTTGCCCCAGGCACCTTTTCTCTTTGCTCAGTCGGCTGTGTACGCTTTCACTGAAATAAATCTTAGCTGTGAGTACTACTATGTTGAGTACTTTGAGTCCTGCTCAAAAAAGATTTATTAAAGAATTATTAAAATTGGGGTGGTCTTCTGGACCCTGGACACAATCCAAACTATTGGAGACTTTTGCTAGGACACCTTCTGGAGTGTTCTAGGTGTTTGGTGCTATATCTAGATGTCCTTTTATTACTTATTCAATAAAAAAATGAGCAGGGCAATCTTGAGTTAGTCACTTTCAAAAAATTTAGATTTCATCTTTAGAGAAGTTTTAGGTTTACAGAAAATTAAATAGTAAGTACAGAGTTCTCATATGCCCTTACTCCCTCACACAGTTTCTCATTTCCTCTTTTAGGATCATCTTGCATTTGTGTGATACATTTGTTAGAATTGAGGAGCCAATGTATTAAACATTCTATGGGTTTTGAAAAACATATGATAACATATATCCAGCATTACCATATTGTACAGGACAGTTTCGCTGCCTTGAACATCCCTGGACTTTATCCCTCCCTCCTTCTACCTCTACCTCTGACACCACTGATCTTTTTATGGACTCCATACTTTTGCCTTTTCCAAAATGTCATATAGTTGGTATCATATGGTTTGTAACCTTTTTTGATTGGCTTCTTGTAGTTAGCAAGATGCATTTAAGGTTTCTCCATATCTTTTCTTGACTTGATAACTCACTTCTTTTTAGGGCTGAATAATATGCCATTGTCTGGTTGTACCACGGTTGGTTTATCCATTTGCCTATTGAAGGACTTCTTGGTTTCTTCTGAATTTTGGCAGTTATTAAAGCTGCGATAAAAAATTGTGTGCAGGCTTTTAGGGATATACATTTTGATGTTGTTTGAGTCAATACCAAATAATACAACTGCTATCATATGGTAAGATTTTATCTAGTGTCGTAAGAAACTGCCAAACTGTCTTCCAAATTGACTGTAGCAGTTTTTATTTCCATGAACAATGAATGATAGCTCCGGTTGCTCCACATCCTTGTCACTATTCTGCGTTGTACCATTAAAAGTAATGGCAGAAATCACAGTTCCTTTTGCACCAACCTAATATGTACATGGAATATCTTTCCATTTATTTTGACCTTTGATTTTTTTCATCAGTGTTTTGTAGTTCTCCTCTTAAATATCTTGTCTTTTTGTGCCTGGCTTATTTGACTTAACAAAATAACTTTCAGTTCCATCCATGTTGTTGCAAATGACGGGATCTCATTTTTTTCATTCTTTTATTTCTGATGCCACTTCTTTGTGTATTTACTCTCTTACTTATTTAATGTGGCTAAAATATTAACAATTTTATTGATTTTTTTCAAAGAACCAGCTTTTTGGTTTTGTTGATTTCCTGTTGTTAATTTCGTTGATATCTTCATCTTCTTTTTTTTATTATACTTTAAATTATAAGGTACATGTGCACAACGTGCAGGTTTGTTACATATGTAGACATGTGCCATGTTGGTGTGCTGCACCCATTAACTCATCATTTACATTAGGTCTATCTCCTAATGCTATCCCACCCCCCTCCCCCCACCCCACGTCAAGCTCCAGTGTGTGATGTTCCCCACCCTGTATCCAAGTATTCTCATTGTTCAATTCCCACCTATGAGTGAAAACATGTAGTATTTGGTTTTCTGTCCTTGCGATAGTTTGCTCAGAATGATGGTTTCCAGCTTCATCCATGTCCCTACAAAGGACATGAACTCATCATTTTTTATAGCTGCATAGTATTCCATGGTGTATGTATGCCACATTTTCTTAATCCAGTCTATCATTGATGGATATTTGGGTTGGTTCCAAATCTCTGCTATTGTGAATAGTGCCACAATAAGCATATGTGTGCATGTGTCTTTATAGCAGCATGATTTATAATCCTTTGGATATATACCCAGTAATGGGATGGCTGGGTCAAATAGTATTTCTAGTTCTAGATCCTTGAGGAATCACCACACTGCCTTCCACAATGGTTGAACTAGTTTACACTCCCACCAACAGTGTAAAAGTGTTCCTATTTCTCCACATCCTCTCCAGCACCTGTTGTTTCCTGACTTTTTAATGATTGCCATTCTAACTGGTGTGAGATGGTATCTCATTGTGGTTTTGATTTGCATTTCTCTGATGACCAGTGACGATGAGCATTTTTTCCTGTGTCTGTTGACTGCATAAATGTCTTCTTTTGAGAAGCATCTGTTCATATTCTTTGCCCACTTTTTGATGGGGTTGTTTGATTTTTTCTTGTAAATTTGTTTAAGTTCTTTGTAGATTCTGGATATTCGCCCTTTGTCAGATGGGTAGATTGTAAAAATTTTCTCTCATTCTGTAGGTTGCCTGTGCACTCTGACAGTAGTTTCTTTTGCTGTGCAGAAGCTCTTTAGTTTAATTAGATCCCATTTGTCAATTTTGGCTTTTGTTGCCATTGCTTTTGGTGTTTTAGACATGAAGTCCTTGCCCATGCCTATGTCCTGAATGGTATTGCCTAGGTTTTCTTCTAGGGTTTTTATGGTTTTAGGTCTAACATTTAAGTCTTTAATCCTTCTTGAATTAATTTTTGTATAAGGTGTAAGGAAGGGATCCAGTTTCAGCTTTCTACATATGGCTAGCCAGTTTTCCCAGCACCATTTATTAAAAAGGGAATCGTTTCCCCATTGCTTGTTTTTGTCAGGTTTCTCAAAGATCAGATGGTTGTAGATGTGTAGTATTATTTCTGAGGGATCTATTCTGTTCCATTGGTCTATATATCTGTTTTGGTACCAGTACCATGCTGTTTTGGTTACTGTAGCCTTGTAGTATAGTTTGAAATCAGGTAGCATGATGCCTCCAGCTTTGCTCTTTTGGCTTAGGATTGTCTTGGCAATGTGGGCTCTTTTTTGGTTCCATATGAACTTTAAAGTAGTTTTTTCCAACTCTGTGAAGAAAGTCATTGGTAGCTTGATGGAGATGGCATTGAATCTATAAATTACCTTGAGCAGTATGGCCATTTTCACGATATTGATTCTTCCTATCCATGTGCATGGAATGTACTTCCATTTCTTTGTGTCCTCTTTTATTTTGTTGAGCAGTGGTTTGTAGTTCTCCTTGAAGAGGTCCTTCACATCCCTTGTAAGTTGGATTGCTAGGTATTTTCTTCTCTTTGAAGCCATTGTGAATGGGAGTTCACTCATGATTTGGCTCTCTGTTTGTCTGTTATTGGTGTATAGGAATGCTTGTGACTTTTGCACATTGATTTTGTATCCTGAGACTTTGCTGAAGTTGCTTATCAGTTTAAGGAGATTTGGGGCTGAGATGATGGGGTTTTCTAAATATTCAATCATGTCATCTGCAAACAGGGACAATTTGACTTCCTCATTTCCTAATTGAATACCCTTTATTTCTTTCTCCTGCTTGATTGCCCTGGCCAGAACTTCCAACACTATGTTGAATAGGAGTGGTGAGAGAGGGCATCCCTGTCTTGTGCCAGTTTTCAAAGGGAATGCTTCCAGTTTTTGCCCATTCAGTGAGATATTGGCTGTGGGTTTGCCATAAATAGCTCTTATTATTTTGAGATACATCCTATCAATACCTAGTTTGTTTAGAGTTTTTAGCATGAATGGCTGTTGAATTTTGTCATAGGCCTTTTCTGCATCTATTGAGATAATCATGTGGTTTTTGTCTTTGGTTCTGTTTATATGCTGGATTACATTTATTGATTTGTGTATGTTGAACGAGCCTTGCAGCCCAGGGATGAAGCCAACTTGATCGTGGTGGATAAGCTTTTTGATGTGCTGCTGGATTCAGTTTGCCAGTATTTTATTGAGGATTTTTACATTGATGTTCATCAGGGATATTGGTCTAAAATTCTCTTTTTTTTTTGTTGTGTCTCTGCCAGGCTTTGGTATCAGGATGATGCTGGCTTCATAAAATGAGTTAGGGAGGATTCCCTCTTTTTCTATGGATTGGAATAGTTTCAGAAGGAATGGTACCAGCTCCTCCTTGTACCTCTGGTAGAATTTGGCTGTGAATCCATCTGGTCCTGGACTTTTTTTGGTTGGTAGGCTATTAATTATTGCCTCAATTTCAGAGCCTGTTATTAGTCTATTCAGGGATTCAACTTCTTCCTGGTTTAGTCTTGGGAGGGTTCATGTGTCCAGGAATTTATCATTTCTTCTAGATTTTCTAGTTTATTTGTGTAGAGGTGTTTATGGTATTCTCTGATGGTAGCTTATATTTCTGTGTGAAAGGTGGTGATATCCCCTTTATCATTTTTTATTGCAACTATTTGATTCTTCTCTCTTTTCTTCTTTATTAGTCTTGCTAGCAGTCTATCAATTCTGCTGATCTTTTCAAAAAACCATCTCCTGGATTCATTGATTTTTTGAAGGTTTTTTTTTGTGTCTCTTATCTCCTTCAGTTCTGCTCTGATCTTAGTTATTTCTTCCCTTCTGCTAGCTTTTGAATGTGTTTGCTCTTGCTTCTCTAGTTCTTTTAATTGTGATGTTAGGGTGTCAATTTTAGATCTTTCCTGCTTTCTCTTGTGGGCATTTAGTGCTATAAATTTCCCTCTACACACTGCTCTAACTGTGTCCCAGAGATTCTGGTATGTTTTGTCTTGTTCTCGTTGGTTTCAAAGAACATCTTTATTTTTGCCTTCATTTCGTTATATACCCAGTAGTCATTCAGGAGCAGATTGTTCAGTTTCCATGTAGTTGAGCGGTTTTGAGTGAGTTTCTTAATCCTGAGTTCTAGTTTGATTGCACTGTGGTCTGAGAGACAGTTTGTTATAATTTCTGTTCTTTTACATGTGCTGAGGACTGCTTTACTTCCAACTATATGGTCAATTTTTAATAAGTGCGATGTGGTGCTGAGAACAATGTATATTCTGTTGATTTGGGGTGGAGAGTTCTGTAGATGTCTATTAGGTCCGCTTGGTGCAGAGCTGAGTTCAGTTCCTGGATCTCCTTGTTAACTTTCTGTCTCGTTGATCTGTTTAATGTTGACAGTGGGGTGTCAAAGTCTCCCGTTATTATTTTGTGGGAGTCTAGGTCTCTTTCTCGGTCTCTAAGGACTTGCTTTATGAATCTGTGTGCTCCTGTATTGGGTGCATATATATTTAGGATAGTTAGCTCTTCTTGTTGAATTGATTCCTTTACCATTATGTAATGGCCTTCTTTGTCTCTTTTGATCTTTGTTGGTTTAAAATCTGTTTTATCAGAGCCTAGGATTGCAACCCATGCCTTTTTTTGTTTTCCATTTGCTTGGTAGATCTTCCTCCATCCCTTTATTTTGAGCCTGTGTGTGTCTCTGCACGTGAGATGGGTCTCCTGAATACAGCACACTGATGGGTCTCCTGAATACAGCACAATGATGGGACTTGACTCTTTATCCAACTTTCCAGTCTGTGTCTTTTAATTGGAGCATTTAGCCCATTTACATTTAAGGTTAATATTGTTATGTGTGAATTTGATCCTGTGATTATGATGTTCGCTGGTTATTTTGCTCGTTAGTTGATGCAGTTTCTTCCTAGCCTTGATGGTCTTTACAATTTGGCATGTCTTTGCAGTGGCTGGTACTGGTTGTTCCTTTCCATGTTTAGTGCTTCCTTTAGGAGCTCTTGTAAGGCAGGACTGGTAGTGACAGAATCTCTCAGCATTTGCTTGTCTGTAAAGTATTTTATTTCGCCTTTACTTATGAAGCTTAGTTTGGCTAGTTATGAAATTCTGGGTTGAAAATTCTTTTCATTAAGAAAGTTGAATATTGGCCCCTACTCTCTTCTGGCTTGTAGAGTTTCTGCCGAGAAATCAGCTGTTAGTCTGATGGGCTTCCCTTTGTGGGTAACCTGACCTTTCTCTCTGGCTGCCCTTAACATTTTTTCCTTCATTTCAACTTTGGTGAATCTGACAATTATGTGTCTTGGAGTTGCTCTTCTCAAGCAGTATCTTTGTGGCATTCTCTGTATTTCCTGAATGTGAATGTTGGCCTGCCTTGCTAGATTGGGGAAGTTCTCCTGGATAATATCCTGCAGAGTGTTTTCCAACTTGGTTCCATTCTCGCCGTCACTTTCAGGTACACAAATCAGGCGTAGATTTGGTCTTTTCCCATAGTCCCATATTTCTTGGAGGCTTTGCTCGTTTCTTTTTATTCTTTTTTCTCTAAACTTCTCTTCTCACTTCATTTCATTCATTTCATCTTCCATCACTGATACCGTTTCTTCCATTTGATCGAATCGGCTACTGAAGCTTGTGCATGTGTCATGTAGTTCTCATGCCTTGGTTTTCAGCTGCATCAGGTCATTTAAGGTCTTCTCTATGCTGTTTATTCTAGTTAGCCATTCGTCTTATCTTTTTTCAAGGTTTTTAGCTTCTTTGCGTTGGGTTTGAGCATCCTCCTTTAGCTTGGAGAAGTTTGTTATTACCGATCATCTGAAGCCTTCTTCTCTCAACTCATCAAAGTCATTCTCCATGCAGCTTTCTTCCATTGCTGGTGAGGAGCTACGTTCCTTTGGAGGAGAAGAGGTGCTCTGATTTTTAGAATTTTCAGCTTTTCTGCTCTGGTTTCTCCCCATCTTTGTGGTTTTATCTACCTTTGGTCTTTGATGATGGTGACGCACAGATGGGGTTTTGGTGTGGATGTCCTTTCTGTTTGTTAGTTTTCCTTCTAACAGTCAGGACCATCAGCTGCAGGTCTGTTGGAGTTTGCTAGAGGTCCACTGCAGATCCTGTTTGCCTGGGTATCACCAGCAGAGTCTGCAGAACAGCAAATATTGCAGAATGGCAAATGTTGCTGCCCGATCCGTCCTCTGGAAGCTTCATCTCAGAGGGGCACCCAGCTGTATGAGTTGTCAGTTGGCCCCTACTGGGAGGTTTCTCCCAGTTAGGCTACTCAGGGGTCAGGGACCCACTTAAGGAGGCAGTCTGTCCGTTCTCAGATCTCAAACTCCGTGCTGGGAGAACCACTACTCTCTTGAAAGCTGTGAGACAGGGACATTTAAGTCTGCAGAGGTTTCTGCTGCCTTTTGTTCAGCTATGCCCTGCCCCCAGAGGTGGAGTCTACAGAGGCAGGCAGGTCTCCTTGAGCTGTGGTGGGCTCCACCCAATTCGAGCTTCCCAGCTGCTTTGTTTACCTACTCAAGCCTCAGTAATGGCGGACGACCCTCCCCCAGCCTCGCTGCTGCCTTGCAGTTCGCTCTCAGACTGCTGTGCTTGCAGTAAGAGAGGCTCCGTGAGCTTGGGACCCTCTGCACCATGCATGGTATATAATCTCCTGGTGTGCCATTTGCTAAGACCGTTGGAAAAGCGCAGTATTAGGGTGGGAGTGTCCCGATTTTCCAGGTACTGTCTGTCACAGCTTCCCTTGGCCAGGAAAGGGAATTCCGCAACCCCTTGCGCTTCCAGGGTGAGGCGATGCCCTGCCCTGCTTCGGCTGACACTCTGTGGGCTGCACCCACTGTCCAACAAGCCGCAGTGAGATGAACTCAGTAGCTCAGTTAGAAATGCAGAAATCACCCATCTTCTGTGTCGCTCACACTGGGAGCTGTAGACTGGAGCTGTTCCTATTCAGCCATCTTGGAACCTTCAGTCGATATCTTCTTTAATGTTTATTTTTTCTTATTTTCTGCTTACTTTGGATGTGATTTATTCTTCTATTTCTAGTTTCCTAAGAAGGAAGCTTACATTATTAATAAGAGATCTTTCTTCTATTCTATTATATGCATTTCATTCTATAAATATTTCTCTAAGCACTGCTTTTGTTGCCCACAAATATTAAATTGTGTTTTCATTTTTATTTAATTCAAAATGTCTTAACATTTCTTATTTTATTTTATTTATTTTTTGTAGAATTGAGGTCTTACCATGTTGCCCAGGCGAGTTTCAAACTCCAGGTTTCAAGTGATCTTCCCGCCTTGCCCTCCTAAATTGCTGAGATTACAGGTGTTTGCCATGATGCCCAGCCTTACTTTTCTTTGCGTCTTTGACTCAGGTTTCATTTATAAATGTACTGTTTAATCTCCAATTATTTGGGGCATTTTCAGCTTTTAAAAATTGATTTCTGGTATAATTTAATTGTGGTCTAATTGTATATTTCATAAGATTTCTATTCTTTTAGATTTCTTCAGGTGTATTTTATGTCCCAGAATGTGGTCTATCTTGGTGATTTTTCTGTGTGACTTTGAGATGAAAGTGTATTCTGCTGTTGTATCAAGTGTTACAAAGATGTCAGTTAGATTCAGTTGATCAATGGTGCTGTTCAGGTCAACAATGTCCATACGGATTTTCTGCTAGCTGGATCTGTCCATTACTATTAGAGGAGTATTGAAGTCTCCAACTCTAATAGTAGGTGTGTCTCTCCTTGTAATTCTCTCAATTTTTACCTCATGTATTTTGATGCTGTGTTGTTAGGCACATTCACATTAAGAATTGTTATGTCTTCTTAGAGTCTTGCCATCTTTATTATTATATTATGATTTGATATCATAATATTTTTCCTTGGTAGTTTTCTTTGTTCTGAAGTATGCTTTTTATGAAATTAATATAGCTACTCTAGCATTCTTTTGATTAATGTTAGCATGATATATCTTTCTTTATACCTTTACTTTTAATCTGTCTTTGTTTTCTTTACATTTTAATTGTTATTTCAATAGGTTTAGGGGTATAAGTGTTTTTTGGTTACATGGATGAATTGTATAGTGGTGAAGTCTGGGCTTTTAGTGTACCTGTCACCCGAATAGTGTACATTATACCGAACAATGGGTAATTTTTCAGCCCCCTCTCACCACCCTTTTTCTGAGTCTCCAATGTCCATTATACCACTCTGCATGTCTCTGCATACTCAGAGCTTAGCTCCCACTAATAAATGGGAATGTGAGGTATTTGATTTGAGTTAGTTCACTTGGAATAATGGCCTCCAGTTCCAGTTTCTGTAAAAGACATTATTTTGTTCTGTTTCATGGCTGAGTAGTATTCCATTGTGTGTGAGTGTGTGTGTGCACACATATATACCTACTATATTTTCTTTATCCACTAATCAGTTGATGGGCACTTAGATTGATTTCCTGTCTTTGCAATTGTGAATTGTGTGAAGATAAACATAGGAGTGCAGGTGTCTTTTCTGATGTAATGACTTCTTTTCCTTTAGGTAGATTCTCAGTAGTGAGATCTTGGATCAAATAGTAGTTCTACTTTTAGTTATTTGAGAGATCTCTATACTGTTTTCCATAGAGACTGTATGAATTTACATTCCTACCCAAAGTGAATAAGCATTCCCTTTTAACCACATCTGCATCTTTTGTTTTTTGACTTTTTAATAATGGCCTTTCTGAGTGGAGTAAGGTGGTATCTCATTGTGGTTTTAATTTCCATTTTCTTTTTTTTTCTTTTTATTTATTTTTATTTATTTTTTCTATTATACTTTAAGTTTTAGGGTACATGTGCACATTGTGCAGGTTAGTTACATATGTATACATGTGCCATGGCTGGCGCTGCACCCACTAACTCATCATCTAGCATTAGGTATATCTGCCGATGCTATCCCTCCCCCCTCCCCCCACCCCACAACAGTCCCCAGAGTGTGATACTCCTCTTCCTGTGTCCATGTGATCTCATTGTTCAATTCCCACCTATGAGTGAGAATATGAGGTGTTTGCTTTTTTGTTCTTGCGATAGTTTACTGAGAATGATGATTTCCAATTTCATCCATGTCCCTACAAAGGACATGAACTCACATTTTTTATGGCTGCATACTATTCCATAGTGTATATGTGCCACATTTTCTTAATCCAGTCTATCATTGTTGGACATTTGGGTTGGTTCCAAGTCTTTGCTATTGTGAATAATGCCGCAATAAACATACGTGTGCATGTGTCTTTATAGCAGCATGATTTATAGTCCTTTGGGTATATACCCAGTAATGGGATGACTGGGTCAAATGGTATTTCTAGTTCTAGATCCCTGAGGAATCGCCACACTGACTTCCACAATGGTTGAACTAGTTTACAGTCCCACCAACAGTGTAAAAGTGTTCCTATTTCTCCACATCCCCTCCAGCACCTGTTGTTTCCTGACTTTTTAATGATTGCCATTCTAACTGGTGTGAGATGGTATCTCATTGTGGTTTTGATTTGCATTTCTCTGATGGCCAGTGATGACGAGCATTTTTTCATGTGTTTTTTGGCTGCATAAATGTCTTCTTTTGAGGAGTGTCTGTTCATGTCCTTCGCCCACTTTTTGATGGGGTTGTTTGTTTTTTTCTTGTAAATTTGTTTGAGTTCATTGTAGATTCTGGATATTAGCCCTTTGTCAGATGAGTAGGTTGCGAAAATTTTCTCCCATTTTGTAGGTTGCCTGTTTGCTCTGATGGTAGTTTCTTTTGCTGTGCAGAAGCTCTTTAGTTTAATTAGATCCCATTTGTCAATTTTGTCTTTTGTTGCCATTGCTTTTGGTGTTTTAGACATGAAGTCCTTGCCCATGCCTATGTCCTGAATGGTAATACCTAGGTTTTCTTCTAGGGTTTTTATGGTTTTAGGTCTAACGTTTAAGTCTTTAATCCATCTTCAATTGATTTTTGTATAAGGTGTAAGGAAGGGATCCAGTTTCAGCTTTCTACATATGGCTAGCCAGTTTTCCCAGCACCATTTATTAAATAGGGAATCGTTCCCCATTTCTTGTTTTTGTCAGGTTTGTCAAAGATCAGATAGTTGTAGGTATGCGGCATTATTTCTGAGGGCTCTGTTCTGTTCCATTGGTCTATCTCTCTGTTTTGGTACCAGTACCATGCTGTTTTGGTTACTGTAGCTTTGTAGTATAGTTTGAAGTCAGGTAGCGTGATGCCTCCAGCTTTGTTCTTTTGGCTTAGGATTGACTTGGCGATGCGGGCTCTTTTTTGGTTCCATATGAACTTTAAAGTAGTTTTTTCCAATTCTGTGAAGAAAGTCATTGGGAGATTGATGGGGATGGCATTGAATCTGTAAATTACCTTGGGCAGTATGGCCATTTTCATGATATTGATTCTTCCTACCCATGAGCATGGAATGTTCTTCCATTTGTTTGTATCCTCTTTTATTTCCTTGAGCAGTGGTTTGTAGTTCTCCTTGAAGAGGTCCTTCACATCCCTTGTAAGTTGGATTCCTAGGTATTTTATTCTCTTTGAAGCAATTGTGAATGGGAGTTCACTCATGATTTGGCTCTCTGTCTGTTGTTGGTGTATAAGAATGCTTGTGATTTTTGTACATTGATTTTGTATCCTGAGACTTTGCTGAAGTTGCTTATCAGCTTAAGGAGATTTTGGGCTGAAACAGTGGGGTTTTCTAGATATACAATCATGTCGTCTGCAAACAGGGACAATTTAACTTCCTCTTTTCCTAATTGAATACCCTTTATTTCCTTCTCCTGCCTAATTGCCCTGGCCAGAACTTCCAACACTATGTTGAATAGAAGTGGTGAGAGAGGGCATCCCTGTCTTGTGCCAGTTTTCAAAGGGAATGCTTCCAGTTTTTGCCCATTCAGTATGATATTGGCTGTGGGTTTGTCATAGATAGCTCTTATTATTTTGAAATACGTCCCATCAATACCTAATTTATTGAGAGTTTTTAGCATGAAGGGTTGTTGAATTTTGTCAAAGGCTTTTTCTGCCTCTATTGAGATAATCATGTGGTTTTTGTCTTTGGCTCTGTTTATATGCTGGATTACATTTATTGATTTGCATATATTGAACCAGCCTTGCATCCCAGGGATGAAGCCCACTTGATCATGGTGGATAAGCTTTTTGATGTGCTGCTGGATTCGTTTTGCCAGTATTTTATTGAGGATTTTTGCATCAATGTTCATCAAGGATATTGGTCTAAAATTCTCTTTTTTTGTTGTGTCTCTGCCAGGCTTTGGTATCAGAATGATGCTGGCCTCATGAAATGAGTTAGGGAGGATTCCCTCTTTTTCTATTGATTGGAATAGTTTCAGAAGGAATAGTACCAGTTCCTCCTTGTACCTCTGGTAGAATTCGGCTGTGAATCCATCTGGTCCTGGACTCTTTTTGGTTGCTAAGCTATTGATTATTGCCACAATTTCAGCTCCTGTTATTGGTCTATTCAGAGATTCAACTTCTTCCTGGTTTAGTCTTGGGAGAGTGTATGTGTCCAGGAATTTATCCATTTCTTCTAGATTTTCTAGTTTATTTGCGTAGAGGTGTTTGTAGTATTCTCTGATGGTAGTTTGTATTTCTGTGGGATTGGTGGTGATATCCCCTTTATCATTTTTTATTGCGTCTATTTGATTCTTCTCTCTTTTTTTCTTTATTAGTCTTGCTAGCGGTCTATCAATTTTGTTGATCCTTTCAAAAAACCAGCTCCTGGATTCATTAATTTTTTGAAGGGTTTTTTGTGTCTCTATTTCCTTCAGTTCTGCTCTGATTTTAGTTATTTCTTGCCTTCTGCTAGCTTTTGAATGTGTTTGCTCTTACTTTTCTATTTCTTTTAATTGTGATGTTAGGGTGACAATTTTGGATCTTTCCTGCTTTCTCTTGTGGGCATTTAGTGCTATAAATTTCCCTCTACACACTGCTTTGAATGCATCCCAGAGATTCTGGTATGTTGTGTCTTTGTTCTCATTGGTTTCAAAGAACATCTTTATTTCTGCCTTCATTTCGTTATGTACCCAGTAGTCATTCAGGAGCAAGTTGTTCAGTTTCCATGTAGTTGAGTGGTTTTGAGTGAGATTCGTAATCCTGAGTTCTAGTTTGATTGCACTGTGGTCTGAGAGATAGTTTGTTATAATTTCTGTTCTTTTACATTTGCTGAGGAGAGCTTTACTTCCAACTATGTGGTCAATTTTGGAATAGGTGTGGTGTGGTGCTGAGAAAAATGTATATTCTGTTGATTTGGGGTGGAGAGTTCTGTAGATGTCTATTAGGTCCGCTTGGTACAGAGCTGAGTTCAATTCCTGAGTATCCTTGTTGACTTTCTGTCTCTTTGATCTGTCTAATGTTGACAGTGGGGTGTTAAAGTCTCCCATTATTAATGTGTGGGAGTCTAAGTCTCTTTGTAGGTCACTCAGGACTTGCTTTATGAATCTTGGTGCTCCTGTATTGGGTGCATATATATTTAGGATAGTTAGCTCTTCTTGTTGAATTGATCCCTTTACCGTTATGTAATGGCCTTCTTTGTCTCTTTTGATCTTTGTTGGTTTAAAGTCTGTTTTATCAGAGACTAGGATTGCAACCCCTGCCTTTTTTTGTTTTCCATTTGCTTGGTAGATCTTCCTCCATCCTTTTATTTTGAGCCTATGTGTGTCTCTGCACGTGAGATGGGTTTCCTGAATACAGCACACTGATGGGTCTTGACTCTTTATCCAATTTGCCAGTCTGTGTCTTTTAATTGGAGCATTTAGTCCATTTACATTTAAAGTTAATATTGTTATGTGTGAATTTGATCCTGTCATTATGATGTTAGCTGGTTATTTTGCTCGTTAGTTGATGGAGTTTCTTCCTAGTCTCGATGGTCTTTACATTTTGGCATGATTTTGCAGCGGCTGGTACCGGTTGTTCCTTTCCATGTTTAGTGCTTCCTTCAGGAGCTCTTGTAAGGCAGGCCTGGTGGTGACAAAATCTCTCAGCATTTGCTTGTCTGTAAAGTATTTTATTTCTCCTTCACTTATGAAGCTTAGTTTGGCTGGATATGAAATTCTGGGTTGAGAATTCTTTTCTTTAAGAATGTTGAATATTGGCCCCCACTCTCTTCTGGCTTGTAGGGTTTCTGCCGAAAGATCCGCTGTTAGTCTGATGGGCTTCCCTTTGAGGGTAACCCGACCTTTCTCTCTGGTTGCCCTTAACATTTTTTCCTTCATTTCAACTTTGGTGAATCTGACAATTATGTGTCTTGGAGTCGCTCTTTTCAAGGAGTATCTTTGTGGCGTTCTCTGTATTTCCTGAATCTGAACGTTGGCCTGCCTTGCTAGATTGGGGAATTTCTCTTGGATAATATCCTGCAGAGTGTTTTCCAACTTGGTTCCATTCTCCCCATCCCTTTCAGGTACACCAATCAGACATAGATTTGGTCTTTTCCCATAGTCCCATATTTCTTGGAGGCTTTGCTCATTTCTTTTTATTCTTTTTTCTCTAAACTTCCCTTCTCACTTCATTTCATTCATTTCATCTTCCATCGCTGATACCCTTTCTTCCAGTTGATCGCATCGGCTCCTGAGGCTTCTGCATTCTTCACGTAGTTCTCGAGCCTTGGTTTTCAGCTCCATCAGCTCCTTTAAGCACTTCTCTGTATTGGTTATTCTAGTTATACATTCTTCTAAATTTTTTTCAAAGTTTTCAACTTCTTTGCCTTTGGTTTGAATGTCCTCCTGTAGCTCAGAGTAATTTGATCATCTGAAGCCTTCTTCTCTCAGCTCGTCAAAGTCATTCTCCATCCAGCTTTGTTCCGTTGCTGGTGAGGAACTGTGTTCCTTTGGAGGAGGAGAGGCGCTCTGCTTTTTAGAGTTTCCGGTTTTTCTGTTCTGTTTTTTCCCCATCTTTGTGGTTTTATCTACTTTTGGTGTTTGATGATGGTGATGTACAGATGGGTTTTTGGTGTGGATGTCCTTTCTGTTTGTTAGTTTTCCTTCTAACAGAGAGGACCCTCAGCTGCAGGTCTGTTGGAGTACCCTGCCGTGTGAGGTGTCAGTATGTCCCTGCTGGGGGGTGCCTCCCAGTTAGGCTGCTTGGGGGTCAGGGGTCAGGGACCCACTTGAGGAGGCAGTCTGCCCGTTCTCAGATCTCCAGCTGCATGCTGGGAGAACCACTGCCCTCTTCAAAGCTGTCAGACAGGGACATTTAAGTCTGCAGAGGTTACTGCTGTCTTTTTGTTTGTCTGTGCCCTGCCCCCAGAGATGAAGCCTACAGAGGCAGGCAGGCCTCCTTGAGCTGTGGTGGGCTCCACCCAGTTCGAGCTTCCTGGCTGCTTTGTTTACCTATGCAAGCCTGGGCAATGGCGGGCGCCCCTCCCCCAGCCTCGCTGCCGCCTTGCAGTTTGATCTCAGACTGCTGTGCTAGCAATCAGCGAGACTGCGTGGGCGTAGGATCCTCCGAGCCAGGTGCGGGATATAATCTCGTGGTGCTCCGTTTTTTAAGCCCGTCGGAAAAGCGCAGTATTCGGGTGGGAGTGACCCGATTTTCCAGGTGCCATCCGTCACCCCTTTCTTTGACTCAGAAAGGGAACTCGCTGACCCCTTGCGCTTCCCAAGTGAGGCAATGTCTCGCCCTGCTTCGGCTCGCGCACGGTGCGCGCACCCACTGACCTCCGCCCAATGTCTGGCACTCCCTAGTGAGATGAACCCGGTATGTCAGATGGAAATGCAGAAGTCACCCGTCTTCTGCGTCGCTCACGCTGGGAGCTGTAGACCGGAGCTGTTCCTATTCGGCCATCTTGGCTCCTCCCCAATTTCTATTTTCTTGATGATTAGTGATGTTGAGCATTTTTTCATGTTATTGGCCATTTGTGCATCTTCTTTTGAAAAATGTCTGTTCATGTCGTTTGCCCACTTTTAAATGGGATTTTTTTTTCTTGCTGATTTGTTGGAGTTCCTTGTAGATTCTGGACACTAGCCCTTTGTCAGCTGTACAGTTTGTGAATATTTTCTCCCATTCTGTAAGTTGCCTATTTACTCTGTTGATTATTTATCTTGTTGTGCAGAAAGATTTTAGTTTAATTAAGTCTCATTTATTTATTTTTGTTTCTGTTGCATTTGCTTTAGGTGTCTTAGTAATTTTTTTTTATTAGGCCAATTCCTAGAAGCATTTTTCTGTGTTTTAGTCTAGAAGTTTTATGGTTTCAGGTCTAACATTTTTGTGTATCTTATTTAAAATGATATCTTTTAGGTAACATAGTTGGCTCTTAATTTTTGTGCACTATGACAGTCTATCTTTTAATTTTTTTAGATCACTGACGTTTAAAAGGGTCATAGATAATGGTGTAATAGTATCTACTATATTGTTTACCATCTTCTACTTATTGTTTTTGTTTTTATTTTTGTCTTTCAGTCTTCTTTTGACTTCTCTTTTTTAAGAGAATATTTTATATGATCTTATTTTCTGTCTTCTCTTACCATGTAAATTATACTTCTTCTTTTTCATTTTTTAATGGTTGCCTTAGAGCTTGCAATATGCATTTGTGGTTAGTTTATGTCCACTTTTCAAATTCCAGTAACGTAGTTATGGGTTGTACAGGATCAACAGACTATTTCCAATTTCTCCATTTAGTCCCTTATAATGGTACTATCATTCTTTTTACTTATTTGTAAGATACAATCACCAAATGTATCATTACAATTATTATTATAGACAAATTCTTATCTGTTAGGTCCATTAAGAATTTGAAAAATAAAATATTTAATCTTCATTTATTTCTTTTCTAGTGCTCTTTTTTTCTTTCTTTTTAGGTCTATATTTCCGACATATCATTTTTCTTCTACTGGAGATCTTTTGTCCTTTCTTGCAAGACAAGTTTAGTGGTGACAAAGTGCTTTAATTTTTGTTTGTTTGAGGAAGTCTTTATTTTACCATCACTTTTGAAGGATAATTTCACAGTTTACACATTGTTAAGTAGTTAACTTTTTTTCTTTCAACACCTTCAAATATTTTATAGCACTCTTTTCTTTCTGCATGGTTTCTTAAGAGAAGTCTGATATAACTCTTTATCCTTGCCCTGCTGTATAGTAAGTTGTTTGTTTTTCTCTCTAGCTTCTTTCAAGATTTTCTCTTGTATTTTATTTTCTGCAGCTTTGAATATCATATACCTACATGGGGATTGTTTGGTATTTATCCTGATTGGTATTTATTAGTATTTATTATATTATTGTATTTATTGGTATTTATCCTGAGCTTTCTGGATGTGGGTTTGATACCTGTCTTTTATTTTGGAAAATTCTCAGTCATTATTGCTTGAAGTATTTCTTCTGTTTCTGTCTCTTTTTCTTCTCCTATTGGTACTCTGAAAATACGTATATTAACATCTTTTGTAATTGTTCACCAGTTCCTGAATATTCTACTCCATGTTTGTCATTCTTTTTTTCTCTTTGCATTTCAGTTTCCCACATTTTTTTTGACATGTATTTAAGCTTACTGGTTCTTTCCTCACTCTTGTTCAATCTACTGGTGAACCCTTTAAAAGTAGTCTTCATTTCTGCTACAGTGTTTTTGATTTCTAGTGTTTTCTCTGTATACTCTCTTGCAGTTTTCATCTGCCTGCTACTATTACCCATCTGTTCTTAGGTGCTGTCTGTTTTTTATATTAGAGCCCTTATCATATTAATTATAATTATTTTAAATTTAGTTTTATGTTTCTTTTTTGTTTGTTTCTGAGATGGAGTCTCGCTCTGTCACCCAGGCTGGAGTGCAGTGGCACGATCTCGGCTCACTGCAGTCTTCACCTCCCAGGTTCAAGTGAGCCTCGTGCCTCAGCTTCTGGAGTAGCTGGGACTACAGGAGTACAGCACCACACTTGGCTAGTTTTTGTATTTTTAGTAGAGATAGGGTTTCTCCATGTTGGCCAAGCTGGTCTTGAACTCCTGACCTCAGGTGATCTACCCACCTCGGCCTCCCAAAGTGCTGGGATTACAGGTGTGAGCTACCGCACTTGGCCTACAGTCTTATATTTCTACAATGTCTGCCTTACCTACATTTGATTCTGATGCTCCTTTTTTCTCTTCAGACTGTGTTTATTGCCTTTTAATATGCCTTGTAGTTCATTGTTGAAAGCTAGCGGTGATGTTCAGATGAAAGGAACTGAGTGAAACAGGTCTTTAATGTGAGGTTTTGTGTTGAACTGGCTAGGAGCTAGGCTGTGCTTAGTTTGCTGTAGCTGTCATTGTCTGACTCTAAAATTTTCTCTGGCATCATTGTTTATGTGCTCAGATTTTACCATTTCTTGTTAAATAAGACTTGAGACTTGCAGTTCTTTCTGTTGTAATCCCCTCAGTATTGGCCATAGTAGCATGCTTCTGTTCTTGGGCTTTGGCCCTTGTTAATTTCTTATTCTCTGTATTCATGTCTCTGTAGTGTTTGAGGGAGCAGATTTTCCTCTGACTTCAGTTCTCTGTTGAATATAATAAAATGTGTGGATTTTACACTTGTTCAGCTTTTTTCTTTTTGTCAGGGTGGATGTAATGACTTCAAGCTTTTTATGTGTTGGACCAGAAACTGGAATCCTGTATCAGTCACTTTTTTATCTCTTGGCTTTAGGTTCTCTATTTCTAAAATAAAAGGTAACATCACTAGTTGGTGGCTAAATGCTCATCTAGCTCTAGCATTCTGTTCAATCCTTAAGTACTGACTTTCATGAATGAATATCCCAATATGTAATGTTTGTTTTCCTTCTTCTACAGGCAGACCTACAGGTGGACAAGGAGAGGCACAATTTTTTCGAGTCCTCTCTTGATTATGTTTATCAAATCCAGGAAGTTCAGGAGTCCAAGAAGTTCAATATTGTGGAGCCTGTAAGTTTTCTCTGTTGATGAATGGTCTAAAAATATTTATCAAATGCCTGGTAAATGTACAAACTTTGATCATAAAAACAGAATCCCAAAGAACGTGAAGGATAATCAGTGGAAATGTCTAGAACGTAGTCTAACTTACGTTTTTCTTGTTCTTTAGTATACTTTTTTTCTCTCTTTCCCCCCAACCCTTTTCTCTCTTTTTCTATGGCTATTTTCTTTCTCTTTCCTTTTTTTCCTTTCTCTTTCCTCCCCCCTTCCGGAATTTCTCTACAACTCTTCCTGTTACTTTGTTTCCCTCCCTTCCTTCTTCTTGCGCTTTCAGAAGCTTCTGAAAGTCTTTCTCATATACCAGATACTATGCTAGGGACTCATGTCTCTTGCAGTCAGTGACTTCTCATTCTACTACTTTTACTTCTGTCTTGTGTAGTTTTTTCCCATTTCACGTTTTTTCATTCCATTTACTTCGTTTTGTGTAGATTTTTCCATTTCCATATATTTGTTTGAGACAGGGTCTCACTGTCACCCAAACTGGAGTGCAGTGGTGCTATCTACAACCTCTGTCTCCTGGGCTCAAGTGATCCTCCCACCTCAGCCTCCTGAGTAACTGGGACTACAGGTGCATGCCTCCATACCGAGCTAATATTTTGTATGTTTTTGTAGAGATAAGGTTTCACCATGTTGCCCAGGCTGGTCTCCAACTCCCGGGCCCAAGTGATCCCCCTGCCTTGGCTTCCCAAAGTGCCAGGATTACAGGCATGAGCTACCATACCCAGCCCGTGTATTTGATTTTTAATGGGGTTGAAAATTTACACCAATATATGTTGTGTATCATTTATATGTCTTTTTCTGCAACCCTGTGAAACATTTCTAATTTTAAAGTTGGTTTAGACTCCTTTGATCTTTTAGCATTATGACAGTCTTCATTAAAGTTAGGTAGAAAATCTTGCTTTATTCATTTATCTATTTACTTTCATTCATTCAAGAAATATTTATTGAGCACCTATTGTTTGTGGTTGCTGAGGATATATAGAGGAAAGATGCAGTTCATTTACATACTGTTCAAATGATGAATGTCTTTATATGAGATCTGAACAAGCTCAGGGTTAATAAATTTGTTAATAGTTCTTTTTTTCTGAAGCTGAGTCAAGGGTAAATGTTCAACCTGATATGAAAACAGTGATGTGTAGACTGGTTTGTGTTTGACTGCGTTTAGCGCTATACTGGGTAAACACCATGGAGTTTTTTGTTGTTGTTGTTTGTTTGTTTGTTTTTTGTTTTTTTGAGACAGTCTCACTCTGTCCCAGGCTAGAGTGCAGTGATGCAATCTTGGCTCACTGCAACCTCCGCCTCCCGGGTTCAAGCCATTCTCCTGCCTCAGCCTCCCAAGTAGCTGGGATTACAGGCGTGCGCCACCACGGCCAGCTAATTTTTGTATTTTTAGTAGAGATGGGATTTCACCATGTTGGTCAGGCTGGTCTCAAACTCCTGACCTCACGATCTGCCCGCCTCGGCCTCCCAAAGTGCAGGGATTACAGGCATAAGCCACCACACCCAGCCACACCATGGAGTTTTTTGGTGAGTTCATGTTTCTTTTATTTAGTTTATTAGAAGATGCTGGTGATAAAGTTATTTTTACATGTTTTCCCTAGGTCTTGGCCTTTCTTCATAGTCTGTTCATTTCTAACAGCCTGACTGTGGAGCTCACACAGGATTTCCTCCCATACAAACAACAGCTCCAACTCAGTTTACAGAATGTGAGTTTGCATGTGGATTTTTCTCACCGGTCTTTCCATTCCGATTGAATTTCAGCCCTAGCGACCTTGATTCTTGGAATTCTAGGTTACTGCATCCTAGCCAATTTGTTAGAATATACTGGTGTGGATCACAAATATTTAGTATATCAGACTGTTCTTGCTCTTCCACTTTCACATCTTTCCTGTTTTTGAGGCTGACTGCTGTTCAAACCCACCCTTCCACACACCAACACCTTCATCTATGCAATATTTATTAAGTATTGCTAATTTGCTGCATCTCTCTCAGATCAGGACATAGCTATAGGCTTATTTGAGCCCAGGCCTTAAGCTACTTCCCTGCTCAGTCAAAACACTCTCACTGTAGACTTTATTACCACAAACACTCATTTTATCTTCTCTTTCTTTTCTCAGTACTTATTAGTAGAGTCACATAAATTACTTTTAAAGGTTTTCTCTACCTTCTTTGTCATGCTGGTTCTTACAGATGGGCATGTAGGCATAGTGTTCCCATCCTTTTCACATATATTCCTTTACATGTTCCTTTATTCAACCCACATTAAACAAATGTTTATGGAAAAAATGAACATAAGCTCTGTGCCAGGCATGTGAAAGGCACTGGACATGCCATGAAGATGCATGCAAGTTTTTCTGTCTTGAAGGAACATACAGTTTCTTGTAGGAGACAAATAAACAGAGATAAATTATAATCCATTATGATAAGTGCTATAATAGAATCAAGGCCAAAGGTTTTTAAAAAGTTCAGAGCATTTGGCTACCTGGTAGAGTCAGAGAAGGCATTACTGAGTTGGTGACTTTAGAATGGGTGTTAAATTGCATGAAATATATAGATGTAGTTTTAGATGAAAAATGCTGGTAAGTTATAGTGAAAAATAAGCCCCCCTTGGTTGTTTAGGAGGATTGGGATTTACAGTTGTTGTTATTATTTTTTCTTTCTATATACTCTCCTTGCAGAAAGGAACTAGGGGCTCTCACATTCTCCAGAATTTCCTGATTTACAACATCTTCCTACTACAACCAAGTTAATCCCATGAATCTTCCTCTATATATTACTTGATATGTACAAATGTAACAATAAGCCTTTGAATGTGTACATATGGGTGACTTATTTACAGGATAAACATGAGCCAACTAGATGGGCAGCACAGATCACCTTTCTCACTAACATCATGTCATAATTTTAAGACTGGGTACTAAAAACTTATCTGTAGTGATTTTCATACCCACATTTCAACACATGTCTTACCATTGTGTTTTAGTTGTGTAGATTTAAATAGATTTATTCTCATCATTAGGTTTTGGTATTTGTGAGTATGAAAACATAGCTACTGTTGGCCCTTCTCCCAAGAGAGCACCCTCTCGTATATTTTATGTTCTTGGCCAGAATTTGATTCAGTATCAACTAGGCTGTAACTTTGAGACACAATTTGGAAGTTGCTATGAGAATGCTACCTTTGGGAACCTTGTCTGCCATCTCCCTTGTTGTAAAGCAGGGTATCAGTCATGTTCAGAATTCTAAGATTGCTTATTTATTAGGGCCTTATGTGATTCGTATTAGTAAAAAGCCTCCCAGTTGTTATTTTATGAGTATATTGCTCGTTATATTTTTGTTTCCTATGCAGTCTTTAGGACCGTTAGACTCTATAAACTTGTTTTCCATTCACTATGCCATTCACCATTTCTTTTTTTGCTTTGTGGTTGCACATGCTGTAAGCAGGGAAAACTTTGTACTGAGTCTCTGACCAAGAAATACTTTTTCATGATAATGATGATGATAATAATGATTTTCATGATGATGTCTTGACAGACAAGAAATCATTTCTCCAGTACCCGGGAAGAGATGGAAGAACTTAAGAAAAGGATGAAAGAAGCTCCCCAGACATGCAAACTTCCAGGACAGCCAACTATTGAAGGCTATCTCTATACACAAGAGAAATGTGTGTGGGGACATAGGGGTATCCATTGGGTTTCAATAAGCCAGGAACTACTGCCACTTGTCGGCTGTGAATTTTGGGCACCCTTACTGTTCATAGACCCCTGATAGCTAAAATTCCCTTGGAACGCAGGCAGGGAATACTGAAAACAAAAAAAAAAAAAGGAGAAACTGAGAGGAAGTTAAAGATTTGTCTTACAAAGGCTGTGTAGTGATAAGACCTAAGGTTTTCTCTGAGATTCAAAATGGGTATTATTTGTTCTTTAATCCTTCTGATTATTCTTTTGGAAAAAAGGGAAGTAGAGGAAAGGAAGTAGAAAAATAATATTTCTTATACTTATTATGTACCAGACATGGTGCTAAGTTCATTTAAAACACTGCCTCATTTAATCTTTGCAACCAATTTATACCCATACACATAAGGCCACTAAGGCTCAGAGACGTCACCATTTGAAAGTCACCCAACTAACAAGTGTCAGGACTAAAATTAAATTCAGGTCTATGAAATGCCAAAGCCCATGATCCTACTATAGTACCCTATATCTTCGTCTGCATTAGGGTCATATGTTTGCTCTTTTCTTTTCTTTTTTTAAGACAGGATCTTGCTCTGTTGTCCAGGTTGGAGTGCAATGGCACCATCATAGCTCACTACAGCCTCATACTCCTGGGCTCAAGCAGCCCTCCTACCTCAGCCTCCTGAGTGGCTGCACCTAAAGGCACCTACCACTACACTTGGCTAAGTTTTGAATTTTTTGTAGAGACAAGGTCTCACTATGTTGCTCAGGCTCATGGATGCTCTTATAGCACTTAGTGAACATCATGATTCCAGTGGGAAAGACAGTATCTGTTTTTCATTGGTGACTAAGTAAAGTGGGTTAACTTGTTTAGTCACTGAATGTTGCAGAGCATTCAATCTTTCCTAATTCCTCAGTAACATTATGCACACCTGTATGTGTGATTTGATTTTATTTGCCCTTTGAACTATGACCCAATACTCCCCAAACCTGTTATTCAGTTTTTGCCCAGAGTTATTATATCTGGGGAATAAACAGAGGACACACACCCAGAGGCTGCCAGTAGCAAAAATCACTGTAATTCAAAAAGCATGACACTACGGTAGTGAAATTATCACACTTTTCTTTGCATAGAGCAGTTTACTTGTGATGATTTTCAAAGATGTGTTCTCCCACTTGTCAGGTTCATCTCTTCAACTGTGTGTCGCACAATTTCTCGATCTCAGTGCTGTTGACATTTCAGGCTGGATAATTTTTAGTTCTGGGAAGTGGTCCTGTGTATTATAGTATATTTAGAAGCATCCCTGGCCTCCTCACTTTGTGCTCATAGTAATCTCCAGGTGTGACAACCTAAAATGTCTCTAATGTATTGCCACATGTCCCCTGGGAGGCCAAATTACCCCTAGTTGAGAACCACTGCTGTATGCTGTGTGATCCTTCTGTGCTTCAGTATTCTGATTTGTCATATGGGCATAACATTGCTACTCAGTTGAATGTATGCTTAATGAGCACTGTTTCTGCCAGATACTGTGCAATGCATTGGGGACACCCTTGAAAAACTGAATCAACCATGATTTCTTTCACCAAGAAGTGTAAAGTGATGGGAGAGATAGACAAGTATATCAATAATTATAATGAAATGTGGTGATAACTGTATTTGGGGCATATATCTAAAGGCTTCACAAAGAAAGTGATATTTGAACTAGAACTTGAATGATGAGTGGGAGTTTGATAGGTAAAGAAAAGGAGGAATGGCCGGGCACAGTGGCTCATGCCTGTAATCCCAGCACTTTGGGAGGCTGAGACGGCAGATCACTGGAGGTCAGGAGTTTGAGACCAGCCTGGCCAACATGGTGAAACCCCGTCTCTACTAAAAATACAAAAATTAGCTGGATGTGGTGATGCTTGCCTGTAATCCTAGCTACTTGGGAGGCTGAGGCAGGGGAATGACTTGAACCTGGGAGGTGGAGATTTTACTCAGCCGAGATGGTGCCATTACACTCCAGCCTGGGTGACAGAGTGAGACTCTGTCTCAAAAATGAATAAAAGAAAGAAAGAAAGAATGAAAGAAAGAAAAGAAAAGAAAGAAAGGAAAGAAAAAGGAAAGAAAGAAAGGAAAGAAAGGAAAGAAAGAAAGAGAGAGAAAGAAAGAAGGAAAAGGAGGAAGGGAATTCCAGGTATATACCACTGCATGAGTAAAGGCAGGGTTGTGGATAGACATAGTTGATTTGTAGGGCCCTTGTTTGCCAAGAATAGTCCTGCTTTACCCCTGTTGTCCTGATGTAATTATTAATAATACTGCCTCATTCAGTCTTAAATAAGTCTTGGATTTGGACTAGAAATTATATGGCTACCTCTTTATGTGGGAACTAAAAGTAATTCATTGAGACAGGAACATAGAGGTGAGGTGCCAAAAGAAAAAGCTAGAAAGGTAAGTTTTGATCATGTTATCAAGGGCATTGTAGGCAGGCTAAGGAGTGTGGAGATAGTGGGAAAGCCGTGGATGGTTTTTAATGAGGGGAATGATAAAAATAGAGATATATTTTAAAAATAATCTAGGAAAAGAGTGGAGAATGAATTGGAGTGGAGTGATCAGAGATGGGGACAATAGGGAAATCAGAGAAGGCCAATGAAATAATTAATTGGTGAGATAGTAAATTTTTGTTTTTTAAAAATATGTTTCATAAAATATAAATACAAAATAAGACACTGGGCCCAGCGCTGTGGCTCATGCCTGTAATCCCAGCACTTTGGGAGGCTGAGGCATGCAGATCACGAGGTCAGGAGATCAAGACCATCCTGGCTAACATGGTGAAACCCCATCTCTACTAAAAAAAATACAAAAAGTTAGCCGGGCGTGGTGGTGGGTGCCTGTAGTCCCAGCTACTTGGGAGGCTGAGGCAGGAGAATGGTGTGAACTGGGGAGGTGGAGCTTGCAGTGAGCTGAGATTGCGCCACTGCACTCCAGCCTGGGTGACAGAACGAGACTCTGTCAAAAAAAAAAAAAAAATTAAAACAAAAACAACACTGATAGGGTTCTTAACTAATTCGGTGTTAAAAAGGAATGGAGAGGAGGAGACAGTTAAAAGAGAGATGTGTAGAGTCATGTACAGGTTAGAAGGGGCATAACCCAATGACCAATGACATGGAACAGTTATAGAGACAGCAAAGTAAATGACAATAGTCTCCAGCTTCTGGGATATATGGTGATACAATTTATAGGGAACATGGCAGGGAGAGTAGGTTTTGAGCAAGCCAGAAGCAGCTGTGGGAAGCAGTTGGTGAAGGTTAGAATCTCCCTGTGTGCAGTAGGTAGGTGGCTATGGAAGGAGGGCGGTCAGGGCAAGGGCAGGGCTGGATCTGAAGTTTGACTCTGAAGAGCAATGTGTAAATAGCTTCCATCTTAGGGTTGACTTCCTATACAGCTAAAATAGTTATTCTGTCTGCTCACTTTTACTTGTCCTTGTAGGGGCTTTAGGAATATCCTGGGTGAAATACTATTGCCAGTATGAGAAAGAGACCAAAACACTGACCATGACGCCTATGGAGCAGAAGCCAGGTGCTAAGCAGGTCAGTTCTTGTTTGCACCATATTTTTGGAAATGGATCTATGACTGTTTCTCAGAAAAGAATATATGTTGACCTAGTATCAAATCATCAAGTTCATCACTGTTACGTGAGGCCATGACTTTATATGTACACCTTGGCCTAAGTTTGAGTCAGATAGCACTGAGTTGAGTGAAAAATTTCTCTGTTGATTAGAGCAAGCCTTTTGAAAGTGCCGGTAGTCTTTCAAACCAGTTATTTTTACAAGTGCCAGTCACATTGTACAGTCAACTATGTAAAAATATGGATGAATTACTTTTAAGAATGCTCTACTCTTGGATTCTTTAAAATAGCAAGTTTTAAAAATATGAATTGAATTCCAAAATTCCTTTTTTACAGGAGTGTGTTTATGGCCCACAGTTGGAATAACCGATACTCACATTCTATGTACTACTCAAATATCTTTAAGCAGTTAATCTCTCTTTTTCTGCCCTCCAAACCTTCTCTCACTCCTGAAAATGACAAGATAAATTTAACACACTGAAAAAAATAGTTTACTTACCTGGAAGAACCTGATCTTTTACAAACACACACACACACACACACACACACACACACTCACACACACTCACACACACAGATACACACATGGGGGTTCCTTAAGATAAAAGCTGATCTTTAGACAGATTGTTTATATTCTAAAAGTAGTTCAATGTGCCTCTTTCCCCTTTAACTGGCTCTCAGACAGGGTCTTAGTGCATGATTTTTAAGCATTTGCACTCTTTACAAATTGTTTGTTGGAAGTGCTTCAAGGGTTATTTGTTAGCACTGAAAGTAGTACATGAAGACCCAATTTAGGTAGGGAGGAATTTGGAGAAAAATTGGGACAGTTTCTCTCCCTTGCTGATCCTTTTCATGGAAGATCTCTCTTGTGTGGCTTGCTCATGTTGAATTAGAGAGGATGGAAATGTGCTTTCAGGCTACTGAAATTTTTTTGGAGTGAGAGTGGTCTTTTAACCACAAGATTTAGCTCCCTGCTTTAATGTGCTTTGGTGATGGGATGGACTTGTAAAAGATGTTGTATCAAACAGAGTTTCTGGAATCCTCGGCTATGCTTTATTATTATTGTTATTATTATTATTATTATTTGCGATGGAGCTTCACTCTTGTCGCCCAGGCTGGAGTGCAATGGCACAATCTCGGCTCACAGCAACCTCCACCTCCCGGGTTCAAGCGATTCTCCTGCCTCAGCCTCTTGAGCAGCTGGTATTACAGGTGTGCACCACCACACCCAGCTAATTTTTGTATTTTTAGTAGAGATGGAGTTTCACCATGTTGGCTAGGCTGATCTCGAATTCCCGACCTCAGGTGATCCTCCCGCCTTGGCCTCCCAAATTGCTGGGATTACACGTGTGAGCCACGGTGCCAGTTACTGTGCTTTTATCATGGGCCAGTTACTCATTCAAAACCCTCCTCAGTTTCCAGTCCGCCAGTTGCCAAAGCACCTTTCAGTGTGGTTCCAATAAATTCATCCTGTGTTTTAGCACTGATTTGTTCCAAGTCAGTCAGAACTTAGCTGATTAATCTGACTAGGAAGTGCTTATAAGCAACACTGGCCTGCAGTCTCTTTCTTTTATTTTTCTACACACATTACTTTTCAAATACCGGAGAGGAAAGCTCCTTTTGTAGGCAGTAATTTCATTTAGGCACTTTCTCTGAGGCTGCTCAGAGGTGCTTATTGCAAACTCCAAGACAGAGTCAGCAGATACCACTTTCATATCCTCCTGACAGATGCCAGCAAGCCCTCCTTTTAGTTTTTCTTTCCCTCTTCTCTTTTCATTGAGTAGCTGCTTGCAAAACTGCAATGGTGGTGGCCTGAGCATTTTTGATGTGGTATTCCTTATGGAATGGAAAGAAGAACTTAGTTACTCACAAGGCAGAGGGAGGTGGTGGGGGTTACTTGGATTTCCCCAAATTGGAGTTGGAAGTGATTTCTTCCTGTCAGTTCTCTGTTTCACTTCTTAATACTAGTTTGTATTTTACAATTATAAATTTTACAAATAAATGATACCATAATAATAAGAACACTACAAAAGCCACTATTTCTTGAATACCTGCTGTGTGCCGGACACTGAGCTAGACCCTTCTGTCATATTCATGCTCCTCATTTACCCTCCTAGCAGCTATGTGAAGTCAGTGCCCCCAATTTGTGTAGGAAGTGAGACCAAGTTGAAGATGCAGGAATTGGCCATCTTTCTGACTATGGCACTTACTATAGCGTTGGTCCCACTACTTTAGCCTGTCAGCTCTCATCTGTGTTTTCATGGTCAATTTTCTGATCATCTTCTCAAATGATAATTTATTAGATCTTCATCCCTTCCCTGTTAGGAATTTGTGGTCAGAAGAAGGAGTACTGCATTCTGAATCTTCAGACCTGTGTTTAAATTTTAGCTCTGTGATCTGGTAGCTTTTGACCTTGAGTAAATTGCCTAATGTTACTCAGTCTTAGTTTCCTCATCAGAAAAGTGGTAAGGATGATAAAGTAGTTCATAAACATTCATTGAGCACTAAGTATTTGCAAGATACTGGAGGTATAAAGATGAATAAAACACTGTTCATGTCTTTGAAGACTTCCTAGTCAAGTGGTGAAATTAAACATAAAAACAGGACATTTTAATATTACGTGCAAAGCACATAGTGGGCAATGTGTTGGTTTGAAGAAGGATTTTTGAGGAAGTGGAAGCTGAACTGCAGTTTGCAGAATAAGTAAGAGTTTAGTCAGACAAAGCAGATAGACAAGGTCATTTTGGGTGGAGCGATTAATATAGGCAAAGTCATGCAATCATGAAATAGCATGATATGTATGTGAAATAAGAGTACTTTTGCATTGTAGGGGCATTAAACAGGTGAGCAGTCACTGGAGATGAGATTGGAATGGTGGGCAGGGCCTAGGTCCCTGAGCTGCAATGTCATTGAAGCTGAGGACATTGAGAATTTAAAGAGATAGAGTGAGTCTGTGACTTTGCTCATAACTCTCATTTTGAAAGACTAATGTGTGACATCCCACATTTAGGGGTAGGAAGGCATACTGAAGGATTAATTTAGAGTTGAGTTGTTATAGTGCAGGAGCAAGGAAAGATTGGCCTGCAAGTGGCTGAGTATGCTGATGAGCAAGAAGTATTGGGTAATGAGCCACGTGGGCCAGTTTGTATGTCATAGTATCTAGGCACCTGGGCAGTGTTACCTAACTTGAGATACCACAGTGGGTTTTGTTATTCCCATTTAATAGATTGTGAAGTTAAGACTTAGAGATGGAATATGATTTATTTATTTATTTATTTTTGAGACAGAATCTCACTTTGTCACCCAGGCTGGAGTGCAGTGGCACGATCTTGGCGCACTGCAGCCTCTGCCTCCCGGTTTCAAGCGATTCTCCTGCCTCAGCCTCCCAAGTAGCTGGGATTACAGGCGCCCACCACTGTGCCTAATTTTTGTATTTTTAGTAGAGACGGGGTTTTGCCATGTTGACCAGGCTGGTCTCCAACTCCTGACCTCAGGTGATCCACCTGCCTTGGCCTCCCAAAGTGCTGGGATTACAGGCATGACCTGCTGTGTTTTGGCCAGGGTCACATAGCTGGTAAATGGCATAACTGAGACAAGACCCTAGGTCTTAAACTTTCTAGTGTGTTGCTATTTCCACTATACCAATTTGGATGACTTTGGGTATGCTGCTTTACTTCTTTAAGTGTCACTTCTCTATAATGGTTGTTAACAATAAAAGTGGCTTAAAAATACCTAGCATAGGCTGGACACAGTGGCTCACGCCTGTAATCCCAGCACTTTGGGAGGCTGAGGTGGGTGGATCACGAGGTCAGGAGTTCGAGACCACCCTGACCAACATGGTGAAATCCCGTCTCTACTAAAAATACAAAAATTAGCCGGGCATGGTGCGCACCTGTAATCCCAGCTACTCAGGAGGCTGAGGCAGGAGAATCGCTTGAACCCGGGAGGCGGAGGTTGCAGTGAGCTGATATCGCACTACTGTATTCTAGTCTGAGTGACAGAGCAAGACTACGTCTCAAAAAAAAAAAAATGTAGCGTAATATATGGCACATAGTAAGTGATAAATGTTACTTCTCTTTCCTGTATCACATGGTCTCTGTTGAGATAAGAGAGGGAATCTGAACAAGGTGAGACTAGAATTTTAGTCTGTGGACACAGTGGGTTTTAATTCCCTTAATTACCTACAGGACTAAAGTGGGCCACACTGTCCTTGCTGCACATATGAAATATCAAATGCTACCATGACTAATACACACATTTGCTATTTCCTCTACTTTTGCGCTACCTTTGGAGCGATTACATTTGTGATTTCTGTCATCCTAAAGAGTCTAGAGTTGGGAGACAGAAATGTTTTTCTCCCTCCTTCATCTGCCACTTTAATGGAAGCTTCTTTGCTCAGCTACCCTCTGACTTTCTAAGGGAGGTTTTAGACAGCCACTTACCCCGTCACAATTTCCCTCCCCAGAGGCCTCATGAAAATTTTATTCTGTACACTTAATGCCATTCAGTCAGCCCATTTCTCCTACACTCCCCTTACATGATATGTATTGAGCTTCCTATTAAGTCTTCCGTCTTGGGAAAGAGTGCTGGATGACTCTGAACAATTTCTCCTGGTCTCAGCCATTGATTCTTGGAGCGGGGAGAAACCATCTGCCATCTTGCTGCAAATACTGTTTGAAGGGACAAGATTCTCAGTGAGTCTACACATTGCTCCTGCTGCCTTGACCAGACGCCTTCCAAGTGACACTGAAGACACTGTAGGAAGCAGAAACAGCTTCTGTGTCTTTTTTTAAAAATTGCCTGTTAATTCTTGTTTCATATCAGGGGCCCTTGGACTTAACACTGAAGTACTGTGTGAGAAGGAAGACGGAGTCTATCGACAAGAGGTTCTGTTTTGACATAGAAACTAATGAAAGGTAAGCTGTGCCGCTGTGAATTGGCAATGTCCCCACGTGCCAGATGCTTAGCCTGGGTAGGTCTTTTATTTTCCTCCGTCATCCCACGTTGATGACAATGAGTAAGTCTATTCAGGACTTTGTTGTGAGTCTATTCAAGCCAGCTCTTCTGGCTGCCCTTCCCAGGGATCCCTGCTAGACCTGGCCCAGTGCTGCTTTTCTCTGTGCAAGCTTCTATCAGCTTTGCCTCACTTGCTCTGGGAAGAAAAAGTCTCTCCTGGGATTTAATTTGCTATCAGATGTGCAAAAGGTCAACATTTGGTGATCTTGCAAGAAGGAAAGGATAACAAAGCTCATTCTTTGTTAAATCTCCTAATATCACATAAAAGAACAAATGAATTGGCACACATTTTTGAGGGAGGGAAGATGGGGTGGAGGGTCGTGGTGTTATTAGAAAGTCATTTCCCCCCATTTGGTGCAAAAATGATGCAGACCTTCCCTACTTTACAGATACTCAATGAACTGGAAATAGTGTGATTATCACCTTTCAGATCTTACAGCTAAGGCTTGCACATTTTGGACTTCGTTGTGTTTGTTTCTCCCCAGTGCCCTCTTTTTTTACTTGAACCTGAGCAGTTTTATCAGAGGAGAATTTTAACCATTAAAATTTCAAATGAATGCATTTGGCATTATTGTGGAGAAAGACATGCTTTATAGTTGGGTGGTTGTACCAAAATAAACAGAATAAATCTGTTTCTAGATTTTATCTCAACCTTTTATTTCTAGATGTTAGATACTTAGTAATAGAATAGAATTTTGCAAAATGATCAGATTGCTAGAAAGGAACTTGAAGGGTGAATTACAATATCATGTGAACAAAACTAGCAGTGACTGGGATCATAACAATCAGACTAAATGATGAGGGCATTTTTAAAAAAATTGGGGAATAAAGGACTTAGCTTGTTTCATTATTTCAAAATTGAGAGATTATTATTTGACCCTCACAATTTCGATTTGTGAATTTATATCATTTCTTTGTTAAAAATGGATGATCCCAATTGAGGTGGCTCTGAAAGTACGTATTGTTGCCAGTAACCATGAGACTGTCACTCATTTTCCTGATAGCCTCAGTTCCAGTAGGAAGGGGAAAATTATTGTTGGCTGTGGCTTCCCTTTTTTGCAAATAATATCCCCAACTCAAGCAGTTGCAAACAGTTTGTCCCCGTGGTTAGGGGCTAGGATGAATTTATGTTTCTTGTACCTGGTGCTATGCATGGCTCATGATAAGTACTAAATTTGATGTTTATTTTTAAGTGTTTTTTTCTTATCCTAGAATGCTGAAGAATTTTCGACACTAGAACCCAGGGATTAAAGTTTTGATGCATCTACACTTTTAGTTATCATATACTGTGCACTTTACAAAACATTCCCTCATTTAATCTACACCCCCCCCATTTTACCAGTGAGGAAACTGAGACCCACATATATTTAACTGACTTGCCCAACTAAAGTCACATAGGAAATGGTGAGGCTGAGCTCAAACCCTGGTCTGTAGGTCTCCAAAGCCCATGCTGGTTTCTTTTTGTTTGTTTTGAGATGGTGTCTCTCTCTCTTGCCCAGGCTGGAGTGCAGTGTTGCACAACCTCTACCTCCTGGGCTCAAACGAGTCTCCTGCCTCAGCCTCCTGAGTAGCTGGGACTACAGGCGTGTGCCACCATGTCCAGCTAATTTTTGTATTTTTAATAGAAATGGGGTTTCACCATGTTGGCCAGGCTTGACTTGAACTCCTGGCCTCAAGACATCCACCTGCCTCGGCCTCCCAGAGTGCTGGGATTATAGGCGTGAGCCACTATGCCTGGCTCCATGCTGTTTTTAATTTTTTATATTGTCTATTATAAGCAGAAGAAACAAGCTGCAAAGTAGAGCGTTAAATATAATAATGAACAGGTGCTGAGGCCCCTCTCTGCATGTGGAGTCTTTTGAGTGACATGACATCTGCTTTTCTGGCTAGTCAGTCTGATATAAGGAACAGAGTCAGGCTTCCTAGCAGGCATCAGGCAGCTGTACTCACATTCCCTGGAGCACAGAGCAAAGGGCTCTTGGAGCCACTTTTTCTATGTCAGGAAGAGAGGATAAGATTTTTTATTTTTTTAACTTTTAATTTTTTAGAGAGAGGGTCTTACTCTGTTGCCCAGGTTGGTTTGCAGTGGCACAGGTTCAAGTGATCCTCTTGCGTGAGCCTCCTGAGTAGCTGGGACTGACAGGTGTGCACCACCATATCTGGCTAATTTTTTATTTTTTATAGCTATGGGACCTTGCTATGTTGCCCAGGCTGGTCTTCAACTCCTGGCTTGCAGTGATTCTCCTGTGCCAGCCTCCCAAAGTGCTCATATTACAGGTGTGAGTCACTGCACCTGGTTCTAAATTTAGGCTCTTAGCAGTATTTAAAATGACAGGCTCATAGCAAGGCAGAGCTTGAAATGTTTTAATAACAGCAACAACAATAATTGTAATAATAATAAAAACAATTGCTAACATTTGCCAAGTACCTCCTTTGTGACAGGCACTGTTATCAGCCATTTAAGCGTATAATTTCCTTTAGTCGTCACCACAGTCACATGAGGGAGGTGATGTTATTTGAATTTTGGTTTGTGAATCTGTATCATTTTTGTGTTAACAATGGATGACCCCATTCAAGATGGCTGTGGAAGTATATATTGTTGCCAGTAACCACAAGACTGTCATTAAGAGGTGCTTTAATGAAGTAAGAGAAGGTAGGACAGGAACCCCATGATTCCAGCAGGTAGAACAGGATTCCTGTGATATCAGTAATGGAAAGGACCTCCCAGCTCCTGTGTTCCAGAACCCTTTCAGATAAAGAAACTGAGGTCTAGAAAGGCCTAGTTACTTATCCAGGGTGGCTGAACTCTCTTGGCATTGCTTTTATCATTCTATGACTCTAGGAGAGGTCTCATCTTATCACAGAATTTGTGGAAGGAACAATGTTTTCCTAATGGCTCAGCAAGCCAGGAGAATGCAAGGAGACTTTATACCTTGCATAAAGTATGGTTAATCTCAAAATTCCAGATGAGTCACAAAGATCTAAAAAGACCATAAAGAGCATAACAGCTTGGGATATCTCTGGGTAGTTAGTAGTGTCTTAGTCCATTTGTGATGTTATGACAAAATACCTGAGACTCAGTAATGTATAAACAACAGAAATTCATTTGTCACATTTCTAGAAGCTGGAAGTCCAAGCAGTTTCAGTGTCTGGTGAGGGCCTGGTCTCTGTTTCCAAGATGGCATCTTGTTGCAGTGCCCTCCAGAGAGCACCAACACCGTGTCCTCATATGTCAGAAGAGATGGAAGGGAATGAACCTACTCTTTCAAGTTTTTGTAAAAGGGCCCTAATCCCATTCATGAGGTTCTACCCTTATGACTAACTCACCTCCTAAAGGTCCCATTTCTTAATATCATCACATTGGTAGTTAACTTTCAACCTATGAATTTTGGGGAATATTCAGACCACAGCAGGTAGCCTGCAAATAAATAGAATAAAACAGGGTTCGAAGCCGTGTGCCAGGCAGAAGAGGCCTTATATTGTAGTAATGAAGAATATGGCTGCTGGACCAGACTTTCTGGATTTAATTCCTGTCTCTAGTAGTTCCCTGCTATATGACCTTGGATAATTACTCTGTGCCTCAGTTTCCCCTTCTGTGAAATAGAGATGATTACTGTAACTGCCTTATTATATATATTAACTGAGTTAATATACATAGTTTACTTGGAACAAAATTTGTCACCTAGTAAGCATTCAGTAAATATTAGTTGTTTTTATTAGTCATAAAATTGCTTATTAGCCAAAACGCCTCCTCCCTGTGTCTTAGCCAGTACTCATGTTGTTGAATTTATTGCAACTCAAAATGTTTCTTGGACATCGCAGGTGCTGGAAGAAGCAAAGCCATTTTACTGAGAGATAATGTGCCTCTGATGTTCATGCTCATTCCTAGAGCTCAGACAAAGTGGCTGGCTTCCAACAGAGTAAGGCAGTGAGAGCCTTTGTTTGGTTCAAGCACAATGGGGCCAATTTAAGTGTGCATTATGGAGGCGTCTTGACAGTTACCTTCCTATTTCTTGCAGGATCTGGGCACAAGGCCACCAAGATACCACCCCCGCCTCCATGGTTCCCAAAGTTACTGTTCTGTAAATTGCCTATTGTTTTCTTGAGTAAAAGAGATTTTGAAAAATTAGTATTCTGTAAGCCTATGCTTGTTCAGTGTGACAAACTCCAGGGCAGAGAGGGACCCTAGATCACAAGACTCCATTCTCTCAGTTGAATTTTCTGCTTTATACTTACCATTTTTTTCCCCCTCAGGCCAGGAACCATCACTCTGCAGGCCCTTTCAGAAGCTAACAGAAGGCTATGGATGGAAGCCATGGATGGGAAAGAACCTGTAAGTTACCTGACACTGGGGAAACCTCCCCAGCATATGCCAGTGTATGAGTGCCCTCTAGTGGTATCAGTGGGTCTCAGACAATTAAATGGTAATGGATTGTTTAGTCTCAGTTTTAGAGCTGTAAGGAATTGTTTCCACATCTCTTAGCAGGTAAGGCAACTGGAGTTCCAGAAAGGTTGAGGGACTTTTCTGAGACCACCCTCAGAGAAGACACCAAAACCGGGCTTAGAATGCAGATCTCTCAGCTCCCTGCTCTAGTGTTAGACTATGTAGCTATGCCCATGAGCTTTTCTTCAGAAAGAATGAAGCCATTTTTCAGGTTATAAAATCAATATGTGTTAATTAATTAATATGTGTTAATATGAAAAATAATTGCCATAGTTATAAATAAGCACTTATTAAACATTTATTCAGAATGATTTTTCTGCCTCACCCTTATACCACCAACTCAGCTTATTCTCTTTGAGGGTACAGCTGGTAGCGGAGATGGCATTGCCATCCTGTATCACAAGATGTACCGTTCCATTTAGAACACGGTTATGCAGGAGGACAAGCAATCCCTTGAAAGGGTTACTGATTATCATCAAGCGACCAATAGAAACAGTTGGAAATAATTGAAAAACATTCTGGTTTCTTAGTGGCATATTAAATAATATCAGCTTCCTGGTGTTGGAATTCCAAAAGCTTGGATATAGGTACTAGTTCTGCCATTAAATGGCTATGTGACTCTGGGCAAATCATTTCACCTCTCTGAGATTCAGTTTTCTTCTCCTCAGTAAAAGGGCTTTAATAATTTCTTTCTACCTATCTCACAGGGTTGCTTAGAAAAAACAGATGGAAGTCATCTTGTAAACCACAATGTGCTAGCCGATCTGAATGATGGGATACAAAACTCCTAAGATCCAGCAGTGTTCAGATACAGTCTTATTTCTTTGCTGTATTCAAGTGAAAAACTGGCTAGGAGGGAAAATGCATTCTAGGTTTTTCTTTCTATGTGTCCTCAGTATCCTGGAGAATTTAGAGGGGTAACTAGATCCCAGATTGCACTTATAGTAAACTGGAAGGTAGCAGGAGAGACTTGGTATTCTGAAGACTGCCATCCAGAAAATATTCCAGCACTGTCTTCCTTCTGTCACCTTCCAGAAACCTGCTGCTGAACTCTTTCATGCTTGTGACATTTCTGTAGGCAGATGCTGGGAAGCTCAGCAAGGCATTTATCTTTCAATTCCCTCTCCCAAGTTTGCTCTCCCTTTAGGTTTTCAAGAATCAAAGGATGCAGATGGCTTTCTGTGGAGAATGATGTGAGCACATGGGCCCACTGAATGTGGATCCATACCAACTTGATCATGGCAGATTTTTCCACAAATCCCTTGTTTAGAAAAGTAGCAGAAAAGGCTGGCTGGCACAAAAATATCTCCCACTGAAATATCTGTGGGCATACACACATATGCAGAACTTATTTTAAGGAGAGGCTGTTCAAACAGACTCTTAACAGATGGCATATAGAGGGCTCATTTCCTGCAACCTCACATTACTAATGTTGTTGCTCCTTTACTAAACACTCCAGTTCACTAGTCTTACAAATCTCATCCATGCCTTTGCCTAAACTGTCAAAGAAGATCAGGGCTTGAAGGAATGTCTACTCCAACCCTGATCACTTTACTGATATAAATTTTGAGATCTGGAGAATGGAAAGGGCATGCCCAAAATTTCCTAAGAGGTAGAGGTAGAGCCAGGACTAGACTTCAAGAGTCAACAGTCTTCTTTCTGGTCTCTCACATAGCTATCACAGCACATACTCCAAGACAACACAGACAAATCTTGGTGTATTCATGGATCTCTTTCAGATGGACATTTGCCTTTCCACAGAGAAGTATTCATCAACCAGTCTTTGAGGGTGGGAGATTGGTGTTAGGAACATTTAAATTTTATAATGCCCATTAGACAGGTACATAGCCATGAGGAAAACACTTTCCTGGTCTCTTGCTTTATCATAAAAATGCCCCAGGTGTTACATAAGTAAATATCTAAGATGGATTAGCTAAAACTGTAGCTATGGTGAACTGTGTGAAATTCAGTGTAATTTTCAGGGATTGTTCAAGTATTTTCTTTCTTTCTTCCTTCCTTCCTTCCTTCCTTCCTTCCTTCCTTCCTTCCTTCCTTCCTTCCTTCCTTCCTTTCTTTCTCTCTCTCTCTTTCTTTCTTTCTTTTTTTTTTGACAGAGTCTCGCTCTGTTGCCCAGGTTGGAGTGCAGTGGTGTGATCTCAGCTCACTGCAGCCTCCACCTCCTGGGTTCAAGAGATTCTCCTGACTCAACCTCCCAAACAGCTGGGATTACAGGTGCACGCCACCATGCCTGGCTAATTTTTGGATTTTTGTAGAGATGGGGTTTCATGATGTTTGCCAGGCTGGTCTTAAACTCCTGACCTCAAGTGATCTGCCTGCCTTGGCCTCCCAAATTGCTGGGATTACAGGCATGAGCCACCACGCCTGGCCTGTTCAAGTATTTTCTAGCAATCTTGGCAAAGCAATTATGTTTAGCCCACTTGGCTATCTTTTTAACATCCTGGAGTTTCTAATCATTTTTAATGCCTATCTGGGGAAAGATATTTAATATTATGTTCTCTGTTTTCCTATATTGATTGACAATAGCCATGGATCTTTCTGTTTATCTTCTTTTGTAGATCTACCACAGCCCTATAACAAAACAGCAAGAAAGTGAGTCACTTAAGTTTTTGGTCTACTAGCATTATAAACTGCCAGCTGTCCGATTCATAGTAAATACCATCATTAATGATGTGTACTACTAACGCAAGTCTGAATATGGATGCCTTTGTGTGAAATAAAATTCAGCCATATATTTTTTAAATGTGTCTGGTAATTGAACTAAGGTAGACACTTGGTGTTAGCTTACATCGTGGGTAGAGAAACATATCCTTCCTGTTCTGGAAGCATGATAGAAATTGTATTTTTAGGCTAACATTTCACATATGACTTTGCTCATGCTGAAAGCAGACAATTCAAAGGGCTAAATATAAGTATTTTGTGTTATAAGAGTTAAAATGTTAAACCTCCCCTGAAAAAATGACTCTTTCCATTTAAGGGTGACTAGAAATGAGCAACTAAAAACCCTTAGCTCTCTCAATGCAGTCCCTTTGCATGGTCATTAAATGTTTAATAGGTGACACCTGTTGCAGCAGGATCTAACTCTTTTCCTTTGCTTGAAACAGTGGAGCTAAATGAAGTGGGCTTCAAGTTTGTCAGGAAGTGCATCAATATTATTGAGACCAAAGGTAAGATCTGAACCATAGTCTTGGCATTGTCTGAATCTCGTCACTCTGATTTTATCCTGGGCAATTTCTCTGAAGTAGCGTTTTAGGAATGAAGACTGTTTATAAAGCTTGTGTAGTAGATGCAAGCTAGAAAATTTCAGAAAATTCTAAACTAGTGGTATGCAAGCATATTTGGATAATTTGGATTCCTGCTTTTAAAGAGCTTATAAGTTTATAAAGTATTCTCAAACAGTACCTGGCACTCCTTAAGCAGTGTCATGATGGTTCTATCCTAAATGATCAAGAGTTCAATTTCTGCCACAGTACATACTGGTATGAAAATTGATGGGGCAGAGCCAAACTCAGGGAGATGTGGAATCAGCATTCTTCCTGGTTGCCGATACTCCCTGGTTTCCTTCTGAGGATATTTAGACTGTGGGCAAGTGTGGTATGTGAATCAAGTCTCTTTGTTCTTTGAAATGTTTTTTTAGTCTTTCTTGGTGCAGGAAATGGCCTTTTGTTTCACAGCTGCCTTACTCCAGCCCTCTCGTGATTTA
Source organism: Homo sapiens (assembly GCF_000001405.40). Classification (NCBI taxonomy): domain Eukaryota; kingdom Metazoa; phylum Chordata; class Mammalia; order Primates; family Hominidae; genus Homo; species Homo sapiens. Next base: position 68,193,353 of record NC_000023.11, on the reverse strand, counting down.
TATCACTGCTTAGAAGCAACTTGAGGGTTGATCCTTCCTCCTTTTTCAATTGAATGAACTTCTTTCTAAGATGGCAGCACCATTCTCAGCTTTCTGCTGCCGCCCAAACTAAGCATATGCTTCTATTTACTATAGAGTTTGTTTTCTTCTCTTCAGATTAATGAGGGTTTGGTACACTCCAAATGAAAGGATGGATAATTTGGAGAGATGCTGTAGGACTATTCCCCTGTTACAGGGAAGGCTGGAGAACTTGGAGTATGTAGTGTGACCCCTTCCTATCTGAATTGACCCTAGTGTACCAAGGGGAGATGACAACTCTAGCTATACAAGTGAAATTAACCTGATTTTTTCCTCCACTAGGGATCAAGACAGAAGGGTTGTACCGCACTGTGGGCAGCAATATTCAGGTTCAGAAGCTGCTGAATGCCTTTTTTGGTAACAATTTTACTTTGATAATTCTTATTGGGAGTACTTTATGTGTTACAAAGAAATGTGACTGGAAGAGAAAGGAGACACTGCTAAAATGTGGTAGAATAGTTGAAAAAAGTATTTTCTAAAGTAAAACATACACATACTTGCCCACCCTGGGCAGAGTCAATCGTACCTTGAAAATGGCTGTTATCTCTCCTTCCTCGTATCCCATTCACTCCAGAAACCCTCAGCAATACAACTTCTTTCCCTACATCTCAACTGGAACTGTGTGGCCAGGCTTAGTCGGTATCTTCTTACCAAATCCAGTGAATACTTTTGAGTTTGTGTCTTACTTGATCTCCTTGTTGACCACTTTCTCTTTTTTGAAACTTTCTCCTTACATGACTTCGTGACTTCCATAACACATCAGCACTCTTCTGATTCTTCTCACATCTTTTTTTTTTTTTTTTGAGACAGGGTCTAGCTCTGTCGCCTAGGCTGGAGTGCAGTGGCATGATCATGGCTCACTGCATCCTCAACCTGAGCCTCCTGGGTAGCTGGGACTATAGGCGTGTGCCACTACACCAGGCTGATTTTTAATTTTTTTGTAGTGATGGGGTCTCACTATATTGCCTAGGCTGGTCTTGAACTTCTGGCCTTCAATCATCCTCTTGCCTTTGCCTCCCAAAGTGCTGGGATTACAGGCATGAGCCACAATGCCTGACCTCTTCTAACATCTTATAGGATTCCTTTTCAATAACTTGCTGAACCTTTATCTTTCTGTTTTTTACACCTTGACTGTGTGTTTCCTACAGTTCTATCTTTGTTCTTGGTTTACTTCTTTTTTTTTAATATGTTTTTCTATTGATTGATTTTTTTTTATTCTGGTTATGGCTCACATTTTTGTTTCTTAAAAAACATTTCTTGTAATCTTTATTGGTTGCTGGATGTTGTGACTTACTGAATGTCTTGATTTTGTTGATTTCTTTTAAAGAGGACTGAATTTTGTTTTGTGGGCAGTTATTTGTGGATCAATTTGATTTATTTGAGTCTTCTTTTTAAGCTTTGTTGGGCCAGATATAAAGTATCCACCCCCAGGTAAGGTTGTTGAGCTCTTTTTCCACATAGCTCACTCTTCTCTGGTACTGTGCCTTGCTAGTTATAGCTGCTTCAACCTTCCTAAACTTTGATCCTTATCTCTTCAGCTGAGCAAGACTTCCATGCTCAGCTTGAGTTCCCACTCCATCTGCTGCAATCTAAAAAGTGCTTTTAAGAAGCAAGCTGTGGAGAAGGTAGCAGTTATCTTGTTTGTATCCCTCTTCTCAGAGTCATAGTCCTGTTTTGTCTGTTGCTCAATAACTACATGCAGGAGTTTCCTATATACTGTCCAGTTTTCTAGTTGTTACAGCAGGAAGGCAAGTCTGATACCAGTTAGTCCACCATGGCTGGCAGTGGTATTCTCTCTTTATGCTTTTTACTAGCACCTCTATGCTGACAACTCACAAAATCTCTGTTCCAGACATCATCTGATGAGTTCTAAATGCAAATATTCACTTGCCCACTGCACTTGTGCTTCTCAGTCATATTAAGGTCATGGCACATATCAGAATGATCATCTTTATATAGCATGCTCGGGTAAATGGACATCACTGAGGCAAGAAGCCCTAAAGGCTGAGGGAGTCAATATTGGAGTCTCTGCACAAGCTCTCTTTACATAGATGGTTCACAGGTATCTACCTGCATTTCTCTCCCTGCAAACCTACCCTTCTTCCTTTCGTGGGTGGCAGTGAAGCATCTTGTAAGCTGAGTTTTCACAGTGTCAGAGAACAAATTGAGTGTGGAAAACTGCAGTTTGGATAAAATACATATTTTTTGGTCCTTACTGTGATGCATAGCTAATCTCTCACAAGCCTGCAGGTCTGACAACCAACCCTACTCACATTTGAGGATGTTACAGCACTCAGTCATAGCAGGTGTGGTTTTTGAATTCCAGATTACATCATTAGTACCTCATCATCTGTTTTCATTAATCACCTTACATTCTTGACTTTTAAAAATTTGGATTGCTTATTCCTGGTCAATTTGCAACCCATCTCATTAGCTAAGGACACTTTTTCATATGTAAATCAGCTGACATCGTGGTCCAGCATATTGAATCTCTGAAAAATTATTGAACTCAGATATTTATTCAGATAACTATTGAACTATTGAAAATTCTGTTTCCAGTATCACTCTTATATCTGTTGTATAATAAGCTAAAAAATGCCATGCCAGGCATCCCACTGATTCTCTTATGGGCTTTAATAGGACTGAAGTGGCTCCTTCAAATCACACACGGCAGTAGAATTTGATTCAAGTATTAAGGAAAGTGGTAGAGTTGGTGTATTTCATTTATTCAAAACCATCCTCCAAATATTAACTCTCATAGGAATATCTAAAATATAGACCAGGAAGTTCTAGATATAAATATTGATAGATGCAATATAAAACTGTTAACTTCCTTATTTGTATATGAAAGTGGCAACCCCGATCCCTGCCCCAAATGTATGAAACTCCAGATGTGGTGATGATCCTCATTCATTTATTCATTGAGCAAATATTTGTGTGCCTACCCGGGCATCAATCATTGTGTTTAGGGCAGTGGATTGAAAAGTGAACATATTCCCTGTGTTTTCCACCTTTGTGGGGCTTACATTCTACTGGGAAACTGTCTCTCAGTTACCTTTCAATGTCTAGTTATGTGGGGAGACCTTCCTTCTAAGTTTATTTCATGTGATGTCCTCTGGCGTGTCTCACTGGGATCCTCAAAGCTGTCTTGCTTCTTTTCACCCTTTCCTGATCTAGTCTCATACCACTAGGGGCTTGTTGCCTTGGCTGCATGTGGACCCATCATGATTTATCCTGGAGGGTGAACATCCATTGCCTTTTGGTTACGTAACATCTCTCCCTCTTTTTTTTTTTCTTATGTCTCATGCTCTGTGCTAGTCAAAAGGATACTTCTTGTTATTTTTTTTTACCTAAACAACCCTCAGACTTCTTTCCCTATGACATCTCCTATAACTTGTAACTGTAGGCTTTCTTCTATCGTTTACTAAAGCCTTTTCTTCTTCCCCTAGACAAAAGTTTGTCTTTTTGGGAAATAAAATATATCACAGAGTATAAAGTCAAAGGCAATACATTCATAATCAATAGTTATTTTCAATCACGCTGTTGGTTGGTTGGTCACATTCCTTGCCTACACCAGATTTTTGTATGATGCTTTATGTTAATAGGTTTTATGTGAGGATTAGAATCTTCACTGGTGCTGGATCCATTGTAAGCCACCTTGGCACAGAGAAGCCAATCTGATTATCTCAGGGACAACTTGGAACCTCGTGTAAGAGTTCTGTTTCAGAAGGGGAACATCACACACTGGGGCCTGTTGTGGGGTTGGGGGAGGTGGGAGGGATAGCATTAGGAGATATACCTAATGTAAATGATGAGTTAATGGGTGCAGCACACCAAGATGGCACATGTATACATATGTAACAAACCTGCACGTTGTGCACATGTACCCTAGAACTTAAAGTATAAAAAAAAAATTAAAAAAAAGTTTAAATCATAAAAAAAGAGTTCTGTTTCTCTTTCCTTTATCAAGCTATAACTATCTTATTAATGAAAATGCCCCCCATTGTCGTTATAGTCTTAATAATCATGTTGTGCTCCAGAGACTCTTAAGTATTTCACAATGGAGCAGATGGGTGAGATGGGGCATGGACAGCAATGAGACTGGTTGTATCAGCAGGGGCTCTTGATAGAGTTGAGCCTGGTTGGCAGCCATAAACAGGAAAGTGTTGTTCTCACAATCCCCTTACCATGCCAGAGGCCTATGGATCTAAACAGAAGAGGACCTGCTGTAACGAGTGAAGTAACAAGTCACTTGTAAGATGTTATTTATGTTATTTTCATTTCCTGTTTAGATATTTAAATTTCTTATTTCATCATTATGGCATTAGAATAAGATACGTGGACTTCTCAGAAACTAAGTGGAATACCTAATATATATAGACAGATAATAGAGTAGGAATATGCATACAGTCATTTTTCCATTTTCATAATTAATGTGAATTATTCAGCATCTGGAGACTTAACTTTAGCATTAAATTCACATATATTCGGACAAATAGATAATAAATACATTAATCAGAAATACTTTCAAGTTATGTGACCTCTTTGTTTGAATGAGAAATTCAGAGTCCCCTAGCAAATAAAACAAAAATATACCACACTCCACTTCAGGAGTTGCAGAACTTGAACTCTATATGTTAATCTTTAAAGCAACTGTATATGTTAACCGTTTTTCTGATACTGTCGTATGATGTGATCTTTAGCTTTCCATACATATCAAGATACTTTATTCATAAAGCCAGATCCTTGTATATGTGTGTATATGTATACATGTATGTCATAAATAGATTTTATATAGGTTCATTAATCATTACTATACTTACTACTTTAAATACATTGATTATTCTCAAATCATGCTTGCTTTGAAATAGTACCACTAGAGTTTGAAGTAATTTATCAATGGATATTTACTGTTACCCTTTCCAAATTATTTCCTATTTGCATTTGACTATGAAACTGAGTTCAAAAACTTTTAGAAATAAAGTTTGTGATATGAATATTTGTTCCTTTTCTATTATTTTCTCAATATGTGAATAATTGATAGCAAATTCATCTTTAGTTCTCACCTGACATAATGCCATTTCCTAGCATTCTTGTAAGTATGTAAACAGTAGGATAGGAATTTTTCTCTTAAAGGTATTTTAACTTAGCAAAAATAATTTCAGTTGTTGACATATGAATCTAGCAATGCTGTTATCCCACCTGCTTCCTGCTGCAGGGTTTCTGACTTGGGGAGAGTCTTTCAGCTATGTCACCATGAATGAAGATCCAGGGGATTGTTTGTATTAGTTTCCTAGTGCTGCTGTAGTAAATTATCACAAATTTAATGGCTTAAAACAATACATATTTGGCTGGGCACGGTGGCTCACACCTGTAATCCCCGCACTTTGGGAGGCCAAGGCGGGCGGATCACGAGGTCAGGAGATCGAGACCATCCTGGCTAACATGGTGAAACCCCATCTCTACTAAAAATACAAAAAATTAGCCGGGTGTGGTGGCGGGCACCTGTAGTCCCAGCTAATCGGGAGGCTGAGGCAGGAGAATGGCGTAAACCTGGGAGGCAGAGCTTGCAGTGAGCTGAGATGGCACCACTGCACTCCAGCCTGGGCGACAGAGCAAGACTCCACCTCAAACAAGCAAACAAACAAACAAACAAACAAAAAACCAATACGAATTTATCCTCTTATAGTTCTGGAGGTCAGTAGCCTAAAATCATTCTTCTGGAGCTAAAATCAAGGTGTCAGCAAGGCTACTTTTTTTTTTTTTTTGGAGAAGACAGTCTGTTCCCTTACCTTTTCAGCTTCTAGAACTTTCCTTGTCTCATGGTCCACTTTAACAACACCAGGCAGAGTCCCTCTCATGCTGCCATCACTCTGGTTCTTTCTCTTCTGCCTTCCTCTTCTGCTTTAAAGGACCCTTGTGATTACATTCATTCCACCCAGATCATCAGAATAATCTTCCTATCTCAAGGTCATCTGATTAGTGACCTTAAACCTATCTGTAACCTTAATTCTCCTTTGGCATGTGACTTAACATATTCCCAGGTTCCTGATATTAGTATGTGGACACCTTTGGGAACCAGAAATCTGCCTACTACATACACTATTCCATTCAGAGTTTTAGGACACTCCCTCTGATGCTGTTAAGTGGACCCCGAGGTCATTCTTGATTCTTCCTTTTTGGAATCTGTGGTAAGACCTTTAGGCAGTGGTTATCTTATTGACTTATGACTCATTGTGACGTTCTCACTTACTTCCTCAAAAGGAGCAGAAATAAATTCCTTTCATTGGCATATGACATCTGTTAGGGAGTGAATGTTTGTACTTCCTCCCCCATTTATATGTTGAAAGTGACTCCCCAGTATTGGTATTGGTTTTGGAGGTGGGGCCTTTGTGGAGTAATTTGGGTTGAATAAGATCATAAGGATGGGGCCTTCATGAATGGGATAAATACCCTTATAAGAAGGTGCCAGAGGGCTAGCTTACTCTCTTTACACCATATGAAGATGTAACCTGGAAAAGGTCCCTCATCAGAACCCAACCATACTGGCACCCTTATCTTAGACTTTCAGCTTCTAGAGCTGTGACAAATAAATTTCTGTTGTTTATAAGCCACTCAGTCTCTGGTAATTTGTTATAGTAGCCTGAAATGACTAAGATACCATGTTTTCCAAGATGTCTCAGCTCTTTGCCAGCCAGAGTATCATTTACACTTTTCTCTGGAGAAACTTGTTCTGTACTCAGTCTGTTCACTTTTTTTCCTATGGCACTTCTTTTTGCCACTAGCTTTTTTTTTTTTTTACTGTAATATTGTCAAACATGCTGTATCCCAGAGCCAGTTTCAGGTGATCTGCCTGAAATGGATTGTGGACCCAGAGCAACCAATTTACCCTCTTGATTTCTGTTGGTAATACTAGGATCCCCAGAGCCCCCATTTTGAGCCAGGTTAGGCAGATGAACTATGCCCTGAGCATCTCTTATGTCCTGCAGTGTTCATTCTTTCATTCATTCAACATAGTAATCTTGAGTACCTCCTAAGTGCCAGATATTGTATCAAGTGGTAGGGATGTAACAGTGAAGAATGGGGAAAGAAATCACCAGCCTCCTGCAACTTAGTGTCTAGCAGCAGCTATAGTTCATAGATACAGTCACATATTTTTCTCCCAAAATAAACTCTGGAATATCCCAGATTTGGGATTCTGTTGATCCTCACTGGCAGCATAAGGACATGAAGCAGTATAGGCAACTGGAAAAGAGAAACCATAGTCTTCCCCTTGGAAAAAAGCAGCCTATTTCTTAAACCAAGATCTTTCACCATCTTAATGTAAAGCATATAAGGAGAATATATTAACTTTGGGAGACTGTAACAGTTTTCCTTTTTCTGATGTGTAATGTATACCTTATTTCATCTGCTTGAACTCCATTGGCTTTCAATTTTTTCCAGGTCTTATTGTTTATCTTCTGCCTTGCCTCATGATCCCCTTTCTCCTTTTCTTTAGCCTTGTCTTACAGCTCTCTCTCTCATTCACTGATTCACACAACATTTATTCACTGCATACGCTAGTGTTTAGGGCTACTGCTTACCTCCCTTTCTCTTTTTTTTTCTCTTATTCTTCACATATCTCCTTTGCCTCCTATTCTGACATGCTTATACTATGACTAGCAACCCGCTTTCATAAAATCTTTTCTATGAGCATACATTGGAACCCTTCTAGATACAAGTAGCCAGACAAGGTGATCATAAATGAAAGACTAGTCTTCCCTATATCAAATGTAGCTGTCATCTGGGAAAACTGCATTTACAAAATGCCCAGGTGGGTAGTACATGCTCTGACATTTCTCTGTCCATGTTTCTTTACTAGATGCCTGGATCTCTAGGAATCTGGTATTCAGCATAGTGGATGACACGTAGGAAATATTTGTGGAATTAATGAATACTTTTTGTGATGCATGTCTCTTCCTAGAGAATGTTTGTTTTTCTCAAAAACATGAGCCATTCCATACATGGTTGTATTTTGTTATGCTACTGCACAGAGTTTCTGTTGTATGTAGTTTCACAAAATATAGCTTTTGTTAATCTCTGCAGATAGTATTAGGACCACCAAGTTATCTGAACTGACATGTAATTAATATTTGCAAATAACGATAATAAGCAGCAAATCAGTAGGATTTTCCCATGGGAAGCCATATTTCTCAAAGATTTCTACATCCTAGTCAGAGGTGATTCTTCATTTAAACTGTGTAGATGATAATGGGCAAAGGGAAATTGTAGCTTCTTTTCTCTGTTGGAGGGCATGTTTTATTTCTTCTTGTTGTTGCCTTCATCTTTTCCCCAGTGCTTCCTGTGTTGACCAGATGATCACATCCAGCTTTAAAACCATTCATGGGGATAGTGGCTCAAGCCGGTAATCCCAGCACTTTGGGAGACCGAGACGGGCAGATCACTTGAGGTCAGGAGTTCAAGACCAGCCTGGCCAACATGGTGAAACCCCATCTCTACTAAAAATACAAAATTAGCCAGGCATGGTGGTGGGCGCCTGTAATCCCAGCTACTCTGGAGGCTGAGGCAGGAGAATCGCTTGAACCTGGGAGGCGGAGGTTGCAGTGAGCCAAGATCATGCCATTGCACTCCAGCCTGGGCAACAACAGTAAGACTCTCTCAAAACAAAACAAAACAAATCAAAACAAAAACATTTGTATCTGAATACAGTGTTGATCCATCTTCCCACCCCTTCCTTTTTTTTTTTTTTCTTTTGAGACGGAGTCTCGCTCTGTCACCCAGGCCGGAGTGCAGTGACGTGATCTCAGCTCACCACAGCCTCCGCCTCCTGGGTTTAAGCGATTCTCCTGCCTCAGCCTCCCAAGCAGCTGGGATTACAAGCATGTGCCACCACACCTGGCTAATTTTTGTATTTTTAGTAGAGACAGGGTTTCACCATGTTGGCCAGGCTGGTCTCGAACTCTTGACCTCAGGTGATCTGCCAGCCTCGGCCTCCCAAAGTGCTGGGATTACAGGCATGAGCCACAGCGCCCGGCCCCATTCCTCTTTTTGACTCATTGCCTTTTATTTTTTTTATTACTATTATACTTTAAGTTTTAGGGTACATGTGCACAACGTGCAGGTTTGTTACATATGTATACATGTGCCATGTTGGTGTGCTGCACCCATTAACTTGTCATTTAGCATTAGGTATATCTTCTGATGCTATCCCTCCCCCCTCCGACTCATTGCCTTTTAAAGCATGCTGTGGTCTCCCTCTAGTGGAGAAATTGCCATTTCAGAAAGAAAAAAATTCACAGCCTAGAGTCAGGTTATATTTGTTATGCCTTTATATTTGAACACCTTGTAAATTGCTGCTTATCAGTCAATTTTCTGTTTAGGTGTTGTAGAGTAAAAAACAATTTTTCTTCAACTCTCGTAAGTTCTTAGTCAGAACATACCCTTGTAACAAAAGACAAGATTAGTAGGAGAAAACAAGCTAATTAATACGTATATTTCATGCATACATGGGGGATACCCAGGAAATGAGTAATTCTCAAAGAGGTAGCTTTAAATTTCAGGTTATAGATCACCTTCAACAAAGAATAGTAATTTTTTAATTGTATTTTTTTTAAAGATGTGACAAGACAAAGTAAAAGGACTTTGAATCTCTAGTGGCAGCAACATCTGGGAAGCCAAATAAATGAGAGATGACAGCTAGTTAGTAAGGCTTGTTTATATAAATTCCTCTGCTACCATTTCTAGGCCAATAAGTGTCTAAAGTTGTCTTTAGTGGTTAACCTTTTTAACCTTTGTTCTCCCTGGTAGAAAGGGGTGTTGGGTTGGGATACCTTCGTCTTTGTAAATCTATGTTCTGCTTTTAGGCAAATAGAGGGAGGGCAGAGAGCTTTCCTGTACCTGCTGCTTCTTAATTTTCTTCAGGTCAACAATTCTTTGTATTTTGGGGTGGCATATTATGACCTTCCATAGTATTGTATCTTCTGAAGCCAAACCTCATCTTACTCAAAACAGTTAATCACCTCCTCTTCTCTACCAGTTATGTACTTAGTGTAATTTATATTATTGTAGATTTCTTGCTGTTATGTAGTTACTTCTGGGTATATCTGTTCTGCTTCACACTTCAGCATCTTGAGTAGAATTTCTTAATCTTGATTGACAATCCTATCCAGAATTTCCAGAATGTTTAGTTTAATGGAGTGTTATTATGGGCCTTTGTATTTTCCATGTCCCTCTGAAATTCCTGGAAATGTCTGAAATTTGGAACAGATACTGTTGTCAGCAAGTTACCTGAATGGATATGTAAAAAGCAGGGGTGGCAGAGCTTCTTGGGCAGAGCCTCTGTTTTTTCTTTTTCTTTTTATCTTTTGACAGAGTCTCACTCTGTTGCCCAGGCTGGAGTGCAGTGACACAATCTTGGCTCATTGCAACCTCTGACTCCCGGGTTCAAGCGATCCTTGTGCCTCAACCTCCAGAGTAGCTGGGACTACAGGCACCCGCCACCAGGCCTGGATAATTTTTGTATTTTTTGGTAGAAACAGGGTTTTACCATGCTGGCCAGGCTGGTCTGGAACTCCTAACCTCAAGTGATCCGCCCATCTTGGCCTCCCAAAGTGCTGGGATTACAGGCGTGAGCCACTGCGCCCGGCCAGACCCTCTGTTTTCAACAACTTCAGTATTTCCATGGAGTTCCCTAGGCCCATTCATTATCTTTTCACAGCCTCAGCTTGGTGCTCTTATCTCTGGGTACCTTTTAGACATTAACAACCCATACCTCTTAGATTTCTGAAAAGGCCAAAGGAAGATCTTGTAGTTCCACTTCTTTGTTTCTTATGAGTCTTTCTTCTCCCTCCTTCCCTCCCTTCCTCCCTTCCCCTCTCTCTTTCTCTCTGTCTCTCTCTCATTATCCTCTTACTCTTCAGAGTCTTCCTGTCCTGAGAGGCCTTTATTCCCCAGCAGTTCATTATCCAAGGACCATGCATGTTCCTGAGAGGAACATGGGTAGGACCCCCTCAGTGGGTATTGGTTGTTTCAACTACCCCCTAGTGGAGAAACTACCATCATAGGAAAAAAAAAAAAAAAAAAAAAAACTACAGAGCTTCTATGTCAGTCCCAAGATTTTATCAAATTGTAATTATTTGTACACTCCCAGTCTGTTCCTCACTCCGGTGCCTAAGGTGTAGCCATTGTTCTATGTCCATATGTACCCACCAGTCGTCCGGGAGATCCTACCACTATCAAGCCAACTGTTGAGTTTGATAGTTAATTTGCCTTCTGCAGAGATGAAATACTTGCTTTAATGGCTTTGGCCATCTAGCCTCTGGCCAGAGTTCTAGACATAGGATTTGTGAACACCATGGACTTGAACTCAGGATTTAGATGTAAGTGGAAAGTGACACTAAGATAAAGATGGAATAGGGTTGCCAAATTTATTTATTATGTATTTATTTATTGATGGAGTCTTGCTCTGTTGCCCAGGCTGGAGTGCAGTGGCGCAATCTTAGCTCACTGCAACCTCTGCCTCCCAGGTTCAAGCAATTCTCCTGCCTCAACCTCCCAAGTAGCTGTGATTATGGGCACCTGGCCCCATGCCCGGCTAATTTTTTTTAAATTTTTAGTAGAGACAGTGTTTCACCATGTTGGCCGGGCTGGTCTCAAAGTCCTGACCTCAAGTGATCCACCTGCCTCGGCCTCTTAAAGTGCTCGGATTACAGGCGTGAACCACCATTCCTGGCCTAGGGATGCCAAATTTAGCAGGTGAAAAACCTAGGGTTGCCAGATTTAGCAGGTGAAAAACGAAATACAGAATGCTCAGTTAAAATTCAAATTCAGATAAACAGATTTAGGACACACTTACACTAAGAAAAAAATAGCCATTGTTTATAAGCAATTCATATTTAACTGGAAATTCTGAATTTTATCTGGCAATTTTAATCTGGTTCCAGATTTTGCAGGATCTTATCAGTCATGTGAAGGATTTTAGTCCTTAGTATGTATAATAGCAATGAGAAACGGCAGAGGGATTTTAAACAGGGAATTTGTATCTTGTCAAATAATGATTCGAACAGGCCACCAAAATAGTCTTCTGATCAAACAAATTCAGGCTTGTTACTTACAGCACTAAGGAAGGCCACTACCATTGCAATATTGTCTTAATAACCTTTCAGAAGGGGAAAATCAGATGTGGAGGGATTCATATTTATAAGGTTTTTGGAGTCTGGTTTGTGGCAGGTCTTTCATTGTTGGGGCCTGAATGATTGAGATTGGACAAACTTCATGATATAATTTTATGTCAAAATTATATCAAAGTTTGTGATATATTTTTTTCAATAGTTTTTATGTAAAACTTTGAAGAGTATCAGTCATTTGATAAACCCATTTGAGAGATGTTCTGAGAAGTGGCTGTTTACTCAGATGAGGACTGCTTGATAAGCATTGTTCAGAAAAATTGATTTCCAGGAAGTTTCTGAAACAAAGCTATTCACAACTTCCTCTTACTGGAAGAAATTTCCTGGAATAGTAGTTGAAGTTAATGCAAAGTATTAAATAGAAACGTCATATTAATGTGGGTGGTAAACTGTATGCCTGCCTTTGGTTCCGGTTCTCTTTAGCCTCTGCTGGTTATTCTTCAGTCTTAGATGAGCTTCACAAACTGTATGTTCATGGCACACTTAGTTTCAGTCTAAGTAATTTGCCAGGGTATCTGTAGTCCAAGAGATGTACCTAACGTCTCCATTTATTAAGTAATTAAGTTGAACCAACTTAGTAAGTTTGCACATTCACACAACTTAGTAGCCATATCATTCTTATTGAAAGTATTTTTATCTTGTCATTAAATGACCCTATAATCTTTTTAATGCTGAATATGTTTCAGAAACATTAATATTAAAAATAACGATTTTAATAAAAAAGATACCTGCTCATCCTAAAAAATTTTAAGCATTAAAATGTGTTCAGAAAGCGTAGTGAAAATTCACCCCAAATCCTACTCACCAGGAATACTTATTTTTTAACTTGGTGGCCTTTATTCTAAGTATATTTCTATGAGTATACACATAAACTATTTTAGAAAATTTAGATCATAATTGATGAAGAAAGAATTATCCATGATACTTGGATATAGTAAGGTAGACATTTTTTCAACAGAGACTACTGCATTGGGGTTTTATAGTAGGAAGAGAGATTGAGCTCAACTCCAAATACAAGGAAATTTATATCCAAGGAGCAGGATGGGTGTTATGGCTTGAATATCCCCTCCCAAACTGAAGCGTATCTGCCACTATAATGTTATCAAGAGGTGGAGCCTTTAAGAGGTGATTAAGTCATGAGGGCTGTATTTTCATGAGAATGGGTTAGTTACTGTGAGACTGGGCTCCTGATAAAACAATAAGTCTGGCCTAATTTTCACTCTGTCTTGACCACCAACTTGCCCAGCTGTCATGGGATGATGAACATAAAGACCCTCACCAGATGACAATGTCATGCTCTTGGATTTCTTAGCCTCCAAAATCATGAGCCAATAAACTGGTTCATAAATTACCCAGTCTGTGGTATTGTTATAGCAGCAGAAAATTGACTAAGACAGTGGGAAGCAGTGGATGGAGAAATGCTAAGAGGAAACATCAGGAGTAAGGAGAGATTGTGAGTAAACTGACTTGATAGGATACTTGCTCAAAGCCGGATACAGTGATCAGATACCTAGAGTAGGAGATTTTCACTAAACTGACTCAGCAGGATTCTTACTGAAACCAGACTATGTGGGCCAAAGACAGGACCCAAGGTTGGGACCTAATCAGAAAGAGAATTCAGAGGAATCTGACTCAAGTTTGCTCAAGGAGAGAATCTTTTTCATAATATAAATGTTTTATATTCTCAGCAGTGTCAGAGAACTGGACAAAGATATACATTATTGCCTCTCTCAGAGAATAATATTCTGTAAGGACTAATAAAAGAAACATAGAACTAAGGTAGAATCATAAAAATTGGAAAGGAGGAGGCAATATCCATATGTTAGAGAGGCTATACTTGTTAGAAAAATCAAGAGCTTCACCTAAAAAATTCCTGAGAAGGAGAATTTAGTGAGATAGTTGATTGAAATTTCTTTCCTATATACAACAATAAATTGTATAATAAAATGGAAGAAAAATTCCCTTTGAAGAAATTAACCAAACATAAAATACCTAGGTCTAAACTGAGCAGGAAATGTGTAACATCTATATGGAGAAAAGCTTGGAATGCTAAAAGGGAACTAGAGAGAAGGCTTGAATATATACAAACACAGAGCCACTTTTTGAATTGGGATATCCAGTGTGGTAAATATGTCAGTTTCTTACTGTATAAATATAATGCAGTCACGATGAAAAATATCTGGAAATTAATTTGTTTGGAACTAAACAATCTGCTTCTGATGTTTATATGTATGTATCACCTTGAGCCGAGAGTCAGGAAATATTTGAAATAGAAGAACCATACCTAGAAGTAAGATATATAAGAAAGTTGCAATTGACAAAAACAATTTGGAATTTGTACATGCTTAGACAGTGAAAACAGTATAGTGAATTCAAAAGTAGACCTGGGCTGGGCGCAGTGGCTCACACCTGTAATCCCAGCACTTTGGGAGGCCGAGGTGGGTGGATCACCTGAGGTCAGGAGTTTGAGACCAGCCTGATCAACATGGTGAAGCTCTGTCTCTATTAAAAATACAAAAATTAACTGGATGTGGTGGTGCGCACCTGTAATCTCAGCTACTAGGGAGGCTGAGGCACAAGAATTGCTTGAACCCAGGAGGCGGAGCTTGCAGTGATCCAAGGTCACGCCACTGCACTTCAGCCCAGGTGGTAGAGAGAGATTACGTCTCAAAAAAACCACAAAAGTAGATTCAAATATATGTGGCAATTTAGCGTATGATAAAGGTAGAATTTCAGATCATTTGGAATGAAGTGTTTAATTCAGTTTATAGTGTTGATAACTGGCCATACATTTGGGGAGGTATACATTTCACCTTATAAAACCCTTTGCACAATTTGAATTTTGAACTCTTCAACAAAGAGCTAGTTTAAAAAATAAATTAAAGGGTTGATATGATTAGGAAATTTTTAAATGTATATTTGTCTGTCTCTGTCAATTCACCATGTTCACAGACTAGGCAAAGGAATAAAAATGCTGCCATAGGAAAACAAAACCTACCTAATATAGTGTGTAATGGGGTATTTTGACATGGATATATCAGAGATCAATAAAATTCTCCCAAATGTAAGTATTAATGTTAAAATCTCCAAACTTTTCTAATTGAGATAATACAAAATAACATATACACTGCCAGTCAATTGGCATAACATTCCTCTTAAAATATAGGTCTATTCTATGAGCAGCTGATATGGTTTGTATCTGTGTCCCTGCCCAAATCTCATGTTGAATCGTAATCTCCAATGTTGGAGGTGGGGCCTAGTAGGAGATGATTAGATCATGGGGGTGAATTTCTCGTGAATGGTTTAGCCTCATCCACTTGGTGCTGTTCCAGTGATAATGAGTCAGTTCTTGTGACATCTGGCTGTTAAAAGTGTGTAGCACCTCCCCACTCTCTCTCTTCCTCCCATTCTGGCCACATGAAGTGTCAACTCCCCCTTCATCTTCTACCATGATGTAAGCTTCCTGAGGCCTCCCCAGAAACCGAGCAGATGTTAGCACCATGCTTCCTGTATAGCCTGCAGAACCGTGAGCCAATTAAACCTCTTTTTTTTTAATTAAATTATGCAATCTCAGGTATTTCTTTATAATAATGCAAGAATAATACAGCAACTGACCAGATTATCTAGCTGTGACTGTATATTCTTAAAATTTCATATAGGGTTAATCAAGCCCCCATTTAGGGAGTATTTTTGTTACTTTTATTTTTAATTGTGGTAAAATATACATGACAAAATTTACCATCTTAACTATTTTTAAGTTTATTGTTCATTAATGTTCATTGTATTCACATTATTTTGCAACAAATATGCAGAGCTCTTTTAATTTTGGGAAACTGAAACTCTGTACAACATTAACAACTTTCCATCCTCCTCTCTCCCTAGTTCTTGGAAACCAACATTCTATTTCCTGTCTCTATGTGTTTGACTACTCTAAGTGCCTCATATAAATGAAATCAAACTGTATTTGTCTTTGCGTGACTGGCTTATTTCACTTGGTGTAATATCCTCTAGATTCATCCATGTTGTAGAATGTTTTAGAATTTCCTTCATTTTAAAGGCCGAATAATATTCCACTGTGTGTGTCTATGTATGTATGCATATATATATATATATATATGTATATATAAAAACAATATGTATTGTTCATTCATTCTTCTGTGGATAGACACTTGGGCTGCTTCTACCTTTTGTCCACTATGAACAATACTGCTGTAAACATGGATATACAAATATCCCTTCAAGAAGCTGCTTTTACTTCTTTAACCCATTTATGCCTAGTGTTCCATTATTGGAATGCTAAGCATGTAGGAGTTATTTATATCTTACTACTCAAGGTCATCATCAAGGTCTGATTGCAAAAATTCAAAAAAATTGCAACTGCCAGCATAAATGGGTTTAAGTATATGTCGAGAAAGTAGAATTGCTGGGTTATATAGTAATTCTGTTTCTAGTTTTTTAGGAACCACCATACTATGTTGCATAGTGGCTTTACCATTTCACATTGCCACCAACAGTGCACAAGGGTTCCAGTTTTTCCACATCCTCACCAACACTTTGAATTTTCCTTATTTATTTATTTTTGATATGTAGCCATTCTAATGGGTGTGAGGTGGTATCTCATTGTGGTTTTGATTTGCATTTTCCATGTGACAATGTTGAATATCTTTTCATGTGCTCACGGGCTATTTATTTCTTTTAAGGAATGTCTATTCAAATTCTTTGCTCATTTTAGAATCAGTTTGTTTATTTTTTGTTGAGATTTAGGAGGTCTTTATATATTTTCAGTATTAACCCCTCATCTCTAACACACACACGATTTACAGATATTTTCTCCCATTTGATGCACAGAAGTCTTTAATTTTGTTGTAGCCCAATTTATCTATTTTTTCCTTTTCTTTCTTGTGCATTTCGTGGCATATTCAAAAAATTATTGCTAAATAAAATGTCATACAGTTTTCCCCTATGTTTTCTTCTAAAAGTTTCAAGCTTTTGCTTTCATTTGGGTCTTTGATCCATTTACAGTTAATTTTTGATATGGTATAAGGTCAGGATCCAACTTAATTCTTTTGTATGTAGATATCCAGTTTCTCCAGCATCATTTGTTTCAAAGACTGTCCTTTACACATTAGATGGTCTTGGTATCTTTGTTGAAAATTATTGCACCATATATGTTAGGGATTCTTTCTGTGCTCTCTGTTCTATTCCACCGGACTGCAGGTCTGTCTTTATGCCAGTACCACATTGTTTTGAGTACGATTGCTTTGTCAAAGACAAGATGTTCCAGACCATTAGGGAATGTCTTTATTTAGACTGTTGCAATAGGGAGAACCTTCATTATTGAGGAATATTTCCCAGGAGAAGGAGATTTAAGGCTTTTTAGAGGCAGATTACAAGAGAGTCATCATGAGGCTTACATGAGTCATGAGGTAGGATGGAGATGTGTCCTATATGCAAAGACAGGGTAGACTTTTGAAGTTACTTGTTTCTGAGGACACAAAAAGATCGGGGAGGTGTGGTATTTCTAAACCATTGATGCTTCCTTGGAGCACAGGGTTCAAGTGAAGTTCATCATGGTCACTACAGTTTAGTAAACTTTTTTTGTCTGGACTTTGAATAGACAATGATTTTTTTTTCCTTTTTCGAAGATTTAAATAGGAAAAAAAATTCTTGTTTGGTTTAAGTAGTTACATTTCTTTTCCAGCAACTCTACAATTTATTTTTCCCACCACACATATTATAAATATAACCAATTATGTACTCAAATTTCTCTCTGCCTTTCAAAATAATACTTTGTGACTCAGAAGACATTTTAAAAAATATACTTAAAGGAACATAATTATTAGGTATGCAGTATAAATTTGCTCCTAAAACTTTTTCCATTTTTATAGTTGAAACAATCTTACACATAATGATGCTTATATCTACTCTCTGTAGGGAAGAATTTGTAATTCTTTCACACAATTCTGAATATTTTACAGGTTTTGGGGGATTTTTTTTCTTTTTTTTTTGAGACAGAGTCTCGCTCTGTCGCTAGGCTGGAGTGCAATGGTGCGACCTCGGCTCACTGCAACCTCCGCCTCCCAGGTTCCAGCAATTCTCCTGCCTCAGCCTCCTGAGTAGCTGAGATTACAGGCACCCATCACCACGCCCAGCTAATTTTTGTATTTTTAGTAGAGATAGGGTTTCATCATGTTGGCCAGGCTGGTCTTGAACTCCTGACCTCAGGTGATTCACCTGCCTTGACCTCCCAAAGTGCTGGGATTACAGGTGTGAGCCACTGTGCCCGGCCATTTTTTTGGATTTTAAACTAACCATTCCAGGCTGGGCTGAGCGATTCATACCTGTAATCCCAGCACTTTAGGAGGCTGAGGTGGGTGGATTGCTTGAGCCCAGGAGTTCAAGACCAGTTTGGGCAATGTAGGGAGACCCTGTCTCTACAAAATATAAAAAAATTAGCTGAGTGTGGTGGCTTGGGCTTATAGTCCCAACTGCCTGGGAGGCTGAGGTGGGAGGATTGCTTATGCACGGGAGGTCGAGGCTGCAGTAAGCTGCGATTGCACCACTGCACTCCAGCCTGGGTGATAGAGTGAGACTCTGTCTCAAAAAAAAAAAAAAAAAAAAGAATAAGTTAATAAACTAAACATTCCTGGGAAGACTGGCCTTAAATTCTCATCCTAAATATTAGAGTTTTAATTTTTTCCTACTTTTGAATTATTGAAACTTCTTTTTTACTATCAAGAAGGGCTGACTGTATTTTCCTATTGAAAACATATTTGCTAACTCTGCAGTCATATTCTTTTGTTACAGCCCTCTCATTTAAATTTTTCTTGAATTTTGCCTCTTGTTATAAAGGGTGGCTTTGTGTTGATCTTTTTCAGGTTTGTGGTTTTCTTTCAGAGCAAAGTAAGGCAGCTTATTTCTTTTGGGCATTTTTGCCCCATTTTTTAATTGAAGTACAATTAATACACAGTGAAATGTAAAGATCTTAACTGTGCATTTTAAGGGAAACTTCAAGACATTTGTTCATTGATTCACAAAAGTGCAGAAATCTCAGCGATTTTTCAAAAAATGAACTAACCCATGTAACCGGCACTCAGATCATTCTTGGTACCCCAAAAGTCCTTTTTTGACACTTCCCATCACAATCCCACCAAAGGTTAACCTTTATCAAGACTTTTAACAGGATAGATTAGTTTTTTTATATAGAAATAAAATTACACTCTATATAAATAGTATATGCTCTCCTGTTTTGGCTTCTTTCACTTAACATTAAGTGAAATTCATTAAGTGAGATTCATCCATGCCATGGTGGTTATAGTGTTGTTATAGTTCACTCATTCTCAATGCTGTACAATATTCTGAGTCATTAATGTACCATATTTGTTCATTTTGTGTTGATGGATATTAGGGTTGTATTTTTTTTTTTCTAATTTGGTCTTGCAGTCTGTCTCTGGAAAGTAGCTATAAACTTTATTCCCCAACAGGTTCCAAGGGATTTGGTTGTGGATGTTTACAATGTGCCTTTCACAGGATACTTCTTTATCCTGGCAGATGGTATGATGCCTAATTGTCTGAGGTGTGAACAAGTGTCTTTCTCACCAGAAATTATTTTATACTGGCAGATGCTTGTGGCTATTATCAGACCTGTGTCCCGTTTATTCCTGTCAAGATAGCCACTGTGTAGGAGAGGCTTAACTGGGAGAAAAGTTAAGTCTGAATGTATCAGTCTGGGGAGATATAGGTGTGTCAGTTGGGTAATACTATACAGAGGAGACAGCACAACAAAAACAGGTGAAATAATGTAGACAGTTTATTATTCACAGGTTGATGGGAAAACAGGGGTACCGACAGGGGCTGTTGGAAATACTGTAGAGGAAATGTGCTCAACCAGCAGGTGGAGAGATAATGAGTTGAGGCCTTTATTGGGTCCAGTATGTTACCAAAGCAGGTTACCTCTGATGAGTTCTCATTAGTGGGTGTAGAGCAAGCAGGCATGAGTTATACTGGATGAACGTCTCGATGGGGAGGTTGTCACCGTGGCATATCTGCACAGTCCATGCATGGTGTAAGGGATCAATGGGCCAAGTCAATTAGGTTATATCTATGTGTTCCATAGGGAGGTGGTCATCAGGAGGCAATTGTCTAAGATACATATCTGGAGGGAACACATTAAGGAATTGGGAGGAGACAGAGAACTGGAAACTGTCAAGGATAATATGGAGCCTGGCTCGGTGTGAGAAAGTTAAACTTATATTCAGAACGGATACCGAGACAGCATAAAATTGTAAGAATTCACTATGAGTGTTGTTTCCACTTGGGGTTACTGCAAATATAACTGCTATGAGCATTCTTGTACCTGTCTTTAGGTGAACATATGTATTCAATTCTTTTGCAGATATATCTAGGATTGAGATTGCTGGATCAAGGTGTATATGTATATTTGGGTTTCTAAAAAGCTTTCTTTGGGTAATTTTTTTTTACCTATTATAAAATCACTGATTTGAAGTGTGCAATTCAGTAATTTTTACCAACTTTAATGAGTGTTATACCCATATGATAAATCTGTCATAGAAGATTTTTATGCCCCCAATAAGATCCCTCAGCTACATTTACAGTTATATCCTGTCTTATCCCAGCTCCAAGCCAAAGTAATCTTCCTATCTTTCTATCTCCACAAATTTGCCTTTTCTGGACATTTCATAAAAATGGAATTATGATCCATACCTATGTGGTATCTTGTGTTCACCTTCTTTCACTTAGCATAATTTTCAGAAATCATCCATGATATACCCATGCATCAGGAATTCATTCCTTTTTATTGCCAAATAATATTCTACAGCTTGTCTTTCCCTTCATGAGTTGCTGAGCATTTGGGTTATTTGTAGTTTTGTCTCATTTGAATAATAAATCATCATGAATACTTTTGTTCAAGTCTTTGTATGAACATATATTTTTACTTCTCTTGGGTATGTACCTGGGAATAAAATTTCTGGCTTGTATATTAAATTTATGTTTAGCTTTGTGAGAAACTGAAAAACTGTTCCAAAATGACTGCACTATTTTACATTCCTGCCAGTAATGCATGAGGAGAGGGTTCCTGTTTCTACACATCCTCACCAACGTTCATTATTTTCTGTCTTATATTTATTATAGCTATTTACGAGGGTCTGAAATGATAATGTGTTGTGGTTATAATTTGCATTTCCTTTATGACTAATGGTCTTGGACATTTTTAATGTACTCATTAGCCAGATATATATATCTTCTTTTATGAAATGTCTGTTCATATCTTTTGTCCACTTTTTGATTGGACTGTTTATTTTCTGTTTTTTCTTTTCTTTTTTTTTTATTTTTGAGATAGAGTTTTGCTCTTGCTGCCCAGGCTGGAGTGCAGTGGTGTGATCTTGGCTCACTGCAGCCTCCACCTCCCGGGTTCAAGTGATTCTCCTGCCTCAGCCTCCCAAGTAGCTGAGATCACAGGCATGCACCACCAGCCCTGGCTAAGTTTTGTATTTTTAGTAGAGACAGGGTTTCACCATGTTGGCCAGGCTAGTCTTGAATTCTTGACCTCAAGTGATCTGCCCGCCTCAGCCTCCCAAAGTGCTGGGATTACAGGCGTTAGCCACCGGGCCCAGCCATATCTTCTTACTGTAGACTTCTAAAGATTCTTTCTAAATTCTGGTTTGAAGTTCTTTATCAGATAAGTGTTTTCCAAATATTGTCTCACAGTCTGTAACTGACCTTTTCATTTTCTCTTTCTTTCTTTTTTTAAAAATCAATATATATGTTTTCATTTTTTTAAATTTTTTTTAAAATTATTAATTTTTGTGTGTACATAGTAGGTATATATATTTATGAGTTACATGAGATCTTTTCATACAGGCATGCAATGCATAATAATCACATCATGGGAAATAGGGTATCCATCACCTCAAGCATTTATCCTTTGTGTTATAAACAGTCCAGTTATATTTTTTAGTTATTTTAAAATGTATAATTAGATTATTACTAACTATAATCACCCTGTTGTGCTAGCAAATACTAAGTCTGTTCATTCTTTCTAACCATATTTTTGTACCTATTAACCATCTCCACTCCCCTGCTTCTTCCCAGACTCTTGTAACCATCCTTCAATTCTTTTTATTTTATTTTATTATTATTATACTTTAAGTTTTAGGGTACATGTGCACAATGTGCAGTTTAGTTACATATGTATACATGTGCCATGCTGGTGTGCTGCACCCATTAACTCGTCATTTAGCATTAGGTATATCTCCTAAAGCTATCCCTCCCCCCTCCCCCCACCCCACAACAGTCCCCAGAGTGTGATGTTCCCCTTCCTGTGTCCATGTGTTCTCATTGTTCAGTTCCCACCTATGAGTGAGAATATGCGGTGTTTGGTTTTTTTGTTCTTGCGATAGTTTACTGAGAATGATGATTTCCAATTTCATACATGTCCCTACAAAGGACATGAACTCACATTTTTTATGGCTGCATAGTATTCCACGGTGTATATGTGCCACATTTCCTTAATCCAGTCTATCATTGTTGGACATTTGGGTTGGTTCCAAGTCTTTGCTATTGTGAATAATGCCGCAATAAACATACGTGTGCATGTGTCTTTATAGCAGCATAATTTACAGTCCTTTGGGTATATACCCAGTAATGGGATGGCTGGGTCAAATGGTATTTCTAGTTCTAGATCCCTGAGGAATCGCCACACTGACTTCCACAAGGGTTGAACTAGTTTACAGTCCCACCAACAGTGTAAAAGTGTTCCTATTTCTCCACATCCTCTCCAGCACCTGTTGTTTCCTGACTTTTTAATGATTGCCATTCTAACTGGTGTGAGATGGTATCTCATTGTGGTTTTGATTTGCATTTCTCTGATGGCCAGTGATGGTGAGCATTTTTTCATGTGTTTTTTGGCTGCATAAATGTCTTCTTTTGAGAAGTGTCTGTTCGTGTCCTTCGCCCACTTTTTGATAGGGTTGTTTGTTTTTTTCTTGTAAATTTGTTTGAGTTCATTGTAGATTCTGGATATTAGCCCTTTGTCAGATGAGTAGGTTGTGAAAATTTTCTCCCATTTTGTAGGTTGCCTGTTCGCTCTGATGGTAGTTTCTTTTGCTGTGCAGAAGCTCTTTAGTTTAATTAGATCCCATTTGTCAATTTTGTCTTTTGTTGCCATTGCTTTTGGTGTTTTAGACATGAAGTCCTTGCCCATGCCTATGTCCTGAACGGTAATGCCTAGGTTTTCTTCTAGGGTTTTTATGGTTTTAGGTCTAACATGTAAGTCTTTAATCCATCTTGAATTAATTTTTGTATAAGGTGTAAGGAAGGGATCCAGTTTCAGCTTTCTACATATGGCTAGCCAGTTTTCCCAGCACCATTTATTAAACGGGGAATCCTTTCCCCATTGCTTGTTTTTGTGAGGTTTGTCAAAGATCAGATAGTTGTAGATATGTGGCGTTATTTCTGAGGGCTCTGTTCTGTTCCATTGGTCTATATCTCTGTTTTGGTACCAGTACCATGCTGTTTTGGTTACTGTAGCCTTGTAGTATAGTTTGAAGTCATGTAGCGTGATGCCTCCAGCTTTGTTCTTTTGGCTTAGGATTGACTTGGCAATGCGGGCTCTTTTTTGGTTCCATATGAACTTTAAAGTAGTTTTTTCCAATTCTGTGAAGAAAGTCATTGGTAGCTTGATGGGGATGGCATTAAATCTATAAATTACCTTGGGCAGTATGGCCATTTTCACAATATTGATTCTTCCTACCCATGAGCATGGAATGTTCTTCCATTTCTTTGTATCCTATTTTATTTCATTGAGCAGTGGTTTGTAGTTCTCCTTGAAGAGTTCCTTCACGTCCCTTGTAAGTTGGATTCCTAGGTATTTTATTCTCTTTGAAGCAATTGTGAATGGGAATTCACTCATGATTTGGCTCTCTGTTTGTCTGTTATTGGTGTATAAGAATGCTTGTGATTTTTGCAAGAAGGAATGGTACCAGTTCCTCCTTGTACCTCTGGTAGAATTTGGCTGTGAATCCATCTGGTCCTGCACTCTTTTTGGTTGGTAAACTATTGATTATTGCCACAATTTCAGAGCCTGTTATTGGTCTATTCAGAGAGTCAACTTCTTCCTGGTTTAGTCTTGGGTGGGTGTATGTGTCGAGGAATTTATCCATTTCTTCTAGATTTTCTAGTTTATTTGCGTAGAGGTGTTTGTAGTATTCTCTGATGGTAGTTTGTATTTCTGTGGGATTGGTGGTGATATCCCCTTTATCATTTTTTATTGCATCTATTTGATTCTTCTCTCTTTTCTTCTTTATTAGTCTTGCTAGTGGTCTATCAATTTTGTTGATCCTTTCAAAAAACCAGCTCCTGGATTCGTTAATTTTTTGAAGGGTTTTCTGTGTCTCTATTTCCTTCAGTTCTGCTCTGATTTTAGTTATTTCTTGCCTTCTGCTAGCTTTTGAATGTGTTTGCTCTTGCTTTTCTAGTTCTTTTAATTGTGATGTTAAGGTGTCAATTTTAGATCTTTCCTGCTTTCTCTTGTGGGCATTTAGTGCTATAAATTTACCTCTACACAGTGCTTTGAATGTGTCCCAGAGATTCTGGTATGTTGTGTCTTTGTTCTCGTTGGTTTCAAAGAACATCTTTATTTCTGCCTTCATTTCATTATGTACCCAGTAGTCATTCAGGAGTAGGTTGTTCAGTTTCCACGTAGTTGAGTGGTTTTGAGTGAGTTTTTTAATCCTGAGTTCTAGTTTGATTGCACCGTGGTCTGAGAGACAGTTTGTTATAATTTCTGATCTTTTACATTTGCTGAGGAGAGCTTTATTTCCAACTATGTGTTCAATTTTGGAATAAGGGTGGTGTGGTGCTGAAAAAAATGTATATTCTGTTGATTTGGGGTGGAGAGTTCTGTAGATGTCTATTAGGTCCGTTTGGTGCAGAGCTGAGTTCAATTCCTGGGTATCCTTGTTAACGTTCTGTCTCGTTGATCTGTCTAATGTTGACAGTGGGGTGGCATCCTTCTATTCTTTATGTCCATGATTTCAGTTGTTTTGAGTTTTAGATCTCATAAATAACTTGAGAACATATGATGTTTGTCTTTTTGTGCCTGGCTTATTTTCCTTAACGTAATGATCTCCAGTTCCATCCAGGTTGCAGCTAATGACAGAATCTCATTCTGAATCATACTCCATTGTGTATAAGTACTACATTTTCTTTATCCATTCATCTGTTGATGGATACTTAAGTTGCTTCCAGGATCTTGGCTATTGTGAACAGTGCTGCAACAAACATGGATGGGCAGATATCTCTTCAGTATACAGATTTCCTTTCTTTTGGGTGTATATATATATATATACACACACACATATACACATATGTGTATATATACATATATACATGTGTATGCATATATATGTATACATGCATATATGTATGCATATATATGCATGCATGCGCGCATGTATACAGATATGTATACATGTGTATATGTATACAGATATACATATGTACATATATATACCTGTACATACATATACACACATATACACACACACACACACATATATACACACATATATATCCAACAATTTGATTGCTGGATTATATGGTAACTCAATTTTGAGATTTTTTGTGGAACCTCCAAGTTGTTATCTATGGTGGTTGTACTAATTTACATTCCTACCAAGAGTGTACAAAGGTTTCCTTTTTCTCCACATCCTTGCCAGCATTTGTTACTTCCTGTCTTTTACATAAAAGCCATTTTAATGAGATAAGATGATATCTCCTTGTAGTTTTGATTTGCGTTTATATGATGATCAGTGACATTAAGCACCTTTTCATATACCCATTTGTCTTCTTTTGAGAAATGTCTGTTCATTATTAGACTTTTTTTCTACACAGTAGTTTGAGCTCCTTATATACCCTGACTATTAATCCCTTGTCAAATGCATAGTTTGCAGATATTTTCTCCCATTCTGTAGGTTGTCTCTTTGCTTTGTTGATTGTTTCCTTTGCTGTGCAGAAGCTTTTTAACTTTATGTGATCCCATTTGTCCATTTTTGCTTTGGTTGCCTGTGCTTGTGGAATGTTACTCAAGAAATATTTGCCCAGTCCAGTGTCCTGGAGAATGTCCCCAATGTTTTCTTTTAGTAGTTTTATAGTTTGAGGTCTTAGATTTAAGTCTGTAATACATTTTAATTTGATTTAGGCAAGAGATAGGGTTCTAGTTTCATTCTTCTGCATATGGATATCCAGTTTTCCTAGCACCATTTGTTGGAGAGACTGTCCTTTCCCCAATGTATGTTCTTGAAACCTTTATCAATAATGAGTTCACTGTAGATGTATGGATTTGTTTCCAGGTTCTCAATTCTGTTCCACTGACCTGTGTGTCCGTTTTTACACCAGCACCTTGCTATTTTGGTTACTATAGCTGTGTAGTATAATTTGAAGTCAGGTATATGATTCTTCCAGTTTTGTTCTTTTAGATTAGGTCTTTTTTCTGTTCATTTTCTCATTTAGTTCTTCTTTATTTTTAATTTTTTTGAGATGGAGTTTTGCTTTTGTTGCCCAGGCTGGAGTGCAGTGGTGCAATTTTGGCTCACTGCAACCTCTGCCTCCCAGGTTCAAGCGATTCTTCTGCCTCAGCCTCCCGAGTTGCTGGGATTACAGGCGCCCGCCACCACGCCCAGCTAATTTCTGTATTTTTATTAGAGATGGGGTTTCACCATGTTGGCCAAGATGGTCTTGAACTCCTGACCTCAGGTTATCCACCCGCCTCAGCCTCCCAAAGTGCTGGGATTACAGGCGTGAGCCACCGTGCCTGGCCAATGGCTTATTTTTAGGTGTGAAAGTTTTGAATTTTGACAAGACATAATTTATTATTTCTTTCTAGTATTCACTACACCCTTGGTTTCATATCTAATGAATCTTTGCCTAACCCAACATCTGAAAGATTTTTACCAATATGTTTTCTTGTAAAAATTTAAATCTTCTAACCCCTTCATGTAGGTGTTTGATGCATTTTGAGTTAATGTGTGTATATGGCATGCATTGTGGATCTAAATGCATCTTTTTGCAGTTGTTCATGTGATTATATAAAACACAATTCCTCGAGTAGGCTTCCCTTCTCCAGTGAATTGCTTTGGCACCTTTGCTAGAATTCAATGAACTTATAAATGTAGTTTTTGAATTTTATCATACTGATTTATATGTCTTTCCTTATGCCTGGTTTACACCATCTTCATAACTAACTCTATATAGGCATACTTCACTTTAGTACACTTAGCTTTATTCTGGCATACCTCATTTCATGGCATTTTGCAGATATTGTGTTTTTAAACAATTATTTATATAAATTGAAGCACTGTGGCGATGTACTGAGCAAGTTTCTTGGTGCCATTTTTTCAACAGCATGTGCCCACTTCTTATCTCTATGTCACATTTTTGTAAATCTTGGAATATTTCAAACTTTACAATTTTTATTATATCTGTTATGGTGATCTGTGATCATTGATCTTTGATGTTACTATTGTAATTGCTTTAGGGTGCCACAAACCACGCTATATAAGATGGTAAACTTAATCTGTAAATGTTGTGCTGTGCTCTGCCAATCAGTAGTTCCTTATCTCTGTGCCTCTCCTTGGGCCTCCCTGTTCCCTGAGACAGCAATATTGCAGTTATGGCAACGAATAACTCTACCATCATCTCTTAGGGTCCAAGTGAGTCACACATCTCTCACTTTAAATGAAATGCTAAAAATGATTAAGCTTAATGAGGAAGGCATGTCGAAAGCTGAGATAGGCCAAAAACTAAGTCTCTTGTGCAAAATAGTCAAGTTGTGAATGCAAATGAGAAATCCTTGTAGGAACTGTTTTTTGCTAAAAAGTTAAAAGTGCTACTCCAGTGAAGACACAAATGATAAGAAAGAACAACAGCCTTATAGTTGACATGGGGAAAGTTTGAGTGGTCTGGATAGAAGGTCAAACCAACCACAACATTCCCTTAAACCAAAGTTTAATAAAGAGCAGTACTCTAACTCTTCAATTCTTTGAAGCTTCAGAATGGTGAGGAAGCCTCAGAAGAAAAATTTGAAGCTAGCATAGGTTGTTGGTTCATGAAGTTTAAGGAAAGAAGCTGTCTCTATAACATAAAAGGGCAAAGTGAAGCAGCAAGTGCTAATGTAGATGCATGTTGTCTAGAAGGTGTAGTTAGAAGGTGTAGCTAAGATCATTGACAAAGGCGGCTACAGTAAAATACAACTTTTCTATGTAGATGAAACAGCTTTCTAGTGAAAGTCCTATGTAGGACTTCCATAGCTAGAGAGGAGGAGAAGTCAATGCCTGGCTTCAAAGGGCAGACTGACTCTTTTGTTAGTGGCTAATGCAACTTGTGATGTAAAGTTAAAGCCAGTGCTCATTGACCATTCTGCAAATCCTAGACCCCTTAGGAATTATGCTAAAGCCACTCTGCCTGTGCTCTATAAATGGAACAGCAATGTCTGGATGAAAACACATCTGTTTACAGCACGATTTACTGAATATTTTAAGCCCACTCTTGAAACCTCTGCTACTCAGAAAAAAAGATTCCTATCAAAACATTACTGCTCATATGCAATGCACCTAGTCACCCAAGAGCTCTGATGGAGATATATAAGGAGATTAACGTTGTTTTCCTGCCTCCTAAAACAACATCCATTCTGTGTAGCTCATGGATCAAAGAGTAATTTTGCCTTTAAGTCTTATTAAGAAATACATTTTGTAAGGCCATAGCTGCCATAAACAGTGATTCCTCTAATGGATATGGGCAGAGTATATTGAAAACCTGGAAAGGGTTCACCATTGTAGATGCCATTAAGAACATTTGTGATTCATGGGAACATGAGCAGTTCAATGAATTCTATTACACTATGAGTGCTTTTGGCTAGATTATCTAGCTTTTTGACCTTGGACACATTATTTAATGTAGAGCCTGATCTCCATCTATAAAATGGGAATCACAGTAGTACCCACCTCATATGACCGTTGTGAGGATTAGATGACATTTTATATGGAAAATGTCTGCAGTAAACCGTCCATAAATGGAAGGAGTTTTTTAAAAAATGTTGTTGGTATAATCACCATTATGATCTTTATGATTCTATGTTTTAATTTCATTTTATAATTTATCCTGTGATTTTTTTTACCTCAGCATCACCCTTTATAGGATATAACCACATTTCTTCTCAATACCTATACCAACAGCACTAATCATTAAAGAAATGCAAGCCAAAACCACAATGAGATACACGTCACACTTATTTGAATGGCTGTTATTAAATAGACAAAAGATAACAAGTGTTTTTGAGAGTGTGGAGAAACAGGAAACCTTCTATACAGTTGGTAGGAAGGTAGATTAGTACAGCCACTGTGGAAAATAGTATGAACATTTCTAAAGAAATTAAAAATAGAATGACCATATGACTCAGCAATCCCTCTTCTGGTTATATACCCAAAGGAAATGAAATCAGCACCTCATAATCATGTCTGCATTCCGTTTTTGTTGCATTGTTATTCACATTAGTCAATATATGGAAATAACCAGTGTCTGTTGACAAATGAATGGATAAATTGTGGTATATATACACACACACACACACACACACACACACACAGAATGGATTTTCATTCAGCCTTAAAAAAGAAAGAGATGTGCCATTTGCGACAACATGGATGAACATCATAATGATATTAGCCCAAAAGAGAAAGAAAAATACTGCATGATCTCATTTATATGTGGAATTTAAACAACAAAAAAAAATTCAGTGGTTTTTGTGTAAATTAGTACAATAGAAGATCCAAGGTAGAGTACTTTAAATTAGCAAGATATTTCTAACTGTGCATTTTAAGAACCATTTTTATTTTTCTTCAGTTTGGAACTACAACCTTTAGATATCAAAATGCCCTTTGTAACTTAATTTTTATTCTTTTTTATGAGAGAGGTGCATGTTTTTCAAGTACATTTATCTGTTAACAAAAATAGTTGGAGTTCGCGAAAGCCTATTATTTAGGCAAAGTCTTCCTTTGCAAAGATTCAGACTAAAGTACTAGCAGGTTTTAAATAATACATGATTTATTATATTTTCTTGTTTTTGAACTGAGACATAAAATATCCTTTAACTTAAAAATATGTTTTATTATTTAATAATAAAAGAAGTTGTTTCTTCAAGCTAAATGCCTGGTAAATACATTTTATTATGTGATCAGCTTGTCCGTATTCTAAAATAATAGTTTATGACTTACATGAGCCTATTTTTTCACTTGATTAAGTAACATAATTAGCTGATTTACAATATAAAACATATTCCTAAAACCCTTTTCAGCTTTGAAATTTCAAATGCCACTGTTTCCATATAATGACATGTGAATTTACATTTTAGAAAGCATAATTTAAAATTATATACCTCTATATTTTTAAGGTTCTTGGCAATTTAAGTAGAATAATTTCCATAGAGAGACAATTCTTCCCTCCTACTCTGTATGTACTCTAATGTTGTCTACTTCTTTCTTCTGTTCCTGCAGTGTTACTTACGTTTTTTATACTATCCAGAGGCTTAGGCTGTTTGCCTTTGATGACATGGATATATATTGCTCAGTCATACGCTTTCAAAAAATAATCTCTTCATTTAGTTTTTTTATTATTTTATTACTATTAATTTATAATAAAATTTGGTTTATATGAAGGATCTTAAATAACATATATAAGGTATAATCAATAATATAATGAGTCTATAAGAACTCAGCATAAAAAACAGAACATTTTCAATAGCTTGAAAGCCTCCTGCATACCCCTTCACATAACCCTCCCAGATCATATTGCTTTCCTGTTCTGATACAGATAACCAGTATCTGGAATTTAGTATTTAACATTCCTTTACTTGTTTTTCTTTTTATAGGTTTACTATATGTTTTAGTTTGTGCTAAGTGAAATGGCCACTACTCAACCATTTTTGGTCTATAATTATAGGAATTTTATATGGTTCAGCTGAGTACACACATACACATGCACACTCCCAAACACACTGGCCTGTTGTTGAACATTATATAAGTGATGTTACAGTGTAGTATTCCCACTACTTTCTTTTTTTACTCAACATTATCACCTAGAGATTCATTCATGTTGCTGTGCAAAGCTCTATTTAATAAATTTGTGCTGCCATATAGTATTCCGTTATATGAATATTCCCCAATTACTTTATAAATTTTCTTGTTTATGGACGTTTATTGCTGCTTTCAGGTTTTTGGTGTTTTGACTTTTATAAGTAATGCTGCCATACTTCTTTTTTCACATATCCCAACAAGTGTCTCTAGGTAGGTATATAAAGTAGTGAAATTGCAGAGACCTAGGGCATATACATATTCAATTTTTATAAACAATACTAATTTTCCAAAGTAATTGACCAAAAGTATACTTTTACCATCAGTGTAAAGATTGTTCCTTTGTACTAAATCTTTATCATTTTTTTATTTTCTGTTTTTTAATATTTGCTCCTCTGGTGGATATTATGTGGTATTTAATTGACCTTTGACTTTGCATGGTATCTAATTGAGGTTCTAATTAAGGTTCTAATTATTAATGAAGTAATGAAGTGGAATATTTTTAAATACATTTATTATCCATTCATTTTTCCTCCATTTTGAATGACCTGCTCATGTCGTATTCTGGTTTTGGTATTAGGGTAATATCGGCTTCATAGAATGAATTGGGAAGTGTTCTTTCCTTTCAATTGTTGGAAGTTTGTGAAGGATTCATATTAATTCTTGAAGTTTTTGGTAGACTTCACCAAATTAATAATTTTTAATTAGTAATTTAATCTCTTTACTCATTGCAGGCCTATTCAGATTTTCTATATCTTTTTGAGTCTATTTTCTTAGCTGGCATCTTTTTAGGAATTTGTCCATATTATCTAGGTTATCTAATTGAGTGTCATACAGTTGGTATATCTTTTTGATCTTCTGTAAGGTTGGTAGTAATGTTCTCTTTTTCGTTCCTGATTTTACTAATTTGAGTCTTCTCTTTTTTTTCTCCCGGTCACTGTAGCCAAAGATTTGTCAATTTTGTTGAACTGTCATATGTTTTTCATATTTCGTTAATTATGTTTATTTTTTGATTCTCTATTTCATTAATTTTATTATTTCCTTTATTCTTCTTGCTGTTAGGTTTACTTTGCTATTTTCCCAGGGCCTTAAGGTAAGAAGTTAGGTGATTGATTTGAGATATTTCTTCTTTTGTAATATAGGCATTTACAGCTTTAAATTTCCCTGAAACACACTGCTTTTACCTGTATCACAGAAGTATTGGTATGTTTTCATCTCTATTCATCTGAAAATATTTTCTAATTTTCATTGTAATATTATTTGATGTGTTGGTTTTTTAGGAGTATATTGTTTAATGTTCACATTTGTGAATTTTCAAAATTTCTTTGTTATTGATTTCTAATTTATTCCATGTGCTCAGAGAACATACTTTGTATTATTCCTGTCCTTTAAAATTATTAATGCTTGTTTTATGACCTGGCTTATGGTATATTCTGGAATATGTTCAATGTGTATTTGAGGAGAATGTGTGTTCTGCTTTTTTTGAATGGCATGTTCTATAGATAATCTGTTATGTATACTTAGTTTATAGGCCTATTAATGTCTTCTATTTCCTATTCATCTTCTGCCTAGTTGTTCTATTCATCATTTAAAGTGGGGTATTGAAGTGTGCAACTATTATTGTGGAATTATTTATTTTTCCCTTCAATTCTGTCAGTTTTGCTTTAATGTACTTTGGTACTCTGTTGTTAGTTGTATGTGTGTTTATACTTTATATGTCTTCTGGATGGATTGACCTTATTATTATTATTAAATATTCCTCTTTGTTTCTACTAATATTTTTTGGTTTGAAGTCCATTTTTTTCTATATTGGCATTGCCACTCCAGCTTTCTTATGCTTGCTATTTGTATAATATATGTCTCCCTTTTACATTTAACATAATTATATGTTTAAATCTAACATGTGTTTGCTATAGAAAGCATACAACTGGATCTTGTTTTTTTTTTTAATTTTCCAGTCTGAAAATATGTGCCTTTTGATTAATTTGTATAATCAATTAATAGTTAATGTCATTATTGGCATGGGTGCACTTATGTCTGTCTCTTTGTTTTCTATATGCATAATCTTTTCTGTTCCTCTGTTCCTCTCACTGGTTTCGTTTGTATTAA
The DNA here is from genome assembly GCF_000001405.40 of Homo sapiens. Classification (NCBI taxonomy): domain Eukaryota; kingdom Metazoa; phylum Chordata; class Mammalia; order Primates; family Hominidae; genus Homo; species Homo sapiens. The sequence goes on along the minus strand of NC_000023.11, from coordinate 68,159,836 downwards.
ATGGAAATTTTTTGTTGTAACATTTTAATCCTTTAATGGTATTTTCTTATTTTACTCGTTTTCTTAATTGTTGCTCTAGGACTTAACAATTTATGTGAGAACTTACCAGAATTTCTTTCAGATGTTAAATTTTCCTGAGCTGTAGCTATTTCTTCTCCCTTTTTTGGTGCTGTTATTACACATATGACGTCTAAATACGTTATGTAACTCCAACAATACATTATTACAATGATTACTTTTGATAGTTTTTTTGTCTTTTACTGAACCTGAGAGAGGAATGGAGAGCAAGTATATAATTTTAAAAACTTGTTGATTAAACTTCTCATTTACTATTTCTAATGTTCTTCATTTCTTGGTATCATACCCAGCTGTTATCCCTGAGTAATTGTTGACCGATTGCTACATTGACTTTGACAGTTTCCTGGGACATAATCTGCTCCACAGTGATACATTTATTTTTGGACCCCTTTGCAGGAATAGTCTTTGAGGCCAGTGTTTCATGCTTGCTCCAGCCATAGGTGGGCTTTTCTCAGCTATGTGTTTGTTTCTCACTTGTAAACTGGCTGGCCTATGATTTAAAGAGCTCATTAAACTACTAACCTCCTCATAATTGCTTACCACAAAAATCTACACTGTTTTCAGGGACTCCCTTAGGCTCAAACTTCCTTACACTCTGTTTTAAATAAAAATCAGTTCCCTTCTAGAGAGCCTTGGACCTGTTTTTTAATAGCCTGCCTCTCCCCGTGGGCAGAACATATGCACTAAAGCTTTGGGAGGTAGGGGTGGGGACAGTGTCATCCTTCTCTCAGAATGGCATCCATGCTCTAGGAAGAGGACATTGGGTAAAAACAGTAACCCGTGGTCTTCTTGGCTTCCCCCTCCCTGCATGGAACCTCTGCCTTGTGAATTAGCTGGAGCAGGGCTGATTGGGGCCTAGTATTCTCAGATTACTTTTCCTAGGGTAGAGCTTCCGTCCTGTGACTGGTCACTTGATTGAGGAAAGGAGCTCCAGACCTCTATAACATGATTGCCTCCATAGAGCTTTTGTAACCTAGAGCTGAGGGTAGGATGAAAAATTCCAATCACCTGCTAGAGGGAAAAGTGCATGCCCTTGGTTTTTGGCTGCCCCAGCCATAAGCAAAACTTTATCCTGCTAAGCCATCCAGGGGAAGGGGGAGGGAGCAGGTTGTGGCTCAGATGCCACAGACTCTTGCTCTTCTTACTGAGATTTCATAGATTTTACTAAAAATGTTTCTCCATTTGCCGTATACCATCAGGACAGATTCTAGAGACTCTAAATGGTTATTTTTCAAACAAATAATTTTCCCCAGTTGTGGTTGTTTTGCTGGGAGCTCCTCATGTTGCCATTGCACATGTATCTCTTCTAACGTGGAGAAACATTTGACATACAAAAAGTATACTGTAATAATAACAGTCTAACCAAACTTTCCAGACAACAGCAGGATTTTCCTCCAACATCTGTGTTTGATACACAGTTGCTTATATTTTGTTTGTACTCTTGTATATGTCACTGCCCTGCAGCCACAGTACCTACCTGTGTTTGAAAACAGGTCCAGCCTATACCTGCCTTTGGCCTTTGCACTAGCTAGTTTCTCTTTCTACACTGCTTTTGCGCAAGGCTCTTTCTCCATTTTCTTCAGATCTCAACATAAACTTCACCTTATTGCAGAAACTTTCCCATATCACTGGATAGAAAATAGCACCTCTTTGGCAGGCACCTGTAGTCCCAGTCCCAGCTACTTGGGAGGCTGAGGCAGGAGAATGGCGTGAACCCGGGAGGTGGAGCTTGCAGTGAGCCCAGATTGTGCCGCTGCACTCCAGCCTGGGCAACAGAGCGAGACTCCGTCTCAAAGAAAAAAAAGAAAAAAAAGAAAAGAAAATAGCACCTCTTTATCTCTCTTGATCCCTCATATTTCATTTTACCAATACTTAATGTATTTTGTCATATATTTTAATTATTTGTTTATCCTTTCTTTGCCATCGTTAGTACTTAAGCTCCATAGGGGTATGAATTTTGTCTGTTTTGTGTTTTGTGGTATGCCTAGTATGTAGATCAGTGCCATGCACAAAGTAGACTTTTTATTTTATTTTATTTTGTTATTTATTTAAATTTCCAGTTTTATTTTAGATACAGGGGGTGCGTGGGCAGGTTTGTTACATGCATATGTTACACCCAGGTAGTGAGCATAGTATCTGTAGCTAGTTTTTCAACCCACGCCCTCCTCTTTCTTCCCCCGTCTAATAGTCTTCAGTGTCTATTGGGCCCATGTTTATGTCCAGGTGTGCTCAATGTTTTGCTTCCACTTATAAATGAGAACATGTGGTGTTTGGTTTTCTGTTCCCGCATTAGTTCGCTTAAAATTATGGCCTCCAGCTGCATCCATGTTGCTGCAAAGGACATGATTTTGTTCTTTTTATGGCTGCATAGTATTCCATGGTGTATATGTACTACAGTTTCTTTATCCAACATACTATTGGATGGTATACTTTTAATAAATATTTTTAGAGTGAATAAATGAGTTACAGTATGGCAATTTTATCTATCCCCAGAGGAGCACTGTCCAATACAACTTTCTATTATGATGGAAATGTTCTCTGTCTGAGTTATCCAATGTGGTAGATGCTAGTTACATGTGGTCACTGAGGATTTGAAAGATAGCTAGTGCAACTGAGGAAATATATTTTAAATTTTATTTAATATAAATTCAGATTAAATTAGGCCAAGTGTGCATATGGTTACTTTACAGCACAACTCCAAAAAGTCGTCCGCCTTACCATGGCATCTTTTCAAGGCATAATTTTTACCTTTTATTCCTATTCATGGAGTTACTTCTAGCATTGCTGGTATTGTCATCATTTTTACTACATACTATGTGCACTGTAAGCATCTTGGGTCTTTATAGAAACTCCCTTTGGTTATACTTGCTGTCAATAAACAAGAGTTCAATTATCGGGATTTGTCTACAAATGAAATTACATCCTTAATTTTGCTTGATTTTGGAAATAAGCATCTAGTTGTCTCTTCATTTCTTCTTTCATATGTGATACATTTTGTAAATTTTTTCAAGTCATATTGTTTTTGCAATAAAATGGCATGAAGTACTGATGCATAACAACATGAATGAACCTTGAAAACATTATACTAAATGGAAGAAGGCAGTGATAGGAGATCAAATGTTGTTTGAGTGCATTTATATGAAATTTCCATAATAGGCCAATCTACAGAGAAAGAAAGTCGATTAGTGGTTGCCCAGGCTGGTGGGGAATAGGGGAAATGGGGACTCACTGCTGAAGGGTTTGGGCTTTCTTTCTGCATGATGAAAATGTTCTATAATTAGTTATGGTTATAGTTGTACAATTTGTGAATATACTAAAAGCCTCTGAATTTCATATTTCAGTATGTTTGTGTGTGTATGCATGTCTTATATTTTTATATTTATTTTATCTTTTTTCTTTTTTTATCTTTTTTTTTTCAAATTACCCAGAATCTGAGATGTGTTTTTTTTTTTTTACCTCTTCCTTCAGAGATTCTGATTCATCAGAACTAAGATGATAATCTGCATTTTAAACAAGCAATCCAAGTGATTCTGATTTAGGTTGCCAAAAGATTTTTTTCTTTAAGAAACAATGCTTTAGGCAAGGATGTTATTAATCTTTCTTTAAGAAATTTCTGATAAAGTAGGGAAATGCATATCTTTCCCCTAATTATATATGAATATCCTGGCCTCCCTGATACCATGGTTATATTTTGAACTGAAATTTGTAGTTATTGATGATGCTGACACATTTTCTCTGTATTTGGCATGCCATTGCTATTTTAGACATATAAGGACACTCAATTGCTGTATGGTACTCAGATGGCTTTATCTTATCAGTTGAAATTTCTTCTTATTCTTTGTATTTTTCTTTAAAAAATAGATTTGGTACTTGCCATACCATAACCTCTGTTATTACAACTGTTTTACCATTACTTTGAAACCTATTGTAGAGAAACAAGAACTCTTTCTCTACATTATCCCAGTCTTCACATTTTGTAAGCTGCTTATCAGGTTGGGTTTTCTAGTAAGATATCAGAAGCACAGCCTACACAGGGCAGAGTATGTCCAACATGTGGTGGTGGGCAATCTGTGTCTTAATCATCTGGAATGTTTGTTAAATATCCTGGGATCTGAGAATCAAAATTTCTGAAGAGGTAGTGTATTAGTCTGTTTTTACACTGCTGTAAAGATACTACCCGAGACTGGGTAATTTGTAAAGAAAAAGGTTTAATTGACTCACAGATCCACATGGCTAGGGTGGCCTCAGGAAATTCACAGTCATGGCGGAAGGCAAAGGGGAAGCAAGGACCTTCTTCACATGGTGGCAGGAGAGCAGCATGGGGGAAACTGCCCCCTGATCCAATCACCTCCCACCAGGTCTGTCTCTAGACATGTGGGGAGTATGGGGATTACAATTCAAGATGAGATTTGGGTGGGGACACAAAGGCTAATCATATCAGGTAGCTTGAGTATACAGGTTACTATCATGTCCACTGAAGTCTGAGAGCAACTGACGTAAATTTTTCATTTTCCTTTTTTTGTGTGCCAAAACTGTAGATGAGAGAACCACTGATTTATGTAGTGATCTGTGCCTTTATGTTCTCTAATACACAACTTCAGAACAGTTTTAAAATTCATTCTGATTCTTCCTTAACTTGGTCATTATATTTGCTTTTCTTGGGATGGGTAGAATTTTGCAGTTTCACTTGAAACTGATTTTTGCCTCTCTACTTGATCTTGCTTGTCTAATAAAAACTGTGCTTTGCACCCTCTAGCATGCTTTTTGTCACCTGGCTCTACTCCCGATTTCTACACTACTTAACTTGGTCAGCATAGACTTCACCTTTAATAGACTTAAAAAAAATCTCTGCTACTCCGTTTATGTGTGTGTGTGTGTGTGTGTGTGTGTGTGTGTGGTGTGTACTATTGTTCTGCTAATGTTCTTTTATGCTTTGGTCCTTCTTATAAATCCATAAAACCATAGGGATAACAGTATTACAATTTTAAATACCTGTAACCTCTGACCTTTCACAGAAAATATGAAATACATAGACGTATTGACCTGACCATTTCTAAATTGCTATGGCTTCTAACCTTTTCCAGCAATCTGAAAAGTTGTGGGAATTTATATTCTATTTGTAAAGAAAGGACTAAGAACTGTGACTTCAAAATAAGAATCATAGTAGACCAGTTATAAAATGCACTATCTAAAAAGGTATGCTTCACATTTATGATCCCGGTATTTGCATTCTGTGTCAAACATTAAATATGAGAGAATTATTCCAAGAGAGATGAGGAAGAATCGATATAATTTTAGCTGGCAGAATTTATTAACATATTTGCTTATCAGTCCTCACAAATTATGAGCTGTCCTTAGGTGATATATTTATTTGGATTCTGCTGTGTTGTTTTGGTGGCAACACCATGCCTGAATAGGTGAAAGGGGCTCTGGAATCTAGATACTTGCCTTAAAACCTTGTCCCTGCCATCTGCTAGTTATGCTGCTAGTCTAGTTGGCTCTCCTGTCTGAGCCTCTCTTTCTCCACAGGTGAAAGGGGAAAATAATAGTGCCCATGTCATAGAGTTATAGTGAGGAACATCTGAAATAATTCACAGAAAGCACTTAGTGCAATGTTTGGCATATGGTAAGCACTCTGTAAATATTAGCTGCTATTATTTTCATGATTGTTAATAAAATTGCTGCCAATGTTGTTCTTTGTCTACAGCAGTGTTTCTTAACCTTTTTAGACATAAGGTCCTTCTCTTATAACGAACATTTGGTAACTCCTCCTTTAATATTATGGAATGAAAATCAAAGATCTATAACCTGTATACATATAATTTTGAAAAATGTTAATATTATTCTTTAATGGTAATAGAAACAAAATAGTAGTCCAGGGCTACAGTGTATGACCACTATATCATAAATCCCCAAGACCTGTCTCAGGTTCATAAATTTACTAGAAGGAATCACGGGGTCTCAGCATATACTTGTATTAGTGGCTGAGGGTTATTATAATGGCATAAGTGAGAACATATAGCCAAATCATAAGGGAAAAAGACACAGGTGGCATGTGCAGGAATCCTTGTGCAAGCTTCCTTACGCTCTCTCCCTTCAACAAGGGGTCACACAAAGCACATTCTTACCCCAGTAACAAAAAGAAAGCAACACATGCAATGTTTCTGTCTAGGGAAGGCCATTAGACACTCAATGTTCAGGGTTTTCCTTGGGGGCTGGTCACACTCTCTGCCTCATACTTACCACAATTACAGATAAAAGAAGGTATTCAGTCATATTATTTGAAGTGCTTGAGAGGGTATCTGGTGGTCTAACTGCTTCTTCTACAGAATTTCAGTCATTTCTCCTATTTTCAGCTCTACCAAAACTCACCACTTACATAAGTAATCCTGATTGGTATGGCTTTCTGAGGTTTGGTGCCACAAGACAGCTTATTTACTATTGGTGTCAAAATATTTAAGTTGGTTTGAGATTTTTCTGGTACAACAAGCTATTAATAATTTGCCCATTTGCTTTCTTTCTTTCTTTTTTCTTTTTTTTTTTTTTTTGACATGGAGTCTCGCTCTGTCACCCAGGCTGGAGTGCAGTGGCGTGATCTCGGCTCACTGCAACCTCCGCCTCCCGGGTTCAAGTGATTTTCCTGCCTCAGCCTCTCAAATAGCTGGGACTACAGGTACCCGCCACCACACCCAGCTGGTTTTTGTATTTTTAGTAGAGATGGGGTTTCACCATGTTGGCCAGTCTGGTCTTGAATTCCTGACCTCACGTGATCCACCTGCCTTGGCCTCCCAAAGTGCTGGGATTACAGATGTGAGCCTCCACAGCCGGCCTGTGTATTTACTTTCTAATTTACAACATTCTGTTAACAGCTATTGTCTGCCCTATAGCCTCCCCTACTCTCTATACATGTACATTCTTCAATAAGTCAACATGAGCATGTTTACTTGCTGACCGTAAGGAGCTAGCAGATTAGAAGTGGATGGAGATATTAAGAGGGAATCAATAGGGTAAGGTCAGGCCAAGTGGGGTGGCTAACACCTGTAATCCCAGCACTTTGGGAGGCCAAGACAGGTGGATCACTTGAGTCCAGGAGTTCCATACCAGCCTGGACAACATAGTGAGACCTTGTGTCTACAAATAATACAAAAATTAGCTGGGCATGGTGGCATGTGCCTGTGGTCCAGCTACTTGGGAGTCTGAGGTGGGAGGATCACCTGAGCCTGGGGAGGTCGAGGCTGCAGTGGGCTGTGATTTTGCCACTGCACTCCAGTCTCGGGGCTACACTCTGTCTCAAAAAAAAAAAAGAATAAAAAAATAGGATAAGGTTCTGAGGACAATGAAGAAAGGGTCTGAGATGTGGAGCACTTATTGAGAGATGAGCCTTTGATAGGAGGATGGCCTCCTCTTTCATTGTAACAGGAGGTTAAGAGGAGAGGTTTTAGTAAACACAAGAAACTTTGTCAATTTGGGAAAGAAAAGAGAAGGACGTGTTTGTATGGTGGTTTCTGCCTTCTCTATGAAGTGTATGGTAAGGCTACCTGCTGAGAGGGGTGATATGGTTTGGATGTTTGTTGCCACCTAGATCTCATGTTGAATTGTAATCTACAATGTTGGAGGTGGGGCCTCATGGGAGGTGATTGGATCATGGAGATGGTTTCTCATGAGTGGGTTAGCATCATCCCCTCAGTGCCATTCTTGTGATAGTGAGTGAGTAAGTCCTCGCAAGATCTGGTTGTTTTTAAAGTGTGTAGCACCCCCTGACCCCACCCCTGTTTCTTCTGCTCTGGCCATGTAGACACGCCTGCTTCCCCTTCACCTTCCACCATGATTATAAGTTTCCTGAGGCCTCCCCAGAAGCAGATGCTGCCATGCTTTCTGTACAGCCTGTGGAACCCTGAGCCAATTAAACCTCTTTTCTTTATAAATTACCTAGTCTGAGGTAGTTCTTTATAGCAGTTCGAGAGCAGACTAATACAAGGAAGTAAAGATGTGAGGGATTTCAGGTCTTGGGAAATTGGAGGAAGTTTGAAATAACCGTTTCAAGGGAGGGAAGGAGTACATTGACCTGAGAACACAGACTTGCTAGAAGGTGTTAAATGCCCAGGGGAGATTGTTGATTGTGAGTATATGGTGACACCAGTCTTACCTGTTGTGTGACTTTTTTAGCAGCATCTAGCTGCCCCTGTGCAGGACTTGTCAATGCTGGGTTCACCTCATCCAGGGGTGGACTAAAAACTGTTGATAAAATCATAACAGGTTGAATGTTACTGCCTATGAAGTTTAAGGTCTTTCCTTGCTCAGCATCATTTTATTTTCATGATGGTTTGTTGGAGGATGGGTCTCGATATGTCTTTCAGCCTCAATTGACTCATACCTACTAAGACTGGAAAGGCATGCTCTCCAGCCAGCTGACCTCTTGAATATACGATGACAAACTATTATCTGCTGCCTGTTTTTGTAAAATAAAAGTTTTACTGAAACATAGCCACACCCATTCTTTTACTTGTTGTCTATGGCTGCTTTTCTCCTACAATGGTAGAGGTAAATAATTGTGATAAAAACTATATGGCGGGCAAAATCTAAAGTGTATATGTGGCCCTTTACAGAAAAAGTTTGCCAACCTCTGGCCTCTAGGCAGCTGTCTGAATCCTGAAGCCACTGTTACACTGTGTGCTGTTTACTGACATTTTTTCCCTTAGGTGGTGTCATAGTCCTGCATTTTTGGCTTCTTAATCTAGTTCCTTACTTAAATATGATTCAAGTACTTTCTTTTCTTCCACTAAATAAATTTTACATACACACAGAGAGATAGAGAGACATGTATATTTCAATAAGTTCTGCCAATGTGAATTAATAAATAAGAAGTGTTATAATAATAATGGACATAGAATTCCAATTTCAGACTCATTTTTTAATCACAAAATTCTATTACTGACAAATATGTAGGTACTCTTCCGTACAAATTTTTCTGAGTTACTTAATTTCTCCTGGCCTCACCTCTTTGGGAGGTAATTTAGATGAAATGGCTTAAAAAAGTTATAGTTTCACAACTATTCCTCAAAGTCCTAGAATCTTTTTACTTTGCTGACTCTACTTGCTTAATTATATTTGCTAATCCATTTCATTAGTCAACACTTGGCAAGCCCAAGTGTACTCATCTGTCTATTACCTTTTCATCTACTTTAGTCTTAAGTAAACAAATGCCAGTTCATGTTCTCAGATACTCAGATGTAGGTTTAATTGTTAATATCTTATTCATTATTGTACAAGCTTTTGCTGTTGAATTTTAATATTAAAATAATGATAGGTTAGATTTGTGCTCACAACTTATTATTATGTTCCATTTTTTCCCACTCAACCGTACATTATGTACCCTTTCTTCAAGATTACTGTACAGAATGATTCTTACATATTTCAGTGTGACATTCTTTTTTTATTGAGGTGGAATTCATATATTAACTATTTTCAAGTAAAAGTTCAGTGGCATATCATACCCTTACAGTGTTGTGCAGCTGCCACCTCTATCTAATGCTAAAACTTTTCCCTCACCCTAAAAGGAAACTCCATTTCTCTTAAGCATTTGCTCCTCATTCCTGTTTTTCTCCTACTCTGGTAACCACCCGTCTTATTTCTTTTTTTGTAAATTTCCCTGTTCTGGATATCTCACCCATATCTAGATGATTCTGTGTGGTGTGTAATATGTGATATTTTATGTTAGGCCTCTTTCACTGAGCATAATGTTTATGAGTTTTGTCCATATTGTAGCATGTTCAGTTTTTCATGCTTTGTCATAGTTAATAATATTCCCTTGTTTATATATACCATGTTTTGTTTATCCATTAATCCATTGATGAACATTTGAGCTGTTTCCGCCTTTTAGTTCTTGTGAATAGTGCTGGTATGAACATCAATGTCCATGTACTTGTTTGAGTGTCTGTTTTAAATTTTTTTTTTTTGGTATATAACTAGGAGTAGAATTACAGGATCATATGACAATTTCATATTTAAGTTTTCGAGGAACCATGAAACTGTTTTTCATAGCAGCTGAACCATTCTACATTCCCAACAGCAATGTATGAGGATCCCAGTTTTTCCATATCCTCACCAGCACTTCTAATTTTCTAGTGTTTTGATTATAGCCATCCTTGTGTGTGTAAAGCAGTATCTATTTGTGGTTTTGATTTGCATTTCCCTACAGATTAATGTCAAGCATCTCTTCATGTGCTTTTGGCCATTTGTATATCTTCTTTGCTGATATGTTCTTGTTCATCTTATTTTTCCTTCACAACTGGAGAAGACAGGGTATATATAAATGATACTAATTATGAGAAAAATCATAGTCATGGAAAATCTTGAGACTTCAGGTCAGTAGCTTCATATCTACCATGGAGGTTAATTTAATGCTTGTTAGCTAAAACTTTGGTAAAACTTCTCATAAATTGGTTTGCTTCATATTCATTAGAGCCTTCCACTCAAAGATGTGATAATTGTTATTTTGACTATTTGCAAGGGATTTGGAAAGGTCAGTGTATGTGGTGATTTTTCATTTGGTTGGTTGAATTATGAAAGCTGCAGGAGCAAGGAGTCATTTATTGGAATGAGTCTTGCAGAGTCCTTAAAATACATATCTCAGATATGGCTTTGTTATTCTTCATAATGACATTTCTGAATTTGGGAATTCTGACAAAGTATCTGCAGGACCACATTATGGCTTTCATGGGCAATAGGTACTTTTGTTTTGTGGGCCATGAAAAATTTTGCTACATAAAAGATATTAAAATATCTTTCAGAAATACTAAAAATTTCCATGAAAATATTATAATTCTATTTTCTGTCTACATTGCTATAGAGATGAATATTTTACAGGCTGTCTTGTATTCATATTTTCTTCTGATTTTAAAAGAAATTAAAACATTACAGAACCTCTAACAGTATCCTGGGCCCAAGGCATTATGCTTGCTTTGTGCAGTGGGATGTGGGCCCTGGATATCTGAAGATATCTATCATGATTTTGTTTAGCCCTTTGTGATTTTTATTATCATTGATGTGTGAGTTCTTAACAGTTACTGTGATTACTTCCTAATAATAATGTGCTCTTTACGGCTACTTTGAAATGTCCATTTCATATAACTCAGATCATAATAAACTTGCCCTTTTTCCTCATTTTCATTATGGGCTCAGCCGTCTCAGCTTGTTCAATTTTATTTGCATTTTCCTCCTCATATTCTGCTTGTTACCATTTGAGCTCTCAGCTGCTGGAAAGCCCTTCCCAGAGCAGGTCTTTGGGGATAACAGGTTTCACTAAATTGGTTTCAGAAGGTGAAGTTTAGTGTTCATTTGGTCTCCACTGGCAGCCCTGAGGAGATATGATAACACAGGCTGGAAAAGAAAAATTCCAATTTCATAAAGAGCATTCTGTACAGTGTTGGCATAAACAACCCTGATACTAGCAAGGAGAACAGACTAGCTTTGGGATAGTATACAAGTTTATTGCTAACTCTTCTTTTTTATGGTGTTATCATATTATCGTATCCTTTAACATCCTTTGTGGTTTTTTTCTTGTTCCATGTTCACTTTTCCAAATCTCATTGCCTGTCATCATCTTCCTTCCATCACTGGCATTTTTTATTAATGATCTGCTTTCTCCTTTCCCATAAGCCAGTCTTAGTGTCTTCTAGCAATGTCATTTAAAATCCCACTTCCTCATTCAAGCCACAGTCCATAGCACTAAGCCTTTCTTCTTCCTTTCTCATAACTGGAAATAACAGATCTCTCAGGAAACCTTCATTTCCCTTACTGAGAGATGGTGCTCAAGTCAAAAGCATAGGAGCTCACATAGAAAGCAAATTCTTTAGAGATCCTTGATTACAGGAAAACAGGCCACAGGTCATGTTAAACCATTAATTTTTGGAGCTAGCCATGAAGCTTAATCAAATTGATGTTAAAACGATTCTTTTAAGGCATTGACTATCCACGCATTGATTCTTAGGCTCTATTTCATCATCATAACTTCCTTTACATTTTTATGATAACAGGAATAGCAACATTATTATCATCATTCATAGTAACAAATGTTTATATAGTGTTTAGTGAGTACCAAAGTCTAAGCTTTTTGCATTTATGAACTTATTTAATTCTCATAACTCTTATAAACTGGGTGCTATTTTTTACCTCATGTCATTGAAATCAAATAATTTGCCCTAAGTCACTCAGCAAGTAAGTGGGGATTTATCATCTCCTGTTCATCTTGTAAGCTGTTTTCTATTTCAGGAAGCTTAAGAAATCTCAGTTTTATTCTGTGAAGGCTAATTCATATTATTAGCACATCAGGAAAACCTGTTACAAACAAATATTCAGCAGAGACATAGAAATCAAGAACTGTGTTCCTCATATCAAGTGTATGATCAAGGCAAACTGGGAACTGCTTTTATATGACTCTCTCCCAATCACACTGAATTCTATGATTCCTTATCCCATTTCCTTCACTAAGGTTATCCTTGGGGTTGATTCCTGCCAACTTGGGGATCTCCTTGAATGACATCCTTTCTAATTCCTACTGTTAGAGTAGATCTAGTTAGGGAGGACATTTATGAAGAAAGACCTCTCCCACAACACCTTGAAACCGTTGTAGCTTACTTATCCTGAGTGGACAGGCATGGGCTTGGAGGGTGAAGGGGTCTTGCAGTTCTAACATGTTACTCATGTTCTTTCAGTCATCTTCTTAAATATACTTTGTAGAACTATGAGGCCTTATGGAGATCTTAGGAGAAGTACTAATGAACATAGAATTTCTGTTTTTAATCATACAGTATTCCAATTTTCAGTTGCCATATGTACATATATGTACACAGACTTGTGTGTGGATGCATGCCTGCTTGTGAACATGTTTGCCTTTGTGTACACACACAGACACACGCCTTTGTGTACACACACAGACACACACAAACACACACACCTGCAAAGATAGTTTGAGGTAACCATAATCTTTCTGTGGTAAGCATCTGAGGTCTTTGTAAAGAGGAGTGTACTTTCCATTTATGGCATGGCAAATACATTAATCCCAAGAACTCTCAATATCAAGGCCCTTTTATGGAAAGTTTCAAGAAGCTTTCCTAGGCCCCTCTGCTGACCTAATTATCGGGGTAATCTGTTTTATCACCGTCAGGTGGAGCCAGGATACTTTTAAATTTGGGATAAGGGTCAGATGTATTAATCCATATCCCAGAGTATACAAATTAACTCTTGGCCAGCTTTATATAAAATAAAGTACAAAGTCAGGTTCTCAGATAAGGTTGGTATGTTGTTTGGTCTTTCTTTTTATTCTATTCCTGATAAAGATTCACTTGTTGTAATCCAGTTATCTCACTAATTAACTAATATTTATATTATTAACACAACAAAAGGAAAACTGGTGGATATCACAGGCCTCCACAGGACAGGCAAGTGAATGAATCACTTAAGCTGGTTAAGGACTGTAGTGATCTGTAGAGCATATACTCTGCCTAAAGAGGGCAGCCATGTCTTAAAAATTTCCACACACTAGCCTTACTAGAATGTGGACTTTATGCTGCCAGAGCTTCTGATTTTTCAAGAAACGTTTGGAATCCAGATATTTGTATGAAAACTAATTTTTCAATGCTAGCAGTTAATTCTAATTTTTAAAATACGATGCCATATAATGAATAAACTATTATAGGAGTTGACAATTTTTTTCTGTAAAGGGTCAGTTAGTAAATAGTTTGGACTTTGAGGTCTGTATGGTCTCTGTTTCAAGTTCTCAGTTCTGCAGTTGTAATATGGAAGCAGCTGTAGACAATAAGCTAATGAAAATGGTGTGTTCCAGTAATATTTACAAAAACAGGTAAAGGCCTATTTTGGCCCAGTGGTGGTAAGTTTGCCAACCTCTGAACTAAAATAAGATGTATCAAACATGTGTAAGTATCGAAACATAATTTGACTAAACAAAGTGAGCTGTAGAAGGATTCAAACATTTTATTACCATTTGGATTAAATGTAAAAACCTGCTAAAAAATGCATTTATGGGTATGTGCATGTATTTGAATGATAAAGATTGAATTTATGATAGTGGTTGTCTCTGGAGAGGGAAGGATGTGGGTCCAGAGAGGAATTGATTACAGTATTTAATTTCTTTATAAAAAGGATCTGATGGAAATACAGCATGATATTAAAATATGATTAGTACATGGGTGTTTGCTTCCCCCCACCTTTTTGTCTTTATATTTGAAATACTTTACGAATAAAAAACATTAGTATGCAAGGCAATCAAAACATGTCTGCAGACTTAATTTGACTCAGATGCCATCATTTTGAACAACCTCTGCTGTTCATGCGTGCAAGCATTCTAAGGATATCAGCTTTGTAGAAAATGATGAGTCTTTATGTCAACAAGTTGGAATCTACTACCCATATATTTGGAGGTTTTCAATGCAATAACAGTTTGTGATAGGTGATATGAATGATAACCAAGATGTAAGCTGGTTTTCATCAACCTATATCATTTCTTTTATTTCTGTTTACAAAATCAGGCATAACTTCTTGACAATGTACATATATTATAATTACTTTTTAATGACCTTGTTATCTAGCATTCCTCATAGTATCTTTCTGTTCCCTCTGAGGTTTCTCAGAGTTTTATACAGTGTCAGCTTGTTCTTATTAGATCTAATTATTTCATAATCCAATTTACCATTTCTACTCATCATCGAAGACTTTCCTCAGTACTGTCCTAGAAAACCTGCAAAGCATTGTACATTTCTAATAATATGATCTTCCACAATTATTGTTTTTCCTGTGCCAAGATCAAGGATGGCATACTTTTCTGTTGATCTCAAACTCATTTAGTTACGAGTCATGAAATGATCCATATATTGAGCTTTATTGAAGGGCAGAGGTTTTGTTTTGTTTACTTCTGTATCCTTAGCACCTTGAAACAGGGCTTGGCACAGAATAGCTACTCAATAAATTTGTGTTGAGTTAATAAATAAATGAATGCCATTATTCTTTTCAGAGGATATAATTTTACATGGTTTCTGGTGGAATGTGGTGTTATTCCAAAGGCAGCTTTAGACATTGCAGTGGCAGAAGGAAACTTTCAGAATTCTGAGTTTATGATTTATTAACTTGGAGTTTCACCCTGTGTTCCCTAAGTTTTTACTTCTTACATTAATATAATTTGATTTCTAAGTTCCTGATGTTTTCTTTTTACTTTTTTTCATAAACGTTAATGTCTAAATTCCAACTATGGTTCCTTTTCTCAACTGAAACTTATTTGTGTGACTATGCAAACCTTCTTTATACTTAATGCTTATTATCTGTGCTATTGTTTTTTCAGTGTTGTTCTTAGTCCTTCACTTTCTATCACTGCTACCCTTTATGGTACAACATGGCCTAGTCAGTTGAGTTACCAAAAGATTAAAAAGGAAATCGTGGTCGATAATCCCAGCACTCGGGGAGGCTAACGTGAGAGGATTGCTTGAGCCCAGGAGTTTGAGACCAGACTGGGCAACATGGCAAAACCCGGTCTCTACCAAAAAAATAAAAAAATTAAAAAAAATAACCAGGTGTGGTGGCATTCTCCTGTACTTGGGAGGCTCCCAGCTATTTGGGAGGCTGAGGTGGGAGGATTGCTTAAGCACAGGAGGTCAAGGCTTCAGTGAGCTGTGATCATGCCACTGCTCTCCAAACTGGTTGACAGAATGAGACCCCATCTCAAAAAAAGAAAAGAAAAGAAAATTGTAGCTCTTCCTGAACAAGTCCTGAAATGTCTTTCCCATATGCATTGAGGATCTTCAAGATAACCTCCCAGTTTGGTAATTTGTTAAAAGGACTCATAGGACTCAGCATATATTGTTACTCAGGGCTGTGATTTATTACAGTCAAAGGATACAACACAAAATTAGCAACGGGAAAAGGCACATAGAGCGATGTTCAGAGGAAACCAGACACAAGCTTCCAGGAGTTCTCTAGTGGAGTCACTCAGGATGTACAAAATTCCTCCAGTATTGCTTGTGACAGCACATATGAAGTGTTGTCTACCGGGGGATATTATTAAATTATTAATTGGCACAGGTTTATTGGGGGCTAGTTATGAAGGCAACCTCTGTCCAGCACATATGAAAATGCTAGACCCCCAGAAGGAATGCAGGTATTCAGCATAAACCACATTGTACAGGCATTCTAGGCATAGTGAGTCATGTTGTCAGTTCTAGTAGTCACTGTCTCCTCACTTAGCCCCATTAACAGCTGTGGATGGGCCTTTGTCATCACCAAGGTACCCGTTTCCCAAAGATGAAGAAATTTGATTTCATTTTGTTGTCTCTTGGTGTCAAAAACATAAAAACATTTTTCCTCTCCTGGACATCTTCAACTCTAATGCCTTTACCACCAAGCATAGTTTCAAACTTCTAGGGAGCTTCTCTCTGTAACTAATTGGAAAATTTCTTTTCTGACCTCCTAACCCTGTATGGAGGTTGTTGGTTTTATATTTAGTAAATTATTAAACAGCAACATGTTTTTTAAAACATTTGTACTGAGGCCTGACATTGGGTAGTTTCTCCCTGCAGTCAGGTTACTTGTCAGAGATGGGGCATGACTCCAAAGAGAATTAATGTATGTTTTTGTTATCTGAAGTGCCCTTGGGGGTTCCAGAATCCTCCTGAAGAGCCCATGTTTCTTTAGCAAAAGAGGTTTTTCAAGTCTGAATCCAGGATACAGGAACTCAAATGAAAAGCTTGTTCTATAGGAGTCTTAAAATAGAAGATAAGAGGCTACAAATAATGAAATCAAATTTGTAGAAACTGAGAAATTTCAATCAGATGTAACAAAAAGATCCTTGCTGGAGAATATATACCAGTAGTAGTACCTAACTCTCATCCAAGTTTTTTAAGCTATGTAATTTCCATTTGACCACTTATTCTTTATAGATTGAATTTGATCGTAGATTATAATTTAAATAAAATAAAGCATAGCCACAATTCGAGTGCTGACTGCAACCTATCCTAGCAAACCTTTCACACACATACCATGTCTGAGATATTCTCAATATTGTTGCAAATAATCCCTAATCACCTGTGTCAACATCCCAGAGGTTAAGTCAAACAAAAGCAGAGAATAGGGAAATGTATAACATAATAGATTTTATTTGAGGAGTCCTATTTAGAGTGATTGCCAGATCCATATTTTTCACATAATTTCATTCCTTAATAACTGGTACTTCGTCACAAATTATCAAGCAGACGTTGATAAGTTATCTGAAGATTTGATTTCATAAGCTTCCACAATAATGATGCTGTTTACTAACAGAATATCCATCCTATCCCAACATAAAGCCCGCTGGGAAAAAAGTCATTCTTTTTAACTAGTAATTACATGCTTGTCCCTATCTCACTATACAGTAATATTTTATTTTTAGTCTGTCTCCACTACACTGTATGTTCTTTAAGACTTTGAATTATTCTTTGTCTTTTACATTTATATAACACCTATGTGAGCATGCTCGTAATTTTCCAGGGTCATACAGACTGAAATATTGCTGCTTTTGTCCTTTGTTAATTCCATCTAAAACATGGACTAGGCACTCTTAGGTTTCAGTCATCTGAGTAGATGTTTAATCAACATTCGAGAAACTATGTGGGAGAATTAACGGCAGGTGATGATGGTGGGACTTGAAGCCTGTTTGCCAGGGGCCCCGGTTGTGAACATCATTTTCAGTACTGTCCAGACACAGGGGCAACTCCCTGTCATTTGTGACTCTTTCCGTCTTGGCTCTTGCCTCTCTTCTTTCTTTCTTTCTTTCTTTCTTTCTTTCTTTCTTTCTTTCTTTCTTTCTTTCTTTAATTAACATCACCATCTTTTCTGCTATTAAACTGTCACCATCTTGATCTTCTCTCCCTCTTTTGGCCTTTACTTTCCCGGCCAGAGTGTACTTCTGGTTTCTTTTGGAGCATCCAATCTCCATAAATCTCAGCCTTTGACCTCTCTGTCTCTCTGTTTCTCTCTCTTTCACTTTCTCTCTCTTTTGAAATAGAATTTACATTTTATTAAAACCAAACAATCCTTGCAACTCTAAAAATTGTATTTTTATGGCACCTTATGACTTCATTGTTATTTATCAAACTTCAGGTAATAGCTGATTCAAAAAGACTTGAACTATAACTTAAATATTTTGTGATTTATGAAACTTCTTAAAACAACTTAAAGTTTATATCTTGTGGCCAAGGTACTATAGACCTAGTTGGGAAGGGCCTGCCTAAGTGAACATAAACATCACATTTCATTGATTCTAAGATACACTTTTCCACATTTTAACATCTCTTAAATTGGGATTCATCTTATACTTCATAGTATCTCACAGTATAATTGGTGAATCTTTTTCCTTAGTATTATAAAAATGATAATGATGGGACTTATAATTAAAGGCAACTTAGATTTTTACTTTTTACTTAAGTAGCTGAGGCTTAAGAAAGTTTACAAAGTCTGACTGGTAACCTTCACACACAGAAGTTTTGTTTGCATGTAGTCCTTCTCTTCTTTCCTGCCCTTGAGATGGGATTTGTTCCCTTGACCTTTACCCCCTTTGTGGGCAGGAACTGGAGTGGCTCATTTCACCCAGCCTGCAGTCTGTGGATGGCCAAGTGTTAACAGCCCAGTAAAGGGTCAGAGTGACAGGCTCCTGCACCTGCCCTTTTTGACACTCAAGTTCTTGTTTGGTGTCCAGGAAGAATCAGGTCACACAAACCATTTGAAGGGTAGTGTATGCAGAGGATTTATTGGGCGATAAAAGTGGCTTTCAGCAGGATGGGGAATTGGAAAGGGGATGGTGTGGGAAGAAGGTGATCTTTCCCTGAAGCCTCATTGTCTGAAGTTAGCTGCATCTATCAGTAGTCTTCGATGCTCAGCCACATGTATCCCTGAGGCTCAGCAGCTTGCATCCCCAACCACTTGCATCAGCTGCTTGTGTTGCTCTTTTTTTTTTCCCTGCCAGCTGATCTAGTTTTTATGGGCACTGGATAGGGGGCGGGGTAGGACAAAAAGGCAATTATTTGGGTGGAAAAATGGGGTCAGCTGTTTTCACTTAGGGCCAAGGTTCCAGGCTTGAGGGTGAGGTTTAGCCGGGAGCCCAGCCCTTCAGGGGTCAGCTGTTTTCACTTATGGCCAAGGTTCCAGGCTTGAGGGTGGGGTTTAGCCAGGAGCCCAGCCATTCTGTATCACCCTCACCAGGTTGCTTCATGCTGACCTGCAAGTGGTTCTGCTTATGCTGGCCTCTCATGAGTCTTTCAGTTAAATCTTTATTGGATATGTACTGTGTGCTAAGAATTGTGGTAACTACTGGAGAGAAAGATGAGCAAAATCGTACATGGTCTTTGCTTTTCTGATTATAGACTCTTCTAAAATAGTGTTAACCATTAGCATTATAAAATGGCCCAATCATAGGCCAGATCATTCTGTTGTTCCTGTGGTGTCTAGATTTCTTAATGTTTCCATGTTACATAAGGAAGGAGCCATTCTGGGTGATCATTTAGGACTCTGTATCCAGTGACCCTGTATGGGTAGAGTAACAGTTTGGGTTGACTACTTGAAGGTGGTTTACCTCCTTCATGCCTTCATCATTTACTTCTCAGAGGTTTTCTTCATACTGCCTGTATCCAATACGTTGCATCTGTTTTTGTCAAACTTTTCAATGAATTATGTATAGCAAGTCTAAATGGAGTTGCCTTAGGGTTTAGTTTCCCTCTTTACTCAGTGATTATTTGATACAGCTCCAGGGAAGATTCCACTGGGAATGTGTGTCAGCTGGCACTTGCTCAAGCCTACAGTGAAGCTGTTATTTCATTTCTTATGTTTAGTTATTCTTAAGAGGTTGGTGTCTGGGTTAGAGTTTTCTTAGTCCCCTACCTGTTTTCTTAGCATTCGCTGCTGGAATCTATAACCAACTCCCCAATGGACTGCAGGTAGCCAACATGCACTCTCTTGGTAGGGCCTTGCCCGCATTGAACTTTGCATTTGTTTAGTAAATTTAATTAATTTTGTATAGATTATAAATGTACTTAGCACAAAATTTAAAAAGTACAAAAGGTAAACAATAAAAAGAAAGTCTACTTTTTACACCTGGCTCCCAGCCACCCCATTGCCATCCCAGGAAGCAACCATAGTTACCAGTTTCTCTAGCTCCAGTATTTTTTAAAAATAACTTTTTATTATGTAAAATCAAAAATGTATATGGAAGAGGATAATATAAAGAACCTCCTGGTATCCATCATGTTGCTCCAACAATTATCAAAAAATAACCAATCTTGTTTAACTCTACTCCCACCCACTTTCTTGGATTATTTTGAAGTGGATTTCATACTAAAATCATATGATGTTTCAGACATCATAACTAAAAGATAGTGCCTCTTTTAAAAAACATATAGCCATAATACCATTTTCACACTAAAAAGCAAAAATAATTCCTTAATATCATTGCATTTAAAATTTTTCAATGATGTATTTTCTTTTCTTTTACAGTTTGGTTGTTTGAATCAGGATCCAAACAAGGTCCACACATTGCATTTTGTTAAGTCTCGAGCCTCTTTTAATCTATAGCTCCCCTCACTTTTTTTTCATTTATTTGTGGAAATAACTGAGTTGTTTATTCTGTAGAATTATTCCGCGTTCTTCTGATTCTGTTACCAAATATAGTCTGGTGACTGTTTTTTCTATACATTGGTATTTTGATCTAGACGCTTAATCAGTTGTAGGTTTAATTTTTTGGCAAAAATACTTTAGAGGTGGTATTCAGTTTTAATTTTACAGATTAAGCCAGGTAAGTTCCTGGTTATTTTTCATTTGTTTGTTTTGTTTTGTTTACAACATGGTTTTTAAGTACACGGGCTCTATAGTCAGACTATCTGGGTTTGTATTCCAGCTCCACAACTTAGTAGCTGTATGACCTTGGGCAAGTCCTATCAAACTCACTGCATTTCTCCTTATTTGTAGATTGTGGATCATAGTAGCATGTAATTCATAGTACTGTTGTGAGGAATAACCAAATCCAATGTGTGTAGAGCATTTTGAACAGTGTCTGTCTTTGAGTAGGTATTCAGTGTACATTAACTATTGTGGTACTATATTTTTATTTCTCCATTGTCTTGTACGGTATAGCCAGGGCTGCTGTATTGTTCTACGCCAGGGTTCACTGTTTATCTTGTAGGCTTTTGAATGATACTTTTTATGGTGCTGTACAATGAGTAGTCCGTGTGGCCATATGTAGCAGCCCATATAGTCATACAATACATGAACTTGTGTTGTTCAGCTCTTTTATGTTTTTCATAGCACTACTATTTTATAAACAGGATTTAGTGTCTATCTGGATTTCTTATTCGCAAACTCATATATCACATTGCCTTTTTGTTTCTGTACCCCTCTTCCTTGAAATATACATGTGTTTGTGCCCATAGATACACACCACATGCATTTTCAAAGTCAAAGCTAAATAGTATTCCTCTTACAACCTCTCTTCCAACTGAGTGATGTGAAGATTATGTAGTTTATGCTGGTTTCCACTTAACACATCTATGGAGAGTTGAGGCTATCAGCCAGCTACCAACAAAAAGGAAGTGAATCGATTAGCAGCATGCCTGGGGACTGTGTAGACATGCCCACAAACCTCATGTTGTTATATGATCTGTCCTTGGGATCTGGCCAAGGTTCTTGGTATTTTAATCAATATGAGATAGATATTTCCAGAATTAGGACCCCATGGGGTGACCCATGATAATCTGGACATCATTTTTGTCAAGTTTAATAGTTTCTCTGTGAAAAAAAATAATATTGTGTGTGTGTCTCCTCCTTAGATCTGACATAGAAGGCATTCATGGAAAAGTATACCTTTCTATGCTGCACTTGAGAGGTGGTAGGCCTGTGCACAGGGGAGAAGAGATTAGGTCATTAATAAAATGGTACTCATATCCTTTCTAATTTAATAAGTCAATATAACTTCTACAGATGTGACACTAGGGAATTAAATAATACAGAATCCCGATTTTTAAAGTTTTCTAATGCACAACTATTTCACTCATATGTACACATATACATACATACATGCCCAACTAGCCAAACAATATATAATTATAGTAATCCTTTACAAGATGTCCGTTCTAGTCTTAATCAAACCAGTAGCAGGTTTAGCTCATGGAGTAGTTTAGATGGAATGTGCTTAGGAAGGTCTGACTTCAAAGAGCCTTTAGTCAGAGCCCAAGCAACTTTCTCAGCTCTCTCTGATGATTTCATTTTTCTCTTGGCTAATATATTTTATCCATCAATGTCAGGTTGGGCCAGAAATACTTGATTTCGAGATAGAAGTCATTGTTTTTTCAGGTTTTCAGAAAAATAATTACATTTATTATTGTGTATTATATATGGGGATAGAGACAGGTACACATTTGTTAATCTGTATCTTCCAAGGTCCCCATATTGTTGACTAGAGTTGGCAGATGGGTCACAAGCCCAACACGTCTTTACCCAGGCTTTTTCAGGTAAAGAAATGCAAGTTCAGATTGCTCTTTATATATGTGTTTCCAAAGCAGACATATAAAATGCTCCTCATAAATCAACCCCTTGTATTTCCTTTCCTATGATTTAACTCATGTTTTTGTTGATACAGGCACATTTAATATTATAACCATTCATTGTATAAAAGATTGCTGTTATGTTTTGCTGATACAGTGTAAATTGGCAGAGTTGGTCCTGGCAAATGCAGAAGTCACTGTAACATCTTGGCCCATCCTGCCTCATATTGTATCAGTCTTCCCATATGCACTTCCTCATATTCATAATACATATAGTATTCAAGAACTTTATGTACAGCAAAAATATTTTTACACATATTTACTTGTCCATCTAATTTCTTATTCAAAATACTATAACCAACAAATTCGTCACTGTGGTTTAATCACAACACAGAAACATACCACTGATACTATATGCCATGGTTTATAATAAGCACTTTGTAAATTTTTGCTTATTTAAACCTCACATCATGTTTATGAGTTAGGTGTTATTATTATTCCATTTTACAGATGAAGAAAGTAATGCACAAAATTTAAGTAAATTTCAGAAAGTAGACCCTGAATTTGAATTTAGATATTTTGACACTAGGCCAAGCGCGGTGGCTCACGCCTGTAATCCCAGCACTTTGGGAGGCTGAGGCGGGCGGATCACGAGGTCAGGAGATCGAGACCATCCTGGCTAACACAGTGAAACCCCGTCTCTACTAAAAATACAAAAAATTAGCCAGGCGTGGTGGTGGGCACCTGTAGTCCCAGCTACTCGGGAGGCTGAGGCAGGAGAATGGCATGAACTTGGGAGGCGGAGCTTGCAGTGAGCCGAGATCACGCCACTGCACTCCAGCCTGGGTGACAGTGCGAGACTCCATCTCAAAAACAAAAAAAAAAAAAAAAAAAAAAAAGAAAAGATATTTTGATACTAGTATCTGTGCTCTTAAACACTGCCATTTTTACTACTAAAATTGTGACTTGTTACACTTGCCTTTGTTTCTTTGTTATACACACACACACACATATATTTAATAACTTTATATTTAATAATATTTAATTTGATTAAAATTTGAATTACCATATGTAGCCAGTAGTGGCCCTATTGGACAGCACAGATTCCAGCACAACACGTAACTTAGGGATGACACTCAATACATATTTGCTTAAGGAAGGAATGACTCTCAGATTTATTTTTCCAGCTCAGATCTTTCCCTTGACCTTCAGACTTATGTATGTAATTTCTTATTTGGCACCTTCACTGAATTTCTATTAGACATTTTCAAACCATCTATTAGACAGTTCCAAAGACATTTCCAAATAGTTCATGTCCAAAATGAACTATTGATCTTTCTCTCCAAGCATACTCCATCCATAAGCTTCTCCATTTCAGTTTCTTCTACTCTCTCAGACTAAAAACTTTTGTCATGTATGATTTTTGACAGCTAATCTACCAACAAATTCTGTAGGGTCTTATTTCAAATTATATACATAATCTGACCACTTCTAGTCATCTCCACCAGTTTTACTAAAATTTAAGCCACAGCCATTTTTGTTCCATGTTATTGAAATAGACCTTTTATATGTCTCTTTTCTCTGCTGTCCCAGTTACGCTCTTACTGTTGTCTACACAGCAGCTAGACTGTTCTTCTGTATTCAGGCCAAGTCAGAGCAGACCATTCCTCTGTTTAAAACTCACCAGTGGTTTCTCATTTCATTCAAAGTAAAAGCAAAGGTCCTTCCAATAACCCAAAAGGCCTATATAATAGCTCCCGCTCCCCTGTCCAATACCCTATTCTCTCTCTTGGTCTCATCATTTTTAATACTCTCCCTTCTTTATTCCACTTTACTTTCACTGGCTTCCTTATTGTTTATTTTTTTAAGAAGGCAAGGTAAACAAATAGCTTAAGTATTTTTATTTGTTTGCAACTAAGCTTGTTAACACTATATAATGAAAATGTGCAAAGAATAATGTTGCAGTTTTCGGTTAGATTTAAGTCAAAGATATTCATTAATAAGGAATCTTCGAACGTGAATATTCCAGAAATTTCTCTAAGCCATCTGATCAGAACAACTGTCTCTGAGTATTACCTTACTTTGTAAGGTATTGGCATGCATTTGAATTAAACTCAGATTTTTTCAAAATAAGTCCTGATTAAAAAAACTATTCTATATTCAAACTAAAAGAATATAAATAGAACTTTTCCTTTCCAGAAACAATAAAGGAAACAAGGCATTTTGTAAAATATGGTCCTGAGCAAGTTGCAGTAAAAAAATAAATGTATACTTCTACCTGCTCAAAACAGAGGCTACTTTCTTTTCCTCAGTCTTGGAAACAAGGTGAAGAACAGCCTAAATGTGACTTCGGGCAGGCGGTTGCCAAAACAGCTCAAGCAGTTGACCATGGACACCTCAAATGAATTTGGGAGAACCTCACCAAAGGATCCAAATTCTATTTTTAATAACTGATACAAAGGTGAAGTGGCTCTTCCCAAGTAGCAGTGCTGCCAGGGCCTGGCCCTGGCCCAGGCCCAGGCCCAGCTCTGAGCTTACCTGCTATGCTCCCAAGCAAACCATGATCCTTCTGCTCCAGGGCAGACCTTTTCCCTTTAGAGGTTCAGTGTCCAGGGAGCTCTATGATTGTGTGAATGAGGTGAGCGCCGACTCCATGTGAGTATTTTAAGGCTTGGAGTCAAAGTATTTTTCTAACACGCTTAGGCAGAGTCCATGTGTCAATGGCCCATCTCCAGTTTGTTCTAATTTCTCACCACACATTTGTAGATATTTCTCACCACACATTTGTAGATCTAGGACCACAGACCTTTGCTGTATTATCATAATCACAGCTAATGTCCATCCTAACTTATGATTCATATTCTATGCCTGGAAACAGTCCCTGTATTTAACAATAAAACCTACACATAAAAACAATCCACTGTTGCAACTTATATGGTCACAAAACGTAAATGATCTTCTGTAGAACAAGCAATTTTTTTTTTGTTTTTTGTTTTTATTTATTTATTTATTCTTTGAGACAGAGTCTCACTCTGTCACCCAGGCTGGAGTACAATGGCGCGATCTTGGCTCACTGCAACCTCTGCCTCCCTGGTTCAAGTGATTCTCCTGCCTCAGCCTCCTGAGTAGCTGGAACTACAGGTGCCTGCCACCATGCCCAGCCAATTTTTGTATTTTTAGTAGAGACGGGATTTCACCATATTGGCTAGGCTGGTCTCAAACTTCTGACCTCAGGTGATCCAAGCACGTCCGCCTCTCAAAGTGCTGGGATTACAAGCGTGAGCCACAGCGCCCGGCCAAGCAAATGTTTTTAACCATAATTGTCATGAATCAAGCTCAGCCAGAATCCCCAAGATCAAAAAAAAATTGCACTATACAAATAATAACTTGAAATATACATACACACGCTCTCATACACACTTCTTACAGAACTGTGCTTGGGGAAGCTCCATTTGTTGAGTGCCACTGAAGGCATATTTTGCTAAACTGCTTCTCCAAGTATTTTGTTTTGGAAAATCTATCACAGTAGGGCACAGCTGTTTACTGGATGAGCAGAAAAAGGGAGATATGCTTGTGGCAACCAAAAAGTTTTAAGGTCTTTCAAGTTGTATAAAATGGACCTACAGAAACGTTTAAGTGTTCTCAGGATGCAAAATTGAAGCTGAAATGTGTTGTCAAACCAGTTGCAAAAAGTGTACAGCAGGCATCTCTTGAGGTTAAACCTGGTACCCAGATACATAACAAAGCTTCAGGACACATGGCTTGTTGGCCTTGTCCCATACCGTTGCATAATCTGATCATGTGTGAATTTCACAAAAGATTCATTCATATTGTTCTGCTAGTTTGGTATTGAGGATTTGCTCATACTCCTCCTGAATCTTGTCTTCATAGTCTAAGACACACTCACGTATTATTCCGATTTGTCAGAGGGTAAATGTGGGCTGGTCCTTCTTCATCCATGAGGAACCTGGAGAGCTAGGTGCTATGAGTGCTGAGGAGTGAGGTTGACTTTCTGAAGCACAAGCTTCACTCTGATTAAGAACAATTTCTAAATGTCTCCACCTCTGATAACGACTGTATTCTAGTTTTATGTTCTGAAAAATTTTCTCCGGAATTGTAAGGCGCCGCTTGCTGCCGAGTGGGGCGGACTGCTGCAGAGTTGGCGGTAGGGTCTGCGTCTGAAGCGGCGGCGGCTTGGCGTCCGGGGGCCTGAGGCCCGGAGTGGGGCTGGGCAGAGGGGTGCAGCACGGCTGCTTCGGGGAAGCAGGGACTCAGCAGCTTTGTACCGAAGTCCATGGGCCGCTTCAGCGTCGCCTGGTTCGCCAGGTCGCTGACGGGCCAGGGACCGGGAGCGGACTCGGGTAAGTGCGGCCCAAGCTCCGGCTCCTCAGTGGGGCTCGCCAGCCAAGCCCTATTGTTTCTTTTTCTTTTTTTCTTTTTTTTTTTTTTTTGACACTTAGTATCTCAACATTTTATTATTATTTTTTTTTAATTATACTTTAAGTTTTAGGGTACATGTGCACATTGTGCAGGTTAGTTACATATGTATACATGTGCCATGCTGGTGCGCTGCACCCACTAACGTGTCATCTAGCATTAGGTATATCTCCCAATGCTATCCCTCCCCCCTCCCCCGACCCCACCACAGTCCCCAGAGTGTGATATTCCCCTTCCTGTGTCCATGTGATCTCATTGTTCAATTCCCACCTATGAGTGAGAATATGCGGTGTTTGGTTTGTTGTTCTTGCGATAGTTTACTGACAATGATGGTTTCCAATTTCATCCATGTCCCTGCAAAGGACATGAACTCATCATTTTTTATGGCTGCATAGTATTCCATGGTGTATATGTGCCACATTTTCTTAATCCAGTCTATCATTGTTGGACATTTGGGTTGGTTCCAAGTCTTTGCTATTGTGAATAATGCCGCAATAAACATACGTGTGCATGTGTCTTTATAGCAGCATGATTTATAGTCATTTGGGTATATACCCAGTAATGGGATGGCTGGGTCAAATGGTATTTCTAGTTCTAGATCACGTATTTCAAAATAATAAGAGCTATCTATGACAAACCCACAGCCAATATCAGACTGAATGGGCAAAAACTGAATTTTCCTCTAATCGCCTCATTAAATGTATCCCACAGATTTTGATATGTAGTGTTTTCATGATCATGTTTTAAAGACATTCTGTGATTTTAATTTGTATTTCTTTCTTTAAAGAATTATTTAAGAGAAAGCTTATAATTTTCCATGCGGAATGGACTTAAAAAGTGATTTCTAGCTTTATCGTAGTATTATTATTAGACAATGTTTATAACATGTCAACTTTATGGAACTTACTGATGTTTTCTTTGTAACCTAATATATGATCACTTTTTGTGAGTATTTCATGTGCAACTGAGAAGTATAGTCTCTATTACCGGGACATAAAATATGATATATATCTGTAAGATTGTTATTTAAGTCTTCTACATCTTTACTTACTGTTTATCCACTTGATTTGTTGTTTAATGAAAATGATGTGTTAAAGTTTCTTTTTAGTGTGCTTTTATATACATCGCCTGTATTTTTGCTTTATAAAGGTGGTGTCTGTATTACTTTATGCACAGATATTCATAATTGCCATATCTTTATTTGGAGAATGGCTTTTAGCATTTAAAGTGTTCTTTGTGGCTGGGCACAGTGGCTTATGCCTGTAATCCCGGCACTTTGGGAGGCCGAGGTGGGCGGATCACTTGAGGCCAGGAGTTCAAGAATAGCCTGGCCTACATGGTGAAACCCCGTCTCCACTAAAAATACAAAAATTAGTGGGGTGTGGTGGGCACCTGTAGTCCCAGCTACTCGGGAGGCTGAGGCACGAGAATCGCTTGAACCTGGGAGGCGGAGGTTGCAGTGAGCCGAGATTGCACCACTGCACTCCAGCCTAGGCCACAGAGCAAAACGCCCTCTCAATAAATAAATAAATAAATAAATAAATAAATAAATAAATAAATAAAAGTGTTCTTTGTTTAATTTAATGCTTTTTGGCTTGAAATCTATTTTGTCTGATATTGATTCCATTTGCCTGGTAGACTTTTGACCATTCCTAAATTTTCCTCTTTTGCTTCACATTCCTTTAAACTCCCAGACTTCACAGGGTATCTCTCCCTTATTTTTTGCCATCTTCTCTCTTACAAATGATACCTTTCAAAGTCTGCCTTTTGACAACTGCATAGAAAGCTCTTCCCCAAGGCTCGAATCTACCAGTTTGTCATTATTTTTACGCTTTGTGTGGACTTTGTCTTTCTGGTTGTGATTTAGATTACTCTTAGGCTACTAGCCCCTTCTTTTCTCATTAACTCTCCTGTTTCAGCATTGTCCTTGCTCCCTGGAAAGACTTGAAGAGGGAATATGAGTGATATCTTGCTGAGATTTCTTTTTTTTTCTACTTACAATTTAATAGTTAAGTCTTTTATTATGTGGGTGTTTTCTTTCTTTTTGTTATGTGAAGGGCATGGCTTTATGTACTTTTATGTTGTTCTGGTGGCTCTATATTGTTTTGTGGAGGATATGTTTGGAAATTTTGATTTACATAGTCACCATTGTCTTAACATAATATTTTCCATATGGTTAAAAATACTTTGTAAATATTTTAATGGCTATATACTATGATACAAAAATATACCAAATTTTTCCAATAATTTCCCTCTTTAGTATGTTAGTTTTTTCCTTTTATGTGATGACGTATTTGTGCATAAGTTAATTCCACTACATACTTTGGGTAGATTTGCCAAAATATAATTTTTGCCTCAAGGTTATAAATATTATTAATAATCTTGACATAGTTTGAATACAGGGAGAATCAATTGGCATATGGATTTATATTAAGCTGCTAACTAGGGTAGCCTCCATCCTTTTTTCAGGTAGCACCTTCCTCTTTTACATATATATCATGAGCCTGGCCTGAAATAGCTAGTAGGTACCAGTGTGGCTGTTTCTGGTGTTTACAGCCAGCATCTCTGTTGAGTGATAGAACTTTGTGCCAATATTAGTTATTAAGTATTTGGAGATCTTCCACCTCCACAGATTATAACATTTGTTATTCTGTGGTTGGATTTTCTTTACTTAGGACACACACTTGTGTTATATTCAGCAATAACAAAAGAACCAATGGCCTTTCTTTCAGCTGTCCTTTAGTCTGGCATCCCTGGATTTTATAATTGAAGAAGAGGGGTGATATTTAAGAGCCCAAAATACAACTGGCAAGACCTTAACTTGGAGAAACTAATCAATCCTCACATTAGTCATTACTGCTTTTGTGGCTTATGTCAGAGCATGATGGGCTTATTTCTGCTCACGCTTTCTGTTAGTCACTTGTTTTTCCTCTCACTTGATCTGTTTTATCAACTTCAGTTAATCAAAGCTGGGCTTCCTATTCATGCAACTAGATTTTTCTCAGTAATATTATATTATCTACCATTTCCTGAATTAATTGAGACACTCTGACATGATCTGTGTACTTTAGGTAAGCCATTGTAACTTTCTATAGTTGTTTTGTTTGGTTTGCCTCTGAATGTAAAAATAGCATTGTGTGAGAACACATTTGAGAGTGGTGGTTAGGGTCTTTACCAATATATTTTCTATGATTATTTTTACTTTCAATCTTATTATTCATCACATTACATGGTAGATGGCTTAGCAATATTTAGACAGTAATTCCACAAACCACTTTCATCCTAGAATCACCTTTGAGACATTATTATTTTTTTAAATGCAAACTGCCAGGCCTCATCATGGACCCAATGAATTAATCTCTTGCATTGGGATCCAGAGATCTGCATTTTAAACATCTGCCCAAGTGACTCTCATGCAGTTTGGTACCTGACTGTAGACTTATTTTTGAGATGCAAAGTTTAATGCATACCCTACCAAATCATGACCCCAGTGCACCTCTTAAGTGGTCATCTCTGTGCTAGTTTTTAGAGCTTGTCACCCTTGCTGTATATACATGGCATGCTCCAGGGTGCATTTAAAGCGTTATTTTCTACATATGTTTAGAAGTCATTCCTTAACCCAATAACCTATTAAAATCCACTTATGTTTTATTTGTATTATTTAGTGGTTTTATTTTACATTTTATCTCCTCCATGCACTTGAAATTGAATATGTTGTTTGGTTGTGAAATAGAGATCTAACTTATTTTTTTCCCAAATAGTTAATTGTCCATGTTCCATTTTTTGAACAATTCTGCTTTTTTTCCACCAATTTAAAATGCCGCTTTTATTGTACATTAAGTTCTTACATTTATACGATGGTCTTATCGTGAGCTTTCATTTTTTCCACTGACCTAACTATTCTTATACTACTATGACCATGCCACATAATCATTTTCCTTTTGAGTAGCACAAACCTTCCATAATTATTCTGTTTAAAAAATGTTTCACTCATTTTGCTAGTTTATTATTCCATGTAAACTTTAGAATTATTTTATCACATTCCAGAAAATTAGCTTGTTGGCATTTTGATTACAATTATACTAAATCTATTAATTAATTGGAATGAAGTTGACAACATGCAATATTTAGTCTTTCTATCCAGGATCACAAAATTTTGTTTTTCATTTACGGAAGTCTTTTTGTGTGTGTAATACTTTTATTTATATTAATTCTGAGACTTAAATAAATCACTCTCCTCTCTCTCTCTCCCACACACATACAGTGCAACTGTTTTTTTCTATTACAATTTTGAAGTGTCTGTTACTAATATATAGGATGCTTATGATTTTTATATCTTCATTCACTGACCAGGAATTTTAACAGGCTTCCTTGTTAATGTTAAAAACATTATCAATAGGTCTAAGCATGGTGGCTCATGCTTGTATTCCCAGCACTTTGTGAAGCCAATGCGAGAGGATCGCCTGAGCCCAGGAGTTCTAGACCAGCCTGGGCAACATAATGAGACCCCATCTCTACAAAAATTAAAAATACAAAAATTGCTGGGCATGGTGGTGCGGGCCTATAGTCCTATCTACTCGGGAGGCAGAGGAGGGAAGAGCCCTTGAGCCCAGGAGTTTGAGGCTGAAGTGAGCCATGACCACACCATTACACTGCAGCCTGAGTGACAGAGTGAGACCCTTTCTGGAAAAAAAAAAAAAGTATCAGTAATTTCTCTTGCATTTTTCAGTTAGACAGTTATATGATAGGTAAATAATGATTATTCTATCTCCTTTCCAATAGGTTTAACTTTTCTGTTTTTGTTTCTTTTTAAAATTACATTGAGAACCCAGTTCCTCACCACCTTTGCTGTTCATTAAACTCGGTGAAGAGTTTTTTAAAAAGTATCAGGACTCACCTGAATCAGAGATTCTGGTTTACCTGATGTAGGGGGAATGTGGGTATTGTCATTTTTAAAAGCTTCTCAGATGTTTCTAGAAGCTGTGTTTGAGAATCATTGTTCTAGACACTCTGACCAAATGATAAGTAGTACTAGTGATAGCAGACATCCTTTTCTGGCTTCTGATCATAAGCTTCTAGTATTGCACCATTAATGGTGATATGAGCTGATCATTTGAGATTGACTCAGTGGTGTGTTGGAGGCAGCTGGTACCTGCTCAAAAGGTGTAACTGTACACATATTTTCCCAACTTCACATTCATTGACATTATGTTGATCACTTCAAATCAGCCATGGTTGATTCACATGGAAATTGACAAATGCTAAAATCAGCGCTCCCCACCTTCTCTGTCAACCTGTTCATTATTTGCCAGCACATCACAGTAGATCTTTATTAGCTTAAAGAAGTATTCTTTTTTAAAAAAAAGAAAAAAATAAGAAGTATTCTTTTATTATTAGGCTATGAATAATTTTTGTCCTTCATTATCATTTGCATTTCATTGCAACCACCTTTTAATCACATTGTCACCTTATATCAGCCACGTTCTAAAACCTTGTGTTTCTCACTGTAAATGCTTTTTTCCAGAGGGATTCCTGTATTCTGATTCTTCAGAGAGTTTTCCTTCTATTAAACTACATTGACTTTTCCTAAACCTAATAACTCTTTTTATGGAGGAAACTTTTTTTCTTCTTCATCTTCCCTCCTCCTACCCTTCCTGTCCTCTGATACTCACCAGTCTACTCTCTATCTTCATGAGATCTACAGACCTAAGAACCTTTTTAGTTTGTTCTTTTGGTTGGTTTATAGACAAGCAAGAGTCAAATTTGAGTTTGTAAGATATCAGTGTGAGTTCTTGCATAAAAATTCCAGATACAAATGAGTAAAAAAGTTTAAAATTCTTCTAATAATCACTGCTGTGGTGAGCCACGGATTCAGAAGGTAGGGTGTTTGGGTGGAAAAGAGTGGTTCACAGTGACCAACCTAGAGGAAAAGATGGACTGCATGTTCTTCAGGCAATCCTCTATGAATACTGTCTTGTCACAAAGATGTATGTAAGAATTACAGACTATGGCCGGGCACAGTGGCTCATGCCTGTAATCCCAGCACTTTGGGAGGCCAAGGCTGGTGGATCCCTTGAGGTCAGGAGTTCAAGACCATTCTGGCCAATATGGTGAAACCCTGCCTCTACTAAAAATACAAAAATTAGCCAGGTGTGGTGGCACGCACCTGTAATCCCAGCTACTCAGGAGGCTGAGGCACGAGAATCGCTTGAACCTGGTAGGCAGAGGTTGCAGTGAGCCGAGATTGCGCCACTGCACTCCAGCCTGGGCAACAGAGTGAGACTCTGTCTCAAAAAAAAAAAATTGAATTGCAGACTATAAATCTGGAATTGCCATTCTCTGAGAAGTAATTATAATGTACAAATCACCATCTAGTCAGATAAATGTAGACCAATATGCTATACAATCAAGCTGAAATTGGAGTTGACAGTGTCTTGTGAATATTAGGGATCCTAAACAGACACATGGCTAAATTGGTGTTTATTTTCACTGAGAATGGAACAGGCCTTGGGCAGGGCCATGCTTTTTCTATACCCAGATTTTTGAGGGTTTTTATCCTGAAGGGATATTGAATTTTGTCAAATGCTTTTTCAGTAACAATTGAAATTATAGTATGGTTTTTGTCCTTCGTTTTATTGGTATGATGTACTGTATTGATTTATTTGTGTATGTTGAACCATCCTTGCATCCCTGAGATAAATCCCACTTGGTCATGATGAAGGATTTTTAAAATTTGTTGAATTTGGCTTGCTAGTATTTTGTTGAGGGTATATATGTGTGTGTGTGTGTGTGTATGTATATATATATATATATATATATATATTGATCAGTGGTTATGGCCAATAGCTTTTTGTTTGTTTGTTAGTTTGTTTTTTTGATGTGTTTTGGTCTGGTTTTGGTATCAGGGTAATATTGGCCTCGTAGAGTGAGTTTGGAAGTACTCCCTCCCCCCTCTATTTTTTCAGAATAGTTTGAATAGGTTTAGTATTAGCTCTTCTTTAAATGTTTGGTAGAATTCAGCAGTAAAGCTATTGGGTCCCAGACTTTTCTTTGCTGTTAGACTTTTTATTATGCCTTTGATCTTGTTCCTTGTTATTGGTCGGTTCAGGTTTTGGATTTATTCCTGGTTCAATCTTGGTAGGTTGTGTGTGTCTAGGAATTTATCAATTTCTTCTAGTTTTCCAATTTATTGGCATATAGTTCCTCATAGTAGCCACTAATTACCCTTTGAATTTCTGCAGTATCAGTTGTAATGTCTCCTTTCTCATCTCTGATTTTATTTATTGGGATATTCTCTCTTTTTATCTTAATCTGGCTAAAGGTTTGTCAATTTTATGTATCTTTTCAGAAAACCAACTTTTTGTTTTATTGATCTTTTTGTATTATTATCATGTCAAATTCATTTTATTTCTGCTCTGATCTTAATTATTTCTTCTACTAATTTTGGATTTGGTTTGCTCTTGCTTTTCTAGTTCTTTAAGATACATCATTAGGTTATTTATTTGAAGTTTTTCTTTTTGATGTAGGCATTATAGCTATAACCTTCCATCTTAGTACTGCTTTTACTGTATCCCATACGTTTTAGTATATTACATTTCCATTATCATTTGCTTTAAGAAAATGTTCAGTTTTCTTCTTAATTTTACCATTGGCCCACTGATCATTCAGGAGGATATTAATTTCCATGTGTTTGTATAGTTTTCAAAATTCCTCTTCTTATTGATTTCTAGCTTTTTTTTCCATTGTGGTCAGAGAAGATACTTGATATTATTTCAGTTTTTTTGAATGTTTTAAGACTTGCTTTATGGGTGGGTGCAGTTGCTCACGCCTGTAATCCTAGCACTTTGGGAGGCCGAAGTGGGCAGATCGCTTGAGTCCAGGAGTTCAAGACCAGCCTGGGTAACATAGTGAAACCCTGTCTCTACTAAAAGTACAAAAAGTTATCCAGGTGTGGTGGCACACGCTTGTAGTTCCAGCTACTAGTGGGGGCTGAGATGGGAGGGCTGCTTGAACCTATGAGGCTGAGACTGCAGTGAGCCACTGCATTCCAGCCTGGGTGGTGGAGTGAGACCTTGTCTCAAAAAAAAAAGACTTGTTTTGTGACCTAACATATGGTCTGTCCTTGAGAATGATCCATGTGCTGAGGTGAAGAATGTGTATTCTGTAGCCATTGGATGAAATGTTCTGTAAATATCTACTAGATCCATTTGGTCCATAGTGCAGATTAAGTCGAATGCTTCTTTGTTGATTTTCTGTCTGGGAGATCTGTTTAATGCTGAAAGTAGGGGTGTTGAAGTGTTTAGCTATTATCCTATTGAAATCTACCTCTCCTTTTAGCTCTAATAATATTTATATGTTTGGGTGCTCCAGCATTGGGTGTATTATATTTAAAATTGTTATTTCCTCTTGCTAAATTGACCCCTTTATCGTTATGGGGTCATAATGATCTTCTGAAGATTTAAAGTAGTGAAGGGAAAAAAAAAACTTTTATTCTAGAATAGTATGTCTAGTGGAAATGTCCTTCAAACATGAAAGAGAAATAAAGACTTTCCTGACAAACAAAAGCTGAGGGATTTCATCAATACGAGATCTGTCCTACAAGACAGATGATCTTCTTTGTCTCTTACAGTTTTTGTCTTGAAGTCTATTTTTTCTAATATAGGTATAGCTACTCTGTTCTTTTTTGGTTTCCATTGGCATGGAGTATCTTTTTTCCACCCTTTTATTTTCAGTCTATGTGTGTCTTTACAGGATAAATGTGTTTTTTGTAGGCAAGAGTCATTTGATCTATTTTTTTTTATCCATTCAGCTACTGTATGTCTTTTGATTAGAGAGTTTTGTCTATTTATATTCAATGTTATTATTGATAAGTAATGATTTACTCCGTCCCATTTTATTATTTGTTTTCTGATTGTTTTGTGGTCTTGTCTTCCTTCTTTTCTTCCTGTCTTTTTAGTGAAGTAGATTTTCTCTAGTGGTATGATTTTAATTTCTTCCTTTTTATTTTTTGTGTATCCATTGTATCTTTTTTGATTTGAGGTTATTAAGAGGTTTGCAAATTCTCTCTTATAACCCATTATTGTAAACTGATGACAACTTATAACTGATAGCATAAACAAACAAACAAGGAAAAAAGGAAACTAATAAAAACTTTACACCATAATTTTTTCTGCCCACTTTTCAGTTTTTTGTTGTTTCCATTTATGTCTTGTTGTACTCTCTATGTCTTTAAAGTTGTTGGAGTTATTATTTTTGATTGATTCATTGTTTAGTCTTTCTACTTAAGAGTGGTTTACACATTACAGTTACGGTGTTATAATATTCTGTGTTTTTCTGTGTACTTACTATTACCAGTGAGTTTTATATCTTCAGATGATTTCTTAGTGCTCATTACTGTTCTTCTCTTTCTGAATGAAGTACTCTCTTTAGCGTCTCTTGTAAGATAGATCTGCTATTGATGAAATCTCTCAGCTTTTGTTTGTCTTGGAAAGTCTTTATTTTTCCTTCATGTTTGAAGGACATTTTCACCAGATATACTATTCTAGGGTAAGAGTTTTTCTTCTTCAGCACTTTATGTCATGCCACTCTCTCTTGGCCTGTAAGGTTTCCACTGAAAAGTCTGCTGTCAGACATATTCGAGCTCCTTTTTATGTTACTTGTCTCTTTTCCCCTTGCTGCTTTTAGGATCCTTTTTTTATCCTTGATCTTGAGGAATCTGATTATTAAATGCCTTTAGATATTCTTGTTTGGGTTAAATGTCTCTGGTGTTCTATAACCGTCTTGTACTTCAAAGTTGATATCGCTGATACTATCCCACTGAATAAGCTTGCTACCCCTGTCTCTTTCTCTACCTCCTCTTTAAGGCCAGTAACTCTTATATATGCCCTTTTGAGACTATTTTATAGATCCTGTAGTCATGCTTCGTTGTTTTTCATTCTTTTCTCTTTTGTCTCCTCTAAATGTGTATTTTCGAATAGCCTGTCTTCAAGCTCATCAATTCTTCTGCTTGATCAATTATGTTATTATAAGACTCTGATGCATTCTTCTGCATGTCACTTACATTTTTTAACTCCAGAATTTCTGCTTGATTTTTAAAATTATTTCAATGTCTTTGTTAAATGTATGTGATAGAATTCTGAATTCCTTTTCTATATTATATTGAATTTATTTGAGTTTTCTCAAAATAGCTATTTTGATTTCTCTGTCTTATATGTCACATACCTCTGTTTCTCCAAGATTAGTCTCTGATGCCTTATTTAGTTCATTTTGGAAGGTCATATTTTCTTGAATGGTCCTGATGCTTGTGAATGTTCATCTGTTTCTGGGCATCTAAGAGTTAAGTAGTGTAGTCTTTTTAGTCTGGGCTTGTTTGTACTTGTCCTTCTTGGGAAGACTTTCCAGATATTTGAAAGGACTTGAGTGTTTTCATCCAATCCATATCTGCATTAGAGAGCATCCCATACCCAGTAATTCTGTGGTTCTTGCAGATTTGTAGCGGTACCACCTTGATGGTGTTGAATAAGATCTGGAAGACTTCTCTGGATTACTAGGCAGAGACTCTTGTTTTCTTTCCTTACTTTCTCCTTTTACTTTTAAAGTCCACTTTTACTTTTCCCTCTACTTTTCTGAAGCAGAAGGAGTCTCTCCCCACAGCTACCACAGCTGGGAACGTGTTGAGTCATACCTGAAGCCCACAAAGTTTCGTCTAAGGCCCAATGAGTACTATCTGGGTTTTGCTTCTGGTTATTTAGGGTCCAAAGGTTCTTTAGTCAGCATGTGATGGGTCCTGCCAGGACTGGGTTCTTCCATTCAAGGCAGTGGGTTCCCTTTTGGCCCCAGGTGTGTGTAGAAATGTCTGGGAGCTAGAGTCTGGAAAAGGGGCCTTAGGACTCTGATGAGTGCTCTAGGCTACTGTGGCTGAGCTAATATACAAGATGCAAGACAAAGTCCTCTTTACTCTTGCCCCCTCTTTTCCTCAAGCAGAAGGAAGGGGTATCTTTTGGAGCCTTGAGCTGTGCTGTGTGGGGTGGTGCAAGGACTCCCATAGCCACCATGGCTGGTGTCTCAGTAGGTTGCATGCCTCCCAAATTCACTGGCTCTGAGCCCAGTTCAACACTAGGACTAATATAAGAGTTGCAGTCCTTGTGGCTTAGAGTGCCCTTCAAGTTTATTTAGGGATCCAGAGCACTTTAGCCTGCAGTGTCAAGGCTTAGAACTAGGATGTGTGATTCCCCTCTAGCTAGGGCTGGTTTAAATGCTCCCTGTGTGGGTTGTCCTTAGCTGAGTTCAGCCTGATTTTGCTTTCTTCCATGTGACAGGGTAGCACGGAGTTCAATGCAGTGTCTCACAATTGCTGCACTCTCTCTTTCTGAAGTGCACACATTCCAGTGTCTCTTTTTTTGGAGAAATGTTTGCTCATATTTTCTTACCCATTTTTTACTTGGGTTATTTGTTTTCTTGTTATTTAGTTGTTTGAGTTACTTCTATATTTTGGATATCAGCCCCTTATCAGATTTATGGTTTGCCAATGTTTTTACCCAATCCGTGGGTTGTCCCCTCACTGTGTTAATTGTTTCCATTTCTTTGCAGAAGCTTTTTAGTTTGGTGCAATTCCATTTGTCTACGTTAGCATTTGTTGCTTGTGTCTTTAGAGTCTGATCCAAGAAATCATTGCCCAGACAAATGTCATGGAGCTTTTCACCTATGTTTTCTTCTAGTAGTTTTATGGTTTCTGGTCTTACATTTAAGTCTTTATTCATTTTGTGTTGATTTTTGTATACAGTGTAAGATAGAGTCCAATTTCCTTCCGTATGAGGATATCCAGTTTTTCCAGCACCATTTACTGAATAGAGTATCCTTTCCCTGTTGAGTGTTCTTGACACCTTTGTCAAAAAATCAATTAACTCTAAGTACTTGGGTTTACGTCTGGACTTTCTGTTCTGTACTATTGGTTGATTGGTCTGTTTTTATGCCAGTACCATGCTGTTTATATGTGATTATAATAACTTCATAATATATTTTGAAGTCAGAGAATGTGATACCTTCATGTTTTTTCCTTTTGCTAAAGATTGCTTTGACTATTCAGGGTCTTTTGTCATTTCATATGAATTTTATGATTATCTTCTATTTCTGTGAAAAATGACATTGGAATTTTGATAGGAATTGCATTGAACCCAGAGAAAGCTTTGGGAAGTATGGACATTTTAACAAGATTAGTTCTCCTAATCCATGAACATGGACTATTTTTTCATTTATTTGTGTCTTCAGTTTGTTTTATCAGTGTTTTATAGTTTTTAGTATAGCAGTTATTCACTTCCTTGACTAAATTTATTCCTAAGTTTTTTCTTTATTTAATACTATTGTAAATGGGATTGTTTTTGAAATTTTTTTCAAATAGTTCATTGTTAGTCTGTAGAAATGCGACTGATAGAGGCTAAACATTACTCTGATGTTCTTGTTTTTGCCTCCTCTGTTATTTTTGGTTTGGCCTAAAGACTTAAATATCATCTGAGAAGCACAGTTCTTTTAGTCATATTTCCGTGGTTACATATGAGCCCAGTTGATACGGTGGTAAGGTGTCATGGGTGGGGAGGTCTTCTATAAGATTATGTCTCTGTCTTTTAGTGAGCTGTGCCCCTGGCCTGTGACTTACTTAAGTTCTTCTCAGGAATTTTTTTTCCCCCTCTTGGGAGAGATGGGAAGGCAAATTGGGTCTGGAATTCGGTATTTCCCTTCACCTCGTTCGCTTAGGTTCTGATAAAACTCCAGGAGGTTTTGATCTGGTAAAAATAGTTTCTCTTGAGGGAAGACCTTGTTAAGAAGAAGAGAAGGGTCTGTGAATATTTTTAAATGACTACTTATCTTTCCCCCCTGCTGGAAGCATGAGGGGATTTTTCACCATCAAAACTTGATAGGACTCTTGTAGGTAAAACTCACAAAAGTTTGGGAGCCCCTTTTGGACTGGGCCCTATTGGAGTTTTTACCTCTCAAATCCGAGCATATTAAGCCTCCAGCAATTTGTAAATTACAGATTAGGTTATCCTATCCCAGTGCTGGTTCGCAAGGAGTTTTCTACTCCTGGCCTTCTGTTACTGTAAGATTTGGTTCTCTCTATCTATCTCCTCACTTCTGGGGACAGCCATTTACCCTATGACCCCAGTTATCTGATGAATCTAAGAAGAGTTGATTTTGTTTGTTCAGTTTTTTCTTGTTGTGTGAATTGGATAGATTACTTTCTTATTTCTTATATGGCAGACCAGAATGCAGTCATGTTTTTGAAATATCAAAGATTTGCTTCTTCTAAAGTTTTGATCTCTTAAAAACTACTTAGGGTAATATACTTTGTTTTTCTTTTAAAAGAGGGAAAATGTAAGATTTTTTTGATGATTAACTTTTGTTTTTTGTTTACTTTTCTCAAATAGATCCTAAATGCCCAGGAGATGTTGATTTTCATAATAGTGACTGGGACATTAAGACAATCACCAGCTCCTTGAAATTCTACCTCAGGTATGCCTGATTTGAATTGGGAGTTTGCTTTTCATAGCTGGTGAAATTTCTCTGGGTGTTGAGCGGAGTTAACGTGGTCTCAGTTCCAGGAGTTTGGATAGAATTGCTTAAGAAAAAACATGTGAAGAGGATTTCTGGCCAAGAATGTGCAAAGACTGTTTTTTAAATCTGAGAGTTTAAGCAAGAGAAGCATAAAAATAATAGAATTGTTACTGAAAAAAGGCTAAAAAGATTATGTTCAAAAAACATGCACTTGAAATAATTGAATACGTTTTGCTCTTCACAGATAGAGTGATGTTGTGATGGATTCACTAGTAGAATCAGGAGCTGGGACTATTCAGGGTGGCTAACATGTTTTAGAGGATAATAACCATTTTGAAATGTCAAATTGCATTTGGGCAAAAATGGTATATGTGTGTGATGTGCTACGTATCATGTCTTAATCCAGGTAATGGAAATAAAAACCAAGAAAATACAACTGTAATAATATTGGAGCTAAATGAACTGTCAGCAGTATGGAAAAAAGTTAGCTCACCAACAAAATTTGGGAATGTGCAATATTAATGAATATATTGTTCAGTTTATTGGCATAAATTTATATTATGCAAAAGGTGCTTAAGACATATATATTTTTTAAACACATTGATTTCTTACCACTCTTTATGTCTCATAGTATGTATCATACTTTATGTGCAAAAGCCTCTTCTTTTCAATGATTGTGTTCTTGAGCCATTAAGATTGATACATAAGTTCTGGGAAATCTCATTAATCTAAAATAGATTGGGTTTCAGATATTACTGTTAAATATTTTGCTACTGTAGCATCATCTTAGAGCTTTCCATAAACTTGAATGTTCTTTCCAGGAATATTTCTCCTGCATCTGCTGATAAAGAAAAGAACTGTTATTGGAGGGTTTATTCTGTACTAGGCTACGGCTAGTTGTTTACACTGATAGTGTCATTGTTTTTTTCTCCCATTAACCGAGTGTACTAGGTGGTACTTGACTCGTTTTGCAGATGAGGAAACCAAGGTGCACCACTTTCTCCATTAAGTAATAGCCATGGTCCCAGCTTGTATTTTTTAAATCTCAGTGTCTCTGACTTATAAGGCCCCTGGTACTGGGGCATCTTCTTCTCCTGCCCCCTACTCCCAGGAGCTTTGGCCTTCTTTGGATGGCTTGGTAATTTAGTAAAGACAGAGAGCAATCTGTTACAAATACTTTAAGAAGACTTGTTGTGATGAGAATAGTGGGAATAAGTGATTCTGTATCTCTAGCTTCCTTCAAAGGAGTCTCAACATTTTCTTAGATTTGTAAGGCCTTCCCCACATTGCATTATTCCCAGCTCATCCTATAATAGGCAGGGTGGCCCTTTTCAAAGATGAGAGGGTCAAGCCTGAAAGTGCGAGTGGGCGGCACCCCCAGTAAGTGATATTTGTTCTCGAGACTCTCATCCATGGTTCTGTAATATATACCAGCCAGTAAATACCCTATAGAATTCTCAAAGATAGCTGTGTTCCAGGACAGGTCTCCACACTCTGTTCTAGGTAACTAAATCACCCCTTATCTCTAACCTTTCCAGAGAAGTCCTCTAAAAATCATCCCTTCTCTCTCCCCTATTTTTATCCTCTCTCATTCAACTGGCTCTTTTTCCGAGTATGTAATTATGCTCCAGCCACATACATCTTTAAATCAGTAAATGATTCAGTAAAAATATCTTGACTGCTTATTCTATGCCCAGTGTGATGTTAAGCACTAGGCAAACAGTTGTGTATAGATATGGTCTCTGACCTTAAAGAACTTATAGCCTAGTAAAGGGGACAGTCAGAAGACAAATAATCATACAAATGTAATAAACTCTAATAAGTACTCTGAAGGAAAGGTATAACGTGCTATGAAGGCATTTAATAGGAAGACGTCACCCATTTTGGTTTAAACTGAGGTTTGAACTGTAAGTTGGAATCAACTAAGTAGGAGTTGGGTTCCAGACAGAGGGAAATGAATACGCAAAGACTTGAGGCAGGAGGGAAGAAGGCCCCTTCAACAAACTACATGAATCAGTATAGGGGGAGTATTGAGTGTAGAGAGGGAGGGAGAGGTATGTAAGGGCCATATCATTCATGGCTTTAAAGGATCTTTTAAAAATTAGGGTCTAAATTTATCTTAAAAGTAATGGGACTATATTGAAAGATTTTAAACATGAGGTGCATATTGAGATTTGTATTTTGAAATAAAAAAGGATGGAGATTAGATTACAGTGATATAAAATGGGCAGAGATGTGGAAATCAGTTAGCCGGCTATGGCTGTCGTCCAGGCAAGAGATGATGCTCATGCTTGGACTAGGGAGTAGCAGTAGATATTCCTAGAAGTAAGCATATTCAAGAGATTTGGGAAGTACAATTCATGAATTGGATATGAGGATTAGGGATAGGGAGACAAAAAGGTGACTTCCATGTTTCTGGCCCATACAACCAAATGATGG
The DNA here is from genome assembly GCF_000001405.40 of Homo sapiens. Taxonomy (NCBI): domain Eukaryota; kingdom Metazoa; phylum Chordata; class Mammalia; order Primates; family Hominidae; genus Homo; species Homo sapiens. The sequence continues at coordinate 68,116,766 of NC_000023.11, read as the reverse complement.
TCATGCATTTACTGATTTGAGAAACACAAGAAGACTAAGTTTGAGGGAGGCAATAAGTTGGAATTTGGATATGTCGAATTTGGGTAGCTTTGAAGAAATCAGGGCACAATATTAAGCAGGCAATTGAATACATAGGTCTGAAACTCAGTGATGAGTTCAGGGCTTGAACTAAAAAATTGGTGATCATTGACCATATAGATGATAGTTACAGCCAGGAACTTAAACAAGATTGCCTAATGAGATACTTTACTCGGTGAGGACTAAACTCTGATTTTTCATCTTGCCCAAATTCCTTTCTAAGGGGTCTGGGGAGTCATGCCCTCCAAGCCATAAATTCTCATCAGATGGGTTTTATTTAACCTTGTATATCATGACTTACTTTCCAATCTGACTCTGGCATAACAAGGGAGAAAATGAAAATGTTTTATCCCAAAATATATTTTCTTGCCATACCTTGAAATTGCCCTGCAAAGTCTCTTGTGGGAAAAATCCACATTCTATAGAGAATCCCCTTCCCCCATTGTTTTCCTTCATTTCTTTCCAGATCCAGGAGATAATCAACTAAGAGCCAGGTGCCCTTTTAGGTCTAATAAGAAACATTTTACAACGTACTCTCTCTAAAGTCTGGTATCTGAGAGATTCCTCCACACAATAAAACTTGGTCTCCACAATCCTTTATCTTAACCTGAACATTCCTTTCCATTGATCCCGGTCGTCAGATAAACTCAACCAATTGTCAACCAGAAAATGTTTAAATTTACCTATAGCCTGGAAGCCCCCACTTTGAGTTGTCCTGCCTTTCTGAACCAAACCAATGTATTTCTTAAATGTATTTGATTGATGTCTCATGCCTCCCTAAAAATATGTAAAACCAAGCTGTACCCTGACCACCTTGGGCACAAGTTCTCAGGACCTCCTGAGGGCTGTGTCACAGGCCATGGTCACTCATAGTTGGCTCAGAATAAATCTCTTAAAATATTGTACACAGTTTCACTCTTTTTGTCAACATCAGCCAAGCTTCTGTGTCAAGTAATATACACTCCTGGTCTGTACTTCTTAACTCCCCAGTTCCTTCTTAACTCATTGTAATCTAACTCTTACCCCCTCTGCTCCAATGAAGCTGCTTTTGCCAGGGTCACCAGGGATACCCTCAATGCTGCACACAAAGCACAGTTGTCAGTCTTTACCTTACTTGACCTTTTTGTAACATTTGAAGTTGTTAACAAGCCTTCTTTGATACTTTCTTCTGTTTTGGATTCTGCTGAATCACTTGCTTTTTGTTTTTCTCTAACCTCTTTGGTCATTTTAGTCAATCTCCTTTATGGGCTTTCTATTTGGTATTTTCCTGGGCTCTCTGCTCATTTTACTATAGTAGAACAACTGAAAACTGAAATATCTACAGGGACCAGGAAATAAAACTGAATGAAGTAGACTATTTTCATATTAAACACTTTGCACATTGAACCTTTATTTGTATGACAAGCCCTTTGTTTACATACAAACAGCAGTGTTGTTTACTTCTACAAAGAACCAATAGAGCCAGATCTTTGCATTTTTCAACAGGGACAGGGGATATGGGTTTGTATATGAAATATCTCATTTTAAAATATTTTGATCATTGATTCAATTCCATTTCACTTTTATACACTGTGCTGGACAAAGAAGAAATATCGGAAGACCTCATGTAGCTGTTTGACTGCCAGTTTGCCAGCTCCCCTGGAGAAGTGGCATCTGTTCTTGTGGTTTCGTCATCTGTTCTCTAGGTTCCTGATTTTCACATCTGCTTCTCTGATCTAGCAGAGCCCTGCATCCAGCTTCTTAGTAGATATCACCTTCCTGAGGCCTCCCTGACTTAGCATCTCTACTTCCCTCTTAATCAACTCTTATTCTATTCACTCACCCAAACCAAACTGCTCCCTTGCCATCATACCCAATCAAAGAAGGAGTTCTTTCTTTAATATTTTTCAAAACAGTCTCCTCACCTATTCTTTCTATGCTTTGTCACCCAGGCTGGAGTGCAGTGTTGTGATCATGACTCATTGCAGGCTTGCCCTCCCGCCACACCCTTCTCTCTCTCAGGCTGAAGCAGTCCTCCCATCTCAGCCCCTTGAGTAGTCTGGACTACAGGCACGCACCACCATGCCCAGCTACTGTTTTTAAGTTATTTTTAAGAGGTAGGGGTCTCATTCAGTTGTCCAGACTGGTCTCGAACTCTTGGGCTTAAGTGATCCTCCTGCCTTGGCCTCCCAAAGTGCTGGGATTACAGATGTCAGCCACCATGACTAGCCCCTCTGTTTGTCTTTTATTATCTTTTGCTTGGATTACTACAGTAACAACAGTGGCAGGCAGTATAGTATAGTAATTAAGAGCATGGACTCAGGAGACAGACTTCCTGCTTCTGCCACTTATTAGCTGTGTAATTTTGGATGAGTTTTTAACTTCTCTAGGCCTCAGTTTCCTCATCGATGAACTGGAAATGGTACCTACCTCACAGAGTTGTTATGAGGTTTAAATGGGTTAATACATGTAAATCACTTAGAGCAGTACAGAGTTTGCTATTCTTATAATTATTAGTTGATTACTTACTTCCTCTGAGCCACCTACCATATACCTTTATTTTGTCATCGTACTTGTCCCACTGCATTGCAAATTTTGTGTATGGTGCTCTTTTCTACTAAACTATTAGCTCGTTGGAGGTTTGGACTATTTCTATTCATCTCTGGATCCCCAGTACCTGGCACAATGCCAGGTACAAGTAAATGCTCAGCCAATGTTTTTTTTTTTCTTTTTTTTTTTATTATTATTATACTTTAAGTTTTAGGGTACATGTGCACAATGTGCAGGTTAGTTACATATGTATACTTGTGCCATGCTGGTGTGCTGCACCCATTAACTCGTCATTTAACATTAGGTATATCTCCTAATGCTATCCCTCCCCCCTCCCCCCACCCCGCAACAGTCCCCAGAGTGTGATGTTCCCCTTCCTGTGTCCATGTGTTCTCATTGTTCAATTCCCATCTATGAGTGAGAACATGCGGTGTTTGGTTTTTTGTCCTTGCGATAGTTTACTGAGAATGTTTTTTGACTAAATGAGTAAACCCATTTGAGCCTGAGTTTCCTCCTCCCGTAAATGGGGATTTGAATAACTGCTCCACCTCACAGGATTATTGGGAGGACAATTGCAAAAGCACTTCGGAAATTCTAAGGATCTATCAAATCGTAAGGGATTCATGGTAGCATTCAGCATGGGTCCCCTCTGGAATTTTGCAGGACTGGTTTGTGCCTCTTTTTACTTCTGGGAGCTAGTTGGAGACCTTGCTAGAGGGCTCAGCCCATGCTTTTGCAGGTCTTTTGTTGAATTACTAGCAACTTGGATTCCCTGACGAAGCTTCAGGTGAAGAGAAAAATGTATATAATCCCACTAAGCTGTAGGGCTCAGGAACTTCAGCCTTGCTGTCCCCAGAACTAAGAATCCAATACCCAGCTGCTTTCTTCCCAAAGCAACTGACAATTTTCATTCATTTCAGGAATCTTTCTGAACCTGTCATGACCTATAGACTTCACAAAGAGCTGGTCTCTGCTGCCAGTAAGTATTTATGTTACTAATTAACTGTGTTGTCCTAGTTTCTTAATGTTTACTGCAATAAGCCTAGAAAATTGTTTGAGGGGAAGTGATTGAGGGCACAGAAACCTAAAACACATACACAAATTATGCACAACTGCCAAATGAAAGTATTCTTGCTTGCTGTCTAACTCAAGAGTTCTATTATTTTTCATAATTAGTGTTACTTAAGTGGGCTTGAGAAAATTGGTTAACTTGAGGGTTGTGTGAATATAAAGGCTTTATTTATATATGTATTCATTGCCTCTTCCATCAGAACAAGAACATTGGCTCACATTACCAGGGGACAGAAAAATGGTTACACGACAGTTGCCGTTTCAACTTCCTTCAGCATTTTGCCTGTTCAAATGCTTTTCGACTGTGTTGTGAACCATTGTCCTTAATCTGTTAGTGCCAGCATCACATTTTCTAGATGAGAAAACTGAGGGAGAGGGCGTCAGTACATAGGAAATAAGGCATAGAGAATCACTCCCAAAAGTTGGCGATTAAAGAAGCATTGAAAGTTTTGGCTGAGGCCACTGTATGAGTGCCCCTCTCCACCTCAATGTGACCCTTATTCTGCATCATATCCTGTGTGGTGTAGAGGAAAAAGATTCAGGGGACTTAACATCATAATGCGTCTTTGTTGAAACAAGGGAGCTTTGTTCTTTACTTCTGGGCTCTCTCAGTGATTTTAACAGGAATCCAGAGGCAGCAGCACACTTCTCAGTACCACAAGGAAGGTGGATGGGAATAGGTTTCCAGCTGGAAGTTTATCTGTGAGACTTCAGGAACAACCTGCTGTGCTCAGAGTTCTGACTCCCTCTGAGACAGTCTTCTCTTCTCATCCTTCTCTTTTCTATCTTCTATTTTCTACATCTTTTTAGACCTGTTTCTTTGTGTGTGTTTTTTTTCTCTTTTTCTGCCTTTTTTCTTTCTTTATGTCTTTGTCTTTGTTTCTGGGTCTCTAATTTTTATTGTATTTCAGTGCCTATTTATCTCTCTGTCTCTTTTCATCTCATTGATTATCTCTCTCTCTGTGTGTGTCTCTGGGTGTCTTTCTCCGAATCTCTCTCTGTGTGTGTGTGTGTGTGTGTGTGTGTGCATGTGTGCATGTGTGTGTGTTTGTGCATATATATGTGAGAATTTTGCTCAATCCAGTTGCCCAGAAAGCCAAACCATTTATCTCTTACTGTTCTATCCCAGAGTCTGACAACCTGGATTACCGCCTAGGAGCTATTCACTCCCTGGTATATAAGCTACCAGAAAAGAACCGAGAGATGCTGGAACTTCTGATAAGACACTTGGTCAAGTAAGTAACTGCTGGATTTTCAGAAAAAGTTCCTATTAGAGGACTGGCCCATGTGGTTGGACTACACAGAAACTGCCTCTCAGCTCTTTCAGCCCCAGCCCTTAAGTGCTTCCTTGGAAGCTGAATGCTCTGTGAGGAAGGCTATTTTGCCTTGACCCATGTACATATCCTCTTAGAGTCATCATGCATGTGGATTGTCTCAGTTGAAAGGTAGCAGCAAGGTAGAGTGGGGTGGACACAGGCTTTGCTGTCAGATGAGCCTGGTTTTGAATTGAAGCTCTCCAACTTATTTGCTGTATAATCTCAGGCAAACCTCTCTGAGTCTGTTTGGTCATCTGCACAATCCCTACAATGAAGGCCAGTTGTGTGGATTAGGATGAACACAGGTAAAATGCATGTCACATGAGAGGCTCTCAAGAAATGGCACTTTTTGTTAAGATTCTGGTCAACTTCTTGCCATGGTGTGGCTGGCAGTAACAGACAGCGGGATCCTGGAGAATAGTCCTGGTGACAGGCACTGAGATAGGCAGGTGAAAGGGGCACTTGTGTCCCACAGTGGTGCTTCCTGGCCAGAAGATTTAATATTGTGAATCAAGATGAATTTACTTGGCTTAAAAAAGGCGGAAAGCATTCTGTCCAGGAGCCAGCAGACCTGGGCTCTAGTTTCATTTCTGCTTTCTGCTATTAGTTCATTTTGTGACCAGGGACAGGTCACTCTTGAGGCCTCTCTTGGTATATATATTAAAAAATTGTAATGTATTTTAAGTGTATATATTTAGCAAGTGCAGTTGTCTGCATACTCAAAAGATGCAGTAATGATACATTTTAACCTCATTTGGAGAGGCTCTGAAACACCTAAAATTGAGGCCTTTAATGAAGGTGAGTTTCCAGGTTAATGGCTCTTTTGGCCTCCCCCTGTAATAAATCCTGAGTGCTTTGCCTATCTGGACCTCGAGTTTTCCTATTATATGTGAGATCTCCAAGATCTGATTCAGCTCTGACTTTCAAAGACTGTTTTCTACACTTCTATAGCAAATGAATATTGTGGACACTGATGTAGGTAATAAGCAGAATTAACAAGAGAGAATGGCTTTTATATTTATTGCCAGTGTTTGCAATTTGAGCTAATAGAGAACATTAAGAGGCATGTGGTCTCCAAAAAGTAGTTTGTGATCATCTCAGTAAATGTACAAAAATCAGCAAAGAAGCTATTTGCATGTTAATTTAAAGTTGCCCTGGAGGAGTCTTTGAGTCCAAGTTCCAGATCTGTCACAAATATGCTGTGTGACCTAGAGAAAGTTCCTCCCACTCTCTGGGCCACAGGTTTGTGCATCTATAACACGAAGAGACTGAAGCAGCTAATCTCAAAGGGTTTTCTCAGCTCTGACTTTCTGAGAGTCTCAACATGTGACGAGACCCAAGGACTCAATTGAGGATGCCCGTGCTTAGTGAGCATCAGGGTGCCTGCCTCTATCTGCCCAAAGGCTGGCTGCTTGGCTTACTTTAAGAATCTTAGTCCTCAAAATCTTGAAATCAAAAGAAGACATGAACAAATAGATCACAGAAATAGAATGGCAAATACTCTTAAGTATGTGGTAATATGCTCAAGCTCACTCATAGTAACAAAAATACAAATTAAACCTATACTGAGCTACCATTTATTGTCAAATCCTAATGCTTATTAATTAGACTATGGGGAAACTGTCCTCTAATACATTTATTGTATTAATGCAGTACAGTTCCAGAAGAGGGGATTTGGCAGTACCTAACAAATCTACACATTCAGTTATCCTTTGACCCAGCAAAACAGCGTAAAACAGGGTATATGATATGTTAGCTTTTTTTTTAAGGCGTATACTCTAAAGATACACCTCCACCAATACAAACAACACATGCACAAGATTTCTCATTGCAGCACAATTTTCAAAAGCAAAAGATTGGAAACAACACAAGTATCTGAAAATAGGGGACTAGTCGAGTAAATAAGGGTGTATTCAACAGTGTAGTATTATGCAGTAATTTAAGAAAAGAATGAGGAAGATCTCTATGAACTTTGTTTTGTGGTGATTTTCTGGGATATATTACAATTTTCCAGCACGTAAAACAAACATCATAAAAAATCTCTGGCTGTAAAACAAGGTTTATAATATGCTAGCTTTTCTTTTGTAAGAAAAAAGAGGAAAATAAGAATATGTAAGAATACACACACATTTAAAAAAATTTGTCAAATGAAGCATACACTAAGATAAATTTAAAAAAAACTAATGACTCCAAAAGTTAAATGTAGAGTTGCCATAGATCCAGCAACTCCACTCCTAGGTATATACCTAAGATAAATGAAAACATGTCTCCACACAAAATCTTGTACACAAATGTCCATAGCAGCATTATTTCATAGTTGTTGAAAAGTGGAAACAACCCAAATGTCTGTTAACTAATGAATAGGTAAACAAAATGTGATATACAGGCAATGGAATATTATTCAGCCATAAAAAAGGATGAAGTACTGATACATGCCACAACATGGATAAACACTAAAAGCATTATGCTAAGTGAAAAAAAACAAGACACAAAAGTACATATTTTATATGATTTCATTGATATGAAATGTTCAGAGTAGACAAATCTATAGAGAAAGAAAGTAGATGAGTGGTTGGCAAGGTCTGGGAAGTGGGGGTATGAGAAGTAATGGGGAGTAATTGATAATGAGTATGAGGTTTCTTTTTGGAATGATGAAAATTTCTGGAATTATATAAGGGGTGACAGTTGCACGGCTCCGTGAATATACTAAAAACCACTTAATTATAACCTTTAAAAAGGTGAATTTTCTGATATGTAAAATATATTTCAATAAATGTATTATAAAAATAAACTAATGAAAGTGGTTATTATACTGGATAGGTGTGGTAAGTAGGGTGGAGGTGATAGGGGTAAGAGCTAGATTCCTCTAAGTATACCTCCTTATATACTTATGACTATTAAGCCATATTAATGTTTTACATATCCAAAAAAGAAAATTAAATCAAAAATTATAAACCGTAAAACTGAACACCAATAAAAGCAAATGACTTTAATGAACCTAAGTGTTTATCAACTTGATAGCATAATTACAGAGAGAAAGCAATTATTTCAACTAACGTGTCAACACAGTCCTCTGACTCATCCTTAATGAGATGTACTCTAGAAACAAGAAGAGCAAAATTTTAAGCAACACTCAGTAGGTTTATTAATAGTAGTAATATAATTTAACTTGAAACAAACACACAGATCTTATAAAGATAAAGCAAAAAAGTAAATATGTTAATGTTATCACAAGCTAAGTTTATAGTGTACAAAAGAGATACTGATAAAAAAGACATAAGGAAAAAAAATTTTAACATTAAAATTAAATTAAGAATGTTAATATGAATTCATGATTTAAAGAGAAAGCAACAAGAAGAAAAAACTTTATCCACTGAAACAGTGTCGAAGGGATTCTACCCAAAAAGAAGTGAATACACTTAGTGCCCAGTTTTTTGTTTTTAAATAGCATTTCCTTTTCAAAGGAATCAGGGGTGCTTAGAGAAATGGCTGATTGCATGTCTGGAGCAAGGAAAATACAAAGTTAGTCTTGGATAAATAGTACCACCAAGCAAGAAAGAACAGAGTCACACTAATAGTGTCATGTCCAAAGGACGTAGAAACCTTGAAAGGGCTGACACTGATGATGTTTGAGCCAACCTGAACATCAATAACAATAAATAATGTATTTGATTATTACATGTTGAAAAACAAAACTCCTGGAGGTGGGTAGAGGAAGGAAATCTCTTTATTGCAGAAGGAATACCAGCTAATAAACATAGGAGGAATGACAGAATTAGAAAAATCATTAGTTTGCAATCTAAGTGATCTGTTTTAGACATGAATCAAAACTATTGGGCAAGAGTATTGAGGAATAGGATGTTCACATTATTCCAGTGTATTACTGACAAGTTACTTACTAATCACAAATAAAAAACAATGTATCTTTACAATGAACCTATCTGGCAGACACCACCTTAAGTAATTGATCAAAGTTAGCATCAGTAATAACGGAACAGGCCAAGTGCAGTGGCTCAGGCCTGTAATCCTAGCACTTTGGGAGGCCGAGGCGGGTGGATCACCTGAGGTAACGAGTTCGAGACCAGCCTGGCCAACATGGTGAAACTCCGTCTCCACAAAAACACAAAAATTAGCTGAGCATGATGGTGGATGCCTGTAATCCCAACTACTCTGGAGGCTGAGGTGGGAGAATTGCTTGAACCTGGGAGGCAGAGGTTGCAGTGAGCCGAGATTGTGCCATTGTAAATAATGGAACAAACCACCTTATGTACCTCCTAATTAGACATAATAAAAATTATAAAACATTAACTGTGAAATATTTTTGCCAAAAATACGTAGCCTGAATCAAATTAATTCTTTCCAATTTGCAGGAAATAAAGAGTATAGAAAAACACACAGTATTTGACAGTCTATAAAGCTTTTGAAAAGGCTTGGACTTTTCAAAAAGTCAATGTTGTGGGAAAAAGTGGTAGAGGTACTGTTCTACATAAAGAGACTAAAGAAACAAACAAATACAGTATAAGAGCTTTGTTTGGATCCAAATTTGAAAAACGCAGCTATAAAAGACTTTTTCTCCCATAACATTTGAGAAAATTTGAATATGGACTAGATATTAGATGATATAGAATCTACGTTTTCTAAGATGCAAACATGTTATTGTGGTTTTGTAGGAAAATGTGCTTATTCTTTGATGATGAATGCTGAAGTATTTAGGGTTGAAGCAATGTACTTTCAGAGGATTAAGAAAAAATATAGACAGAATAAAAGCAAATATGGCAATATGTTAATTTTTGAGTCTAGGTATAGACAGTATGAGTCTTCCTAGTACCACTCTTTCAACTGTTTTGTATGTTTGAAAATGTTTATAATGAAAATTGTAGGGAAATGTAAATAAAAAATAGGCTTAGTTTCAATAGAGAAATTTACACAGGAGAAGAAAATTCAAGTGTTTTTAAAATGCACATAATTATCTTGCCTGTCAACTGCTGCTTTCATCATCTATATGATGAGTACATCTATGCCTTTGTACTGTGTTTCCACTGACAGCCTGTTTTCTAGGCTAATAACAGGCAGAACCAAACTGACCTTAGCCAATTTGAGGTTCTCAGTTATCCAGTTCTTTTTGGTTAGTATCTGTAGCTTCTATTAGTCAGAAGTAGGAGAACTCTAAGGCCACCTCCCTGGCAATCTTACTACCAGTGGAATATTACAATGGAAGCAAGCTCCAGGCCTAATTCTGCCATTCTTATAGCTATTTATCAGCAGGCAGACGAAAAAAGACTTGAACAACCTGTTCTGCAAACTCAAATGAAGTCCCAGCTCTCTGTCCTTTCAGATGCCCTGCCTGACAACATCTTGGATGAAAGGTTCACTGGAGGCAGATAAGATTGGAGTCAGACAATAAAATCCTACCATCTAGTACCCCTATGTAACCTTAGGCCTGGGCTACCATTCTGAAGGGTATGGGTTATTAGCTTACTAGGTTCTTTTTACTTTTGTAATAATACTTCTCTTATTTGAGAAGCAATACTGTGCATTGTATAAATTAGAAAATTTTTAAAAAGCAAAAAAAAAAAAAAAAAGGAAAAGCTTTCTATTCCCAACATTCAATAATCATTACTGTTAATATAGTTCAGGTTTTTTCGGATCTCTCTCTCTCTCTCTCTCTTCTCTCTCTCTCTCCCTCTTTTTCTCTCTCTCGTTGTGTGTGTGTGTGCATGCATTTTTGTATACACATACCTGTTTGCATTTTTTTTTACCAAAATGAGATTATGCTGTTCTTTAGTCTACTTTTTCCATTTTAACAATTTTGACTTTTCCAGACCATATTAACTTTTTCCCATTTGACCCAAAAGTGGCCTTTTATAGGTGTTTGTCCAATCTGGTATTCAATATAGGAACACATTTTATTTATGTCCTTATTGTGTTTTTAATCTAGCACAGTGCTTGTTTCTATTATTATTATTATTATACTTTAAGTTCTGGGATACATGTGCAGAACGTGCAGGTTTGTTACATAGGTATACCCGTGCCATGGTGGTTTGCTGCACCCATCAACCCATCATCTACATTAGGTATTTCTCCTAATGCTGTCCATCCCCTAGCCCCCCACCCCCCGACAGGCCCCAGTGTGTGATGTTCCCCTCCCTGTGTCCATGTGTTCTCACTGTTCAACTCCCACTTATGAGTGAAAACATGTGGTGTTTGGTTTTCTGTTCCTATGTTAGTTTTCTGAGAATGATGGTTTCCAGCTTCATCCATGTCCCTGCAAAGGACATGATCTCATCCTTTTTTATGGCTGCGTAGTATTCCATGGTGTATATGTGCCACATTTTCTTTATCCAGTTTATCACTGATGGGCATTTGTGTTGGTTCCAAATCTTTGCTATTGTGAATAGTGCTGCAATAAACATACGTGTACATGTGTCTTTATAGTAGAATGATGTATAATCCTTTGGGTATATACTCAGTAATGAGATTACCAGGTCAAATGGTATTTCAGGTTCTAGATCCTTGAGGAATCACCACACTGTCTTCCACAATGGTTGAATTAATTTATGCTCCCACCGACAGAGTAAAAGCATTCATATTTCTCCACATCCTCTCCAGCATCTGTTGTTTCCTGACTTTTTAATGACTGCCATTCTAACTGGCGTGAGATGGTATCTCATTGCAGTTTTGATTTGCATTTCTCTAATGACTAATGATGATGAGCTTTCTTTCATATGTTTCTTGGCCTCATAAATGTGTTCTTTTGAAAAGTGTCTGTTCATTTCCCTCGCCCACTTTTTGATGGGGTTGTTTGTTTTTTTCTTGTAAATTTAAGTTCCTTGTAGATTCTGGATATTAGCCCTTTATCATATGGATAGATTGCAAAAATTTTCTCCCATTCTGTAGGTTGCCTGTCCACTCTGATGATAGTTTCTTTTGCTGTGCAGAATCTCTTTAGTTTAATTAGATCCCCTTTGTCAATTTTGACTTTTGTTGCCATTGCTTTTGCTGTTTTAGTCATGAAGTCATTGCGCATGCCTATGTCCTGAATGGTATTGCCTATGTTTTTATCTAGGGTTTTTATGGTTTTACGTCTTACATTTAAGTCTTTAATCCACCTTGTGTTAACTATAAGGTCTAAGGAAGGGGTCCAGTTTCAGTTTTCTGCATATGGCAAACCAGTTTTCCCAACACCATTTATTACATAGGGAATCCTTTCCCTATTGCTTGTTTTTGGCAGGTTTGTCAAAGATCAGATGGTTGTAGATGTGTGGTGTTATTTCTGAGGCCTCTGTTCTATTCCATTGGTCTATATATCTGTTTTGGTACCAGGACAATGCTGTTTTGGTTATTGTAGCCTTGTGGTATAGTTTGATGTCAGGTAGCATGATGCCTCCAGCTTTGTTATTTTTGCTTAGGATTGTCTTGGCTATATGGGCTCTTTTTTGGTTCCATATGAAATTTAAAGTAGTTGTTTCTAATTATGTGAAGAAAGTCAATGGTAGCTTGATGGGGATAGCATTGAATCTACAAATTACTTTGGGCAGTAAGGCCATTTTCATGATATTGATTCTTCCAATCCATGAGCATGGAATGTTTTTCCATTTGTTTGTGTCTTCTCTTATTTCCTTGAGTGGCAGTTTGTAGTTCTCCTTGAAGAGGCCCTTCACGTCCCTTGCATGTTGTATTCCTAGGTATTTTATTCTCTTTGTAGCAGTCGTGAATGAGAGTTCACTCATGATTTGGCTTTCTGTTATTGGTGTATAGGAATGCTTGTGATTTTTGCACATTGATTTTGTTTTCTGAGACTTTGCTGAATTTGCTTATCAGCTTAAGGAGATTTTGGGCTGAGACCATGGGGTTTTCTAAATATACAATCATGTCATATGCAAACAGAGACAATTTGACTTCCTCTCTTCCTGTTTGAATACCCTTTATTTCTTTCTCTTGCCTGATTGCCCTGGCCAGAACTTCCAATACTATGTTGAATAGGAGTGGTGAGAGAGGGCATCCTTGTCTTGTGCCTATTTTCAAAGGGAATGCTTCCAGCTTTTGCCCATTCAATATAATATTGGCTGTGGGTTTGTCATAAATAGCTCTTACTATTTTGAGATACGTTCCATCAACACCTAGTTTATTGAGAGGTTTTAGCATGGAGGGTGTTGAATTTTATCAAAAGCCTTTTCTGCATCTATTGAGATAATCCTGTGGTTTTTGTCATTGGTTCTGTTTCTGTTTCTCTTTCCCGATTTCCCTGGACAGAACTTCCAATACTATGTTGAATAGGAGTGGTGAGAGAGGGCATGCTTGTCTTGTGGCGGTTTTTAAAGGGAATGCTTCCAGCTTTTGCCCATTCACTATCATATTGCCTGTTGATTTGTCATAAATATCTCTTATTATTTTGAGATATGTTCCATCAATACTTAGTTTATTGAGAGTTTTTAGCATGAAGTGATTTTCAAATTTATCAAAGGCCCTTTCTGCATCTATTGAGATAATTATGTGGTTTTTGTCATTGGTTCTGTTTATGTGATGGATTACATTTATTGATTTGCATATGTTGAACCACCCTTGCATCCCAGGGATGAAGCCAACTTGATCGTGGTGGATAAGCTTTTTGATGCACTGCAGGATTCGGTTTGCCAGTATTTTATTGAGGATTTCCGCATCAATGTTCATCAGGGATATTGGCCTGAAAGTTTTTGTTGTTGTTGTGTCTTCTGCCAGGTTTTGGTATCAGGATGATTCTGGCCTCACAAAATGAGTTAGGGAGGATTCCCTCTTTTTCTATTGTTTGGAATAGTTTTGGAAGGAATGGTAGCAGCTCCTCTTTGTACCTCTGGTAGAACTTGGCTGTGAATCCGTCTGGTCCTGGGGTTTTTTTGGTGGGTAGGCTATCAATTTCTGCCTCAATTTCAGAACTTGTTATTGGTCTATTCAGGGATACAACTTCTTCCTGGTTTAGTCTTGGGAGGGTGTAGGTGTCTAGGAATTTATCCATTTCTTCTAGATTTTCTAGTTTATTTGTGTAGAGGTATTTATAGTATTCTCTGATGGTAGTTTATATTTCTGTGGTATCAGTGGTGATATCCCCTTTATCATTTTTTATTGTGTCTATTTGATTTTTCTCTCTTTTCTTCTTTATTAGTCTGGCTAGCAGTCTATCTGTTTAGTTAATCTTTTCAAAAACCAGCTCCTGGATTCATTGATTTTTTTTAATGCATTTTTTGTGTCTCTATCTTTTTCAGTTCTGCTCTGATCTTAGTTATTTCTTGTGTTCTGCTAGCTTTTCAGTTTGTTTGCTCTTGCTTCTGTAGTTCTTTTAATTGTGATGTTAGTGTTTCGATTTTGTATCTTTCCCGCTTTCTCCTGTGGACATTTAATGCTATAAATTTCCCTGCGAATACTGCTTTAGCTGTGTCCCAGAGATTCTGGAATTTTGTGTCTTTGTTCTCATTGGTTTCAAAGGACTTATTTATTTCTGCCTTAATTTTGTTATTTACCCAGTAGTCACCCAGGAGCAGGCTGTTCACTTTCCATGTAGTTGTGTGGTTTTGAGTGAGTTTGTTAATCCTGAGTTCTAATTTGATTGCACTGTGGTCTGAGAGACTGTTTGTTATGATTTCTGTTATTTTGCATTTGCTGAGGAGTGTTTTGGCAGTACATATACTAAAATTGGAACGATACAGAGAAGATTAGCATGGCCCCTGCCCAGTGCCTTTTTTTATGATACTGTTTTACCAACAAGAGAAGACCAATTGTCCTGTAGAATGTTACTTCCTAGTTTTGTCTGCTTTCTTCTTTGTCATATATTTCAGCTAATTACTCTACTTCTTGTATGTTTTGTAAAGTAGAGGTTATATCTAAAGGCTAGATGGATTCCAGTTAACTATTTGTTGGCTGGAACAAATCACATGTGATGTTGTATACACCATATGCTGCATCACATCTGAAGATGCATAAGATTGGTTGATTCACCTTACTGATGTTAAGATTAACCATTGCTATATTTTTCTACCCTGTCAATGCAGGGCTGAGAGTGTCTGTACAATATTTTCAGCTAGTCCATATGTCTTTAATACATCTAGGCAATGATAATTCATTTTTACCTTATGTTATGCTCATTAACAAAGCCTTTGGTGTTGGTTGGAGATAATGTTAGCTGAAACTTACAGGAGCCCCTCTGACTTTTACCTGAGTCTTTAAATACTCATTAATCACCCCTAGAGTATGCGTGTATTCACAATTAGAATACTACAATTATAACTAATACGTTATACATGTTAGAGTATACATGAAAACTAACAAGCACATAAACCAAATTTCATCAGTTCTAATAACACTTTTTCTCAAATTGTAATCTGAATTCTGTACACATCTGAAAATCAATGGTTTCTTAAAATTACACTTATCAGGCAGCAGTTTTGATGTAATTATCATGGCCTCCATATGCATGAACTTGTAATAGCTGCTCATATTATAGTCACTTAAGTTAAATTATGTTCATTGTTGAGTTTATTTTCTATTTAAAATGTCTTCAAAAATATTACATGATGATATGACAATGAAATTACTTTTCTTTCTTAGTGGTACATAAATAATGTGCTCGTAACTGATGACTGATGAAATTCATGACATCGTATGGACTTTGTTGAAGTATTTAAAGTAAATGACAGATAATATAACACCAGTGGAGGAAGCCAAAGCTGTCAGCCCTTTAAAAAAAGGCACCATTTCGCTGGGCACGGTGGCTCACGCCTGTAATCCCAGCACTTTGGAAGGCCGAGGCGGGCGGATCACGAGGTCAGGAGATTGAGACCATCCTGGCTAACATGGTGAAACCCCATCTCTACTAAAAGTACAAAAAATTAGCCGGGCATGGTGGCGGGCACCTGTAGTCCCAGCTACTCGGGAGGCTGAGGCAGGAGAATGGCATGAACCCGGGAGGCGGAGGTTGCAGTGAGCCGAGATCGCGCCACTGCACTCCAGCCTGGGTGACCGAGTGAGACTCCATCTCAAAAATAAATAAATAAATAAATAAAAATAAAAAATAAAAAAAAGGCACCATCCTTGGGGATAGGGACCTGTTTGCTTGTGACACTGATTCACTCTCGCCTTCACTATTGTCTTTTCCTTTTGAAGAATTTTTTATTATGTAAGATTTCAAGTATATATGAAAATAGAAGAAACAGTATAGGGAAGTATTATGTGTCCATCACCCCTCCTTCAACTGTAATCAACACATGGCCAATCTTGTTTCATCTATTTCCCCACCCATTTCCCCTCCTCCCATGTTATTTTGAATCAAATCTAAGACATCATATTATTTCATCCACAAATATTTCAGTTTGTCTTGAAAAGATTAGAACTGTTTATAAACATAACATCACATCTAAAAAGAAATGAGTAATAATGTAATAATATTATCCATTATTCTGTGTTCAGATTTCTGCTTCCTTTTTAGTTTTGTGTTTCTGGGGTGTGTGTGTGTGTATGTGTGTGTGCGTGTGTGTGCGTGTATGTATGTATGTATAGGGTGGGAAAGGCAAGCATACTTAATAGATGGTTCTATGTTCTTCTAACAGGGGACACACAGTGTGTGGTTGTCTTTGCCCCCAATTATTTTCGAGAGCACTACTTTCTGAGATTCACTTAATTGTCAGAGCTGGAAGTCCCCTTAGATCACCTAATAACTTCATTTTACAGATGAGGGAACAGATACCTAAGGATGGAAAAAGATAGGCCCAGAGACACAATACTTTAGTAAAAGAACCAAAAAATATTGAAGGTAGCTTCCTTGTTTAGGAGTCAGAGGGCACACAGTTCTTAGAATTGTTGGATGCTAAAGCTGGGCGAGACCTAAAAGTTCATACAGATAGCCTCTCATTCTGCCAGAGGTCTCAGTCTGGCAATCTGTTGACAAGGTCCAGACCAGAAATATATTTTATTTGTCCTGCAGTGTTTTGGGAAAAAAGTGATTTGGCTTCAACATTTAAAAAATCCAGATAGTTCACATCAAAATATACATTTCAGGAAAAAAAGAGGATGTTAGCACACTGGATCTGCATGCCCACGTGGCAGCAATCAGTTGGGGTTGAGTAATGGTTTCTTGCTTTGGAATGGGCACAAGCTTCTAATTTGCCATAGCCCTCACCACTCCCAAGTGTTTTAACAAATATTATATTAGAGTTACATTAGATGTGACCTAGGAATTTCCCTTTCTTAAAACTAGAAGTTATTCTGTTGATGGTGTGTCTCTAAGTGAGTGGCGGGAAAATGGTGGTCTAAAGAATGTCTGCTTGTTTAAATGTGGCAGCCACTTCTCACCAGGCCCATTTCTCTCATGTAAGTTACCTGCCTTGCCCCTCTAGACATTTAAATTTATGACCTCTAATCTAAACCATGCAATCAGAATCATTTTATTCTGTACTGGAGGCTTCTCACAACCAACCTCAGTGGACTAGAGAGTTCAAGATTCCTTTGCTGTCAAATAACATCACATACTCTTGTTTTTGGTTTCATTCATCTTGTTAACCCACAATTTGGAATGTTACTTATCCCCCATACTGATTTTCAAAATATATAATAAAAAGAGAGACACTAAATGCAAAGCAATTTCCCCAAAGAATAGGTGAACTTCCAAATCTCATAAGAAGGCCAAGAAGGAAGAGTATCCTAAATGGGATGCCAAGTAACTCCCTCAGAGAATCAGAAGGTGGCTTTAGCTTAGAAGAGCTCACATATGAGTTTTGATTTCTCCAGAAAAGTTAGACAAGCAGGCAGTGGGATGCAATGGGATAACTATAAGACTTGGGGAGCAACAAATATGGGCTTGAATCTCTGCCTTGCCATATGACCTTGCCAAGTGCTTTGCTCTTGGTAAACCTAGGCTTCAAAGCTAAAATACTCTGCTTTTTGGAGTTGTGATGATTCTGTGAGCTGCTGGGACACTGAACAAAGATCAGTTCCTTTCAAAGTTCACAAAAGGAGATACACAAGTGCCCTTGTGGTTTAGCCTTTTAGGGTCACTTGGTGTTAGCATGGAGATACTTTTCCATTTTAATATCTGAAAAAAACTTCCGTCACTAAAGAATAAAGATTAATTGCAGGGGTATTGAAACTGTTAAAAGGAACACATCACCAGCCCAGCAATATCAAAAGCTATGAATGGTTGCTGTTCATTTCCATCTGAATGGTACTCAGCTTTGTCTAGGGCTTAACAGACTTCACATTAAGATTTGTCTAAGGATTCTGTCCTCCTCAATTACCCACTCAGTGTTAAGAACCTGCCATTCTCTTCTGGGCCTTAGCCTTGGTAGGTGTGGAGAGTGAGTGTTTCGGGTAGTCAGTTGGGCTGTTCCTACAGCCAAACTGACCAAAAGAGATTCTTGCCTTTTACTTGGCTGCCTCCAGGACTGTTTGAAACAGCACTAGGGAGCTCAATTCCTTTACAAATAATTCATTAGTACCTGCTGTGTGGCAGGCACACACACTTGGAAGTTGTTTATCATTTAGTAGGAGAGGCAGATAAGTAAACGGAAAATTGCAACTTACTCTGCTTGCCAGTGGTTTTAGTTAAGATGAGCACAGTGGGCTCTGGTCTCCCTGAAGGAGATGTAACGTTATGTGCATCTCCAAGGATAGATAGACATTTTGTAGATGTAGGGAGAGGGGGGATATTCCAGGTAGAGAGAACGACATGAGCAGAGAGGTATGGGGGTCTGAAACAATGTGGTATAACCAGACAACCCCAATCTAAGCAGTTTAGTATAACAAGAGTGTCAGAGGTCAGCAGTACCTGAAGGCTCCTGGAGAGGTAATAATAACAACAGATACTTCCCAGGGTGCCAGGTACCATGCTGAAGCAATTTATCTTTATTTATTCAACAACTCTCTGAAGTGGGTGCTATTTTCCCAGGTGGGAAAACTGAAGTTCAGAGAGGTTAGAGTGAGTGAACTCACTGTTGCGCAGCTGGTAAGTGGCCGTGTTGGGATTCAAACCCAGCTTCAGAGCCTAAGCAGTGAGTAGGGATTGGAAATAGGGGTCAAGTTACTCAAGTTATGGAAGGCCTCATTTGTCACTTTGAAGAGAATTGGCCCTATCCCAAAGTAGGAAGCCACTAAAGGGAATTTAAGCAATGAAAGTGACTAGGGATCAGAAAATCTGGGATTGCACGTTCTACTCTACAGCTAATTGACTGTGACTTCGAGCAAATTCCTTTCCTTCTTTGGGCCTATGTTTTTTCATCTGTAAAATAAGGAAGATGATCAAGGGCAAGTCTTAATGATCCCTTTCAGCTCTTTCAGGTTTTTGCTTCTCTAACGGGGGTCAGGAAGGGGCTGATTTAAGAGACTAGTAGGCATTCTCTCAATGTGCTTTGTGGTTCTTTGTACATGCTTTATACTTATATGGGCTGTTCCTCTTGCTTTGAATGTCCTCTTGCTTCCCTCCTGCCTCTCCAAATAGTATCCCACTAGCTTTAGTCCCTCCCCACATCCCTGTCTGTCTCTTAATTCCTTCAATGCTGTTAGCTAGGTTAGCTATGTCTAACCACTTTGATTCCTAATTTTATACTATCTTGTATTCTTTGCTGATTGTTTCCTTTGTAATCTTGCCTTCCAATACATACTTTAGGTGCTCCTTTCCTTCTACATTTTAGTTTCTCTTACCCTCTACAGCACCTAAAACAGTCTTGGTTGTAAGGGGATACTGGAGCAAATTTTGTTAATCTTGCCCCTTTTCTTCTGGCAGTGTGTGTGAGCACAGCAAAGAGAATCTTATGACCCCCTCCAACATGGGAGTAATCTTTGGGCCCACCCTGATGAGAGCTCAGGAGGACACTGTGGCCGCCATGATGAACATCAAATTCCAGAACATAGTGGTGGAAATACTAATCGAGCACTTTGGCAAGGTATGCATTTTCTATTCTCACTACCTGTCTTCCAAACATGTGACACTTTCCCCCAACTGCCTTTTAGTGCTGTGTCTTCCTCCTTGGCTCACGTTGACAGTGAAAGGAAATCCCATTATGACACAATGACATTTAATGGCAACTCTGACCCTGGGAAATTCATTCATTCAGCAAACATTGCTTAAGCTTATAACTATATTATTTTCAGACACCATGCTAAATACTGGGGGTAATGAAGAAGAAAAAGTCACTGTCTGTGCCTTTAAGGTGTTAACAATGTGTAGTATGGAGACAGATGGGTAAATAGGAAAATGATAGTATAAAAGTAGTCTATATACAATGAAACTGTAGGGGAGAAGATATTTATGTTCTCACCCATTGCTAGTTTCATGGCTGAGATCCCTATAACAAAAGACCGATTAACAAGAGAAAAGCATACAAATTTATTTAATAAGTTTTACATGACACAAGAACCTTTAGAAATGAAGACCCAAAGAAGCAGGTAAACTCTTGCATTTTTTATACTAAGTTTGATGAAATGGATCGTTGTGAAGATTAGTGATTAGAAGACAGAAGGATATGATCTAATGGTAATAAACTTAGGGGGATCTTAGCAAGGCTTGTTTGTTCAGATTCTTCTTGGTGTTTCTGTGTCTTCGAGGATAGGGATGTTCTTTTCCTTCAGTTATAGGGAGGGTACCTCTGGAATGACCTACTTCAGAGGAAGGTCAGAGAATTCTTTTATGGCCTGCTCCAGGGGAGAAGGTAGAGAAACCTTCTTGCTTCTGCTGTTTCCACAAACGCCAAAGTGCCATATTTTGGGATAGCAGGTCCTGAACTCCATCAAAACTAAAAAGAAATCAATGCTTACACTTATTCGAACCCCATCTCATTCCAAAAGTATATATGGTAGCATATTTTATATTGCACATAAAATATAAGGCATCATACATTATAATCAGGTCAAGTACAAAAGGTAAAACAAAGGTAGAGTCAGAAAATGATGCCCAGAATGAGGTTAAGACAAATATTTATTGACAAATTCTTGTACACTTGCAACAGATGGCCCTGCACACTGGGGTATAAGCTTCATAGCAGCTAGTGCCATCCTAGGGAAAAGCATAATTCAATAAAGAAGCACAGGGAGGCAAAAGCAGCAGGACTTGGTGACTGGAAGTCACCAAGGATGGGGGAGAGGGAGATTTCTGAATCCTGATTTTCTGACTTGGCTGACTGGGTGGATGGGGCTGTCCTTATACATATAAGAAATTCAGAATGGGAAAGTTTGAGGGAGATAGAGGAAAGTTCAGTTTGGAACAGGTCGCATTTGAGATTTGTGAAAGACATCCAGGGAGCAATGCCTGGCGAGCAGTTGACTATGTGAATCTAAAGCAGGGATCAGAAAGCTTTTCCTTAAAGGACCGTATAATAAATACTTAAGCCTTTGCAGGCCATGGATTTCTGTCACAACTACTTAGCTTTGCCATTGTAGTGAGAAAACAGCCATAGACAATATGGAAACAGATGGTTGTAGATGTGTTCTAGTAAAATTCTATTTACAAAATGGGAAACAGGCCTGTGGGCTGTAATTTGCTGACCCCTGTTCTAGAGCCCAGATGTGATAAATTGATAAATCAATTGATTCATCCAACAAATATGTGTCGAGTACCCACTTTATGCCAGGTACTGTTTCAGGAACTCTAGATATCATCTTCATAGAGTTTATATTTAGAAAAAGTAAACAAATAGTATTCAAAGTAAGTAAAGTATATAATATTTTAGATTGTAATGAACATTAAGGAGAAAAGCAGAGAAGGGAAATAGGAAGGGTTGGAAAGTGGTTTTGCAATTTTAAATACAGATAGGAAAGGAGAAAATAAGGAAATGAGGAGGGCCTCACAGAGAAGATGACCTTTCAGCAGAGATCGATAGGGAGTAGAGGAATGATTCATTCACCTATCCAGAGAGAAAGGATTCTAGGCTGAGGAAATGGTAAGTGCAAAATCCCAGAGGCAGAAGTGTGCCTGTCATATTCACGGTACAACAAGGAGGCCAGACTAGCTAGAGTGGATTAAGCAAAAGATGAAATAGAAAAAGATGGGCTCGAAGAGATAATGGAGAGGGACAGACTAGATCCTGTAGTGGAGTCTTATAATCCACTGGAAGAATTTTAGATTTGCTCTGCCTGGGTAAGATAGAAGGGGGGTTTTGAGCATGGGAGTGACAGGATTTGATTTAGGCTTAACAGGCTTATTCTGGCTGCAATGTGGAGAATATGAAGGAAGTCAAAGAAAATCTAGATAAATTGAGATACATACTGTGTTCATGGAGTGGAAGACTCAACATGATAAAGATGTCAATTCTTTAAAAATTATAAGTTTAAGGTAATCAATATCAAAATCCCAGCAAGAGCTTTTGTAGATAAAGACAAGATAATACTAACATATATGTAGAAATGGAAAGGAACTGTAAGGGCTAATACAATTTTGAAAAATAATAAACTGGAGGTAGGTATTAATAATATTAATGCTTACTGTATTGCTTCAGTAGTCAAGACAGTGTACAATTGGCAGAGGTAACCCGATAAGTCCTCTTGTCTACTTCTTACATAAACAAATAGAACAGAATAGAGAATCCACAAATAGCCCTACAGAGTATGGCCTGATTATTTTTCATGAAGGTACAAAAGCATTTCAAGGGAGAGAGGGTAGTCATTTCAATGAATTGTATTGGAGCAATTGCAGCTCTATAGGTAATGAAAGTGAACCTCAACCTAAACCTCTCATTTTATATAAAAATGAGCTCACAAAGGATCATACATTTACATATAAATCATAAAACTAAAACTTGTAGAAGATAATATAGAAAACTGTTAGAGCCTAGGACTTATTGAGGAGACATGATACCAAAAGCATAATCCATTAAAGAAAAAAAATCAATAAATTGACTTCATCAAAATTAAAAATTTTTGCTCTGTGAATGACCCTATTAATAAGATGGAAAAAAAAGCTACCGAGATTTGGAGAAAATATTTGCAAACCACGTATCTGACAAAGGATTAATATCTAGACTATACAAAGAACTCTCAAAGCTCAACAGCACAAAAATTCAATCTAATTAGAAAGTGGGCAAAAGACATGAACATGACGTATGCGTGGCAATTAAGTATATGAAAAGATGTTCAAGATCACTAGCCATTAGGGAAATACAAATTAAGACCATGATGAGAGATCTCTACACACCTATTAGAATAGGTAACGTTAAAAAAATATATAGTGGCAATACCAACTGCTGACAAGGGTACACAAAAACTGGATCTCTCACACATTTCTGGTAGGAATATAAAATGGGGCGGCTGCTCTGGAAAACAGTTTTGGAGTTCCTTAAAAACTAAACATGCACTTCTATCGGATCCATCATTTACACTCCTGGGCATTTATCCCAAAGAAATGAAAACATGTCCACACAAAACCTTTATAGGGATGTTAATTAATATTTGAAAAAAAGTTATTTAAAGCATTTTACACATATTAGCACATTTACACCTCATTTCACATAAGAAGAAACCAAGGTACAGAGAAGTTAAGTGACTTGTCCAGGGTCATGGAGTAAGTAAATGTTGGAGCTCAAATTTGAAATCAGGCAGTTCAAATGTATACTTTACCACCTCTAGATCTTTGTTATGTGTTTTGCAAATGGGTACCTGAAGTAAGTGAAGGTGAGGGTCATTATAGATGAGAGAGCTAAGGAACTTTGAGGCAAGAGTTGCTGAAGGGTCATCCACATAGTAAAGATTTTTGATAGAAAATAATTTTCTAATCCTAGCATTTGGTGGTCAGATCATGGGTCTTGTATGCTTGGCTAAGGAGTTTGGTCTTTATCCTGAAGGCAGTAGGGAGCCTTGGAAGCATATTCTGAACATTCATTATATGATGATTCATTGCATCTTAAATGTCCTAATTCATTTATAAGTGGATAAAGGAGTGACACAGCATCTCATCATTAGTATAACAAAATAATTTTTCTTTTGTTTTTATTCTATGCATTTTTAGGGGCAAATGCCAACTTAAATTTTATTAGAAAATGTGTTGGTTGGCAAATGACCTCAATCCCAATCTAGTTCATAAAAGTGTGATTTTGCTATGTCCAAAGCATATTATGTGGCATGATTTGAAAAGCAATTAAATGCTAGTTATCTCTTATTCCCAGGATATAATAGGAGGCCATTTCTATTAACTAGTGGTCAGCTGTTAAGTGAGATTTTCACACCGTTGTAACCTGTTAATATGTGTTAAGTAGTCGAAGTTCTGACCTTTGTGTGATACCAGAGATGTACGCTGACCATGTTTTCCAAACAAAGACATGGTAACCAAGGATCTTTTCTGATTTATGAATTTATTTCAAATGAAACATCTTACATGGAGATATGAAATGAAATCCCAGTTTATTAAATACTTATCAAGTTACCTTTTTTGAAAAATAGCAGAATGATATATGGGTGAGAATGTTCCAGAAATTCTAGACCTTATGTAGGTGTAACCTCACATGGTGGTTGTGGGATTAAAAGAGATAATATGTGTGAGAGCTGTTGCTGCTTCACACATAGGGATTATATGTTCCTGGCAAGTTGTTCAGTTAATGGGGTATGATTTTTCAGTTGAAATATATTATAATTTCAGTAATGTGTTTTTTCCATTTACACTTGCTCTTTAATAGAAAAGGGCTTAAACACATTGGTTTTAAGTTTTCTTTGTTACTCCTTTCTTTCAGTCTCTCTTTTAAGAGCATCCAGGGTCTGTAAATACAGTGTAAGTGAATCAGAAGAGTTGATGCTTAAAGGAGTCTATTACTAAGTCTTGCTTAAAATTTTTTTTTAACAACTTGAATGATCTTTTCTAATTTTTTTCTTTTTTAAGTTGGAAAGTAGGTAAATAATAGGGGAAGATCTACCTCTACACTGATTCCCTAGAACAACATTGCCAATTATTCTGAAGTTCTCTCTCTTCCCATCTCACTTAGCAGTATGTATCAGGGTGCCTGAACCTCATGTTGTTGGCTTGAGGCATAGAGGTAATTTGGACTGACAGAGGAAGGTTGACTTCTGTTTTCCGAACATTTTGTTTTGGGGAGCTGCCAGGAATTAGTGGGGAAGAGAGAGGTCATCTCTGAAGGCGGTTCTTAGCAATTTAGTTTTGAGGACAGAGCTATTTCACCTAAGGGGACAAAATATAGGGTAGATCCATTTGAATTTTAGAACTGGAAAGGGGCCCTAAAGACCTTCAGGTCCAAGCTTTTCATTTTATATGAAGCCTCTTTTCGCATGCCATGGTAGTGGTAACAGGTTTGCATTTCTGCAGCTCCATTCCTGCTTGTCTACTGTTTGGAACATCAGCTCTCCCCCACAGTTCTTCCCAACTAGTTTATAAAAGAACTCGGATACCAGCCACAAACTTTTACCAGTTGTCTAACTTGTGCTTTGCAAACTCATTTTCTCACCTACACAACCTGGCATCAGCTGTTTTCCTCCTTTATTGCTCCCAAGACCACTCTCAAAGAGCTAGAAAGCAGTGGTTCTGCCCCTGTAGACTTAGATTTGTATTCAGTGAACATGGAATCAGTGTGGGACAGCGTATTTCCAGCTCGTTTAGTCCTTTTTCTAACTCTGTGAATGATGGATCGTATTTCCATTTCTGAGATAGGAAATGGAGGCATTGAGTGTAGTAAGTGGCAAAGCTGAGACTTAAGTTTAGGTCTATCAGGTTAAGGCTGCCCCTCAGGGAAAGGGGGACCTGTTTTATTGAGATGTGAGCTGTGCTTTTCTTTGCATCATTGATGATGACTTAGCTATTCTAGCTACTCTTGAGTTCCCTCCTTATTTCCAGTCTTTCCTTTTTAGTGGGTGGGCATCTGCTTTTTAATCATACAGGAAGGATCTTGCCTAACTGTGTTAAGTATAGTTTTCTGGGAGAATAGTTGATTATTTTTGAGATAATTAGAAAATCTATTATCGGTGTATGTCAAAATGGATTTTAGTCTTACTGCTTAAGATATATGGTTCAGGGAAATGGAAGACTGAATGGTATAGTCTTTTCTGCAGACATGGATGGTTGAAGGCAGTTCTTCCTATAAACTGGCCGGAGAAAGCTGGGTTATTCTCAGTGTGGAGTTTGTGGGAACTCCAGTGTTGCCTATGTTCCCAAATGGCCAAATGGGACCTCATCCAGGAAAAAAGCCCATGTCGTAGCAATGTAATGGATTTGAGAAGGCAAACAAGAGACCCTGTTAAGAAATGGCTCTGATTTATATACTTTTCAGACACCCAGTCTAGCAACCTAGAGGAAACAGACCCTTCCAGTCCTGGTCTGTCTCTCCTTTCTCTAAAAGGTGGTGTTTGTGAATTTCAGTCTGCCACCAGAGGGTAGCAAGAGAACAGATGAATGTGTCCCTCCAACTGATTTCTGGAATAAGATAGATAGATAGATATTTTAAAATATAAGTAAATGTAAATATATAGTTATACTTTATAGATTTTACTGTATAGATTTATATTTTATACATTTGTATTTTAGAATGTATCTCTATATCTACCTACCTACACACACACACACACACACACACACACACACAGACACACACACTTGGTGGGGGGTGGGCGTCAGTATGTGTAAAGAGAGAGAATCTAATTAAGCCAAGACTCTACTTCACATTTAATTTCTGAAATGATAAGGTTAAGCTAAAGGTTATTGAAAATAACATTTTTATTATCTGTACATGTAAGGATATTTTCATTAGTCTCTACATGTGAATCTAATATGTATTTAGCTTGGAATTTGGCAAACATTCTCAATTGAATCTGGAGAAAAAATATCTTTAAGTTTGAATATTAAGATCAAAACGTAACCTGGAGAAAAAATATCTTTGAGCAGAGAATTATTAAGATTGGGAGATTTCAGATGTATTTATTAGTTACAATGAATCTTTGAAAACGTAGCTTCAAGTTTTCCACCTTGGCTAAGTGGAGGTCTTTCACACATTCTTCAAATGCCCAGTTACTTATAGCTTTGAAGTGAAGTCAGGCCCTGTTTGAGGTGAATAAGCATGTCCAAACCCAATGAGATAGGGTGATAAATGTAGGATGCAGTTGTGATCTGAGGTTTGCTCCAATGTTCAGAGAGCAGAAAAGATTCCCCTTTTGATTCTGGGAATTATGCCGATGATTCAGAATGAGGTGAAAATATCCACTCCTTCCCTTTTTCTCTCTCTAGCTGGGGCTGTAATAATAATTATCACAGTAAAAATGATAGCATTTTTTGACAGCTTGCTATGTGTCAGACATGGTGCTATACATTTGACACAAAGCATCTCCTCGATTTCTCACAACTTTATGTAGTATTTACTTACAGGTAAACTGCGGTCTACAGAGGTTAAGTTTCTATGGACTATCAAAATCAAATATCTGTTTTTATTTTCTTTTTGGAGGCTTCGAGTGTGTGTGGGTGGGGAAGAATATAGAATCAGAGATTTTTGAGAATCGAAAATATCTCCAAGGTCATATTGTCCATTCCCCTCAATGGCCAGCGATTTTCTTGTATCATATATTTTTTCCTTTGCTGTTCTCCTTTGAGTGGCCTGAGGTCTCAGGTTGGAACACCAGAGTCTAGATAATACAGTAAGACTGGGGCCAGTGTGCCAGAGGGCCAGATAGGTGTACTTTGGCAGCTAGACTTAAAGCAGACTGAGCTTCAGCAGTCTGGTGATAGGCCAATAGGAATTTCAGAAAACAGGAATCAATTGAGGAGCAATGAGAGATCGGGTGGACTTTTTCTTTGCTCTGAGATTTGGAGAGTGAAAACTGGGTCATTGCTACTTTCTTAGATTAAGACTCCTTACCAAGAACTCTGAAAATGTCCAGGCTACCTCTGTGAGCTCTTCAGATATCCCTAGAGTGAGAATAATGGAAAGAATGGAAAAATAGCTTTAAACTAGACAGCCCAGGGGTTACATCCCAACTTTATCCTTTACTAGCTGGGTGGTCATCTAAACAAGCCAGTTTACCCCCCTGAGCCTTGTTTCCCTCATTAAAAAAAAATGATACCAATAATTAGACATACTTCATAGAGTTTTTGGGAGGAGTCATTGAGATAAATGTTTCAAGTACTTTGTACATAGTACATTGGCCACTAAATTTTAGTACTTGCCCCTGCCCTATACCACCACCCCTTTGCTGTATTGACAGGAGATGAGCTCTGTCTTTGTGGTGGCATTCCCTCCTAATACTTTTATTAATACCTTGGTATCTACTAAGTCTTTGTAGTCAAAAGAGGCTTTTCTTAGTAGCTGTTACACCATTGTTTATGGTTGTTAAATGATAGAGAAACTCTTTAATTTCCCAACCTAAACGCATCTTAAGTTGATCTAAAAAGAAACTGCACTTGGAATCTGCCATCTCATTCTTAGTAGAAAACTCACAATCCATGCTGAGTAGATAGAGATGTCCTTAACAGGATCTGACTTTATCTTCTCTCCCCCTTGATATTTTCTTCCCAAGACAACTGGGAAGGGGAATGAACAGACAATTAGAACACGGATTACAGACCGGTTAGATATAATCAGTGGAAGTCTACAGCTGTTTCAGGCAGGAGGTACTGGTTTTTAGGGGAAATGACACCCGATTGGGCATTAGAACTCTTGGATTCTAGTCTCAGTTCTACCACCTACTAGCTTTGGGGCCTTGGGCAAGTCACTTCCCCCTCTTTGGACATCGATTTTCCCATAAGTATATTGGATGAGTAGGACTAGACAGGATTCTGGAATGTTACATCTAAAAAGGCCTTAAAGACTATGTGTTGCTGAGACCAAAGACAGCCTTAGTGACAGCCCTTTTATAAAAAGCTGGCTCTTGGTAACAACAGACGTGATACTTTCAAAGTTCTCTACATACTCTAAGCAAACTCGGTGACACACTTGATGTTTAATGTGGTCTGTGCCAAATGCTAAGAGCTCATTACTTTTGACCCTTTGCCACCTTTGTTTCTAGTGTAGTTAAGAGTATGGTTTTTGCTAATATAACCAGAACCCAGAAAGCTCAACATAGCCTTAGCCAGAGTGTAAATGGAGACTCAGTTGGAAAGCTGGGATTCATCAGGGCCAAGTCTTGTAGCTTTGATTTATAGAAAGGCAAAATGTTTTTTTGTACAATCTGATATTTGCAGCCCTGAAGCGACATCTGGAAAGAATCTGGATAGTTGCTCATTTCTGCCAAGATTTCCAAGAGTTAGAATGGGTCTGGATCTCTTGGCCTTTGGCAATTGGAAATGACCATCTTATATTAAATTTCTTCTCTCTTTCACACCTAAAGACATGACAGAGAAGAATCCGTAAGGGGGTTAATATGTGACCAAACTCAGGCAAGCAGTTCATTAACCCTCTTCCCAATGGAGGTGATCGCTCTCCTGGCAGTGTCTCAAAGCCCAGCAAATTATCCAGATTTAGTTCCCAGAAGCCTTCAGGAGAGGGATTCCAGGAGTTGGGCTCCTTCCTGAATACAACCCAAAACAACAGCCAAGGCCCATCAGAATGAAATAATATTCCTCGGATATTGAGTTCTCTTAGACCAGGCCTTTAGAATGGCACTCAGTGCCAACCATATGCCCAGAAAACAAATAAGCACTGGTTTGCCCCCAGACTCTACTTTGGCCACCTTCTGGGATTTTTTTCTGAAGTCACTATCAGAGACCATGAAGCCCTAATTGTTCTTAACCAGTCCACAGAAAGCCAAATCAGTCTGTCCTTTTTCTGGAGTTTTGGAGGGTGGGAAAATAAGTTCTGCCTGATACTGTTTCTACCCGAGGAGTTATTTTTAAACTTAAAATGTTTCCTTCTATGGTTTATAGTGGAAAGAGTGTTAGCCTTGAAGTCAGACACTTCTGAGTTCATATCATAGCCCTGCTTCTTACTATCAGGTGGCCTTGGACAATGCACATTCTTTATTCCCAGCCAAGCCTTTGGCCTCACATCCTCTTTCTAGTCTTCTCCCCAGTGAGTTGATCTAGTCTGTCTATGAGTTAGGAATTCCTACTTAATTTTTCAGCTACAGAAGAACCACTACAGTGTCCAGAGGAGGGAAAATGAAGGCCTATACCCTGTCAAGTTCTAGTGATAATTTTCTCAACTTTCCATTCATTCAGCTTTCTAATTATTCTTTCCTCCCTTAATCCTGTGGAAAGGGGTAGATAGAGGGATTTATTTTGTGGTTACCCTAATGCGCTAGTTGTTCAATCATGTCCTTCAAGCCCAGGTTGTCTTTGCAGAGAAAGGAATTTGTGTTCAGAGAAAGGAACTTGTAAACACTCAATAAATGAGTTAATATACATAAAACACTTAGACATGTGCCTGACATGTAGTAAACATTGTAGAAGAGTTGACCATTAAAACTAACTCTGACCCATGGCTTGAACTTGGAAAAAGTTTATTCCATCAAAGCCATTTTAGTCAGTCTTCTGGGTCAGCAGCTAGTACCACCATTTCCACCTTCTATTACTGCTGTCACTACCTTTTCACAATGATTGCATGAGATGCATAGGAACTGGTTTTGCATCCTGTGCCACCTAGTATTTGACCCTTTAGAAAGTCTCCATATGCTATGAGTTTCCCATTCTTTTAGGATTTATTTCTGCTTTTTTTTTTTTGGAGACAGAGTCTCCACTTCTGCCACCCAGTTTGGAGTGCAGTGGCGTGATCTAAGCTCACTGCAGTCTCCATCTCCCAGGTTTAAGCGATTCTCCTGCCTCAGCCTCCCAAGTAGCCAGGATTATGGGTGTGCACCACCACTCCCGGCTAATTTTTGTATTTTTGGTAGAGACAGGGTTTCACCATGTTGGCCAAGCTCGTCTTGAACTCCCGACCTCATGTGATCCTCCTGCCTCAGCCTCCCAAAGTGCTGGGGTTACAGGCTTGAGCCACCATGCCTGGTTTTATTTCTGCTATTGTAAAAGGGTAGGTTGTTATTCCATTCTCAGAACCTGCTTAGAATAAGTCCTTTCATGGATACACAAGAAGCCACTGGGGCATTAGGTAGAGCTTGCTAGGTTTCTTTTCTTGGACCTATTCTAACTCCCTTGTCAGCTCTGAAAGTTTTCTCATTAATATTGGACTGCCAACAGTGAGTTAAGAGATCTTGGGCCCATATTCTCTTTCCTTCCTCCTTTCTTAATAGAAACTGTGGAGTTTTCCGCAAGTTGCCCTTCCCAATTCCACTAGTTATATCTGTAGTTTATAATCCTGTTTTTAAGGTACCAATGTCACCCCTTCATTCAATGAATACTTACTAAATGCTTACTATGGACAGGTGAAGTTCTAGGCTCTGGGGATACAAACAAAACAAAGGCCCTTTTTTGTGGGTCTTATGTTCTGCTGGAGATAAACAATACATCAGGTGGTGGCAAGTGCTCTGAAGAAAAAGTAAAGCAAGGTAGTGGGTTGTTCCTTTATGGAAGATGGTCAGACAAGGCTACTGTTAATGTGTTATTTAGGCAGAGAACTGAATAAAGTAAGGGTACAAAGTATGGTAGATATCTTTGGGAAGAGCAATTCCATGAATAGGGAAAACCTAGTAGAAAGGCCCAAGGCAGCAGTGTGCTTGGCATGTTGAACAGCAAAGAAACCAGAGTGTCTGGGAGCAAGGATGACAATCTGCTCCATTTCTCTTCCCAAAAGGAATAGCAGTAACACACAGGTTAATGCCCATTGTTAAAAAAGAGTTTTGAAGTGAGGCCTTTGGAGGGCCACAGACCAGAAAAAGAGGTAAGTGGATTCTTCTTACTACAGCAATTGCCAATATTTCCACATTAAAGTTTGGCTTGAATGTTTGCATCTGTAGGCCAGCTTTGGGAAGGATGTTGCAATCCGTGATGACTGCAGGGTTATTCAGGCCACATTTTAATTTTAGAGAAGACACACAACAGGAAGTTTCCCCTTTGCTTTTCTAGACTTTTCTCACTTAAAGAGAGTGTGGTTTTAAGCCTACCAAGCACCTTCTCTGAGCTCTGCCTACTGCCACATTGGCAAAACTGCTCTCAACCAGCTCCTTACCAATGAGCCTTTCAGTATATTTTCAGGAGACAGGGCATGTGGACAACACCCTGTCCAGGTGGAATTGTCAGCTCTCATTATAAATCGTAGAAGTCAGTGAGCCCATATCTATCTTAAGGCCTGGGTAGCTTCTTGAAGAAGAACAACCTGTGAGGAAGGGTTTTTTTTTTCAATGAGAAGTGAATAATTTTTATAACTGGAGCAGGGAAATAAGATCATTTAATCTGACAGAGAGCTTGAAGAGCAATTAAGTTCATATCACCTGATTTGCATAGCATGTAACTGCTTCACTCCCTATTGCTCCGGTCTGAAAATTTCTCTGTTCCTCCCTCCCTTTCTCTACCACTCTCCTCTCCCTCTCCCTGTCCCCCTCTTTCACTCTCTCTCCCTCCGTTCCCTCCGTTCCTCCCTCTCCCCCCGTTCCTCCCTCTCCCCTCTCTCCCTCCCCCCTCCCCACCTCTTTGTGTGTCTTGTGTTTTCTCTTTCTCTAAGGAAACATAGGTTTAAGTTCTTTTTAGGGTTCATGATAATTGCAATAACTACCACTTACTGAGTGCTCAGTATGTTCCAGGCTAGGTTCTTTACATCAGGTATACCTTGCTTTATTGTGCTTTACTTTATTGCTCTTTGCAAATATTTTATTTTTAAAAACAATTTGAATGTTGGTGGCAATCCTGTTTCAAGCAAGTCTATCAGAGCCATTTGTCCAACAGCATGGGCTCACTTCTTGTCTCTGTGTTACATTAGGAAAATTCTTGCAGTATTTCAAACTTTTTTTTCTTTCTTACATCTGTTGTGGTGATATGCGTTCAGTGATCTTTGATGTTACTATGTAATTGTTTTGCGGCTCCATGAACTACACCCAGACAAGATAGCAAACTTAATAAGTAAATGTTGTATGTTCTGACTGCTCCGCCGATCAGCCATTCCTCATCCCTCTCCCTCTCATGCTTCCCTATTCCCTGAGACACAACAATATTGGAATTAGGCCAATTAAAAACCCGACAAAGGCCTCTAAGTATGCAAGTGAAAGAAGGAGTTGCATGTCTCTCATGTTAACTCAAAAGCTAGAAATGATTAAGCTTAGTTAGGAAGGCATGTTGAAAGCTGAGATAGGCTGAAAGCTAGGCCTCTTGTGCCAAACAGTTAGCCAAGTTGTAAATACAAAGGAAAAATTCTTGAAGAAAATTAAAAGTGCTACTCCAGTGAACACACAAATGATAAGAAACCAAAATAGCCTTATTGCTCATAGGGAGAAACTTTTAGTGGTCTGGATAGAAAATCAAACCAGCCACAACATTCCCTTAAGCCAAAGCCTAATCCACAGGAAGGTTGTAACTCTTCAATCTGTGAAGGCTGAGGAAGTAAGGAAGCTGCAAAAGAAAAGTTTGAAACTAGCAGAGGTTGAGGCCGGGCGCGGTGGCTCACGCCTGTAATCCCAGCACTTTGGGAGGCCGAGGCGGGTGGATCATGAGGTCAGGAGATCGAGACCATCCTGGCTAACAAGGTGAAACCCCGTCTCTACTAAAAATACAAAAAATTAGCCGGGCGCAGTGGCGGGCGCCTGTAGTCCCAGCTACTCGGGAGGCTGAGGCAGGAGAATGGCGTGAACCCGGGAAGCGGAGCTTGCAGTGAGCCGAGATTGCGCCACTGCAGTCCGCAGTCCGGCCTGGGCGACAGAGCGAGACTCCGTCTCAAAAAAAAAAAAAAAAAAAAAAAAAAAAAGAAACTAGCAGAGGTTGGTTCATGATGTTTAAGGAAATAAACCAGTTCCATGACATAAAAGTGCAAGGTGAAGCGACAAGTGCTGATGTAAAAGCTGTACCAAGTTATCCAGAAAATGCAGCTAAGATCATTGATGAAGGTGGCAACACTAAAAAACACATTTTCAGTGTACATGAAATAGCCTTCTGTTGGAAGAAGATGCCATGTAGGACTTTCATAGCTGCAAAGAAGTCAATGCCTGGGTTCAAAGTTTCACAGGACAGGCTGACTCTTTTCATTAAGGACTAATGCAGCTGGTGAAGCCAAGGCTCATTGACCATTCTGTAAATCCTAGGGCCCTTAAGAATTATGCAAAATCTACTCTGCCCATGCTCCATATGTGGAACAACAAAGCCTAAGTGACAACACATCTGTCTACAGAATGTTTTACTGAATATTTTAAGCCCACTCTTGAGACCTACTGCTCAAAAGAAAAGCTCTCTTTCAAAATATCACTGCCCATTAACAATGTAGTAATCACCCAGCAGCTCTGATGGAGATGTGCAAGGAGATTAATGAATGTTGTTTCCATGCCTACTAATACAACATCCATTCTGCAGCCCATGGATCAAGGAATAAAGTAACTTTCCAGTCTTATTATTTAAGAAGTAGATTTCATCAGGATTTAGATCCCATAGATAGTGATTCCTCTGATGAATCTGGGCAAAGTAAATTTAAAACCTTCTGGAAAGCATTCACCAATCTAGATGTCATTAAGAATATTAATAATTTATGAGAGGAGGTCAAAATATCAACAAAATAACAGAGGTTTGAAAAAGTTAATTACAACCTTCATGGCTGACTTTGAGGAGCTTAACCCTTCAGTGGAGGAAGTAACTGTAGATGTGGTAGAAATAGCAAGAGAACTAGAATTAGAAGTGGAGCCTGAAGACGTGACTGAATTGCTGCCATATGAGGATAAAAGTTCAATGGATGAGAAGTTACTTTTTATGGATGAGCAAAGAAAATGGTTTCTTGAGGTGGAATCTACTCCTGGTGAAGATGCTGTGAACATTGTGGAAATGATAACCAAGGATTTAGAATATTGCATAAACTTGGTTTACTAAAGCAGTGGCCGGGTTTGAGAGGAGTGACTCCAATTTTGAAAGAAGTTCTGAGGGTAAAATGCTATCAAACAGCATGGCATGCTACAGAGAAATTTTTTTTTGTGAAAGGAAGAGTCAATTGATGCAGCTAACTTCATTGTTGTCTTCTTTTAAGAAATTGCCATAGCCACTCCAGCCTTCAGTAAGCACCATCCTGATCAATCAGCAGTCATCAACATAGAAGC
The DNA here is from genome assembly GCF_000001405.40 of Homo sapiens. Classification (NCBI taxonomy): domain Eukaryota; kingdom Metazoa; phylum Chordata; class Mammalia; order Primates; family Hominidae; genus Homo; species Homo sapiens. The sequence continues at coordinate 68,081,724 of NC_000023.11, read as the reverse complement.
AAGACCCTCCACCAGCAAAAAAGGGTATGATTTGCCAAAGGCTCTGGTGATTGTCAGCATTTTTTAGCAATAAATTATTTTTAATGAAGGGATGTATACCTTATTTTTAGGAATCATGCTATTGCACACTTACTAGACTACAGTATAGTATAAGCACCATGAAACCAGAAAAAATTGTGTGGCTCAGTTTATTGTGATACATATTTTATTCTGGTGGTCTGGAACCAAATCCACACTATCTCCTAGGTATGTCTGTATGTTACCTCATTCAACCATCACAACAACCCTATGAGGTAGATGGTATCACTATTCTCATTTTGCAGCTGACATTTTCAAAATGCAAACTGAGCTTCAAGTTTGAGATTCATATAGTTTAAGTTTCTTGCCCCTGGTTACATAGCAAAGCTCCAACACAACTGACTCTGACTCTGTCCTGACTCTTTGACCTCTACTTTGTACTCTCTCACCTCTATTTTGTACTCTCTCTTCCCAATTATAGTTGGTGAAGGAATAAATGAAAAAAAAAGTTCTATTATTTAATATGCTCTAAAGGGCCTGGTAGCCAAAATTCATCCATTCATTTTAAAAACTGTCATTGAGCTGCTTTATCTTGCCTCGTGCCCTACTCAGCCCTAGTCTCTAGAGAGGAATCACGAAAAAAAATCTCTGCTGTCAGAAAAGTTATGGGACTTGGGGGTATCTGGAACCAACTAACACTCAGGATGCAGTGTAATAAAGACTGTGGTGAAGATGTGCATTGGATGCTGTGGGAGCCCATGGAAAGGGAACTTACCTCTCTATTGGGAATCAGAGAAGTCTTCATACAGTGGGTAATGCATGATGTGAGTCCTGAAAATCAGAGGAGTAGATTAATTGATTAACCTTCTGTAAGAAAAGTCCTCCTATAACAGAGGACTGCAAATTATTTGGCTTAAATATGATGGAGAGGAGTTCATTTTTCTCTCACATAAAAGTCTAGCAGTGAATAGTCCAAGATCAATGACATACTTCTGCCATCCTCACCACTTGGCTTCAGTTTCTTGATCCTAGATAGCTATTCCATTTGTCCCCATTTACTAGCCAGAGAGAAAGGGAAAAAAAGACAGAATGTAATACAGACAGCTTCTTCATAAAAGCATGACCCAGAGGCTTTCATGCATTATTTCTACTTGTATTCTGTTATCTAAAACTTAATCACATGTCCTTACCTAGCTGCAAGGGAGACTAAGAAAGGTAGGCATGGGTGCCCAGCTACCATTCAGTGACTTCCATTAGTAAAAGTAAGAAGGGGAAGGTGGGTACCAGTAAGCAATTAGCAGTCTCTTCCATAAAGGGTAAGAGTGAAAGTGTTCTGTGTATAGATCACTCTGGATACATACAGGAATGAGACACCAGAGAAATTAAGTTCCATAAAATAACCAAAGAACTAAATAACTAAGAGACTAAAGAACTTTAATAATTCAGCATGGCTATAGTGGAGGGTGAATGTAGGGGAATAGTGGAAGATGGGGAAGATGGGGCTGGAGATTTCAGGATGTGGCCAGATTATTGAGTACTTTGTGTGCTAACTAAGGAATTTGGCCTTTGTCCCGAAGACAGTGAAGAGTCATTGAAACATTTTAAGCAGTGGAGTAACACAATTAGATTAGAGTTGAGAAAGATCACTCTACCTGCACTTGGGTAGACAGATTAAAGACAGGAGTGGCTGGAGACAGAAGGAACAATTAGGAGACTATTATAATCATAGAGAGACATGATGAGACTCAACCAAGTCAGTGGTAGTGAGCAGAGGGGACAGATTAGAGAGACATTAAGGAAGTATAATTGATAGAACTTGGTGACTAAATGGATGTGGGATGTGAGAGAGGGGGAGGATTTTAAGATAATAATGTCCAGATTTGTGGCTTGGACATTGGCATTGTTTTAGATAATAAAAAATTTTAAGGGACGAAAGTGTTTAATTCTAGAAATGTTGAATTTGAGATACCTCTGGGATATCCAGAAGGCAACATTGAGCAGTTAGTTAGATATATTGGTATAGAAACCAGTAGAGAAACTTGGTAGTGCAAGCCATGTGAGTGGATGACACGGTTGAGAAAGCGAATGAGTGCAGACAAGTGAGATCATTAGAAGGTTGAGGACATAATCCTGGAGAACATTAAATTTCAGAGAGAGCCAGTGAAAGAGACGACAGTGTTCAGAGAAGCAGAAAGGTAAAGAGAGAGGAATTTTTAGAAATGGATTGGTTAAATGTGTTAAATGTTGGAGCACAGTCAAAATAAAAATTGAAAAAGTACCTGTTGGAGTCAGCAATCAGCAGGCCAGTGGTGATCATTGTAAAAACAGTTACAGAGGAGTGATGTGGGCAGAGACAAGGTTGAGGATCAACTGGAGGATGAAGAAATGGAGACTTAACTGTCTGGAAAGTGTAGAAGAAAATGAATGTGATGGCAGTGGAGAGTAGCTTGGGTTCAGACAGGAGAGACTTAAGTTCATTTAAATGCTTTTGAGAAACAGTATTGTAAGAAAGGAGATGAATGATGGAGGAAGGTCCCTGAGAAACAGGAAGAGATGAGATGGGATCCAGAGCATAGGTAGAGGCATTCTCCTTAGAAAGTGAGGAGAGATAAAGTAGGTTTATAAGTGTGGATGTCAATGAGTTTGTCAGTATGGGGACAGAAAGTTGAAGTTGTTTACTTTATTTATTTATTTATTTATTTATTTATTTATTTATTTATTTTGAGACAGTCTTGCTCTGTTGTCCAGGATGGAGTGCAGTGGTGCAATCTGGGCTCACTGCAACCTCCACCTTCCAGATTTGAGCAATTCTCCTGCCTCAGCCTCCTGAGTAGCTGAGATTACAGGCATGCTGCAACATGCCTGACTAATTTTTGTACTATTAATAGAGCTAGGGTTTCACCATGTTGGCCAGGCTTGTCTTGAACTCCTGGCCTCAAGGGATCCGCCTGCCTCAGCCTCCCAAAGTGCTGAGATTACAGACATGAGCCACCGCGCCCAGCTGAAGAAGTTTACTTCTAATGACCTCCCTTTTCTCTGAAGTATGAGGTGACGCCATCTGTGAGGGAGGGTGTCTATGGTCTGGTATATTATGAATGGCTCAGCAAGGATGTCTTCTAACTGAGCAAAGGGAAATAATATATGATGCGTTTATCTCCATTAATAACACTCACTTGGGTTCAATCGGAAGAGATTGTTGGATGGACAGATGCATGGATGGATGCCTATAAACATAATAAATATGTATTCTGTTTTCCTCCACTCAATGTTTTCAAAACGTTTTTTTAGAAGTTTAGTTCAGGGTTAAAATTTTCTTGAATCCCATCTGCATTAAGTAAGTATATTCTCATTTGTTATTCCTCTTCATTATTCTAGACCAACATTTTTCAGCCTTGGTATTATTTTGACATTTTGGGCCAATAATTCTTGTTGTGGGGACTGCCCTGGGCATTGTTGGATGTTTAGCAGGATTCCTTGCCTTTCCCCACTAGATGCCAACCCCCCTTCCACAGTTGTGACAATAAATATTTTCACAGATGTCATGAAATGTCCCCTGGAAAATAGAATTGGCCCCATTTAAGAGGTTGTATTCAAAACCAAATGGAAGGGCCCTGGAGAGAGAGAGAGAGAAGGGGGATTTAAGCTAGACAAATACTCATGTACATTTATCAGTTGATCATGACAACTATACTCATAGACATGATCTTCTTTTGGCAAATTAGACAACTGAGGCTCAGAGAGGTTAAATGACTTGCCTAACATGACAGAGGCCATAAGTGATAGAGCTGGGGTTTGAACTCATGTGTGTTAGATCCCTACAATTTAGGTTCTTTCTTAAGCAACAATAAAAAATATTTTAGAGGGTGTCCTTGTTTTCATTTTTATTATGTTTTAAAAAATCAAACTAAACTTAAAATTCAGCACAAAAATTTAAATAATATAGAAGTGTATAGACTAAAACAGGAATGTATCTGTTGACATTCCTCTGTAATCCTATTCACTTTCCTAGAGGTTATGATTGTGATTGTTAACAATTTAATGTGTATGCTTTTAGACCCTTTTCTTTGCAATTATAAATGACAAAGGACAGTGCATTCATACACACACAAAACTATTTTTGAATAATGACATCATACTATATATACTATTCCATAAGCTACTTTAAAATATTTAATCTTTCCACCTCAGTTCTTACAAATCTACATCACCACCTTTTAACAGTTGTGTAATATTCCTCAGTGAGTGAACCACAATTTATGTAACTTTCCCATGTTAATAGATATTTATGTAGTTTTATTTTTTTTATGGTACATGGAACTTGCATAGATATCAGTGTGTGTATGTGTCAGGATTTCTGCTTAATAGGGGTTTTAAAAGTAGGGAGATCAGAGGTCTTGCCTATTTAAAATCATGATTGCTACTACCAGATTGACCCCCAATATGGATAAACCAAATCATCCTCCCAATAACAGCTTATAAAGGTGACTGTTTTTACCCACTTCTTTGTCAGTTTAGGACAATATCGATTTTTCTTAATTTATCAGTCTAATAGGCAAAATGTGATATCTTGTTTGAATTGTAGTTTTATAATTATTAGTGAAGTTGATTTTTATGTTCACAAGCTATTTCATTTTCTTTTCCTTTGTATGTCCTTTTCAGTGGCTGGTCGCTTCAAAATCCTCCCCTCTCCAGGCCACTCCCACACTAAACTCTTCACCTAAGGCAACCACTAATCAGTTCTGTTAGTATAATTTGTGTTTCCTAAAGTTTTGTATAAACGGAATAATGCAGTATATACTTTTCTTTTGGTCTGGCTTCTTTGGTTCAGCATAGTTATTCTGAGATTAATTTAAGTTGTTATAGTGAGTCAATAGTTCATTCCTTTTTAGTACTGAGTAGTATTCCATCATATATACCAAAATTTGGTTGTCTATTCACTAGTTAATGGACATTTGGGTTGTTTCAGTTTGGGTCTGCTGCAAACATTTGTGTACAGTCTGTACGACTATATGTTTTCTTTTTTCTTGAGTAAACATGAAGGAGTAGAAATGACTGAGTCACATAGTAATTATACATTTAATTTTTAAAGAAAACGTAAAACATTTTTCTTAAGTAACTGTATCATTGTACTTTCTGGAAGAGACTGTAAAACTCATGTTAATTCTGTATATGTTTGGTGGAATCCTCCAGCTAAACTCTCTGGGTCTAGAGATTTCTTCTTTGGAAGTTTTTAAACTATGAATTGAAATTTTTTAATGGTTATAGGACTATTCAGATGATCTATTTCATTGGGTGGTTTTTTTTTTTAATTCACTATGACATTGTATGATTTTACATTCCCATCAGCAGTGAAAGTTCCAGTTCCTCCATATTCTTTTCAACATGTGGTATGGTCAGTCTAAAAAATTTCAACCATTCTAATAGGTGTTCAGTGGCATCGCATCATGTTTTTAGCATGCATTTCCCTATTGACTTAATGATGTTGAACTTTTTTTATGTTTGCCATTTGTATGTTTTCTTTGGTAAAGTGTCTATTCAAATATTTTGCTTATTCTTTAAAAACTGATTTACTTGTTTTCTTATTATTGAGTTATTGAGTTTTGGGAGTTCTTTATATAATATATATATAATACAAGTTCTTTATCAGACATATGATTTACAAATATTTTAACTCAGTCTGTGGTTTTTCTTTTCATTCTTAACAGTGTCTTTTAGAAAATCATGAGTTTTCAAATTTGATGTTCAGTTTATTGATTATTTTATGAATCATTGTATCTAAGATATCTTTGGCTAACCTAAGATTACAAAGATTTTTCTCCTCGAAATTTTATAGTTTCAGCTTTTAAATTTGATTATAGCCCATTCTGAGTTAGTTTTCTTCTGTGGTATAAGATACGAATTGAAGTTTTTTTTTTTTTTTTTTTTTTGCCTATGTATATCACATTGTTCCAGTACCATTGCTGTCCTTTCTCCACTGAATTGCCTTTGTAAAATAAATAAATAAATTTATCTGTATAGATGTGGGTCTATTTCTGGGCTTTCTATTTTGTTCCATTGATCTATTCACCTATCTTGACATCAGTGCCACACTGTCTTAATTGTTGTAGCTTTATAATAAGACTTGAAATCAGGTAGTGTTAGCTTTCCAACTTTGTTTTTCTTTTTCAAGATTGTTTTGGCTATTCTAGGTTCTTTGCATGTCCTTATACATTTTTGAATCAGCTTGTCAATGTCTACATACAAGCTTACTGGTATTTGGGTTGTGTTCAGTCTGTAGATCAATTTTGTGAGAATTTACATCTTAACACTATTGAGTCTTTATACCTGCAAACAAAATATATCTCAGTTTATCTAGATTTTCTTAATATTTCTCAGCAATATTTTGAAGATTTTAGTGTACAAAATCTCTCTGGCACTTTGCCTTGCAAATTCTCACTTCCTTGTCTTTCCCATACTCCCAATTCAGTCTTCTCAACGTAGGGATACTACTGGGTTCCACTTGGGTTCCCCTTCCTGCACTGCAGCCTGCAAAACTCTAAGCTGGGAAACTCATAGGGCTGACCTCATTTGTTTTTTTCAGTCTCTCAGCATTCACTGTCCTTCACTGCTGGATTTCCAATGCCTTTAAAACTACTGTTGCATGTATTTTTCCTAGTTTTGTTTTGTTTTTACTTGTTTCAGGCTAAATGAGTAAAACTAGTTTCTGTGCCCTATCTTGGCCGGAATAAGATAGTAGCTGTTTGTAGTAGTATTTTAGTAGTAGTAGTTAGTAGCTGTTAATAGTAGTAGTATTTTCAGGTGACAGTTTGGCCTTTTACATTAGAATTGCAAATGTATTTGTTTTTTGCCTCAGCAATTCCAGTCCCTCTTCTAGGTGGTGGAGATAGAGCAGTGAACATGACAGACATGCTTCTATGTTGTGTAAAATCTAGCTTGGAGACAGACAGCAAACAAAATCAATAAGTAAAACGTGTTATATGTTAGAAAGTGATAGGAAATGCTGAAGAGAAAAAAAATTAAAATGGAAGGAAGATAGGAATGCTTGCGTAGAGGGAGGCATGTCATTGTTTTAAATATATTGACCTGGAAGGGCTTACTGAGCAGAGTATGTTTGATTAGAATCCTAGAAGAATGGATATCTGAAGGAAGATCAGTCTGGGTGGAAGAAACAGTCAGTGCAACGACCTCATGTATTCGAAAAATAGCAAGGAATATTTGTAACAACTACTACAGTGTTTGAGCTCACAAAATGGTGGCTCTTTAGACTATTATTACTAATGATGGTGGAATTAGGAATATGACCTAGAACCGTATGGCCTCAACATTAATCTGCTTGCTGTTAAGTTACATTTTGTCTTCCTTACAATCATGAGGCATATACTCACGGTTTGTGATTGTTCATGCATTGTTTCTTATCATTGTCCACCTTTTACACAGCTTGCCTTGTGTTCTCAATCATGTTATTTCCATGCCCATGTAGTCTGTGTTGACCCTTGCCTGATGGGATATTGGGCTCTGACATTTCTCTTTACACTAATCACTGGGGTTGATTTTGTTAGTCTCACTGGCTAGACAGTGGTCTCCTTTCTCCATCACATATGTGTATCATCCCATAGTGTATGCACTTGGGCTAAAAGGTTGGTCTCCATGGAGACTGGAAAATCCTTAAGTACACATGAGACATTATATAAAAATTCTAATCACAGCTCCTTCTGCATGCCTTCGGCACTTCTTATAGCATCCAAGGCACTGTGTTGTTGCTTTTTAATTTTATTTTACTTTTTATTGAATAGATAATGTACCATGGCATGAAATTATAAAAGAACAAAGTGACATAGGAGGGAAAACACAGTTGTTCTCCCTGTATTCCCCAGCCAATCATTAGTCCTACCTTGAGACAAACAATGTAATCAGATTCTTTGGTATCCCTTCAGAACTATTTAAGGCATATGGGCATGTAATTGTGTTTAGTCTCCTTCCATGTCCTACCCCCACCCATAGAAGGCACCTTGACAGCTCCTTTAATTTCTTTCTTACCACACTCTGTGAAGTGGGTGATGCTGTCCCTATGTTACGGATGAGAAAGCCAAGGCTCAGAGAAGTGAGGTGACTTGCCTAAGGTCTCCCAGGAAGGACATGGAAAATCCAGGACTAATGCCATCTTTTATAGGCATTTTTTCTTCCAAACTGAGAAGTGCCAGGTTCTGTGCCTTGAGCATAGTAGGAGATACCTAAACATTTACCTGTAGCTAGAGTGATTAAGAAAATCTCTGATTCTTTGAGTCATGTTAGTATTCACGTTACAAACTCTAGATATAAGGCCAACAAGCATCAACTGGTGGGTAGCATTCAGAAGACAAAAACTTGATCTAATTATTCTCTAGATATCTTCCTTCTTTCTCCACAGATCTATTTAGGTCCACCTGAGGAAAGCGCTGCACCGCCAGTGCCTCCGCCTCGGGTGACAGCAAGAAGGCACAAACCAATCACGATTTCAAAGCGCTTGCTGCGAGAAAGGACGGTTTTCTATACTTCTTCCCTGGATGAAAGCGAAGGTCAGTACTGAGGTTCACCTTTAGCTTCTGAATGGTGATTAGACACAAAGAGGATATCGAAGGGCAGAAGCGGTGGCATGACCATTTTTCTCTCTATAAAAGTAGACCTTTCCTGGCTCCTGAGCTTAAAAGCAGCCAGGGTTTGTAGTTTGTGCTCAGAGAGGGGATTAAGCCTTTGACAGCAGATAGGATGGTGATGAGCTTGTAAAGGAAGTTACCACGTGGAGGATCCCTATAAGGCCAGTGCAGGATCCAAGGTGTTCTTAGATTTATGCCCCCAATATATTGAAATGGGTGAGCAAGGTGAATGTTGTGAAATTTTAAATTCAAATATAGCAAACACGGATTGGATAACTACTATGTGCCAGGTACTGTGCTAGGTGAAATTAAGATACATTGCTTGCCCTCACAGAAGAAATGGAGACATAGATAAGTGAAGAAATAAATGCCTTCAGTGGAATAATTGCTAGTGTGGAGACTACACCCATTCTAAATGTGCCTCTGCCCTCCTACTCCACTAAGACCATTTTTGTCAGGTTTGCCAATAATCTCCATGAGGCCAAACCAAATAGCTACAACATTGTTCTCATCATACTCAGTTTGTGAGTAGCATCTGACACAGTTGACTAACTCCTCCTTCTTGAAACACTTTATTCACCTGGCTCTCAGGATACCAGATTTTCCTTTAATCTCACCAGATAATCCATCTCAGTCTTCTCTCCTGGTTTTCCTTCTCTTCCCAACTTTACATGTTAGAAGGTCCCAGAGCTTTTTTCTTAGTCCTGTTCTCTGATCATGTTCTTTTCCTGTGTGATCTCATTAAATTTCATGGTTTTACATATCATTTAAATGCTAAAGATGATTTCCAAATTTATCTAAGATTGATATCTTGCCTCTTTTGTCATATCAAATTTCCTGCTCAACAGTTCTCCTTGGATGACTCATGGGCATCTCAGTTTACACTGTGCAAAACATAACTTGATGCCTGACTCTTTCTTAACCTGCTCCTACTCTGGTCTCCTCCATCTAAGTAATTGGCAGCAGCAGTCATCCAGTTGCTAAGGTCAAGAACTTTGGAATCATCCTTGGTTACTACTTTCCCTTTTTCCTTCATATTGAATCCATTGGCAATTCTTGTCAGCTCTACCTGCACATTATATGCTAACTTCTACTACTGCCCACTGCTTCTATCACTGTAAGCCACTATTATCTCTTACCTGGTATCATTGCTTGCCTTCTTCCTTGCCTGTAATTCATTCTCCCCGGCAGCCAGTAACAGCACATCCTTTAAAATATGGAAATCAGGATTCTGCAAGCTTCCCAAGCACACATCAGCAGCCGGCTCCCTTACTGTCTGAATCATCGACCTCTCTCCATTTCCAAAATGTCGCTTTCTAACAAGCTGACATTGGACAAACCAGACGTCAAAGGGCAGCGGGTCATTATGAGAGTGGACTTCAATGTTCCTGTGTAGAATAACCAGATAACAAACAACCAGAGGATTAAGGCTACTGTCTTAAGCATCAAATTCTGCTTGGACAATGGAGCCAAGTCAGTAGTCCTTATGAGCCACCTAGGCCAGCCTGATGGTGTCCCTATGCCTGACAATACTCCTTAGAGCCATTTGCTGTAGAATTCAAATCTCTGCTGGGCAAGGATGTTCTGTTCTTGAAAGACTGTGTAGGCCCAGAAGTGGAGAAAGCCTGTGCCAACCCAGCTGCTGGGTCTGTCATCCTGCTGGAGAACCTCCACTTTCATGTGGAAGAAGAAGGGAAGGGAAAACTCTGGGAACAAGGTTAAAGTGAGCCCGCCAAAATAGAAGCTTTCCGAGCTTCACTTTCCAAGCTAGGGAATGTGCATGTCAATGGTGCTTTTGGCACTGCTCACAGAGCCCACAGCTCCATGGTAGGAGTCAGTCTGCCACAGAAGGCTGGTGGTTTTTTGATGAAGAAGGAGCTGAACTACTTTGTGAAGGTCTTGGAGAGCCCATAGCGACCCTTCCTGGCCATTCTGGGTGGAGCTAAATTTGCAGACAAGATCCACCTGATCAATAATATGCTGGACAAAGTCAATGAGATGATTATTGGTGGTGGAACGGCTTTTACCTTCCTTAAGGTGCTCAACAACATGGAGACTGGCACTTCTCTGTTTGATGAAGAGGGAGCCAAGATTGTCAAAGACCTAATGTCCCAAGCTGAGAAGAATGGTGTGAAGATTACCTTGCCTATTGACTTTGTCACTGCTGAGAAATTTGATGAGAATGCCAAGACTGGCCAAGCCACTGTGGCTTCTGGCATACCTGCTGGCTGAATGGGCTTGGACTGTGGTCCTGAAAGCAGCAAGAAGTATGCTGAGACTGTCACTTGGGCTAAGCAGATTGTGTGGAATGGTCCTGTGGGGGGTATTTGAATGGGAAGCTTTTGCCCAGGGAACCAAAGCCCTCATGGATGAGGTGGTGAAAGCCACTTCTAGGGGCTGCATTACCATCATAGGTGGTGGAAACACTGCCACTTGCTGTGCCAAATGGAACACAGAGGATAAAATCAGACATGTGAGCACTACGGGTGGTGCCAGTTTAGAGCTCCTGGACAGTAAAGTCCTTCCTGGGGTGGATGCTCTCGGCAATATTTAGTACTTTTCTGCCTTTTAGTTCCTGTGCACAGCCCCTAAGTCAACTTAGCATTTTCTGCATCTCCACTTGGCATTAGCTAAAACCTTCCATGTCAAGATTCAGCTAGTGGCCAAGAGATGCAGTGCCAGGAACCCTTAAACAGTTGCACAGCATCTCAGCTCATCTTTACTGCACCCTGGATTTGCCTACATTCTTCAAGATCCCATTTGAATTTCTTAGTGACTAAACCATTGTGCATTCTAGAATGCATATATGCATATTTTGCCTGTTAAAAAAAAAGTGAGCTGTGTTAGCTTAGTTCTCTTTTGATGTAGCTTATCCTGATTAGCTTTGTCACTGTTTCACTACTCAGCGTGGAAACAAGATGAAATTCCATTTGTAGGTAGGGAGACGAAATTGATGATCCATTAAATAGACAATAAAAGTGTCCATTGAAACCATGAAAAAAATGGAAATCAGATCACATCATTCCCTCTGTGCCAAATTTTCAGTAACCTCCCTTCATACCTAGAATAAAATTTGCATTTTATTCTTCATTATATGACTGTTGCTTATTTCTGTGACCTTCATTTCTGAACTTTGCTCTCTCACTGTCTCTTTTGCTCTCTACTGTAATCTCATTGTTCTTGCAGGTCCTTACTTGTGTCAAACTTACCTAAGGGCCTTTGCATTTGCTACTCTCTTGGCCCTAAACATTCTTCCTCCAGAACTTCACAAGGCTCACTCTTTCATTCAGGTGTCTACTAAATGCTTTCTTCTCATAGAGACCTTTTCTTAACATTCTACTTAAATAGTTCTTTCTCCTCCTCCAATCACTCCCTATCCCTTTATATGGCTTAATGCAACTCATATCCCCTGCTTCTGTTTGTTCACATGTTTATTATCTCTCTCTCCCATTAGAATGTAAAATCTATTTGATTACCAGGCCCTAGAACAACTCCTGGTATACATATCATGTATTTAGTAAATATTCTAAGAATGAATGAGTGGATGTATAAGGAATGATGAAGAGATTATCACTTAGGTTAAGGGATCAACTCTTTGACAGAGGAGGTGAGCTGGCATTCAGGAGAAAGTGGAGGGGAACATTGGATGCCTGTCTGTTGTTCCATAGTCTCATTTTTACAGAATGGGTTTGTTTATTTACAGTCTCCCCAAATATAAACTCTATGCCAGTGGCCACTTGTTTTTTTTACTATATCCAAAGCATGGGCACAGTGCCAGGCATATAGTAATTCCTTAATAAATGAGTGCAAAAAATGAATGAACTGTGTGTCAGTAGATAGAAGGTCTAATTTAATCTTGGCTACTAGCCTGCTGAATAACTTGAGCTAGTCACTTCCCCTCTCTGGACCTCAATTTGCCCCTCTGTGGTGATGAGGGCTTTGGGACAGAAGATCTCCAATGAGGTTACCCAGTCTAGACATTTTTTATTTTTAACTTTTTTAAAAACTGAGCTATAATTCACATACCATAAAATGCACCATTTTAAAGCGTACAGTTTAATGGTTTTTAGTAAATTTTGTGCAACTATCTTATTCCAGAACATATTCATCATCCCAGAATCCCAATACTTTTAAATTTACTTCTCCCCCAACCTCTGACAGTTACTGATCTACTTTCTGCCTCTACGGATTTGCCTATTCTGAACATTTCATAGAAATATAATTATAGAATATGTGGACATTTTTGGGTGGCGTCTTACTCTTAGCATAATATTTTCAAGGTTCATCCACATTGTAGAATGTATCAGTACTTCATTCTTTCTTATGGACAAATAATATTCCTTTGTATAGATGTAGCACATTTTATTTATCCATTGATCAGTTGATGGACACTTGGATTGTATTCATTTTTTGGTTATTATAAATAATGCCGCTGTGAACATTCATGCACAGGATTTTGTGTGGATGTCTGTTTTTAATTATCTTGGGTATATACCTAGGACTGGAATTGTAGGTTATATGGTCGGTCTATATTAAAACTTTTGAAGAATTGCCAGGCTGTTTTCCAAAGCAGCTGTACCTTTTTTTTTTTTTTTTTTTTTTTGAGATGGAGTCTCACAGTGTCGCCTGGGCTGGAGTGCAATGGCGCGATCTCAGCTCACTGCAACCTCCGCCTGCCAGGTTCATGTGATTCTCCTGCCTCAGCCTCCCGAGTAGCTGGGATTACAGGTGCATACCACCACACCAGGCTAATTTTTTGTATTTTTAGTAGAGATGGGGTTTCACTGTGTTGGCCAGACTGGTCTCAAACTCCTGACCTCATGATTCGCCCACCTCGGCCTCCCAAAGTGCTGGGATTACAGGCATGAGCCACTGCACCAGGCCTCAGCTGCACCATTTTACTTTCCCACCAGCAATGAATGAAGGCTCCAATTTCACCACATCCTCACCAATACTTTGTATAGTCTGTCTTATTTATTCTAGCCATCCTATGTGAGTGTGAATCCATAATCTCATTTAATGTTCAGCACTCCCATGCGAGGTAGGTATGCTGAATTCTGTTTTATAGTGAAGGCACTGGAAGCTCAAAGATGATGAGTAGTTTTCCCAACTAACACAGCTACTAAATGACAGAACAATTTGCACTCATCTATCTTATCCTAAAGCTTATTTATTTACTATAATATCACACTTCCTATAACCTGTCTGAACACTGTTCTGAGAAGGAACCAATCCTGCTCACCAGTAGCATCTCATTATCTCACTCTGAAATTTGATATCCCTTTTGTATATAGTATGTCAGTGACTCCTTTCACCCTCGTCATGGACTCCATCACACCTCCATAACTAAGCCCTGATTATTCCACTTCTTTAACCTCTCTTGAATCTGCCTCTCTTTTCTGACGCAGCTCTAGTTTGGATCCTTCTCAACAGCGGTCCCCTAGCTTGTCTTTCTGCCACCAGTCTTTCTGGTCCAAGCTACTTTTCATTGGAACGAGCCTATTTTTCATTACTTTTCGTAATGAACCCAAAGGGATGTTTAAAAATGCATATTTGATAATGCCACTTCTCCCCACCCACAGCCCTCTGCCCCCCAAAATCATTGTCTTCTGTGACTCAAAGGCAGAGTTTGTATTCCTGAGCATGGCATTCATGGACTTCATGATATAGCCCCAACTTATTGCAACAACCTCACCTCCAGCTACCCACACTTTTTCATCTGTAATTGGTCCCTATGCTCAAGCCAAACCAAACTTTTAATTATATTTTCTTAGGCAAAGCATGGTCTTTCACTCCTCCAAGTTGTTTTTTGTTTGAATGCCCTTTCTACTTTGCTCCACCTTTTGGAATTCTTCAAGGCCCAGCTTAAAAGTTACCTGTTTTATAAAGACCCTCTCTAATCCTTGCAGTCAGTATTAGTACTGTCTTACTCCTAGCACTTATTTGCATGAATCTACATGTATTATAATAATTGATTTATTTCTATTACTGTACCAGTGTGTATCCTCTCAAAGCTTCTCCCCACCTCTTACCCACCCATGGAAGAGAGGCCTCCACTTTAAGGGTTGGCCCCACGCCTATTTATGAGGCCTCCCTGTCTCATCCTGATTCACTCCCAGTTCTTCGTAGTCCCTGAGACTTGTCTGTGTGTTTTCCTGTAGAAATGGGTGGCTGGTTAGGGAAAGGGGATGGCACCGAACTTTTATTACCTGACAGAGCAATGAACTCTCTTCAGAAAGAGTAAGTAGACTCTGGAAGCAGACTTCAAGATTTGAAATTTGGCGTTTCCACTTAGTAGTTTTGTGACATGGAGACTGCGGGTGTCTTAGATTCCTTATCTGTAAAATGGGGCTAGTAACAATGTACTACTTTATAGAGCTGTTTTGAGGATTACATGAGATAATCCAGGTAAAGCACTTAGAACAGGGTCTGCCATGGTATAAGTGCTCAAGTAATGGTATGTGTTGTCTTTATCAGTATTATTCTCATTATTACTGTCATTGTCACTATTATCATTATTTTTATTCACCATACCCCAGAACCTAGAAATAGTTTCCCTGCTGAAAGGCCTGGCTCCGAAGTCATCATGGCTTCTATCATTACATTTCCTATTTTCCCGAGCCAGCAGAAGATACTTTCCTGAGTGGAAGGTAGCAGCCTCTCTGAGGCTGTGTATGTGGGTCCTCTTTATGAAGATTGGCTCTCTTGAGATGGTGATGTTACTCTATGGCCTGTAGGGCACAGGCAACCTTTATTTCCCTAAGGGAGAGCAGAGATGGAGTCACTTGTCCAGAAGAAAGTATTCAGATAGGAACATGCAGCTGAGATGTTGGGCTAAAGCATGTGAGGGAAAGAATTTATGTCACCATGCACTTTATTGTTTGGAGAGAGTAGATGTGCTTGAGTTACTCCTGAGTGCTGTGTTTAAAGATGGCCTCTGCCACAAGGCACGTCCTGGAAGCCAGAGGCTCTAGTTATTTGGCGCTCTTGTGCTCATGTTCATGCCATTATTTGTGAGCCTTTGGTAGTTTTTTGTTTGATGGCCTCTGTCTGGTTGCACTTATGCTAGGGTTAATAAATAAAGGGCTATGTGTCTACTTTGGGACAAAATTAGGGAGACTATAGGGGAACTCCCCTTGGTTCCGGCCCCTTTGGCAGTGGCATCAGTGGTGGCAAATTCCCAAGGAGAATAAAACTGTCTAGGGGACAAAAACCTTTGCAGCAAGACTTCCCCCATGGAAACTTTTGCCTCACTGCCCACCCACCACATAATAGTGTAAATAATAACCACCAATTAATGAGTGTCTGTTATGTGCCAGGCACTGAAATAAGTATACCTACCATCTCCTGTAATCCTCACCATAACCTCATGAGACCGGTATTCTTTATTATTCCCGTTTTACTGAGGAGAAAATTTGAGGTACAGAGAGAATAGGGAACTTGTACGAGGTCTCACAGTCGGTAAGAAGCAGAACTGAGATTCAGACCTGGCCACCTGGCTTCAGAGCCTGCATTTCTTTTAACATTTTATTGCGAAGAATTCCAAACATAAACAGAAATTGGAAACAAACGTATTGAACTCCCCACATTTCAGCATTTAAAAACATATATCAAGTCTTATTTCATCTATACCCCTACCCGTTCCCCCAACCTACTCATCATGTCATTTCATTTGTAAATGTTTCAGTGTATATCTCTAAAAGAAAGGAACTCTTTTAAAAGCAAAACCGCAATATCATCATCATACTTAAAATAAAACAAAACAGTGATTCCTTAAGATCAGCTATCCAGTCAGTATCCACATTCTCCTATTATCTCATTTTGTTAAAAAAAATATCAAGATCTAAATAAGATCCATGTATTGCAATTGGTTGATATATATCTCAGGTTTCAATTTGCTGGCCGGAACCTCTGTTCTTTTTTTTTATTATTATTATACTTTAAGTTCTAGGGTACATGTGCACAACGTGCAGGTTTGTTACATATGTATACATGTGCCATGTTGGTGTGCTGCACCCATTAACTCATCATTTACATTAGGTATATCTCCTAATGCTTTCCCTCCCCCCTCCGCCCACCTCACAACAGGCCCTGGTGTGTGATGTTCCCCTTCGTGTGTCCAAGTGTTCTCATTGGAACCTCTGTTCTTAACCACTGCACTCGAAGTTTTTTATGACTATGGAAGGTGACAATTTCTTTACAGCAGGCATTCTCAATCTGGGGTTTATTGACAGCTTCAGAAGGCTCTGTGAATCACTAAAAAATTAGTTTTCAAAATTTTTGCTATATTTGTGTGGGTTAATTTTTCTAGAGAGATGGTCCCTAGGTCTCATTAGGGTCTCAAAAGCTTTAAGTAAGTCTCAGAACCACTGAAAGACATGTACTAATGTCAGAGGAAATTGTAGACCACAAAAGCTGGGGAAAGAACAGTTGGAGGTTTCCTTCCGGGTTGGAGAACGAAGTTAAAGTATGTTATGTTGATTAACTTAAAATTTGAGAGACCTTAACAAAATACTTTTCAGAGAAGTGGTTAAGAATTAACTGATGATGTCTTCATTTGCAAAGAATAGAATATGCCATTGACTGGGGACTTTAAGTCTTTTTTGAGTGACATATTCCTTTAATAAAACCTCTTGGTTTACTGTGGCTTATTGAATTGTGGTGGTGAAAATCATACGCGGATCTTGAATTCCCTATTTGGATTGGATCTGTGGCTTTACATGAACTGGGAAGGGTAGAGAATGATTTTGTGGGATATAGTTGGTTTGTGCCACAGTGACATAACTGCTTTGAAAATGTATACAAATTTTCAAAATTAAGTATGTATGCATGTATCAAAATGAAAAGGTTTTAAAAGTTATCATTAATCTTCCCTCTTGGCACCAACTTTTCCTAGATGAAATCCAACATCAAACACCGAATGGTACTATCACCAGCAGCATAGAACCCCCCAAGCCACCACAACACCCCAAACTACCTATTCAGAGGAGTGGGGAAACTGATCCTGGGAGGAAGTCCCCAAGCAGGCCTATTTTGGATGGCAAGTTGGAGCCCTGCCCAGAGGTGGACGTGGGGAAGTTGGTGTCTAGGCTGCAGGATGGAGGGACCAAGATCACCCCAAAGGCCACCAATGGACCCATGCCAGGCTCTGGGCCCACCAAGACCCCCTCTTTCCACATAAAGAGACCAGCTCCCCGGCCCCTGGCCCACCACAAGGAGGGTAAGTGCTTGGGAATCCCATGGGAGCCAGAGCTGACCCTAACTACTTTTCACCTTGAGATCCTTCTGAGTTTGGAGATATATTTAAGTGGAAATATGTTCCAGTTTACTACCACTAATATTGGAACAGTGGGCAAGATCACAATAATCAGTCACAATAATCACTAGAATGTAAGCTCCATGAGGGCCGGGATTTTTTACCTGTTTTGTTGACCTCTATATCCCAAGTGCTATGTGCCTGGCACTGTACTAATTGCTGATATACTATTTCTTATCCTCACAATCCCACTGTAAAGAATGTATTATTCTTAATATTTTCTTTTTTTTTTTTTTTGAGACGGAGTCTCACTCTGTCACCCAGGCTGGAGTGCAGTGACGTGATCTCGGCTCACTGCAGCCTCCGCCTCCTAGGTTCAAGTGATTTCCCTGCCTCAGCCTCCTGAGTAGCTGGGACTACAGACACTTGCCACCATGCCCGGCTAATTTTTGTATTTTTAGTAGAGACAGGGTTTTGCCATGTTAGCCAGGCTGGTCTCAAACTCTCGACCTCAGGTGATCCACCTGCCTTGGCCTCCCAAAGTGCTGGGATTACAGGCGTGAGCCACCACACCTGGCCAAGAATGTATTATTCCTGTTTTTTTTTTTGTTTGTTTGTTTTTTTTAATTTGGAAATGGAGGCTGCTGTAGATAAGTGACTTGCCAAAGATTCACAGCTAATAACTGGCAGAGCTGGGATCTAAATCTTACCATGTCTCACAGGCACCAAAGCCTGCGTTCTTTCCACTGAGGCAGAACTATCACTTTACCTTCCTATAAGAAGCTATGAATCTGTGAACCCTTGTTTTCTCATTCTCCCTTTCCAGTTTGGGAGAAATAGGGACAAAGGGGCACAACTTCTGCCAAACTCTGGATTTTTGAAATTATTGCAAATTCAAGGTGTGGCTGACTTCAGCAAATTTAATTAACTATTGCATGTTGAGACTTATGTTGAGAGACTGGGGCTAATCCAGAGGGGAGTTTTAGGGGACACAATTCTATGAAGATAGTAAGATATAATGGACAAAATAAGGATTTGAGTATCAGAAAGGCTTGGATCTAAATCCTAGCTCTTTTACTTTGTAGCTTTAAGGAATTTCACAATATAGCAAAATGTAAAACCTTAAAAAATGGTTAAGAATAATTTATTTGACAAATATTTATTGAGTACTGACCATGTACCTGGCCCCATTCTACATGCCGAAGACATAGAAATGAATAAGACTTATGAAGTCCCTGTCCTCTTGAGGTTTAGATAAGAGGGCTTGGCAGACTATGGCCTGTGGACCCGATTGGGCCCACTGCACTGCCTCTTTTTATATAGCCTGTAAGCTAAGAATTCTTTTTTACATTTTTTAATGTTTGGAATTAAAAAGGAAATAATATTTTTTGACATGAAAATGTTGTGAAATTCAAACTTTGTCCATAAACATAAATACACCCCTTCATTTACATGTTGTCTATGGCTGCTTTCATGCCACAACAGCAGAATTGAGTAGTAGCAACAAAGACTTCATGGCCTGCACAGCCTAAAATATTAACTGTCTGACACTTTACAGAAAAAGTTTGCTGGCCTTTACCTTAGATTCTAGAGTACTGATAAGAAAACATGAGGCCCAGAATGGGAATCGGGAGGTTGGGAGAAGGTAGGATAGCAAGGAAATGGCAGGAATGGAGTTAGTATACAAAATATTTGCCATGAATACTTAAACACTTGGTGGAGCAGTGTCACAGGTTTGGTTCCAAACTTTCTAGAGAAAACAAAAAGAGAGAAACCAATGGTTATATAACTAAGTTCCTAAGGTAAAAGCAAGCCAATTGTTCAGGTAAGCCATAACTTTTCTGGTTTTGAGGCCAGGGAAAAATTTCTTCCATGGATTATTTCATATAACAACCTCAGTATGAACCAATGGCATTGTCTCAGAGCACAATTTAGTAAAAGCTATTCAGTGTGCGGATGGGAGGGGGTCCAGTACAATTTCTACAAGTCCAGTACAATTTCCACAAGTAGTTGACTCTGAATGCTCTGGTTTGATCCACTGATGCTGATGTGATCACTCATGCGATCACAGTTAATTTATGTAAGCTGTTTGTACCTTGGTTTCCAGATCTGTAAAATGGGAAAACAGTTCACCTGTTAGAATTATTATTGCTAGGATTAAAAGGAATGACAAAATATCTGGCGTATAATCAGCATTCAAAATATGATATTGATTTCCCTCCCCTGTCCCTCTTCTCACTATGACTTGGCTCTTCTGAGACATAGCCAAGAAAAGGAAAACTTTAATGTAGACCTCTGCTTCTGTTTTTAAGTCATGTCGTGACCTTCCTATCAATCTGGGTAGAAGGTTGGGTAACTCAACTTATACTCGTCACAGTAAAATTTGTCTTGTCTGTTGCCAAGCCTTGAGACTGGCCAGATTCTATCAGCTCAGCGCACACAGTAACTCAGCCCTCCTTCCCTCCCTCCTGCAAAGTTCAATCCCAGTGGCATTCCCCTCTTCCCCTTCCTCCAGTCCTACCCTGGGCTGCTGGCGGCAGCTACTCTGATCTAATGGTCTCAGCTAATGTAAGTACTGATCTGACTTGTTCAGTATCAGCCTAACTATCTAAATCTGGGCCTCAGCTTTGCCTGGCTTCATTTTCTGCTTTCAATCAGTTAGCAACAGGCTGGCACGATGCAGCTTTTTTTCAAAACCCCATGCTTCCAGCTTTGGCTACAGAAAGCAGAACTGAGGTGGTTTTGGCCTTGGTGGAGAACCCCCCAAACCTCTGGTATAGTTGCCTCTTTGAACCTAACCTACACTATCTATTCACTTCTTACTTCCTCCTTGCTCCCCTCCTGATTCTGGCTGCTTCTCCTAGTAGATTCCCTGGCATCTGAAGAGTTATCGGTTAAGCAAAAGCCACACACAGCTCTGACCCTGTGCTATAACTGGTAGTTGTTTGCTCCTGGTACTGGCCAGTAGCCTGAATGGCAGTATTAGAGGGAGGGAACTGTTACCTCAGCCAGCCCAGTCTGTACCTTGCAGTTGTCACCCCATTTCAGCTCTGTTGTTTAGGACTTTGCCTGCCATCCTGAGGATCAGTACACAGGCTCCATTGCATTAGTGAGCCAGCTGTGCCACAGTCCTGCCCCCATCTTCACCCCTTGCATTGACTTAACATTTGAGTGGCCTTAACATTCTTCACATTTTTTCTCAGCAATTAAAAATAACAAAAGCATGGTGCATGTTAAATTGCTTTTTTCCATGACAGTCAACTTTAAAATAAGAATCAGTAGTGTTTGCTGATGGAATTTTATCAAGGATCCTTTTCTGTTCCAGACATGAGCTTGATACTTTCACTCTTCTGTTGCGTCTAATCATTGTGATAGGCCTTGTGAGGTATGATTTACCCTCCCCTTTTTATAGATGGAGAAACAGAGGCTCACAGACACAAAACAACTTGCTCAGAGTTACCTAGGTTGTAAGGTGCAGAGATGGGGCTTGACCTCAGCTTCTTGGGTTCAAGATTGGGACTCTTTTTCTTTATACCATATTTCTTCAGCAGCGTTGGCCATCTTCTCCTTTCTGTTTTTCTAAGGACCACTTACTTTTGGGGGGGTACAAAATTATACAAGCCTATTTTTTTCTGCCTTCATTTGAGTTTACTGCCTCTTAGGTGTCCTGGCTTTGCAAAGGGCAGGCATGTAGCTACCGCAAAGGGATTTAGGACTTTCCTTTGGGTAATGAAGAGGGAGGAGGGCTATATCCCATCTACTTTACATGTATTTGTTTATTTAATCAGGTATAATCATATGCAAAGGGAGAGACAAAAATGAAAAGCCATTGTCTCTGCCTTCCAAAGGTTTGTGGTGACACTGGCATGCAAGCAGTCAGTCCCAGCCAATGTGATTAATGTTCTAGTAGGGGTGAGAAGAAATTCTAGTAGGAGCATGGAGCAAGGAGACCTTCATTCTACCTGAGGTATTGAGATGAAAGTGAAGAGCACACCATGGACTGGGACTTTATGACATATGGGTTGAGGGGCCCTTCTTAGCTCCTTTCCTCTGTCTTGGCTGGAAAGGAAAGATTGCATCTGGTGGCATGCTTTTGGGCTTGTAAGGCCTTGCTCAGTCACAGAGCCATTAATTCTCCACTGAGGTGACTAATGTTATGAGTGGCATTTGCATCTACTCTAAAAGTATTAGGAACAGACTTGCTCTTGCAGTAATGGGTGTTGCTGGCCATTATCCACATTTTCTTGTTTGGACTTATGCTTTAATAATCTACTGTTTGGTTTTTATTCTCTACTTTTCTTGGAGCCTAACGCCAAATTGTTTTATAAGGATAAATAATGGCTAAGGAAGCAGGAAGGCTTTAAGGTGAGCATGGAGGAGTGTCATAGAAAAAAAGAGGTAATTCTAGGTGACTGGGGGAATCTACAAGAGGAATCAACCTCCTCCTACTCTGTGCCTTCAGGTTGGGTATAGAGGAATATAAGGAAAGGTGGAAAAAAGTTGCTAAGGTTGAATACTGATGACCATCAGGTCCCAAGAACTCTGCAAATGTTAAGATTCTTTGGTTATGGTCATTTGACAGAGATTAGAGAGAGAGGGAACAGGTGGGGCTTGAGAAGGAGATCAAGTTTGTAGTAAAAGCCAGGTTTCGGACCAAAGTTGAAAAGAAATTAAAAAGAAGTACAGCTTGGTGGAAAGCCTATAGGCTCAAGTGACTTAGTGGTTAAAAGCTCAGGCTCCTGAATCTTCCAGATGTGAGTTTGAATCCTGGCTCTGCCTCTTCCTAGCTGTGGGACTTTGGGCAGGTTACAACCTCTCTGAACCTTAGTTTTCTCATTTGTATAATGAGGATAGTATTTGCGCCCATAGGATTGCTATAACAACAAAGTGAGTCCTCTACATGCCTAGCACATCAAGAGTACTCAGTAAATGATAGCAGTTGTTTTGCTTTCATAGGAGACTATTACTAGCTACTTGATCTTAGTTAGTTCAGCTTTACTTCTTTGAGCCAGTTTTCTCAACTGTAAGTGGGGACAATACCACCATTGAAGGCAAGGATTTTGCATGGATTAAATTAGATTAGGTATACAAAGAATCTGGTAAAATAATAGAGGCTTAAGAAGTGGTAGTATTACTAGGTAACAACCTCTTAGGAAATGGCAGACATGGAAGATGGGGTGTCTACTCTTCTGTATTCGAGGCCCTTTGAGAAGCCTCAAGCCTAAAATGTAGATGGCATAAAAGAGTTCAGAGTTATATTTTCAACCCACAACCTGTCCCTACCATGCCAAACACCTAGGAAGAGGCGAACTAACCTCAAGGTCTAACTCAAGTCTCATTCTGTCCATGAAGCCTTCTGACAATCCTACCCCAGTTAGCTCTCCCTTGATTCACATATTTTGGCACCCAAGATTGACCCTCTAATGTGGATGCTAGTTTATAGTATTCACACTTGTTTCCCATGAATATGACTTATATCCCCCAACTCAGTTTTGAGCTCCTAGAGGGCAGGGGTCATTTGTGTGTCTTTGTGTGTGTGTGTGTGTGTGTGTGTGTGTTAGAGTGTAGGGTTGGGCACAAAAGCCCTCACAAAACCCCCATATTG
Source organism: Homo sapiens (assembly GCF_000001405.40). NCBI lineage: Eukaryota > Metazoa > Chordata > Mammalia > Primates > Hominidae > Homo > Homo sapiens. The sequence goes on along the minus strand of NC_000023.11, from coordinate 68,058,212 downwards.
AATACCGTTCAATTTAGGTTTCAGAGAGAGAAAAAGAGAGAGACAGAGGGATTAATTATTTTAAAGCAGGTTAAGTACATGTAGAGTACTTCAAAAACAGCCTATAAAAGTCAGCTGGGTCTAACATTTAAGTCAGTCCAGCAGGCCAGCATGGCACATGTAACGAGCCTATGTAACGAGCCTGCACATTGTGCACACGTACCCTAGAACTTGAAGTATATTTTTAAAAAATAAAAAGTCAGCTGGGAGAGATAGAGGCTTATAGACTTAGATCATTGGCTCATTCATCTGGAAAAACAGTCCAATCCCCATGTTATACTGGTAAGGAAATGATCCGCTGAAGGTCACACAGAAAGTTAGTTTTAGTATTAATCATAGAATCCAGGTTTCTTGACTACCAGTTACATTACTCTCCCCTTTCTGCCTCACCAGTTTGATACTGTGGCTTAACTGTGACTGAGACACATTAGAGGCAAGAGAGAACAACATCGGTGTCTTCAGCCAAGAAAATCCTTTGCTGCTACCTCAAAGCTTTACTTGTAATGAATAATCATTTGGAGGTAGCAATAAAGGGCCCAAGAGGAAATGAGGTTAATGATGTTTGTTTTCCAAGGCCCTAGGTTCATGTTCATTAGGATGTGGCTATAACTTGGGAATGAATAGGGTTCATATTTTAGGGATGTCATCTGGTTCACTCATCAAGGCATGGTTTCAGGTAGACATGTTTTCCAGCTCTAACAGTCCAGCATATCATTTCTTTACAATTACTGCCTTCCCCTCCACAACTCCGCCTCCCAGCAGTAACCAGTGGAAATGGGGCAGCACTCTCAGCTCTGCTACTCTGTGGGGTGCAGTGAGGAAGCAACATCATATGGCTTAATGGTCCTCAATCTTGGCTGCACATAGCATCACTTGGGAAGCTTTTAAAAATACCCATGCTCAGGATCCATCCTAATCAATAAAACTAGGACGTATGAGGGTGGGGTCCAGGTACTTTACAATTTTAAAGCTCCTTACATATTTCTAATGTTTCACTAGGGTTGAAGAACAGTGGTAGTTGGGACTACATAGGTTTCAGAAATCAGATGGACTGATCAACTATGAAGTTACTTTTCATCTCTGAGTCTCTGTTTCCTCAGCTGTAGAACGGAGATAATACTTTCTGTCTTGCAAGATTGTGGCCAGTGTTGAATGAGAAAATGTGCATAAAGCACTGAGTACAGTATCACAGTACCTGGAACAGAACAACTGTTCAATAAAGGTTAGCTAAAAAAATTTTGCCAGTACTATTGTATTACCATTACTATTATTATTATAATTTATAATTTTTATATTACCAATGATAACAAAACAGCAGACAACTGGAAAGGCAGTGGGTGTGGAAACAGGAGGTATGGGTTTCAGCCCTCACTCTACCATTTAACCTATGGTTGTGGATGAATCAGTTTACTTTTCTGAACCTCAGTTTCCTTCTCTGTAAAATGGGGATAATAAGACCTATTTATTCATCTCTCTCAAGCTTATTGTAAACATTAAGCAGTTATCGTCTGGGAGAGTGCTTTGAATAGTATAAAGTATATTAGAAGAATTGGATTATTATTATCATTTTGGTTAATTTTTTCTGCTGCAATGCTGTATACCCAGTCTGATGTTAAGGGGAATGACATGTCCAGAACGTAAGATGCAGACTAAATGGAGAGACAATTCATATGTGTGCACATGAATAGTGTTTTGTTTCTTCCTTAATTAGAACACCAATCACACTGTATTATCATTATTTCTTTACATATATATCTTGCTCACCAGAATGGCTAGATGGATGAATTTTTTAAAAAACGTACATATTAATATATAAGAACTTCACGAACATTTACATGGATGTGAATTACATATACCTACTAGGGTGTTCAGAGGGTTGAGATTTTAGCTGGGTCTTGAGGAATGATTATAATACACAGGAGACATAAGAATAGGGACACATATAGGGCAAGAAGCAGGACAGAGTCTGACGCTTACTTACCTCTGCTGTATACTAGGCATTGTCTATAGGTCATCTAATTGAGTCCTTAAAATCACCTTGTGAGGAGGGTTTTTCTTTCTTTTTTTTTAAATTATATTTTAAGTTCTGAAGTACATGTGTACAACGTGCAGGTTTGTTACATATGTATATATGTGCCATATTGGTGTGCTGCACCCATTAACTCATCATTTACATTAGGTATGTCTGCTAATGCTATCCCTCCCCGCTCCTCCCACCCCATGACAGGTCCTGGTGTGTGATGTTCCCCTTCCTGTGTCCAAGTGTTCTCATTGTACAATTCCCACCTATGAGTGAGAACGTGCGGTGTTTGGTTTTCTGTCCTTGAGATAGTTTGCTCAGAATGATGGTTTCCAGCTTCATCCATGTCCCTACAGAGGACAAGAACTCATCCTTTTTTATGGCTGCATAGTATTCCATGGTGCATATGTGCCACATTTTCTTAATCCAGTCTATCATTGATGGACATTTGGGTTGGTTCCAAGTCTTTGCTGTTGTGAATAGTGCCACAGTAAACATATGTGTGCATGTATCTTTATAGTAGCATGATTTATAATCCTTTGGGTATATACCCAGTAATGGGATGGCTGGGTCAAATAGTATTTCTAGTTCTAGATCCTTGAGGAATCGCCACACTGTCTTCCACAATGGTTGAACTAGTTTACACTCCCACCAACAGTGTAAAAGTGTTCCTATTTCTCCACGTCCTCTCTAGCACCTGTTGTTTCCTGACTTTTTAATGATCACCATTCTAACTGGTGTGAGATGGTATTTCATTGTGGTTTTGATTTGCATTTCTCTGATGACCAGTGATGATGAACATTTTTTAATGTGTCTGTTGGCTGCATGAAGAGGAGGGGTTTTTATACTCATTTCGCAGATGAGGAAATTTACAGTCGTAGAGGTGAAGTACCTGTCTAGGGTCCTACAACCTGGAAGCAGCAGAACAAGATCTGAAAGCCAGGTCTACAAAACTCCAGACTCTGTCTCACTTAGAAGTAAGAGTCAAGGGTTTGCCTTAATGGGGCAGTAGGCAGACCAATTTGATTAGAGTAGAACTGATAGTTAAAATCCAGGGTTACTGCTTGGGACAGTAATATGGGACCAGCTCAAGGAGGGCCTTGATTTTCTGTGAAGGAGTTTAAACTTTTATCTTCTACATTTTAGAGCTGTTGGGAAAGTCTTTAAAGAGCAGAAAAACAGTGTAAAAATACTTAAATTAAATTTTATAGTTGTATATGTAGATTCAATTTAGTATGTTTTTACATTTACTGTAAATATTTTTGTAGAAAAAAATGGATGAATATAAAGATCCACTGACACCCTTGCATAGTTATGTACATGTCTATTTCAGTATGGTCTTCATCAGGCCATGAGCACTTTCTGTGGACTTTTTTTTCACTTGATATTATTTTGTATGCCTGTTTTTGTTTTGACCTGGTCTAAATTTTTGGCAGTTCACACATAATATGTATTGGTTAAATGCTTGTATGAATTGAATTGTTTGTTTAGCCTTTATGGTTAAGTCTGATTTTTTTTCTGATAAGATGCATGTTTTTGTGCCAATTGCTTTTTCTTAAGTGTTTTTTTTGTTTTGTTTTGTTTTTTTGTTTTTTTGCCTCTTGGATTAGTCCATTTGGGCCTGTTCCCAAAAGCAAAATTACTGGATCAACGAGTATGAACCGTCTCATATGTATGATTTTGTACTTCATCCACATTGTTCCAGAATCCTTGATGCCCTCTAGATAAAATAAGCCCAGTTCACATTGCCACCAGCAATGTGTGAGTTTACCTGTTTCACTATAGTCCTACTAGAACCATCTTATTTAAAAAGTGTTTATATTTATTTTGTACTAACTGACAAGGAAACTAAAGACACAGAGGCAGGAAAGTGAGTTAGAAAACAACTATAATAGTCAAGGCCTAAGTGAAAAGGACCTGGATATCAGTGATGATGAATTTAAGCAATTCAAATTCATCATCATCAGACATTTAGTAAGCACCTACTATGTACCTGGCCCTGCACTAAACATATTAGTACCTGATTTAATCCTCCCACTATCTCTGTAAGATAATATATTGTGGATCTTTATTATATAGCTGGGGAAACTGAGACTTAGGGAATGGATATGACACACCCAAGATATCTGAAACTCCAGAGCTGGGGTTCAAATATAGACTTTCTGAAGGGACAGTTGCCAGAAAAATTACAAAAAAAAAAAAAAATAGCCAGAGTTGTTAGTCACCAAGAAGAAATGGAGGCCAAGGAAGTTGGCCCAGGTAACTCTCATATTGGGTGCCTGCTCATGAGTAGTGTTCTGTTTGGCTAACCATCCAAGTTCCTGGTATCATTTTCTCTTCCAGGGGATGCTGACAGTTTCAGCAAAGTGCGGCCTCCAGGAGAAAAGCCAACCATCATCCGCCCCCCAGTGAGGCCCCCAGATCCTCCCTGCCGGGCAGCTACTCCCCAAAAGCCAGAACCAAAGCCAGATATTGTGGCTGGCAATGCGGGGGAAATCACATCATCTGTGTAAGTAGGGTTGTACCTCAAAGTTGACTGAAGTCCTGTACTAGGCCACTAGGAATGCTTTCAGGATCACCATATTAAGGGTATACAGTGCACAGCCCTGGGGCATCCTTCACTTTATAGTCTAGGGAAATATCATAGGCCAGCCCTGTTGGGAGTATTCCACTCAATGCTCAAAGCTGAGGGATTTCTCTAAAGCTGAAACCTTTGATTCTTAGTACCTGCTAGGAGACCCATTTTTCTTAGCTTCCTTTATCTCTGTATGGTGATATTATTACCTTCTGATTTTAGCTTCCTTGGCTCAGGATATTTTTTAAAAAAATTTCTTGTTATTTCTACTGGTTTTAAAAGTAATTTAATGAACAGATTCATTCACTGTACTTATGCTTGAGGCTTTTATTTTAAGCAAAGGGTATGATTTAAATTTTTTTTCAAAATGACTTTGGTTCTCCAGAGAGTCTCTTACAGGGTGGGAGCTGAGCTGATGTGCAACAGACCTTCCTGAGGCTGGGCCGCAAGCCAAGGAACCAAGGAAGGAGCAGCTAGGGTGGGACCACAGCAGTGCTCAGGGACCAGCTTTGCTTGGCCACAACGCGCTTGCCTGTCCTCTCTTTATCGACTGGGACCATTCTCAGTATACTGCCTCCTGGTCTTCCTTTTTCTTGTCTTTCTTGTTTTCCATAATTGTAAAATTGGAGAAAAAGAAGAACAAAGCCTCCACAGCTTTGACTAATTAGCTTACTATATTTACAAAAAGCCAACAATTATACTTTGAAATCAAGACTGGTTTCATTTATTTCCCCCAAGAAGAGCCTGACTCAGCAACATACTCAGACCATTCTGAAGCAATGGGGATAAAGAGTGTCAGCTATGGCCTTAGGGGTGCCTATGGGCTCTGGGCCATTTCACATTTGTATGTGTAGGGCCTTTGCCAGCAAAGGCAGGGGCTGGCATTGGTGTCCCATCTGGTTCAGAGTCTCCTGTCCTTTCTGTTGGCCATTGGTTCTCACGTGTATACCAAAGCAACTTATGGGACTTGGTTGGCTTCTGTTTGCAGGGTGGCTTCCAGGACCAGGTTTTTTGAAACAGCTTCCCGGAAAACAGGAAGGTAAGATATGGAGGTGACAAAAGAAAAACCAAATCGCCTTTTAATAACTGCATCCTTAGCATACAATTGTGCTCACTCTAACATCTTTCTCTTTTTGTTTCTCTACAGCTCTGTCTCTGTCTGTCACTTTCTCTTCCCCAATTCTGTCTCTCCATCCCTATCTGTCTGTCACCTGTTCACCTGTGTGTCTATTTGTTTCTCTCATATTCTTTTTCTCACTTGGTGTCTCTGTCCTTTTTTTTTTTTTTTTGAGATGGTGTCTCACTCTGTTGCCCAGGCTGGAGTGCAGTGGCACGATCTTGGCTCACTGCAACCTCCAACTCCCAGGTTCAAGTGATCCTCCCACCTCAGCCTCCCTAGTAGCTGGGACTACAGGTGCACGCCATCATGCCCAGCTAATTTTTGTATTTTCAGTAGAGACAGGGTTTTGCCATGTTGGCCAGGCTGGTCTCGAACTCCTGACCTCAGGTGATCCATCCACCTCAGCCTCCCAAAGTGCTGGGATTACAGGCGTGAGCCACTGCACCCAGCCAGTGTCTCTGTCATTCTCAATCTCTTTCTGTCTGTCTGTGTTTCTTTGCCTGTGTCCCCATAGTTGTCTTTATCTGTCTGTTTCTCTGTTCATGTCACTCTATATGTCTCTGTTTTTCTCTTCCTGTGTCTCTTTGTATCTGTTGTCTCTTTGCCTCTTCATTTCTTCATCTCTCTCTCTGCTCATCTTTCCCTTTTCTCTCTCACAAGCACATATGTCTGTGCACACTTGTGTGTGCATGTGCATGTGAACACACACCAAGCAGTATCTCAAAGACTTTACACCCAATATTTTTTGTTAGTTTTTTTTTTTAGTTTACTTTTTTGTTATTTTACTTATTTAGATTCCATTATATACTCAAAGGGCAGCTGACAGGGATATGTAGAATATTACACTCTAAGATAAACAGCCTTAGGGCCCCCATTTCAAAGGTAAACATTGGACTTAGGCAGTGGTTCTCAAACTGGCTGCACATCTAAGTCACCTGGAAACATGGAGAAAAAAGTCACATATTCCTGGATTTCATTCTAGACCCACTAAAACAGAATCTCTAGTAGTGGGGCCTGGGAATATGATTTTTTTGTTTTATTTTGTTTTTTCCTTCCCTCCCTTTCTTCTTTTCCATTAGTTTGTTATTAAAACTTCTCAAGTGCTGGTACAGACTGTCCAAGGCCTGGAATTTAGGACCCTTTGGACTAGAACATCTGGAGAGATATTTGGTTAGCCTTCAGGGACTCTTTTGTGAGTTTGTTCCTTCTTGGTTATCAGAGAGTTTGAAATTGTTCCTCCTAACAGGTGACAGGAGCAGAACTCTTCTAGGTGGTCAGTTAAAAGCAGAACAATATACCTTTCCCAGCAGTGGAGTTGGGGTAGATTTTCCATCCTCTAGTCAAAACTATGGGAACTGACACACTAGGACATGATTCTGCACAGCAGTTCATTCTAGCTCTGATTGTCAGTGAGCCACCTGGAACCTCAGGCTGGGCCAAATTCTCCTTAGACAATAATTTACCATTCATTCTACCATAGCAGATGAAAGTCAGATCAAGGCCCCAGATTTCTCTTACTGATAGCATGAAGATAAAAGTTTTCACCTCAGAAGTTTTTTAAGTAAGCTTAATCAAATATCTCTCTTGAGAAAAGAAAAAGAAAAGAAGAAGGGAGACGAAGAGAGTCTCAAATATTCTTAATAAGGTGGCCTATGCCTTCCTAGAATAAGCCACTTGAGAAATAAATAACAAGGAAATAGAACGATGTAAACTGGAATGAACTGGATATGTCTACAGGAAAGCTTTTTAGAGGAGGTGATATATGAGTTGGGGCTTGAAAAAAGAATAGAACTAGACAGAAAAAATGCTGTGGGGGCAGTTATTGATCTGCAAGCTTGGACAGGAAACCAAGGCATTGAGAAGGAAATATGTAAGAAGCATGAAGAAAGTCCAATAGAACTTTTAAGGCAGGTAGACTTACAAGAGGGAAGCTATAGCCAAACTGGTGTTGAGAGTGTGAAAAGATTGGTAGCCACTACCAATGGGCTGGGCTTTGTCAGCCAGTGCTCGAGGAAGCCTTAGATCAAGCACAACCTACAAGGGCTATGGCCAAAGCAGGCACTTCAGGCTAGAATATCACTCTACCCACCCTATGTCTGGGCTTCCAGAACCTAGATTTAATCCTGTTCTTTATTCCTAGATTCCATTTTGGCAGGAATGTAGGTAAGACCAAAGTAGGTACACTTGCTCTCCAGTATGTCATGAACTACCATCCTGAGTACCCACAGGCTCCTCCCACTCAGCATCCACATAGGGAAAGCATCCCTTCCATCTAGGCCTCCACCTTGTAACCACCACTTGCATCAGTGCTTCCACAGGTTGGCCTCTGATCAAGATCCTCAGACCAGTCACATAGTCAGTCCCGTCTATGGTCATTGTTGCTAAGTTCTTCTCTCATCTCTAATGAAAATGATGATCTTTTTAAACTTTGTCTTGCCCCTTTTTGGTCCCCATTTGTATACCTGACTACGGCCTAGCGTTTGAATGACATCACCCCCTTATTCATTTCCCTTACACAATTTAAACATAAATAACTAAGAAGAAAATGAGTAGTGGCTCATCAAGAACATAAAGGAGGTGAGAACATTTCAAAGAGGCCCGACAGCTTATGGTTTCAGAAGTTATTAGTGTTCCACTTTGGCTAGAATGTGGGAGTGAAAAGAGGGAAACTTAGCTGGGGGTGAGACCAGAAAGATGGATTGGAGCCAGATCGTGAAGGCATTGTATAACATACTAAGGTGCTTGGTCTTTATACTGCAGTCCATATGCGGATGAGTCATAGAAAGGGGGGAAGAATTTCAAGAATGACAGTCACATTCTGAGCTGACCAAGTTGTAAAAAGATCACTTTGGTAGTGGGAAAGATAGATGGGAGAGTAAAGACTGGAGACCAGTTAAGGAGACTAATTGTCCTGGCAAGAGTTGGGGAAGCCCTGGCCTATGGCATTCCCAGTGGGAATGGAACAGAAGGGACAGATTTGAGAAAGACTCAATAAGACCTTGCTACATTTTCAAACATGGAACATTGATGAACCGAGAAAGAGAAAAGTCTAACTTGGGCACTTAAGTAGATGGTACAATAATTAATCATGGAGAAGCAGGTTTTATGGGAAAGATGCTGAGCTCAATTTTGGACACAGTGATTTTGAAGACACAGTTGTTAAATTTATACAAATTTTTTAAAGACACTTTGAGACTTAGGTAGAGATAGATGTTCAGTGGGTAACTGCAACTTAGGCTAGCAGTTGGAGCTGGATGTATGTATACATAGATTTGGGGGTTAGAAATATGAGTATAGCCACTATATAAGTCTGGGGAGTGGGGCTAGTCACATATGCTACAATGTGAATAGTAGCCTGTTGTGGGGAGGTCCCTAGTATTTGGTGGCAATTGAAGCCATGGATGGGAATAAGATCCTCCAGGGAGTAAGTGTAAACAGACTGGAGAGAAGAGAAAAACAGAAGGTTGAGGACATAGCCCTGGGGACCAGCTGTTGTACGTAATGCTCTGGCCACACTAGAGTGGGTTTCATTTGCCAAGATTTTCTCCTCCCCAAGCTGTCCCCAGACATGGGTAATTTAGAACTAATCCAAGCACATCAAGAGGCTGGACAAGGTTGGTTTGGTCTTCTAGGCAAAGGAGGATTCATCTTTCACATGGTACTTGTCTGTGTCCTCACCCTTATCCCTGTTAGAGATCATCACAGAATGTAGTTCGTGGTCTGCAGCCAGCTTCCCTGGGTTCTCCAAGCTTCACATAGTCTGGTACTCAGAGAATTGTTCTGGCACCTGAAAGATGTCTTCACATCTCTTTAAGCCTGCCAGAGAAGGAGCCCCAACTATAAGCATGGAGCTAAATGTTTTGAAACATCTGGGCTGAATCACTTCTCCATTTTTCAAATGGCCTCTTTAGCACTGGCCTAGAAGTGTCCCCCATTCCCCCAATTTACCTTTCCAGTCCTGATTTCTAGAATCTTAGTGAAACGTCTTTCTTTATCCACAGTTCTCAAGGCAGACTTCCTGGAGATGAAAGTTGAGGCTACAGGTATGCAGTCCCCATCCCTGATTACAAAATCTTGTTCCACATAAGCCTTCATTACGGGATCTGATATTTTGAGGACTGGAATAACATGTAGATCAGAAGGGTGGGAACTCACTTCTACGCCTCAGTTCATTACTCTATCACTGCCTGACCCTTAAATTTAGTGACTTTCAATTCCAAGGTTTTGTGTGATTTTAAGTAACCTTCCTCTTTCATTTCTTTTTCTCCTAGCCAAACTATGGCACGCTTTTACAGATTGCCTTTGAATCAAATTTATTAAGAATCCTAGGCTGTGACATTTTGGGAAAGTACATTTACTTCTCTGAGCCTCAGTTTCCCAGTTTCTAAAATGAGAAGGTTGGAACCTTCTAACTCTGACACCTCTCGGGCCTTTAAGGAAACCAGGAACATGCTTTCTGATATTATAACAGATGCCAAGAGGCTACCTTAGTGTCTGTAGATGGATTCATTCCTGCAGACCAAATCATTATTTCAGTCTTACCCACCTGAACCTTCATTCTTAGTCCTTTATGTTTGTCCAATGCAAAGCACTTTCACATTCATTATTTCATTTGATGCATATCACATGCCAGGAGAAGGGAGGATAATATGTGTTCTAACTCAACAAATAAAGGAACTGAAGTTCAGAGGGGATAAGTGACTTGCAAAGGTCACAGGAGACTCAGAGGTCAGGGAAATTCCTTTCTCTATCATAGGAGTTCTGATTGTTTGACTATCAGATTGCTGGCATGATGTGACCTGATAACACACATAAATGAGATCCAAGTATCTGGAGCTTGGCTTTTCATGTGCTCCCTAACCTTCTTTTTTTCCCTGTCACTGCCAGTCCTCAGAGGTCCGTGGGTAGATAAGCTTCTCCTTATCAGCCCCTATGGAGGTGAAGTCCCTGTTAAAAGGAAGTTTATAGTTATTGTATGACCATAAAGGCAGTGGGCATGATGTGGGAAGAAATCTCAGAGGTTCTAGTATCAGGCTTCTATTTCTCCATGTAGATTTTGGGGAGTTTGAGTTGAGGTCAAAGGCACAAAGTGTCCAGCCCTGGTCATAGCACCATCTTAGGCCTGTTTCATGAGATTTGACTTGTAAGAGCCTTTGCCCAGCAATCCGCTGTTGCTCAGAAGATGAGCTACCAATTATAGGCTTAGCTACCTACCAAGAGAAGCCCCACTGATCAGTGGCTGTTAAGTACTTGACCAGTCCTCGCTAATTCCCTACTCTCTTCTTTCTCTTTCAGGTTTTAAAAGCCTTGGCCTCAGAGGACCCTTTCCAGGTTCTGAAAGAGTCTTTCTTCTTCAAACCTTTGTGTGCGGAGTCATTTTGTGTTGAAGAGCAGCTCCTTCCTAGCCTTGCACTTTCAGACTCTCTCTGGGAGGCCATAAAATAAGGAGCATATGTCCTAGACAGGTGTTTATATCTCCTTTGTATTCTGTCTTCATCCCCTCAGAAGGTCTGTTTTGAGTTCCTATAACACTGTGAAGAGCTGGACTCCCTCAAGCCAGACTCTGCCAAAACCAAGATATCCACTTACCTGAGTTGAAGAGGGGAGCTCAGTTTTCAACTCTTCCCTGAACTTCCTGCTTCCTCAGAGGGCCATTGAACTCTGAGAGATTTGGGGCTAAAGACTGATCTCAGGGGTCTTACCTTGAACTGAAGGCCACTTGAGTTGGGGCCATTGCTTACCTTGGTTGGAAGGGAATAGAAATGTTTGCTGAACATTGGAGAATCTCAACATGTCTCCTACTGAGGATATGGACACTGGTGCCATGTCAGCGCTCTGGTGCTGCAGTATGTTGCCAAGAGCCCGTCTGCTCCTGCGAGGCTATGAGTGGGATGAGTGATGCCCCCACAGCACCTCCATGTGGACTTAGGAAGGTGGCCTTCCTGCTGTTACATGCAGCCACTTAGGACAAATCTGCAAAGCATGTTTTGCATGTAAAAGCCTAGGTCTATTTGGATTATTCTTTCTCCTTTTTTTTGACAGCTTCCTGTCAAGCAATCAAGAAACAAACAAAAGCTGAACACATTTCTTTTTAAAAAAAGGAGACTGTGTTTGGTCCTGTAGGAGTTCTATTTTGGGGTCAAATGCTAGAAAAATTGTTAAGGTGGATTGAGGCCAGGCAGCTGTCACTGCTGCTTCATGTTTGCCTTCTGCACATAAACTCTTTTATCTCCTGAAAAAAGCAGTTCTTAACCCAGTGTCCATGGACTCAGAAACTCCATGATGCCCCTGAGATGGTATGCACAATTCCATGACAATATGCCCTTTCTGGGGAGATAGTCCATAATGTTCTGCTAAATTTCAAATGGGCTCGTGACCCAAAAAAGTCAAGAACCACAGCACTTGAGTAAAATACTCTTTTTACAATCCATATAAGCCCTTGATTGGAAGGGCTTTTCAAAATCATTTAGTCTAACAACTGCCCAGTTTCCAGTCGGGGGAACTGAGGCAGAGCAAGGTAGTGATCACACCAGTACAAGATCTCAGGTCCCAGGCTCCTATGCAAGTTTTTTTTCCCCATTATATCACACTTATCTAGCAAGGGACCTTGTGGTTTGTGGCTTTAGTGGCCATCATTTCTGGGGGTTGGCTTTTACCCTTTTTCTTGAATATTTGCCACCAAGTGAAAAATGTTAGGACATAAACCCTTGCCAGGTCCCTTTCATTTGCTATCTCTATTATTGGAAAGGACCTAAAAATTGGTGTAATGGGGCAGAAATCTGAGGAATGGACATTTCTAATTCCTGTTTGTTGAAGGGAAGTTGCTGGAAAGAGCATCAGTACTTGTTTCTATGCAGATGCCTGGGCCGTAGCTTGTCTGTAGCGTCTGTATAATTATAATGTTGCCCAGTGTGAGGGAAAGAGCTTTCCTACTTGCACTCTTCTACCAAGGCCCTGTTAGTGCACTGATTATAGTACTGACAGATAAACCTAGATAAAGAGATAGAGAGTGAGTACATGCACACTCATGTGCAAACCCACTCAGAGATGCATTTGGAACAGTGCTACTGAAAGGCAGTAGTCATTTTCAAGACTGAATTCCAAACATGGTTTATTGGTGAGTTAGGAACATGTAAGGCCAAGTACACTGAGAGCCTTTTTGAAAGTAATTGAGTGGAAACTTGATGCCATTCTAAATCAAGGCATATCCAGGTGGCCCGGTTGAACTCACTCCACTGTACCCAGTCTCAAAGGCCAGGTTGCTAAGAAACCAGGAGTAAAAGAGTCAAGTGACCATCATTTCACCTGCTGCTTGCCCCCAATAGTAGTCTCTGTGAGGCCTTACTGACCTCACCTAGGAAGTGATTTTTGAGCCCTTGTTTCAGGGCTGTGGCCTCCCTGCTCTATCCTGAATAAAGCAGACAGGTGTGCAGATTTTGGCCATGAAAGCATGGCTAATAGGGCCACAGTCCCTTTAAAGAAACATGGTTTGACTCTGGTTTTCTTGGGGGAAAATACCACAATCACCGATGCAAACATTGGAAGATTATTGAGAGCCCTAGAAAGCTGCTGTGATCCCAGTAGAAAATATGTCCCAGAAATGTCATGAGATTGCTGTGTGTTGCCTGGGACACAGATCAAGGGCCTATCTTGGAGAGCTGGGGACCAGCAGTCTGCCTGGAGGCCAGGGAGCAGTGGCTGAGTAGCTCTGCCTTTGCTCTGGTCTATACCTTAAGAATGCCAAAGAATGAATTTCAACGCCTGCCTTTGGCACTCTGACTTAAAGTGCAAAAAGCTTCTGTGGCGAGGCATGCTATCATGGAATGAGACTGGCTTGCCCTAGGCTTAATGGATGGGCAGTCATTTTGCAGAGGCTATGGGAAGAGGGTGATAATAGAAGAGTGGCAGCTATAGGAAATTATCAACATACCTTGGCCAGCAAGTTAGAGAATCTGGCAATGGATGAACTGAAAGTGATGAACTGGCAGGGATAACAAAGAACCTAACATTTATTAAGCACGTATTTATTAACTGCTCAGTGTTTCATATTCATGCAAGTATTCTCATTTTACAGAGAAAGAAATTATGGCCCAGGGGGCTAAAGTAAACAACTCAAGGGCACATAGAAAGTAAATAAAAGGACTGTGATTTGAATCCAGGCCACTCTTAGCCCATGCTGTTTTCCCTTTGCCACACTGTGGTAGGTGTTTGAACAGAGGCCACATTACTAGAGTTGGCATGACTCTTGACTCTTGCCTGCCTAACAAAATATTGAAAGGCAAACATTTGAAGGAGGGAGGGGGTGCAGGTTCAGTTTATATGGAAATGCAAACTGGGCTGGAAGATATTCCTGAGTTAGGCTTTCTCTTCATATTCAGCTTGCACATTTGGTAATGTTTTTAAGATGATCATCTAATTTTATTTTGTGAAGTGAAGGATTTGTGTTTTAGTTGGCAGTTGTTAAGTCCTTGGCTTGCCATTTTTCAAAAAGTAAAAAGGTCCTCACAGGTGTCTCCATACTTCGCCAAGGTTGTAGCATGGGCAGTTTCAGTTTCAGCCTAAGAGACTGGTGACATCCACAAATGCAGTTTTAGAAGCAGAAAAGGTCTTGGTGCCTCTGCAGTACTTGATGTATTGGGGTCAAATCTCTACAAATTTTTCTGTGGTGATAGCAAAATCAAGAGATGGCTTACAAAAAGAAATATTGAATTTTTATTTTTGAAGTTTTTGTTTTTTAAAAGGTTGGGGGTGTTCAGCCACTGAGGGACAAAACTTAGCATCTAATTTCAATTATAGTGTCATGCAGAGTATTTCTAAAGTAATTGGTTATCATGGGAAAGTATTCTCTTTTCAAGAAGTTCTTTGATTCTGTAATAACTAGAACAAATAAAGTAGTAAAAGAAGAAATAGTTCTGTGACTAGGAAAAAATTGCTTTTGAGAGAACATAGATCAATTATACTACTTCTAAGGTAGCTGCAGATAAGTGGCCTTGACACATTACAAGCCTGGAAAAAAACATCAGAAATAATAAAAAATTTCAGAGAGAATCAAGATACCTTTTTTTTTCTTTTTTTTTTCTTTTTTTTATTATACTCTAAGTTTTAGGGTACATGTGCACATTGTGCAGGTTAGTTACATATGTATACATGTGCCATGCTGGTGCGCTGCACCCACTAATGTGTCATCTAGCATTAGGTATATCTCCCAGTGCTATCCCTCCCCCCTCCCCCGACCCCACCACAGTCCCCAGAGTGTGATATTCCCCTTCCTGTGTCCATGTGATCTCATTGTTCAATTCCCACCTATGAGTGAGAATATGCGGTGTTTGGTTTTTTGTTCTTGCGATAGTTTACTGAGAATGATGGTTTCCAATTTCATCCATGTCCCTACAAAGGATATGAACTCATCATTTTTTATGGCTGCATAGTATTCCATGGTGTATATGTGCCACATTTTCTTAATCCAGTCTATCATTGTTGGACATTTGGGTTGGTTCCAAGTCTTTGCTATTGTGAATAGTGCCGCAATAAACATACGTGTGCATGTGTCTTTATAGCAGCATGATTTATACTCATTTGGGTATATACCCAGTAATGGGATGGCTGGGTCAAATGGTATTTCTAGTTCTAGATCCCTGAGGAATCGCCACACTGACTTCCACAATGGTTGAACTAGTTTACAGTCCAACCAACAGTGTAAAAGTGTTCCTATTTCTCCGCATCCTCTCCAGCACCTGTTGTTTCCTGACTTTTTAATGATTGCCATTCTAACTGGTGTGAGATGATATCTCATAGTGGTTTTGATTTGCATTTCTCTGATGGCCAGTGATGATGAGCATTTCTTCATGTGTTTTTTGGCTGCATAAATGTCTTCTTTTGAGAAGTGTCTGTTCATGTCCTTCGCGAAGGACAAGATACCTTAAAGATAAGTTTTCGATAAAGAAAAGCCTTCATTTTCCTGGGGGAAATGAAGCACTTGATGCCAAGGACATTAGTAGAGGGCTAGAAAGATTGCCTGTGTGAAAGACATATGCTATATCCAAATAATAAAACAAACGAGATCCTGGGGCTCATTCATGTGACTTTCAATAAAGTATGTAGACTGTCTAATATAAGTGGCCTCCATCTGCAGTTTTGTCATGGAAACAATCTTTGAGCATATCATTGAGGCATGATGGTACATGGAACCACTCACTACCTACTGCTTGTGTTGACTTCTACAAATCTAAGGAAACCTAAGTAAAGAGTTCTTTTGCACCTAGGAGTCTCCATTTACAGTCTACTTTGAACAATGGCCTCGCAGTTCCCTCAGGCTTCACAACATCATTTTGTGACAGGTGACAGGCCCATTTTACAGATAAGGAAACTTGAGGCTTAGGGAACTGAGAAATAATTTGTCCAAGATTACACAGCTAGGTTAACTGGAAACTACAGAGGCCTTCCCATTTCCATTTCTAATACAATTCACAGCCCCCAGTAGTAAAGAAAAGAAATCCCTAGGGTAAATGGAGAAGATTCTTAGAAATAGGAATGATAAACATCTTTAAGTCTTGCTACTCAAAATGTGGTTCGTCATCAGCCTTGGCATAAGCATTAGCTGGGAGCCTACTGGAAATGCAGATTCTCGGAACCCACTCCAGCATGTGGAATCAGAATCTGTACTTTCACAAGATCCCCAAGAGACTCCTATGCACATTAAAGTATGACAAGCACTGATATGAGGTATTTGAGACAGCAAAGCAGCTTGAGGAAGGAGTCCCTTTGGTGAGACAAAGACCAAAAGTGGTGGATAAGGATGATCTGGTATGTTGGGAGTGGGTACAAAGATTAAGTCATAGTTGCCTGCTTTTTTGCATTCCTTTATACTTGTGCTTTGATGACAAAGTTTCTCCACCTCAAAGAATAGTGAAACCAGCCTGGGGAATAAGAAGAGTGAAAAGTACTTGGCTTTCAAATCTCTGAGCAGTAGAAGCAGTGGAAAGACAACATGAGGCCATGGGAAGAGCTCCTTTCAGGAGCCCTCATGGTCCAGAATCAGCGCTATCATTGCCTCCCCTTAATGTTGAGCAAATCCCTCTCCCTCTCTAGGCCTCAAATTCTCTGCCTTTAAACCAGGTACTCTCAAAGGATCTTTTCAGCTTTGATATTCTGTTATTTTGTGATGTTAATTATACCACAGCCTACATTGTAATGAAAACATGGGCAACTCCACTGGCCTTTTTCTGGCCCTAGTTTCACATATTCAGTTTACATAAGAAGGGGTAATTCAGGAGGAAAGTTCACAGTCATGGCAAAGCAACATGAATGGAAATCACAGGGAACTAGAAGGGGCATGATCTAGGTAGCCAGCTTGAAATTGGCCAGTATTTTAATTAAAGTATAACAAGGCATCCAAACTGCTTTGAACAAGCTGCTGCTTCATATCACACGCTGATGAATCAATTTATGTATTCTAAATAAGCTTTACTTTGAACGATTCATGAATTCCTCTGACTTGGGTCTTTTGAGGGGGCAAAAGGGACTTACAAAACAGGGAATACTACCACTCCCTGCATCTGCCACTCATCTTCAGGTGATTCTGATGTCCATTAGTTAAGGACCACTGACTATAACCTAATCAATTAGAGATGGAGAAACATACTGAGGGGGGTAAGGGTCTTGCTTAAGGCCACACACCAGAGCCAGGGGCAGAAAACAGGTGCTCAGAGTACTACTAGCACAAGGGTTTTTCAACACTACTTTTTTGGGTGATCACCAGTATCAAGATACCTGCTTCCAGTGGCAGGGCACACAGTGGGGAGGACTGATAGGCTTCCCATCTGGGTGCTTTGTTTTCATCCCATGTTCATGCTGATCGCTTCATTTGAACCTTAACAGCCATATCATCTAGTCAGAGCAAAGATGATTATCCACATTTTAATGAGGCTCAGAAAGGTGACATAACTTGCCCAAGATCACATAGCTGAGAAATAAGACTGTGCCCTAGGTTGTCAGATTTCTCCTATGCTACCCTGCTTCTCTAGGGGAGGAGATGCAGCACTCCAAACTCTCAGCTCTTAATTGCTTTGATTCAATTACTTCGAAACCGATTATTTTTTCCTTTTGGAGGATATAACAGTGTATGACTTCAAACTTTGCAGAGCATCCTTAATGCCCCTTATTTTGTCCTCATAATATCCCCCTGAGGTAGGGAGCACAAGGTATTTTTGCCCCAATTTGAAGAATGTACAAGTTGAGGCCAGAGGCATTGTATTAGCCTTCTATTGCTGCTATAACAAATGATCGCAAGTTTAGTAGCTTTTCAAAACACCATGTATTTATCTCACAATTTCTGTAGGTCAAAAGTTTGGGATAGCATGGCTGGATTATCTGCTTATGGTTTCACTGAGCTAAAGCCAAGGTATCAGCCAGGCCTGTGGTTGTTATCTGGGGCTTGGGGTTCTCTTCCAAGCTCACTGGTTGTTCTGTGACTAAAGTCCCCATTTCTCAGACATCTCTATCTTAAAGCCAGCAATATTTCAGTCCTTTTGCTTTCTCTCTCTTGCATCTCTCTGACTTCCCCTCTTCTGCTTCTGCTGTTAAGGCCTTGCCCCTTCATTGGGGTGATTTCATTGGGTTCACCCCAATAATACAGGATAGGCTTCCTATGTTAAGGTCAATAGTAACATTAGTCACATCTTCGATATTCTTTTTGCCATGTAATCATAGTCATGGGGAGTAGGACATAGAATCTTCTTAGGGGCCATAATAGCTGCTTACAACAGGCATGAATTAGCTGCCAACAGAAGCCCTGCATTTCAGTCTGAAGACACATGGTTGTGAAACCTTAATTTTAGGGAAGGATAAAATGATCATTTATATGTCACCTACATGGGCAGTTAGAAACCCCAGGGTTGTTCAACCTCTCCCATCTCTCAAATACACACAGAGACAATTCAGCAGCACATCAAAGGAAGTGGTAGCAGGAGTGTAAGGGGGGATCTTTAACAGCTGATGGTATTCCTAGATAGTACCTTGATGCTGGTGACCAGTCACTTAATTAGTCTCCTTCTATTTAGGTACTGGGGGAAAGGGGGAGAAACAGTTTCCCCAAAGGCCCAACATGAGAAGTGTGCTTCCCATTGATGTATCTCTTGGCCATTACAGCTAATACATGGTGTCTACTACAGGATAGATGTGTTTCTAAGTGCTTTTCATGGGTTTACTGAATTTGTTCTATTTTAGTAACATTCCTATGAGGTAGGTACTGGTATTAGCCCCATTTTATAGGTGAAAAGACATGCACTGTTACGTCATTTGTCCAAGTACTTGTAGTCAGGAAATGTGAAATATAGGATTCAAATCCAGGCTATTCCCTTACCTAATCACCTGGGAAAATCTTAATCCACCAACCTGGGGAAATTCTCCTAGACGACAGATTGAAGCCAGGTTGATTTCATAGTTCCTCATACCTTTAATCTTCCAAGCTTGCCCTTGGGGTCCTGGCATTCTGGCAGCACAAATCAGCACTGCTGAGCCTACTGAAAGATTATTTTAAATTTAGAGACTAGCTGGGTTTTATAAGGCTAATGGAATGCAAAGTGAAGGTGACAGACCTTTTCTCAGAGGCTGGAAGAAAAGGAGACGGTCAGTGCAAGCGAGGTGGTCCCAGGAATGCCCTCTTTAGAGCAGTATTTTCACTTGGGGGCTTCCCATGATATATGGGATCTTCCTAATAGTTTTTAATATTGGTATAAAATTCAAACATAAGTGTTGGTTATTCTCTGTGTATTGATACATAATTTTTTTTACATATTTTGAGGTACCTGTGATATTTTGTTACATGCATAAAATGTGTAATGATGAATTCAGGGTATTTGGGATATCCATCAGCTTGAGCATTTATCATTTTGATGTGTTGAGAACATTTCAAGTCCTTACTTTTAGTTGTTTGAAAATACATAGTTAACTACTCACCCTACTCTACTATCAAACGTTAGAACTTATTCCTTCTATCTAGCATATATTAGTACCCGTTAACCAAACTCTTCATCCTCCTCTCCCTCACCATCCTTCTCAGCCTTTGATAACTATCCTTCTACTCTCTACCTCCATGAGATCAACTTTTTTTAGCTCCCACATTTGAGTGAGTGCATGCGATATTTGTCTTACTTTGTCTGGCTTAACATAATGACTTCAAGTTCCATCCACGTTACTGCAAATGAAAGGATTTCATTTTGTTATGGCCAAATAGTATTCCATTGTGTACATATACTGTGTTTTATCCATTCATCCATTGCTGGACACTTAAGTTGATTTCATATCTTGATTATTGTGAATAGTGCCTTGATTTTTCTTTCAGCTATTCCCTTTTTCTCTTTCTTTCTTTCTTTCTTTCTTTCTTTCTTTCTTTCTCTTTCTTCCTTTCTTTCTTTTCTTTCTCTTCTTTTTCTTCCTTTCTCTCTCTCTCTTGCTCGCTTTCCTTCCTATCTTCCTTCCTTCCTTCCTTCCTTCCTTCCTTCCTTCCTTCCTTCCTTCCTTCCTTCCTTCCTTCCTTCCCTCCCTCCCTCCCTCCCTCCCTCCTCTCTCTCTCTTGCTTTCTTCGTTTCGACAGGGTCTCACTCTGTCACCAAGGCTGGAGTACAGTGTGTGATCATGGCTCCTTGCAGCCTCAACCTCCCTGGGCTCAAGCAATCTTCCTGCCTCAGCCTCCCAAGTACCTGGGACTACAGGCATGTGCCACCACAGCTGGCTAATTTTTTGTATTTTTTGTAGAGACAGGGTTTTGCCATGTTGCCCAGGCTGGTCTCAAACTCCTAGGCTGAAGCCATCTGCCTTCCTCAGCCTCCCAAGGTGCTGGGATTACAGCAACTGCGCCTAGCCTCAGTTCTTTCTTTATTGGTGTATAGAAATACCACTGACTTTTGTATGTTGATTTTGTATCCTGTAACTTTATTGAATTTATCAGTTCTAAGAGGTTTTTTTACTTCGATGGAGTCTTTCAATTTTTCTAAATATAAGATTGTGTCATCTCCAAATTAAACAATTAGACTTCCTCTTTTCCAATTTGGATGCCATTTATTTCTTTCTCCTGCCTGATTGTTGTTGCTATGACTTCCAATACTATGTTGAATAGGACTGGTGAAAGTGGGCATCGTTGTTTAATTCCAGTTCTTGCAGGAAGACTTTCAGCCTTTCCCCATTCAGTATGATGTTAGCTGAAGGTTTGACATATGTTTTATTATGTTGAGGTATGTTCCTTCTATGCCTAGTTTGTTGAGAGTTTGTATCATGAAGAGATGTTGAATTTTATCAGATACTTTTTCTACATCTCTTGAAATGATCATATGGATTTTGTCTTTCATTCTGTTGATGTGACGTATCACATTTATTGATTTGTGTGTATTGAACCACCCTTGTATTCCTGGGATAAATCCCACTTGTTCATGGTGTATTATAGTTTTGATGTGATGTTGGATTCAATTTGCTAGTATTTTGTTTAGGATTTTTATGTCAATATTCATCAGGGATATTGGCTCTTAGTTTAATGCTTTTGTTATATCTTAGTCTGATTTTGGTATCAGTGTAATGCTGGCCTTATAAAATGAGTTAGAAAGAATTTTCTTCTTTTCTATTTTTTTGGGATAGTTTGAGGAAAATTGGTGTTAGCTCTTCTTTATAAGTTGGGTAGAATTTGTCCGTGAAGCCATCAGGTCCTGAGATTTTCTTTGTTGGGAGTTTTTTTGTTGTTGTTGTTTGTTTGTTTGTTTTCTGATTCAATCTTGTTATTGATCTGCTCAGGTTTTCTATTCCTTCTTAATTCAGTCCTGGTACCTTGTCTGTGGCTGGGAATTCATCAGTTTTCTCTAGGTTTTCTAGTTGATTGGTGATTGTTTGTTCTTTGTACATCTGTGGTATCAGTTATAATGTCTCCCTTTTCATTTGTATTTATTTGGGTCCTCTCTCTTTTTTTGGTTAGTCTAACAAATGGTTTATCAATTTTGTGTGTCTTTTTAACAAACCAACTTTTCATTTAGTTTATCCTTTCTACTTTTTTAGTCTCTATTTTGTTTAGTTCTCCTCTGACCTTTATTGTTTCTTTCCTTGTGCTAATTTTGGGTTTGGTTTGTTCTTGCTTTTCTAGCTCCTTGAGGTACATCACTAGGTTGTTTATATTTAAAATGTTTCCCTTTTTTGACATAGGCATTTATTGTTATAAACTTCTGTCATAGCACTGCTTTTGTTGTATCTCATAGGTTTTGGTATGTTTCCATTTTCATTTGTTTCTAGAAATTTTAATATTTCCTTCTTAATTTCCTCATTGACCCAGTGGTCACTCAGGAGCATATTAGTTAATTTCCACGTATTTGTATGATTTCCAAAGTTTCTCTTGTTATTGATTTCTAGTTTTATTCCATTGTGGTCTGAGATGATACTTGATATAATTTTGATTTTTAAATTTTGTTGAGACTTGTTTTGTGGCCCAAGATATGGTCTGTTTTGGAGAATGTCCCACATGCTGATGAAAAGCAAATGTATTCTGCAGTTGTAGGATAAAATGTCTTGTAAATGTCCGTTAGGTCCATTTGGTCTAAAGTGCAGTTTAGATCCAAAGGTTTTTTGTTGATTTTCTGTCTAAATGATCTGTTGCTGAGAGTAGGGTGTTGATATCCCCCACTATGATTATATTGGAGTCTATCTTTCCATTTTGATCTAATAATAATTGCTTTATCTATCTGGTTGCTCCATTGTTGGGTACATATGTATTTAGAATCATATCCTTTTGCTGAATTGGTTCCTTTATCATTATATAGTGAACTTTTGGTCTCTATTGTCTCTTTTTACAGTTTTTGACTTAAAGTCTGTTTCATCTGATGTAAGTATCACTACACCTGCTCATTTTTGGTTTCCATTTTCATGGAATATTTCTTCCCATTCCTTTACTTTTAGTCTGTATGTGTCTTTACAGGTGAAGTCAGTTTTTTTGTAGACAGCATATAGTTGGGACAGTTTTTAAATCCATTCAGCCAGTCTATATCTTCTAAGTAGAAAATGTAATCCGTTTACATTCAGTGTAATTATTTATATGCAAGTTCTTATTCCTGTCATTCTATTAGTTGTTATCTGATGGTTTTGTATATCCTTTCTTCCATTCATTCTCCCTTTTTTATCATTGTGGTTTGGTGGTTTTCTGTAGTGGTAACATTTGAGTCATTTTCTTCCTCATTTGTGTGTTTGCTTTACCGGTAAGTTTTATACCTTTGTATGTCTACATGATACCAACCTTTGGATTCCAGGGGGCTCCCTTATGCATTTCTTATAGAGCTAGTCTAGTGATGATGAATCTTTCAGTTTTTGCTTATTGAGGAAGTCTTAATTTCTCTTTCATTTATGGAGGATAACTTTGCTGGATGTAGTATTCTCGCCTGACAGGTTTTTATATTTTTCTTTCAGCACTTTGAATATATCATTCCATTATCTCCTGGACTGTAAGGTTTCTGCTGAGAAATTCACTGTTAGTCTGGTTGGGCTTCCCTCATATACAACTAGATACTTTTATCTTGCTGTTTTTAGAGTTCCTTCTTTGTCTTTGACTTTTGACAGTTTGAGTATAATGTGTCAGGGAGATAACCTTTCTGGGTTGTATCTATTTGGGGATCTCTGAGCTTCCTGTATTTAGATGTCTAAATTTCTTGCTAGACTTTGGAAATTGCCAGTTATTATGTCATTAAATAGGTTTTCTATGCCACTAATCTCCTCTTCATCTCTGGAACACCCAAAATTTCAACATTTGGTCACTTTACAGTGTCCCATATATTACAAAAACCTTCTCCTGTCTCTCTCTTTCTTTTTGCCCAACTGGGCTATTTTGAAAGACCCGTCTTCAATTTCTGAAATTCTTCTCCTAGATCTAGTCTGTTATTGAAGCTCTAGATTATGTATTTTCCATTTATTGAAGCTCTAGATTGTATTTTTTTCCATTTGTTGAATTCTTCAGTTCCAATGTTTCCGTTTGGTTCATTTATATGATACCTATCTCTTTGGTGAATTTCTCATTCATATCTTAAATTGTTTTTATGATTTCTTTATATTATTTATCTGTGTTCTGTTGTATCTCATTGAGCTTCTTTAATATCAATATCTTGAATTCTTTCTCAGGGACTTCATGACTTTATTTTTCATTGGAATCTGTTGCTAGCTAGTGCATTATTATGTTTTTTTTTGGAGGTGTTATGTTTCCTTGCTTTTTTTATTTCTTATATCCTTTTGTTGATATCTGTGCAACTGGTGTAACAATTGCTTCTTCCAGGTTTTTGTATTGGCTTTCATAGAGGAAGACTTTTTCTGTAGATGTATTTATGATGTTGGGTATGGTGCTTTAGGTTTGATTCCGAGTGTGTGCACTAGTGTAGTGTGTTAGTCCATTTTGTGTTGCTATAAAGAAATAGTTGGGTTTAGGTAATTTATAAGGAAAAGAGGTTTATTTTGGTTCATGGTTCTGCAGACTGTACAGGAAGCATGGTGTTGGCATCTGCCTCCAGTGAGGACTCAAGAAGCTTACAATTATGACAGAAGGCAAAGGGGGAGCAGGCATATCATATGGCAAGAGAGGGAGCAAGAGAGAAAGAGGAGGAGGTGCCAGGTTCTTTTACACAACCAGCTTTCATGTGAACTAATAGAGTGAGGACTCATTTATCACCAAGCCATACATGAGGGATCCTCCCCCATAACCCAGATACCTCCTACTAGGCCCCACTTCAACACTGGGGATCACATTTCAACATGAGACTTGGAGGGGACAATACATCCAAACCATATCATGTAGTCTCTGTATGGGCTATGAACACTGTCAGTGGTATCTGTGATTTCGTCAGCAGCTTAGGCTACAATTGTTAATGGAGGCTTCTGGAGATGGGAGGCCAGGTAAGCCAGTCTTCAGGTCCCAGTGGTGGCAGCAGTAGGCCAAGTGTGCTTGTCATTGGGTCCCCAAGCAGTATACATGGGCGTTAGTGTTAGCAAATCCAGGTGGGCTAATTTTGGGGCCTCAGGCAGCTTGCTTGGGTCCAAGTAGTTACAGCCATGGGCCAGGCAGATCAGTGAGTCCTTGGGCCCCTGAACAGCATGCATAGGGTGGGTAATGGTCATTGTGGTGGCAGGGCAGCCCTTGGGCTCTCAGGTAGCACTCACTAATGTTAGTGGTGGCTGCTCTGAGCCGGGTGGGCCATTCCCCAGGTTCCCAAATGGAGTGTGTGGATGGGTGCCAGCAGTTCTGGTGGCGGCAGGCTGACCAGTCCATCCTTGGGCCCACAGGAAGATTGTGCAGATCCCAGTGGTGGTGGATAAGGCAGAACAATCCCCAGGCCTCTGGACAGCATGCTCGGGTACCAGCAGCAGGTTTTCTGGCCCTGTTATTAGGCTCCCATTGTGGAGTGCATGCCTTCCCAGAAGATTGAGGTGGTGGAGTGATCCCCAGAACCCAAGTTGATGAACTCAGGCACTTGGGGAGGGGGAGAGTGCCAGGTGGGGCAGGCCTGTTTTCATACCCCTTGGGGGTGTGCATAGGTGCAGGCTGTGGTGAGCAGGATGGGGCAATCTCCAGACCTTGGGAGGTGTGCTTAGATGGAGGCGGCAGTGATGGCATTTGGTGAGTAAAATCTATCCTCAGGGTGCATGCAAGTGTGTGGTAGTACTGCTGCTGAGGGAATAGGGTTGCTGTCTGCTGCAGCCACCCTGGGCAGAAGGCTCTCTAGCTCTGGGGGGCACACATCTGGGTGACATCTGGGTGTCACTTGCCACCAGCAGTGACAGCAGCAGGGGAAGGGATAGCCTGCCCTCAGGACACATACAAATGTACTGTGATTCAGTTGCTGGTTGGTGCCAGGTTACTGTCAGTGATAGTGGTCCCAGGCAGGTGGGTTTCAGGCTCTGGGGAGTGTGTGCTTTGGCTCCCTTTGTCCCAGGGGCAGTCTCCCCAGTGTATTGCATCACCCTTTTCCTAGTGTACAGGATGGCATGTGGGCTAGAGTGCTGGGGACCCTGCTGCCCCAATGGGTTCATCCTTAATTGTGCTGCTGCAGCCCTCTGGGTGGATATAAGGAGATGTCATTTGGGCTTCAGGGAACTCCCTATTCCAGTCCCAGGGCCCATAAGGGTCGAGTTACTCGTCTGTGCTCAGGATTGCAGGAGTCATCGTGTGAGTGTGGACCACTGGGGATCTCTCACTTACCATTTCCTGGCACTGGCTCCCTCACCCTTGTGCCTGGGGCACTCTCTAGGATCCTGGTTTATCCTAACCAGGCCATCTGCCTTGCCTCCTTCTTCATCAGTGCCCCAGGTGTTATATGGTACTTCTCTGCTTAATTCCAGCATTTTCTCTTAGATATTCGATTCAAGGTGTGAATCTGATTATCAACTCACTATTTTGGTTCTTCTTTTTGGAGGAGGCAGGTGTCCTGTGCCTCTAGTTAGCCATCTTGAAACTCTCTCAGAATTTCTCTATTCTGGTGTGCATTTCTCTGAACTTCTATAAAGTCTGAATACCCAGGCTCTCAGCATACCTAGGCTCTTAGAATGCCCAAAAAAGGTACCTAGAAGTAAGACTTCAAAAGATGACTTTTCTGGTCCTGGAGAACAGAGCTACACAGTAGTTTTTTTTCTATACCTGCTGTTTCCTAGTTCTTGGCAAGCCTGTGGGAACTGACTTTCCACTAGTCTTGTCAGCCTTGGATTTATTACTGCAGCTTCTGCTTCCTCAGCTACTCTCATACAGGTCCCATGATGCTGGCAGGTGCCATCCTACTGTAGTTCCCAGAGCCATCAGGATGTGAGTATGGACAACCTCAGTCCTGACTGTCCCTCACCTCTTTCCCACCCCTACTATCATCCTGTGGGAGTCAGAATTATGTCTCCTTGTGGGCTTGAGATCCAGAAGGACTTAATAGAGACTGAGTACCTCTATTGCTCCCTGTGTATTACTAGCCACTGCCAATCAGACCTTGGCCTCTAACCTCTTTGGAAGGAACTTGAGCAGCATTATTATATTCATTTTTGCCTCAGTCCACAGGTTATAACTTCTGCTCTTATTCCTCATATTACTGTGGATTTCCATGGTTTAAGAACAAGGGACCTAGAGACAGAATGTGTAAATTTATTACAATTCCCAGCAGGATATTGCTTCTCTCTTCTGTCTCCTGCAGGACCAACCCACCCCCTCACTGAGTGCCTTTGAAGGAACTCCCATAGCACAGTTGTAATGACAGCAGGAGTACAAAATGTAGGAGGAAAGGAGGGTAAGGGAGTGTGGGAGAGACAGCTGATATTGATATACCTGGGAGCTATATCAATATGGGCAAATTACTTCACCCAAATAACCATGGTTGGCCTTTAATAACTACTCAATACTAACCAGTAGTGGTGGTAGTAGTAGTAGTAGTAGGTGGCAGCAACAGCAGCCACTGTGGTAGTGATAGCAACTGCCTTATCTGCTATCCAGGAATGGAATCTTCTCTTTATCCACTCAGGACTGGTGGATTGAACTCTACCAAAGAAGATCTTTCCAAATGTTATCCACAACTTGATTCTTAAATTCCTCAATATGATATAACCTGTCTGACTGGAAAATGTCATGTCCCTTGGCCCTGTGACTAGCCATCCTGCCCCCACCACCCTATCTAAGCTGTTCCTATACCTGGGCCAGTTCCCTCCATCGTTGTTCTTTTCATGTGGGAGTTTAATGCCAAAACCCAGGCCCAGCTACTTTGCTCTGTGCATTTGCCGACAGTGAGGCCTGGAAGATGCTTATATTTTGAGGTCTGAGAAGTGTTCCTTCTTTTTATGATAGTTCAGGTCCTGGTAGTGTGGCTTGGGAGCCTTCACCCTCCTGAGAACTCATTTGCTATCCTGGGGAGCGGCTATCTCTTCCACACTCTTACCCTCTTTTTCTCCTACATTTTGTACTCCTGCTGTCATTACAATTGTGCTATGGGAGTTACTTCAAAGGTACTCAGTGAGGGGGTGTGTAGGTCCTGTAGGAGACAGAAGCACTACCCTCCTACTGGCTGATTTCACACTTAATTGGAAATTAACCTTAGACTCTTGACTGTCCAAGGTATATTTATATTCAGCAAGAAATCATGTTATTTTTCCTTAAGTGAGGAAGAAATCACAAAATATCTTAAGAAATGGGTCTAAAGATCCTTTAAATGGATTTGAGCTCTGGGAATAAAGCATAGGCAGCTAAGTAGGTAGGCTACTCCTACTGTGACATAGTGGGGAGGGGACTTAGCCTGCTATGGTTTGAATGTGTTCCCCAAAAAGCATGTGTTAGGCCAGGTGCAGCAGCTCAGGCCTGTAATCCCAGCACTTTGGGAGGCCAAGGTGGGCAGATCACTTGAGGCCAGGAGTTCGAGACCAGTCTGGCCAACATGGCAAAACCCCATCTGTAACAAAAATATGAAAAAATTAGCTGGGCATGGTGGCACACAACTGTAGTCCCAGCTACTTGAGAGGCCTAGGCATGAGAATCGCTTGAACCCGGGAGGCGGAGGTTGCAGTGAGCCACGATTGCACCACTGCACTCCAGCCTGGGTGACAGAGCAAGATTCTGTCTCACAAACAAAACGAAACAAGACAAACAAAAAAGCATGTGTTAGAAATTTAATCTCTAGTGCAGCAATGTTGGGAAGTGAGGCCTAATGAGAAGTATTTAGTTCATGAGGGTTCCACCCTCATGTATGGATTAATGCTGATTATAAAAGGGCTTGAGTTTGTAAGTTTGATTCCTTACTCTCTGTCACCCTCTCTTGCCCTCTCACCTTCACCATGGGGTAACACAGCAAGAAGATCCTCACAAGATGTCAGTTCCTTGATCTTCGACCTCCCAGCCTACAGAACTGTGTGCCAATAAATTGCCATTCACCGTAAATTACCCAGTTTCAGGTATTCTGTTAGAGCAACATAAAACAGACTAAGACACTCCCTTTGCTCCACCTTCAGCAGCATAGCACACCCAGTGAAAAGCTGCATTCCAAAATACCAACTCAACCCTGGGTTTTGGGGGCTTTGGGTATTAGAAAAGTTTTCAGTAATGAAAATATGCCATCTTTGCATAGGCTAAGGAGTCTCACAGGCCTCCATGGCTATCTTGGCTTTTTCCATTTATTGACTATGTGACTTTGGACAAGTAATACTCTTTCTGGATCTCAATCTCTATCTATAAAGAGTGTGCCCAGTGCCTAAAGCAAGCTGGGAATCGGGAAGGTACAGGGCCATCTCCAGCCTATATGGAGCCTTTATGTTATTTGGAAAAGACACTCCTTGCTCAAGACACTTTATGGGCATCTGCCAGATAATTGTAATAAATATATATCTTCAATAGAAATGTGAGAGGCACTCCTAGATGTGACCATCACAAGTGTATTCATTGGAAGATGCTCAGAAGAGCAAAGGAGGTGAAATAATCATAGGACTAACTGGGGCATTAATGAGCGTGCCTCAGATCTATCTAAGGTCTAGAAGGTCATTCTATAGATCAAAGCCCATGTGACTCAGGAAGGAGTTATGGAGGCTTAGTGGGAAGGAGGGGCTTTGGATTTTTAATTCAAATTAGAAATATACTAACTTACATTTTCAAATCCCCCAAAAATCTTTAAGATGCTGATTGGCAGCTGAGGAAAAGAAATAGTCAATAAAGGAGGGAAGAGACCTCTGCTAATTTCTCAATCCTCATAAAAGCCTTGGGAGAGATAGTGTTATCCAATTTTAGATATGAGGAAACTGAGTCTTTGGAAAGTTAAATAATTTACTTCAGATTACATAGATATTAATTGATGGTGTTGGGATTTGACCTCAGTTGTGTCTAACACCAAAAATAGTGCTTTCCCTTTTCTGTGTTAGCCAGTTTTCCAGAGAACCAGAGAAGAGGACACACACACACACACACACACACATATATATATATATCTCCTATTTTAGAGATATTGCAGGTTTGGTTCCAGACTACCACAATAAAGCAAATATTGCAATAAGTCAAGTCACATGAATTTTTTGGTTTCCCAGTATATATAAAAGTAATGTTTACACTATACTGTAGTCTATTAAGAGTGCAATAACCTGATGTTTAGAAAAACAATGTACATCCCATAATTTAAAAATACTTTGTAACTAAAAAATGCTAACAGTCATCTGAGCCTTCAGCAAGTCATAACTTTTTAATGGTGGAAGGTCTTGTGTGGAGGTTGATGGCTGCTGACTGATCAGGCTAATGGTTACTGAAGGCTGGGGTGGCTGTGTCAATTTCTTAAAATAAGACAACTATGAAGTTTGCCACATCAATTGACTCTTCCTTTCAGAAAAAATTTCTCTGTAGCATGTAATGCTGTTTGATGGCATTTTACCCACAGTAGAACTTCTTTCTAATTTGGAGGTAATCATATTACCTTGCCACCACTTTATCAACTAAGTTTACATAATGTTCTAAATTCTTTGTTGTCATTTCAACAATGTTCATGGCATCTTCACCAGAAGTAGATTCCATCTCAAGAAACCACTTTCTTTGCTCATCCATAAAAGGTAACTTCTTATCTATTAAACTTTTATTATGAGATTGCAGCAATTCAGTCACATCTTCAGACTTCATTTCTAATTCTAGTTTTCTTGCTATTTCTACCACACCTTCAATTACTTGTTCCACTGAAGTCTTGAACCCTTCAAAGTCACCCGTGAGGGTCAGAATCAACTTTTTCCAAACTCCTGTTAATGTTGGTATTTTGACCTACTCCCATGGATCAAGAATGCTGTTAATGGCATCTAGAATGGTGAATCCTTTCCAGAAAGTTTTCAATATATTTTCCCAGGTCCATCAGAGAAATTAATATTTATGTCAGCTATAGCCTTACAAAACGTATTTCTTAAACAATAAGAATTGAAAATCAAAATTACTCCTTGATTCAGGGGCTGCAGAATGAATGTTATGTTAGCAGTCATGATGACAACATTAATCTTTTTATACATCTCCATCAGAGCTCTTAGGTGACAAGGTGCATTGTCAATGGGCAGAAATATTTTGAAAGGAATCTTCTGAGCAGTAAGTCTCAACAATAGGTTTAAAACATTCAGTAAACCATGCTGTAAACAGGTGTGTTTTCATATAGACTTTGCTGTTCAATTTATAGATAATAGGCAGAGTAGATTTAACATAATTCTTAAGGGCCCTAGTATTTGCAGAATGGCCAGTGAGCATTGGCTTAAACTTAAAATCATCAGCTGCATTAGCCTGTAACAAGAGAGTCAGCTTGATCTTTGAAGCTAAACATTGACTTCTCCTCTCTAGCTACATAGCTACATGGCATCTCTTCCAATATAAGACTATTTCATCTACATTGAAAATTTGTTGTTTAGTGTAGCCCCTTTATCAATTATCTTAGCTAGATCTTCTGGATAACTTGTGCAGCTTCTAAATCAGCACTTGCTGCTTCACCTTTCACTTTTATGTCATGGAGATGGCTTCTTTCCTTAAACATTATGATCCAACCTCTGCTAACTTCAAACTTGTCTTCTATATCTTTCTCACCTCTCTCAGCATTCATAGAACTGAAGAGAGGGGCTCACTCTGGATTAGGCTTTGGCTTAAGTGAATGTTATGGCTGGTTTGATCCTCTATCCAGACCACCAAAAGTTTTTTCATATCAGCTATAAAGCTGTTTTGCTTTCTTATCATTTGTGTGTTCGCTGGAGTAGCATTTTAAATTTCCCTTAAGAACTTTTTGCTGCATTCATAACTTAGCTGTTTGGTGCAAGAGGCCTAGCTTTCAGCCTTTTTCAGCTTTTGATATGTCTTCCACACTAAACTTAATTATTTCTAGCTTTCGATTTAAATTAAGAGATGCGTGTGATTATTCCTTTCATTTGAACATTTAGAGGCCATGGTAGTGTTATTAATTGACTAATTTCAATATTGTTGTACCTCAGGGCATAGGGAGTCCCAAAGAAAGGGATAGAGAAAGGGAACTGCTGGTCAGTAGATTAGTCAGAACAGCACAACATTTACTCATTTAGCTCACTGTCACATAAGAGTGGTTTGTGGCACCCCAAAAGAATTATAATAGTAACACCAAAGATCCCTGATTACACATCACCATAACAGGTATAATAATAATGAAAAAATTGAAATATTGCAAGAATTACCAAAATTTGACAGAGACACGAAGTGAACACGCTGTTGGAAAAATCGTGCTGATAGACTTGTTCAATGCAGGGTTGCCACAAACCTTCAATTTGTAAAAAAACACAATATCTGCTAAGCACAATAATGTGAAGTGAAATAAAAGGAGGCATAATTCTGTTTGTGTTTGCATGTGTATATATATGCATATATATACATATGTCTCCATGTAACCACCATGTGTATGTGTGTGTATATATATATGCATATATATACAGTTTGTGGCACCCCAACAGAATGATTGATTGATAGATAGATAGATAGCTAGATAGATAGATAGATTTATACATGAAAGAATTTATTTTAAGGAATTGGCTAACTCAATTATGGAGGCCAAGAAGTTTCATGATCTATCATCTGTAAGCTGGAGATCCAAGAAAGCTGGTGGTGTAATTCAGTCTGAGTCCAAGGGCCTGAGAACCAGGAGTGCAACAGGCAGGAGAAGATCCATGTCCCCACTCAAGCAATCTGGCAAGAAGAGAAAGAGGAAAATTCCTCTTTCTGCTGCCTTTTTGTTTTATTCAGGCCCTCAACGGATTGCATCATACCTACCCACATTGGGGTAGGAATCTACTGATTCCACTGATTCAAATGCCAATCTCATCTGGAAACACCCTCACAGACACACCCAGAAATAATGTTTAATGTGGGCACTCTATAGCACAGTTAAATTGAAACATAAAATTAACCATCACACTTTCACAACATAACATAACTGTTGGGTGTTTGGGTGTGTGTTCAATCAGTCTATTGGAAGCACTAGGCTGGTGGCAGAGTCTTGGAGAAAACAGAGCTGCAAAACTCATATTCAAGGGTTCATGCTTTCTGGCTTGGTAAAGAGTAATAGCCAATACCTAGGCCATGGTGAATACACAGGGCACATATGTGCAACCAGGGTTTTCCAGGTGACCATCAGCTTTGCCCCACTCATGCAAGTGTCTTTGGCAGGAAGTGGAGACCACATTGTCCACTTGTCCCCCTGCCCCAGACTTCCAGAAAACTGTAAGGCATCTACACACATATGAATTTTTATACATAATATATATCTTCCCTGGTTCCAGGTCAGGGATATGTGGTCCACGAACCCCCTCTTTTCCCTTGCTACCTTCTGAAACCAAGACGTAGCTTTTGTTTTGAGCCAGGCAGTGCTATGCCCAGCTTCCATAATCTATGGTGAAGGTCCCAGTCTTTCAGATAACCATCTCAATTCTTGTTATTATCTCAGCAGCAGTCTCCAGATCTGATGACGGAAGGGAGGTCAGAGAGAGCTGTCCAAGCAACATCCAGTTGCAGTGAGGGAGCAAGGGAGTGTGGGCACAGGGATCCAACCCAGGACACAGACATCATGTACTTTCTCTGTCAACCTTCCCAAGCTTTACAGGTTGTCCTTTTTCTAAAGGTTAATCAATGGCCTTATCCTTTTTCCAGCATCAGGAGAAAAGCTTATTTCCTTTTAGGAGAGCATTTCTCCTCAGCTAGTTCCTTTCTTTTCCTTTCCAGGTCTGCAAAAGGAAGAATTCAATGTTGAAGGGGTAGAAAGGGTCCTTCATCTATTTAACAAACATATAGCACTCACTCTGTGTCAGGCATTGTTCTCAGTGCTTTTCAAATATGAATGCATTTAAACCTCATGACAACCCCTGTTCTTATTTTAAAGATGAAGAAATTGAAGCACAGAGAGGTTAAGTAACTTGCCCAAGTCATATAGCTAAGAAGTGGTGGAGCCAGATTAAAACCCAAGCTGCCAATTCTGAGCTTTTAACTACTGTATTATACTACCCAAATAGTATGGTAGCAGAGAATATGAACTTTGGTAGTCAGGGAGAGCCTGGATTCCAGTGTCTGTTCTGACACTTGATAGCTTTGTTATACTCTGGCAAGTCATTCCCTTCTCTAAGTCTTCGTTTCCTCAAGTGTAATATGACAGTGATAACACATACTTCAGTGCCTTGTCTGGAATAGGTATTCAAAGTTGGTGACTCTTATGGCCGGGAGCGGTGGCTCACGCCTGTAATCCCAGCACTTTGGGATTCCGAGGCGGGCAGATCACGAGGTCAGGAGATCGAGACCTTCCTGGCTAACACGGTGAAACTCCGTCTCTACTAAAAATACAAAAAAATTAGCCAGGCGTGGTGGCAGGCGTCTGTAGTCCCAGCTACTCAGGAGGCTGAGGCAGGAGAATGGCCTGAACCCGGGAGGCGGAGCTTGCAGTGAGCCGGGATCGGCCGCCATTGCACCCCAGCCTGGGCGACAGAGCGAGACTCCGTCTCAAAAAAAAGAATAAAAACAAAGTTGGTGACTCTTTTTATTTTCCTTAGGCTTGGTATCAAACTATGATTAGTGTCTAGATTCAGTGGCCAAGTCAACCTAGCTTGTGCCAGTGCTCAGCATGCATGAGTTGGCACTATGGGTGGCATTCAGTCCTACTGGAGTGCCAGATTTCTACCCGAGGAACTGATGGGGATGGCACTTCTGAAGATGGAATTCTATCAGAATTAATCAGCCATATGGTTCTTTCTCCACCCATTGGGAAGACATGGCCAGTAGGAGGTATAATTGCACGAAAGGACAGCATTGTCCCCAGCCAAGAATTCTCATTTATATCCCTGCATGCACTGCTGAAGGAGCCCTCTGGCCACAAGTCTGCCACCATCACCCTTTGTTAATGGACGGGCCGGTGGACTTAGTTGGAGATGGCTTCTTATCTCACAGATGTATGGAATCCTAGAGCTGAAAGATACCTAAAAGTCATGTATACAGATTCACCATCTAACTGGGCATTGTGAAACACCCAAGTTCTTGACTCAGACAGACATGGATTCAAATCCTCTCTCTTTTATTCATTAGTGATAAGTGGGCAAATTTCTTCTCTGAGCCTTCATTTTTTCACTTGTACAGTTGATATAAGTGCTCATCTTCGAGGATTGTTGTGAGAATTCAATGAAATAAGGTATCTAACACATAATAAATGTTCAAGAATGGTAGCTATTAATTTGAACATCATCTATACGGAAGACAAACACACCTTCAGGAGTTCTCCTCTTCCAACAAAATCGATTTGTAGAGGCTACTCATGACCAGCTTATACAAGGTTTTTCATATGAAGGGTCATATAAGACGCTTTGCTATGCAGCCCTTGTCTCAGCTCCTTCCTGTACCTCATCACCTCATCCACAGCCACATACTTTACATTCTGTGAAAATTGGACCTGTGGATGTTATAATTTATGTTTATAAAGGTCCTTGTGGGAAATAAAATTGACAGTTTTCAGAAGTTTGGGCAGGATTAAAGGTACCAACAAGAGACGATGAAGCACTCAATGTCTAATAATAGCAAGAAGCCATTACACCCTTGGTTTGGAGGGGTAAAGGCATGGGATAGTATTACCAGAGCTCAGTGAGAGCTGAAACTGTGAAGAAGTCTCTATTAAGAGCTGTAGCCAGGGAAGATTCCAGTAAGTGCCAGAAATGAGGCCCAAAGCAGAGAAGGAGTAGGAAAGAAATACCAGGACCGTCCTCTCCTCCCACTCTGATATGCCAGTGCCTCCCAATAGCCAAACCCAGCCAGAAGCCAGCAGACAAGGGCAGCCAGTTGATACAGTCTACAAGGTCAGCTTGCTGGGAAACAGAGCAGGGAAGAGAAGGGTAGGGAATGGATCTGGGGGTGGGGATGATAGCCAGAAAATGACCAATATTTTCATCTTTTCTACTGCCATCCTTTTCATATTTGGTTCCCGAAACCTATAGTGACCTGTGAACAGATGAGCACCTGTTCACATTAAGGGCTTGCTCACATATCATGGCCCTAAGAAAACCTTCTCCATTTCATTGTGATCACTCCTTCCCTAGTCATACTTATTCTAGCATTGGTAACACTGTGTTGCATCTGTGTGTATTTCTGCTTGTTTTTCTGAAGAGGCCATGAATTTATCGGGAAGGAGCCGAGTTTTATTCAACTCTGTGTTCCAAGCCCTTATTACAGGATTTGACTCAGGTGTGCCCCAATAACGTGGGATACACTGAACTGATCATCCCTATTCTAAAAGCTTTCCTGTGGAGCAGTGTTTTCAAGATTTCCAGACATCCATTAAATTTTCATCAATATCCCTTAGGCCTCTGTCCCTGACAGCAGCCTTTTCTAACCAGCCAGATGCTGTGGCACAAGCAGCATCCCTTAGAGTTAGCTTCATTTGGAGGCCTCGCAGAAACTGTCTCTTAGCATTTCCCAAAAGCTTTTAAAACCAGTTTTCTCTGAAAAGAAAAATCCAAATACCCACCATTTGACAAATTACAGGAAAGGCAAAGTGCTCTGAAACAGGCAGTTGCATTTTTCCACCAATGTCTGAATGTTGCTTAAGGCCTTGCCTAGAGTTTTTATCCTAGCCTAGGGAGGCAACTGAGGGCAGTGGGGGCAGTGGGCAGTTGTGTCACAAAAACATCAGCTCAAGCAGCCTTCTTCAAATGAGGACAGTACTCTTCAGGTGGCCTCCAGAGTGCCTGAAGGCTCCTCGGCTATTCTGTTTAAGAATAATGACTGGCTGGAGTGGGATAGACTCTACCATTTGCAGAAGCAAAAAAAGGACAAAGATATTTCCCATGGGTTGCTTTTCATCTACTGTCAATATGTGCAAGGATTGCTTGGCTGCTCTTATACCCGGGCAAAGTCAAGAGTTACTTCTTTCAAGAATGTTCCAATCCAGAACTTTGTTTTAGCTCAATTAAGTGCCCCTTCTTACAGTGTCTCCAATACTTTCTGAGTCTCTTCAGTGGAAGTATAAAAATAATGCTGGGAATTTAGACACTAGCTCTGCTGCTCACTTGCTATGGGAATTAGTTGAGTCTCTTTCTTTCTCTGGACCTCAGTTTATTTACTTAAAAAATGGAGCTAATGGCCATTCTGAACTCAACCTCATAGACTGCATTGCAGAAAAAGAAGAAGAGATCAACTAAATTTGCCAAACAGGAAGAAAGACTCCAGAGACAATGTGATGTTTATAGGACCAAATAGGCTAGGTATAGAGGTTAGGATGGGCTTGGCAGGTTGAAGGATTAGCAAGTTAACTAATGCAGATGTAGCTGACAAGTAGGGTACGCGGAGAGAAGTGATAGGAGATGAGACTTGAAAGGAAGCTTTAGGCCTGTCTCTG
Source organism: Homo sapiens (assembly GCF_000001405.40). Lineage (NCBI taxonomy): Eukaryota > Metazoa > Chordata > Mammalia > Primates > Hominidae > Homo > Homo sapiens. The sequence continues at coordinate 68,021,112 of NC_000023.11, read as the reverse complement.
AAGGGCTTTAAATGCTTGTAGACCACTGGTGCTTAAGAACCAGAGGTGACATGGTTAGTGTAGAGGAACTGCTGTCAAATTTTTTGGTCTCAGGACCACTTTAAACTCTTAAAAATGATTGAGGACCTCAAAGAGGCTTTGTTTTTGTGGTTTATATCTATTGATGTCTACCAAATTGCAAATTAAAACTGAGAATTTTTTGAAAATTAATTAACAATTAACAATAATAGGTCAATGATGTGTTAACATATAAAACATTTTTTGTGGAGAATATCTATATTTTTCAAAAATACGAGATAGTAAAATAAATGTTATTATCTTTGAATTTTCAAAACTGGATTATTGGGCTTAATAGAAAATAACCAGATTCTTGTAGCTGCTTCTGCATTCAATCTGCTAGGATATACTGTTTTGTTTGAAGAAAATGAAGAAAATCTGGCCACACACATTAGTGCTATAAATTTCCCTTTTAACACTGTTTTAGCTGTGTCCCAGAGATTCTGGTATATTGTCTCTTTTTTCTCATTGGTTTCAAATAACTTATTTATTTCTGCCTTAATTTTGTTATTTACCCAGTAGTCATTCAGGAGTGGGTTATTTAATTTCCACGTAGTTGTGAGGTTCTGAGTGAGTTTCTTAATCCTGAGTTCTAATTTGATTGCACTGTGGTCTAAGAGACTGTTATGATTTCAGTTGTTTTACATTTGCTGAGGAGTGTTTTACTTCCAATTATGTGGTTGATTTTAGAATAAGTGTGATGTGGCACTGAGAAGAATGTATATTCTGTTGATTTGGGGCGGAGAGTTCTGTAGATGTTTATTAGGTCCACTTGGTCCAGAGCTGAGTTCAAGTCCTGAATATCTTTATTACTTTTTTGCCTCGTTGATCTGTCTAATATTGACAGTGAGGTGTTAAAGTCTCCCACTATTATTTTGTGGGAGTCTAAGTCTCTTTGTAGGTCTCTAAGAAGTTGTTGTATGAATCTGAGTGCTCCTGTATCGGGTGCATATATATTTAGGATAGTTAGCTCTTCTTGTTGCATTGATCCCTTTACCACTATGTAATGCCCGTTTTTGTCTTTTTTGATCTTTGTTGGTTTAAAGTCTGTTTTATCAGAGACTAGGATTGCAACCCCTGCTCTTATTTGCTTTCCATTTGCTGGGTGAATATTCCTCCCTTCCTTTATTTTGAGCCTATGTGTCTTTGCACGTGAGATGGGTCTCCTGAATGTAGCACACCAATGGGTCTTGACTTTTTATCCAATTTGGCAGTCTGTGTCTTTTAATTGGGGCATTTAGCCCATTTGCATTTAAGGTTAATATTGTTATGTGTGAATTTGATTCTGTCATCATGATGCTATCTGGTTATTTTGCACATTAGTTGATGCGGTTTCTTCATAGTGTCATTGGTCTTTATATTTTGGTATGTTTTTGCAGTGGCTGCTACTGGTTTTTCTTTTCCATATTTAGTGCTTCCTTCAGGAGCTCTTGTAAGGCAGGCCTGGTGGTGACAAAATCCCTCAGCATTTGTTTTTTTGTAAATGATTTTATTTCTCCTTTGCTTATGAAGCTTAGTTTGGCTGGATATGAAATTCTGGGTTGAAAATTATTTTCTTTAAGAATGTTGAATATTGGCCCCTGCTTTCTTCTAGCTTGTAAGGATTCTTCAGAGAGATCTGCTGTTAGTCTGATCCTACTTGGGAAATCCTCCTAGATATTTGAAAGGACTTGGATATTGGGATAAAAGCTGTATCTACTTTAGGGGGCACCCCAAGCTCAGTAATGCTGTGGTTCTTGCAGACTCATAGAGGTACCACCTTGATGATCTTGGAAACAATCTGGGGCAATTATCTGGATTGCTAGGCAGAGACTCTTGTTCTCTTCCCTTACTTTCTCCCAATCAAATGGAGTCTTTCTCTCTGTTCTGAGCCTTCTAAATTTGGGGTTGAAGTGACACAAGCACCTCTGTCACCACCACCACTACGAATGCACTAAGTCAGATCTCAAGCCAGCACAGCTCTGGGTCTTGTCCAAGGCCTGCTCTTACCACTTCCTGGCTACCACCTATGTTTGCTCAAAGTCCTGGGGCTCTATCACCAGCAGGTGGCAAAACTAGCCGGGCCTGTGTTCTTCCCTTCAGGGTGATGAAGTTCCCAAGGCCCCAGGTGGGTCCAGAGGTGCTGTCCGGCAGTCAGTGGCTAGAGTCAAAAACCTTAGAAATCTACCTGGTGTTCTATTGTACTGCAACTGAGCTGGCCCTCAAACAAGACACAGCTCTTCCCACTTTTTTCTCCCCTCTGCAAAGGCAGAGGAGCCTCATCCTGCGGCCACTGCCACCACATGGCCATGCGGAGTACTGCCAGACTACTGCTGATACTCCCTTTAGTCCCAAGGGCTCCCAAGTCAGCTTGTGGTGAATGTTGCCTGGCCTGAGACTCACCGTTCAGGGCAGTAGACTCCCCTGTGGCCCAAGACAGGTCCAGAAATGCCATGCCAGAGTCAAGTACTGGAATCGGGGACCACAAGAACCTGTTTGATGTTCTACCCCCTTGTGGCCAAGTTTGTACCAAAGGTGGAAGACAAAGTCCACTTTACTTTTCCCTCTAGTTTTCTCAAGCAGAAGGAGTTTCACTCTGTAGTCACCAGAGCTGAGAATGTGCTGAGTCTCACCTGAAACCAGCAAGTCTCAGAGGCTCTCCCAAAGCCCTCAACCTAGTATCTGGGTAGTGCTGCTGGTTATTCAGGGCCCAAGGGCTCTTCAGTTAGCAGGTGATGAATGCTGCCAGGACTGGGTTCTTCCCTTCAAGGCAGTGAGTTCCCTTCTGGCCGAGGGCATGTCTAGAAATGTCATCCGGGAGGCAGGGTCTGGAAAGGGGACTTCAGGACTCTGACTGGTGCCCTATCCTGCTGTGCCTAAGCTGCTATCTGATTCAAGACAAAGCTCTCCCCATTCTTCCCTCTCCTCAAGCAGAAGTAAGGGCAGTCTTTTGGAGCCATGAGCTGTGCAGCCTGGGGTTAAAGGACAGTGATGCCAGCACTTTCTTTCTTTCTTTTCTCTTCTTTTCTTTTTTTTTTTAGCTGGAGTCTCCCTCTGTCACCCTGGCTGGAGTGCAGTCACGCAATCTCAGCTCACTGCATCCTCTGCCTCCCAGGTTCAAGCAATTCTCCTGCCTTAGCCTCCTGAATAGCTGGGATTACAGGCATGCACCACCATGCCTAATTTTTGTACTGATGCCAGCACTTTCTTAGCAACCCCAGCTGGTGTCCTAGTATGCCCCCTCCAGTCCACTGTCTCTGGGCCCAGTTCAGCGCTAGGACTTGCTTAAGAGTTTCAGTCCTTGTAGCCTATACTGCCTTTCACGTTTATTTAGAGATCTAGAGCACTTTAACCCTCAGTGGCAAGGTTTGTGGGAACTTGAGTTCGGACCACTGGGATTGGCAATTCCCCTCTGGCTAGGGTTGCTTTAAATGCTCCCTTCACGTGTGGGCATCAGCTGAGTTTGGTCCAGTTTTCCTTTCTGCTCTAACAGGACAGCACTGAGTTGAATGCCTCACAATTGCTGTGCTCTCTCTCCTCCGGCACACAGAAATGCTCTCTGCATCATGCTGCTTCTGTCAGGGGTGGTGCCAGCAATTCAAGACCTTTTTTTTCTGTCTCTTCAGTGCCTCTTTCAGTGATATGAAGTTAAAACGAGGTACTATACTATGAGTGCTCACCTGATTTTTGGTTCTCATGAAGGTGCTTTTTTTGTGTAGATACTTGTTAAATTTGTGTCCTTCTTGTTGTGAAGATCGGTAGAGCCTTCTATTCTACCATCTTGCTCTGCCTCCTGATTCTGAAGCTTGATTCCTTTTTCTCTTTGTAACTTCAAAAATATTGAACTTTCCTCAGGGCTCAATTCTGGGCCCCTTCTACCTCTTCTATAAACAATCTTCCCAAGGACTTCTTACACACTCATGGCTTTAAACAGCCCTTTTTTTTTGCCAACAACTCTTATCGGGGATCCTACCCCATTATTCGTGTAGGTTCTTTCTATTTTCCCTAAGCGTTGGCCAGCTTGAGAAATAAAGGGACAGAGTACAAAAGAGAGAAATTTTAAAGCTGGGCATCCGGGGGAGACATCACATGTCGGTAGGTTCTGTGATGTCCCACAAGCCACAAAAACCAGCAAGTTTTTATTAGGGAGTTTCAAAAGGGGAGGGAGTGTGCGAATAGGTGTGGGTCAGACATCAAGTACTTTACAAGGTAATAGAATATCACAAGGCAAGTGGAGGCAGGGCGAGATCACAGGACCACAGGACTGAGGCAAAATTAAAATTGCTAATGAAGTTTCGGGCACCATTGTCATTGATAACATCTTATCAGGAGACAGGGTTTTGAGATCAACGGGTCTGACCAAAATTTATTAGGCGGGAATTTCCTCTTCCTAATAAGCCTGGGAGCACTATGGGAGACTGGAGTCTGTTTCACCTCTGCAGTCTCGACCATAAGAGATGACCATGCCCAGGAGGGCCAGTTTAGAGACCCACCCCCAGGTGTGCATTCTCTTTCTCAGGGATGTTCCATGCTGAGAAAAAGAATTCAGTGATATTTCTGCCATTTGCTTTTGAAAGAAGAGAAATATGGCTCTGTTCCACCTGGCTCACCAGCGGTCAGAGTTTAAGGTTATCTCCCTTATTCCCTGAACAATTGCTGTTATCCTGTTCTTTTTTCAAGGTGCCCACATTTCATATTGCTCAAACACACATGCTGTACAATTTGTGCAGTTAATGCAATTATTACAGGGTCCTGAGGCAATATACATCCTCCTCAGCTGACAGGATTAAGAGATTAAAGTAAAGACAGGCATAGGAAATAACAAGGGTATTGATTGGGGAAGTGATAAGTGTCCATGAAATCTTTACAATTTATGTTTAGAGACTGTAGTAAAGACAGGCATAAGAAATTACAAAATTATTAATTTGGGGAACTAATAAATGTCCATGAAATCTTCACAATCTACATTCTTCTGCCATGGCTTCAGCCGGTCCCTCCATTTGGGGTCCCTGACTTCCCGCAACAAACTCTCCAATTTCTCTCTCTAGCTCATTCTTATCTTCTGAGCTTCAGCTATACTAATTCAACTACCTGCTTGACATCTCCATCTCATTGTCTCCCTGACATCTCAAACTCAACATATTCAAAACTAAGCTCTTGATTTATTCTTTACTCTCCTAGCCCAAATCTACTCTTCCTTTATCTTTCTTATCTCAGGAAATGGTAGCTCCATCAACCTAATGGTTCATTCCAAGAGCCCTGGAGACCATCTGGACATTTTCCTCTCTCTCATTCACCACTTCTTTTCACGCAAAGTCTATTTAAAAAATGTGCACTCTGTCCTTCCCATGGCTATCATTTAAGCCTAAGCAATCACCATCTCTTGCCTGAACTATTTTAATAGCCTCCTAACTGGTCTCTTCATTTTCTCTCATCTCATCCTATTATAAACTCACCACAGGGCAACCAGATTGACCTTTTAAAAATGTAAATCAGATCATACCACTCCCCTGTTTAAATCTTTTAATGGTTTCCCATTTCACTTGAAATCCAAATCCCTTAAGATGGCCTACAAAGTTCTGCACTATCTCCAGAGATTATCTCTCTAAACTCATCTCACGACCTTATTTTCCTCATACTCAAACTCCAGCTACACTGGCCTTCTTCCTTTTCCTCAAACATCCTATTCTCCTGTTTCCCTCTCAAGATCTTAGCACACATCCTTTTGACTTGGACACTTTCCCTCTATTTCTTTGCATGTGTCACTTCTTATCTTTCAGCTGTCTGGTTAAATGTGAATTTCCCAGAGAATCTTGCCTCGAGGCCCCAAACTAAGCCAGGCAATTTCCTCATTGTGATCTATCATGCCATTATTTACTTAATAATGCTTTTCATAATCTATAATTATGCTTTCAATTTTGTGATTATTTATTTAACATCTATCTCCCTCCAAGTGCTGTGAAGAGAGTTCCACCCACCAAGGGAGATGGACTTCAAGGAAGTTTCTCTGTGTTCTACTTTAAGTCAGTTGACTTGTTACAGAATCTCTACAATCTTCACTTTCTATTTCTATAGAGAACCATGTCTAGCTCAGACTACCTCTTCCCTCCTGCCCCTGCCAAGCAATGTGTCACTGGAATTGAATAGTCACAATTACTTTGGGTTTCAGAAAAGCCAGCACCCCTGCCTCATTAACCAGATGGCTGGGATAAGACTCTTGATTTTGAAAATTCAACAACCAGAGTTCAGCTATTTGCAGTGATTTGCAGTCATTTGTCACTATCAAAAAGGAAAATAACTAAAATGTGGTGTGTTGGCATTAGTTACTTACTAATGAGCAAGATCAGCACCTGCATTTCAGCTTGGCTCTGTCATTTTCTATTTATTGGAAGAATGGTGTTGTGGTTAAGTGTGTGGTGTGTAGAGGAAGACTATTTGTTTTTTTGTCTTGTTTTGTTTTTATTGAAATATAGCATGCATACTGAAAAATGCACAAATCATATGTGCAGAGCTCACTGAATTTCACAGAATGAATACACCCATGCAATAGCACTCAGATCAAGAGACAGAACATTAGCAGCACCCCCAGAAGGACCACCCCCAGGATCCCTTCCAGTAACCACACCCCCTCCAGTAGAAACTATTATCCTTACTTCTAACATCACAGATTACTTTTGCTTGGTTTTGTAACTTATATAAATGAAATCACACCATATCTACTCTTCGTGATTATTTTCACTCAACATTATGTTTGTGATATCCATTCGTATTGTTACAATAGTTGTTGTTGGTTAACTCTCATTGCTGTATAGTATTACATTGTGTAAATATACCAAAATTTATTTATTCAATTCATTGTACTATTCATGGTTATTAGTTTGCAATTATTGGCAATTATGAATAATGCTGCTATAACCATTTCTTTATATTCTTTGTAGTGAACATGCATGTATTTCTGTTGTTATATATTTAGGAATGAAACTGCTGTGTCATTTTGTGTGCATATATTCAAATATAATAGTTGTTGCCAAACACTTTTTCAAAGTGGTTGTACCACTTTGCATTTCCACCAGCAGTGTATGAGTGTTCTAGTTGCTCTAAATTCTCACCAACACTTGGCATTTTGGTATTTTTTATTTTAGCCAATGTGGTGATCATGTGGTGACCTCTCATTATGGTTTCCTTTTGCATTTCTCTGATGACTAATGAAATTGAGAATCTTTTCAATATATGTTGACTGGCCATTGTACATCTTGTTTTGTTTGTCTTTTAGATGTCTTTTGTCATTGATTTGTAAGGGCTCTTTATGTATTCTGGATATGAATCTTTTGTCAAATATATGCATTGCAAATATATACTTTTTTACTTATTGATATCTTTAATTTGTTTTAAGAAAATTTTTAATTTTTATGGAAATTTTATAGAAATGCTGAAAATCAAACGTTATCTGCAGTGGTAACAGTCTGACTTCTAAACTGCTATATGTAATAGAAGAACAATACATAATTGTTGTATATATTTATGAGGTACATGTAATATTTTGATACAAGCATAAAATATGTAATGATTGTTGATCTCTTTTAATGAACAGAATTCCTTAATCATAACATGCTCTAATGTATTTTTTTTAATGGCTAACACGTTTTGTATTCTGTTTAAAAGATCATTGCCTCCTCCAAGACAGCTTGGGTTTAAATACTGGTTTCACTACTTTCTATCTATATAACCTTGGGTAAGTTTCTTAACCTCTCTAGGGTTAAGAAGTAGTTCCACTGCTTCTAGGGATTCATAGAGTTGTTATGAAGATTAAAGAAGATGGTGCGTATAGAAGATTTTGACACCACGCCAGGCACATAGCCAGTGATCGATGGGTGCTTTTTCTTTTGCATCTTATATTACATCTTAGTATTTATAATTTGGGATATGTCCCATTGATACCTAATTTATTGAGAGTTTTTGGCATGAAGGGTTGCTGAATTTTGTCAAAGGCCTTTTCTGCATCTATTGAGATAATCATGTGGTTTTTGTCTTTGGTTCTGTTTATATGCTGGATTACATTTATTGATTTGTGTATGTTGAACCAGCCTTGCATCCCAGGGATGAAGCCCACTTGATCATGGTGGATAAGCTTTTTGATGTGTTGCCAGATTCAGTTTGCCAGTATGTTATTGAGGATTTTTGCATCAATGTTCATCAAGGATATTGGTCTAAAATTCTCTTTTTTGGTTGTGTCTCTGCCAGGTTTTGGTATCAGGATGATGCTGGCCTCATAAAATGAGTTAGGGAGGGTTCCCTCTTTTTCTATTGATTGGAATAGTTTCAGAAGGAATGGTACCAGCTCCTCCTTGTATCTCTGGTAGAATTCGGCTGTGAATCCGTCTGGTCCTGGACTTTTTTCGGTTGGTAAGCTATTGATTATTGCCTCAATTTCAGAGCCTGTTATTGGTCTATTCAGAGACTCAACTTCTTCCTGGTTTAGTCTTGGAAGGATGTATGTGTCGAGGAATTTATCCATTTCTTCTAGATTTTCTAGTTTATTTGCCTAGAGGTGTTTATAGTATTCTCTGATGGTAGTTTGTATTTCTGTGGGATCAGTAGTGATATCCCCTTTATCACTTTTTATTGTGTCTATTTGATTCTTCTCTCTTTTCTTCTTTATTAGTCTTGCTAGCAGTCTATCAATTTTGTTGATCTTTTCAAAAAACCAGCTCCTGGATTCATTAATTTTTTGAAGGGTTTTTTGTGTCTCTATTTCCTTCAGTTCTGCTCTGATCTTATTTATTTCTAGCCTTCTGCTAGCTTTTGAATGTGTTTGCTCTTGCTTTTCTTGTTCTTTTAATTGTGATGTTAGGGTGTCCATTTTAGATCTTTCCTGCTTTCTCTTGTGGGCATTTAGTGCTATAAATTTCCCTCTACACACTGCTTTGAATGTGTCCCAGAGATTCTGGTATGTTGTGTCTTTGTTCTCATTGGTTTCAAAGAACATCTTTATTTCTGCCTTCATTTCGTTATGTACCCAGTAGTCATTCAGGAGCAGGTTGTTCAGTTTCCATGTAGTTGAGCAGTTTTGAGTGAGTTTCTTAATCCTGAGTTCTTGTTTGATTGCACTGTGGTCTGAGGGACAGTTTGTTATAATTTCTGTTCTTTTACATTTGCTGAGGAGTGCTTTACTTTCAACTATGTGGTCAATTTTGGAGTAGGTGTGGTGTGGTGCTGAAAAGAATGTATATTCTGTTGATTTGGGGTGGAGAGTTCTATAGATGTCTATTAGGTCCGCTTGGTGCAGAGCTGAGTTCAATTCCTGGGTATCCTTGTTAACTTTCTGTCTCTTTGATCTGTCTAATGTTGACAGTGGAGTGTTAACGTCTCCCATTATTATTGTGTGGGAGTCTAAGTCTCTTTGTAGGTCAGTAAGGACTTGCTTTATGAATCTGGGTGCTCCTGTATTGGGTGCATATATATTTAAGATAGTTAGCTCCTCTTGTTGGATTGATCCCTTTACCATTATGTAATGGCCTTCGTCTCTTTTGATCTTTGTTGGTTGAAAGTCTGTTTTATCTGAGACTAGGATTGCAACCCCTGCCTTTTTCTGTTTTCCATTTGCTTGGTAGATCTTCCTCCATCCCTTTATTTTGTGCCTATGTGTGTCTCTGCACGTGAGATGGGTTTCCTGAATACAGCACACTGATGGGTCTTGACTCTTTATCCAATTTGCCAGTCTGTGTCTTTTAATTGGAGCATTTAGCCCATTTACATTCAAAGTTAATATCATTATGTGTGAATTTGATCCTGTAATTATGATGTCAGCTGGCTATTTTGCTCATGAATTGATGCAGTTTCTTCTTAGCCTTGATGGTCTTTACAATTTGGCATGTTTTTACAGTGGCTGGTACTGGTTGTTCCTTTCCATGTTTAGTGCTTCCTTCAGGAGCTCTTTTAGGGCAGGCCTGGTGGTGACAAAATCTCTCAGCATTTGCTTGTCTGTAAAGTATTTTATTTCTCCTTCATTTATGAAGCTTAGTTTGGCTAGATATGGAATTCTGGGTTGAAAATTCTTTTCTTTAAGAATGTTGAGTTTTGGCCCCCACTTTCTTCTGTCTTGTAGAGTTTCTGCTGAGAGATCAGCTCTTAGTCTGATGGGATTCACTTTGTGGGTAACCCGACCTTTCTCTCTGGCAGCCATTAACATTTTTTCCTTCATTTCAACTTTGGTGAATCTGAAAATTATGTGTCTTGGAGTTGCTCTTCTCGAGGAGTATATCTGTGGCGTTCTCTGTATTTCTTGAATGTGAATGTTGGCCTGCCTTGCTAGATTGGGGAAGTTCTCCTGGATAATATCCTGCAGAGTGTTTTCCAGCTTGGTTCCATTCTCCCCATCACTTTCAGGTACACCAGTCAGACGTAGATTTGGTCTTTTCACATAGTCCCATATTTCTTGGAGGCTTTGTTCTCCAAGAAATATGGGACTATGTGAAAATAAGAGCTATCTATGACAAACCCACAGCCAATATCATACTGAATGGGCAAAAACTGGAAGCATTCCTTTTGAAAACTGGCACAAGACAGGGATGCCCTCTTTCACCACTCCTATTCAACATAGTGTTGGAAGTTCTGGCCAGGGCAATCAGGCAGGAGAAGGAAATAAAGGGTATTCAATTAGGAAAAGAGGAAGTCAAGGTGTCCCTGTTTGCAGATGACATGATTGTATATCTATCTATAAAATCCCATTGTCTTAGCCCAAAATCTCCTTAAGCTGATAAGCAACTTCAGCAAAGTCTCAGGATACAAAATCAATGTACAAAAATCACAAGCATTCTTATGCACCAATAACAGACAAACAGAGAGCCAAATCATGAGTGAACTCCCATTCACAATTGCTTCAAAGAGAATAAAATACCTAGGAATCCAACTTACAAGGGATGCGAAGGACCTCTTCAAGGAGAACTACAAACCACTGCTCAATGAAATCAAAGAGGATACAAAGAAATGGAAGAACATTCCATGCTCATGGGTAGGAAGAATCAATATCGTGAAAATGGCCATACTGCCCAAGGTAATTTATAGATTCAATGCCATCTCCATCAAGCTACCAATGACTTTCTTCACAGAATTGGAAAAAACTACTTTAAAGTTCATATGGAACCAAAAAAGAGCCCGCATTGCCAAGTCAATCCTAAGCCAAAAGAACAAAGCTGGAGGCATCACGCTACCTGACTTCAAACTATACTACAAGGCTACAGTTACCAAAACAGCATGGTACTGGTACCAAAACAGAGATATAGACCAATGGAACAGAACAGAGCCCTCAGAAGTAATACCGCATATCTACAACTATCTGATCTTTGACAAACCTGACAAAAACGAGAAACGGGGAAAGGCTTCCCTATTTAATAAATGGTACTGGGAAAACTGGTTAGCCATATGTAGAAAGCTGAAACTGGATCCCTTCCTTACACCTTATACAAAAATTAATCCAAGATGGATTAAAGACTGACATGTTAGACCTAAAACCATAAAAACCCTAGAAGAAAACCTAGGCATTACCATTTAGGACATAGGCATGGGCAAGGACTTCATGTCTAAAACACCAAAAGCAATGGCAACAAAAGCCAAAATTGACAAATGGGATCTGATTAAACTAAAGAACTTCTGTACAGCAAATGAAACTACCATCAGAGTGAACAGGCAACCTACAGAATGGGAGAAAATTTTTGCAACCTACTCATCTGACAAAGGGCTAATATCCAGAATCTACAATGAACTCAAACAAATTTACAAGAAACAAACAAACAACCCCATCAAAAAGTGGGCGAAGGATATGAACAGACACTCTCAAAAGAAGACATTTATGCAGCCAAAAAACACATGAAAAAATGCTCATCATCACTGGCCATCAGAGAAATGCAAATCAAAACCACAATGAGATACCATCTCACACCAGTCAGAATGGCAATCATTAAAAAGTCAGGAAACAACAGGTGCTGGAGAGGATGTGGAGAAATAGGAACACTTTTACACTGTTGGTGGGAGTGTAAACTAGTTCAACCATTGTGGAAATCAATGTGGCGATTCCTCAGGGATCGAGAACTGGAAATACCATTTGACCCAGCCATCCCATTACTGGGTATACACCCGAAGGATTATAAATCATGCTGCTATAAAGACACATGAACATGTATGTTTATTGCGGCACTATTCACAATAGCAAAGACTTGGAACCAACCCAAATGTCCAACAACGATAGACTGCATTAAGAAAATGTGGCACATATACACCATGGAATACTATGCAGCCATAAAAAAGGATGAGTTCATGTCCTTTGTAGGGACATGGATGAAACTGGAAACCATCATTCTCAGCAAACTATCGCAAGGACAAAAAACCAAACACCACATGTTCTCACTCATAGGTGGGAATTGAACAATGAGAACACATGGACACAGGAAGGGGAACATCACACACCGGGGACTGTTGTGGGGTGGGGGGAGGGGGGAAGGATAGCATTAGGAGAGATACCTAATGCTAAATGGCGAGTTAATGGGTGCAGCACAGCAGCATGGCACATGTATACATATGTAACAAGCTTGCACGTTGTGCACATGTACCCTAAAACTTAAAATATAATAATAATAAAATTTTAAAAAGTATTTATAATTTGGGAGTTTATAAAGGTTTTGGGGCATTTCTCCCTTAAATATCAAGGTCTATTGTTCTTCTATTACATAGCAGTTTAGAAGTCAGACTGTTACCACTGCAGATAATGTTTGATTTTCAGCATTTCTATTTTTCAGAATTGAGTTTATAAAAAGAATTATCTTGAGCCAAAACAAAATTCAGACTGTGGCACATCATGTTTTAGATGGTGGTCCTTATTGGGTAATGGTATCTAACTGACGTGAGTTGTAAGAGGCAGGGATGTTCCAGCACAGAAGGATATAATTCTTAAGCAATGAATTCCAAGCAAGTATTGTAAAAAAAAAAAAGTGAAGAGGATAATGGCTTTCCAGTTGTTGGTTGGTGTCTCCAGGTGGAGTTAGTGGGCAGGCAGAAGAAAGATCTTGGGAGGAAATAAAAATTTTGAAATCACTCAAAATTCATGGTAGTTGAAGCCCTAGGAATAAATAAAATCCTCCAAGCAGAGTGTGTAGAATCTTATAAATTTCCAATATCTAAGAAAGGAATGACAATAGAAGGCACCGAAGGAATTAGAAAGATAAGAGACCTGGAAAGAGTAGCATCATGGATAGTAGGAAGGGTGGAAGAGAGCAGTCAACAGTTTGATGGGTTTCGTTAGGTTGAAGAGGATTTAATCTAAGAAAAGCCACTGGATTTGGCAACTCCAAGGTCTTCTTGAGTAAAGGAAGTGGGAAAAGAAGGAAGATTGTATGATTTTTTCTTTCAACATATATTCATTGAGAACCTACTATGTGATGCTAGGGTTTATTACTCCTTGCAGTTAGGAAGGATAAACACTATAGGGGCCAGGGAATGTCCCAGTAAGAGGGTGTTAGAAAGAACCTATTATAGGATTTGGGCTTTGTTGGGTGATTTAAAGGAGGGTGGAAGGAAATGGGGGTTTGCCTAGATTGGATGCTGTTAGAAAGTGGTGACAATTTTATGACTTTGTTTCAGTCTTTGCTTAGACAAAATTATGAAATGCCCTTTTTTTGTTTCATTCTATTGTGGTCTCAGAGTAGCCTTGTCTGAGGTTGTGTTCTTTGAGATTGTTTATGCCCAACAGGAGGACAAAATGGCCTGGTTATAATGTCAGATTAGTTTTTAATAATTTTGAGATATAGCTGTGAATGTCGGGTTAGTTCTGGATGCTAGGGTTTGGTTATTTTCTTTCTCAGTTCCCCCTTATGGCCAAAGACACATGAAGTCAGGATGCAGGATATTAATCCATGATATGCAGATTTTCATCATTACCAATATTTTGTTGATAAAATAAGAAGAACATCCAATGAATGTCATCTATAGTTAAACTGGGGTGAATCTTTGTTCTCCGTCTGTTGTGGAATTAATTTCTGAACCATCAGACATGACTATGGCTGCTTAGTAGTGTTTAAGATTCTGGATAAGATATATTAGACAACTGTAACACAGGCAGTTGTCAGAAACAAAATGACTATTAGTCCTTGTAACAGGTCTTGAAGCCATGTAGCTATGATATGACACCCAGTCACTGAAAACACGTCCCCAAATCCAGCAGGGTCTGTTTTAGAATGCCAGGTGCTTTTTCTTTTATCCTGCTCCCAGTTAATGAATTTAGATTTGTTTTTGGGCTCCCAGAGTAGAAATCTGTTTTAGGTATCTAGACATCTCTAACAATTGCTGCTAATACACAGAATAAGTTAGTGTGTGGTGGACAGGTGTAAGCCTGACATCCATGTAAGATATAGTATCCTAATGGAGCATAGTTTGTATTGAGAGCATAAGTATCATTTGTTATAATAGAAGAGAATGAATTTTGTGTCTCTCAATGTGTGCAGATTTCAAATCAAGCAGTTTTTGTTAAAAAAAAAAAAAAGCTTATTTGTCTGAAGAGAACAAACTGAGTCAGAGCCAGAATAATCTCAGTCTGTGTTACACCCTCCCAAGTCTAAACCAGGAAGAAGTCGAATCCCTGAATACACCAATAACAAAGTCTGAAATTGAGGCAGTAATTAATAGCCTACCAACAAAATATAGTCCAGGACCAGAAGGAATCACAGCCGAATTCTACCAAAGGTACAAAGAGGAGCTGATACCATTCCTTCTTAAGCTATTCCAAACAATAGAATAAGAGGGACTCTTCCCTAACTCATTTTATCAGACCAGCATCATCCTGATACCAAAACCTGGCAGAGACATAACAAAAAAAAAAAAAAAAGAAAAGAAAAGAAAAGAAAATTTCAGGCCAATATCCCTGATAAACTTTGATATGAAAAGCCTCAATAAAATACTGGCAAGCCAAATCCAGCAGCACATCAAAAAGCTTATCCACCACGATCAATTCGGCTTCATCCCTGGAATCCAAGGCTGATTCAACATATGCAAATCAATAAACATAATCCATCACATAAACAGAACCAATGACAAAAACCATGTGATTATCTCAATAGATGCAAAAAAGGCCTTCAATAAAATTCATCACCCTTCATGCTAAAAACCCTCAATAAACTAGGTATCAATGGAACATATCTCAAAATAATACGAGCTATTTGTGACAAACCCACAGGCAATATCATAGTGAATGGGCAAAAGCTGGAAGCATTCCCTTTGAAAACCAGCACAAGACAAGGATGCCCTCTCTCAACACTCCTATTTAAAATAGTATTGGAAATTCTGGCCAGGGCAATCAGTCAAGAGAAAGAAATAAAGGGTATTTAAATAGGAAGAGAGGAAGTCAAATTGTCTGTTTGCAGATGACATGATTGTGTATTTAGAAAACCCCATCATCTCAGCCCCAAAACTCCTTAAGCTGATAAGCAACTTCAGCAAAGTCTCAGGATACAAAATCAATGTGAAAAAATCACAAGCATTCCTATACACCAATAATAGACAAACAGAGAGCCAAATCGTGAGTGAATTCCTCTTCACAATTGCTGCAAAGAGAATAAAATACCTACGAATAAAACGTGCAAGGGACGTGAAGGACCTCTTCAAGGAGAACTACAAACCAGTGTTCAAGGAAATAAGAGAGGACACAAACAAATGGAAAAACATTTTATGCTCATGAATAGGAAGAATCAATATCATGGAAATGTCCATACTGCCCAAAGTAATTTATAGATTCAATGCTATTTCCATCAAGTTACCATTTACTTTCTTCACATAATTAGAAAAAACTATCTTAAATTTCATATGGAACCATAAAAGAGCCCATATAGCCAAGACAATCCTAAGCAAAAAGAACAAAGCTGGATACATCACACTGCCTGACTTCAAACTATACTACAAGGCTACAGTAACCAAAACAGCATGGTCTTGGTACCAAAACAGATATATAGACCAATAGAACAGAACAGAGACCTCAGAAATAATGCCACACATCTACTACCATGTGATCATCAGCAAACCTGACAAAAACAAGCAATGGGGAAAGGATACCCTATTTAATAAATGGCATTGGGAAAACTGGCTAGAATATGCAGAAAACTGAAACTGGACCCCTTCCTTATACCTTATACAAAAATTAACTCAAGATGGATTAAAGACTGAAACATAAAAACCTAACCATAAAAACCCTAGAAGGAAACGTAGGCAATATCATTCAGGACATATGCATGGTCAAAGACTTCATGACTAAAATACCAAAAGCAATGGCAACGAAAGCCAAAATTGACAAATGGGATCTAATTAAATGAAAGAGCTTCTGTATAGCAAAAGAAACTATCTTCAGAGTGAACAGGCAACGTACAGAATGGGAGAGAATTTTTGCAATCTATCCATCTGACAAAGGGTTAATATCCAGAATCTACAAGGAACTTGAACAAATTTACAAGAAAAAAAACAAACAACCCCATCAAAAAGTGGGCAAAGGATGTGAACAGACACTTCTCAAAAAGTGTCACCTCTCAAAGAGACACCTCTCAAAAAGTTCACTTCTCCTAATGAACATTTATGCAGCCAACAAACATATGAAAAAAAGCTCATCATCACTTGTCATTAGAGAAATGCAAATCAAAACCACAATGAGATACCATCTCAAGCCAGTTAGAATGGCGATAATTAAAAAGTCAGGAAAAAACAGATGATGAAGAGGATGTGGAGAAATAGGAACGCTTTTACACTGTTGATGAGAGGGTAAATTAGTTCAACCATTGTGGAGACAGTGTAGCAATTCCTCAAAAATCTAGAACCAGAAATAACATTTGACCCAGCAATCTCATTACTGGGTGTATACTCCCAAAGGATTATAACCATTCTACTATAAAGACACATGCACATGTATGTTTACTGTGGCACTCTTCACAATAGCAAAGATTTGGAACCATTTCAAATGCCCATCAGTGATAAACTGGATGAAGAAAATGTGGCACATATAAACCATGGAATACTATGCAGCCATAAAAAGGATGAATTTATGTCTTTTGCAGGGACGTGGATGAAGCTGGAAACCATCATTCTCAGCAAACTAACACAAGAACAGAAAACCAAACACCACATGTTCTCACTCAAAGGTGAGAGTTGAACAATGAGAACACATGGACACAGGGAGGGGAACATCACACACCAGGGCCTGTCAGGGGCTAGAAGAGGGATAACATTAGGGGAAATACCTAATGTAGATGATGTGTTGATGGGTGCAGCAAACCACCATGGCACCTGTATACGTATGTAACAAACCTACACATCCTGCACATGTATCCCAGAACTTTAAGTATAATAAATTAAATTTTTAAAAATCTCAGCATTTGCACCTATTTCTGACAAACTAGGTCTTGCTTATAGGATTGTAATGACCTCAGCATTTTGTCCATGTGAGGTCAAGCTTTAATTTTTACAAGATTAAATTTGGGATTAATGATGTGAGGAAAACATAAGTAGCAGGAGGAGTTTGTTAAGGGCAATTTGTCTTTTGAAATATTTAAAAGAACAGCCATTAAATTTTTGTCTAGAGAGTAAAATAAAGAATGACAAGTCCAGCAAAGTATTAGATTCAGAGCAGTAGCTATAGCCTGTGAAAAATATGTAAGTGGGTTTTGCTTTCTCTTAAGTGGTAGGAGATCATAGTGGTTGGAGGTAATAGGATGATGATAAGGGAGATCCCATTAGTATTTTAAAGGATACAAAAGTGGAAGAATAAGACGGATTAGTAGTAGAGGGAAAGGAAAAATGTTGAAGAATCAGAAAATTAATCTTTTTTCATTGTCCTGGGCAGAAACTGTCTATTTCTGAAGTCAGTAGATTCCAGGGGATTCCTAAGAATTCTCAGTTTATGATTTCTAGATGTAATGAATGTTTAGTAGTCTGGAGAAAAAAAATACAGATATTTTTGACCTGTGAAAGATGATGAAGCTAAGAATCTATACCTTGGAGTTTTATTGCTGTGTCAGTTGTTAACAGTATCTGATAAGATCATATTCATCAGGGCTCAAGGGCACAGTTTTCTGTAGTCTTTTCCAAGAAATTGACTCTCAAGGCTGCAGATCATGTAGAAGCTATTTAGGTGACTGTTTTGAAAATGTAGCTTGTACTTGATGGTAAAGGTGGAGGTATCATATGAGTCCCTTGAAGTGATTAATTATATCTGCTTGTAATATCAAATGCATAGTGTGGACCATTATTATTTTATGAGGAGATAACTTGTGGATCCCAGAGGAGGTTAATTTTGTTAGTATATTAAAGGTAATGGTAATACTTTAGGACATGAGAATTCAAGGGTTTCTGAGAGTGTTTTTAATTTCAGTTTTAGAATTCTATTAGTCCTTTCTATTTTTTCTAAAACTGTAGATAAAATAGCGAATATTCTGGTAAAAGGCAAAAATTTATAGAATTTCTTTCTTTCTTTTTTTTTTGAAATGGAGTCTCGCTCTGTCGCCGAGGCTGGAGTGCAGTGGTGCGATCTCGGCTCACTGCAAGCTCCGCCTCCCGGGTTCAGCCATTCTCCTGAGTAGCTGGGACTACAGGCACCCGCCAGCACGTCCGGCTAATATTTTTTGTATTTTTGGTAGAGACGGGGTTTCACTGTGTTAGTCAGGGTGGTCTCTATCTCCAGACCTCGTGATCCTCCCACCTCGGCCTCCCAAAGTGCTGGGATTACAGGCGTGAGCCACCGCGTACGGCCAAATTTATAGAATTTCTTAATAACATTACTAGTAAAATGGGCATCTCTGTCATTAGAGAGATAAATGAGAGTATCTCAGGTTGGAAAAGGAAATTAAACATTTTGGGAAACGGAAGTGGTCAATAAGATAGTAGCTCTCCAGCAAGGAAAAGTTTTAATAAACAAATAATGTCCAGAGAATAAACAAGTAATAACCAGAACCTATTAACAACCTATTTCAGGAGGCATTTATATAAAGTCCTTTTGAAGGTGTTTAATAGGCCCTCAGAAGGTTGTTTTCTGTCCATATTTCACCTCTCCAGTTTTACCAGAATTACGTTGTTGGCAGGTGGGACATATTTTGGAACAAGCTCTGAAACACCTCTAAAATTTCCCCAACAATGATAATTTAATATTGTTGCCAGCTTATCTTTGTTATTATAGGTAATGTCATGAAACATTTTTGCTAAATTCATTTTAAATTATTTGGTGCTATCAGTTGGATATCCTGAGAGAGCCAAATATTATATTGTGTGATGAGTATCTTAACTTTTTTCATTTCCTTTTTTTTAAATCAGAGACTTACCTCTCACAGTTAATAATAACTATTTTGAAAACAACAAAGCACCTAAAAGTACTTCAACTGGTTGTCTTATTTTTATTTTTTTGCTTTTAATCAAGGTTAAAAACTTTTTTGTTTCCAAAGTATTTTAGATTTCCAAATTGGTGGATGTATTGGACTGTTCTTTATAGCATTGCTATAAAGAACTACCTGAGACTGGGTAATTTATAAAGAAAAGAGGTTTAATTGGCTCATGGCTCTTCAGGCTGTATAGAAAGCATGGCTGGGGAGGCCTCAGGAAACTTTCACTCAAGGCGGAAGGTGAGGGAGAAGCAGGCACATCCTACATGGCTGGAGAAGAAGGAAGAGAGCAAAGAGGGGTGGTGCTACACAGTTTTAAACAACCAAATCTTGTGATAACTCACTATCATGAGAACAGCAAGGGGAAAATCTGCCTGCATGATCCAATCGCCTCCAACCAGGTCCCTCCTCCAACACTGGGGACCTCCTCCAGCATTGGGGATTACAATTTGACATGAGATTGGGGCAGGGACACAAATCCAAACCATATCAGTGAACTACTATCTATATAAATATTTATATCTACCATCATCTACTGTCTATGTAAATATTTGCTTTTGATTTCTCCCAGCTTCTAGGCCAGGGTAAAAGTAATTATTTTAGTCATCTGAGATAATTTAATTTCTGGCAATGGCTTATATTTTAAGAGTGAATTTAGGTCTTTCATTGCGGTTTTTAAAATGAGCACAAAAAACTAGGTCAGTGCTATCTAAGGGAATCTCAAAAAAATGATTTCAGACTATGCTAAAAGCACTGAGAGTTAATATAATCATGTAATGACAAAAAGGAACCTCTACTAATTTGGGCATAAAATAACATAGACATTTTATAGAAAAAATCCAAATTCTATTTTTCTTCTTTTGGTACATTATTTATTTAAAAATAATAGCAAAAGCTCTTTTAATAAACCTTTTTTAAATGCATTTAGGCATATTCAGACATAAAAGTATATAAATAGGTAATAAAGTAAAGCTTTATAGCTTTAAATATAATTATCTTCTTGGTAGATTAAAAATAATACCCATAATTAATCTATCATTTGAATGAACCATAATAACTTTTTAAAACTTAAAAAATAAATAGAAAATCACATCTATTTTCTTGTTTTCATACATGTAACTCTCAAGTACTGTACTCAACACAATCAATCATCTACATTAGTTACTATCTTTAATTAAAGTAACCTTTTTTTTTTTTTTTGCCACCACCACTGGTACAAATGCGTGTATGGATGCTGCTGTTCTGCTTCCACTGGTGCTCTGTCCCAGTTGATGTGTTTGCACTCTGCTGCAACACCGTGGATAATGGCATATGCACATGAGCACAGAACCTGCTGCCACTGCCCTAACAAAGTGTTTTGGCTAGCATCTTCCATCGGAGTGCTGTAGCGAGAGGATTAGACACATCAGCCTCTCCAGCACAGCAGGTTCCTAATCTTGAAGGGCCAGAGAACAAAGCCAAGGGCTCAGTACTAGCCCCTCAGTGTTAGAGCGTGCAGCCCAGGAGTGCTCAGCTGAGTCTTGGCCCCCTAAAATTTTCCATAAATGAACCCAATTGACTGAACCCACCTTATACCACAATCAAACATCCAAGGACATCAAAGAAGATAAAAGCAAAAAACCCCATCCAAAGGACAGCAACTTCAAACATGAAAGGAATGTTAGTCCACATAAATGAGAAAGAACCAGTGCAAGAACTCTGAAAACTCTAAAAGCCAGTGTCTTCTTACCTCCAAATGACAACACTACCTTCCCAGCAATGCTTCTTAACCAGGCTGAAATGACTGAAATGACAGACATAGAATTCAGAATATGAATAGGAATGAAGATCATGGAAATTCAGGAGATATTCAAAACCCAAGCCAAAGAAGCTAATGAACACAATAAAATGATACAGGAGCTAAAAGAAAAATGACCATTGTACCAAACTGATTTGGTAGAGCTGAAAAACTCACTATGGTAATTTCATAACAAAATTGCAAGTATTAACAGCAGAATGTACCAAGCTGAGGAAAGACTCATAGAGCTTGAAGACAAGTTCTTCAAATTTACTCAGACAAAAATAAAGAAAAAAGAATGAACAAAACCTCTGAGAAATATGAGATTATGTAAAGAGACCAAATTTACAACTCATTGGCATCTCTGAAAGAGAAGTGAAAGCAAGAAACTTCAAAAAACATATTTGAGGATATTATCAATGAAAAATTTCCCAACCTTGCTAGAGAGGCCAACATTTAAATTTAGGAAAGGTGGAAAACCCCTGTGAGATATGATACAAGAGACCATCTGCAAGACACATAGTCATCAAATTCTCCAACATCAAAATGAAAGAAAAAATATTAAAGGCAGCTAGAGAGAAGGGACAAGTCACCTATAAAAGGCAGCCTATCAGGCTAACAGTGGACCTTTCAGAAGAAATCCTACAAGCCAAAAGAGATGGGGGCCTATATTAAGCACTTTCAAAGAAAAGAAATTCCAACCAAGAATTTCATATCCAACTAAACTATGCTTCCTAAGCAAAGGAGAAATAAAATCCTTTACAGATAAGCAAATGCTAAGGGAATTTGTTACCATCAGACCTGACTTACAAGAGGTACTCAAGGGAGTGTTAAATATGGAAAATGAAGATGAGGGTTTGCCACCACAAAAACCCTTAGATACGTAGATCATTGACACCACAAAGCAACTACACAATCAAGTCTGCATAACAACCAGCCAACAACATGGTGGGAGGACCAAATCTGCACATATCAATATTAACCTTGAATGTAAACAGGTTAAATGCCTCAATTAAAAGGCACAGGGTGGGAAGTTGTGTACAGAAGCAAGCCACAACTGTATGCTGTCTTCAACAGACCCACCTGACAAGCAATGACACCTACAAACTCAAAGTAAAGGGATGGAGAAATGCCTACCAAGCAAACAGAAAACAAAAAAGTGCAAGGGTTGCTAATTTCAAGATTAAAAAAACAGACTTTAAACCAGCAATGGAGAAAAACACAAAGAAGTGCATTAATAATGACAAAGAGTTTAATTCAACAAGAATTAACTATCCTAACTATCCTAAATGTATATGGACCCAACATAGGAGCACCCAAATTCATAAAACAAGACCTTAGAGATCTATGAATAGACTTAGATAATCACACCCTCACTGACAGCATTAGATCATTGAGGCAGAAAACTAACAAGGAACCTGAACTTGACACTTGACCAAATGGACCTAACAGGCATCTATAGAACTCTCCATGCAAAATGAACAGAATATATATTTTTCTCATATGCACATGTCACATATTCTAAAATCAACCACACAATCGGCCATAAAACAATGGTTAGCAAATTTAAAAAAATCATACCAACCACGTTCTCAGACCACAGCACAATAAATAGAAATCAATATTAAGAATATCAATCAAAACTATAGAATTACATGAACATTAAACGACCTGCTCCAGAATGACTTTTGAGCAAATAATGAAATTAAGGCAGAAATCAAGAAATATTTTTGAAATTAATGAGAACAAAGATACAAACTACCAGAATCTCTGGGACACAGCCTAAGCATTGTTAAGAGGAAAGTTTACAGCACTAAATGCCCACATCAGGAAGTTAGAAAGATCTAAAATTAACAACCTAGCATGATACTTAAAGGAACTAGAAAAAGGACAAACCAATTCCAAAGCTAGCAGAAGACAAGAAATAACCAAAACCAGAATGGAACTGAATGAAATTGAGACACAAAAAACTATACAAAAGATCAACAATATTATGTTGATTTTTTGAAAGAATAAATAGGATTGATAGACCACTAGCTAGACTAATAAAGAAAAAAAGGGGAGAAGTTCCAAATAAAGCAATCAGAAATGACAAAGGGAACATTATCATTAACTCCATAGAAATACAAAAAACCCTGAGAGTATTATGAACATCTCTATGCAAAAAAAAACTAGAAAACTTATAAGAAATGGATAAATTCCTGGAAACATATAACTTTCCAAGATTGAACCAGGAAGATACTGAAACCCTGAACCGACCAATAACGGCTTCCAAAATTGAATCTGTCTGTAATAAAAAGTGTACCAGCCAGAAAAATCTCAGAACCAGCTGGAATCACGGCCAAATTACACTAGACATGTAAAGAAGAGCTGATACCATTCCTACTAAAACTATTCTAAAAAAAAAATGAGGAGGGACTCCTCTCTAACTCCTTCTATGAAGCAAGCATTTTTCTGACACCAAAACCTGGTAGAGACATAACAACAACAGAAAACTTCTGGCTAATATCCTTAATGAACATAGATGCAAATATCCTCAAAAAATACTAGCAAACTGAATCCAGCAGCACATGAAGAAGCTATTCCAGCATGATTAAGAAGGTTTTATCCATGGAATGCAAGGTTGGTTCAACATATGAAAATTAATAAATGTGATTAATCACATAAACAGAACTAAGACAAGAAAAACTACATGATTATCTCAATAGATGCAAAAAACGTTTTTGATGAAATTCACCATCTCTTCATTGTTCATTAAAAACCCTCAACAAATTCTACATTGAAAGAGCATATCTCAAAATAATAAGAGCTATCTATGACAAACCCACAGCCAACATTGTACTAAATGGGGAAAAGGTGAAAGCATTTCCCTTGAGAGCTGGAACAAGACAAGGATGTCCTCTCTCACAGCTCCTATTCAACATAGTACTGGGAGTCCTAGCCAGATCAATCAGTCAAGAGAAAGAAATGAAAGGCATCCAACCAGAAAGAGAAGAAGTAAAACTATCTCTTTTTGCAGATGATATGATTCTTTACCTAGAAAACCCCATAGTCTCTACCCAAAAGCTCCTAGCAACTTTAGCAAGGTTTCAGGACACAATATCAAAGTAGAGAAGTCAGTAGCTGGACAGACGCAGTAGCTCAGGCCTGTAATCCCAGCACTTTGGAAGGCTGAGGTGAGCAGATTGTTTGAGCTCAGGAACTCCAGCCTGGGCAACATGGTGAAACACCATCTCTACAAAAATTACCAAATTTGTCTGGGTCTGGTGGTGCATGCCTGTAGTCCTAGCTACTTGGTGGGGCTGAGGCGGGAGGATTGCTTGAGCCCAGGGGGTCAAGGATACAGTGATTGGTGTTTGTGACACTGCACTCCAGCCTGGGTGACAAAGTGAGACCCTGTCTCAGAAAAAGGAAAGAAGGAAAGAGAGAAAGAGAATGAAAGAAAGAAAGAAGAAAGAAAGAGAAAGAAAAAAGAAAGAAAATAAAATCAAGAAAGAAGCAAGCAAGCAAGCAAGCAAGAAAAGTCAGTAGCCTTTCTATACATCAACAATATCCATGTTGAGTGCCAAATCAGGAACATAATCCCATTTACAATAACCACAAAACAATAAAATGCCCAGGAATACAGCTATCCAGGAAGGTGAAAGAGCTCTACAATGAGAATGAAAAACATTGATGAAAGAAAATAGAGATGACACAAACAAATGCAAAAACATTTCATGCTCAAGGATAGGAAGAGTCAATATTGGTAAAATAGTCATATTGCCCAAAACAAGTTATATATTCAATACTATTCCTGTCAAACTACCAATGACGTTTTTCACAAAATTAGAAAAACTATTTTAAAATTCATATGGAACAAATAAAGAGCCCAAATAGCCAAGAGCCTATTGCAAAAGAGCCTAAGCAAAAAGGATAAAGCTAGAGGTATCACCATTAACTGACTTCAGACTATACCACAAGGCTGCAGTAACTGAAACATCATGGTACTGGTACAAAAGCAGATAGATAGACTGATGAAACAGAATAGAGAATCCAGAAATAAAGATGAACATCTACAACCATCTGATCTTTCACAAAGTCGACAAAAACAAGAAATGAAGAAAGGACTCCCTATTAAATAAATGGTTCCGGGATAACTGGCTACCCATATGCAAGATTAAAACTGACCCTTTCCTTACACCATCTACAAAAATCAATTCAACATGGGTTAAAGACTTAAATGTAAAATCTACAACTATAAAAACCCTGGAAGAAAACCTAGGAAATACCATTCTGGACATAGGCCTGGCAAAGAGTTCATGACGAAGTTGGCATAAGCAATTGCAACAAAAACAAAAGTTGAAAAACAGACTTAATGAAACTAAAGAGCTTCTGCACAGCAAAAGAAAGTATGAACAGAGTAAACAGACAATCTACAGAATGAGAGAAAATATTTGCAAGCTATGCATCCTACTAAGGTCTAATATCCAGAAACCATAAAGAACTTAAATTAATAAGCAAGAAGCAAAGCAACCCATTTAAAAGTGAGCAAAGAACATGAACAGACACTTTCCAAAAGACATACATGTGGCCAACAGGCATATAAAAAATGCTCAACATCACTAGTCATTAGAGAAATGCAAATCAAAACCACAATAAAGTACTATCTCACACCAGTAAGAATGGCTATTATTAAAAAGTCAAAAAATAACAGATGCTGGCATGGTTGCAGAGAAAAAGGAATGCTTATAAACCGCTGGTGGGAATGTAAATTAGTTAATCCATTGTGGAAAGCAGTTTGACAGTTTTTCAAAGAACTTAAAATGGAACCACTACTCAACACACCAATCTCATTATTGGGTATATACCCAAAGGAATATAAATAGTTCTACCATAAAGACACATGCATGTGTATGTTCAACGCAGCACTAGTCACAATAGCAAAAACATGGAATCAACATAAATGCCCATCACTGGTAGACTGGATAAAGGGAATGTGTACCATGGAATGCTACACATTCATGAAAAAGAAATTACGTCCTTTGCAGCAACATGGAGGGAGCTGGAGGCCATTATTCTAAGTGAGTTAATGCAGGAACAGAAAAGCAAATACTGCATGTTATGAGTGGGAGCTAAAATTGAGTACATATGGACACAAAGAAGGGAACAGTAGACACTGGAATGTACTTGAGGGTGGAGGGAGGCAGGAGGGTGAATTTTGAAAAACTACCTATCAGGTACTATGCTTTCTATAGTTTGCATATGCTTATTACATGGGCTATGCAATTATCTGTACACCAAATCCCTGCGACATGCAATTTACCTATGTAACAAACCAGCAAATATACCCCTGAACCTACAATAGAGGGAAAAAACTAACCAATTTTTTTTTAAATTTTACCTTAAGTTCTGGGATACATGTGCAGAATGTGCAGATTTATTACATAGGAACACATGTGCCATGGTGGTTTGCTGCACCTATCAACCCGTCATCTAGGTTTTAAGCACCTCATGCATTAGGTATTTGTCCTAATGTTTTCCCTCCCCTTGTCCCTCACCCCCCCAACAGGCCCCAGTGTGTGATGTTCCCTTCTCTGTGTCCATGTGTTCTGATTGTTCAACTCCCACTTATGAGTGAGAACATGTGTTTGGTTTTCTGTTTCTGTGGTAGTTTGCTGAGAATGATGGTTTCCAGCTTCATCCATGTCCCTGCAAAGGACATGAACTCTTATTCTTTTTTATGGCTGCATAGTATTCCATGGTATATATGTGCCACATTTTCTTCTTCCAGTATATCACTGATGGGCATTTGGGTTGGTGCCAAGTCTTTCCTATTGTAAATTGTGCTGCAATAAACATACATGTGCATGCGTCTTTATAGTAGAATGATTTATAATCCTTTGGGTATATACCCAGTAGTGGGATTGCTGGGTTAAATGTTATTCCTGGTTCTAGATCCACGAGGAATCTCGACACTGTATTCCATAATGATTGAACTAAGTTACACTGTCACCGACAGTGTAAAAGTGTTCCTATTTCTCTACAGCCTCACCAGAATCTGTTGTTTCCTGACTTTTTAGTGATCGCCATTCTAATTTGCTTGAGATGGTATCTCATTTTGGTTTTGATTTGCATTTCTCTAATGACAAGTGATGATGAACTTTTTCTCATATGTTTGTTGGCCACATAAATGTCTTCTTTTGAGAAGTGTCTATTCATACCCTTCACCCACTTTTTGATGGGGTTGTTTGTTTTTTTCTTGTAAATTTGTTTAAGTTCTTTGCAGATTGTGGATATTAGCCCTTTGTCAGATGGATAGATTGCAAAAATTTTCTCCCATTCTCTAGGTTGCCTGTTCACTCTGATGATCATTTCTTTTTGCTGTGCAGAAGCTCTTTCATTTAACTAGATCCCATTTGTCAATTTTGGCTTTTGTTGCCTTTGCTTTTGGTGTTTTAGTCATGAAGTCTTTGCCCGTGCCTACATCCTGAATGGTATTGCCTAGATTTCTTCTAGGGTTTTTATGGTTTTAGGTTTTACATTTAAGTCTTTAATTCATCTTGAGTTAATTTTCATATAAGATGTGAGAAAGGGGTCCAGTTTCTGTTTTGTGCATGTGGCTGCCTGTTCTCCCAGAACCATTTATTAAATAGGGAATCCTTTCCCCATTGCTTGTTTTTGGCAGGTTTGTCAAAGATCAGATGGTTGTAGATGTGTGGTGCTATTTCTGAGGTCTCCATTCTATTCCATTGGTCTATATACCTATTTTGGTACCAGTACCATGCTGTTTTGGTTACTGTAGCCTTGTAGTATAGTTTGATGTCAGGTAGCATGATGACTCCAGTTTTGTTATTTTGCTTAGGTTTGTCTTGGCTATACAGGCTCTTTTTTTGGTTCCATATGAAACTGAAAGTAGTTTTTTCTAGTTCTGTAAAGAAAGTAAATGGTAGCTTGATGGAAATAGCATTGAATCTATAAATTACTTTGGGCAGTATGGCCATTTTTATGATATTGATTCTTCCTATCCATGAATATAATTTTTTTTCCATTTGCTTGTGTTCTCTCTTATTCCTTTGAGCAGTGGTTTGTAGTTCTCCTTAAAGAGGTCCTTCACGTCCCTTGTAAGTTGTATTCCTAGATATTATATTCTCTTTGTAGCAATTGTGAATGGGAATTCACTCATGATTTGGCTCTCTGTTTGTCTATTATCAGTGTATAGGAATGCTTGTGATTTTTTTCACATTGATTTTGTATCCTGAGTCTTTGCTGAAGTTGCTTATTAGCTTAAGGAGGTTTTGGGTTGAGACAGTGGGGTTTTCTAAATATACAATCATGTCATCTGCAAACAGAGACAATTTGACTTCCTCTCTTCCTATTTGAATACCCTTTATTTCTTTCTCTTTCCTGATTGCCCTGGCCATAACTTCCAATACTGTGTTGAATAGGAGTGGTGCCTGAAATTTTCTTTTTTTGTTTTGTCTCTGCCGGGTTTTGATATCAGGATGATGCTGGCCTCATAAAATGAGTTAGGGAGGAGTCCCTCTTTTTCTATTGTTTGGAATAGTTTCAGAAGGAATGGTATCACCTCCTCTTTGTACCTCTGGTAGAATTCGGCTGTGAATCTATCTGGTCCTGGGTTTTTTTTTTTTTTTTTTTTTTTTTTTGGTTGGATGGCTATTAATTACTGCCTCAATTTCAGAGCTTGATATTGGTCTATTCAGGGATTTGACTTCTTTTTGGTTTAGTCTTGGAAGGGTGTATGTGTCACGGAATTTATCAATTTCTTCTAGATTTTTCTAGTTTATTTGCATAGAGGTGTTTATAGTAGTCTATGATTGTAGTTTTTATTTCTGTGGGATCAGTGGTGATATTCCCTTTATCATTTTTTATTGTGTCTATTTGATTCTTCTCTCTATTCTTCTTTATTACTCCAGCTAGTGGTCTATCTATTTTGTTAATCTTTTCAAAAAAAAAAAAAAACACCTCCTTGATTCAATGATTTTTTGTGTCTCTATCTCCTTCAGTTCTGCTCTGATCATAGTTATTTCTTGTCTTCTGCTAGCTTTTGAATTTGTTTGCTCTTGCTTCTCTAGTTCTCTTAATTGTGATGGTATGGTGTCAATTTTATATCTTTTCCACTTTCTGATATGGGCATTTAGTGCTATAAATTTCCTTCTTAACACTGCTTTAGCTGTGTCCCAGAGATTCTGATACATTGTTCCTTTGTTCTCACTGGTTTCAAAGAACTTATTTATTTCTGACTTAATTTTGTTATTTACACAGTTGTCATTCAGGAGCAGGTTGTTCAGTTTCCATGTAGTTGTGCGATTTTCATTGAGTTTCTTAATCCTTAGTTCCTTAAAAAAAGTGTTATATTTTAATAAGCAGCTTGACACTTGCTTCACTCCCTCTTTGTTGGTTACATATGGTATTGGAGAAATTCTGAGAGGATGTGGGAATTCTATAACTCAGAGGAATTGGGGATGGCTGAGGCAATGACATTTTATTATTATTATACTTTAAGTTCTGGGGTACATGTACAGAACATGCAGGTTTGTTACATAGGTGTACAGGTGTCATGGTGGTTTGTTGCACCTATCAACCCATCATCTACATTAGTTATTTCTGCTAATGCTAACCCTCCCCTATCTCCCAGCCCCCTACAGGCCCCAGTGCATAATGTTCCCCTCCCTTTGCCCATGTGTTCTCATTGTTCAACTCCCACCTGTAAGTGAGAACATGCAGTGTTTGGTTTTCTGTTCCTGTGGTAGTTTGCTGAGAATGATGGTTTCCAGCTTCATCCATGTCCTTGTAAAAGGCATGAACTCATCCTTTTTTATGGCTGTACTATATTCCATGGCATATATTTGCCACATTTTCTTTATCCAGTCTATCATTGATGGACATCTGTGTTGGTTCCAAGTACTTGTGAACAGTACTCCGATAAACATATGTGTGCCTGTGTCTTTATAGTAGAATGATTTATAATCCTTTGGGTATATACCCAATAATGGGATTGCTGAGTTAAATAATATTTCTGGTTCTAGATTTTTGAGGAATCACCACACTGTCTTCCACAATGGTTGAACTAATTTACACTTCCACCAACAGTGTAAAAGCGTTCCTATTTCTTCACATTGTCTCCAGCATCTGTTGTTTCCAGATTTTTTAATGTAAAGAACGTAAACATATTTACCAGAAAAAAACCAAACAACCCCATTAAAAAGTGGGTGAAGGTTATGATCAGACACTTCTCAAAAAAAGACATTTATGTGGCCTAGAAACATAGTAAAAAAGCTCATCATCTGTAGTCATTAGAGAAATGCAAATCAAAATCACAATGAGATACCATCTCACGCCAGTTAGAATGACGATCATTAAAAAAATCCTGTGTTCTAATTTGATTTCACTGTGGTCTGAGAGATGGTTTGTTATGGTTTCCATTCGTTTGCATTTGCTGAGGAGTGTTTGAAAGAAGTAACCAATTTTTAAATTAATTTTTAAACATTGACACAGATTATTGCACGTATTTATTATTTTGATACATGCACGCAGTGTGTAATGAACAAATCAGGGTAATTAAGGTATACATCACCTCAAGTATTTATTATTTCTTTGCATTGGGAACAATTCAAAACTTCTAGCTATTTTGAAACATGCAATAATTTGTTTTTAACTATGATTAGCTTACTGTGCTATTAAACACTAGAACTCATTTCTTTCTCCTTTTCTTCTTCCTCCTCCTCCTCCCCCTCTTCCTCTTCCTCCTTCTCCTCCTCCTCCTTCTGCTTCTGCTTCTTCTTTTTTCTCTTCTTCTTCATTTTTTTTTTTTTTGAGACAGTGTCTTGCTCTGTCACCCAGGCTGGAGTGCAGTGGTGGGGTCACAGCTGACTGCAGCCTGCACGTCCTGTGCTCAAGCAATCCTCCCCACTCAGCCTCCCAAGTAGCTGGAATACAGGCACACACCATTACACCTGGCTAATTTTTAAAATATATTTTAGTAAAGATGGGGTTTTGCTATGTTGGCCAGGCTGGTCTCAAACTCCTACCCTCAAGTGATCCTCCTGCCTCAGCCTCCCAAAGTGCTGGGATTACAGGCCTGAGCCACTGTGCCCGGCCAAAGAACTTATTTCTTCAAACTGTATTTTTGTACCCAATAACCAACTGTCTTCATCCCCCTCCCTTTGTAGAAACCAATTTGTTCTTTTTTTTTTCTTTACCCACAAAAGAAACCCAGAAGACAGGAGGTTAAAAACTATCCAGTTATTTTTTTCCAGCTGCATTTATCTCATGTTATTTTAAAAATTTGAGAAGCAAAATTAGATATACATGCATTGTTATCCCAAAGC
This sequence comes from Homo sapiens, assembly GCF_000001405.40. NCBI lineage: Eukaryota > Metazoa > Chordata > Mammalia > Primates > Hominidae > Homo > Homo sapiens. The sequence goes on along the minus strand of NC_000023.11, from coordinate 67,989,574 downwards.
ATTTGCATATTTTATCTACTGGCATTTTAATAATTAAAGACAAATATAAATTATGTTTAATAATATGTTTTTGCACATATATATTTTTTCTTTTTGGAAACTATACTGACATTTAAAGGTTACTTATTAATTAACTTGGGTCTAAGTGTTTAAAGTTAGTTAAAAAGCTAGACAATAAAATTTAATTCACACATTAAATCTTTATGAAGTGCAGCATTGTATGAATTTTATAACTAAACCCGTTAACAATAGCCCTTATTTTATTTAGTTGAATACAATTTCTTTTTCTTTTTTTTAAATTTCAATCGCTTTAGGGGCTCAAGTGGTTTTGGGTTACATGGATGAATTGTACAGTGGTAAATTCTGGGCTTTTAGTGTACCCATCATCTGAATAATGTACATTGCACCCAACAGGTGACTTTTTTATCCTTCACTCCACTTCCTCCATTCCTCTTCTGAGTTTTCAGTGTTCATTACCCCACTCTGTATGCCTCTGTATAGCCATAGCTTAGTCTTGACTTATAAGTGAGAACCTGTGATATTTGGTTTTCTATTTCTGAGTTACTTCACTTAGGATAATAGCCTCCAGGTCCGTGCAGGTTGTTGCAAAATAATTTATTTTATTCTTTTTTATGGCTTAGTAGTATTCCATGGTGTGTATATGTGTGTGTTTAGTGTGTGTGTGTGTACATATATAGGTGTACACACACATATATATATGCACTTAGGTACCTATATGTATATACCTCTCTCCATATACACATACATATATAGGTGTACATATAAATATCAACATATGAATATATATATATAGAGGCACTTAGGTCAATTCTGTATCTTCGCAATTGTGAATTATGCTGCAATAAACATATAAGTGTCTTTTTTTGTTTAACGATTATTTTTCCTTTGGATAGATATCCAGTGGGGGATTGCTGGGTTGAATGATAGTTCTATTTTTAGTTCTTTGAGAAATTATGATGCTTTCCATAGAGGTTGTACATTCCCACCAGCAGTGTATACCTGTATGGTTGCCTTTTCTCTGCATCTGTGGTAACACCTTTTTTTTTTTTTTAACTTAAAAAAAATGGTCATTCTGACAAGAGTAAGGTGGTATTTCACTTTGGTTTTAATTTGTATTTCTTTTGTAATTAGTGATGTTGAGCATTGTTTCGTATGCTTGTTGGCCATCCGTATAACTTAGGAAATATTTATTCATGTCACTTACCCAGTTTTTAATGGAATTATTTGCTTTTTATTCTTGTTGATTTGTTTGACTTCCTTGTAAATTCTGGATATTACTCTTTTCTCAGATGCATAGTTTGTGAGTATTCTCTCCCATTCTGTAGGTTGTCTGTTTACTGTGTTGATTATTTCTTTTGTTATGCAGAAGCTTTTTAGTTTAAGTCCCATTCATCTATTTTTGTTTTTGTTGCATTTATTTTTGGGGTCTTTTTCATAAATTTTTTGCCTAGGCCAACGTCTACAAAAGTTTTACCTAGGTTTTCTTTTAGATAGGGTTTCAGGTCTTAGATTTAAGTATTTAATCCATCTTGAGTTAATTTTTGTATATGGTGAAAGACGTGGATCAAGTTTCATTCTTCTGCATGTGGCTATCCAATTTTTCCAGCACCATTTATTGGATAGTGTGTCCTTTTCCCTGTTTATGTTTTTGTCTGCTTTGTTGAAGATCAGTTGGTTGTAGGCATTTAGCTTCATTTCTGGGTTCTCTATTCTGTTTCATTGGTCTATGTGTCTACTTTTATACTAGTACCATGCTATTTTGGTTACTGTAGCTGTGTAGCATAATTTGAAGTCAGGTATTGTGATGCTTCCATATTTATTTGTTTGTTTTGCTTAGGATTACTTTCACTGTGTGCGCTCTTTTCTATTCCATACAAATTTTAGAATTTTTTTTCTAATTCTGTGAAAAATGATATTTGTATTTTGATAAAAATTGCATTGAATCTTAGATTGCTTTGGGCAGTATGGTCATTTTCACAATATTAACTCTTTGAATCGATGAGCATGGAATGTTTTTCCATTTGTTTTTGTAATCTATAATTTATTTCATCTGTGTTTTGTTGTTCTCCTTATATAGATCTTTCATGTCCTTGGTTAAGTATATTCCTAGGTATTTTGTTTTATTGTTAGCTATTGTAAATGGTATTGAGTTCATGATTTATTTTCAGCATGGTTGTTATTTGTATATAGTAGTGCTACTGATTTTTGTATTTGAATTTTGTAACTGAGACTTTACTTAATTCATATGTGAAACCTAGGAGTCTTTTGGAGGAATCTTAAGGGTTTTCAAGGTATAAGATTTTATCTTTGGCAAGGAGAGATAGTTTGATTTTCACTTTTCCATTTGGATGCCCTTCATTTCTTTCTCTTGCCTGATTGCTCTGGCTATGACTTCGGGTACTATGTTGAATAGGAGTTGTGAAAGTGGGCATCCTTATGTTGTTCCAGCTCCAAAGGGGAATGCTTTCAACTTTTCTTCATTCGGTTTGATGTTGGCTGTGGGTTTCTCATATATGGCTTTCCGTTTTTGAGATATGTTCCTTCTATGCCTAATTTGTTGAGGGCTTTTTGTCTTTATCATGAAGAGAGGCTGGATTTCATAAAATCCTTGTTCTGCATCTATTGAAAAATCATATGGTTTTTGTTTTTTAAATTATGTTTATGTGGGGAATCACGTTTGTTGATTTGTGTATGTTTAGTCATCATTGCACACTGGAATGAAGCCCACTTGATCATGGTGAATTCTTTTTGATGTGTTGTTGGATTTTGTTTGCTAGTAGTTTGTTGAGAATTTTTGCATCTATGTTCATCAGGGATCTCGGTTTTCTTTTCTTCTTGTATCCTTTCCTTCTTTGGTGTCAGGGTGATACTGGCTACATTGATTATGGAGGATTCCTTCCTATTTTATCTTTTGGAATAGTTTCAGTAGTGTTGGTAAGTAGCTTGTCTGGTAGAATTTGGCTGTGAATCTATCTGATACTTGGCATTTATTTGTGGGAATATTTTTAATTACTAATTCAATCTCACTACTTCTTGTTTAGCTCAGGATTTCAATTTCCTCCTGATTCAAGCCTGGGAGTGTGTTTCCAGGAATTTATCAATTTTCTCTAGATTCCCTAATTTGTATTCATAGAAGTCTTGGATGATCTTTTGTATTTCTGTGGTATTGATTGTAATGTCTCCATTTTCCTTTCTAGTGGAGCTTATTTGAATTTTCTCTCCTCTGCTTGGCTAATCTAGCTAGTAGTGTATCAATTTTGTTTATCTTTTCAAAACACAAACTTTAAAAAGTTGGTTTTTTGTAATTTTTTTGTTTCAATTCAATTTAGTCCTGCTCTGGTATTATTTATTTTCTTCTGCTCACTTTGGGTTTGTTTTGTTATTTTCTATTTCCATGAGATGTGATGTTAGGTTGTCAAATTGTAGCCTTTGTGTCTTTTTGACATAGGTACTTAGTACAATGAACTTTGCTTTTATCAGTGCTTTTGCTGTATCCCCAATATATTGATAACTCATGTTGCTGTTATCATTGATTTTGAAAAACGTTTAAATTTTCATCTTGATTTCATCACTGACCCAAAGATAATTCAAGAGCAGATTGTTTAATTTTTGTATATTTGTATAGTTTTGAGAGTTCCTCTTGGAATTGATTTCTAATTTTATTCTGCTGTGGTCTGAGAAAGTACTTGATATCATTTTTAAAAAATTTATTGAGACTAGTTTTATGACCTATCATATGACGTATCTTGGAAAATGTTCTATGTGATGATGAGAAGAAGAATGTATTGTCAGGCCTCTGAGCCCAAGCTAAGCCATCATATCGCCTGTGACTTGCAGGTATACATCCAGATGGCCTGAAGCAACTGAAGGATCACAAAAGAAGTGAAAATAGCCATTTCCTGCCTTAACTGATGACACTCCACCATTGTAATTTGTTCCTGCCCCACCTTAACTGATTGATTAACATTGTGAAATTCCTTCTCCTGGCTCAGAAGCTCCCCAACTGAGCACCTTGTGACCCCTGCCCCTGCCCACAAGAGAACAACCCCCTTTGAGTGTAATTTTCCACTACCTACCCAAATCCTATAAAACGGCCCCACCCCTATCTCCCTTCGCTGACTCCTTTTTCGAACACAGCCTGCCTGCACCCAGGTGATTAAAAAGCTTTATTGCTGACACAAAGCCTCTTTGGTGGTCTCTTCACATGGACGTCTGTGACATGTATGTTCTGCAATTTTTTTGATAGAATGTTATATAAATGTTTGTTAGGTCCATTTGTTCTAGTGTAGTAGGACGAGCTGCAGACAAAACATCTCAGACACCGAGCTGTAGAAGGAAGGGCTTTATTCAGCTAGGAGCATTGGCAAGCTACTGCCTTAAAATCCGAGCTCTCCAAATGCACAATTTCGGTCCCTTTTAAGGGCTCGCAACACTAAAGATTTCTCATGAAAGGGTCGTGATTAATTTGAGCAAGCAAGGGGTACATGACAGGGGCTGCATGCACCGGTGGTCAGAGAGAAACAGAACAGGGCAGGGAGTTTCACAATGTTCTTCTATACAATATCTGGAATCTATGAATAACATCGGTTTCTAAGTCATGAGTTGATTTTTAACTACTAGGTTTAGGCCAGGCAGGCCCAGATCCAGTTTTGGGCCTGGCGCCGGGCTGCCTGTCTTTGATTTCACTTCCTTGTTTTTTTCTTAAAACAAGCATTGAGTATAAAACAGTATAAAACAATATAAAACAATATGAGAGTGTCTCTCTCTTCCCTCACTAGAGTCAAGTTTAAGTCCAGCATTTTTTTATTCGTTAATTTTCTGCTTCAATAATCCATCCAGTGTTGTCAGTGGAGTCTTGAAGTCCCCCACTATTATTGTTTTGCTATCTATCTCTTTTCTTAGGTCTAGCAGTATTTGTCCTGTAAATCTGGAACTCTGGTGTTAGGTTTATGTATACTTAGGATTGTTATATCTTCTTGTTGAATTTATTTACTTATCATTATATAATGACCTTCTTTGTCTTTTTTTAAAATTTGAAATCTGTTTTGTCTAATAGATACTTCTGCTTAATTTTGATTTCATGTGTATGGAATATTTTTTTCCACTCCTTTACCTTGGGTCTGTAAGAATCTCTATGAGTTAAGTGGTTCTCTTGAAGTCAGCAGCTATTTGAATTATGGTTTTTAATCCATTCTATCAATCTATATCTTTTAATTGGGGCATTTATACCATTTACATTCAAAGTTAATCTTTATATGTGAGGTACTGTTACAGTCATCAAGTTTGCTATTATGTATGTCCTTTGCTTTTCCCATTGTGTTACTGTTTTCTAAGCCCTGTCATTTTTTATATTGGTGTGTATCAATCTTTCATTTTCATATTTAGAGCTCCTTTGATTATTTCTTGTAGGTTTGGTTTAGTGGTGGCAAATTCCATCAACTTTTTCTTTTCTTTTTTTTTTTTGTCTGGGAAAGACTTTATTTCTTCTTCATTTGTGACACTTAGTTTTGCAAAATACAAAATTCTTGGCTGACAGGTTTTCTGTTTGAAGAGACTGAAGATAAGCCCCCAATCTTTTCTGGCTTGTAAGATTTCTGCTGAGAAGTCTTCTATTTGTCTGCTAGGTTTTTCTTTATAAGTTATTTGTTGCTTTTGTCTCACTGCTTTTAGAATTCATTCCTTTACATTGACTTTAGATAGCCTGATAACTATATGCTTTGATGATGTTTAAGCCACCAAAGACTCTTTTTACAATGTAAAGGTTCTTTTTACAATGTAAAGATTCTTTTTTCAATGTAAAGATTCTTTTTACAATGAATCTGCCAGCAGTTCTCTGAGCTGTTTGTATGTGGATGTCTAAATCTCCAGCAAGACCAGTGAAGTTTTTCTCAATTATTCCCTCAAATAGGTTTTTCAAATTTTGGCTTTTTCTTCTCCCTCAGGAACATCTATGATTCTTAGGTTTGGATGGTTTACAGAATCCCATATTTCTCAGAGACTTTGTTCATTTATTTTATTGTTTTTATTTTTGTCTTATTTGGTTAATTCAAAGAACTTGTCTTCAAGCTCTGAAATTCTTTCCTTTATTTTGTCTAGACTATTGTTAAAATTTTCCCCTGCATTTTGTAATTCCCTAAAACAGTCTTTAATTTCCAGAATTTCTATTTTTTTTTTAAATCGATCTCTTTGGAAAAAATTTTATTCATACTCTGAATTTTTTAATTTTTCTAAAATTTATTTTGGAGGCTCCAATGATCCTCCCACCTTGGCCTCCCAAAGCAATGGGATTCCAGGCATGAACCACTACGCCTGGCCATTTTTTTGATCTCTTTATATTGGTTTTCAGCTATCTGTTGGATCTCCCTGAGCAATTTTATAATCAATCTTTTGAATTCTTTGTCTTGAATTTCAAAGATTTCATTCTGGTTTGAATTCATCACTAGAGAATTTATGTGATCTTCCAGGGGTATTGTAAAGCTTTGTTTTTTCATATTACCAGAATTATTTTTCTGCTTCCTTCTCACCTACATAGACTATTTCTTGTTATTTTTGAAATCATTTTTTTCAGCTGGGGTGTTTTCCCATTGAAGAAGATGTGACATTAATATATATAGTTTATGATCACCTAGGTTAGACTCTGGGTTCTTTCAGTGGAAGTCTGCATAAATTCCTTGGTTATAGAGAATTTTTGTGCAATGGCTTTGTCAGATGCTGCTTGTAGTAGTGATGTACTGGGTGTGACAGCAGATTCACTGTCTCTTGTGGGGTCAGAATGGCAGAGGTCTCACTCCCCAATTGTGTGCACTTTTTCCTCCCCAGTATTTTTTTCCACTAGATTAAACAATTCAGTCTTCAGGCAAGTAGGAGGTGTTCACAAGTAAGAACTGGCTGTAGCTGAAGCAGATGGGTATATTCAATACCCCAATGGTGGGCAAAAGTCCCAGCCCTTACAGAGGTAGCTGGGGGAGCTCCTAGTGAAATGTGCTGCAGTTTTCACAGAAGGAAGGGAGGGAGCCCCCTCAGCTCCACTACCAAGCTGGAAGGAAAGCATTCCACCTCCCCCATCATGCCCCTGTCCTATTGTTCCAGATATTAGATTAGAGAGATATATCTGTCCATCTGAAATAATGCCAACATTCTATGTACATAAAGAGTGGAACTACATCTCTCTTGCAGGCGTGAACCCAGGGGTTATGCCTCCCATGGGGATGCAGTCATCCTGAAGTGCTCCAAAAAAGTTGTCTACAGGTGCACCTGGGCTGAGGTCCTGTGGGAGAAGCCCTAGCTGTGTCTGCAGTGGTGGGCAAGGGGGAGAAGAAGTCACTTTCTCCAAGTCCCTTCATAAGCACTTGGGTTGCTCAACTGCTGAGACAGAACCACAGACTTCCCCACTGAGCCCAGCACTGTGTCTGTGCCTTTGCTGAAAGATACTTTCTACAAGCGAGAAGTTCTGGGACACAGAAAAGCCTGTAGGTAGTCTGGTAAACATAATTTTAAAAATAGAATTTTTAATTTAAAAAAACTGTAGAAACACTGAGAACTAATTTAACTCAAAACTAAATCTGGGCTATTACAAAATTTGAATAATTTAACCTTTGTCCTAAACAAACCAAAATATTATGGTAACTTTTTTTGTAATTCAATTATTGATGAAGTCATATAAAATTTTATCTTGAAATTGAAGTATTTTCTTATGATGTCATAGCTATAGTTATAAAAGCTATCATATAAATACACATGAAAAGCATAGTTCAATCTACTTTTCTTTCTTTCAACAACTTTGACTATCTAAACTAAATATTTCTACTCTATGCACCTAGCAACTGAATGATTTTTAAATCAGTTAATCTTTCAAGCCCTATAAGGGAGGGGAAAAAGAGAAAATAGTATAGAAAAATGAGAGGGAGCCAGCTTTGAAGAAATAGCTAATTATTTGCCTTCTGTAAGGAAAGAGAAGAAAATTTAGATGCAATAAAAGATACTTTGATGCATATGCATAAAAGAGAGAGTATCATACACATTTTGATATAATTTGGGTCCTTGACAATTTTATCAAGTTGTATAATAAAAAAGCCTGTACTTATTAAACCTCAAAGTATGAAAACAACAAAGAAGGGGATGTTTTTCACATTAAACCAAATAATCTCTCTTTTAGGTAACACTTTTTTTTAATGAGGTTTTGTTCTTTCTATCTTCCAGTATCTACATTATCTTTAAAATGTTCAGCCAAAAGTTGGAGTTCATATATTGGGGCAACCTCTGAATCAGTTTTTGCTTACATCTCATATCTACAATTTCAGACTTTCAATAATCAATGAAAATGTGGAAAGGACATTGAGTATGTCAATATCAGAAGCTAATCTTAAGTATTGTCTGAAAGTGCTGATTAAGGAGACAGTTTCTTATGTTTTGCATTTGTTTTACTAAAGAACATTTTAGGGAAGCAATTTTTTAGTTTGATTTGCATTTAGAAGCCTCTTCACACCAGTTAATCAGAGCAGACTATAAACAGAATTTTGTTTTCTTTTGTTTTAAGGCATCTTTTAAAAAACAGTTTGTCCATATCAAAGCTCCCCAATGTGGCCACCATCATTCCCAATTTTTCTTGGTGAGAGTGTGCCAGTTTGAAAGGTATGCAAGGAGTTAACATTACAATGAGAAAACAAAAATAAAATGGGTGTTCTTCCTGAAAGAGGTGCCATTTTAGCTCAAAAAGACCCCATGAGAACTGCAATATGTCTGTAAAAATGGTGCTTGTATGATCTGTGTCTCCAGAGTTTGGTTAAAGGACCAGTAGTCCCTGATTAGGGGCTGAAGAAACCTCCTGATGCTGGGCAGAAAAAACTAAAATACCAGAAGTTCTCAAGGACACAAAAACAAGACTGAAGAAGCCCTATAATGACCTGGGGGAAAGTTTGTCCTAAGGGCACTTGTCTGATAACAAACTTTCTGAGCGTCTCAGCTCCCAAGGCTAGCTTGAGGACAGACTTATTGAGCCAATGTCCCTTCCCTCCCTGTGGACCCTTCATCTTACAAACAAACAACATTGATGAAACTAGACAAGCATACAGATAGACAATGAATTAGACAAGCAGGTATTAGATACTAGAAGAAAAATTCACCAAAGAATAATAAAAATCTGTTCAGATAACCAAAAATCTCTCAAAGGAATTTATTTCTAGGAAAACAAAATAAAGCCAATCCTGATGGGCTTCAGTGAAGTAGTAAGAGCCCAATTCAGCATAAATTTCCTTTTCAGCCACAGGCATGTGGCAACTTAAGCATATAGAGATACAAGGGATCTCAGATGTGCACACTGTTACTCACTAAGGATCCCAGTCCAAGGCAGTGAGAGTCTCAACTGAACCTTACTCGAATCTCCAATTCTGTCAAGACCCTTCAACCAAAGACCACCAAGGACACATTTTAGTTAAACAAGTTGAGTTTATTGCTCATCACAGCATGAAAAAACATACACCATGGGGAACTGTTGGGTGTCTCAGTAAGAGGATGTTAAAGATAATCTATTATAGGATATGGGCTTTTTGAATTATTTTGGAGACAGTCAAAGAAAGTGGAGGTTAGCTTTAGATTAAACGCTGTCAGTAAGCAGAGGTAATTTTGTGATTGGGTGTCTTATGGGTGGCACAGTCATCTAGATTTTGTCTGCACTTAGACAAAATTATGAAGGAAGCCTTGTTTTGTTTGATTCACTTGTCATAATCTCAGAGTAACCTTGTCTGAGGTTGTTTTCTGTGACATTGTTTATGTCCAACAGGATAACAAAATGGCCTGGCTGTGAGTGAGGCCTAACTGTGAATATCAGATCAGTTCTGGACATCAGCGTCAGCTTTTACTTGATCAGTGCCATGTATTATTCAATATGCTGGCACATAGTGATAAACAAAGTCTCCATTCTCATGGAGCCCAAATTTCTGTGGTGGAGATAGGCACAGAAATAAAGCTGGATAAGGAAAAGAGGAAATATGAGGGTGCAGTACTATGTTAAATAGAGTGACCAGGGAAGTCCTCTATAAGAAGAATACATTTGAGTGTAGATGGGAAGAAAGTGAAAGAGTAAGACATGGGTATTGAAGGTAATTCCAGGTAGAAAAAACCTGGAATGATCCATGCAAAGACCCTGAGTGGGGCATATACTTGGTGAAGACCAAAAAACAAGACAGTGTGGTTAGAATGGAGTGAGTGAGGGGGAACATAGTAGGAGATGAGATCAGAGAGTTACTGTGGACATTGTAATAACTTTGACTTTCCTCTGCAGTGGGTTGGGAAGCCATTAGTGTTTCTGAGCAAAGAAATGACATGACTTATGTGTTAGAAGGAATGGAAGGCACTTGATTTTTTTTATAGGCTGAGGAAAAGAAATAAGTAGAAAGAAAGGCTGTGGATACAGGAGGAAAGAGAGAGAGAGAGAGAGAAAGAGAGAGAGGTGGAGGAGGAGGAGGAGAAAGAGGAGAGAGAATTTTCATAGATGTGGAATTTTCATAGATGTGCTTTATCTAGTTGAGGAAGTTCCTTTTTATTCTTAGTTTATTGAGTATTTTTATAAGGAAAGGGTAGTAGATTTTGTCAAATGTTTCCCTGCAGGTATTGAGATGATCGTGTGATTTTTGTTTTTTATTCTAATGATATGGGGATTACATTAGCTGATTTTCAGATATTGAGCCAACTTTTAATTCCTGGGATGAAGCCCACTTGGTCATATTGTACAGTGTTTTTATATGTTGCTGGATTTAGTTTATTAATATTTAGTTGAGTTTTTGCACTTATATTCGTAAGAGATACTGGTTTTTGTTTTCATATCTTGTGATGTTTTTGCTTTTGGTATCAAGGTTATACTGGCCTCATAGAATTAGTTCGAAAGTGTTCCCTTCTCATCTATATTTTGAAAATTGTTGTGAAACACTGATGTTCTGTATTTTTAAAACATTTGGTAGAATTCAAAACCATATGAGCCTGAGCGTTTTTCTGTAGGCAGTTTTGAAAATTAATTCAATACCTTCACATGTTATATACATCTATTCAGATTTTCTATTTCTTCTTGAGTCAGTGTTGCTAGTTTGTGTCTTCCTAGGAATTTTTTCCATTTAATTTATCTAATTTATTGGCATAAAATTGTTCATAATACTCCTTTATAATCCTTTACATTTCCATAAGGCCAGTAGTAATATCACCTATTTTACTTTTGGTTCCAGTAATTGAGTCTTCTTTATTTTTTTCTTGGTCAATATAACCAAAGTTTTTTTCAATTTTGTTGATCATTTCCAAGAACCAGCTTTTGATTTCATTGATTTTCTCTATTGTTTTTGTATGTTCTACTAGTTAATTTCTTCCATATTCTGTATTATTGGTCTGTTTTCTTGCCTTGGGTTTGATCTGCATTTCTTTTTACAGTGTGTTTTGTGGAAGATTAGGTTATTGATTTGAAGTAATTATTTTTTCTTAATATAGTCATGTACAGCTGTAGTTTTCTAAGTTCTGCTTTAGCCACATCATATAAGTTTAAGTATGTTGTGTCTTCATTTTCATTCCTCTGAAAATATTTTCTAATTTCTGTTTTGATTTCTCTTTTGGCTTATTGGTTATTCGAGAGGATATTGTTTAATTTTCACATATTTGTGAATTTCCCATATTTCTTTCTCACTGATTTCTAATTTCATTCCATTGTGATTGAATAATATACTTTGTATTATTTCTGTTCTACATTTTTTTGAGGTATGCACTTTATGGCCTAGCATATTGTCTATCACATAGAATGTTCTATGTGTACTTGAAAAGAATATATAGACCTTGGTTGTTAGGTGGAGTGTTCTATAGATGTCTGTTAGTTCTAGTTGGTTCATAGGGTTGTTCAAGTCTTTTATTTCCTTAGGTCACCTTCTGTGTAGTTTTATACATATTACTAAAAGTGGAGTATTGAAATCTCCAGCTAGTTCATTGGAAGTGCCTATTTTTTGCTTCATTTTTGTCAGTTTTTGCTTCAAGCACTTTAATACTCAATTGCTAGATGAATATATATTTATAATTGCTATATCTTATTGATGAATTAACCCTTTTATCATTATAAAATGTAACATTTTATGTCTAGTAATACTTTTTGTTGTAGCCTATTTTGCTGATATTAGTGTAGCCACTACAGTTTTCTTTTGTTTGCTAAATGTGTGACACATCCTTTTTCACTTTTTTATCTTCAGTGTATTTGTATCTTTGAATTTGTAATGTATCTCCTGCAGGCAATATATAGTTGGGTCATTTTTTTGTTTGTTTATCCACTTTGACAACTTCTGCCTTTTGGCTGGATTATTTAATCCATTCACCTTTAATGTTATTATTGATGTAGTTGGATTTTTATCTGCCATTTTATTTTTTGTGTTCCATGTTTTTGTGCCTTTTTTCTCTAGTCCTCCTTTTCTGCTTTCTCTTGAACTAAATAAATATTTTCTAATGTAGCATTTTAATTTCTTTAATGATTATTTCACTATGCATATTTAAATTATTTCCTTAGTGGTTGCTCTAGAGCTTACAATGTACATTTACACTTCTCAGAGTTAAGCTTGGTTTTACACCAATTTAATTCCAGCGAGATAGAAAAATGTTATTCCTACATAGCACTGTTTCACTTTCCCCCATTTTGTGGTATTATTGTTATACATATTATACCTATAAGTGTTTAAAACTCAACATTGCATTGGTTATAATTGTTATTTTGTATAATTTTATGTCTCATATGAATTGAAGAACAAGTATATAGTTTTAGTTTTTGTTATATTAACTTTTAAATTTTATCAATTTTTGTTCTCCTCATTTGTTCTTTTGTATGTGAGTTACCATCTACAATTAATTAGCTCAATACACATTTTTCACCCACTCACCTCCTTGGTGCTGCAACTGTCAAATGTATTACATTTCCATATGTTATAGGCCCAACAATACATTTTATTTTTTGTTTCTTATTTTTATTTATTTTTGAGACAGGGTCTCACTGTATCACACAGGCTGGAGTGCAGTGGTATGATCATGGCGCACTGCAGCCTCAAACTCCTGGGCTGAAATGATCCTCCCACCTCAGCCTTCCAAGCAGTGGGGGCTACAGGTGCATGCCACCATGTTCAGCTAATTTTTAGATTTTTGGTAGAGATGGGGCCTCACTTTGTTGCCCAGGCTGGTATTGATCTCCTGGGTTCAAGCAATCCTCCTGTCTTGGCCTCCCAAAGTGATGGGATTATAGGTGTGAGCCACCATGTCCAGTCCCAAGAATACATTATATACATAGTTTTATCAATTTTTTTCTTACATCAGTCAATAGAAGAAAGAAGAAAATAATATGCACTCATACTATCATTTTTATTTACATAGTTACATTTATTAGTGCTTTTTATTTGTGTGTGTGTGTGTGTGTGTGTGTGTGTTTGAATTACCATTTGCTCTCAGCCTGAAGAATCTGCTTCACTACTGGTCTGTTAGCAATAAATTCTCACTACTTGTTTACCTGGGAATGTCATTATTTTGACTTCATTTTTGAAGTAGCTTTTCTGAACACAGATTTTTTGGCTGACAATTTTTCCCCGTTTAGCCTTTGAATATGTTATCCCAATCCCTCTGGCTTCAATTATTTCTGCTGAGAAGTCAGTTGTTAATCTTACTGAGTTTCCCTACACATCCAGAAAGCTCAACAAACTCCAAGTAAGATAAACAAAAAGATATCCACAAACAGACACATCATAGTAAAAATGCTGAAAGCCAAAGACAGGGAGAAAATCTTGAGAGCAGCATGAGAATAATTTGTCTTATAGTCAGGTATGCTTTTGCATATTGTGTTATTTTTTTCTGTGTTACTATAACAGAATATCACTGACTGAGTAATTTATGTTTAAAGAAGAGAAATTTATTTCTCACAGTTCTGGAGGCTGAGAAGTCCAACTTCATGGTACCAGTATCTTTCAAGGACCTTCTTTATGCACCATCCCATTATGGAAAGCAGAAAGGCAAGACAGCATGTGCATGAGAAAGAGAAAGGCAGCCAAACTCATTATTTTTATCAGAAATCCACTCCCATGATAACTATCACACTCCTATGATAATGGGATAATGGCATTAATCCATTCATGAGGGCAGAACCCTCATGACCTCCTCATCCCTTCAAGGTCTCATCTCTCAATATTGTTGAAGATTGAGTTTCTAACACATGAACTTTAGGGAACTCATTCAAACTATAGCTCATATGGATATCCAGTTGTCATATCATGTACAAGGGATCCTCAGCTAAACCCATCAAATTCATTTGTATATTTAGGATTTATATTTTTCAGTTTTAAATTTTCCTTGTGATTCTTTTTTATCTATTTCAAATATCTGGAGAAATTCTTCTTTAAAATCTATTTTTTATTACTTTTCCCTCTCCTTTCTTGAGCATTGCTATGAAGAAATACCTGGCACTGGGTAATTTATAAAGAAAAGAGGTTTATATTGGCTCACAGATTTTTTTTTAATTTTTAATTTTTGTGGGTACATGGTAGGCTTAAATATTTATGGGGCACAGGAGATGTTTCAATACAGGCATGCAATGCATAAAAATCACATCATGGAGAATGAGATATCCATCCTCTCAAGCATTTACCCTTTATATTAAAAAATGAAATTTTACACTTTTAGTTTTTTAAAATGTATAATTAAATTATTATTAATTATAGTCACACTGTTGTACTATTGAATAATAGGTCTTACTCATTTTTTTTATTTTTGTTGTACCCACTAACTGTTCCACCTACCCTATTCCCCCACTACTCTGCCTAGTCTCTAATAACCATCCTTCTGCTCCCTATCTCCGTGAGTTCAATTGTTTTAATTTTTAAATCCCACAAATATGTGAGAATATGCCATGTTTGTCTTTCTGTGCCTGGCTTATTTCACTTAACATAATGATCTCCACTTCCATCCATATTGTTGCAAACGACTGGATCTCATTCTTTTTTATGGTTGAATAGTATTCTATTGTGTATATGTACCATGTTTTCTTAATCTATTCATCTGTTGATGGACACTTGGGTTGCTTCCAATTATTGGTTATTGTGAAGAGTGCTGCAACAGACACAAAAGGGCAGATATCTCTTCAATATACTGATTTCCATTATTTTTGGTATATACTCAGCAGTGAAAATGCTGAACCATATAGTAGCTCAATTTCAAGATTTCTGAGGAAGTTCCAAACTGTTCTTTATAGTGGTTGTACTAATTTACATTCCCATCAAAAGTGTACGAAGGTTTCCTTTTCTCCACATCCTTGCCGACCTTTGTTATTGCCTGTCTTTTGGATATAAGCCATTTTAACTGGGGTGAGATGATACCTTATTGTAGTTTTGATTTGCATTTCTCTGATGATCAACGATGTTGATGCTTTTTCATATGCTTGTTTGCCATGTCCATGTCTACTTTTGAGAAATGTCTATTAAAATCTTTTGCCCATTTTTTAAATTGGAGCACTAGATTTTTTGCTAAAGAGTTGTTTTTGCTCCCTCTATATTCTAGTTATTAATCCCTTGTCAGATGGGTAGTTTGCAAATATTTTCTCCCATTCTGGGGGTTTTCTCTTCCCTTTGTTGATTGTATCCTTTGCTAGGCTAAAGCTTTTACTTGATGTAATTTTATTTGTCCATTTTTGCTTTGTTTGCCTGTGCCTGTTGGAAATTGCTCAAGAAATTTTGGCCAGAACAAATGGCATGGAGAGTTTCCCCAATGTTTTCTTGTAGTAGTTTCATAGTTTGAGATCCTAGATTTAAATCGTTAATTCATTTTGATTTGATTTTCGTACATGGCCAGAGATAGGGGTCTAGTTTTATTCTTCTGTATATGGATGTCCACTTTTCCTAGCACCATTTATTGAAGAGACTGTCTTATCCCCAGTGTATGTTCTTGGCACCTTTGTTAAAAATGAGTTCACTGTAAAAGTGTGGATTTGTTTCTGCATTCTCTATTCTGTTCCATTGGTCTATGTGTCTGTTTCTATGCCAGTACCATGCTGTTTTGATTACTATATCTTTTTAGTATAATTTGAAGTCAGGAAATGTAATTCCTCGAATTTTGGTCTTCTTACTCAGGATAGCTTTGGCTATTCTGTGACTTTTGTAGTTCCATACAAATTTTAGGATTGTTTTTTCTATTCCTCTGAAGAATGTTATTGGTATTTTAATAGGAATTTCATTGAATCTGTTGATTGCTTTGGGTAGTATGGATATTTTAACAATATCAATTCTTGTAATTCATGAACATGAAATATGTTTTCATATTTTGATGTCCTCTTCGATTTTTTTCATCACTGTTTTAATGTTTTTATTGTGGAGTTCTTTCTCTTTTTGGGTTAATTCTTGGTTATTTCATTTTGTGTATGGCTATTGTAAATGGGATTACTTTTTTTATTGCTTTTTCAGATTATTTACTGTTGTCATATAGAAGTAGTTAATTTTGTTACATAGGTATACATGTGCCATGGTGGTTTGCTGCACCCATCAACCCATCATCTGCATTAGGTATCTGTCCTATTGCTATCCCTCCCCTAGCCCTGTACGCCCTGACAGGCCCCAGTGTGTAATGTTCCCTTCCTTGTGTCCATGTGTTCTCATTTCTCAACTCCCACTTATGAGTGAGAACATGCGGTGTTTGGTTTTCTGTTCCTGTGGTAGTTTGCTGAGAATGATGGTTTCCAGCTTCATCCATGTCCACGCAAAGGACATTAACTCATCCTTTTTTATGGCTGCATAGTGTTCCATGGTGTATATGTGCCACATTTTCTTTATCTGGTCTATCACTGATGGGCATTTGTGTTGGTTCCAAGTATTTGTTAATGTGAATAGTGCTGCAATAAACATACATGTGCATGTGTCTTTATAGTGGAATAATTTATAATCCTTTGCGTATATACCCAGTAATGAGATTGTTAGATCAAATGGTATTTCTGGTGCTAGATCCTTCAACCATTGTCTAAATAGTTTTTTAATGGTGTTTTTAGATTTTTCCAAATTCAAGATAATATCATCTGCTAACAAGGATAACTTGACTTCTTCCTTTCTAATTTGGATTTCCTATATTTCTTTCTCTTGTCTGATTCCTCTAGCCAGGACTTTCAGTACTATGATGAATAACAGTGGTGAAAGTGGGCATCCTTGTCATGTTCCAGATCTTAGAGAAAAGACTTTCCATTTTTCCCCATTCAGCATGATACTAGTTATGAATCTGTCATATACGGCCTTTATTATGTTGAGGTATGTTCCCTCTATCCCCAGGTTTTGAGGGTTTTTTATTTTTTTATTTTATTTATTTATTTATTTATTTTTCTTTCTTCTTTTTTATTTTTTTATTATTATTATACTTTAAGTTTTAGGGTACATGTGCACAACGTGCAGGTTAGTTACATATGTATACATGTGCCATGCTGGTGTGCTGCACCCATTAACTCGTTATTTAGCATTAGGTATATCTCCTAATGCTATCCCTCCCCCCTCCCACCACCTCACAATAGTCCCCAGAGTGTGATGTTCCCCTTCCTGTGTCCATGTGTTCTCGTTGTTCAATTCCCATCTATGAGTGAGAACATGTGGTGTTTGGTTTTTTGTCCTTGAGATAGTTTTGAGGGTTTTTATCATGAAGAAATATTCAATTTTATCAAATGCTTTTCAGCAACAATTGAAAGGATCATATGGATTTTGTCCTTTATTCTATCAATATGATGTATCACATTGACAGATTTATGTATGTTGAACCATCCTTACATTCCAGAGATAAATCTCACTTGGTCAAAATGAATGATCTTTCTAATGTATACTTGAATTCAGTTTGCTAGTATTTTGTTGAGAATTTTCATAACAACATTCATCAGAGATATTGTTGGCCTGTGGGTTTTTTTTTCATATGCCTTTGTCTGGTTTTGATATCAGTGTAATATTGGCCTCATAGAATGCGTTTGAAAGTATTCCCTCTTCCTCTATTTTTTGGAATAGTTTGAGTGAAATTGCTATTAGTTCTTTATATGTTTGGTAGAACTCAGCATTAAAGCCAATGGGTTCTGGGCATTTCTTTCCTGGCAGAGACTTTACTATGGCTTCAATCTTGTTACTTGTTATGGGTCTGTTTAGGTTTTGGATTTCTTCCTGGTTCAATCTTGTTAGGTTGTATGTGTCTATGAATTTGTTCATTTTTTCTACATTTTCCAATTTATTGACATATAGTTGTTCACAGTAGCCACTAGCCACTAATATTCCTTTGAATTTCTGCAGCCTCAATTGTAATATCTCCTTTTTCATATCTGATCCTATTTATTCCAATTTTCTTTCTGATATTTTAGTCAGGCTAAAGTTTTGTCAATTTTATTTAACTTTTCAAAAAAGTTTTTGTTTCATTGATCTTTTGTATTTTTTATTTCAATTTCATTTATTTCTGCTGTGATCTTTATTATTTCTTTTTCTTTTACTAATTTTGAATCTGGATTGCTCTTGCTTTTCTAGTTCTTTTTAAAAACTTTTTAATTTTCATAGGCTATTGGGGAACAGGCAGTGTTTGGTGACATAAGTAAGTTCTTTAGTGGTGATTTGTGAGATTTTGGTGTACCCATTACCTGAGCAATATACAATATACACTGCACACAATGTGTAGTCTTTTATCTGTCACCCCTTTCCCACCCTTTTCCCTTGAGTCCCCAAAGTTCATTGTGTCTATTTTTTTTTTTTTTTTTTTTTTTTTGAGACAGGGTGTTTCTCTTTTGCCCAGGCTGAAATGCAGTGGTGCAATCTCGGCTCGCTGCAAGCTCCGCCTCCCAGGTTCAACTGATTCTTCTTCCTCAGTCTCCTGAGTAGCTGGGACCACAGGCATATGCCACCATGCCTGGCTAATGTTTGTATTTTTAGTAGAGATGGAGTTTCACTATATTGACCAGGCTGCTCTCCAACTCCTGACCTTGTGATCCACCTGCTTCGGCCTCCCAAAGTGCTAGGATTACAGGCCTAAGCCACTGTCCCAGGCCTCACTGTGTCATTCTTAAGCCTTTTCATCCTCATAGCTTAGCACCCACTTATGAGTGAGAACATTTGATGTTTGATTTTCCATTCCTGAGTTAGTTTACTCAAAATAATAGTCTCCAATCTCATCCAGATCACTGTCAATGCCATTAACTCATTTTTGTTTATGGCTGAGTAGTATTAGTATTCCATTGTGTGCGTGTATATACACATATATATATTCCATATATATGTGTATACATATGCGTATATATTACAGTTTCATATATATATTACAGTTTCATATGTATATAATTACAGTTTCTTTATCCACTCATTGATCGATGGGCGTTTGGGTTGGTTCCACATTTTTGCAATTGTGAATTGTGCTGCTATAAACATGTATGTGCAAGTATGTTTTTTGCATGATGACTTCTTTTCTTCTGGGTAGATACCCAGTAGTGGGATTGCTGAATCAAATGGTAGTTCTACTTTTAGTTTTTAAGGAATCTCCACACTGTTTTCCACAGTGGCTGTACTAGTTTACATCCCCACCAGCAGTGTAGAAGTGTTCCCTGATCACCACATCCATGCCAACATCTACTGTTTTTTGATTTCTTGATTATGGCCATTCTTGCAGGGGTAAGGTTGTATTGCATTGTATTGCATTGTATTGCATTGTAAGGTTTCGATTTGTATTTCACTGATCATTAGTGATGCTGAACATTTTTTCATATGTTTGTTGGCCATTTGTGTATTCTCTTTTGAGAATTTTCTATTCATGTCCTTAGCCCACTTTTTGATGGGATTGTTCATTTTTTTCTTACTGATTTGTTTAAGTTCATTGTAGATTCTGGATATTATTCCTTTGTCAGATGTATAAATTGTGAAGATTTTCTCCCACTCTGTGGGTTGTCTGTTTGCTCTGCTGACTGTTCTTTTTGCTGTGCAAAAGCTCTTTAGTTTAATTAAGTCCCAGCTATTTATCTTTGTTTTTATTGCATTTGCATTTGGGTTCTTGGTCATGAAATTCTTGCCTAAGCCAATATCTAGAAGGGTTTTTCAATGTTGTCTTCTAGAATTTTTATAGTTTCAGGTCTTAGATTTTAAGACATTGATCCATCTTGTGTTTAAAAAGGTGTCCTTTCCCCATTTTATGTTTTTGTTTGCTTTGTCAAAGATCAGTTGGCTGTAAGTATTTGGGTTTAGTCCTGGGTTCTCTATTCTGTTCCGTTGGTCTATGTGCCTATTTTTATACCAGTACCATGCTGTTTTGGTGAGTAAGGCCTTATAAATAGTTTGAAATCAATTGGTGTGATGCCTCCAGATTTGTTCTTTTTGCTTAGTCTTTCTTTGGCTCTGTGGGCTCTTCTTGGTTCCATGTGAATATTAGAATTGTTTTTCATAACTCTGTGAAGAATGATGGTGGTATTTTAATGGGGATTGCATTGAATTTGTAGATTGCTTTTGGCAGTATGATTATTCTCACAATATTGATTTTACCCATCCATGAGCATGGCCTGTGTTTCCATTTGTTTGTGTCATCTATGATTTCTTTCAGCAGTGTTTTATAGTTTTCCTTTTAGAGGTCTTTCACCTCCTTGGTTGGGTATATTCCTAAGTATTTTTTTTTTTTTGCAGCTATTTTAAAAGGAGTTGAGTTTTTTATTTCATTCTCAGCTTGGTGCTGTTGGTGTATGGAAGAGCTACTGATTTGTGTACATTAACTTTGTATCTGGAAACTTTGCTGAATTCTTTTATCAGTTCTAGGAGCTTTCTGGAGGAGTATTTAGTGTTTTCTAGGTAAACAATCATATCATCAGCAAACAGTAACAGTTTCACTTCCTCTTTACCGATTTGGATGCCTTTCACTTTTTTTCTATTGTCTCATTGCTCTGGGGAGGACTTCCAGTACTATGTTGCAGGGAAGTGTTGAGAGTGGGCATCCTTGTCTTGTTTCAGTTCTCAGAGGGAATGCTTTCAGCTTTCCCCCATTCAGTATTATCTTGGCTGTGTGTTTTCCTTAGATGGCTTTTATTACATTGAAGATATGTCTCTTGTATATCAATTTTGCTGAGAGTTTTAATCATAAAGTAATGTTGAACTTTGTCAAATGCTTTGAGACGCATCATTAGATTCTTTATTTGCAGTTTTTCTTGTTTTTTGATGTAAGTACTCATAGCTATAAGGTTACCTCAGTATTGTTTTTGCTGTATATCATAGGTTTTGGTATGTTATGTTTCCATTATCATTTGTTTCAAGAATTTTTTAAATTTCTTTCTTAATTTGTTCATTGACTCCCTGGACATTCAGGAACATATTGTCTGATTTTTATGTATTTATTATAGTTTTCAAACTCCTCTCATTATTGATTTCTAGTTTTATTCCATTATAGACAGAGAGGATGCTTGATATTATTTACATTTTTTGAATGTTTTATACCTTGTTTTGTGACCTAACATATGGTCTATCCTTTAGAATGATCCATATGCCGAGGCAAAGAATGTGTATTCTGTAGCCATTGTATGAAATATTCTGTGAATATGTGTTAGATCCATTTGGTCTATAGTGCAGATTAAATCTCATCTTTCTTTGTTGATTTCCTGTCTGGATATCTGTCCAATGCTGAGAGTGCAGTGTTGAAGTCTCCAGCTACTGTTGCATTGGAGCCTATCTTTCTCTTTAGCTCTAATAATAATTCCTTATTATATCTGGGTGCTCCAGTGTTGGATGCATATATATTTAAAATTGTTATACTTTCTTGCTGAATTGACCCCTTTATCATTGTATAGTGACCTTGTTTATCTCTTCTTAGAGTTTTTGTTTTAAAATCCATTTTGTCTGATATATGTATAATGTCTCCTACTTTTTTGGGTTTCCATTAACATGGACTATCTTTTTCCATCCATTTATTTTTGGTCTATGGGTGTCTTTATAGGTAAAGTGTGTTTCTTGAAAGCAACAAATCAATGCATCTTTTTTTTTTTTCATCTATTCAGCCTGTCTACGTGGAGTTTAGTTCATTTACATTCAGTGCTATTGTTGGTAAGTAAGGAGTTACTCCTGCCATTTTGTTATTTGTTTTCTGGTTGTTTTGTGTTTTTCGTTTCTTTCTTTATTTGCTTCCTGTCTTTCTTTAGTGAAGATAATTTTCTCTGGTGATAGAAGTTAGCTTCTTACTTTTCAGTTTTTTTGGCACCATTGTATGTTTTTTATTTTTTTTTGCTTGAGGTTACCATGAGGCTTGGAAATACTATTTTATTTTATTTTATTTTATTGTTTTATTATACTTTAAGTTTTAGGTTATATGTGCACAACGTGCAGGTTTGTTACATATGTATACATGTGCCATGTTGGTGTGCTGCACCCATTAACTCTTCATTTAATATTAGGTATATCTCCTAATACTATCCCTCCCCCCTCTCCCCACCCCACAACAGGCCCCGGTGTGTGATGTCCTGTGTCCATGTGTTCTCGTTGTTCAATTCCCACCTATGAGTGACAACATGCGGTGTTTGGTTTTTTGTCCTTGCAATAGTTTGCTGAGAATGATGGTTTCCAGCTTCATCTATGTCCCTACAAAAGACATGAACTCATCATTTTTTATGGCTGCATAGTATTCCACGATGTATATGTGCCACATTTTCTTAATCCAGTCTATCATTGTTGGATATTTGGCTTGGTTCCAAGTCTTTGCTACTGTGAATAGTGCCACAATAAACATACATGTGCATGTGTCTTTATAGCAGCATGATTTATAGTCCTTTGAGTATATACCCAGTAATGGGATGGCTGGGTCAAATGGTATTTCTAGTTCTAGATCCCTGAGGAATCACCACACTGACTTCCACAATGGTTGAACTAGTTTACAGTCCCACCAACAGTGTCAAAGTGTTCCTATTTCTCCACATCCTCTCCAGCACCTGTTGTTTCCTGACTTTTTAATGATCACCATTCTAACTGGTGTGAGATGGTATCTCATTGTGGTTTTGATTTGCATTTCTCTGATGGCCAGTGATGATGCGCATTTTTTCATGTGTCTTTTGGCGGCATAAATGTCTTCTTTTGAGAAATGTCTGTTCATATCATTTGCCCACTTTTTGGTGGGGTTGTTTGTTTTCTTCTTGTAAATTTGTTTGAGTTCATTGTAGATTCTGGATATTAGCCCTTTGTCAGATAAGTAGATTTCAAAAATTTTCCCTCATTCTGTAGGTTGCCTGTTCACTCTGATGGTATTTTCTTTTGCTGTGCAGAAGCTCTTTAGTTTAATTAGATCCCATTTGTCAACTTTGGCTTTTGTTGCCATTGCTTTTGGTGTTTTAGACATGAAGTCCTTTCCCATGCCTATGTCCTGAATGGTATTGCCTAGGTTTTCTTCTAGGGTTTTTATGGTTTTAGGTCTAAAATTTAAGTCTTTAATCCCTCTTGAATTAATTTTAGTATAAGGTGTAAGGAAGGGATCCAGTTTCAGCTTTGTACATATGGCTAGCCAGTTTTCCCAGCACCATTTATTAAATAGGGAAGCCTTTCCCCATTTCTTGTTTTTGTCAGGTTTGTCAAAGATCAGATAGTTGTAGATATGCAGCATTATTTCTGAGGGCTCTGTTCTGTTCCATTGGTCTATATCTCTGTTTTGGTACCAGTACCATGCTGTTTTGGTTACTGTAGCCTTGTAGAATAGTTTGATGTCAGGTAGTGTGATGCCTCCAGCTTTGTTCTTTTGGCTTAGGATTGACTTGGCAATGCGGGCTCTTTTTTGGTTCCATATGAACTTTAAAGTAGTTTTTTCCAATTCTGTGAAGAAAGTCATGGGTAGCTTGATGAGGATGGCATTGAATCTATAAATTACCTTGGGCAGTATGGCCATTTTCACGATATTGATTCTTCCTACCCATGAGCATGGAATGTTCTTCCATTTGTTTGTACCCTCTTTTATTTCATTGACCAGTGGGTTGTAGTTCTCCTTGAAGGGGTCCTTCACGTCCCTTGTAAGTGGATTTCCTAGGTATTTTATTCTCTTTGAAGCAATTGTGAATGGGAGTTCATTCATGATTTGGCTCTCTGTTTGTCTGTTATTGGTGTATAAGAATGCTTGTGATTTTTGTACATTGATTTTCTATCCTGAGACTTTGCTGAAGTTGCTTCTCAACTTAAGGAGATTTTGGGCTGAGGCAATGGGGTTTTCTAGATATACAATCATGTCATCTGCAAACAGGGACAATTTGACTTCCTCTTTTCCTAATCGAATACCCTTTATTTCCTTCTCCTGCCTGATTACCCTGGTCAGAACTTCCAACACTATGTTGAATAGGAGTGGTGAGAGGGCATCCCTGTCTTGTGCCAGTTTTCAAAGGGAATGCTTCCAGTTTTTGCCCATTCCGTATGATATTGGCTGTGGGTTTGTCATAGATACCTCTTATTATTTTGAGATACGTCCCATCAATACCTAATTTATTGAGAGTTTTTAGCATGAAGTGTTGTTGAATTTTGTCAAAGGCCTTTTCTGCATCTATTGAGATCATCATGTGGTTTTTGTCATTGGTTCTGTTTATATGCTGGATTATGTTTATTGATGTGTGTATGTTGATCCAGCCTTGCATCCCAGGGATGAAGCCCACTTGATCATGGTGGATAAGTTTTTTGATGTGCTGCTGGTTTCGGTTTGCCAGTATTTTATTGAGGATTTTTGCACTGATATTCATCAGGGATATTGGTCTAAAATTCTCTTTTTTTGTTGTTTCTCTGCCAGGCTTTGGTATCAGGATGATGCTGGCCTCATAAAATGAGTTAGGGAGGATTCCCTCTTTTTCTATTGATTGGAATAGTTTCAGAAGGAAATGTACCAGCTCCTCCTTCTACCTCTGGTAGAATTCGGCTGCGAATCCATCTGGTCATGGACTTTTTTTGGTTGGGGAAATACTATTTTATAACCTATTATTTTTAACTGATAACAACTTAACACCTTTTGCCTAAACAAACAAACAAATAAAGAAGCAAAAGAAAAACTAGTAAAAAATCTACTACTTAGCACCATCATCTTGCTTTTTACTTCTTGTTGATTCTATTTATATCTTAATGTACTATTTCTTGAAAAGTTGTGGTTGTTATTTTTTATTGGTTTAGTGTTTAGTCTTTCTGCTTACAATAAGATAGTTTACACACCACATTTACAGTGTTATAGTATTCTGTGTTTTTCTGTACTTACTGTTACTTACCAGTGAGTTTTCTACCTTCAGGTGATTTCTTACTGCTCATTAATGTCCTTTTCTTTGTGGTTGAAGTACTCCCTTTAGCATTTCTTGTAGGACAGTCTGATATTGGTGAAATCCCTTAGCTTTTGTTTGGCTGGAAAAGTCTTTATTTCTCCTTCATGTTTGAAGGATATTTTTGCCAGATATTCTATTCTAGGGAGAAAGTTTTCTTCCTTCAGTACTTTAAATATGTCATGCCACTCTATTCTGGCCTGTTAGGTTTCCACTGAAAAGTCTTCTGCCAGAAATATTGGAGCTCTATTGTATGTTATTTGTTTCTTTTGTCCTGCTACTTTTAGTATCCTTTCTTTATCCTTGATCTTTGGAAGTTTTATTATTAAAGGCCTTGAGGTAGTCTTCTTTGGGTTAAATCTGCTTGGTGTTCTATATCTGTCTTGTAATTGCATATTGATATATTTTTTCCTAGGTTTGAGAAGTTCTCTGTTATTATCCCTTTGAATAAACTTTCTAACCCTATCTCTTTCTCTGCCTCCTTTATAAGGCCAATAACTCTTAGATTTGCCCTTTTGAGGCTATTTTCTAGATCCTGTTAGTGTGCATCATTGTTTGGTATTCTTTTTTTCCTCTTGTCTCCTCTGACTGTGCATTTTCAAATAGCCCTGTCTTCAAGCTCACTAATTTTTTCTTCTGCTTAATCCATCCTGCCATTAAGAGACTGTGACGCATTTTTCAGTAAGCCTATTCAGTTTTTCAGCTCCAGAGTTTCTGCTTGATTCTTTTTAATTATTTCAGTCTCTTTGTTAAATTTATCACACAGAATTCTAAATTTCTTCTCTGTGTTATGTTTAATTTCTTGGAATTTCCTCAAAACAGCTATTATGAATTCTATCTGAAAGGTCAGTTATCTCTATTTCCCAGGATTCATTTGTGGCACCTTATTCAGTTCATTTGGTGAAGCCATGTTTTCCTGGATGGTGTTGCTACTAGTAGATGTTCTTCAGTGTCTGGGAATTGAAGAGTTAGGTATTTACTGTTGTTTTCACTGTCTTGGCTTGTTTATACTCATCCTACTTGCGAAAGCTTTCCAGATATTCAAAAGGACTTGGGTGCTGTAATCTAAACGGTATCTGCTTTAGAAGGCACCCTCAGCCCAGTAACACAGTGGTTCTTGCAGACCCTTGGCGGTACTCTCTTGATTGTCTTGGACAGGATTCAGGAGAAGTCTCTGGATTACCAGGCCGAGACTCTTATTCTCTTCCCTTGCTTTCTTCCAGTTGTCATCTCTCTCCTTGTTCTGAGCCACCTAAACCTGTGGGTGGAGTGAAACAAGCACACCTGTGGCCATCACCACTAAGACTGCACTGGTTCAGACCTGAAGCCAGCACAGCACCAAGTCTTGCCAAAGGTCTGCTGTAAATACTCCCTGGTTACCACCTATGTTTTCTCAAGGTCCTGGGGCTCTACAACCAGCAGGTTCCAAGGCTCCAAGGCTGGCCAGGCCTGTCCTTCCCTTTAGACTGGTGAGTTCCCCAAGTCCTTAGGTGGGTCCATTGGTGACGTCTGCAAGCCAGGGACTAGATTCAAAAATTATAGAAGTATACCTGGTGTACTATGGCTGAGCTGACACTAAAGCACTAGATGCGGTCCTTCCTACTCTTTTCTCCCCTTTCTGAAGGCAGAACCACCACCACAGGCCAATAAGGAATACTTCCAAGGGCTCTTCCATCAGCTTGTGGTGAATGATGCCTTGCCTGGGACTCCCATTTCAGGATGATAGATTCCCCTCTGGCCCAGAGTAGGTCCAGAATACCATCCAAGAACCAAATCGTGGAATCAGGGATCCCAAGAGCCCTCTTGGTGCTCTACCACCCTATGGCTGAGCTGTTACCTGAGGTGCAATAGAAAGTCTCTTTTACTTTTTCCTCTGCTTTTTGCAAGCAGAAGGAGTCTCATCCCATAGCCAGCACTTACATGAATGTGCTGAGTCTCGCCTTAAGCCAGAAGCCTCAGGCTCTCACCCAAAGCCCTTGATGTAATACCTGGATATGGCTGCTCATTATTCAGGGCCCAAGAGCTCTTCAGTTTGCAGTGATGAATGCTGCCAGGACAGATTCTTTCCCTTTAAGGCAGTGGTTTCCCTTCTGTCCCAGTGTGTGTCTAGTATTATTGTCCAGAAACTAGGGCTTGGAACAGGGGCTCAAGGATTTAACTGGTGTCCCATCCTGCTGTGGCTGAGCTGGCATCCAAGAGGTAAGACAAAGTCCTCCCCACTCTACCCTCTCCTTTCCTCAGGCAGAAGGAAGGGTCTCCTTTAGAGCTGCAAGCTATGCAGCCTGGAGTTAGGGAAGGGTGATGCCATCACTGTCTTAGCAGCCCCAACTTGTCTCTCAATAGGCTCTGTGCCCCTCATTCCACTGTCTCTGGGCCCAGTTTGGCACTAGGACTTACCAAGGGGTTGTAGTCCTTATGGCCTAGACTGCCTTTTGTGTTTATTTGGAGCCCCAGAGCTCATTAGCCCACAGTGTGATGCTTGTGAAAGTCAATATTGGACTGTCGGAATCGGCAATTTTTCTCTGGCTAGGGCTGACTTAAATGCTTCTTTTGTGGGCAGGCATCAGCTGAGTTTGGTCTGGTTTTCCTTTCTGTTCTAACAAGACAGCACTGAATTCAATGCTCACAATTACTGCACTGTCCCTCCCTCAGCACAGTGAGATACTCTGCACCATGCCGTCACTACTAGGGGGTGGGGGAGGCATAGAACTAGGAATTTAAAACTCTTTTTTCTACCTCTTCAGTGCCTCTTTCAGTGATGTGAAGTTAAAACCAGGTACTGTGAGTGCCCTCCTGACTTTTGGTTCTGATGAAGGTGTTTTTGTGTGTGTGTGTGTGTAGATCATTGTTAAACTGGTGTCCTTACAGGGTGGGGGGTGACAAGAGGTGAAGCCTTATATTATGCCATCTTGCTCTGCCTCTGCATCACTCACAGTTTTGAAAGCTGTACAGGAAGCTGGCGTGTCACATGGTGAGAGTGGGAACAAGAGAGAGAGGAGGGAGGTGCCATAATTTTAAAACAACAGCTCTTGCACGAACTCATTAGCACTCGTTACTCTGGGTAGGGCATGAAGCCATTTATGAGCGATCCACCCCCATAACCCAAACACCTTCCACCAGACCTCACCTCCAACACTGTGAGTCACATTTCAACATGATCTGAAGGGGACAAATATCCAAACCATATCACGTCTAGAAGAAACTCCCTACTATGAAAATCCTGGATTCCCATTCTTCTGTGCATGTCCAGAATAGGCATGTATCCCAAGATAAAAGTGGATAACAAATTTGGGATAAAACAAATTTATCTCGAGATAAAAGCAGATAACAAATTCTGCTTACCTCTTCAAAGTACTTTTTCCTCTGTAGTATTAGCACCTCTAGTTTTTGTTGCCTCAGCAGTTCTCTGTTGTTTTCAAACAGATGATTTTGTTCTAACTACCTTCTCTAGTCATTCTTTATAGAAGCACTAGATAATATGATCTGCTGTGTGCTGCTATGAATATGACCTAGTATCTGCTCCATTTTCCTTTTATCTACACATTTGCTTTACTACTAGCTTTTACTTTCTCATATTTTGTACTCTCTCCTAACTAGATTACTTGGCCTGCCATAGCCCTTTGAATCTGTCTACACAATGACCTTTCATCCTTAGTTCCTGCTGCTGACTGCTTTCTTCTCTTAATAAGGTTTGGGTATTTGTCCCCTCCAAATCTCATGTTGAAATGTGACTCCCAGTGTTGAAAGTGTGGTCTGGTGGGAGGTCTTTTAGTCATGGGGTGGATTCCTCATAAATGGCTTGGTGCCCTCCTTGGAGTAATGAGTGGTAATGAGTTCACACAAGATCTGGTTGTTTAAAAGATTATGGCACCTCTCTCCTGTCTTGCTTGCTCCTTCTCTTGTCATGTGATATACCAGTTTCCCCTTCATCTTCTATCATGATTATAAGCTTCATGAAGCCCTCGCCAGAAGCAGATTCTGGAAACTGTGAGTGATGGAGAGGCAGAGCAAAATGGCAGGTATCAGCAGGAACTTCTCAACTCAAATTCCTATGAGAGAACGTGATTGTGTTAGATTATCTCATAATTCTAGATTACATCATTAATGACTTGTCACCAGTCAGACTATGTATGGATTGTCTTCCCTTAGCTAAGTGTTTATTTTTGTCCTATTATTTGTGGCTGAAGTGGGAGGGGGCACATCGTGTAGTTCAAAGCATGGCTGCCTAACGATGCCCCTCATTAAGGCTTTCAGCAAGGCAGTTTTCTTAAGAAAGGCTACATGTGTGAGAGACATTAAAATTGATATGTCCAGGACAGAGTCTTAGCCTACTAACTCCCAGTTAATACCCAGAGAAAGGGAAACACAATAGCTTTTGAAATATCCTGATACTCAAACTAGAAGCAATCTACCTTGTCAAAAAGAGGACCCAGTGAGGGATGTGGACAGGTGCATGTTGGCTAAGCTGGAAGTGAGAAAAGGGCTAGGGACTGGGATGCCTTCTGTTGCTCTGAACTTTCATATTACTAGTCTGTATCAAATACTGAAATCTAGTCAACAAACTTGGGAGGGCGTGGAGGAGATTAAGTGAGTTTGACTCACTCATTCATTCAATAAATATATACCAAGTACCCACGATGTTTCATTTGCTGGGAAACAGTGGTGAATAAAGCAGACCAAAATTCCTACTCTTATGGAGTTTACATTCTAGTAGGAGAATGAGAACAGTAACAATTATTGATTACATACTATGTGCTTTATACCATTCTAAGCATTAACACATATTAATTCATTTAAATCTCACATGGGATAGCTACTAGTATTATCATCATAATCATCATCCCTGTTTAAGAGTTGAAAAAACTAATAAGCAATAGGGTTAGGATTCAAACCCAGGTATACTGGGTGCAAATGCTATGCTTTAACCATAGGGCTTGACTGATTGAGTCACAAACTATGGTAGCCTGTGTTCTGAAGTTTCACAACTCCTTTGTGTGATGGAGAGGTAAATTAACATGTATTCATTCAGTCATTCATCATTTGCCAAATCATTTATAAGCCCCATTTTATTCGGTCCTTACAAGAACTCTGTAAAGAATATACCAAAATTCCAATTTTATAAACCCAGAAATGAAGGTTTAGAGAGGTGAAGGATCTGGCCCAAGTTTATATACCTATTAAGTAGCAAAACTTAGATTTGAGGCAAAGTCCCATTATTCAAATATTTTCACTAAATGTTGTTGCCTTCTATAGCTGAGTAGAGAGATGTTGTCTGAGATAAATTGGCAATTAAAATTGTCTTTCTGGGTTGAATTGTAGCATGGAAAAAGGCTCAGGAATTGGCTGAGGTATCAGCAGGAGAAATGGGAAAGGAACACGTACTTACTACTCCAATAGGAATAAGAATACAGTGTGTTGAGGAGTGGTTTTGCCTCATGAATATGCATAAATATGTTAAACTGTGGTTTCTGGCCAAAGATATGAGTATCTTTTGGTCTGTTGCTCTGTGGTCCACAGGTAGGCAGGGAGGACACAACATATTTTAAATCAGATTGACTGCCCTCAGCCACCACTTCCTTGGTCAAATTCCCCTTCTCTTCCTTGTCACAGGCCCTAAGGACTTCGCTTGCTTTTCTCTTTTTCAAACTTCCCCTACCACTCTGTCTCTCAAGACACCACTCTCCCAGAGTTGGGAGTGAGATGATCCTTCTCTTTGTTGCTTTCTTCAAGAGAAACTTTTTGTGCTTGTAGGGTTTTACTGTTATTCATTGTATGTGTGTGTGGGTGGGGGAGGGCGGGGTGTTGTTTGGAAACAGGGAGTCAAAATGAGAGAACACTGTAGGAAAAAGAAAGAAGGGACACTGCAAGGAAACCAGAAAGGAATTATGCAAAGAGGGCCAAAGGAATCTAATTGTCTTGTGTATACCTGGGTCCTTGTTTCACACTCTGACTCCTATTGTAATACTTCTGGCAGCCTCTTTGAATTCCAGAAGTTCTCCTTATATTTCTAAGGGCAAATTCACCAACCACCTCCCATCACCCCATCTTCCAAAATTTAGATTAATGCCAACCATTTCCTCCTTGAGAGGAGGGATGAGGAGAAACCTTGTATTTATTAAGAACACATTATGGGCTAAATCACTGGAATCTTAGAGGAAACTAAGTTTTAAAGAGGGTAAGAAATTACCCTTGCTTCTTGTCCTATAGCTATTAGGACAGGATTTTAATCAGGGCTCTCTTACTCTAAAGTTTCTATGATCTTCTCAGTGTGCCACAGGGCCTCTCACATGCTGAAGTCCCAGCATCTAGACCTAAAAATACATACAGGTCAGAAGAACAATTGTCAAATAGATGGTAGATATGGTCACCCTTGATAATTTCCTTATATTGTGTGTGAGATAGGAGCATCTTTGGCTGGTCTTATTTGGAAAGTTAGGGGTGAATTCTGGTTCCTAGATGTAATTCAGGGTTATTGTCTTCAGAGCTCAGAATTCACAAACTGATTGCGGGAAGAGATGGAGGAGAATAATGAGCCAGGGTCTGTTTGATACCAGCCTCCTGGGGCTGGATGAGAGTTGCCATTACTGGACCCAGTTGTGTATATTAAATAGAGTTGCTGTCAAGTCAATGGTTAGCATGAGGGGAAGGAAGGCTTATAGTGCATAACAACACAGTTCAACTTTGTTTTTCTATTGAATTCACATCTTATAGATGAATAAATTGAGGCTCAGAGAGGTTAAGTCACTTGTCCACAGGCACATGGCTAGTTAGTGGCAGAGCAAGAATTTGAACTCAGCTCAGTCTGACCATAAGGCTATATAGTATTCTAGGGAATGCGAGGTTAGCATGATTTGGAAGTCAAGTTAATTATGCAGATTGCTGATCACTTTATATGTGGCCAAGCCCCAGGCATAATTTATAAATTAAACCTTGCAGCCCAATTTATCTGAAAATGAAAAGGGGCTAGCCTGGCAGAAGATGTGGTTTCTTTGGTTATAGAAATTTATTACCACGGGTGAAGAGGGCCAGAGCAGGTACTGAAGTTATCAGAACATGAGACCAATTCAGAAACAGTGGAGAGGAGACAGTATTAAGTGCTGAGTGATTTCTTAGAACCAAATTGGGCTGGAAGTTTGCTTTATGAATTTAAAAGGAAGTCATTAGAGGTATTCAGCCAGTGAATATCATGATCTGGCTTGCATTTTAAAAAGAATACTTTGTAAAACATTTAAAAATAATAAAAAGACTACTCTGGCTATTGTGTGCAGAGTAGATGGTAAGGAGGCAGAGTGAAGCAGGGTGACCAGTCTGGAGGCTATTGCAACAGTCTAGGCGGCAGATATTGTAGCAGCTCAGCCAGAGGTCATAGCTGTGAATGTGGTGTGATGTGCACAGATTCAGAATATGTAGGGGTATATGATGGATGGATAGGATGACCCAGCTTAAAGAACTTGAGGTAGAATAAACACATCTCTCTACTACTGCACCACAATTACTCTATTCCTCTGGAGGATCAAGATAGGGGTATCCCTGAATTTACCTATTGGAAAGTCTTAACATTTTTCTGGGTGTTGTTGAGTTGGGAGGGGACAGCTTTCCATGATCATTCTTCTACATATATCAATTGAACTGGATATTGGTGTTGCCCATGGATGCTTATAGAAGTAGAGAAGTTCTTCCACAATGTGGTCCAGTATTCCTTATTATATTTATGGGGTTGGGCATGGTGCTATGGAGTGAATAACAAGGTCCTGGTGGGCCAGGCAAAGAAGGAAGTGATGGAAGATGGCTGGATCTATGTCATCCGTTAGATATTTGGATCTGATATACTACAGGCTTGAATACATCTGCTAACTTTACACAACCATAAATAGTGAGTCTCCAGTTGCTTGGAAGAAGAAATTCTGGTAGAGAAGAATAGTTAACTACTCCTGGCAAATTCTGTAGTGGAAAACGTTCAAAGAATGAAATCATGTGACATGGTGGACTGACTGGGCGAACCTTAACTTGGATAGTCCAGGAAGGACTCTGAGGAAGTGACATTTAAGCTGAGACCTAAATGATGAAAAGAAACCAGTCATAGGACACTAGATTATAATACCATTTATTGGCAGAGGTAACTGCTTAGGGAAAGCCCTAAGATGGGAGTAAACTTAGTGTGTTTGAGGAACAGCAAAGAGAGAGCAGGAAGAGGGGGCATATTATTTAAGATCTTGTAGTTTATTTTCTCTGAATTTAAAAGGAAGCCATTAGAGGTATTCAGCCAGTGAATATCATGATCTGGCTTGCATTTTAAAAAGAATACTCTGTAAAACATTTAAAAATAATAAAAAGACTACTCTGGCTATTGTGTGCAGAGTAGATGGTAAGGAGGCAGAGTGAAGCAGGGTGACCAGTCTGGAGGCTATTGCAACAGTCTAGGCGGCAGATATTGTAGCAGCTCAGCCAGAGGTCATAGCCGTGAATGTGGTGTGATGTGCACAGATTCAGAATATGTTTTAAATATCCAGTTGACAGAACTTACTGATGGATATGGTGGTAAAGGAAGAAGAGAAATCAAGAATGACTCTAAGGCTTTGGGCATTAAAACAACTGGGTGGTATTATGTTTCACGTTGAGTTTGGACTTCTCTCTAAAGACAATGGGAGATTTTGGGAATGTTTAGGTAGGGAAGTGACATGGTTAGATTTTTTGTTATATAAAGATTACTGAACTAGGTGAAGAATAGATTGGAGAAGTGAGAGACAAGATGCCAAGAACTCTTGTTTGGCATTTGGAATGGGCAATTGGAAGGGTCCAGAAGATAAATTATGAGAGTCTGAATTAAGACAGTAGCTGTAGGAACAGGGAGAAAGGGATAGATAAGAGATCTAGGCAAGTGAAAATCAGAGAACTTATCAGGTAACAAATGATATTGTTAGGCAAGGCAGAAATAGATTTGCATCTCAGATCCACCACTTACCAGTTGTATGAATTTTTGTGTTGAATAAATTACAAAGGAATAAATGTGATTTAGGCAAATCTCTTCATCCCTCTGAGCTTTACTTTTCTTACTGTAAAGTAAGAATGTGATACCTCAAAGTGTTCTTCTAATAACTGAGTCAATCTATGAACTTTTTGTAATATCACCTCTACCCCTGACCCATGAGCCTATCACATATGAGGCCCTCACAAATGACTATCCAATGTGAGGGAGACAACTTATGATCAGCTCAATATCTATGAAATGCATGACACAAGGGCAAGAGAGGTCATAGGCTTAGGATGATTTGTTAATGACCACAGAGTGACCCTCAAATATATTTCTCACCAGTCGTTCCAGTCATGGCTTGACTGGGCTACTCAGACGGAAATTCCCACTTATTAAATTTATCCTTTGGGTAAGTCAACCAAAAATGTGCTCATTCTTCTGAAATCAGCTTCTATTCCCTGATGAAAACATGTTAGGATTGGATTGGCCCTCAAAAACTATCTGGGTAAGTAGTTAAAAATGTTTTTAGTGGTTATACGTTTGGTTCCAATGTAGTTTTACTTAGAACCTCTTTATACAACAGATAAACAAAAAACAAATTGAAGTGAAGTGTGCTGGCTTCAGAGATCTGTAGACTACAGTTAGAAAACCACTTAGAGGTTTTTGTTGTTGTTGCCAAATCCCCCTTCCCTATCTGTCATATGAGGAAAGTAAGATCCAGAAAAGTTAAGTGGCATAGCTAAGGTCATAGATTCAGGAAGTATAGGGAATCTATCTATCTATCTATCTATCTATCTATCTATCTATCTATCATCTATCATATGAGGAAAGTAAGATCCAGAAAGGTTAAGTGACACAGCTAAGGTCACAGATTTAGAAAATGGCATAGTCAATTTTATCCATTTTCTCCTTCACCAGTTGACCATTCTTCATTAATGTAAAGTTTAGCTTAGACCTCAGTTTAGCCAGCTGCCTCCTTGAGCCACAGAGTGCAGGGATCTACCACTGGGGAATTTATTTTTAGGAGTTGGAAAGATGTGGCCATGGTACTGAGTAGAAAGGGAGTGATAGGATCTTGGAATCTGTTCTATTTTTGGAGAATAGTCTCAAGAAGTCAAGGATCTCTATTCAAGACAAGGATGTGTTAACATGCCACTGCTGTAATCAGAACAAATGGAAGAGAAAGGAGCAGAGAGAAAAAGGTGAAAGAGCAAAAGGAAAGAGAAGAAAAATGAGGAAAGGAGAAGTGTGGAAGGGAGGGGAGGTGAGGAGATGTCAGGGAAGGGAAAGAAATGGAATAAGGAAGAGAAAAGGATAAAAGAGAAGAGAACAGAGGAGAGCCTACACACAAGATCCTAAAATCCTATTCTCAGCCTGTGAAGTCCAAGAGGGAAATACATGCAGAGGGAGTAGTGTGAGGAAATGAAAGGCCTGATGACGAAATCTTACTGTTGAACTCTAGTCCTAGTGAGCTAGGCTAAACCTGACAGAGCCAAGAGGACTCTGTATTTTCCCTAGACTAGGCAGATCTAAGTAGCCTCCTTTCCCATAGTCCTGTTGCTAGTTCCCAACTTGGCTTTCTAAAAGAGTCGGAATAAGCAACTGGTTTCCAAAGTAGAAGAGTATATGTTTCCTTAAAGAAGAAGCTGTAAAGCTAGAACATCCAGACTTGAAGGAGACTTCAAGCAATGTTTTGCAATTGCTGATATGCAGATTCTCCCTAAAGTGATGGCAGCTATTCTAACTTTTCTGCATTTTTTTTAACCCATGGAAGCAATGGAAAGTCCCTAGTTTTACAGAGAAACCAAATCCTTGCATGACAAAACAACAGTTAGCTGCAATACCTATTACATTTGGAGTGAAAATTAGCGTTGTATTGGTGGAAAAAAAGACACAACACTATGAATTATTTGGGACTCATGTAAAACAAAAAGTTGAAGGGGGCTAGGTGTGGTGGCTTAGGCCTGTAAACCCAGCACTTTGGGAGGTGAGGCAAGCAGATAACTTGAGGCCAGGAGTTTGAGACTAGCAACATGGTGAAACCCAATCTCTACTTAAAAAAGAAAAAAAAAATTAGCCGGGCACGGTGGTGCACGCCTGTGGTTCCAGCTATTTGGGAGGCTGAGGCACGAGAATCACTTGAAACTGAGAGGTGGAGGTTGCAGTGAGCCAAAATCATGCCACTGCACTCCAGCCTGGGCAACAGAGCAAGACTCAAAAAATAATATAAAAACAAAGTTTAAAGGAATCACAAGGGTTAGAGTTTCCTAGAAGTAAAGTTGCAGGAAGTAAAGTGTATAAAAATTGTAGGCAAATACCTCTGGAATTAACATTCAACCTGGTATGATTCCCTATCTGAAGTGGCCCATCTCAAGAAATAGAAGCTCCTAAAATGACATGATGCAAAGACCTAGGACCACATGAACATGCACTATAGTTTGAATGTTTCCCTGCAAAAGCCTGTATTGGAAACTTAACTCACAGTGCAACAATATTGGGAGGTGGGACCTAATGGGAGGTAATTAGGCTGCAAGGGCTCTGTCCTTATGAATGAATTAATGTTATCACAGGAGTGCATTTATTATCACAAGTGAGTCCATTATACAAGAACAGGTATGCTCACCTTTTCTCTCTCTTCCCCTGTCTTTGCTCTTCAACCATGAGATGATGCAGCAAGAGGGTCCTTGCCAGATGCTGGCCCCTCAATCTTGTACTTCCCAGTCTTCAGAAATGTGAATCAATAAATTTCTGTTCATTATAAATTACCCAGTCTATGGTATTCTGTCATAGCAGCACAAAATAGATGAAGACAACATTTTTCCAGGATATTTCCAGCACTATACAGAGGAGATCAAATACTAACTGGCCAACTCTTATAGGTAGCCAGGGTATTGTGTGGTATTTGCCATTTTGTCAATCCATAAGAAACACCTGGGAGGACCTTTAAAAATTATTTACAAAAATTCATCCTTGGGGAACCTGATAAAAGAAGTCTGTGTTGGGGCTTAAGAATCTGCATTATAATGAGTATCTTGGGTGAAACACTATTGTAGGAAAAAGAGTTTGAGGATGGAATGTAAATGTGAATCCCAGTTCTGTTTTCAAAATAACTTCTCTGAGCTCCAAGTTTCTCAACTATAAAGTGAAAATAATTATACCTGCCTTTTCTACCTCGCAGGAAGTAAAAGCCTTTTTACTGAAACTCCTAGCATGGAATGATGATGATGATGATGATGATGATGACAGTGGAGAAAGATGTTTTAATAGACCTTTAACATAATTTGTGTAGTCTCAGTTGATGAGTGGATAGTTGCCAGTAGTGAGAACCTAGGTTTCAGACAGGTCATATCATCAAGGCTCTATATGGCTGGGGTGGGGAAAAGAACAGTAGGGAAAGCTCTGGAGCAGGGGCATGGCAAGACAGATCAGGAGTCAGTCTGAGCAGAGTCTCAGATTCAACAAGAAACTGGACTAAAAACTATCAAAACCAATGCAAGAAGGAAGACTAATCTCACACTCCAACCTACTGCCGAATTGAAATTTTTATCCCCAGTTCAGGACTGGGCAAGGTAGGCAGAAGGCATTTATGATTTCAGCTAGAAGTGGCTAGAAAGGACAGAAGATAACAGCTATTAGGATTTGATGAATATTCTCCTTCAAAGCATGTGCTCTCTTTGCCCTGACTGTTCACTCAGGGACTTCTGATCTTGATTTGCTTTCCCAAGTGTGTTTTCCTACTGAGAAGACAATAAGCTGACATGAGTCCTCAGTCTGCTCAGGAGTGGTATTGCTTACAGAAAATTAATAAATGACAGTTTATAAATTAGTCTCTGGTGCCTCAGTGAATATAAATCAATTATTCCGAGCAATTCACCCCCAGGGAAGCTGAGGCCATGATGTTTATGAATCTATAGAGCTTAAAGGCAAGCTCTCAGGATGGATGTGTTATCCAAAGGGAAAGTAATTTAGTGGCAGTTCAGCCATGGCTTGACCACCTTACTGTACTCAGTGGCAGGCATTGTCCCAGAAGGTCTCAAGAAGACATTTGAGAAATTCATTCAAGATAGAAATATGAAAATTTACTTCAAATTTCATTTTAATAGCAATAGTGTATATTCCTCTTTGTGAGTATTGTTTGAAAATTATTGTGAAGTCATGGACATAAAGAATAGAACAAAGACACTGGGGTCTACTTGAGGGTGGAGGATGGGAGAAGGGAGGGGATAAAGAAAACTACCTATCAGGTACTATGCTTATTACCTGGGTGACAAAATAATCTGTATACCAAACTCCTGTGACATGCAACTTACCTATATAGCAAACCTGCACATGTACTCCTGAACCTAAAATGAAAGTTAAAAAAATTAAAGAAAGAATATGGGGTAAAATTTGATGCTTCAGTATGTGTATACATTGTGTAATTATCAAATCAGTGTAATTAGCAGGTAGTATTATTATGTGTCAATCAAAAATAAAATAAAACTAAAAATAATATAAGAAAAAATCATGAACCCAAAAAAGAAAAAAATAAATATTGTGTCATGGAAAAAAGAATGGTTTTTGAGGGCAGTGCCATGTAATAAATACATGACCTTAAGTGTAGCCTTCATTTATAAAAATTCATTTCTAATTATTCAGTACTGCTTTCCGTATTGATATGTTTTGTGTCTGTGTCTCCAACCAAATCTCATGTCAAATATCATCCCCAGTGTTGGAGGATAGGCCTAGTGGGAGGTGATTGGATCATAGGAGCAGATTTCCTTCTCGGTGCTGCTCTCATAATAATGATTGAGGACTCATGGGAACTAGTTGTTTAAAAGGGTGTAGCACCTCCTCTCTCCTTCCTCCTGCTCCAGCCATGTGAGATGCGCCTGCTTTCCCTTTGCCTTCCACCATAATTTTAAATTTCCTGAGGCCTCCCCAGCCATACTTCCCATACAGCCTGTGGAACTGTGATCCAATTAAACCTCCTTTCTTTATAAATTACCCAGTCTCAGGTATTTCTTTATAGAAGTACAAGAATAAACTAATACAGAAAATTGGTATCAAGGAGTGGGACATTGCTATAAAGATACCTGAAAATGTGGAAGCAGCTTTGGAACTGGGTAATGGGCAGAGGTTGGAACAGTTTGGAGGGCTCAGAAAAAGACATGAAGGTGAGAGAAAGTTTAGAACTTTCTAGAGACTTGTTGAATCATTGTGACAAAAATTCTGACAGTGATATTGACAGTTAAGTCCAGGCTGAAGAGATCTCAGATGGAAATGGGAGCTTATGGGAAATGAAGTAACAGTCACTCTTGCTATGCTTTGGGAAAGAGCCTAGTTGGATTGTGTTCCTGCTCTAGGGATATGTGGAACTTTGAATTTGAGAGTGAAGATTTAGAGTTTCTGGTGGAAGAAATTTCTTTTTTTTTTTTTTAGTTGGTACATAATAAAGCTTCAATATTTAATTGCTGCCAAAAGTAAATTGTTAATTTTAAATCGGAAAATCATAACTATGCCTTTTATGACTATAGAAGAATCTGATTTTATTCAATTAAATTCTTTTCAGCTATAATATTACAAAGGAAAGGAAACTATTAGGAAAAAGAAAAAAGTATGAAATGTAAATGTCATTTTAAATGGTTTAGGTTTTTGAGAAATGTCTAAGTTTCAGACCTTGTTTACCATAATTGTTCTAACTGAATGAAAATGATGAAAGTAGCATTATATTCCTGTGCTTTAAAAAATTAGGTCGACGAGTTGGCACAGTGGCTCATGCCTGTAATTCCAGCACTTTGGAAGGTCAACATGAGAGAACTGTTTGAGCCCAGGAGCTCCAGACAAGCCTGGGCAGCATAAGGAGGCCCCGTCTCTACAAAAAATTAAAAATTAGCTGGTGTGGTGATGCAAGCCTTCAGTCTCAGCTACTCAGAAGGCTCTTGTAGGAGGACTGCTTGAGCCCAGGAGGTCTAGAGTGTAGTAAGTGGTTATGCTACTGCACTCCAGTCTGGATGACAGAGATCCTGTCTCAAATAAAAAATAAAAGACGAAAATAAAAATTTAGGTGAAACTTTAATTTCCTCTGTATTAGTACTCAGATTTCTCAAAGAACTAAAAATCCCACTACTGAGTATATATCCAAAGAAAAATAAATTGTTTTATCAAAAAGACACTTGCACTGGTAAGTTTATCGTGGCACTATTCACAATACCAAGTCATGGAGTCAACCCAAGTGTCCATCACTGGTGGATTAGATAAAGAAAATTTAGGACATATACATCTAGGAATACCACAGAGCCATAAAAAATGAAATCCTGTTCTTCACACCAACAAGGATGCAGCTGGAGAACATTATCCTAAGTGAAATAACTCAGAAACAGAAATCAAATACCACATGTTCTCACTCATAAGTGGTAGCTAATCAATGGGTACACATGAACAGAAAGATGGAAACAAAAGACCCAGGGAATTCCAAAAAAAAAAAAAAAAAAAAAGGTTGGAAGGGTTATGAGGGTTGAAAAACTATGTAGTGGGTACTATGTTCAATATTTGCATGATGGATTCACTAGAAGCCCAAAACCCAGCATTACATAATATACCCCCTGAACTTGTACCCCCTGAATCTTTTTTTCATTTTATATATTTGTTATTTTATTATTATAATACTTTAAGTTTTAGGGTACATGTGCACAACGTGCAGGTTTGTTACATATGTATACATGTGCCATGTTGGTGTGCTGCACCCATTAACTCGTCATTTAGCATTAGGTATATCTCCTAATGCTATCCCTCCCCCCTCCCCCCACCCCACAACAGTCCCTGGTGTGTGATGTTCCCCTTCCTGTGTCCATGTGTTCTCATTGTTCAATTCACACCTATGAGTGACAACATGCGGTGTTTGGTTTTTTGTCCTTGCAATAGTTTGCTGAGAATGATGGTTTCCAGTTTCATCCATGTCCCTAAAAAGGACATGAACTCATAATTTTTTATGGCTACATAGTATTCCATGGTGTATATGTGCCACATTTTCTTAATCTAGTCTATCGTTGTTGGACATTTAGGATGGTTCCAAGTCTTTGCCATTGTGAATAGTGCCGCAATAAACATACATGTGCATGTGTCTTTATAGCAGCATGATTTATAATCCTTTGAGTATATACCCAGTAATGGGATGGTGGGGTCAAATGGTATTTCCAGTTCTAGATCCCTGAGGAATTGCCACACTGACTTCCAGAATGGTTGAACTAGTTTACAGTCCCACCAACAGTGTAAAAGTGTTCCTATTTCTCCACATCCTCTCCAGCACCTGTTGTTTCCTGACTTTTTAATGATCGCCATTCTGACTGGCATGAGATGGTATCTCATTGTGGTTTTGATTTGCATTTCTCTGATGTCCAGTGATGATGAGCATTTTTTCATGTGTTTTTTTGGCTGCATAAATGTCTTCTTTTGAGAAGTGTCTGTTCATATCCTTTGCCCACTTTTTGGTGGGGTTGCTTGTTTTTTTCTTGTAAATTTGTTTGAGTTCATTGTAGATTCTGGATATTAGCCCTTTGTCAGATGAATAGATTGTAAAAATTTTCTCCCATTCTGTAGGTTGCCTGTTCACTCTGATGGTATTTTCTTTTGCTGTGCAGAAGCTCTTTAGTTTAATTAGATCCCATTTGTCAATTTTGGCTTTTGTTGCCATTGCTTTTGGTGTTTTAGACATGAAGTCCTTTCCCATGCCTATGTCCTGAATGGTATTGCCTAGGTTTTCTTCTAGGGTTTTTATGGTTTTAGGTCTAACATGTAAGTCTTTAATCCATCTTGAATTAATTTTAGTATAAGGTGTAAGGAAGGGATCCAGTTTCAGCTTTCTACATGTGGCTAGCCAGTTTTCCCAGCACCATTTATTAAATAGGGATTCCTTTCCCCATTGCTTGCTTTTGTCAGGTTTGTCAAAGATCAGAGAGTTGTAGATATGCAGCATTATTTCTGAGGGCTCTGTTCTGTTCCATTGGTCTATATCTCTGTTTTGGTACCAGTACCATGCTGTTTTGGTTACTGTGGCCTTGTAATATAGTTTGAAGTCAGGTAGTGTGATGCCTCCAGCTTTGTTCTTTTGGCTTGGGATTGACTTGGTGATGTGGGCTCTTTTTTGGTTCCATATGAACTTTAAAGTAGTTTTTTTCCAATTCTGTGAAGAAAGTCATTGGTAGCTTGATTGGGATGGCATTAAATCTATAAGTTACCTTGGGCAGTATGGCCATTTTCACGGTATTGATTCTTCCTACCCATGAGCATGGAATGTTCTTCCATTTGTTTGTATCCTCTTTGATTTCATTGAGCAGTGGTTTGTAGTTCTCCTTGAAGAGGTCCTTCACATCTCTTGTAAGTTGGATTCCTAGGTATTTTATTCTCTTTGAAGCAATTGTGAATGGGAGTTCATTCATGATTTG
Organism: Homo sapiens; assembly: GCF_000001405.40. Taxonomy (NCBI): domain Eukaryota; kingdom Metazoa; phylum Chordata; class Mammalia; order Primates; family Hominidae; genus Homo; species Homo sapiens. Next base: position 67,946,895 of record NC_000023.11, on the reverse strand, counting down.
GCTCTCTGTTTGTCTGTTATTGGTATGTAAGAAAGCTTGTGATTTTTGTACATTGATTTTGTATCCTGAGACTTTGCTGAAGTTGCCTATCAGCTTAAGGAGATTTTGGGCTGAGACAATGGGGTTTTCTAGATATACAATCATGTCATCTGCAAACAGGGACAATTTGACTTCCTCTTTTCCTAATTGAATGCCCTTTATTTCCTTCTCCTGCCTGATTGCCCTGGCCTAAATTTCCAACACTGTGTTGAGTAGGAGTGGCGACAGAGGGCATCCCTGTCTTGTGCCAGTTTTCAAAGGGAATGCTTCCAGTTTTTGCCCATTCAGTATGATATTGGCTGTGGGTTTGTCATAGATAGCTCTTATTATTCTGAGATATGTCCCATCAATACCTAATTTATTGAGAGTTTCTAGCATGAAGGTCGTTGTTGAATTATGTCAAAGGCCTTTTCTGCATCTATTGAGATAATCATGTGGTTTTTGTCTTTGGTTCTGTTTATATGCTGGATTACATTTATTGATTTGTGTATGTTGAACCAGCCTTGCATCCCAGGGATGAAGCCCACTTGATCACGGTGGATAAGCTTTTTGATGTGCTACTGGATTCGGTTTGCCAGTATTTTATTGAGGATTTTTGCATCAATGTTCATCAAGGATATTGGTCTAAAATTCTCTTTTTTGGTTGTGTTTCTGCCAGGCTTTGGTATCAGGATGATGCTGGCCTCATCAAATGAGTTAGGGAGGATTCCCTCTTTTTCTATTGATTGGAATAATTTCAGAAGGAATGGTATCAGCTCCTCTTTGTACCTCTGGTAGAATTCGGCTGTGAATCCATCTGGTCCTGGACTTTTTTTGGTTGGTAAGCTATTGATTATTGCCTCAATTTCAGAGCCTGTTATTGGTCTATTCAGAGATTCAACTGCTTCCTGGTTTAGTCTTGGGAGGATGTATGTGTTGAGGAATTTATCCATTTCTTCTAGATTTTCTAGTTTATTTGCATAGAGGTGTTTATAGTATTCTCTGATGGTAATTTGTATTTCTGTGGGATTGGTGGTGATATCCCCTTTATCATTTTTATTGCGTCTATTTGATTCTTTTCTCCTTTCTTCTTTATTAGTCTTGCTAGTGGTCTATCAATTCTGTTGATCTTTTCAAAAAACCAGCTCCTGGATTCATTAATTTTTTGAAGGGTTTTTTGTGTCTCTATTTCCTTCAGTTCTGCTCTGATCTTATTTATTTCTTGCCTTCTGCTAGCTTTTGAATGTGTTTGCTCTTGCTTTTCTAGTTCTTTTAATTGTGGTGTTAGGGTGTCAATTTTAGATCTTTCCTGCTTTCTCTTGTGGGCATTTAGTGCTATAAATTTCCCTCTACACACTGCTTTGAATGTGTCCCAGAGATTCTGGTATGTTGTGTCTTTGTTCTCGTTGGTTTCAAAGAACATCTTTATTTCTGCCTTCATTTTGTTATGAACCCAGTAGTCATTCAGGAGCAGGTTGTTCAGTTTCCATGTAGTTGAGCGATTTTGAGTGAGTTTCTTAATCCTGAGTTCTAGTTTGATTGAACTGTAGTCTGAGAGACAGTTTGTTATAATTTCTATTCTTTTACATTTGCTGAGGAGTGCTTTATTTCCAACTATGTGGTCAATTTTGGAGTAGGTGTGGTGTGGTGCTGAAAAGAATGTATATTCTGTTGATTTGGGGTGGAGAGTTCTATAGATGTCTATTAGGTCCGCTTGGTGCAGAGCTGAGTTCAATTCCTGGGTATCCTTGTTAACTTTCTGTCTCTTTGATCTGTCTAATGTTGACAGTGGAGTGTTAAAGTCTCCCATTATTATTGTGTGGGAGTCTAAGTCTCTTTGTAGGTCAGTAAGGACTTGCTTTATGAATCTGGGTGCTCCTGTATTGGGTGCATATATATTTAGGATAGTTAGCCCTTCTTGTTGAATTGATCCCTTTACCATTATGTAATGGCCTTCTTTGTCTCTTTTGATCTTTGTTGGTTGAAAGTCTGTTTTATCTGAGACTAGGATTGCAACCCCTGCCTTTTTTTGTTTTCCATTTGCTTGGTAGATCTTCCTCCATACCTTTATTTTGTGCCTATGTGTGTCTCTGCATGTGAGATGGGTTTCCTGAATACAGCACACTGATGGGTCTTGACTCTATCCATTTTGCCAGTCTGTGTCTTTTAATTGGAGCATTTAGTCCATTTACATTTCAAGTTAATATTGTTATGTGTGAATTTGATCCTGTCATTATGATGTTAGCTGGTTATTTTGCTCGTTAGTTGATGCAGTTTCTTCCTAGCCTTGATGGTCTTTACAATTTGGCATGTTTTTGCAGTGGCTGGTACCAGTTGTTCCTTTCCATGTTTAGTGCTTCCTTCAGGAGCTCTTTTAGGGGAGGCCTGGTGGTGACAAAAACTCTCAGCATTTGCTTGTCTGTAAAGAATTTTATTTCTCCTTCACTTATGAAGCTTAGTTTGGCTGGATATGAAATTCTGGGTTGAAAATTCTTTTCCTTAAGAATGTTGAATATTGGCCCCCACTTTCTTCTGGCTTGTAGAGTTTCTGCTGAGAGATCCGCTGTTAGTCTGATGTGCTTACCTTTATGGGTAACCCGACATTTCTCTCTGGCTGCCCTTAACATTTTTTCCTTCATTTCAACTTTGGTGAATCTGACAATTATGTGTCTTGGAGTTGCTTTTCTCAAGGACTATCTTTGTGGTGTTCTCTGTAATTCCTGAATCTGAATGTTGGCCTGCCTTGCTAGATTGGGGAAGTTCTCCTGGATAATATCCTGCAGAGTGTTTTCCAATTTGGTTCCATTCTCTGCATCACTTTCAGGTACCCCAATCATATGTAGATTTGGTCTTTTCACATAGTCCCATATTTCTTGGAGGCTTTGTTCGTTTCTTTTTATTCTTTTTTCTCTAAACTTCTCTTCTCACTTCATTTCATTCATTTCGTCTTCCATCACTGATACCCTTTCTTTCAGTTGATCGCATCGGCTACTGAGGCTTCTGCATTCTTCATGTAGCTCTCATGCCTTGGTTTTCAGCTCCATCAGGTCCTTTAAGGACTTCTCTGCATTGTTTATTCTCCTTATCCATTCGTCTAATTTTTTTTCAAAGCTTTTAAGTTCTTTGCCATTGGTTTGAATTTCCTCCTGTAGCTCAGAGTAGTTTGATCTTCTGAAGCCTTCTTCTCTCAATTCCTCAAAGTCATTCTCCATCCAGCTTTGTTCCATTGCCGGTGAGGAGCTGCATTCCTTTTGAGGTGGAGAGGCACTCTGGTTTTTAGAGTTTCCAGTTTTTTCTGCTCTGTTTTTTTCCCATCTTTGTGGTTTTATCTATCTTTGGTCTTTGATGATGGTGATGTACAGATGGGTTTTTGGTGTGGATGTCCTTTCTGTTGGTTAGTTTTCCTTCTAACAGACAGGACCCTCAGCTGCAGGTCTGTTGGAGTTTGCTAGAGGTCCACTCCAGACCCTGTTTGTCTGGGTATCAGCAGCTGTGGCTGTAGAACAGTGTGTATTGGTGAACCGCAAATGCTGCTGCCTGATCATTCCTCTGGAAGTTTTGTCTCAGAGGAGTACCCAACTGTGTGAGGTGTCAGTCCACCCCTACTGCGGGCTGCCTCCCAGTTAGGCTACTCGGGGGTCAGGGACCCAATTGAGGAGGTAGTCTGCCCGTTCTCAGATCTCAAGCTGCATGCTGGGAGAACCACTACTCTCTTCAAAGCTGTCAGACAGGGACATTTAAGTCTGTAGAGGTTACTGCTGTCCTTTTTTTGTCTGTGCCCTACCCCCAGAGGTGGAGCCTACAGAGGCAGGCAGGCCTCCTTGAGCTGTGGTGGGCTCCACCTAGTTCGAGCTTCCCAGCTGCTTTGTTTACCTAATCAAACAACTAACTCGGCAATGGCAGGCACCCCTCCCCTAGCCTCGCTGCTGCCTTGCAGTTTGATCTCGGACTCCTGTGCCAGCAACGAGCGAGACTCCGTGGGTGTAGGACCCTCCGAGCCAGGTGTGGGATATGATCTCCTGGTGCACCATTTTTTAAGCCCGTTGGAAAAGCACAGTATTAGGGTGGGAGTGACCCAATTTTCCAGGTGCCATCTGTCAACCCTTTCTTTGACTAGGAAAGGGAATTCCCTGACCCCTTGTGCTTTCTGGGTGAGGTGATGCCTCACCCTGCTTTGGCTCATGCCTGGTGTGCTGCACCCACTGTCCTGCGCCTACTGTCTTGCACTTCCCAGTGAGGTGAACCCGATACCTCAGTTGGAAATGCAGAAATCACCCCTCTTCTGCATCGCTCATGCTGGGAGCTGTAGTCCAGAGCTGTTCCTATTCGGCCATCTTGGCTCCTCTCCCCTGAATCGTTTTGGAGGCTGGGAGATCCAAAATCAAGGTGCTGGTAGGCTCAGTTATGTGGTGAGGGGCATTTTCTGTTTCTAAGATTGCATCTTGCTATATCCTCTGAAGGAGAGAAAAGCTCTATCCTTATATAGCATTAGGCAGAAGAGCAAGAGAGCTGGTGGAAGAAATTTCTAAGCAGCAAAGCATTCAAGATGTGGCCTGGTTGCTTCTAACAGCATATTCTCACATATGTGAGCAAAGGGAAGCAAAACATAAAAGTTTGGAAAATTTGCAGCTCAGCCATGTGGTAGAAAAGAAAGACCCATTTTCAGTGGATGAATTCAATCTGACTGCAAAAATTTGCCTAAGAGGAGTCAATTGCTAATTGACAGGAGTCAGTGCAAGACAATAGGAAAAAAGCCTCAGAGGCATTTCAGAGACCTCTGCACAGCAGCCCCTCCAATCACAGGCCTGGAAGCGTGTGAAGGAAGAAAGTTTTCCTTGGCCAGGCCCAGGGCTCTGCTGCTCTGTGCAGCCTTGAGACACAGTGCCCTGCATCCCACCTGTTCCAGCTCAAGTTGTGGCTAAAAAGGGCCAAGGTACAGTTCAGGCTGATTCTTCAGAGCGTGCAAACCATAAGCCTTGGTGGCTTCCATGTGGTGTTAAGCCTTCAAGCACACACAGTGTAAAAGTTGAGGCTTGGAAGCCCCCACCTAGATTTCAGAAGATGTTTGGAAATCCCTGGATGTCCAGGCAAAAGCCTGCTACAGGGGTGGGTCCCTCATGAAGAACCTCTACTAGGGCAGTGTCAAGGGAAATGTAAGGTTGGAGTCCCCACACAGAGTCCCCATTGGAGCACTACGTAGTGAAGCTGTGAGAAGAGGGCCACCATCCTTCAGACCCCAGAATGGTAGATCTACTGACAACTTGCACTGTGCACCTGGAAAAGCTGCCTATGAAAGCAGCCACAGGGGCTGTATCCTATAATGCCAGAGAAGCAGAGCTGTTCAAGGCCTTGGGAGCCCACCCCTTGCACCAGTATGCCCTAGATGTGAGATATGGAGTCAAAGGAGATTATTTTGGGAGCTTTAAAACTAAATGGCTGCCCTGCTGGGTTTTGAACTTGCATGGGGCCTGTACCTCCTTTCTGTTGGCCAATGTCTCCCATTTGGGGTGGGTGTATTTATCCAATGCCTATACCTCCATTGTATCTTGGAAGTAATGAACTTGTTTTTAATTTTGCAGGCTCATAAGTGGAAGGGATTAGCCTTGTCTCAGATGAGACTTTAGACTTTTGAGTTAATGCTGGAATGAGTTAAGACTTTGAGGGACTGTTGTGAAGGCATGATTGTATTTTGTACTGTGAGAAGGACATGAGATTTGGGAGGGGCTGGGGTGGAATAATATGGTTTGGATTTCTGTCCCCACCCAAATCTCCTGTCAAATTATCATCCTCAATGTTGGAGGTGAAGCCTGGTGGGAGGTGATTGGATCATGGGGGCACATTTCCCCCTTGATGTTGCTCTCATGATAGTGAGTGAGTACTCACGACATCTAGTTGTTTAAAAGTGTGTAGCACCTCCTCCCATCTCTCTTCCTCCTGCTCTGACTGTATAAAATGTACTTGCTTTCCCTTCACCTTCTGCCGTGATTGTAAATTTCCTGAGGCCTCCTCAGCCATGCTTCCTGTACACCCTGTGGAACTGTGAGCCAATTAAACCTCTTTTCTTTGTAAATTACTCAGTCTCAAGTATTTCTTCATAGCAGTGCAAGAATGGTCTAATACATTTATGGAGGAATACGTTTCTAACAAATCAATCTTCCTGAAGTAACAACAATAAGGTCTGAGCAAAATATAATAGAACAACTCCCAAAGTCTCTGGGAAGCAAAGAAAAGAAGTGTTATTTTGGTCAGGTATGGTAGCTCACACCTATAATCCTAGCTACTTGGGATGCTGAGGTAAGAGGATCACTTGAGTTTGAGCCAGGAGTTTGAGACCAGCCTGGGCAACATAATGAGACCCTGTCTTTATAAAAATTTTAAAAATTAGCTCGGCGTGGTGGTATGCACCTGTAGTCCCAGTTCCTTGGGAGGCTGAGATGGGAGGATTGCTTCAGCTTAGGAGGTTGAGACTGCAGTGAGCTATGATCATGCCACTGCACTCCATCCTGGGTGACAGAGTGAGACACTGTCTCTAAAAAAAAGTTATATTTTGTAGGAGAATCTAGATTTGGAAGAAGTGACCAACATGGGGTAAGTTTCCCATTTTTATTACTTTTCCCTGGGGAAAGCCACAGTTGTGTCACAGCATGGGATAGAGAAAATTCTCATCAAAATTCTGCTGTCTTTCTGGATAGAAGGGCTAGAGAAAGGAGCTCAGGGTAATGAGGGCTATAGAGACTTAGAGGAGGGGATCCAAAAAGAAGAGATCCAGAAAAGGCAAACCCTACATTCTGTGTAAAAACTATGCCAAGTCACTGGCTAAGCTATGCATGTGTGAAACAGTTTGAAAGCAACCTGAACTGAGATTGAGCTGCCTCCCACCGCAGGTATGACAGAGCTTAAAATTTGAGTCTAACTGAGTTAATTGGCTGCTAAAAAAAAAAGCATCAACACTTTTAGGAGGAATATAAAGGAGGTCAGAGTCCCTACAACATAACATTTGCCATGTCCAAGAAACAACCTAACATTATTCTACATATAAAGGGCCAGGAAAATGTGAGCCACTCTCAAGAGTAAAGATGGCAATTCCAAGATGACTCAGATGTTGGAATTATTAGACAAGGACTTTGGAGCAGCTGTTATAACTATGCTTGGTGAGTTTTAAAAAGTATGCATTCTTATAATAAATGGTAAGCTAGGCAATATTAGCAGAGAATTAGAAAATGTAAAGAAGCTCTTAAATAATAAATTTATTGGGGAACCCAATTTCTTAAATAGAAATCACTAGAGAGATGCTGTGGTCTGAATATGTCCCCCAGAATTCATATGTTAGAAAGTTAATTCTCAATGCAACAGTGTTGGGAGGTGGGGCCCAATGGGAGATTTCAGTCATGAGGACTCTGCCCTCATGAATGAATTGATGCCAGTATAAACAAGGCTTGCTGGAATGGATTTGCCCCTTTCTGCTTCTTGTCATGTGAGGACAAAGAAGAAGGTCCTCACAAGATTCCAGAGCCTTGATTGTGGACTTCTCAGCCTTCAAAACTGTGAGAAATAAATTTCTGTTCTTTATAATTTACTCAGTCTCAGGTGTTTTGTCATAAAGCAAAACACAGCAGCATAACTGTGAGAAATAAATTTCTGTTCTTTATAAATTACCCAGTCTCAGGTGTTTTGTCATAAAGCAAAACACAGCAGCATAAAACACACTATACAGGTGACTTAATAGTAAAATGGAAGTGATATAATAAAAAGTGACCAAATTTGAGGAAAGATCAATAGTAATGATCTAATATGAAAACCAGGAGGAAAAAAAACAACAGATATTTAAAAATGAACAGAGCCTCTGGGACCGTAAAACAATACAAAAATTTTAACAGATGGGTAATGATAGTTCTAGAAGAAGAGGAGAGAGAAAACTGGACAGAAAAAATTACTAGAATACAAAATGACTGAAAACTTTCAAAATTTGGTAAAACACGTCGAGTTACAGATTCATTTACCACATCAGTCTCTAAAGAGGATAAACAAAAGCATGCCTGATTACATCAAAATCAAAGTGCTGGCAATAGAAGATTGAAAAAATCTGGAAAGCAGCCCATGCAAAATGATACCTTATATAAAGGAGAATAATTCAAATTATCCTACACTTTCATCAGAATTCACGAAGGCCAGAAGTGAGTGGGACAGCATCATTAAAGTGCTAAGGAAAAGTAGTTAATTTAGAGATCTATAGTGAAAATAACCTTTAAGAATGTGGTCCATCGTTGACTGAAACAGTGTATGTAGCATATGACTTTATATGAAAGGCCAATAAGCACATGAAAAGACACTCATTATCACCACCCATCAAGATAATGCAAATTAAAACCACCATGAAAAGCCACTTAACCATTAGAATAACTAAAATAAAAAAGACTGAATATACTAAGTGTTGGTTGTGATGTGGAATAATTGAAACTCTTATATACTGCTGGTGGGAATGTAAATTAGCACAATTACTTATTTCATTAAGTTATGCATCTATTTTGAATTTCTTTGAATGCAAATTGCATTCCAAAGTAGTCTTTACCAATTTATATATTCATCAACAATGTATGAAAGAATTTTTCTTCACGGCTTCAACATTGGTATTATCAGCATTAAAAATTTTGCCATTTTGATAGAAAAAAATCTCATTTTTATTCAATTAGAATTGTCAAGATTATAAGTGACATTTGAGCCTCATTTCTTTAATTAATTAAACTCTTTAATTAACTCTTTAATTAATGTCAAATTTACTTTTGTAAATACTGTCAGATAGGGGTCTAACTTTATCCTCTTTCTAAAAGGATAGCCAATTGTTTCCTATCTATGCATTAAACTCAACCATCCTTTCCACAAGAATATGAAATATCACTATTGTCATATATCCATTTGCATCTATATCTATACATCTGTGTATCTATAGTATGTTCCTGGTCTCCATTTTGTCCATTACTTTTTTTATTCTTATACCAATTATGTAATTTCAAAAATTATAGTTTCATAACATGTTTTGATATTTGGTAGGACAAACCTTTCTTTGTTGTTTTTATTTCCAAAAATACCTTGGCTGTATTTGTGCATTTTCTTTTCTAAATAAATTTTAAAATAAGCTTCTTATTTTTGTTTACATAAAACATATTAGATTTTATTGCAGTCCCTTCAAATTTATAGAGCAAGTTGGAGAGAATGGTCATCTGTCTAATACTGCATCATTCTATCCATGTCAATGGCATATATCTCCACTTATTCAGATTTAAAAATATTTATAAGTAATATTTTTTTCAGCTTTTGTTCCATGTTAACAAGTATTATATTTTTTCCTGTAACATTTTAAAATTAATAACTGCTGATGTATGTTGATGTTGAATCTGAACTCTGACCAGGCCTATGATGCTCAGTTTCTTAAGCCCTCACATACTTAGCCAAATGTCTGAGATGAGTGAAGTTCTTTCAGTTAGCTGCTGGGCCAAAATCTTGGCTCAGCTCTTTTTAGCCCTCTTCTCTCTCCTTTGGAAAGAAACCTGGGCTTCAGTTGATTCTTAGAACGACTAGTGGCTGATAGCATCTTTCTCCTTTCCCCATTCATGTGGCATTCTACCACACTAAACCCCTTTGGATCATGATACCTGTTGGGTTTTCATTGAAGCTCATTGCCTTGATTTTGCTCATTGGCCTTTTTCATGGAGGAAGGAGATGTCCACTGCTGCTGGTGTTTTATATATTTTTGTCTCATGCCTTTCTGGGATACTCTAGCTCATTCTCAGAATGTTGCTTTTCTGGCTTTTAAAAACAAAGAAGATACTCTAGAAATATTGGTTCCCTTGTTTTTACATCTCACATGGCCATATTTTTAAAATAAAGTGTAATCCAAAAAGCACTCAAATACCCAAATGAAGTAGCTCCAAATTCCCTGTCCAGTAGGAGCTCCACATGATGTTAAGAGTAGTAGTGGCACTCTCTAACCATTAGGGACAATCTAAGACTACTACTCTTCCCTTTTTCATCAAAAAGACAAGAGCAAAATGGAGCCATCTAAGACACAAAAAGGAAGTTACTGGATTCAGAAAATCAAGGATATATGAATTGGAGGGTCTTTCTTTAGGCTTAGTTTTCAGGGGCCCAGCTGGCAATTGGAGAAATAAGATCGAGAGGACCACAATCTCTGTAAGATTCTGAGGAACCAATGTGGGAACAGGCCTTAGGGTAGGCTGCATAGCACTGTCTCTGGTTCCTGACAGTCCCAGCTTCATCCTGGGATTAAGAAGCAACACAGGGGCTTGGGTCTAGACCTATGACATGAAAGCCTGGAGTGTCTGTCTGTCCTCTGAGAAGTATGTTCTTTGAGGACTTAGCATCATGGTCTGCAGCTATTCCAAGAAATCAGTGTTTTGGGGTTCCAGCCAACATATTTTCTTATCAGAAGCAAAATTATAGTCAGGGCCAATATCTATTTAATTGTTGGTAGATGTGGGCAGACATTCACTTTATTTTTAGTGATTATCTCGAAGTTCAGAAATGTGTCCACCATAGTTGAACAGTATAGGAAAGGGTCACGGATATTGAGAACTCAGCTGTTCAGATCCCAGCCCACTTCCCAATAGGTTCACTGATCCTCACAATCACTCTTACCCGTGATTCCCTGCTGCCTATGGACAGACCTCTAAGATGTTGCCTGGATCTCTGGGTAAGTCCTATTCCAGGTCTCTCCATCACTGCATTGCATTTGCCCAGTAGCCCTTCCATTACAAACTGCTGGACGTTTTGGAATCAATTGATTATTTGGGTTACTACCTTCTGCTATTCTCTATATCCTCTGGGTATCATGTACTCACTGAAGGACTAAACCTGTCACAGAGAAGGAAAAAGCAAAAAGAATGGACTTTGAGTTAGGTTGATCTTCTTTTAATTCTTTGTTGTGTTATATTAAAACGACATATTGTAGGCTTTTTGGTTATAACTTTTAGGAAAAATTAACTTTATGGAATACTTAATGGAAAAAATTAAAGCTACATGAACAATAGAACAAACACCTCTGTAGCAATGAATATTTCATATTAATATTTCATCATATTTGCTTCAAGAATTTTTTATTAAGAAGTACTTAAAGTACATTATTGCAGGTGAAGTTAAATTTTTCTTTCTCTATATCCTCATTCCAGTTTCACTTTTCCCTTTCCAGAAGGAACTACAATAATCAATTTAATATGTATGCTTTCCTGGTTTTGCTTTTTATATTAATAGCTATGCATCTATGAAAATAAATAATGTTTTGTGTGTACTTTATAAATGTACACAAATAATATCATTTGATTTACAATTGGCCCTCTATATCTATGAATTCCATACCCCTGGATTCATCCAAGCACAGACTGAAAATATTAGAAAAAAAAGAATGGTTGCATCTGTACTGGTCATGATTAGACTTCTTGTCATTATTTCCTGAACAATGCACCATAACAACGATTTATATAGCATTTACATTGCATTAGGTATTATAAGTAATCTAGAGATGATTTAAAGTAAACGGAAGGATGTGTGTAGGTTATATGCAAATACTACACCATTTTATATAAGGGACTTGAGCATTCTTGAGATTTGGTGTCTGTGGGGGAACCAATCCCCCACAGATACCAAGGGATGACTATATGTTATATTATTGAGATCTATTGATATGATGTATTTCTATGTTGAAATGGTTTTATGTTTATAAACCTATACTACATTTATTTTTCTACCATGATTTCATAGTCTGCTATATAAATATATCACATCTATAGGTAAAAATTTATATTGTTGCCAAGTATTCTCCATTACAAATATTACTGGAATAAACATATTTTTATGTGTGTCTTAGAGCACAAGAGTTTTGCTAAGGAATAAAGAAATTCAATTTCTGGATCCTAAGACATGTTGATTTGTAATTTTTCCAGTTACAGTCAAATAGATTTCCAAAGTGGTTATAGTAATTTACATCTCCACCAGCAGTGTATGAAGGTTTCCAATTCCCCACATTCTTGCCAACACTTGAAATGGTAGTTTTTGTAGTATTTGTCTATCTGACAGGTAAGAAATGGAAACATTGTTTTAGTTTCTATTTTCCTGACCACTAACGATGTTGAGAATTTCCCCATGTTAATTTAAAAATAAATTTTAAAATTATTTGTTTAAATTTTTGTGGGTACATAGTAGGTGTATATATTTATGAGGTACAAGAGTTGTTTTGATATAGGTATGGAAACTGTAATAGTCACATAATGAAAATGAGGTATTTATCCCCTCAAGCATTTATCCTTTGTGTTACGAACAACCCAATTATAGTCTTTTAGTTATTTTAAAATGGACAATTAAATTATTATTGACTATAGTCAATCTGCTGTGCTGCCAAACACAAGATCTTATTATTATTCATTCTTCTAACTATTTTTTTGGTACCTGTTAACAATCCCCACTTCCCCTCAACCTCCCACTACCTTTCCCCACCTCTGGTAACCATTCTTCTACTATCCATGTCCATGAGTTCAATTGTTTTGATTTTAACATCCCACAAATAAATGAGAACATGCAATGTTTGTCTTTCTGTTGCCTGGCTTGTTTCACTTAACACAATGATCTCCAGTTCCATCCATGTTGTTGCAAATGACAGACTTTTATTCATTTTTACTGGCTGAATAGTACTTCAATGTGTATATGTACCACATATTCTTTATCTGGTCATCTGTTCATGGATGCTTAGGTTGTTTCCAAATCTTGGCTATTGTGAAAAGAGCTGCAACAAACATGGTAGTGCAGATATCTCTCTGATATACTGATTTCCTTTCTTTTGGGTATATACTGAGCAGTGGAATTGCTGGATCATATGGTAGCTCTATTTTTAGATTTTGAGGAACCCCTGAACTGTTTCCCATAGTGGTTGTACTCATTTACTTTCCCACCAACAGTGTATGAAGGTTCCCTTTTCTCCACATCATTACCAGCATTTGTTATTGCCTATCTTTTGGATATAAGTCATTTTAACAGGGATGAAATATCTCACTGTAGTTTTGATTTGCATTTCTCTGATGATCAATGATGTTGAGCACCTTTTCATATGCCTGTTTGCCATGTATATGTCTTCTTTTGAGAAATGTCTATTCAAATTTTTGCTTATTTTTGATTGGATTATTAGATTCTTTCCTATAGAATTATTTGAGCTCCTTCTATATTCTGGTTATTAATCACTCGTCAGATGGGTAGTTTGCAAATATTTTCTTCCATTCTGTGAGTTGTCTCTTCCCTTTTAAAACTGTTTCCTTTGCTGTGCTGAAGCCTTTGAACATGATGTAATCCCATTTGTTCATTTTTGCTTTGGTTGCCTGTGTTTGCAGGGTATTGCTCAAGGAATTTTAGCCAGACCAATGTCCTGGAGAGTATCCCCAATGTTTTCTTTTAGTAGTTTCATAGTTTGAGGTCTCAGATTTTAGTCTTTAATCCATTTTAATTTGATTTTTGTATATTGTGAGAAATAGAGCTCTAGTGTCATTCTTCTGCATATGAATTTCCAGTTTTCCCAGCACCATTTATTGAAGACTCTCTTCTTCTTAGTGTATGGTCTTGGCATCTTTGTTGAAAATGAGTTCACTGTAGGTGGGTGGATTTGTTTCTGGATTCTCTATTCTGTTCTATTGGTCTGTGTGTCTGTTTCTGTGACTGTACTAGATGTTTTGGTTATTATAGCTCTGAGTTTGAAGTCAGGTAATGTGATTCCTCCAGTTTTAAAAAATTTTGCTCAGGATAGCTTTGGGTATTCTGTGTCTTTTGTGGTTCCATATAAATTTTACATTTTTTTTTCTATTTCTGTGAATAATGTCATTGGCATTTTGATAGGGATTACATTGAATCTATAGATTGCTTTGTGTAGTATGGACATTTTAACCATATTGATTCTTGTAATCCATGAACATGGAATATCTTTCCACATTTTGGTGTCCTTTTCAATTTCTTTCATCAGCTTTTTAAAGTTTTCATTATAGAGATCCTTCACTTCTCTGGTTATTTCCTGGGTATTTAATTTTATTAGTGGCTATTGTAAATGGGATTACTTTTTATTTCTTTTTCAGATTGTTTACTTATCATATAGATATGCTACTAATTTTATGTATTGATTTTGTATTCTGTCACTTGACTGATTTTTTATTAACTCTAGTTTTTTTTTTTTGTTTTTTGGTAGAGTCATTAGGTTGTTCCAAATATAAGATCATATCATCTGTAATTAAGAATAATTTGACTTCTTCATTTCCTATTTTGATGCCCTTTCTTTCTTTCTTTCTCTTGTCTGATTGCTCCAGCTAGGACTTCCAGTGCTATGTTGAATAATGGTGGTGAAAATGGTCATCGTTGTCATGTTCCAGATCTCAGAGGAAAGGCTTTCAGTTTTTCCCCATTCAATGATACTAGATGTGGGTCTGTCATATATGGCTTTTATCTTGTTGAGGTATGTTCCTCCCATCCTCAGTTTGTTAGAGGTTTTTATTATGAAGGAATGTTAAATTTTATCAAATGCTTTTCAGCATCAATTGAAATTATTATATAGATTATGTTCTTCATTCTGTTGATATGATGTATCACATTGACTGGTGTGCCAGGGATAAATCCTACTTAGGCATTATGAATGATCATTCTAATGTATTGTTGAGTTTGGTTTCCTAGTATTTTGTTGAGGATTTTTGTACCAATATTCAGCAGAGATACTGGCTTGTAGTTTTGTGTGTGTGTTTGTCTGTTCTTTTGTTTTGATTGTTTTTTGACATGTCTTTGTCTGGTTTTGGTATCAGGGTAATACTGGCCTTGTAGAATGAGTTTAGAAGTATTTCCTCCTCTTCTATTTTTTGGGAAAGTTTGGGTAGGATTGGTTCTTTAAATGTGTTAGAATTCAGCAGTGAAGCCATTGGGTCCTGGGCTTTTATTTCCCAGGATATTTTTTATTACAGTTTTGATCTTGTTACTTGTTATTGGTCTCCTCAGGTTTTGGATTTCTTCCTGGTTCAATCTTGTTAGGTTATATGTGTCTAGGAATTTGTCTGTTTCTTTTAGATTTTCCAATTTATTGGCATATAGTTGCTCATAGTAGACACTAATGATCCTTTGAATTTTTATAATACCATTTGTAATGTCTCTTTTTTCATGTGTGATAATATTTATTGGGATATTCTCTCTGTTTTTCTTAGTATGGCTAAAGTTTTGTCAATTTCGTTTAACGTTTAAAAAAACCAACCATTAGTTACATTGATTTTTTTGTTTCAATTTCATTTATTTCTGCTCCGATCTCTATTATTTCTTTTCTTCACCTTATTTTGGGTTTGCTTTGCTCTTGCTTTTCTAGTTCTTTGAGATGCATTATTAAATTGTTTATTTGAAGTTTTTCTTCTTTTTTTTTTTATACAGGCACTCATTGTTTTAAACTTCCCTCTTAGTGCTGCTTTTGCTCTATCCCATCGATTCTGGTATGTTGTGTTTCCATTATTATTTGTTTCAAGAAATTTTTCAATTTCCTTCTTAATTTCTTTATGGACCCACTTGTCATTCAGGAGCATATTGTTTAATTTCCATGTATTTGTATAGTTCCAAAATTCCTCTTGTTATTGATTTCTAGTTTTGTCCCATTGTGGTCAGAGAAGTTGCTGGATGTTATTTTAGTTTTTGAATGTTTTAAGACTTGTTTTGCGATGTAAGATATTTTTAAATATTTGATTTTTGTGGGAACATAGTAGGTGTATATATTCATTGGGTACATGAGATATTTTGATACAGGTAATCAATGCATAATAATCACATCAGGGTAAATAGGGGAATTCATCACCTCAAACATTTATCCTTTTGTTTTGTTACAAAAAAATCCAACTATACTGTTTTAGTTATTTTGAAATGTACAATAAATTATTATTGACTGCAGTCATCCTACTGTGCTATCAAATATTAGATCTTATCCATTCTTTCTAACTATCTTTTGTTCTCATTAACCTTCCTCGTTTCCCCGCCAACCCCATACTGCCCTTCCCAGCCTCTGGTAAACGTTGTTCTACTCTCTAAGTTCAATTGTTTTAATTTTTAGCTCCAGGAATAACTGAAAACATGTGAAGTTCATCTTTCTGTACCTGGCTTATTTCACTTAAAGAATGACTTCCAGTTCCATTCTTATTGTTGTAAATGGCAGAATCTCGTTTTTTAATTTACTTTTTATTTTGTGGATACATAGTTGATGTGTATATTTATGGGGTACATGAGATACTTTGATACAGGCATGAAATAAGTAATAATCACATCATGAAAAATGGGGTATTCTTCCCCTCAAGCATTTAACCTTTATGTTACAAATAATCCACTTATACTCCTTTAAATATTTTATTATGTACAATTAAATTATTTTGACTGTACTCCCTCTGTTGTGCTATCAAATAGCTCATACTGATTTTTTCTATTATTTGTGTGCTCATTAACCTTCCCACCTCCTCCTCACCTACCTACTACCCTTCCCAATTTCTGATAACCATTCTTCTACTTTCTATGTTCATGGGTTCAATTTTTTCAATTTTTAGATCCCACAAATAAGTGAGAACATGCAATGTTTGTCTTTCTGTGCCTGGCTTATTTTACTTAACACACTGATCTCCAGTTCCATCCATGTTGTTGCAAATGGCAGGATCTCACTCTTGTTTATGGCTCCATAGTACTCTATTGTGCATATGTACCAAATATAGTCTATTCTTCAGTTGATGGACATTTTGGTTGCCTCCAAATTTTGGCTATTGTGAATAATGTTGCAAGAAACATGGAAATGCAGATACCCCTTAGATATACTGATTTCCTTTTTGGGGTATATATCTAGCAGTGTGATTGCTGAATCATATGATAGTCCTTTTTCTATTTTTTTGAGGAACTTCCAAAGTGTCCTCCATAGTTGTACTAAATTACATTCCCACCAACTGTGTACAAGGGTTCCGTTTTCTCCAGATTCTTTTCAGCACTTGTTATTGCCTGTCTTTTGGATATAAGCCATCTTAACTTGAGTCAGATGATACTGTGGTTTTCATTTGCATTTCTCTTATGATCAATGACATTGAGCACCTTTTCATACACCTGCTTGCCATTTGTATATCTTCTATTTTTAATTTTAATTTTTTGTGGATACACAGTAGGTGCATTTATTTATGGAGTACACGAGATGTTTTGATACAGGCATGGAATACATAATAATCACATTATGGAAAATAGGGTATCCACCTTTTCAAGCATTTATCCTTTGTGTTACTAGCAATCCAATTATCCTCTTTTAGTTATTTTTAGATGTACAATTAAATTATTATTGACTATAGTCATCCTGCTGTGCTAGCAAATACCAGGCCTTTATTCTTTCTATTTTCTTTGTACCCATTAACCATCCCCACCTCTCCTTCAACCCCAATACCTTTCCTAGGCTCTGGTAACCATGCTTCTACTCTCTATGTCCATGAGTTTAATTATTTTGATTTTTCAATCCCAGAAATAAGTGAAAACATGTGATGTTTGTCTTTTTGTACCAGCCTTATTTCACTTAACATAATGACCTCCAGTTTCATTCATGTTGTTGCAAATGATAGTATCTCATTACTTTTTGTGGCTAAATAGTGCTCTATTGTGTATAACTACTATAATTTCTTTTTCCATTAATATGTTGATGGACACTTATGTTGCTTCTAAATTATGGCTGTTGAGAAGAATGCTGCAACAAACATAGGAGTACAGATATTCCTTTGATACACTGATTATTTTTCTTTTGGTTATATACCAAGCAGTGGGATTGCTGGATCATATGGTAGCTCTATTTTTAGGTTTTTTTTTTTTTTTTTTTTTTTTTTATGTGGAGTTTTGCTCTTGTCGTCCAGGCTGGAGTGCAATGATATGATCTTGGCTCACTGCAACCTCTGCCTCCCGGGTTGAAGCGATTCTCCTGCCTCAGCCTCCCAAGTAGCTGGGATTACAGGCACCCACCACCATGCCCAGCTAATTTTTGTGTTTTTAGTAGAGACGGGGTTTCACCACGTTGGCCAGGCTGGTCTCAAATTCCTGACCTCAGGTGATCCACCCGCCTCAGCCTCCCAAAGTGCTAAGATTACAGGCGGGAGCCACTGGGCCCGACCTGCTTTTAGTTTTTTAAGGAACAGACAAATTGTTCTCCATAGTAGTTGTAATAATAATTTACATTCCCACCAACAATGTAAGAGGGTTCCCCTTTCTCCACATCCTTACCAGCATTTGTTGTTGCCTGTTTTCTTAATATAAGCCATTTTAACTGGGGTGAGATGACATCTTATGTAGGTTTGAATTGCATTTCTCTGATGATCAGTGATGTTGAACCTTTTGATATGCCTATTTGCCATTTGTATATCTTCTTTTGAGAGACGTCTATTCAGATCTTTTGCCTATTCTTTTGATTAGATTATTAGATTTTTTTCTTTGAGAGTTGTTTGAGCTCATTCTATATTCCTTTTTATATTTCTCACTGTTTGCATATAGAAATGTTACTGATTTGTGTATGTTGATTTTGTATCCTGCAATTTTACTGAATTTGTTTATCACTCCCGATATTTTGTTTTCTGGTGGAGTCTTTAAGTTTTCCCTTGTCAGATGGGTAGTTTGCAAATATTTTCTCCCATTCTGTGGGTTGTCTCTTCTTTTTTTTTAATTGTTTTCTTTGCTGTGCAGAAGCTTTTTGACCTGATATGATCCCATTTGTCCATTTTTACTTTGTTTGCCTATGCTGTGGGGTACTACTCAAGAAATCTTTGCCCAGTCCAATGTCCTAGAGAATTTTCCCAGTATTTTCTTTAAGTAGTTTCACAGTTTGAGGTCTTAGATTTAAGTCTTTAATCTATTTTGATTTGATTTTTTGTATATAATGAGAGCTAGGGGTCTAGTTTCACTTTTTTACATATGGATATCTAGTTTTCTTAGCATCAATTATTGTAAAGACTGTCCTTTCCCCAATGTATATTCCTGGCACTATTGTCAAAAATGAATTTACTGTAGATGTATTGATTTATTTCTTGGTTCTCTACTCTATTTCATTGGTCTATGCGTCTACTTTTATGCCAGTATCATGGTGTTTTAGTTATTACAGCTTTGCAGGATAATTTGAAGATAATGTGTTTTTGTTCTTTTTGCTCAGGATCAGTTTGGGTACTCTGTGTCTTTTGTGATTCTATATAAATTTTAGGATTTTTTTTGTCTATTTCTGTGAAGAATGTCATTGTTACTTTGATAAGAATATCACCTAATCTGCAGACTGCTTTGGGTAGTAGGGATATTTGAACAATATTAATTCTTCCAGTCCACAAACATGGAATATCTTTCCATTTTTTTATGTCCTTTTCTATTACTTGCATCAATGTTTTACGGTTTTCATTGCAGAGATCTTTCACTTCTTAGGTTAAGTTTATTTTTTGACATTGTGTTTTCTATTGTAAATGGAATTACTTTTACGACTTCATTTTTATATTGCTCACTACTTGCATATAGAAATGTTATTAACTTGTGTATGTTGATTTTGCTTCTTGAAACTTTACTGAATTCGTTTATCAGTTCTGATAGTTTTTGGGTGGAGTCTTTAAGTTTTTTCAAATATAAGATCATACCATCTGCAAACTAGGATAATTTGGCTTCTTTATTTCCAATTTGGATTCCTTTTAATTTTTTCTCTTATCTTATTACTTTAAGTAGGACTTCCAGTAATATATTGAATAATAATGGTGAAAGTGAGCATCCTTGTTGTATTACAGACCTTAGAGAAAAGGCTTTCAGTTTTTCCCCCATTTAGTATGATACTAACTGTGGGTCTTCATATAGGGCTTTCATTGTGTTGAGGTATGTTCCTTCTATTCCTAGTTTTTGAGGACTTTTATTATGAAGGGATGTTGAATTTTATCAAATGTTTTTTCAGCATCAATGGAAAGAATCATATTTTTTTGTTCTTCATTCTTTTTACATGACGTAGCACATTGATTGATTTGCATATATTGAACCATCTTTTCATCCCAGGGATAAAGTTCACTTTTTCATGATGAATAATCACTCTAAAGTGTTGTTGAATTTGGTTGGCTAGTATTTTGTTGAGGATTTTTGCATCATTGTTTATCAGGGATATTCAATGGTCATTTTTCTTTTTTTTTTTCTTGATGTATATTTTTATGGTTTTGGTATCAGGGTTATACTGGCCTTATAGAATGAGTTTGAAAGTATTCTCCCCTCCTCTATTTTTCAGAATAGTTTGAGTAGGATTATGATTAGTTCTTCTTGAAATGTAAGGCAAAATTCACCTGTAAAACCCCCACTGGGCTTTTTTTTTTTTTTTTCTGGGAGACTTGTTGTTATGGCTTTAATCAAATTATTATTGATCTGTTCATATTTTCTTCATGGCTCAGTCTTGTTGTATGTGTCTAGGAATTTATCAATTTCTTGTAGGTTTACCAATTTATTGGCATATAGTTGTTCATAGTAACTACTAATGATCTTTTGAATTTCTGCAGTATTAGTTGTAATGTCTCTCTTCATCTCTCATTTTATTCATTTGTATCTTCTCTCTTTGTTAATCAAGCTAAAGGTTGTCAACTTTGTTTATGTTTTTTAAACATCCAATTTTTATTTAGTTGTTTTTTATTTTTAAATTTTAATATCATTCATTTCTTCTATGGTCTTTATTTTTCTTTTCCTCTTCTAATTTTGGGTTTGGTTTGTTATTGCTTTTCTAATTTTTAAAGATGCATCATTAAATTGTTTATGTGAAGTTCTTCTACCTTTTTGATGTAGATGGTTATTGCTCTACACTTTCCCCTTAGTAATGATTTTGTTGTACCTCATAGGTTTTGGTATTTTGTCTTTCCATTTTCAGTTGTTTCAAGGAATTTTTACATTTTCCTCTTAATTTATTTATTGATCTACTGGTCATTCAGGAGCATATTGTTTAATTTCCATATGTTTGCATAGTTTGCAAAATTCTTCTTGCTATTGATTTGTAGTTTTATTCCACTCTAATCAGAGAAAATACTGTTTCAATTTTTTTTTTGACTTTTTAAAGACTTGTTTTTTGGCCTAACATATGGTCTATCCTCGAGAATGATCCATGTGTTGATGAGACAAAATTGTATTCTGCAGTTGTTTGATGAAATATTCCATAAATATCTATTTGGTCTATTTGGTCTATAGTGCAGATTAAGTTCAATGTTTCTTTGTTGATCATCTGTCTGGGTGATCTATCCAATACTGAAAGTAGAGTGTTGAAGTCTCCAGCTATTACTGTATTGAGGTCTATCTCCCTTTTTACCTTTAATAATCTTTGCTTTATATATCTGTGTCCTCCAGTGTTTGGTGTATATATATTTCCAATTGTTATATTCTCTTGCCAAGTTGACCCCATTTACCATTGTATAACAATCTTCTTCCTCTGTTTTTATAGTTTTGGCTTGAAATCTATTTTGTTTGATATAAGTATTGCTAAAATCATAATAATATAATTTCATAATAATATCATAATTTCATAATAATGGTGAAAGTGGGCATCCTTGTTGTATTACAGACCTTAGAGAAAAGGCTTTCAGTTTTTCCCCATTTAGTATGATACTAGCTGTGGGTCTTCATATAGGGCTTTCACTTTTAATGAAATGCTCCTTTTTAATTTCTATTTGCATGGAATATCTTTCTACCACTTTATTTTCAGTTTGTGTGTCTTTAAAGGTGAAGTATGTTTTTGATAGACAATAGATTGTTGAGTCTTGTTTTTTATCCATTCAGCCAAATATGTCTTTTTATTGGAGACTTTGGTCCATTACAGTCAATGTTGTTATTTATAAGTAAAAACTTACTTCTGCTATTTTGTTAGCTGATTTCTGGTTGTTTTGTGGTCCTCTGTTTCTTCTTTCCTTCCTTGCTGTCTCCCTTTTAGTGAAGGTGATTTTCTGTGGTGCTATGTTAAATTTCTTGCTCTTTATTTTTTGTGTTTCTGTTGTATGTTTTTTGATTTGAAGTTACCTTGAGGCTTGCAAATAATATCTCATAACCCATTTTTTAGACTGTTGACAACTTAACACTGCATAAACAAACAAACAAGTCAAGAGAAAACTAATATAAGCTCTATAATTTATCTCTTAGCTTTTTGTTGTTTCTATGTATATTGTATTATATTGTCTGTGTCTTGAAAATTTGCTGTAGCTATTTTTGAGCAGTTAATCTTTTGTTCTGTCTATTCAAGATATGAGCAGTTTGCACATGATAATTAATGTGTTATAGGTATTATATGTTTTTCTGTGTACTTACTATTACCAGTGGGTTTTGTACCTTTAAATGATTTTTTATTACTCGTTAATAGCTTTTTCCTTAAGATTGAAGAACTCTCTTTAGCATTTCTTGTATGACAGGTCTGGTGTTGATGAATTTGTTTGTCTGAGAGTGTCTTTGTTTCTCTATCACATTTGAAGGATATTTTGATGGATATACTATTCCAGTACAAAAGATTTTTTTCCTTTAGCACTTTAGATATGTCAAGTCACTTTCTCATGGTCAATAAGGTTTTCACTAAAAAGTCTGCTGCCAGACATATTGGAGCTCTTATTTATTTATTTATTTGATTTTAAATATTTATAAAGTTATTGTTTTTAATATATGTGATTGGCAGTACAAATCCTCATCCTTTGAACAGTTTTTTTTTTTCAACAGAACCCAAATGATCTTCTAACAGGAAATGTGAAGCTTAGCATAGAAAAACTTAACTGGGCTAAAAAAAGTCAGGCCATCTCTACACATTTAAATGAAAGTTAAAATTCAGAAAATTAACAGGTTAATTATTGCTTAATTCTCTGGAGGATCCTTTTTTTCCCCAAACTTTTTATTATTATTATTATACTTTAAGTTCTGGGATACATGTGCAGAACTGCAGGTATACATGTGCCATGGTGGTTTGCTGCACCCATCAACCCGCCATCTACATTAGGTATTTCTCCTAAAGCTATCTATCCCCTTGCCCCACACCCCTAGACAGGCCCCAGTGTGTGATGTTCCCCTCCCTGCAAGTTCCTTCCAGGTCTGGGTGAGTCTGTAGATGCTGTCTCAGAGCCAGGGCCTTGAGATGGGAACCATAGGAATCTACCTGGAGTTCTATTCTACTGTGGCTGAGCTGACACACAAGCCACAAGACAGCCTTTCCCACTCTTCTCTCCCCTTTCATCAAGCAGAGGCATCTCTCTCCATGACTACTACCACACTGGGCACATGGTGAGTACTGCCTGGCTACTGCTGATGTTCACTGAAGGCCCAAGGAATTTTCAGTGAGCTTGTGGTGATCTCTGCCAGTCCTGAGTCTCTCCCTTCAGGGCAGAGGGGGCTCTCCCCTCACCTAAGACAGGTCCAGAAATGCCTCCCAGAAGCCAAGGCTAGGCATCTGGGACCCCAGGAACTTGCTTGGTGTTCTACCTTACTGTGGCCAAGCAGGTTTCCAAGCTGCAAGACAAAGTCCCCTTTACTGTTCCCTCTCTTTTGCTCAAGCAGAAGGAGTCTCTACCCATAAGCACTATAGCTGTGAATGTGCTGGGTCACACCGAAAGCCAGCATGGCTCTGAGTCTCACCCAAAGCCCATGGCAAGTATTGCCCAACGACTACTGCTGATTAACCAAGACCCAAGAGCTCTCTAGTCAGCAGATGATGAATCTTACTAGGACTGGGTTATTTCCTTCAAGGCAGCTGTTTCCCTTCTGGCTCAGTGCATGTCTAGAAATATCATCTGGGAACTAGGGCCTGACATGGAGGACCTCAGGACTCTGTCTGATGTCCTGTTCTACTGTGGCTGAGCTGGTATTAAGTTGCAAGACTTAAATTCTCTTTACTCTCTACTCTCCTCTCCCCAAGCAGAAAGAAGGAGTGTCTCCCAGAGCTATGAGCGCTTCTGCCTGGGGTTGTAGGAGGTGTGATGCAAGCACCTTGGCTACCCCAGCTGGTGTCTCACTAGGTTGCATGTACCCCAAATCCACTGGTTCTGAACCCAGCACAGCATCAGGACTTGCCAAGGAATTGCAGTCCTGTGGCCTCAACTGCCTTTCAAGTTCATTTAGAACCCCAGAACAATTTAGTTCATGGTGGCAGAGCTTGCCAGAACTCAGGTTTCCAATTACTGAGATGTACAATTTGCCTCTGCCTGGGACTGGTCTAAATGCTCTCTCCATGGTCACCAGCTGAATTCTGCCCCATGCTTTCCACTGTGACAAAGCAGTACTGAGTTCCAATGCAAAGTCCCACAACCACTACACTCTCTCTCCCTCAAGCACACATACTCTCTTTACCATGCAGCCACTGCTGAGAATGGGGGAGAGATGGCGTATGCAACTCAAGACTGTCTTTCCTACCCTCTTCACTGTGTGAAGGCATTTTTAATGGATTCTTCTACTAGTAGATGAAGATATAACTATCAGTAATGTTTACATGTTAATTCCTAATGTATTCGAGTACATAAAGCAAAATTTCTTTAAAAGTAAACTTCCCCAAAAAAATTGTACTGTGAAATTCTACTATAACTCATTTTTTGGCAGATCAAGTAGGCAAATGTAATTAAGAATACAGAGGCTTTGAACCACATAACTATTATTATTAATTTTTATGTGAGCCTTTTTTCTTTATTTTTTCTAAAAAAAAAAAAAGAAGAAACAGGATACATGTGCAGAACATTCAGGTTTGTTACATAGGTATACATGTGCCGTGGTGGTTTGCTGCACCTATTGACCTGTCCTCTAAGTTCCCTACCCTGACCACCCAGCCCCCAACAGGTCCTGGTGTGTGTTTTTCCCCTCTCTGTGTCCATGTGTTCTCAATGTTCAACTCCCACATATGAATGAGAACATGCAGTGTTTGGTTTTCTGTTCCTGTGTTAGTTTGCTGAGAATTATGGTTTCCAGCTTCATCCATGTCCCTGCAAAGGGCCTGATCTCATTCTTTTTATGGCTGCATAGTTTTCCATGGTGTATATGTACCACATTTTCTTTATCCAGTCTATCACTGATGGACATTTGGGTTGGTTCCATGTCTTTCTTCTCCTGTTGAGAAGAAAGTAAGTAGTATTGCAGTAAACATATGTGTGCATGTGTCTTTATAGTAGAATGATTTATATACCTTTGGGTATATACCCAGTAATGGGATTGCTGGGTCAAATAGTATTTCTGTGAGCCACATAATTATGAGGAACAATTTAATAAATTATATATTGAGCTTTTTACCCTATAAGCAGAGACTAAATATTGTTTTCCAGGACCCACTGAATTGTGCAAATATTAAGTTTAAAAATTTTCATAGCAAGTAGTCCAAATAGATATGTCACAAAATGGTTTGAAATAATTAATGAATTTGAATTAATATGTATATAGAATAACTTTAAAATATTTAGTTTTTCATTCATGAGCATGGTATATCCCTCCATTTATCTGGGTCATCTTTTATATCCATCAATAAAATTTTATAGTTTTCTCCTCAAAGGTCATGAATATTTTTTATTATCCTTATTTCTAAGTGTTTTATTTTTACGTTGTTATTGTGACATAATTTATGTTCCTCTAACATTTTTATGTACTTTATTTATTTGTTTATTTAGAAATGGAGTCTCACTCTGTGGGCCAGGCTGGAGGGCAATGACGTGATCATAGCTCACTATAGCCTCAAACTCCAGGGCTCAAGAGATCCTTCCACCTCAGTCTCCCAGGTAACTGGGCCTATAGTGGGTACTTAGACCATTCTGGGCTTGCTGTTATGTTTTTAATTTGGTGATAAATGATTTGTAGGAAGGCTATTAAAGTAGTATTTTGTGGTTGTCATTTCTTAATTTAATAATAGTTTTCCTCTTAAGACATATCTTTCTTCTTTTTCAATCTTTATGTCTCTTATTTTGTCTTCTTGGGTTATTTTATTGCCTAAAATTGGCAGAATAATGTTGTGTAGTAGTGGTGATAGTGGGCATCTTGGTCTTCTTTCTGACATTGATGGTTATGCTTCCACTGTTTCACCATTAAGATTTGTGCTTTAGGTTTATTTAGATATTTTTTCCTGACTTTAATGGAAATGATTTTGTTATCTTAAAATTATGTATTTTATGTCCTGCAAGTTTCTGGAAGAATATTTTTCAACTTAAGGATGTTCCTTGATAATGCTAGTTAGCTAAGATTTTTTTTTCCATGAAATAATGGATGTGAGGTTCTTACCAACCACTTTTTCCACATCTAGTGAGATGGTTATATGATATTTTGTTCCTTAATCTGTTCAAGAAAGGCTTTCTAATGTGCCATTTTTCATTGCTGAGATAAACTCCACCTCGTTATGCTGTACTATTCTTTAAATATGCTTTTGGATTTAATTTGTCAATATTCTATTTAAAGTTTTTGCATTCATAGTCAGCAGTACGACATATTAATCAGGAATATAAACTCTGAAGTCAAACTACCTGAGTTTGAATTATGGCTCAATCACTTATTAGCAGTGTGCTCTTAGACAAATTACTTAACATTCTGTTTTTCTTATTTGTAAAATAGAGATAATAATAGTACCTATTCCATTTTGTTATCAAGAGGATTAAATATATTAATATATGTTCTGGTTATCTATTGCTGCATAACAAATCCAACAGGCATATATTTGCTTTGGTTTAAAACCCACCAAGTGCCAATTTGTTCCTGTTATCTGTTGCTGCATAAAAAAATCACAACATTTAGAGGCTTGAAACAAGAGTCACTTTTATCATGTCTTGTAATTATCTGGGCTCAGTGGAATAGTTCTCTTCCTACACATTGGAATGTCATTCATCTGGGAGAACACTGGGCCTGAAATGTCCAAGATAGCTCACTAATATGGCTGGTAGTTGATGCTGGAACAGCTGAAGCTGTCATCGGAGTGGCTACACATAGTTTATGTGGCTTGGGCTTCTTTCAGCCTGGAGACTGGGTTTGATGAAGAGTCCAAAAAAAGAGCATTGCAAGAAACCCAGGTAGAAGCCACAAAATTTTATTATTATTATTATTATTATTATTATTGAGACAGAGTCTCACTCTGTTGCCCAGGCTGGAGTGCACTCGGATGATCTTGGCTCACCGCAACCTCTGCCTCCTGGGTTCAAGTGATTCTCCTGCTTCAGCCTCCCGAGTAGCTGGGACTACAGGTGCATGCCACTATGCTCAGCTAATTTTTGTATTTTTAGTAGAGAGGGGATTTCATTATGTTGGCCAAGCTGGTCTAGAACTCCTGATCTCGTGATCCACTCACACTGGACTCCCAAAGTGCTGGGATTACAGGAGTGATCCACCGCGCCCGGCCAAGGCTTCTTATTACTTAGCTTTTGAAGTCCTAGAATATCACTTTCACTGGCTCTCAGGGTCTTCTTCCAATGTCATGGAGGTTATTAGCAGAATTCATTTCCTTGAGATCATAGGACTTAGTTTCTATTTTCTTTCTGTCTTTCAACTGGGGAAGGATGGGTTGCTCTCTGCTCTTAGAGACCACCCTCTGGTCCTAGCTAAGTGGTTCTCTCATAACATGGTAGCTTACTTCTTCAAAGTAGGATAATTGCTTTCAGTATTTTATGTCAAAGTCTTATATAACATAACGCGGTCATGATAGTCAATCCCACCCTTGCCTTATAACATAACATAATCAAGAGTAACTATCCCATCGTATTCATAACTTCTAGCCATAGTCTATGGAAGACCATGTACACCAGGGGTTGGGAATCTTCAAAGTCATTTTAGAATATTGCCTATCACAGTGGGCAAAGGGCATGAACAGGGAAACCATAAGAAATACAAATGGCCACTAAATACATGCAAAATGATATTAAAAAATAAAATTAAACTCAATTTACAGCTAAGTTTAGGAGACTTGATCATCATACTGAATGGGAGGCAGGACTAGATTGTAGCCCT
Source organism: Homo sapiens (assembly GCF_000001405.40). Taxonomy (NCBI): domain Eukaryota; kingdom Metazoa; phylum Chordata; class Mammalia; order Primates; family Hominidae; genus Homo; species Homo sapiens. The sequence goes on along the minus strand of NC_000023.11, from coordinate 67,918,905 downwards.
GACTCGGACAGACAGAGCTGCGTGTGGAGGCTCGCATCATGAATTTTAGCTCCAGAACAACTGCAAGTTCAAACTAGGAATCCCAAGAGGACCCACAGACCATCCGGAGGAAGTGGACTGTTCCTGCAGGACCTGGGAGGCACCCCAAATACTTTGAGTACCCAAGCTGGGGAAGTGGGAAAGGGAGATCTTCCACTCCCGAACACACACCCCCACTAGGGAAACTGAAGGTCTAGTTTGAGGGAGAAGTTTCTGATCTTACCTGGAGCTGAGTCAATTTAGAGAGCCAAGAGAAATACAGGGGTAGGGGAAGCAACAGGAAAGGCCCTGGGAGCTTGTTGGGTCCCCAAGCAGGTCATTCTTGATTGGCATCACAGGGATCCTTCAGGAGGGTGGCCAGAGGGGTAGGGAAAATGCCACAGGGAGAAGAAAGTCTCCAGCTGAACTTTGTAACAATTTGAACTGGGCAAGAAACCTCCTGACCAGAACTTGGGGAGGGCATGAATCCAGTGTACAGACTCCACAGGTGGGGGAAGAACCAAAAGCCCTTTTCTTTCACAGCTGGGAGGCAGGTAGCCTGGGGAAAGTTCTCAAGCCCTGCTCACTCACTGCCTGGAAATGGACTCGGTGCTGTTAGGGAGAGCATGGTGAGTGTGAGACTGGCCCTTTGGATTTCGTGGGAGCTTGGTGAGGCCTGTGACTGCCAGCTTTCTGCCATTTCCCTGACAACCTGCGTGACTCAGCAGAGGCAGCCGTAATCCTCCTAGGGACACATCTCGATTGATCTGGGAACCTCACCCCATCCCCCACAGCAGCCACAGCAAGACCCACCCAAGGAGAGTGAGCTCAAACACACCTAGCCCTGCCCCCACCCAGTGGTCCTTCCCTACCCACCCTGGTAACTGAAGACAAAGGGCATATACTCTTGGGAGTTCTAGGGCCTCGCCCACCACCAGCTCTTCTCCATACTACCACAGCTGATGCTCTCTGGAAAGTGCCACCTCCCAGCAGGAGGCCAACCAGAACAAAAATAGAACATTAAACCACCAAAGCTAAGAACGCTCACAGAGTCCATTTCACACCCATGCCACCTCCACTGGAACAGGTGCTGGTATCCACAGCTGAGAGACCCATAGTTAGTTCACATCACAGGACTCTGTGCAGACAACTCCCAGTAACAGCCAGAGCCTGGTAGACTTGCTGGGTGGCCAGACCCAGAAGAGAGATAACAATCACTGCAGCTTGGCTTTCAGGAAGCCACATACATAGGAAAAGGGGAAGCATACTACATCAGGGGAAACCCTGTGGGACAAAAGAATCTGAATAACAGCCTTCAGCTCTAGACCTTACCTCTGACAGAGCCTACAGAAATGAGAAGGAACCAGAAAACCAACTCTGCTAATATGACATAACAGGGCTCTTTATCACCCACAGAATATCACACTAGCTCACCAGCAATGAATCCAAATCAAGAAGAAGTCCCTGATTTACCTGAAAAAGTATTCAGGAGGTTAGTTATTAAGCTAACCAGAGGCACCAGAGAAAGGTGAAGCCCAATGCAAGGAAATCCAAAAAATGATACAATAAGTGAATGAACAAATATTCAAGGAAATAGATAGCATAAAGAAAAAACATTCAAATCTTCAGGAAACATCGGATACACTTACAGAAATGCAAAATGCTCTGGAAAGTCTCAGCAATAGAATTGAACAAGCAGAAGAAAGAAATTCAGAGCTTGAAGAAAAGGTCTTTGAATTAATCCAATCCAACAAAGACAAAGAAAAAGAAAATATGAACAAAGCCACCAAGAAGTCTGGGATTATGCTAAATGACCAAACCTAAGAATAATTAGTGTTCGGAGGAAGAAGAGAAATCTAAAAGTTTGGAAAACATATTTGGGGGAATACTCAAGGAAAACTTCCCTGACCTTGCTAGAGACCTAGACATCCAAATACAAGAAGCACCTGGAAAATTTATTGCAAAAAGATCATCACCTAGGCACATTGTCATCAGGTTATCTAAAGTTAAGATGAAGAAAAAATCTTAAAAGCTGTGAGACAAAAGCACCAGGTAACCTATATAACAGCACATGGAGATTTCTCCAAGACAGACCATATGATAGGTCACAAAATGAGCCTCAATAAATTTAAGAAAATTGAAATTATATCAAGCACTCTCTCACACCACAGTGGAAAAAAACTGGAAATCAACTCCAAAAGGAACCTTCAGAAACATGCAAGTACACGGAAATTAAATAACCTGCTCATGAATAATCACTGGGTCAAAAACAAAATCAAGATGGAAATTAAAACATTCTTCTAATTGAATGAAAATAATAATACAACCTATCAAAACCTCTGAGATACAGCAAAGACAGTGCTAAGAGGAAAGTTCATACCCCTAAATGCCTACATCAAAAAGACTGAAAGAGCATAAACTGACATTCTAAGGTCACACCTCAAGGAACTAGAGAAACAAGAACAAACCAAACTCAAACCCAGCAGAAGAAAGGAAATAACCAAGATCAGAGCAGAACTAAATGAAATTGAAACAAACAAACAAAAAATACAAAAGATAAATGAAACAAAAAGCTAGTTCTTTGAAAAGATAAACAAAATTGGTAGACCATTAGCAAGATTAACCAAGAAAAGAGCAGAGAAAATCCAAATAACCTCATTAAGAAACGAAATGGGAGATATTACAATTGACACCACTGAAATACAAAAGATTATTCAATGCTACCATGAACATCTTTATGGGCATAAACTAGAAAATCTAGAAGAGATGGATAAATTCCTGGAAAAATACAACCCTCTTAGCTTAAATCAGGAAGAATTAGATACCCTGAACAGACCAATAACAAGCAGTAAGATTGAAATGGTAATTAAAAAATTACCAACAAAAAAAAAAGCCCAGTACTAGACAGATTCAGAGCAGAATTCTACCAGACATTCAAAGAAGAATTGGTACCAACCCTTTTGACACTATTCCACAAGATAGAGAAAGAGGGAATCCTCCCTGATTTATTCTATAAAGTTGGCATCACCTTAATACCAAAACCAGGAAAAGACATAACCAAAAAAGAAAACTACAGACTGATATCTCTGATGAACATAGATGTTAAAATCCTTAACAAAATACTAGCTAACCAAATCCAACAACATATCAAAAAGATAATCCACCATGATCAAGTGGGTTTCATACCAGGGATGCTGGGATGGTTTAACATATGCAAGTCAATAAATGTGATACACCACATAAACAGAATTAAAAACAAAAATCACATGATGATTTCAATAGATGCAGAAAAAACATTAAACAAAATCCAGCATCTCTTTATGATTAAAACTCTCAGCAAAATTGGCATACAAGGGACATACTTCAATATAATAAAAGCCATCTATGACAAACCCACAGCCAACATAATGCTGAATGGGGAAAAGTCAAAAGCATTCCCTCTGAGAACTGGAAAAAGACAAGGATGCCCACTTTCACCACTCCCCTTCAACATAGTACTGGAAGTCCTAGACAGAGCAATCAGACAAGAGAAAGAAATAAAGGTCATCCAAACCAGTGAAGAGGAAGTCAACTGTCACTGTTTGCTGATGATATGATTGTTCACCTCAAAAACCCTAAAGACTCCTCCAGAAAGCTCCTAGAACTGATAAAAGAATTCAGCAAAGTTTCCAGATACAAGGTTTTTTTTTTTTTTTTTTTTTTTTGACATGGAGCCTTGCTCTGTCGCCCAGGCTGGAGTGCAGTGGCACAAGCTCGGCTCACTGCAACCTCTACCTCCTGGGCTTAAGCAATTCTTCTGCCTCAGCCTCCTGAGTAGCTGGGATTACAGGAGCCCACCATCATGTCCAGCTAATTTCTGTATTTTTAGTAGAGATGGGGTATTGCCATGTTGGCCAGACTGGTCTCAAAGTCCTTACCTCAAGTGATCCTCCCACCTCAGCTTCCCAAAGCTGGGACTACAGGTGTCAGCCACCATGCCTGACCCAGATACAAGATTAATGTACACAAATCAGTAGCTCTTCTATACACCAATAGCAACCAAGCTGAGAATCAAGTCAACATCTCAACTCCTTTTAAAATAGCTGCAAAAAAAGAAAAATAAAATATGTAGGAATATACCTAACCAAGGAGGCAAAATACCTCTACAAGGAAAACTACAAAACACTGCTGAAAGGAATCATAGATGACACAAACAAATGGAAACATATCGCATGCTCATGGATGGGTAGAATCAATATTGTGAAAATGACCATACTGCCAAAAGCAATCTACAAATTCAATGCAATCCCTATCAAAATACCACCATCATTCTTCACAGAATTAGGAAAAACAATTCTAAAATTCACATGGAACCAAAAAAGAGCCCACAGAACCAACATGAGACTAAGCAAAAAGAACAAATCTGGAGGCATCACACTACCTGATTTGAAACTATACTATAAGGCCATAGTCACCAAAACAGCATGGTATAGGTATAAAAATAGGCACATAGACCAATGGAACAGAATAGAGAACCCAGGAATAAACCCAAATACTTACAGCCAGCTGATGTTTGACAAAGCAAACAAAAATATAAAATGAGGAAAGGACATCCTTTTCAACAAATAGTGCTGGGATAATTGGCTAGCCACATGTAGGAGAATGAAACTGGATCCTCGTGTCTCATCTTATACAAAAGTCAACTCAAGAGGGGTCAAGTTCTTAAAATCTAAGACCTGAAACTATAAAAATTCTAGAAGATAACACTGAAAAACCCTTCTGGACATTGGCTCAGGCAAGGATTTCATGACCAAGAACCCAAAAGCAAATGCAATAAAAACAAAGATAAATAGCTGTGAATTAATTAAACTAAAGAGCTTTTACATGGCAAAAGGAACAGTCAGCAGAGCAAACAGAGAGCTCACAGAGTGGGAGAAAACCTTCACAATTTATACATCTGACAAAGGAATAATATCCAGAATCTACAACGAACTCAAACAAATCAGTAAGAAAAAAAGGGAACAATCCCATCAAAAAGTGGGCTAAGGACATGAATAGACAATTCTCAAAAGAGAATATACAAATGGCCAACAAACATATGAAAAAATGCTCAACATCACTAACGATCAGGGAAATACAAATCAAAACCACAATGCAATACCACCTTACTCCTGCAAGAATGGCTGTAATCAAAAAATTAAAAAAACAGTAGATGTTGGTGTGGATGCAGTGATCAAGGAACACTTCTACACTGCTGGTGGGAATGTAAACTAATTCCGCCACTTTGGAAGACAGTGTGGAGAGTCCTTAAAGAACTAAAAGTAAAACTACCATTTGATCCATCAGTCCCACTACTGGGTATCTACCCAGAGGAAAAGAAGTCATTATACAAAAAAGATACTTGCACATCCATGTTTATAGCAGCAGAATTTGCAATTGCAAAATCATTGAACCAACCCAAACGCCCATCACTCAACAAGTGGATAAAGAAACTGTGGTATGTATAGATGATGGAATACTACTGTGTGTGTGTGCATATATATATATATATGATGGAATACTACTCAGCCATAAATAGCATTGAATTAACGGCATTCACAACATCCTGGATGAGATTGGAGACTATTATTCTAAGTGAAGTAACTCTGGAATGGAAAACCAAACATCGTATGTTCACACTGATATGTGGGAGGTAAGCTATGAGGATGCCAAGGCATAAGAATGACAAAATGGACTTTGGGGACTTGAGGGGAAGGTTGGAAGTGGGGCAAGGGACAAAAGACTACAAACAGGGTGCAGTGTATACTGCTCAGGTGATGGGTGGACCAAAATCTCACAAGTCACCACTAAAGAACTTACTCTGCTGGGCGGTGGCTCACACCTGTAATCCCAGCACTTTGGGAAGCCAAGATGGGTGGATCACGACGTCAGGAGTTCGAGACCAGCCTGGCCAACATAGTGAAACCCCATCTCTACTAAAAATACAAAAATTAGCCAAGTGTGGTGGCACACACCTGTAGTCCCAGCTACTCGGGAGGCTGACGTGGGAGAATTGCTTGAACCCAGGAGGCAGAGGTTGCAGTGAGCCGAGACGACGCCATTGCACTCCAGCCTGGGTGACAGAGTGAGACTGCATCTAAAAAAGAAGAAAGAAAGAAAAAGAGAAAAAGAACTTATTAATGTAACCAAACACTACATGTACCCCAATAAAGTATGGAAAAATAAAAACAACAAAAATATTTTAAACCCACTAAGTTTAAAGGTACCATTTTTCTCTTTGATAGTACAGTATTGGGCAGAATATGAATTGGTCATTTCTACATTCACTCCATGATAGTATAAATCAGCACATTCATTCTGAAGGACCAGTCGGAGCTTAAAAATATATTATCATTTGTATTATTATAGTTTGCTTTTATACTTCCAGAAGGAATTATCATATGTGTCAGCCAACATTTAACTGCTAGTTGTTCATTGAAGTACTGTATGTAATAGCAAAACAACTGGAAACCACCTGTGTTTATAATAGTGTGGGATTGTTAATTAAATCAGATTTACTAATAAGTATACTCTGCAGCCATATTCAATTACTGAGGAAAATACTCATAAAAAGCAGATATAAATGTCCAGAATTATCCCATTAAAGATGTTTTTCATGAGCTGATGTTAAGGATTTTTTGGCTTTGGAGTGGCGAGACACAATGGTATTTCACTTTACATAAGAAGCAACCCTTACATTTAATATCTTTTTAACAGTTTTCCTAGTCAAGGGTTATATAGAATGTGTATGAAGATGGTTAAGTGAAATGGTAATGGTAGACTTTATGCCACACAGAACTAGATATGTTTGATGTTTAGAGGGAACTCAGAACCATCCTAGCTTTCTACCTTGAGAAAGAGTGTGGAGCACTAGAAAGAATATGAGATTAGAAATCAGAAGGCTCATATTCTAGATTATTTCACTGACCTGTTATGACACCTGGAACACTTCTTTCTGCTCTGTGAACCTCATTTTCCCCATCTATACAATGAAAAGTTTGGATTAAAACCATGCTTCTCAACCCTGGCTGCATATTGGAATTTTCTGGGGAGATTTTAAAACTACTGATGCCTGGGCCTACCCATAAGCAATTAAATATGAATCTCTGCAGATAAGGCCAAGGGGACTCGTATTTTTGTAAAGGTTTACTACCTCCCTCCCAACCCCCAGGAGATTCTGCTGTTAAATCAGGGCTGAGAACCACTAAATTAATTGATCTCTATGGAAGCCTTCCAATTCTGATATTTGAGACCCTATGCATTTTGAAAGACTAACATTCAGGTCATCTTTTATTCTTAGTGGTTCTGACAGCCCCACCTCCAAGTAGGACACATAAGGTGTATGTGGATCATCGGGCTCAGGAAGAGAGTCATATAGCCAACTACTAAGGACTGTTGGGAGGGAAAACCCTGGACAGGATGGAATTGATGTTCACAGTTTTACCTCTCCTGGATTTACACTTCTTTCTGTACCCAAGTTCACTAGTTCTTTCCAAGATGCTGAACATCTGGTCTCATCCCTCTCTTTGGTCAGTTGAAATCTGTCCAAATCCCTTTCCCCTTAGCTCAGCTATGGCAGGGTTGAAATTTTCCAAAAGAAACATTTATGAGGAAATTAAAGGAAGAGGAAACAATCACAAAAGCAGAGTGGTGTTAATAGAGAACATAGTTTTAAATTCAATCTATCTGCTGCATGGCCTGGCTGACTCACAGCTTACAAGGCATCTGGTCCCAATTCTCATTCTTTGCCTCAAGATGGAAATATTGGATAGTAGTGGTGCCAAAGATGTCCAGAATTTAGCCCAAGGTAGACTCATGCAGGCTGTTGTGCTAGGTCTTTGGAAATTAGCCCCAATTACTAGTCAGTCCCCTTTGTTTGAGGCTTGTGCTACCCTCTTGTCCTGCAATTGCTATGACCCAAGACTACCCTCACCCTCAAGAGAGATATTTCTCTCACTTGGGATCTTGGTGGATGACCATTACTGACTGGGCATCCAGCTCCTGCTGCTCTTCCTCTGGAGGGCCTAAAAGGCTTCATTTCCCAGAAACCTGATTTTGTGTCTGGGGCCAGATCTTTAGGGGGCTCTCCATTTGCCTGATATACATTAACTCCTTTGTATTAAGGCTCTGCTGTCCCTTTGTGAAACTAGACTCCTTCACCTGCTGATTGCAGCTGATGGGTTTGCCCTTTCTAACTTTGTAACCAAGACATCCTCCATGGAAAGCTACAAATATTGGTCTGGAGTCCCTAGAGAAGAGCTGGTTTGCCTAGCATGTTACTACAGCTTCAAGGAGAAAAGCCACAGAAAAGCAAGCACCACATTCGCCTGAGAAAGGCCAGCAGTCAAACCTGGAAAGATATATTCTTGATTTTTTAATTGATACACAATAATTGTACATATTTATGGGGTGCGTGTGATATCTTTGATATGTGCATACAATGTGCAATGATCAAATCATTACAGGATAATTGAGATATCCATTACCTCAAGCATACATGTGGGAAGACATATTCTATCATGAAATCCAATGAATGAGCACAAGCCAGTGATGAGAGGAAAAGACAAAAAATTATAGGCCAGATAGGCTCTATAAGGGAGTCACAAGCAAAGATGGCAAAAATAAAATAAGAGGGCAAAATAGTGGCCTTGAATGGGATCACAGTAGTGTCCAAGTTTCATTTTATTGATAGTTTTATGGATGGGTTGGCCTTGTTTTTTTCTTTTCCTTGGTAAGATGAGCTGATCTTATTTTACTTTTATTATTTTACCCAGCCACGACATCCCTGTGAGGTCCCTAGTCAGCCTGGGCTCAGATGACCTGATTTTAAAGCACAGCATCTAGGCTGAATTTACAGCCTCTTCCTTATACTCTGTGTATCTGCTTCAGAGTTGTTAGGCTCTTGCCTCTCTCATATGAGGGTCACTACCTGCCTATTCCAGTGAATGTTCCTGCATGATCTTACTTCCCCCTTATGGTTACCAGCTTCCCCACACCTCTCCCTCAGACAGGCCGTTTAGAAGTCTATCATCAAAGGCTCATAATTGTAAAACATTTTACACTCCCAGCAATGAAACAAGCAATTGGCAACAATGTAAAGAGGAGTTCACTCCCCATAGTAGAGAGTGGAGGGCAACACTGACTGGGAAAGCAATGATGGCAGGACCTGGCCCTACTTGTCCTCCCAGAGTTGGGGCAGAGTGGCCATCTAGTATAAAAGGAAAGACTGAACAATGATTTGGCAGGATGGATGTCTGAATTCCAATCTTAACCTTTCTTATTGTAGAGTGATTTTAAGAGCATGGGATTATAATTAGACACAACATGGTGTCCTGGCTTAGTAGCTTAGTAGCTGTGTGAGCTTTGGCAAGTTTCTCAGAGCCTCAGTTTTAATATCTGTGCAATGAAGAGTCTAGTAATACTCACTTTCTAGGGTTGTTGTGAGGCTCAAGTGAGGTAATGTACACAAAGTGTCTAGAAAAATACATAACTAATAAAAGGTAGTTATCATTGCTGCTTGTTGGAATCCCTTATGGTTCCTGGTCCTCAGTTCCTTCAACTTAAGAAACAGGGATGATAAGGCTCAGCTCATCTATCTCACTGGGCTGTGACAAGAACCACAGGTAAAAGTACTTCATAAACTCCAAAGTGCTGCCACAGCTTTACTTTGACCAGTTATAGCGGGGCAGACTGCTGGAATAAGTCAACATCCAGCCATCTATCTCCATGAAGAATAAATATGAAAAAAATTTTCTTCCCCATGTCTTTTCCCTGGAAAGAGAAAAGACTGGATTCATACATTTCTGAATGGGGCTCTATCCAGAGGATAATTAGCCAATTGGGGAATATTAGAGAAAAATCTCCCTTCCAGTGAAGAATGAAAAACATTTGGGGAGATCAAGTGAAATTCTGGATGTGAATATGGCCAGCATGTGGCTGAAAAAATGGTAGGTAATGATCTTTTCTGCTGTTTTTCTTCTTGGTTTTATAATAGAGAGTAAGGAATATAAGTTCTAGCTTGAGAGTTGATATCTAACAGCAGGGAAGCTCTGGCTACCTACCCAGTGGTATATGTCTGCAATCACAGTTCTTGGGTCAATTCCTTTTGGAATAAACATAATTAAATAAATTCACACCAAAGAGCCTAGAAAATTTAATGGAATGTAATAACAAAATTACAGTGTCATAGCACGTGAGAATAGGAAGGATCCTTAGACTACAAGTTCTTTCTCTCACCTGGGTAGATGAGCAATGATGACATTTGAACTGATTCAATCCCTTGAGAAGCATTAGTTGTCAGCCTAGAATATGACAGAAATATGTCAGAAGTTGAGTGTATGTTTGTGAGTGGGAAAATATCTCTGTCCTTATTGAGTTTATAGTCTAGTAGGGAAAAGAGAGAATATGCAAGTAAACAAATGAATAAATTAAACATATGTACAAAATTTGAAGTGCTATAAACATAAGCAAATACTGAGGTAGAGAATAAATATGTGGTGGGAGAGAGGAAATTTGTTAGAATTGTTTGTACATGATGGGTTCAGGAGAAGTCTCAGAAAGGATTTAAGTTTATTTTGTTATTTTTAATTTTTGTGGGTACATAATAGGTGTATATATTTATGAGGTACATGAGATATTTTGATACAGGTATGTGATACATAATAATCTCATCATGGAAAATGAGATATTCATCCCCTCAAGCACTTATCCTTTGTGTTACAAACAATCAAATTATACTTTTAGTTATTTAAAAATGTGAAATTAAATTATTTTGACTATAATAATTTAAGTCAGGTGACTGTTGTGCTAGTAAATACTAGGTCTTATTCAATCTTTCTAATTATTTTTTTCTGTACCCATTAACCATTTCCACCTTCTCCCTGCCACTACCCTTCTCAGTCTCTGGTAGCCATCCTTCTACTCTCTATCTCCATGAGTTTAATTGTTTTGATTTTTAGATCCCACAAATAAGTGAGAACATGTGACATTTGTCTTTCTGTGCCAGCTTTATTTCATTTAACAATAACCACCAGTTCCATCCATGTTCTTGCAAATGACAGGTTCTCATTCTTTTTTATGGTTGAATAGTACTCCATTGTGTATAAGTGCCACATTTTCCTTATCCATTCATCTATTGATGGACACTTAGGTTATTTTCAAATCTTAGCTATTGTGAAGAGTGCTGCAACAAACATGGGAATGTAGATACCTCTTTGGTATACTAATTTCCTTTCTCCTGATTATATGCTCAGCAGTGGGATTGCTGTATCATATAGTAGCCCTATTTTTAGTTTTTTGAGAAATCCCTAAACCATTCTTCATAGTAGCTGTACTAATTTACATTGCTGCCAATACTGTATGAATGTTATCCTTTCTGAATATTCTCATCAGCATTTGTTATTGCCTGTCTTTCAGATATAAGGCATTTTAACTGGAGTGAGATGATATTGTAGGTTTGATTTGCATTTCTCTGACTATCAATGATGTTGAGCACCTTTTCATATGCCTGTTTGCCATGTGTATGTCTTCTTTTGAGAACTGTCTGTTCAGATTTTTTGACCATTTCTTAATTGGACTATTAGATTTTTTTTCTTGAGGGTTGTCTGAGCTCCTATATATTCTGGTTATTAATTCTTTGTCAGATGGATAGTTTGCAAATATTTTCTCCCATTCTGTGGGTTGTCTCTTCAATTTGTTGATTGTGCTCTTTGCTGTGCAGAAACTTTTCAATATCTTCTGATTCCATTTGTCCATTTTTGCCTTGGTTGCCTGTGCTTGAGAATTATTGCTCAAGAAATTTTTGCCCAGATCAACGTCCTGGAGAGTTTCCCCAATGTTTCCTCGCAGTTTGGGGTCTTAGATTTAAGTCTTTAATCCAGCTTATTTTGATTTTTATACATGGTGAGAGGTAGGCTCATAGTTTCATTCTCTTGCGTATGAATATTCAGTTATCCCAACACCATTAATTAAAGAATCTTTCTTTTCCTCAGTGTATGTTTTTGGCACATTTGTCAAAAATGAGTTCACTGTAGGTGTGTAGATTTGTTTCTGGGTTCTCTGTTCTGTTCACCTGTGTGTGTGTTTTTATGCCAGTATTATGCTGTTTTGATTTCTATAGCTCTGTAGTATAATTTGAAGTCAGGTAATGTGATACATTCAGTTTTGTTTTTTTTTTTAATTTTAATTTTTAGTTTTTGTGTGTACCGTATATAGTAGGTGTATATATTTATGGGGTAACTGAGATATTTTGATGCAGGCATGCAATGTGAAATAAGCACATCATGGAGAATAGGGTGCTCATCCCCTCAAACATTTATTTTTTGAATTATAAACAATCCAATTGCACTCTAAACTGTGTTCAAATGTACAATTATTATTTACTATAGTCACTCTATTATGCTACCAAATAATAGGTCTTATTCATTTTTACTATTTTTTTGTACTGATTAACCATCCTCACTCCTCCGTCCCCCACCCAAGGACCCCACTACCCTTTCCAGCCTCTGGTAATTATTGTTCTACTCTTTATGTCCATGAGTTTTATTCTTTTAATTCTTAGATCACACAAATAATGAGAACATGCAATGTTTGTCTTTCCGTGCCTGGATTATTTCACTGAACATGATGATCTCCATTTCCATTCATGTTGTTGCAAATGACTGGATCTCATTCTTTTTATGGCTAAATAGTACTCCATTGTGTGTCTGTTCCACATTTTCTTTATCTATTCATATGTCAACAGACACTTAGGTTTCTTCCAAAACTTAGCTACTGTAAACAGTGCTGCAACAATCGTAAGAGTAAAGATATCTCTTCAATATACTGATTTACTTTCTTTTGGGTATTTACTAAGCAGTGGGATTGCTGGATCATATGGTGGCTCATTTTTAGATGTTTGAGGAACTTCCAAACTATTCTCTGTAGTGGTTGTACTAATTTACTCCCCTCCACCAGTATATGAGGATTACGTTTTCTCCACATTCTCACCAGCATTTGTTATTGCCTGTCTTTTGGATATAAACAATTTTATCTGGGTTGAGATGATGTTTCATGGTAGTTTTGATTTGCATTTTTCTGATGATTAATGATGTTAAGCATCTTTTCTTATGCTTTGTTTGCCATTTGTATGTCTTCTTTTGAGAGATGTCTATTCAAATTTTCCCCCATTTTTGATTGGATTATTGAATTTCTTTTCCTATAGACTGGTTTGAGCTCCTTCTATATTTTGGTCAGTTGGATAGTTCGCTAAGATTTCCTCCCATTCTATGGGCTGTATCTTCACTTTGTTGATTATATCTTTTGCTGTGCAGAAGCTTTTTAACTTTCCTCCTTTTTTATTTTTTGGAAGAGTTTGAGTAGAATTGGTGTCAGTTCTTCTTAAATATTTGGTAGAATTCAGCACTGAAGCCATTGGATTCTGGGATTTTCTTTACCAAAAGACTCTTTATTACAGCTTTGATCTTGTTATTTGTTATTGGTCTGTTCAGTTTTTGGATTTCTTCACAGTTCAATCTTTGTAGGTTGTAGGTGTCCAGGAATTTATCTATTTTTTTCTAGGTTTTCCAATTTATTGGCATATACTTGCTCAAAGTAGTTACTAATGATCTTTTGAATTCCTGCAATATCAGTTGTAATGTCTTCTTTTTAATCTCTGTATTCATTTAGTTAGTTAGTTCCTCTCTGTTTTTTCTTAGAATAGCTAAAGGTTTGTCAATTTTGTTCATCTTTTTAAAAAGACCAATTACTGGCCAAATTAGTTGACTAGAAGCACCTAGTGTGTGCCACTCTGACGGAGAGAAATAAAAGGTGCAAGTAAATACAGCACCTTCGACTGAAACACCCAGTTACATGCATTGGCATTAATTAAGAAAACAACTCGACCCATGGAGAACAGAGAAAGCAAGGCTGAATAATTGCCCACTTGGGAGCAACACAAAGCCAGTGAAGTCTCCCTTGCCCAGGTAAGTGGTGAGGGAGTGACCCCAGGGACCCATGCTTCATCCATGAATCTTTGCAACCCTTGGGTGAGGTGATCCTGTTGCGATCCCACCCCACCAGGGCCTTCAGTCTGACGTGCAGAGCTGCATGGAGTCTTGGCAGAGCATCAGCTTAGGCAAGTACAAAGCCCTGGAAGCTTTAGATACCCAGGCTTCCCAACAAAAGTGGCTGAATACATACTTATAAAAAAGGTGCTGAACCCAGGGGGCTGAGCAGTGATGGTCTGCCAGCCCCACTTCCATGGCATCTCTAAGGATAAGACCCACTGACTTGGGACTCCAGCCAGCCATAGGTAGCAGTGTTACACCCCACTGAGAAGGAGCTTCCAGAGGGAGGGAAAGGCCATCATCTTTGCTGTTTTACATCCTTAGCCATTGATGCCTTCAGGCTCCTGGGAGTCTGAGCTGACTAAGGACTGGAGTGGCCCCCTAGCACAGTGCAGCATTTCTACGAAGAGGCAACCAGACTGCTTTTTCACTTAGGTCCTGGATCCCATTTCTCTTCACTGGGCAGAACCTTCTGACCAAGGTCTAGAGCTACCCCCGCTGGTGTTTTCCAGCCAGCAGTAGTTCCAAAACTCCCTGAGACAGAACTCCCAGAGGGAGGGGCAGGCCACAATCTTTGCTGTTTTGCAGCCTTATCAGTAGTTTCCTTTCAGCTTTGGAGGGTCCAAGGTGACTGGGGGGCTGAAGTAGACAACCAACACAGCACAGCTGCTCTATGAAAATGCAGCCAGACTGCTTTTTAATGCAGGTCCCTGGGCCCGTTCCTCCTCATGGGGTGGGATCTCCTGACCGTGGTCCCCAGCCACTCCCATCAGTGTGTTTGGACTGGCAACAGGTTCGTACCTTTCTGGGACAGAGCTCCTGGATGGAGAGGCATGCTATAGTCTTTGCTGTTTTGCAGCCTTCATTGTTGATACCTTCAGGTACTGAAAAATCCCAGGTGACTAGGAACTAGAGCAGATCCTCAGCATACTGCAGCAGCCCTACAAAAAACCTGGCCAGACTGTTTGTTATGAGGGTCCCGAATCCCATATCTTCTCACTGGAGGATCTTTGTGGCTTGGGTCTTCACCCACCCCCTGGGACTATCAAGCCGGTAGCATTTCTGTAATTCCCTGGGACAGAACTCCCAGTGGGAGAGGTGGGTTGCCATCTTTGCTGTCTTGCAGTTCTTGCCCTTGATGTTTCCAGGCTCTGGAGAGTCTGCAGGCCCAAGGGCTTTTCTGGACACCCAGAAGAGCACCCACCTCATGGAAAAGTGGTCAGACTGTTCTCCACACAGTTTCCAGTCCTCAATTCTCCTCACTGGGCAGGGCTGCCTGACCTGGGACGCCAGGAAAACCATTCTGCCCCTACATGACCACTTCAATCAGAAACAGCTCGGTAGTTTGGCTGGGTGTGGTGCCTCATGCCTGTAATGCCAGCATTTTGGGAGGCCAAGGCAGATGGATCACTTGGGGTCAGGAGTTCGAGACCAGCCTGGCCAACATGGTGAAACCACAACTCTACTAAAAATATATATATATATATATATATATATATATATATATATATATATATATATTAGCCAGGCATGGTGGTGCATTCCTGTAATCCCAGGACTTTGGAAGGCTGAGGCAGGTGGATTACTTGAGGTCAGGAGTTCAAGACCAGCCTAGCCAACATGTTGAAACCCCATCTCTACTAAAAAAAAAAAAATACAAAAATTAGCCAGGCATGGTGGCACATGCCTATAATCCCAGCTACCCTGGAGGCTGAGGCAAGAGAATCGCTTGAACCTGGGAGGCAGAAGTTGCACTGAGCCAAGATCGTGCCAATGCACTCCAGCCTGCGTGACAGAGTGAGACTTCATCTCAAAAACCACAAACAAACCCAGCCCAGCAGTTAAAGAAACATCCACATGCAGAGGTGAGAAAGAACCAATGCATGAACTCTGGCTCTCAAATGCCAGAGTGTCTTATGTCCTCCAAACAGTGGGACTAGTTCTCCAACAAGGGTTCTTAACCAAGATGAGTTGGCTAAAATGACAGAAATAGAATTCAGAATATGGATAGGAATAAGATCATGAGGATTCACTAGAATGGCAAAATCCAATCCAAGGAAACTAAGAATCATAATAAAATTATACAGGAGCTGACAGACAAAATAGCCAGTACAATATAGACCCTAACTGATCTGATCAAGCTGAAAACTACACTACAAGAATTTTACAATGCAATTGCAAGTATTAATAGCATAATAGACCAAGCTGAGGAAAGAATGTCAGAATGTGAAGACTGGCTCTCTGAAATAAGACAGTCAGAAAAAAAAAAAAAAAAAGAGAATGAAGGAACAAACAAAATCCATGAGAAAAAATGAAATTATATAAAAAGACCAAATCTATGAATCATTGGCATCCCTGAAATGGACAGGAAGAATGTAAACAACCTGGAAAACATACTTCTGGATATTATCTATAAAAACTTTCCCAACCTTGCTAGAGAGGCCAACAGTCAAATTCAGAAAATACAGAGAACACCTGCAAGATTTTACACAGGAAGATTATCCCCAAGAAACAGTCATCAGATTTTCCAAGGTTGGAATGAAAAAAAGAATGTTAAAAGGGCACATCACCTAGGAAAGGAACCATATCAGGCTAACCATGAACCTCTCGGCAGAAACACTATAAGCCAGAAGACATTGGGGGCCTATATTCAACATTCTTAAAGAGAAAAAAAATCTTCAACCGACAATGTCATGTCCAGTTGTATTAGTTGGTTCTTGTATAGCTATAAAGAAATACCTGAGACTGGCTAATTTATAAGAAAAGAGATTTAATTGGCTCATGGTTTCACAGGCTGTTCAGGAGGAATGATGGCTTCTGCACAGCTTCTTGGAGGCCTCAGGAAACTTACGATCATGGTGATAGTTGAATCTCTTCCTCCTGCTGCAGCATCTTACATGGCCAGAGCAGGGGGAAAAGAGAGAGGGAGAAGGTGCTACACACTTTTAAATAACCATATCGCATGAAAACTCTATCACAAGAACAGCAATGGTCCAAGAAAATGGTGCTAAACCATTAGAAACCACCCCCATGATCCAATCACCTCTCACCAGGCCCTAGCTCCAACATTGGGAATTAAAATCAAACATGAGATTTGGGTGGGGACACAGATCAAAACCATATCGCCAGCCAAACAAAGCTTCTTCAGCAAAGGAGAAATATTTTTTTTTCTCAGATAGGCAAATGCTGAGGGAGTTTGTTATCACCATATCTGCCCTACAAGACATTTTGAAAGAATAACTAAATATGGAAAGGAAAGACCATTTTCAGCCAATACAAAAGCACACTTAATTGCACAGAACAGTGACACTATAATACAAACACACAAACATGCTGGCATAATAACCAGCTAACAACAAAATGACAGGATCAAATCCACACATGTCAATACAAATCTTGAATGTAAACAGGCTCAATGGTCCATTTAAAAGGCACAGAGTGTCAAGCTAGATAAAAAAGCAATACCCAAGGATATGGAGTTTTTATGAGACCCATCTTACATTCAATGACCACCCCCCCAACATAGACTTAAAATAAAGGTATGGAGAAAAATCTACCAAGCACATGGAAATCAGTACAAAGCAGGGGTTGCAATCCTGATTTTAGACAAAACAGACTTTAAACCAATAAATGTTTACAAAGACAAAGAAGAGCATTACATAATGGTAAAGAGTTTAATTCAACAAGAATGCCTAACGATTCTAAGTATATGTGCACTCAACACAAGAGCATGCAGGTTCATAAATCAAGTTCTTAGAGACCTACAAAAAGACTTTGATTCCCACACAGAAACAGTAGGAGACTTCAACACTCTACTGACAGTATCAGACAGATCATCAAGGCAGAAAATTAACAAAGATATTCAGAACCTGAACTCAACATTGGACCAAATGGATCTGATGCACATCTTCACAACTCTCCACCCCAAAACAACACAATATACATTCTTCTAATAGTCACATGGCACATACTTTAAGATGAACCACATAATCAGACATAAAACAATCACCACCAAATACAAAATAACCAAAATCATACCAAACACACTCTTGGACCATAGCAGAATAAAAATAAAAATAAAAACTTTAAAAAACTCTCAAAACCATGCAATACATGATAATTGAATTACCTGCTCCTGAATGATTTTTGAGTAAATAATGAAATTAAGGCAGAAATCAAGAAGTTCTCTGAAACGAATGAGAACAAAGATAATAAATATCAGAATCTCTGGGAAACAACCAAGGCAGTCTTAAGAGATAAACTTATGGCACTAAGTGTACACATCAAAAAGTTAGAAAGACCTCTAGTTTACAATGTAATATTACAACTAAAAGAACTAGAGAACCAAGAGTAAGCCAACCCCCAAGCTAGCAGAAGACAAGAAATAACCAAAATCAGAGATGAATTGAAGGAGATGGAGACACAAAAACCATTCAAAAGATCAATAAATCTGGGAGTTTTTTGTTTGAACAAATTAATAGGATAGATAGACCACTAGTTAGACTAATAAGGAAGAAAACAGAGAAAATAAAAATAAACACAATCAGACATAATTAATGGAAAGTTATTACTGATGCCACTGAAATACAAATAACTTTCAGAAACTACTATGAATACCTCTATGTGCACAAACTAGAAAACCTAGAAAAAAGGAATAAATTCCTGGAACATACACCCTCCCAAGACTCAACCAGGAAGACACCGAATTCCTAAACAGACCAATAATAAGCACTGAAATTGAATTAGTGACAAAATGGCCTACCAACCAAAAAAAGCCCAGGACCAGACAGATTCATAGTCAAATTCTACCAGATGTACTAAGAAGAGCTGATACTATTCCTACAGGAACTACTCCAAAAAATTGAGGAGGAGCAACTCCTCACCAACTCATTCTATGAGGCCAGCATCATCCTGATACCTGAACCTGGCAGAGATAAAACAAAAAAAAAAAACTTCAGGTCAATAGCCTTGATAAACATGGATGCAAAAATCCTCAACAAAATACTTGCAAATAAAATCCAGCAGCACATAAAAAAGCTAATCCACCATGATCAAGTAGGCTTTATTTCTGGAATGCAAGGATGGTTCAACATATGCAAATAAATAAATGTGATCCATCATACAAAGAACTAAAGACAAAAACCACATGATTATCTCAATAGATGCTGAAAAGACATTTGATAAAATTCAACACCCTTCATGTTAAAAGCTCTCAATAAACTAGGTATTGAAGGAATATACTTCAAAATAATAGGAGCCATTTATGACAAACTCACAGCCAACACCAAATTTCCCTGTACTGTTTTTACTGTATCCAATAGGATTTGGTATGTTGTGTTTCCATTATCATTTATTTGAAGAAATTTTTAAATTTTCTTCTTAATTTTTTTAGTGACTCATGGTCATTCAGGAGCATATCATTGAATTTCTAAGTATCTGTATAGTTTCTAACATTTTTCTTGTTGTTGATTCTAGTTTTATTTTATTGTGATCAGAGGAGATGCTTGGTATTATTTAAAGGTTTTGGAATGTTTAAGACTTATTTTTTGGCCTAACATTTGGTCTATCTTGGCATTTCTTGTATGACAGGTCTACATTTCATAAAATCTCTCAGGTTTTATTTGTTTGGGAAGATATTTATTTCTCCTTCATACTTGCAGGATTATTTTCCCAGTTATACTATTCTAGGATAAAATGTTTTTTCTCTTTCAGCACTTTAAACATGCCACACCACTCTCTACTGGCCTGTAAGGAAGAAGTGACCATGTCATAAATGATTCATCTACTGTGGAGAAGAATGTGTATTCTGCAGCTGTTGGATGAAATAGTCTGTAAATATCTATTAGGTTCATTTGGTCAATAGTGCTGATTAAATCCAATTTTCTTTCTTGTTGTTGAGTTTCTGCTGGATTATCTGTCTAATGCTGAAAATTGGGTTTTGAGTTCTCCAGCTATTATTATACTGGGGTCTATCCTTGGCTCTAATAATATTTGCTTTACATATCTGGGTGCTCCTGTGTTGGGTGCATATATACCCACAATCATATAATGTTTCAGGATGTTTCATTATGTAATGTCCTTCTTTGTCTCTTCTTACATGTTTTGTCTTGAAATCTATTTTTCTAATATATGTATACATATTCCTGCTCTCTTTTGGTTTCCATTGGCATTGAGTATCTTTCTTCAACCCTTTATTTTTAGTCTATGTATATCTTTATAGAAGAAGAGTGTTTCTTGCAAAGAAGAGATCATTGGGTCTTGTTTTATCATTCATTCAGCCACTCTATATCTTTTTATTGGAGATCCATTTATATTTAATGTTATTAATGATAAGTAGAGACTCACTTCTGCCATTCTGAAATGTGTTTTCTAGTTGTTTTGTGGTCTTCTCTTTTTTTCATTTCTTCCTTCCTGTCTTCCTTTAAATGAAGGTATTTTTTCTGTGCTGATATACTTTAATTTCTTGCTTTATATATTTTTTGTATCCCATTGTATGTTTTTTGATTTGAGGCTACCCCAAGGTTTGCAAATATTATTATATAACCCATTACTTTGAACTGATGACAACTTAACACTGATTACATAAACAAGCAAACAAACAAACATACAGAAAGTACACTACTAAAAGCTCTACACTTTAAACTTATCACCCCACTTTCAAACTTTTTTTGTTTCACTTTATTTCTTATTATACTATGTCTTGAAAAATTGTCGTAGCCATTCTTTTTGCTTTGTTCATTGTTTAGCCTTTCTACTTAAGGTAAGAGTAGTTTACACAATGCCACTACAGTGTCATCATATTCCATTTCTCTGAGTACTTATTTTTACCAGTGGGTTTTGTACCTTCAGATAATTTCTTATTGCTTATTAACATCCTTTTATTTCAGATTAAACATCTCCCTTTAGCATTTCTTTTAGGACAGGTCTACTGTTCATGAAATCCTTCAGGTTTTATTTGTCTGGGAAGCTATTTATTTATCCTTCATGCGTGCAGGATATTTTCCCAGTTATACTATTCTAGGGTAAAATGTTTTATCCTTCAGCCCTTTAAACATGCCATGCCACTCTCTCCTGGCCTGTAAGATTTTCATTAAAAAGTCTGCTGCCAGACATATTGGTGCTCTATTGTATGCTATTTATTTTTCTCTTGCTGCTGTTAGAAGCCTTTCTTTATCCTTGACCTTGGGAGTTTGATTATTAAATGCCTTCAGGTAGTCTTCTCTGGGTTTGGCAAGTCCCACATTTCCGGACCGAATGAATGTTCATCTTACATATAGTAATTGATGTCTCATATCTCCCTAAAATGTATAAAACCAAACTGTGCTCTGACCACCTTGGGTACATGTCATC
The DNA here is from genome assembly GCF_000001405.40 of Homo sapiens. Classification (NCBI taxonomy): domain Eukaryota; kingdom Metazoa; phylum Chordata; class Mammalia; order Primates; family Hominidae; genus Homo; species Homo sapiens. Next base: position 67,897,474 of record NC_000023.11, on the reverse strand, counting down.
AAGCCCTCCTGAGGCTGTGTCACAGATACATCCTTAACCTTGGCAAAGTAAACTTTCCAAATTGATTGAGATTTGTCTCAGAAACATTTGGTTTACAAATTCGTGACCACAAAGTGACTGAGTGGAGGTGGCCCTGACTTTTGACAAATATCCTATTAGTGCTTGATACCAGTTTGAGCTATCTTTATGACTCAAACCAGTGGGACACTTTTCTGAGGCCTGGGAGCTCTCTTCCTTTCAGAGAACCCCTGATCTCCCAAAATTTGGTTGAGATCTAAAGTTTATTGTGCTGTCCAACTCCTTTTCTGGAATTTTGCTTGCTTCTAACAAGGAAGGTAAGTTTTCCTGCTTCCATGATGATGGAAGGCAGGTAATTTCTTTCTGGAATTTGAGCTCACTTCCAACAGTGAAGGTGAGTTTGAGATTTTTCTGCTCCTATAATGGTAGAGAGGATTCTTCAGCCTGAGACCAATTCCTAGGTAAGTAGCTGAATTGGGGTTTTGTTTTGGCTAAAGTTACAATTAACAACCAGCTGGACTTAATTTATTCTTACCATTAGAGTGCTCAGTAATCATATTGTAGGTGTTTCTTGTAGGGGTTATTTGTTCTGTTTTTTCTCCCATTAGGCTTGACCAACTTTACCTGACTTGGCCAAATCTAAATGAGAATTCCAAATTATGGGGAACAAGAACTCTCTGAATTAGCTAAAATTCCTCACAGCTGCAAAAGAGAAAAACAAAACAAAACAAAACAAACAAAACTACGCACTAGGTTTCTGTATTTGCTTCCCGTTTAAAAAAAAATGTTCTCTCATTTACTTTTCTTCCACCCTATGTCTCCTTTGCCTTTTGCTATCTTTGGTACCAAGAAAAATCTAGAGAAGACTTCTAATGACTTGATCTTCTTAAAGAACTGAGACAAATGTGCCACTCACTTTGGCCCTTTTAAGGGTGTTCCATTTTCCTTGTGGAGTTTTAAGAGTCACGGGCAGGTTCTTCTTAGGTCTACAGCTCTGCTTTTCTGTATTGCATTACCTGACCTCTTTGGCTTTTGGAGGTACCAGAGGTGACCTTGTATATAAGATGATTTGACCTTGGTGTAATTGTGGACGTGAACTGCAAAGTTAAAGGTGGCTGCTGACAGTTTACAGGAAGTGGTCTTTTTTCCTCCTAGGAAATTGTTGTTTAGGATCTTAACTCTAATTTAAAGGTGCATTCTAAAGAGTCTTCTCCATTGTCTTTCCTCCTGAAATGAATCTCAATTGGCTTCTCTGTGCATTTGTATGTGGAACTCAACCGTTGTTTTCATAGATAAATGAGAGACTGAGTTTTCTCAGCTCTGAAGAGAAAGGGAACTTTGTGCCTCCCAGATGAAAGGCACCCTGTGTGACTGGGGGCTGAGTAGGAGTGTCTGGGGGGTTGACCCCCTCATGATGTGCAGTGGCCCTACAGGGATCCCCCAGCAAAGTTAGTTTTAAAAGGCTCATCCAGGGAACAGATATAGGAGCTGGTCATTCCACATTTTGAGCCCTCTCAGAGGTGCTAGTCCTCCAGAGATAGAAACTGAGACACATAAGAAGGTGGAAATAACTCAGTGATGATATACTAGGGAGTCCCACTCACAACCAGTACACTTCAACTCACTCCACTAAACCCTAAGCCACAGCATAGTTTCTCCTTTAAAAAAAGGAAAAGGTAAGAAATAAAGAATGCTAATAATCTAAGAATGAGAAAATTCAAGGAGAATGACTCCATTTCAGGGGCTCTGTTGGTTTTGTGGCAACTCTCCATTCAAGTGTTTGTATAAAGTGGTCATATTATGGACTTTTTGTGCAAAATTACATCGAGGAAAATTCAGAGTCCAAAGGTTAACCTGCAGCTATAAAGCTCCTGAGTTCTTTCTCTCTCTGCTTTCTTTTCGGGTTGCTTTAAGTCTGTGGTTACTTTTCTACTGAGATAAAATCCACTGCTTGCATTCAACCTATTTCTGGTTACTGCTTTTGAAAACCAATGAATTTGTATTTATATCTCATGGCCATAATTCTGAAGTAAAAGCTATAGAATCTTTGTTTGTATGAGTGTGTATGTGTTTGTTTATATGTACACATATGTATTTTGTTACGTGTTTTTGGTCACAAGGTACGAAATTTGGCTTAAAGAGTACTCATAAATTAAATAATAAGCTCAGATGCTTTCCAAGTTCACATGACTTAAGTAAAATCTTTAATAAGCTAGCTTTAAAATTATTGGTAAAGTAATATTATAAATTTCTTAAGAATTTTCAGCATACATTTTTGTTTGCATTTATTGATCATGAGATTTCATACTTATTCCTGCCAAATATGAGAAGGTGTCAAAATTTGGCATAAGGGTTGTTAAACTATAAATGCAGCCCAAAACAGAATAATCTTTGCTTGTGTGATTTTTGATAAATAAGACATTAATATTGGTTTAATGAAAACAAGTAAATCTTGAATTATTTGTTAAAAAATCATATACTTAAGGGTCTTACTTAGGTAAGCACCTGAAATTCAGGCTATAAAATGGTTGAAAGGGAAATAAGTTTAAATGATAACTATTGAAGTTTTTATAAATAGTCTAGGTAAACTATTAAAATAAAATGATTAGATAAATGTAATGGTATAAATACTTGCAGACAAACTTGTCATAATTTAGAATCTAGGCCGGGTGCAGTGGCTCACACCTGTAATCCCAGCACTTTGGGAGGCCAAGACAGGTGAATCACCTGAGGTCAGGAGTTTGAGACCAGCCTGACCAACATGGAGAAACCCCATCTCTACTAAAAATACAAAATTAGCTGGGTATGGTGGTGCATGCCTGTAATCCCAGCTACTCGGGAGGCTGAGGCAGGAGAATCACTTGAACCCCAGAGGTGGCGGTTGTGGTGAGCCAAGATCATGCCATTGCACTCTAGCCTGGACAACAAGAGTAAAACTCTGTCTCAAAAAAAAGTACATAAAGTTATATTAAATTAATAAATATAATTAATAAATATTTCATTAAATGCCTTGGCATATTCCAATAAAAAATATATTGTAGAAAAACACTCTTTCTAAAAATTGTGTGTTCTTGTTAAAAGTTAAATAATTTTGTGTAATTAGAAGCTTATTTAAATTTTATGTATAAAACAGGGCAAAAGGAACCAGGAAATAAGAGAGATATAAAGAGAGTTACAGAATTAAAGAGGTATTTTTGGTAAGAAAGCTTTAAAAAAGTAATTTATATGAGAAAGAGTCTGTATGGTGAATTTTTTCCTAAAATTAAATGACTGGATTGTTAAAGAACAGGATATTTAGGATAAACGAGAAAGTCCAAGCATGACGTGAATGGTCTAAGTCATAATAAGATTAGTAAAAGAAGTAATTTATGAAAATGTTACATGATTAATTGGCTACAATTAAGGAATTTATAATAAATAATTGCACTATTTATTATATTGGACTATAGTATTAAAAATACACTTAAACAAAAACCAAATAACTGCTAGAAAAAAGACTTCATTAAAAATATTGAGTTATTCTTGGCTGGGTGTGGTGGCTCATGCCTGTAATCCCAGCACTTTGGAAGGCCAAAGTGGGCAGATTACCTGAGGTCAGGAGTTCAAGACCATCCTGGCCAACATGGTGAAACTTCATCTCTACTAAAAATACAAAAAATTAGCCAGGCAGGGTGGTGCATGTCTGTAATCCCAGATATGCAGGAGACTGAGACAGGAGAATCACTTGAACTCAGGTGGCAGAGGTTGCAGTGAGTCAAGATCACGCCACTGCACTCCAGCCTGGGTGTCAGAGTGAGTCTCTGTCTCAAAAAAATGGAGTTATTTTTAATGCAAGAAATTTTTAATTTTAAATTCTATAATCTGTTTCTTCTTGAAAATATTCAGATTTACTTCTCACAAACTGTAATGTGCTGCTTCAGCTCCTTGTCTCTCTTGAGAAGACCTGGGATGGTAACTCTCCCCTTCAACTTTTATTGTAACATTTTATTTATTAATAATCCAAAGTAAATAAGGAAATTTTTAAAAACAGGCAAGTAAAAAATCTTTTGGATCTGCTTTTGTCTGCATGTCTGTTATAACTATGTTTATGTGTCATGTTAAAGTAATATTTCACTATTAAACTCTATGACAGAGCTCAAATCATTTGACTTAAAATTAAGGGCTTATCAGACTGATAAAAGCTAGCTAAGATGCCTTTTAATTCAGATGACTTTGGCAATCTTTGGTAAGATTAATTAGGTAAATTTAATTTCAAAATTCTCTGCAATATTTTAAAATCTTAAAGTCATATTATGTTAAATTAAGTAACCTGAGTTTCATTTCCTGGCACTGGGAATTTGGGTTACTAAGAATTAAAATAGTAGGAGCATAATAGTTGTTTTTGGTAAAGTTATAAAACAGAAGGATGTGGTTTTTGCTGAAGAAAATATATTTTTTTCCTAGTTAAGAGATATTTAAGAGTAAATTTAAATTAAATAAAAAATTATATAAAGAAAACTAAATGGGTAAAAGGAAAAATTAAACCAGGGCAACAAAAGTTACCTCTATGACATGTGGTTACCAATAAGATAGTTTGTCGGGGAAGGGCAGAACCAAGTAACTATTAAAATCAGAGGCAATAATATAAAGGAATTTTTCCATTTTGTAGATTGGTATTGTATTAGTCTGCTCTCATATTGCTATAAAGAACTACCTGAGACTATAATTTATAAAGAAAAGTGTTTTAATTGGCTCATGGTTCTTCCGGCTGTACAGGAAGCATGGCTCGGGAGGCCTCAAGAAATTTACAATCATGCTATCAGGCAAAGAGGAAGCAGGCACATCTTACATGACCAGAGCAGGAGGAAGAGAGTGAAGGGTGAGTCACTATACACATTTAAACAAGTAGATCTTGTGAGAACTCACTCATTGTTATGGCAACAGGAAGGGATAAATCTGCCCTCATGATCCAGTCACCACCCACCAGGCTCCTTCTCCAACACTGGGGATTATAATTCAAAAGGAGGTTTGGGTGGAGACACAAATCCAAATCTTATCATTCCACCTCTGGCCCCTCCCAAATCTCATATCCTTCTCGCATTGAAAAATATGATTATCCCTTTTCAACAGTCTGCCAAGGCTTAACTCACTTCAGCATTAACACAAAAGTTCATAGTCCAAAGTCTCATCAAGACAAGGCAAGTCCCTTCTGCCTATGAGCCTGAAAAATTAAAAATAAGTTATTTATTTCTAAGATACAATGGAGGTACAGGCATCAGGTAAATATACCCATTCCAAAAGGAAGAAATCAGCCAAAAAAAGGGCTACAGGCCCCAGGCAAGTCTGAACCCAGCAGGGCAGCCATTAATATTAATGCCCCAAAATAATCTCCTTTGACTCCATGTCTCACGTCCAGGCCACATTGATACAAGGGGAGGGCTCCCAAGGCCTTGGGAAGCTCTGCCTCCACAGGGCTCAGCTCTCATGGCTCCTCTGAAGGGATGTCGTTGAGTGCCTGTGGTTTTTCCAGGTGCATGGTGTAAGCTTCTGGTGGATCTACTATTCTGCAGTCTGGAAGATGGTGGCCCTTTTCTCACAGCTCCACCAGGCAGTGCCCCAGTGGGGACTCTCTGTGGGGGCTCCAAGCCCACATTTTCCCTCCACACTCCTCTAGTAGAGGTTCTCCATGAGGGCTGCATGCAACAAACTTCTTCCTGGAACATCCAGGCATTTTCATACATCCTCTGAAATCTATGCAGAGGCTCTCAAGCCCCAACTCTTGCACTCTGTGCACCTGCAGACTTAACACCACATGGAAGCCACCAAGGCTTATGGCTTGCAACTTCTGAAATAATGGCCTAAGCTGTACCTTGGCCCCTTTTAGCCATGGTTGGAGCTGGATCAACCGTGATGCAGGGCAACATTTCCTGAGGCTGCACAGGGCATTGGTGACCTGGGCCCAGCTGAGGACACCATTCTTCTCTCCTAGGCCTCCTATCCTGTGATGGAAGGGGCTGACACAAAGGTCTTTATAATGCCTTCAAGGCATTTTCCCCATTATCTTGGCTATCAATATTTGGCTCCTCTACTTATGTGAATTTCTGCAGCTGACTGGAATTCCTCTCCTGAAAACAGGTTTTTCTTTCTTTTTTTTCTACAAGATGGTCAGGCTGCAAATTTTCTAAACTTTTATGCTCTGCTTCACTTTTAAATATAGGTTCCAGGTTCAGATTATCTCTTTGCTCACACATATGATAATATAGTGTTAGAAGCACTCAGGCCACATCTTTAATTCTTTACTGCTTAAAAATTTCTTCTGCCAGATACCCTAAATCATCTGTCTCACGTTCAAAACTCCACAGATCCCTAGACCAGGGGCACAATCCTTCCAGTCTCCTTGCTAAGGCACAGCAAGAGTGACCTTTGTTCCAGTTCCCAAATAGTTACGCATCTCCATCTGAGGCTACCTTAGCCTGGACTTCACTGTCCATATCACCATCAACATTTTGGTCACAGCCATTCGGCAAGTTTCTACGAAGTTCTAAACATTCTCTCATCTTTCTGTCTTCTTCTCAGCCCTCCAAACTGTGTCAACCTTTTCACTACCCAGTTCCAAAGCTGCTTCCACAATTTCAGGCATCTTTATGGTCATGCCCCCCTTCCCAGTACCATTTTTTGGTATTAGTTTGTTCTCATATTGCTATCAAGAACTACCTGATACTCAGTAATTTATAAAGAAAAGAGGTTTAATTGGCTCACAGTTCCACAGGCTGTACAGGAAGCCTGGCTAGGGAGGCCTCAGAAAACTTCAATCATGGTGGGAGGTGCTATACTCTTTTAAACAAGCAGATCTCAAGAGAACTTACTCACTATCACAAGAACAGCAAGGAGGAAAATCACCCCTATGATACAATTACCTCTCACCACGTCCCTCCTCCAACATTGGGGATTATAATTTGATATGAGATTTGGGTGGGGACAGAAATCCAAACCATATCAGATATCATCAGCTTCTTGAGAAACCCTTACTATAATGGATTGTAAAAATAAACACTTTAAGGACAGAATTCTCAATTTTAAGTGTTGCAGAACGAAACAGCATGTTTGAGTTGATGCAGGGCCTACAGCTCACCATTGAACAATTACTGATGAACATATATAATATGAATGCACAGGTGGTTATTCCTGAGAGAATACCCAGGCTAGTAGACTGGATTTACACCACAGTAAGGTCTGTTACCCTGAGAAGGGGACTGCCTGACTCTTCTTAAAAAATATCAAGTGGAGCTCCCCAGGTGAAGCAGTTGATATGCTTCATATGCAAGCCATGTGGGACTGACTTTATGATGACTGGGACATTCTCCTACAGAATATGCCTGTGACCATCCAAGATGGCTGAATAGGGACAGCTCCAGTCTACAGCTCCCAGCTCCCAGTGTGAGCAATGCAGAAGATGGGTGATTTCTGCATTTCCAACTGAGGCACCAGGTTCATCTCACTGGGGCTTGTTGGACAGTGGGTGCAGCCCATGGAGTGTGAGCCAAAGCAGGGCAGGGCATTGCCTCACCTGGGAAGTGCAAGGGGTCAGGGAATTCACTTTTCTAGCCAAGGGAAGCCATGACAGACGGTGCCTGGAAAATCAGGACACTCCCATACTAATACTGCACTTTTCCAACAGTCTTAGCAAACAGCACACCAGGCGATTATATCCTGCACATGACTTGGAGGGTCCCACACCCATGAAGCCTTGCTCACTGCTAACACAGCAGTCTGAGATTGAACTGTAAGGCAGCAGTGAAGCTGGGGGAGGGGCGTCCACCATTGCTGAGGCTTGAGTAGGAAAACAAAGAGTCTGGGAAGCTCGAACTGGGTGGAGCCCACTGCAGCTCAAGGAGGCCTGCCTGCCTCTGTAGACTCCACCACTGGGGGCAGGGCATAGCTGAACAAAAGGCAGCAGAAAATTCTGCAGACTTAAGCGTCCCTGTCTGACAGCTTGGAAGACAGAAGTGGTTCTCCAAGCACAGAGTTTGAGATCTGAGAATGGACAAACTGCCTCCTCACATGGGTCCCTGACCCCTGAGTACCCTAACTGGGAAACACCACCCACTACGGGCCGACTGACACCTCGTACAGCTGTGTGCCCCTTTGAGATGAAGCTTCCAGAGGAACAATCAGGCAGCAGCATTTGCCATTCTGCAATATTTGCTGTTCTGCAGCCTCTGCTGGTGATACCCAGGCAAACAGGGTCTGCAGTGGACATCCAGTAAACTCTAACAGACCTGTAGCTGAGGGTCCTGATTGTTAGAAGGAAAATTAACAAACAGAAAGGACATCTACACCAAAACCCCATCTGTACGTCACTATCATCAAAGACTAAAAGTAGATAAAACCACAAAGATGGCGAGAAACCAGTTCAGAAAAGCTGAAAATTCTAAAAATCAGAGTGCCTCTTCTCCTCCAAAGGAACGTAGCTCCTCGCCAGCAATAGAACAAAGCTGGATAGAGAAAGACTTTGATGAGTTGAGAGAAGAAGGCTTCAGATGATTGGTAATAACAAACTTCCCGAGCTAAAGGAGGATGTTTGAACCCATCGTGTAGAAGCTAAAAACCTTGAAAAAAGATTAGACAAATGGCTAACTAGAATAACCAGTGTAGAGAAGACCTTACATGACCTGATGGAGCTGAAAACAATGGCATGAGAACTATGTGATGCATGTACAAGCTTCAGTAGCCAATTCAATCAAGTGGAAGAAAGGGTATCAGTGATTGAAGATCAGATGAATGAAATGAAGTGAGAAGAGAAGTTTAGAGAAAAAAGAGTAAAAAGAAACGAACAAAGCCTCCAAGAAATATGGGAATATGTGAAAAGACCAAATCTAAGTCTGATTGGTGTACTTGAAAGTGACGGGGAGAATGGAACCAACTTGGAAAACACTCTGCAGGATAATAACCAGGAGAACTTCCGCAACCTAGCAAGGCAGGCCAATATTCAAATTCAGGAAATATAGAGAACACCACAAAGATACTCCTCAAGAAGAGCAACTCCAGGACACATAATTATCACATTCACCAAAGTTGAAATGAAGGAAAAAATGTTAAGGGACGCCAGAGAGAAAGGTCGGGTTACCAAAAAGGGAAGCCCATCAGACTAACAGCGGATCTCTCAGTAGAAACTCTACAAGCCAGTAGAGAGTGGGGGCCAATATTCAACATTCTTAAAGAAAAGAAATTTCAACCCAGAATTTCATATCCAGCCAAACTAAGCTTCATAAGTAAAGGAGAAATAAAATCCTTAACAGACAAGCAAATGCTGAGAGATTTTATCACCACCAAGCGTACCTTACAAGAGCTCCTGAAGGAAGCACTAAACATGGAAAGGAACAACTGGTACCAGCCACCGCAAACACATGCCAAATTGTAAAGAACATCGATGCTAGGAAGAAACTGCATCAAATAACGAGGAAAATAACCAGCTAACTTCATGACAGGATCAAATTCACACATAACAATATTAACCTTAAATGCAAATGGGCTAAAAGCTCCAATTAGAAGACACAGACTGGCAAATTGGATAAAGACTCAAGATCCATCAGTGTGCTGTATTCAGGAGACCCATCTCACATTTAGAGACACACATAGGCTCAAAATAAAGGGATGGAGGAAGACCTACCAAGCAAATGGAAAACAAACAAACAAACAAAAAAAGCAGGGGTTGCAATCCTAGTCTCTGATAAAAACAGATTTTAAACCAACAAAGATCAAAAGAGACAAAGAAGGCCATTACATAATGGTAAAGGGATCAATTCAACAAGAAGAGCTAACTATCCTAAATATATATGCACCCAATACAGGAGCACCCAGATTCATAAAGCAAGTCCTTAGAGACCTACAAAGAGACTTAGACTCCCACACAATAATAATGGGAGACTTTAACACCTCACTGTCAACAATACACAGATGAACAAGTCAGAAAGTTAACATGGATATCCAGGAATTGAACTCAGCTCTGCACCAAGCAGACCCAATAGATATCTACAGAACTCTCTACCCCAAATCAACAGAATATACATTCTTCTCAGCACCACATCACACTTATTCCAAAATTGACCACATAGTTGGAAGTAAAGCACTCCTCAGCAAAAGTAAAAGAACAGAAATTATAACAAACTGTTTCTCAGACCACAGTGCAATCAAACTAGAACTCAGGATTAAGAAACTCACTCAGAACCACTCAACTACATGGAAACTGAACAGCCTGCTCCTGAATAACTACTGGGTTCATAACAAAATGAAGACAGAAATAAAGATGTTCTTTGAAACCAATGAGAACAAAGAAACAACATACCAGAATCTCTGGGACACATTCAAAGTAGTGTGTAGAGGGAAATTTATAGCACTAAATGCCCACAAGAGAAAGCAGGAAAGATCAAAAATTGACACTCTAACATCACAATTAAAAGAACTAGAAAAGCAAGAGCAAACAAATTCAAAAGCCAGCAGAAGGCAAGAAATAACTGAGATCAGAGCAGAACAGAAGGAGATAGAGACACAAAAAAACCCTTCAAAAAATCAATGAATCTAGGAACTGGTTTTTTGAAAAGATCAACAAAATTGATAGACCACTAGCAAGACTAATAAAGAAGAAAAGAGAGAAGAATCAAATAGACACAATAAAAATGATAAAGGAGATATCACCACCGATTCCACAGAAAATACAAACTATCATCAGAGAATAATATAAACTCCTCTATGCAAATAAACTAGAAAATCTAGAAGAAATGGATAAATTCCTGGACACATACACCCTCCCATGACTAAACCAGGAAGAAGTTGAATCCCTGAATAGGCTAATAACAGGCTCTGAAATTGAGGCAATAATTAATAGCCTACCAACCAAAAAAAGTGCAGGACCAGACGGATTCACAGCTAAATTGTACCAGAGGTACAAAAAGGATTTAGTACCTTTCCTTGTGAAACAATTCCAATCAATAGAAAAAGAGGGAATCCCCGTCTTTTTATGAGGCCAGCATCATCCTGATACCAAAGTCTGGCAGAGACACAACAAAAAAAGAATTTTAGACCAATATCCCTAATGAAAATTGATGCAAATATCCTCAATAAAATACTGGCAAACTGAATCCAGCAGCACATCCAAAAGCTTATCCGCCACGATCAATTTGGCTTCATCCTTGGAATGCAAGGCTGGTTCAACATATGCAAATCAATAAACATAATCCATCATATAAACAGAACCAAAGACAAAAACCACATGATTATCTCAATAGATGCAGAAAAGGCCTTTGAAAAAATTCAACAGCCCTTCATGCTAAAAACTCTCAATAAACTAGGTATTGATGGGACATATCTCAAAATAATAAGAGCTATTTATGACAAACCCACAGCCAATATCTTACTGAATGGGCAAAAACTGGAAGCATTCCCTTTGAAAACTGGCACAAGACAGGGATGCCCTCTCTCACCACTCCTATTCAACATAGTGTTAGAGGTTCTGGCCAGGGCAATCAGGCAGGAGAAAGAAATAAAGGGCATTCAATTAGGGAAAGAGGAAGTCGAATTGTCCCTGTTTGCAGATGACATGACTGTATATCTAGAAAACCCCATCATCTCAGCCCAAAATCTCCTTAAGCTGATACACACTTCAGCAAAGTCTCAGGATACAAAATCAATGTGCAAAAATCATAAGCATTCCTATACACCAATAACAAACAAACAGACAGCCAAATCATGATTGAACTCCCATTCACAATTGCTTCAAAGAGAATAAAATACCTAGGAATCCAACTTACAAGAGATGTGAAGGACCTCTTCAAGGAGAACTACAAACCACTGCTCAACGAAATACAAGAGGACACAAACAAATGGAAGAACATTCCATGCTCACGGATAGGAAGCATCAATATGGTGAAAGTGGCCATACTGCCCAAGGTAATTTATAGATTCAATGCCATCCCCATCAAGCTACCAATGACTTTCTTCACAGAATTGGAAAAAACTACCTTGAAGTTCATATGGAACCAAAAAAGAGCCCGCATTGCCAAGTCAATCCTAAGCCAAAAGAACAAAGCTGGAGGCATCATGCTACCTGACTTCAAACTATACTACAAGGCTACAGTAGCCAAAACAGCATGGTACTGGTACCAATACAGAGATATAGACCAATGGAACACAACAGAGCCCTCAGAAATAATACCACCCATGTACAATCGTCTGATTTTTGACAAACCTGACAAAAACAAGCAATGGGGAAAGGCTTCCCTATTTAATAAATGGTGCGGGGAAACTGGCTAGCCATATGTAGAGAGCTGAAACTGGATCCCTTCCTTACATCTTATACAAAAATTAATTCAAGATGGATTAAAGACTTAAATGTTAGACCTAAAATCATAAAAACCCTAGAAGAAAACTTAGGCAATACCATTCAGGACATAGGCATGGGCAAGGACTTCATGTCTAAAACACCAAAAGCATTGGCAACAAAAGCCAAAATTGACAAATAGGATCTCAGTCAACTAAAGAGCTTCTGCATAGTAAAAGATACTACCATCAGAGTGAATAGGCAACTTCCAGAATGGGAGAAAGTTTTTACAATCTACCCATCTGTAAAGGGCTAATATCCAGAATCTACAAAGAGCTTAAACAAATTTACAAGAAAAAAATCAAACAACCCCATCAAAAAGTGGGTGAAGGACATGAACAGTCACTTCTCAAAAGAAGACATTTGTGTAGCCAACAGACACATGAAAAAATGCTCATTATCACTGGCCACCAGAGAAATGCAAATCAAAACCACCATGAGATACCATCTCACACCAGTTAGAATGGTGATCATTAAAAAGTCAGGAAACAACAGGTGCTGGAGAGGATGTGGAGAAATAGGAGCACTTTTACACTGTTAGTGGGACTGTAAACTAGTTCAACCATTGTGGAAGATAGTGTGGCGATTCCTCAAGGATCTAAAACTAGAAATACCATTTGACCCAGCCATCCCATTACTGGATATATACCCAAAGGATTATAAATCATGCTGCTATAGAGGCACATGCACATGTATGTTTATTGCAGCACTATTCACAATAGCAAAAACTTGTACCCAACCCAAATGTCCATCAATAATAGACTGGATTAAGAAAATGTGGCACATATACACCATGGAGTACTATGCAGGTATAAAAAATGATGAGTTCATGTCCTTTTTAGGGACATGGATGAAGCTGGAAACCATCATTCTGAGCAAACTATCACAAGGAGAGAAAACCAAACGCCACATATTCTCACTCATAGGTGGGAATTGTACAATGACAACACTTGGACACAGGGTGGGAAACATCACACACTGGGGACTGTTGTGAGGTCAGGGAAGAGGGAGAGGGATAGCATTAGGAGATATACCTAATGTAAATGATGAGTTAATGGGTGCAGCACACCAACATGGCACCTGTGTACATATGTAACAAACATGCATGCTGTGCACATGTACCCTAAAACTTAAAGTATAATAATAATAATAATAATAATAATAATAATAAAGAATATGTCTATAATTAGGTCATGATAAATTTAAGTGGGCCCCTTTTACTTGGTTACCCCCTCACAGAATTATATGCCTCTTTGAGAAGCCTTATCAAATTTGCTGTCTCTCATGGTTCTTGTAGTTTCTTATTAAAGCATTGGGGATAATGAACAACAAAAAAATAAAAATAAAAAAGGAACGGAAAAAGGGAGTTAAATTAATTTCCCCAGAAGGGGAGTAGAAATTTTTGGATGGTTATTCACTGTTTACCCCAAATCGGAAAATTAAAAAAAAAAAAAAATTAGAAGGCATAAGTTATCATGAGACTGCTGACATTGCCTGAGGCAATGCTGAGCCAAATCAAGTTAAAAATTTATAACAGAGCCCAAATTCCTAGGCTCACTCCCTGCTGGGAACCCAAAACTGTTTTTCACCAGAGAAGGTAAAATGATCTGGGAGTAGAAAACTTCCTGGGACCACAACATGAAAAACATACAAGTTAATAGAATTATAACATGTGAGATATTTAAAAAGAGTTTATGTGAGGTAATTGTAATTCCTTTACCAAAATGTCTTATGAAAATGGGTATTGCATCTAACTAGGGGATGTTTCCCCTATTTGTAAATCTGCTTTTTGAGAAATGTTCACTGGACACACTAAATGGAAACTAAGAAGATTGTCTGAGCCTAAAAATATAGGGTAGAAGCTGGAATGCTAGTCAGGAAAAATTCTCCGCTTTGTAACCTCTTGTGGAGCATTTATTGGGGCTTATGGCAAAAGGCTGTGAGTACTTCCCAATAACAACGACTGGACTGGTAAATTTCCACTTCAGCAGCACTTACTGTCTCGCTATCGAATGTTGACTGAGGCTACCCCTGTGCTAATAAAAATAATGGTGCCCAAAAGAGTTCCATGATAAAATATAAATGGTTTACATAGGCTCTTGTTACCTGGGGATAAAAGGAGGAGATACTCATGAGCAGTGCACCTCTTTTTTCCCTAGTACTGATTCTAACTATGTGAGGAGCTGCTAGATTCCATAGCACTTGATAGCTCCCTTGAGCTGTTTGGCTTGTGAATGGCAGTTCCAAAGTGAATAAACATCTTGTTTGGAAGGCTGCTGCTCTGGTTAAGGAAGGGTCAAATTTGTTTTTCTTTTAATTTATTTATATTTTAGAGCATTTGGGTAAAATATGTTTTGTAAGCAAATTTACTTTTCTCTCTGAGTTCTCCAAAATCCAGATTGTGATTTTGTGACAATAGAGTTATTTGCCTAAATTTAGTAAGAGTCTTTTAGAACAGAACAATTGAAGACACTGGTTATTTTACTAAGACTTTGACTAAAACAGCACATTTTTGGGTAAAGTTCCAGCAAAGCCAACTTAAGAGGAGCCTACATAGCCAATCAATTCTTGCTGCACCTTATGCGAATAATCAGACTAAGTATAATAAGCTTAAAACGTATTTTGTACACAAATTGGTCTTACTGTAATTTTTATTTAATAGAAAAGGAGGGTTAGAGAGAAAAAGAAATTGTTTCAAAGAAGAAGTGTAACACTTGATACGAGATTTCAGCCCTAAGTTTTGTTTTCTTTCAGTGCAGATTGAATCATGGATTATTTCTTGGCTACAGTTATCCCCTAGAGAGTACCAGATTATAAATTTTCTTTATATTTTTAGTTGGTACCCTAATGGAATTGATTTCTTTTTCTGTTCTGACATGCAAATACTCTTTTCATTGTCAAAATATTAATGTCATTTATTTCTCTGTGTTTTACTTCCAAGGAAACCAACATCATCGTATTCTGAAAACCAGAAAGGTGAATCTCCCTCATTTGGTATCCCACTGGGCCTGATCTGTTTTTCACTGCAAATGCACTACTGCTAAGACTGTATAAGCACCTTCCCTCTTCACCCAGGGACCGATGCAAAAGAGGCAGTCATGTGAGATTGTAAGGGCTGCTTTTGAGGGGTAAAATTAGGTCAAGCTCAGACCCTCCAAATCAAGGATGGGTACAAAGATGTTTAAACTGCTTGCAAAACAAGGGACTTTGCCTCCTGAGCTATTATTATGTGGCACCTTTGCATCTACCCAACCATAAAGAATTTCCTGCTTCCTGCAGAATTAGAAGAAAATAATTCCTGATAAGATAAAGATACCTTGTGACAAAGCCTCCTAAGCATAATACTCCCAGTTAGGAGTTGTCCCAATAGATACATATTTTCTTAAAATATTTTTTCAGAACAATATGTATATTTTGTATAGTTAATTGCCATATGTCTGTAGCTAAAACCAAGATTAGAGTAACTCAAAGCATATAAATTAAAAATGTCAGTTTTGTAACCTCGCCTTTGGCTTTTTGTTTGTTGGCTTTCTACGTAAAAAATAATAATAAATTTAAGGGGTAATGAATGCCTGTTCATGTCCATTCCTATCTGGCCTAGAACAATTAATTGGCTGTAAATCTTTTTGACTCTAAGTCCCTAAGGAGTGGGATTTAGAATTCCACGGAAGGACAGGATGGGCCTGGGGCAGGCAGGCATGCCACCCTAGCAATACTATGGAACAAAATTAAAATTTGGTGGCCATTGATGTAGCAATTCTTGGCCAGAAGTGAAAGAATGTAAACCAAAAATAAAATTTGAAGGCCCTGTGAAATTTTATTTTTCCTTCTCAGCCAGGGCACCCTAAAATTTAACTTGAAAGACTGGTTCAGGACATGATGGGAAGTGGGGGTTGGACATGTCTCTTTATACTCCTCCAGCATTAATATCAACACAAAAGACCTTAAGCCTGATTAGAAACATTTACAGTCGGTTCTCTCTAAAGCCTGCTACTTGAAGCCTTCATCTGCATGATAAAACCTAGGTCTCTACAACCCTTATCTTAACCCATACATTCCTTTCTCTAGATAACAACTCAACTAATTTCCAATGAGAATATGTTTAAATCTATCTCTGATCTGGAAGTCCCTGTTTCAAGTTGTCCTGCCCTTCCAGATTGAACCGATGTAAATCTTACATGTATTGATTGATTTATTATGTCTCCCTATAATGTATAAAAGCAAGCTGTACCCCAACCATGATAGGCACATGTCGTAAGGACCTCCTGAGTCTGTTTCACTGATGTGTCCTTAACCTTGGCAAAGTAAACTTTCTAACTCGATTGAGACTTGTCTCAGATACTTTTTGGTTTACACCAGCATAACAGTGGATCTTGCTCAAAGCCTGCAGTGACCACTGCCTATGTTCACTCAAGGCCCAAGAGCTCTACAATTAGCAATTATCAAATCCAGCCAGGTTTGTGTGCTTCCCTCCAGGGCAGCAAGTTCTCCTCAGTTCCGCCTGTGTCCCAGAAATCTGTCTGGGACCAGGGCATGTAGTCAGATACCTTAGGAATCTACATGGTGCTCTCTTCTACTGGGGCTGAGCTGACACACAAGCCACAAGACAGAGTCCTTCCCACTGTTTCCTCTCCTTTCTTCAAGCAGAGACATCTCTCCCTTGGCCACCACCATGCCAGGTCCACAGTTAGTACTGCCTATCACCAACTTTCACTTGAGGCCTTAGGGCTCTTCAGCAAGCCCGGACAAGCAGCTCAAGGGCCCAGTTACAGAATTTTCTGGGGATTAAATATCCTCTAGAGGTTCCCATTTGTTACTTGTTGTATGCCCTGTGTAAATGAAGAGGATATTTTTCCTTTCATAGCTGAAGTGTTACCATTTGATTTAATTCTAGGAAGTCCTTAGGTTCCCTGTCTCCAGGTCCTATTCTGTTGCCTCACTGAGTCTCTGTCTTCAGGGTAATGGGTTCTCCTCTGTCCCAGGACAGGTCCAGAAATGCCATCCAGGAGCTAAGACCCCAGTGTGGCCGAGCTGTTACCCAAACTGCAAGAGAAAGTTTCCTTTTCTCTCTCCTTTGTCCAAGTGGAAGAGGTCTCTCCCCATAACTACCACAGCTGGTTATGAAGTCAGCATGGTTTTGAGTCTTACCCAATGCCCACAGTGAATACTGCCCATCTACCACTGCTGCTTATTGAGGGCCCAAGGGCTCTTTAGTCAGCTCATAATAAATTCTGCAAAAACTGGGTTCTTCCCTTGAAGGCAGTGAGTTCCATTCTGGCCCAGGATGTGTTTCAAAATATCATCCAGGAGCTAAGGCCGGGAATGGGGGACCTCAAGACTCTGCCCGGTGCCTTATCCTACTGTGGTTGAGCTGGTATCCAAGTTGTGAGACAAAGTCCTCTTTACTCTCCTCTCTCCTCTCCTCAAGCAGAGAGAAAGAGTCTCTACCAGAGCTGTGAGCTGTGTTCCCTAGTGTTGAGGGAGGGGTAATGCAAGCACTCCCTTGGCCACCCCAGCTTGTGTCTCACTAACTTATATGTACCCAAAGTCCACTGGGTTAGAGCCCAGCACAGTACTAGGACTTGCACAGGAATTGCAGTCCTTGTGGCCTCGACTGCCATACAAGTTTATTTAGCATCCCAGAATACTTTAGTTCACTGTGGCAAAGTTGGTGGGAAACCAGGTTCCAACTGCTGGGATGTACAATTTGCCTCTAATTAGGGCTGGTCTAAATCTCCTACCATGGATGCTGGCTGAGTTCTGCCTACGTTGTTTTCCACTGTGACAGGGCAGCACTGAATTTCAATGCAAAGTCTCACAAGCTCTGCACTCTCCCTCCCCAGAAAGCACAGATTCCGTCTTCATGCCATGTCTCCATTGCCTCTTTTCTTAATATGGTGTTAAAAATAAGTACTATGATCTCTCAACTGATTTTTGGTTTTTGTAAAGGAGTTTTTTGTTTTTGTTTGTTTGTGTTTGTTTTAGTAGATAATCAATTTGGTGTTCCTGTGGGGTTGGGGGAATGATTGCTAGAGGATTCTATTTTACCATCTTGCTCTACCTTCCTCCTTCCACTTACCTTAATTTCATGTGAGAAATAAGCTTCTATCTTTTTAATCTATTGTATTTTGGGGTATCTTTGTTATATCAATCTCATTATATATATTAATTAATTAATATAGAATTTGGTATGAGAGTTGAGGCACTGTTATAGGATTTAGTGTGTGAATAGCATGCAGAGAGAACACAAAAATTGTAGGCTAGAAAGATAGTAACCCTATTTATGCTATGGAAGAATATTTGTTAATGGTTTTGCTAGTGATACTTCGAAAGCCAGACCGCATGCTAATAGAGACCAAAACTCTGGTACTGGTATGTGTTAGCTGCTTTTTGCCATTTGCAAGGTCCTATGAAAGAGATAATCTTCAGCTGCTTATAAGTGATGACTTTGTAGAAGTAGCTTCAGCAGGAGATAAGCTTGTGGCCCCTAAGCCTTTCTCAAGTGTGTCACCTTAAGAATGAGTTTTCAGTCAGACAGTGGTAGTCAGCTTAGCCCAGGTATAGAAGGTAATGATTTGATGTATGTATACATTTTAAAATAATTGCCACAACCAAGTTAATGAGCATATTTATTATTTCACATAGTTACCTTTTTGTGTGGTGAGAATACTTAAGATCTACTCTCTTAACAAATTTCAAGTATATAATACATTATTACTAACTAGAGTTACCATGCTGTAAATTAGGTCTACAGAACTTAATCATCTTATAACTGTAGGGTTTGTTTTTACCCTTTGGCCAATATCTCTCCATTTCCCTCACCCCCAAACACTGGTAACCACCATTCTACTCTGTTTCTAATGCATTCAGGGATTCCACATATAAGTAACATCATGCAGTATTTGCCTTTCTATGTCTGGCTTATTTTACTTAGCACAATGCCTTCAAAGCTTACCCACATTGTTACAAATTCAAGGAGTTACTTCTTTTTTAGGGAAAATATTCTATTCTATATATGGGTCTCGCAATTCTTTTATTAATTTATCCATAAACAGACATTGTTCCCTGGTCTTGGCTATTGTGAATAATGCTGCAATGAACATAAGAGTGAAGGTATCTCTGTGTGATACTAATTTTCTTTCCTTTGGATATATATTCAGAAGTGGGATTGCTGGATTATATGACAGTTGTGTTTTTAATTTTTGAAGGAGCCTCTATGCTCTTCCCCATAGTGACTATAACAATTGACATTTCCACCAATAGTGTTAAAGGCTTCAATTGTCTCTGCATCATTGCCAACACTTGTTTATCTCTTTTTGACAGGTATGAGGTAAATCTTTTAATTTGCATTTCCCTGATGATTAGTAAAGTTGAGTACCTTTTCATGTATCTATTGGCCATTTTTATGTCTTCTTTAGAGAAATGTCTATTCAGCCCCTTTGTCCATTTTTTAAATCATTTGTTTTTTTGTTTGTCTGTTTGTTTGTTTGTTTTTTTGCTATTGAGATGTTTGAGTTTCTTATATATTTTGAATATTGACTGCTTATCAGATATATGCTTCATAAATATTCTCTCCCATTTCATATGCTACTTTTTCATTCTGCTGTTTCCTTTGCTATGCAGAAGCTTTTTAGTTTGATGTAGTTACACTTGTTTATTTTTGTCTTGCTGCTTGTGCTTTTGCTGTTGGATCCGAAAATAATTGCCAACTCAATGTGAAGGTGTTTCCCTCCACCCAATGTCTTCCAAAAGTTTTATGGTTCTTGGTCTTATGTTTATATTTTTAATTTATTTCTAGTTGCTTTTTGTGAGTTTTAGAGTCCAAGTTTATTAACTTGCCTGTGGATATACAGTTTTCCAAATACCATTTATTGAAGGTTATCTTTTTGCCGTGGTGCATTCTTGGTATCCTTATCAAATATTAGTTAACAGTGTATGTGCGGATCTATCTCTGGGCTCTTAGTTCTGTTTCATTGGTCTATGTGTCAGCTTTTAATGCCAATATCATATTATTTTGATTACTGTGGCTTTGTAATATAATTTGTAATCAGGAAGTGTGAAGGCTCTAGCTTTCTCTTTCTCAAGATTGCTTTGAGTCTTTGAGATCTTTTGTGGTTTCCATACTAATTTTAGAATTGTTTATTCTAGTTCTGTGAAAAATGCCATTGAAATTTTGATAGGAATTGTACTGAGTCCATATATCACTTTGGGAATTATGAACATTTTAACAATATTTATTTTCCAATTTATGAACAAAGGACTTTTAAAATTTATTTGTGTCTATTCTTCATTTTTTTCATCAATGTCTTACAATTTTAAGGTACAGATTTTTCAAATCCTTGGTTAAATATATTCCTACATATTTTATTATTTTGATGATATTTAAAGAAGATTTTTTAGAAAT
Source organism: Homo sapiens (assembly GCF_000001405.40). Classification (NCBI taxonomy): domain Eukaryota; kingdom Metazoa; phylum Chordata; class Mammalia; order Primates; family Hominidae; genus Homo; species Homo sapiens. Next base: position 67,876,697 of record NC_000023.11, on the reverse strand, counting down.
TTAATTTCAGATATTTTGTTATTAGTGTATAGAAATACACTGATTTTTTATGTTGATTTTACATCCTGCTAGTTTTCTAAATTTGCTTATTTCCAACACATTTATTGTTGGATCTTTAGAATTTGCTGTATCCAAGATCATGTCATCTGCAAGTAGAGACAATTTTACTTCTTTTTACATTTGGATGGAATTAATTTCTTTTTTTCCTGTTGCTATGGCTAAGACTTTGACTACTCTGTCAAATAGAAGTGAGAGTGGGCACTTTTGTCTTGTTCCTGATTTTAGAGAAAAAACATTCTGCTGCTTATGGTTGAGTGATACTAGCTGTGGGTTTGTCATACATGGCCTTATTATGTTGACAGGCATTTCTTCTATACCCAGTTGGTTGAGAATTGCTTCATGAAGAAATGCTGGAGTTTGTCAAATGCTTTTTCTGCATTTATTGAGAGGATCATATGATCTTTCTCTTTTATTCTGTTAATGTGGTATATCACATTTATTTATTGGCATATGTTGAATGATCCTTGTATCCAAGGGATAAATCCCATTTGATAATAATATATAGTACTTTTAATGTGCTGTTGAATTAAGTTGGATATTACTTTGAGAATTTTCACACTTTTGGAAACCATAGAAATACATGGAAATTAAACAACATTCTTTTGAGTGACCATTGTGTCAACAAAGAAATTAAGATGGAATTACAAAACAATTCTTGAAACAAATAAAACTGAAAGACAACACACCAAAATGTGTGGAATATAGCAAAAGCATGGCCAAGGAGGAAGCTTATAGCAATAAATATTTACTTTTAAAAAGTAGAAAGATTATAAATTAACAATGTAACAGTGCATCTCGAGGAATAACAAAAGCAAGAACAAACCAAACTGCAAAGAAGCAGAAGAAAAGAAATTAAACTGATCAAAGAAAAATTAAATAAAATAGAGACTAAAAAATACAAAGGATCAACAAAATGAAAAGTTGACTCTTCAAAGATAAACAAAATTGATAAACCACTAACTAGATGAACGAAGGATAGACTCAGATAAAATCAGAAATAATAAAGGAGACATTACAACTGATACCAGAGAAATACAAAGGATCATCAGAAACTGTTATGAACAACTATATGCTGACAAACTGGAAAACCTAGAGGAAGTGGGTAAGTTCTCAGTAACGTACAACCTACCAAGATTGAATCAGGAAGAAATAGAAAACCTAAACATACCAATTATGAGTAGTAAGGTTGAATCAGGAATAAAAAATCTCCCAGCAAAGAAAAGCCCAAGACTGGATGAATTCACAGCCAAATTCTAAGAATTTTACATAGAAGAACTAATACCAATCCTCTTGAAACTATTTAAAAATTGAAGGGGAGGGAAATGTCCCTAACCAAGAGGCCAGCATCATCCTGATATCAAAACCAGACAAGGACAAAACAACAACAAAAAATAAAGCTATAGGCCAATATCTCTGATAAACACAGATACAAGAATCTTCAACAAAATACTAGTAAACAAAATTCAACAGCACGTCACAAAGTTAATGCAGCATGATCAAGCGGGATTCATACAAGGAATACAAGAATGGTTCAACATATCCAAACCAATAAATGTGATTCACATCAACAGACCAAAGCACAAAAACCAAATGATCACTTCAATAGATGCAGAAAAAGCATTTGATAGCATGAAAGAAAGCATTCTTTCATGATAAGAGCTCTCATCGAGGCATAGAAGGAACATACCTCAAAATAACAAAGGCTATGTAAGACAAACCCATAAGCAACATCATAATGAGTGGGGAAAAGTTAAAAGCGTTTTCCCTAAAAACCGGAACAAGACAAGAATACTGACTTTCACCACTCCTATTCAACATGGTACTGGAAGTCCTAGACAGAGCAGGCAGGCAAATGAAAGAAATAAACGGCATCCAAATTGAAAGAGAGGAAGTTAAATTGTCCCTCTTTGCTGACAATATGATTTTATACCTAGAAAAACCTAAAGACTCCACCAAAAAACGTAGATATGATAAATAAATTCAATAAAGTGACAGTACAAAAATCAATATACAAAAATCAGTAGCGTTCCTACTCACCAACAATGATCTAGTTGAGAAAGAAATTAAGAAGACAATCCCATTTACAGTAGGTACAAAAATTATCTAGGAATAAATTTAACCAAGGAGGTGAAAGATCTCCACAAGGAGAACTATAAAACACCAATGAAAGAAATCATAAATTACACAAATAAATGGAAAAACATCCCATACTCATGAATTGAAAGAATAAATATTGTAAAAATGACCATATTGTCCAAAGCAATCTACAGATTCAATGTAATCCCTATCAAATCACCAACATCATTTTTCATAGAGTTAGAAAAAATCCCAAGGTAGCCAAAAAAGAGACCAAAAGGAAAAAGCAATCCTAAGCAAAAAGAACAAACCTGGAAGCATCACGTTGTCTAACTTGAAGTTATTTGAAATTATTCTATAAGGCAATAGTAACTAGTAACTAAATAGCATGGTACTACTATAAAAATAGAGGCATAGATCAATAGAACAAAATATGGAACCCAGAAATGAAGCCACACACCTACAACCAACTGATCTTGACAAAGTTGACAAAAATAAACAATGAGTAAAGGACAGTCTATTCAATAAGTGGTGCTGGGAAAATTGGCCAACCATATGCAGAAGAATGAAATTGGACCCTTTATCTCTCACCATATACAAAAATCAACTCCAAATGAATAAAAACTTAAATATTAAGACCCTCAAACTATAAATATACTAGAAAAAACCTAGGGAAAACTTTCCTGAACATTGGTCTATGAAAACAATTTATGACTAATACCTCAAAAGTATAGTCAATAAAAATAAAAATAGACAAATGGGACTGGATTAAATTAAAAAGCTTTGCACAACAAAGATATGATCAACACAGTAAACAATCTACTGTATGGGGGAACACATTTGCACATTATGCCTCTAACAAAAAACTAATATCTAGAATCTACAGGAAACTCAAACAATTGAACAAGAGAAAAACAACCCCATTAAAAATCAGACAAAGGACATGAGCAGACATTTATCTAAAGAAATACAAATGGCCAACTAATGCATGAAAAAATGCTCAACATCACTAATCATTAGACGAATGTAAATTAAAACCTACAATGTAATGTCATCTTATACCAGTGAAAATAGCTATTATTAAAAATTCAAAACACAACAGATATTGGCACAGATACAGAGAAAAGGAAACCTTTATACACTGTTGGTGGGAATGTAAATTAGTTCAACGTCTGTGGAAAACAGTATGAAGATTTCTCAAAGGACTAAAAATAGAACTATCATTTAATCCAGCAATCCCACTACTGGGCATCTACTCAAGGAAAAGAAATCATCATACATAAAAGACACAAGTACTCATATATTAATTGCAGCACTATTCACAATAGCAAAGTCATGGAACCAACTTAAGAGTCCATTAACATTGACTGAATAAAGGAAATGTGGTATGTATACACCATGGAATACTACACAGCCATGAAAAAGAATGAAATCATGTAATTTGCAGCAACATGGATGGAACTGGTGGCTCCTAAGTGAACAAACCCAGAAACACAAAATGAAACACTGTATATACTCACTTATAAGTGGGAGCTAAACAATGGATATATATGGACATAAAGTTTGAAATAATAGACAATGGGGACTCCACAAAAAGGGAGGACATTAGGTGGGATAAGTTTGAAAAATTACCTATTGGGTACTATGTTCACTATTTGGTTAATGGGTATGTAAGAAGCCCAGTTCCCACCAACATGCAATATACCTATGTAACAATCATACACATGTACCTTCTGAACATAAAATAAAATAAAATAAAATAAAATAAAATAAAATAAATAAAATAAAGACAGAGAAAAAATAAATTTTTTTTTTACAAAAATCAACAGAACACAAAAGAAGAAAGCAAGAGAGGAAAAGGTATCAGACATACAGAAAACAATTAAAATTGCAAGAGTAAGGATTTTTCTATCAGTAACTATAAATGTAAATGGATTGATTTATCCATTCAAAAGACGGAGTGATTGAATGAAAAATATCTAAGATATAAGAGATTCAGTATTAATTTTTTTAATTTTTTTTTCAGGGATCAAATTGCAACTGATTATTATTGATATAATAAGAAGAAATTTTTAAAATGTTCTTGGGCCAGTGTTCCATTGTATGTTCATATTCCCTGAAATGATTAACTTTCAGAACCTCCAAGAAGGCTGGTCAATTTTTGTTGTTGTTGTTGTTACTTTAAGTTCTAGGGTACATATGCACAACATGCAGGTTAGTTACATATGTATACATGTGCCATGTTGGTGTGCTGCACATATTAACTCATCATTTACATTAGGTATATCTCCTAATGCTATCCCTCCCCCCTCCCCCCACCCCACGACAGGGCCCCATGTGTGATGTTCCCCTTCCTATGTCCAAGTGTTCTCATTGCACAATTCCCACCTATGAGTGAGAACATGCGGTGTTTGGTTTTCTGTCCTTGCGATAGTTTGGTCAGAATGATGGTTTCCAGCTTCATCCATGTCCCTACAAAGGACATGAACTCATCCTTTATGATGGCTGCCTTGTATTCCATGGTGTATATGTGCCACATTTCCTTAATCCAGCCTATCATTGTTGGACATTTGGGTTGGTTCCAAGTCTTTGCTATTGTGAATAGTGCTGCAATAAACACACGTGTGCATGTGTCTTTATAGCAGCATGATTTATGATCCTTTGGGTATATATCCAGTAATGGGACGGCTGGGTCAAATGGTATTTCTAGCTCTAGATCCTTGAGGAATCACCACACTGTCTTCCACAATGGTTGAACTAGTTTACAGTCCACCAACAGTGTAAAAGTGCTCCTATTTCTCCACATCCTCTCCAGCACCCGTTGTTTCCTGACTTTTTAATGATTGCCATTCTAAATGGTGTGAGATGGTATCTCATTGTGGTTTTGATTTGCATTTCTCTGATGGCCAGTAATAATGAGCATTTTTTCATGTTTCTGTTGGCTGCATAAATGTCTTCTTTTGAGAAGTGTCTGTTTATATCCTTTGCCCACTTTTTGATGGGGTTGTTTTTTTCTCGAAATTTGTTTCTTTGTAGATTCTGGATATTAGCCCTTTGTCAGATGAGTAGATTGCAAAAATTTTCTCCCATTCTGGAGGTTGTCTGTTCACTGTGATGGCAGCTTCTTTTGCTGCGCAGAAGCTCTTTAGTTTAATTAGATCCTATTTGTCAATTAGAACTCAAAATAGATTAAAGACTTAAACTTAAGACCTGAAAGTATAAAATTCCTAGAAGAAAGCATTGGAGGAAAGGCTTTATACCATTGGTTTTGGCAATAAATTTTTGGATATGATACCAATGATATAGACAAGAAAAGCAAAAATAGGCAAGTAGAACTACACCATACTCAAAAGCATTTAAACTATTAAGAGTAAAAAAGCAACTTATGGAATGGAATAAAATATATACAAACAATATATCTGATAAGGGTTAATATGCAAAATACATAAGGAAGTATGAGTCTATAGCAAAAAAAATGATTTAATTAATAGGCAAAGGACTTGAATAGACATTTCTCCAAAGGAGACATATAAAGTGGCCAAAGGCAAACAGAAATATGCTCAATATTACTAATCATCAGGGAAATGCAAATTAAAGCCACATGAGATATCACCTCATAACCTTTATGAAAGTCATTATTAACAATAATAATAGCTAGTATTGTGAGAAGGTGGAGAAGCTGAAACCCTTAAGTACTGCTGGTAGAAATGTTAAATAGTCCCAGCACTACCGAAAATAACATGAAGGCTTAAAAAAAATAGGGTAGAATTACCATGTGATCCAGCAATCCCATTTTCAGGTATCCAAAATAATTGAAATCAGGATTCAAAGATATATTTGTATGCATATTTATTTTAGCATTATTCACAATAGTCAAAAGATAAAAACTAAATGTCTATCAATGGAAGAATGGATTTTCAAAAAGTGCTATATACATAAAATGAAATATTATTTATCTTTTAAAAATAAAGAAATTTTATGATATGCTACAACACAGATAAACCTTGAGTATATTATTCTAAGTGAAATAAGCCAGTCACAGAAAGACAATTCCTGCGTGATTCTACTTGCATAAGGTATCTAAAGTAGTCAAACTTATAGGAACTGGAAATAGAACAATAGTTGCCAGGTGTTGGGGAAAAAGAAAAACAGAGAAGTGCGTTCAATGGGTGTAGAGTTTCAGTTATGCAAGATAAAAAAGTTCTAGATGTCTGCTGTACAATGTGCATATAGTAAAAAATTCTGTATTGTATACTTAAAATTTTTTAAGAGTAGTTCTCATGTTATTTGTTTTTTACCATCATAAAATTTAGAACTTTACATCAAAGAATTTTACATCAAAGAAACTTTACATCAAAGAACTTTACATCAAAGAAAACTAAATGATTCTATCAAATAAATATCTTGTAATTCTAAAATTTTGACAAATATTGAAATAAGAAAACCAATATTTTAAAATGAAAAAGTCATATATTTATAAAACTATGTTAAAAATTAATCAACATATTAGTTTTATTTTATAAACTTAAATTTACAGAAAGTTTAATCCTATCTGAAAGAAAGCAAATAAAATTGTTAAAATAAACATGATTATGGGGAAAAATAAATATAAATAAATTGTAAAGCTTCCATGGTGGCCACCAGCATTTGAGTAGACAAGATCTTCAAGAAATAAAAGCACAAAATAAGTCTGAAATTTGTACGACTTTTTTTCTCTGAAGGCCTTTACTAATTTGTAACTGGCACAAAGCTAAGAAGTTGGAATCTTGGTCAAAGCCACAACTAAGGGGTTGAGCAGGTGAACAGAACTTCGACAGTTTACAGAGCAAAAGAATTTTTTTTTGCTTCAAAAACCTATTAAGTTTGAGAGGCCTTGATGAACCCCTCATATTTTCAGATGGGACGCGTGAAGTCTGGCTCCTAGGAATAACAGTGAACTGAAAATAGACCAGTTTTAATGAATACTGAAACACAATTTCAAACCAGTTTAATCCCAAACTGAATTAAAGTGACTTGCTTCTAGTCTACCTGTCTGGTCTGTGAGATACAGAAGTAATATCATCCAGAGCCTCTGTAGTTTTTCAATGCCTAGCAATCAATAAAAAAGTTACCAATGCACATGGAGACAAGATTAAAAGAAAAGAATAGATAGAAAACAGACTCACAGTAGATCTATATTTGCAACGATCACAGTTGGACCTTAAGTAACATGATTATACATTCAACAAAATATATAACAAAATACAGAATTTCAATAGAGAAATTAAATATACAATGGCATCAAAATGGACACTTCAGAAATGAAAATGCAATAACTAAAATTAAGAACTTAGTAATTGGTTTAACAGCATGTAACGTATGGATAATTAGAGGACTGGTGAACTAGAAGATAAGTCAGTAGAAAGTACTCAAACAGAAGCATAGACACCCCAAGGCATATAGTCATCAGACTATCCAAGGTCAACAAGAAAGAAAAAAATCTTAAAGGCAGCCAGAAAAAAAGGTCATATTATGTATAAAAGAAAACCCCTCAGACTGATAGCAGACTCCTCAACAGAAAACTTACAGGCTAGAAAATATTGGGTGTCCATTTCTACCATTTTTAAAGAAAAAAAAAGGACAGCCAAGAATTTTACATCCTGCCAAACTGAGCTTTATAATGAAGGAGTAAAAAAGCCTTTCCCTGACCAGTAATTACTAAGGGAATTCATCTCCACCAGTTTGGTACCACAGAAGATGCTTAAGGGAGTTCTAAACATGGAAATGAAAGAATGATACTCACTACCACAGAAGCACACAGCACACGGACACTATAAAGTAACTACATAATTGAGACTACAAAGCACCTAGCTAATGACACTATGACAAAAACAAATCTTCACATATCAATATTAACCTTGAATGTAAATGATCTAAACCCTCCACATAAAAGACATAAAGTGGAAAATTAAATTAAAAAACAAGACCCATCCTTCTGCTGTCTTCAATAGACCCATGTCACATGTAATAATACCCATAGGCTCAAAGTAAAAGGATAGAGAAATATTTATTACACAAGTGGAAAACAAAGAAAAGTAGGAGTCATTATTTTTGTATCAGATAAAACAAATGCTAAGCTTACAACAGTGAAAAAGAAGAAATACATTACATAATGATAAATGGTTCAATCCAACAAGAAGATTTAACTATACTAAATATATATGCACCCAACATTGAAAGCACCAAGATTAATAAGTTACTTCTAGACTTTGGAGGAGGCTTAGACAGCCAGACAATAATAGTAGGAGACTTCAGTACCCCACTGACAGAATCAGAAAACTAACAATGAATCTCTGGACCTAAATTTGACATTTGACCAATTGGATCTAATAGATATCTACAGAATAATCCACCCAACAACCACAAAATATACATTCTTCTTACCAGTACATGGAATATACTATAAGACTAACTACATGCTTGATGTAAAACAAATCTCAATAAATTAAAAAAATTAAAATTATACCAACCATCCTTTTGGACCACTGTAGAGTAAAAATAGAAATCAGTACCAAGAGGAACTCTAAAAAACACACAATTATATGGAATCTAAACAACTTGACCCTGAATGACTTTTGAGTAAAAAATGAATTTAAGGAAGAATTAAAAAACTTTTCACAACAAATGAAAATAGAGATACATTATACAAATACCTCTGGGATGTGGCAAAAGCAGTGTTAACAGAAAAGTTATAGCATTAAATGCCTACAGTCAGAAGATAGAAAGATCTCAAATTAACCACCTAACACTGCACCTAAAGCAACTGGAAAAACAAGAACAAGCATCGCAAAGCTACCAAAAGGAAAGAGATAACAAAAACCAGAACAGAATTAAAGGAAATTGAGAAAAAAACTACCAAGGGTCAATGAAACAAAAAGTTGATTAATTGAAAGAATAAACAAGATCAATAGACTACTAGCTAGGTGCACAAAGAAAAATTTAGAGATCAAAACAAGCACAATCAGAAATGACAACGTTAACATTATAACCTATCTCACAGAAATACAAAAGATCCTTGGAGAATATTATGAACACCTCTATGCACACAAAATAGAAAATCTAGAGGAAGTCGATAAATTCCTGGTAAAACACAACCTCCCAAAATTGAATCAGAAAAAAAATTGAAACTCTGAGCAGACCAATAACAATTTCCAAACTTGAATCAGTAAATTAAAAACCTACCAACTAAAACCAGTCCTAAACCAGATGGATTTACAGCTAAATTATAACAGATATACAAGGAAGAGCTAGTACAAATCCTACTGAAACTATTCCCAAAAATTGAAGAGAAAATATTTCTCGCTAGCTGATTCTACAAAACCAGTATTATTCTGATATTAAAATCTGGCAAAGACTCAACAGAAAAAGAAAACTAGAGGCCAATATCCCTGATGAACATAGACACAAAATCCCTCAACCAAATACTAGCAAACCAAATTCAGCAGCACAACAAAAAGTTAATGGACCACAAGCAAGTGGCCTTTATTCCTGGGAGGCAAGTTTGTTTCAACATACACAAATCAATAAATGTGATTTACCATATAAACAGATTTAAAAAAAAAACCATGTGATCATCTCAATAGATGCAGAAAGATCTTTCAATAAAATCCAGCATCCCTTCATGATAAAAGCATTCAAACTAGGCACTGAAGGAACATACCTCAAAACACGAAGAGCTATCTATGACAAACCCAGAGGCAACATAATACTGAACAGGCAAAAGTTGGAAGAATCCTCTTTAAGAACTGCAAAAAAGACAAGGATGTCCACTTTCACCACTCCTATTCAACAGAGTACTGGAAATGATAGCAGAGCAATTAGTCAAGAGAAAGAAATAAAAGGCATCCAAATAGGAAAAGAAGAAGTCAAATAATCTCTCTTTGCTGACAGTATGAGTCTATAGCTAGAAAGTCCAAAAGACTCCTGAAAGACTAATAGACCTGATAAACAAGTTGAATAAAGTTTCAGCATACAAAATAAACATACAGAAATCTGTAGCATTTCTCTACATGAGTAATATTCAAGCTGAGAGCTAAATGAAAGATGCAATTCCATTTATAATAGCCACAAAAAATAAAATGGCTAGGAATAGATCTAACTAAGGAGGTGAAAAATCTCTACAAAAAAACTACATAACATTGCTAAAAGAAATCACAGATAACATAAACAAATGAAAATAAAAGCAAAGACATGGAATCAAACCAGGTCCCCATTAACAGTGAATTGGGTTAAAAAATTTTGGTACAAATACATTGTGGAATATTATGCAGCCATAATAAAGAACAAAATCATGTTCTTTGCAGCAGCATAGATGCAGCTTGAGGCCATTATCTTGGGCAAACTAACACAGAAACAGGAAAATAAATATTGCATATTCTCTCTTATAAGTGGGAGCTAAACATTAGATACACATGAACATAAAGATGGGAACAACAGACACTGGGTACTCAAAAAAGGAGAAGGGAAGGGGGAGTCAAGGGCTGAAAGACTTCCTATTGAGTACTATGTTTACTATTTTGGTGATGGGAACAATAGAAGCCCAAACCTCAGATTCACATGACATAACCTTATAACAAACCTGAACATGTACCCTCTGAATCTAAAACACAATTAACAAAGAAGGCTAGATAAAGAAAAGTGGTAACTAGAGAGAATAAGAGATGTATGAAAAACAGTGAAAAGGTCTAGCATAGTGTATTAGTCCATTTGCCTTGCTATAAAGGAGTATCTGAGATTGGGTAATTTATAAAGAAAAGAGGCTTATTTTGACTCACAGTTCTACAGCCTATACAGAAATCATGATGTTGGCATCTGCTTCTGGTGAGAGCCTCAGGAAGCTTACAATCCTGGTTGAAGGTGAAGCAGGGAGCAGGCACACAGCATGGCAAGAATGAGAAAGAGAGAGAGGGAGGAGCTATCAGGCTCTTTTAAACACCCAGATCTTATGTGAACTCATAGCATGAGAACTCACTCATTACCATGAGGAAAGCAACAAGCCATTCAGGAGGTATCCTACCCTGTGATCCAAACACATCCCACTAGGCATACCTTCACCATTGGAGGTCCCATTTTAACATGAGATTTGGAGTGGACAAACACCCAAACTGTATCACGTAGGTATAAATAGATTATCAAAGGAAATGAGAGTGAAAAAGGAGAAGCATTATGTGAAGAAGTTATGGTTGAGACTTTTTGAATACCTCTAAAAGACATAAAACCAGTTTCAAGGAGTGATACCAATTTTAACAACACCAAATGCTATGGAAAAATTGATTAAAAAAATAAAAAAAAAACAAAGAGCAGAAATAGGTGGCTGGCAAGATGGCCGAATAGGAACAGCTCCAGTCTGTAGTGCCTAGTGAGATCAATGGAGATGATGGTTGATTTCTGTATTTCCAACTGAGGTACACAGCTCATCTCATTGGGACTGGTTAGACAGTGGGTGCAGCCCACAAAGGGTGGGCTGAAGCAGGGTGGGGCATTGCCTCACCTGGGAAGCACAAGGGATAGGGGAACACCCTCTCCTAGCCAAAGGCAGCTGTGAGGGACTGTGCTGTGAGGGACTGTGCTGTGAGGAACAGTGCATTCCAGCCCAGCTACTATACTTTCCCATGGTCTTCAGAACCCACAGACCAAGAGATTCCCCCAGGTGCCTACACCACCAGGGCCCTGGGCTTCAAGCACAAAACTGGGTGGCTGGTTGGGCAGACACTGAGCTAGCTGCCAGAGATTTTTTTCATACCTCATTGGGACCTGGAATGCCAGTGAGAAAGAACCATTCACTCCCCTGGAAAGGGGGCTGAAGCCAGGGAGCCAAGAGGTCTAGCTCAGTGGATCCCACTACCACTAAGCCAAGCAAGCTAAGATCCACTGGCTTAAAATTCTCGCTGCCAGTGCAGCAGTCTGAAGTTGACCTGGGATGCTTGAGCTTGGTGAGGCGAGGGGGGAATGCCATTACTGAGGCTTGAGTAGTGGTTTTCCCCTCACAGTGTAAACAAAGCCTCTGGGAAGTTCAAACTGAGCGGAGCCCATCACAGCTCAGCAAAGCCCTGTAGCCAGACTGCCTCTCTAGATTCCTCCTCTCTGGGCAGGGCATCTCTGAAAGAAAGACAGCAGCCCCAGTCAGGGGCTTATAGATCAAACTCCCATCTCCCTGGTACAGAGCACCTGGGGGATGGGGCAGCTGTAAGTGCAGCTTCAGCAGACCTAAACATTCCTGCCTGCTGGCTCTGAAGACAGCAGCAGATCTACCAGCACAGTGCTCGAACTCTGCTAAAAGACAGACTGCCTCCTCAAGTGGGCCCCTGACCCCTGTGCCTCCTGGTGAGGAGACACCTCCCAGCAGGGGTCAACAGACACCTCATACAGGAGAGCACCGGCTGGCATCTGGTGGGTGATCCTCTGGGACAGATCTTCCAGAAGAAGGAAGAGGCATCAATCTTTGCTGTTCTGTAGACTCTTCTGGTGATACCCAGGCAAACAGGGTCTGGACTGGACCTCCAGCAAATTCCAGCAGACCTGCAGCAGAGGGTCCTGACTGTTAGAAGGAAAACTAACAAACAGAAAAAAACAGCATCAACATAAACAAAAAGGACGTCCACACAAAAACCCCATTCGAAGGTGACCAACATCATAGACCAAAGGTAGATAAATCCATGAAGATGAGGAAAAACCAGCGCAAAAAGTCTGAAAATTCCAAAAACCAGAATTCCTCTTCTCTCCAAAGGATCACCATTCCTTGCCAGCAAGGGAAAAAAAACTGTACAGAGAATGAGTTTGATGAATTGACAGAAGTAGGCTTCAGAACATGGGTAATAACAAACTCCGCTGAGCTAAAAGTGCATGTTCTAACCCAATGCAAGCAAGCTAAGAACTTTGAAAAATGGCTAGAGGAATTGCTACCTAGAATAACCAGTTTAGAAAAGAACATAAATGACCTGATGGAGCTGAAAAACACAACACGAGAACTTCATGAAGCACACAGAAGTATCAACAGCCCAATTGATCAAGCAGAAGAAAGGATATCAGAGATTGAAGATCAAATTAATGAAATAAAGCGTGAATAGAAGACTAGAGAAAAAAGAATAAAAAGGAATGAACAAAGCTTCCAAGAAATATGGGACTATGTAAAAGATGAAACTTACGTTTGATTGCTGTACCGGAAAATGATGGGGAGAATGGAATCAAGTTGGAAAGCACTCTTCAGGATATTATTCAGGAGAACTTCCCCAACCTAGCAAGACAGGCCAACATTCAAATTCAGGAAATACAGAGGACATCACAAAGATACTTCTCGAGAAGAGCAACCCCAAAACACATAATTGCCAGATTCACCAAGGTTGAAAAGATGGAAAAAATTTTTTGAGCAGCTAGAGAGGAAGGTCGAGTTACCCCCAAGGGAAAGCCCATCAGAATAACAATGGATATCTCTGCAGAAACCCAACAAGCAAGAAGAGAGTGGGGGCCAATATTCAACATTCTTAAAGAAAAGAATTTTCAACCCAGAATTTTATGTCCAACTAAACTAAGCTTCATAACTGATGGAAAAATAAAATCCTTTACAGACAAGCAAATGCTGAGGGGTTTTATCATTACCAGGCCTGCCTTACAAGAGGTCCTGAAGGAAGCACTAAATATGGAAGAAAAAAAAAAGCCCATACCAGCCACTGCAAAAACATACTAAATTGTAAAGGCCATTGACACTATGAAGAAACTGCACCAACTAAAGGGAAAAATAACCAGCTAGCATCATAAGGACAGGATCAAATTCATACGTAAGAATATTAATCTTAAATGTAAACAGGTTAAATGACCCAATTAAAATACACACACTGGCAAATTGGATACAGAGTCAAGACCCATTGGTGTGCTGTATTCAGGAGACCCATCTCACATGCAAAGACACACATAGGCTCAAAATAAAGGGATGGAGGAATATGTACCAAGCAAATGGAAAGAAAAAAAAAAGCAGAGGTTGCAATCCTGGTCTCTGATAAAACAGACTTTAAACCAACAAAGATCAAAAAAGACAAGCACATTACACAATGGTAAAGGGATCAATGAAACAAGAAGACCTAACTATGCTAAGTATATATGCACCCAATACAGGAGCAACCAGATTCATAAAGCAAGTTCTTAGAGACCTACAAAGAGACTTAGACTCCCACACAATAATAGTGGGAGACTTTAACACCCCCCATCAATATTAGACAGATCGACGAGACAAAAAATTGACAACGGTATTCAGGACTTGAACTCAGCTCTGGACCAAGTGGACATAATAGACATCTACAGAACTCTACACCCCAAATCAACAGAATATAAATTTTTCTCAGCACCACATCACACTTATTCTAAAATTGACCCCATATATGGAAGTAAAACACTACTCAGCAAATGCAAAAGAATGGAAATCATAATAAACAGCATTTTAGACCACAGTTCAATCAAATTAGAACTCGGGATGAGGAAACACACTGAAAACGGCACAACTACATGGAAATTGAACAACCTGCTCCTGAATGACTACTGAGTAAATAACAAAATTAATGCAGAAATAAAAAGTTCTTTGAAACCAATGAGAAAAAAGAGACAATGTATCAGAATCTCTGGGACACAGCTGAAGCAGTGCTTAGAGGCAAACTTATAGCACTAAATGCCCACAGGATAAAGTGGGAAATATCTAAAACCAACACCCTAACATCACAATTCAATGAACTAGAGAAGCAAGACTGAACAAATTCAAAAGCCAGAGGAAGACAAGAAATAGCTAATATCAGGGCAGAACTGAAGGAGTTAGAAACAAAAAAAAACCTTCAAAAAATCATTGAATACAGGAGCTGTTTTTTTGAAAAGATTAACAAAATAGATAGACCAGGCCAGGTGCAGTGGCTCACACCTGTAATCCCAGCACTTTGGGAGGCTGAGATGGGCAGATCACGAAGTCAGGAGATTGAGACCATCCTGGCTAACACGGTGAAACCCCGTCTCTACTAAAAATACAAAAAACAAAATTAGCTGGGTGTGGTGGCAGGTGCCTGTAGTCCCAGCTACTCAGGAGGCGGAGGTGGTAGAATGGCATGAACCTGGGAGGTGGAGCTTGCAGATCACGCCACTGTACTACAGCCCAGGAGACAGAGCGAGACTCTGTCAAAAAAAAAAAAAAAAAAAAAAAGAATAAAAAAGAGACCTCTATTCAGAATAATAAAGAAGAAAAGAGAGAAGAATCAAATAGACACAATAAAAAATGATAAGGGGGATATAACCACTGATCCCACAGAAATACAAACTATCCTCAGAGAATACTATAAACACCTCTATGAAAGTAAACTAGAAAATCTAGAAGAAATGGATAAATTCCTGGACACATACACCCTCCCAAGTCTAAACCAGGAAGAAGTTGAATCCTTGAATAGACCAATAACAAGTTCTGAAATTGAGGCAGTAATTAATAGCCTACCAACCAAAAAAAGCCCAGGACCAGATGGATTCCCAGCCAAATTCTACCAGAGGTACAAAGAGGAGCTGGTAATGTTCATTCGGAAACTATTCCAAACAATTGAAAAGGAGGCACTCCTCCCTAACTCATTTTATGAAGCAAGCATCATCTTGACACCAAAACCAGGAGGAGACATATACACAAAAAAAGAAAACTTCAGGCCAATATTCCTGATGAACATCAATGCAAAAATCCTCAATAAAATACTGGCAAACTGAATCCAGCAGCACATCAAAAAACTTATCCACCATGATCAATTTGGCTTCATCCCTGGGATGCAAGGCTGGTTCAACATGCACAAATCAATAAACATAATCCATCACAAAACAGAACCAAAGACAAAAACCACATGATTAACTTTACAGAGCTAGAAAACTTGACTTTCTTTACAGAACTAGAAAAAACTACTTTCAATTTCATACGGAACAAAAAAAAAAAAAATCTCATATAGCCAAGACAATCCTAAGCCAAAAGAACAAAGGTGGAGGCATCACACTACCTGACTTCAAACTATACTACAAGGATACAGTAACCAAAACAGCATGGTACTGGTACCAAAACAGATATATAGACCAATGGAAGAGAACAGGGGCCTCAGAAATAACATCACACATCTACAACCATCAGACCTTTACAAATCTGACAAAAACAAGCAATGGGGAAAGGATTTCCTATTTAATAAGTGGTGTTGGGAAAATTGGATAGCCATATGCCAGAAACTGAAAATGGACCACTTCCTTACACCTTATACAAAAATTAACTCAAGATGGATTAAAGACTTAAATGTAAGACCTAAAACCATAAAAACCTTAAAAGAAAACCTAGGCAATACCATTCAGGACATAGGCATGGGGAAAGACTTCATGAGTAAAACACCAAAAGCAATGGCAACAAAAGCCAAAATTGACAAATGGGATCTAATTAAACTAAAGAGCTTCTGCACAGCAAAAGAAAATACCATCAGAGTGAACAGGCAACCTACAGAATGGGAGAAAATTTTTGCAATCTATCCATCTGACAAAGGTCTAGTATCCAGAATCTACAAGGAACTTAAACAAATTTACAAGGAAAAAAACCAAACAACCCCATCAAAAAGTGGGTGAAGGATATGAACAGACACTTCTCAAAAGAGGACATTTATGTGTCCAATAAACATATGAAAATCATCATCACTGGTCGTTAGAGAAATGCAAATCAAAACAACTATGAGATACCATCTCCTGCCAGTTAGAATGGCAATCATTAAAAAGTCAGGAAACAACAGATGCTGGAGAGGATATGGAGAAATAGGAATGCTTTTACACTGTTGGTGGGAGTGTAAATTACTTCAACCATTGTGGAAGATAGTGTGGAGATTCCTCAGGAATCTAGAATCAGAAATACCAATTGACCCAGCAATCCCATCACTGGTTGTATACCCAAAGGATTATAAATCATTCTACCATAAAGACACATGCACATGTATGTTTATTGCAGGACTATACACAATAGCAAAGACTTGGAACCCACCAAAATGTCCATCAGTGATAGACTGGATAAAGAAAATGTGGCACATATCCACCATGGGATACTATGCAGCCATAAAAAAGGATGAATTCATGTCTTTTGCAGGGACATGGATTAAGCTGGAAACCATAATTCTCAGAAAACTAACACAGGAACAGAAAGCCAAACACTGCATGTTCTCACTCTTAAGTGGGAGTTGAACAATGAGGACACAGGGAGGGGAATGTCACTCACTGGGGCTTTTTGGGGGGTGGAGGGCTATGGAAGGGGTAGCATTAGGAGAAATACCCAATGTAGATGACAGGTTGATGGGTGCAGCAAACCACCATGGCACGTGTATACCTATGTAACAAATCTACACATTCTGCACATGTATTCCAGATCTTAAAGTGTGTGTGTGTGTGTATGTGTGTGTGTGTATATATATTTAAAAAGAAATCAAAGAGCAAATCTAGAACATAGCTAGAAGAAAAAAAGACATGGGGCTTTCAAAGGTGTAACAAAAGTATTCTAGCTGATTACTTATTAGAAATAAAAGCCAGCAGAAAAAAATAGAATGGTGCCTTAAAATGTTAAAAGAAAATCA
The DNA here is from genome assembly GCF_000001405.40 of Homo sapiens. Classification (NCBI taxonomy): domain Eukaryota; kingdom Metazoa; phylum Chordata; class Mammalia; order Primates; family Hominidae; genus Homo; species Homo sapiens. The sequence continues at coordinate 67,858,932 of NC_000023.11, read as the reverse complement.
CTGCCAACTCTTTTCCAAGTGTGAAAGATGAATAAACACACTCTCAGTTAAAAAAAACACAGAAAATTGTCAGCAGGTTTTACTGAAAAATTATTGAACTGAGTCTTTCATGAAGCAGGAAAATATGACAGAGGAAAACACAGCACTATATCAAGAGCAGCATAAAGGATAAATATTAGGGGTAATCTAGATTCAAATTTTCTATATAAAAATAAATAAATTCTTGCAAGGTTTAAAATAGATATACAGCCACAAAACACAAAAACAAAGGACAAAAGTCAAGAAAAGGTCAATGGACTTTTACTATTCTGCAGTTCTTATGTTGTACAGAAAATTTTAAAAAGACTAATTTGTATTAGAATCTAAGAAGTGAAAAAACATTGTATTATCTAGGATAATGACTAAGAATAGTAAAAAAGTAAGTTTATAAGTAACAAAATAAGAAAAGGGGAAATGAAATAATGAATGTCACTGGATTCATCCAAAATAAGTAAAGAAAGGAAAAAAAGAGGCATATAATAGGTGGTACAAATAGTAATATGGTATATTTAAACACTAATACATTAGTAATTACATTAAGTATAAATGAATTAAATAACCCACTTGGACAAAATTTTTATACTGCATTAAAAATTGACTAAATACTGCTGAATGTAAGTGTATCTTAAATATAACGATACAGAAATAGTGAAAGGAAAGCTAAAATTGATAGCACTACAGAAAGAAAAAGGATAAATCCACAATAACAGTGGAAAATGTTAAAATACCTCTTTTAGTAATTTATAGAGCAGACTACAAAAAATCAGTAAGGAGATTATAGATTTTAACTGAAGATTGACAAATCGGTATAGAACGCTGTACCCCCAAATTGAAGAATAATTATTTTCAAGTGTACATAAAACTGTTACCAAAATTGACACTATGTTGGGCCATAAAGCAAGTCTCAACAAATTCGAAGAGTTAAAATCATACAAAATAAATTCGCTGATCATAATTTTATTTAGCTTTGAAGGAATTTAAAACATTTTACCCTAAAATATATTTCTTTGACATATTTTGAAATGGCTGCTGCAGAGCCAGCAAAGAGAAGTGGCCTTGCAAAGCTGACTTTTGTGGAGAATAATTTGTATTTGTAGAAAATCTCCACTAATCTAGCCAGGTGTTTTCTATTCCTTTCCTAGATCTAGGAAAGAATGAGAGTCTGATAACTTTAAAAGTCTAAAAAAAAAAAAATGCCATTTATTCTCTCTAAGGGATGCTTCATCTATACAACGAGGCCACCTTTGCTAGCCAAGCCTCTTCCTTTCTCCCTTTTATAACCTCTCTTGCCACTAAAGCCTGTTGTGGGGCACATTCTGAACCCACATTGTTTCTATAATCTTAAGATGTTATACAAACCTCTGTATATATTATTGGGTTGGGTCTTCATTCTGAAGGTCCTGTGTATGCACAATGAATACATTTGTATGCTTTTTATCTTACTAGTCAATTTGGCTTCTGTAAGTAATTTTTCAGGAAACTTTACAGGGCCATGGCTTGAAATCAATAATAAAAAGATAAATAGAAAATCCCCAAACTTCCTGAAAATTATAGAACACATGTCTTTTATTTTTTTGCTTTTGGATTTAAAACAACTACATTTTATTTATTTTTAAAAAAATTTTAAAAAACGTTTAAGTTGGGGGTACATGTGCAGGTTTGTTACATAGATAAACTTGGGTCATGGGGGTTTGTTGCACAGATTATTTCATCACCTAGGTACTAGGCCTAGAACATGAAGGGATGTTAAATTTGTTTGAAGGCCTTTTTTCATCTATTGAAATAATCATGTGGTTTTTGTCTGTAGTTTTGTTTATGTGATGAATCACACTTGCTGATTTGCATGTGTTGAACCAACCTTGCATCCCAGGGATGAAACCTACTTGATTGTGGTGGATAAGCTTTCTGATGTGTTGCTGGATTCAGTTTGCTAGTATTTTGTTGAGGATTTTTGCATTGATGTTCATCAAACATATTGGTCTCAAGTTTTTGTTGTTGTTGTATCTCTGCCAGGTTTTGGTATCAGAATGAAGCTGACCTCATAGAATGAGTTAGGGAGGAGTTCATCCTCAATTTTTTTGAAATAGTTTCAGCAGGAATGGTAGTAGCTCTTCTTTGCACATCTGATAGAATTCACCTGTGAATATGTCTGGTCCTGGCCTTTTTTTGATTGGTAGGCTATTTATTTCTTATTCAATTTCAGTGCTTATTATTGGTCTGTTTAGGGATTTAGTTTCTTCCTGGTTCAGTCTTGCAAGGGTGTATGTGTCCAGGAACTTATTTATTTATTTGAGATTTTCTAGTTCATGTGCATAGAAGTGTTCATAGTATTCTCTGATGGTTGTATTTCTGTGGGTGAGTGGTAATATCCCTCTTGTCATTTCTAATTGAAAAATACATTTTATTGTGTATATGTGAGGTTTACATAACATGATGCTATTTGATACATATAGATAGTAGAATGGTTACTGTAGTGAAGTAAATTAACATATCTAGCATCTCACATAATTACTTTTTTTGTGACAAGAGCAGCTAAAACCTACTTAACAAAAATCTCAACTATGATACAATTTTTTAACCTTCATTTTATATTCAGAGGTATATGTGAAGGTTTGTTACATAGGTAAATTCTGTGTCACAGGGTTTGATGTACAGATTATTTTATCATGCAGGTAATAAGGATAGTACCTGATAGGTAGTATTTTTGTAACTGCCAGATGGGTTTACCTTGTCTGCTGCCTAGACAGAGCCAATTTATCAAGACAAAGGAATTTCAATAGAGAAAGAGTAATTCACACAGAGCTGGCTGTTGGGGGAGGCCAGAGTTTTGTTATTACTCAAATCAATGTCCCTGAGAGTTCATGAATGGAGTTTTTAAGGATAATTTGGTGGGTAGGGGGCCAGTGAGTCAGGAGTTCTGATTGGTCAGGTTGGAGATGAAATCATAGGGAGTTGAAGCTGTCCTCTTATGCTGAGTTAGTTCCTGGGTGGGGGCCACGAGATCAAATGAGCCAGTTTATCAATCTGGGTGGTGCCAGGTGATCCAGCCAATGAGGGGTCTGTAAAATATCTTAAGCACTGATCTTAGGTTTTGCAGTGATGTTATACCCAGGAGCAATTTGAGGTGGTTTAACATTTTGCAGCCTCTAGTTGTTTGACTCTTAAACCATAATTTCTAATCTTGTGGCTAGTTAGTTGTGCAAAGGCAGTCTATTCTCCAGGCAGGAAGGGAGTTTGTTTAGGGAAAGGGCTGTTATTATCTTTGTTTCAAAGCTAAACTATAAACTAAGTTCCTCCCAAAATTACTTCAGCCTACACCTAGGAATGAACAAGGACAGCCTGGAGGCTAGAAGCAAGATGAATTTGGTTAGGTCAGATCTGTTTCACTGTGATAATTTTCTCAGTTATGATTTTTTGCAAAGGTGGTTTCATTTTTATCCTCACCCTCCTGCCACCCTCCACCCTTGAGTTGGTCCTGGTGTCTTTTGTTCCCTTCTTTGTATGAGTGTGTACTCAATGTTTAGCTCTCACTTTTAAGTGAGGACATGCAGTATTTGGTTTTCTGTTTCTGCATTGGTTCATGTAAGATAATGCCTCCAGTGCCATCCATGTTTCTGCAAAGGACATGATCTCATTCTTTTTTATGGCTGCATAGTATTCCATGGTATATATGTACCACAGTTGCTTTACCCAGTTTACCATTGATAGACATTTAGGTTGATTCTATGTCTTTGCTGCTGGGAGCACACTTTTAAATAATGCATGGGTCAAATCACAGTGGAAATTAGAAAAAAAATTAACTGAATGATAATTAAAACATGGCATGCCAAAGTTGTGTGAACCACCTTAGCTATACTTGACAGTTGTCGAATACATATATAAGAAAGCATAGCATAAAATATATTACATGTATTAAATATTTAGTAATCATAGTATTAAATGTAAAGGAAGAAGATTAAAAATCAATGATCTAGGTATCCATGTCAAAAAGTTAGAAAACTAGAAACCAATAAAACCCAAAGAAAATAAGGGAATTGGAATAGTAAAGATGAGAGTAGAACTTATTTCAATTGAAAACAGACTTACAATGGGAACATTTATCAAGGCCATAAGTTGATATCCTAAACATCTAGTAAAACTGATATACCTCTGGCAAGAAATAATCATTGTAATTCACCATATTAGCAGGATATAGAAAAATCACCTGATCATATCCTGAACCCAGAAAATCTGAGACAGGTCTCAGTTAACTCAGAAAGTCTTTTTCCCAAGATTGAGGATGCGCCTGTGACACAGCCTCAGGAAGTCCTGATGACATGTGCCCAAGATGGTTGGGGCACAGCTTGGTTTTATACATTTAGTGAGACATAAGAAATCAACTAATATATGTGAAAAGTATATTGGGTCAGTCCGGAAAGGCAGGACAACTTGAAGCAAAGGCAGGAAGACTCCAAGTGGGGAGGGAGCTGTCCTGAATGGTATTGCCCAGGTTTTCTTCTAGGGTTTTTATGGTTTTAGGTCTAACATTTAAGTCTTTAATCCATCTTGAATTAATTTTTGTATAAGGTGTAAGGAACGGAAAAAAACCTAGGCAATACCATTCAGGACATAGGCATGGGCAAGGACTTCATGTCTAAAACACCAAAAGCAATGGCAACAAAAGCCAAAATTGACAAATGAGACCTAATTAAACTCAAGAGCTTCTGCACAGCAAAAGAAACTACCATCAGAGTGAACAGGCAACCTACAGAATGGGAGAAAATTTTTGCAATCTACTCATTTGACAAATGACTAATATCCAGAATCTACGATGAACTCCAACAATTTACAAGAAAAAAAGAAACAACCCCATCAAAAAGTGGATGAAGGATATGAATAGACACTTCTCAAAAGAAGACATTTATGCAGCCAAAACACATGAAAAAATGCTCATCATCACTGGTCATCAGAGAAATGCAAATCAAAACCACAATGAGATACCATCTCTCACCAGTTAGAATGGCAATCATTAAAAAGTCAGGAAACAACAGGTGCTGGAGAGGATGTGGAGAAATAGGAACACTTTTACACTGTTGGTGGGACTGTAAACTAGTTCAACCATTGTGGAAGTCAGTGTGGCGATTCCTCAGGGATCTAGAACTAGAAATGCCATTTGACCCAGCCATCTCATTACTGGGTATATACCCAAAGGATTATAAATCATGCTGCTATAAAGACACATGCACACGTATGTTTATTGCAGCACTATTCACAATAGCAAAGACTTGGAACCAACCCAAATGTCCAACAATGATTGACTGGATTAAGAAAATGTGGCACATATACACCATGGAATACTATGCAGCCATAAAAATTGATGAGTTCATGTCCTTTGTAGGGACATGGATGAAGCTTGAATCCATCATTCTCAGCAAACTATCGCAAGGACAGAAAACCAAGCACCGCATGTTCTCAGTCATAGGTGGGAATTGAACAATGAGAACACATGGACACAGGAAGGGGAACATCACACACCAGGGCCTGTTGTGGGGTTGGGGGAGAGGGGAGGGATAGCATTAGGAGATATACCTAATGTTAAATGACGAGTTAATGGGTACAGCACACAAATATGGCACATGTATACATATGTAACTAACCTGCACGTTGTGCACATGTACCCTAAAACTTAAAGTATAATAAAAACAAAAAGAAAAACAAAAAAAAAAGAATAACCAAAAAAAAAAAAGAAAAAAAAAGAAAAATATTTGGACTTCTTTTTGCTCTGGCAATGATGTCCCTCCCCAAAGAACCCTTTCCATAGTTATATCAGTTAAGAACTGAACTTACCCATGAATAAAAAAACCCTCCCAACATGGTCATTATTAAGGATTTAATTTGTCTTACATAACAAGAAACCCAGAAGTAGATGGTTCCTTGATTCTCTGAGATCTAAGCTTTTGATCTTCCACTCAGCCCAGTCTGCCACATAGAGTTGTGACAATTTTTGTTTTCCAGTGGTGCCCAGTGAGGGGATAAGTGAAAGTTAAAACAGACCTTTCTCTCAGAGACAGTAACTTCCCCCCTTTCTCACAGAGGTATTATCTAGTTTAGCTATTGCCAACCGCATCTTCCCTATTCTACTCCATTAGTTGATATGACTAGTTTTATGCCAGCACCATGCTAATTCAATTACTGTAGCTTTGTAATAACTTTGGAATTCAGATAATGTGAAAATTCTAGCTATATTGTTTTTCAAGATTATTTTGGCTATTTGATGTCTATTGAGATTTCATAGGAATTTTAGGATGGATTTTTCCATTTCTAGACACAAGTTTATTGGGATTTTGTTAGGAATTGTATTGAACATACACATTTTCTGTAGTATTGACCTCTTAAGCATATTGTTTAAGCTGACCCCAAATATTTTCTTATTTTGATACTATTGTAAATAGAATTGTTTTATTTATATCCTTGTCAGATTTTTCATTGTTAATGTATAGAAACATAATGGATTTTGGCATGTTGTATTTATATTCTGTGACTGTGCTGGATTTGTTTGTATTAATAAGCTCAGGCTTCCATAACAAAATGCTGCAGTTTGGGTGGTTTACATAACAGAAATTTCTTTTCTCATAGTTCTGGAGGCTCCAATTGCAAGATCAAATTCCAGTTGATTTGGTTTCTGGTGAGGTCTCTCTTCCTGGCTTGAAGACAGCTGCCTTCTCATTATATCATCACATGGCCTTTCCTCAGTGAATTTGCTTGAATAGTGAGCTGTCCGGTGTCTCTTCTTATAAGGACACTAATTCTATCAGATCAGGGCCCCAGTTTTTGAACTCATTTAACTTTAATTACTTCCCACTGCAAATACAGCCACAATGGCAGTTATGGCCTCAAATATAAATTGTGGGGGTAGAGGGAGACACAAAAATTTAGTCCATTTATTAGTTCTAACAGTTTTTCTCCCTGTAATCTCTAGAGTTTTCTACAGATAAAAATCACATTATCTCCTCCAACTAACATCAACAGCATATACATTCTTCTCATCTGCACACAGACCATACTCTAAGATCGACCACATTCTCAGCCATAAAGTAAGTCTCAATAAATTTAAAAATTCAGAATCATACCAAGCATACTCTCAGAACAGTGAAATAAAAATCAATATCAAGAAGGCCTCATAAAAACACACAATTACATTGAGATTAAAGGACTTTCTCCTGAATGACTTTTGGGTAAACAATGAAATTAGAGCAGAAATTTAAAAAAAATCCTTGAAATTAATGAAAATGGAGACACAACATACCAAAATCTTTGGGATCCAAGTAAAATAATGTGGGGAGGAATGTTTATAGTGCTAAACACCTGTTATACATCAACACTTTAAAAAGATTTAAAATGAAAATTCTAACATCACAGCTAGTGAGAACAAACCATCCCCAAAGCTAGAAGAAGAAAAGAATAACCAAAATCAGCAAAACTGGATAAAACTGAGATGCAAAAATCCATAAAAAAGATAAATGAAACCAAAAGTTGGTTCTTTGAAAGAATAAACTAGAGTGATAGACAGCTAACTAGATTAACAAAGAAAATTTAAAAAAAAGATTCAAATAAGCACAATCAGAAATGAAAATACATTATAACTGATCTCACAGAAATAAAAAAGTTCATTAGGGACTGGCCTGACATGATGTCTCAAGCCTGTAATCCCAGCACTTTTGGTAGGACAAGGCAGGTGGATCACTTGAGGTCAGGAGTTCGAGACCAGCCTGGCCAACATGGTGAAACCGTGTCTCTACTAAAAATACAAAAAAGTAGCTGGGAATGGTGGAACATGCTTGCAGTCCCAGCTACTCAGGAGGCTGAGGCAGGAGAATCACTTGAACCTGGAAGACAGAGGTTGCAGTGAGCTGAGATCATGCCATGTACTCCAGCCTGGGTGACAGAGTGAGACTCCATCTCAATAATAATAAAAAATAATCAGAGAGTATTATGAACAGCACTATGCACACAATTTAGAAAATTTAGATGAAATGGATAAATTCCTGGAAACACACAACTTCCCAAGGTAGAACCAGGAAGAAATTGAAATGCTCAACAGACTGGTAATGAGTTCCAAAAATGAATCAGTTAAAAAAAAACCCAACCAGCTAACCAAAAATGCTGTGAGCCAGAGGGATTCACAGCGAAATTCTACCAGACATACAAATAAGAGCTGATACCAATTATATTGATGAAACTATTCCAAAAATGTGATAGCAAAATCTGGCAGAGACACAGCAACAAAAACAAAAACTTTAGGCCAATATCCCTGATGAACATAGATGCAAAAATCCTGAACAAAATACTAGCAAATCAAATCCAGCAACTCATCAAAATTGAATTCAGTGTGATCAAATAGGCTTTATCCATGGAATGCAAGGTTGGTTCAACATATGCAAATCAACAAATGTGATTGACAAATTAACAATTAAAAAACATATTACTTCTTCCTTTCCAATTTGGATGGCTTTTATTTTTCTTCTTGTCTAATCGCTCTAGCTAGGACTTCCAGTATCATAAGGAACAGAAGTGGTGAGAGCAGGCATTGATGTCTAATAAAACATATCATAGAAGAAAAGCTTTCAGTCTTTGACCATTGAGCATGACTTTAGCTGTGGGTTTTTAACATGTGACCTTTACTATATTGAAGTAGTGTCCTTCTATTCCTAGTTTGTTGAGTATTTTTTTTTTAATTATGAAAAGGGCTTGAATTTTATCAAATGTGTTTTCTGCACCTATTGAAATGATAATATGGGCATCTTTTCTTCATTCCGTTATTGTGGTATATTATATTGTTTTCTTTTCATATGTTGAGACATCCTTGACTTCAAAAAATAAGCCCATTTTGGTCATGGTGTATAATTCTATTAATGTCCTTTTGGATGCATTTTGTCAGTATTTTGTTGAGGATTTTTGAATCCATACTCATAAGGGATATTAGTTCGTAGGGGTTTTTTTCTTATAGTGTCATTGTATAGATGTATTATCCAGGTAAGGCTGGCTGCATAGAATGAGTTAAAAAGTCTTCCTTCCTTGATGTAGTTCAGATGTTTTTCCCCTCCAAATCTCATGTTGAGATGTGATCCCCAATGTTGGATGTGGGGCCTGATGCGAGGTGTTTTTGCAAAGGGAGTGGATCCTTCATGGATGGCTTGGTGCCCTACTTGTGGTAGTGAGTGATTTCTCATTCTCTTAGTTTATATGAGAGCTGTTTAAAGAGCCTGGCAACTGCTCCATTCCTTCTTACTCCTCTCACCGTGTGTCATGTCTGCTCCTCCTTCCTCTTCCACTGTGATTGTAAGCTTCTTGGGGTCCTCACCAGAAACAAATACTGGCACTATGCTTCTTGCACAGTCTGAAGAACTGTGAGCAAAAATAAACCTTCTTTCTTTATCAACTACCCAGCCTCAGATATTCCTCTATAGAAACCCCAAGCAGACTAATACACTCCTCTTCAATTTTTTTGCAAGGTTTTGAGCAGGATTGGTGTTAATTCTTTTTAAAATGGTTAACAGAATTCATTAGTGAAGCCATCTGGTTTTGGGCATTTCTTTTTTGGCAGGTTTTCATGATTTGGTCTTGGTGTGTTTGTGTTTCCAGATATTTTCTCATTTCATCTATATTATCTAATTTGTTGATATGAAATTATTTATAATACTTGTTATAATTCTTGTTATTTCTGTAAAATCCATAGTGATGTCTCCACTTTCATTTCTGATTTTAGTCACTTGAGTCTTCTTTTTTTCATTTTCAGTCAATCTAGAAAAGGTTTGTCAATTTTGGTGATTTTTTCCAAAGAACCTATTCTTCACTTCATTGATTTTCTCTATTTCTGTTTTATTTTTCTCTGCTCTGATTTTTATTATTTCCTTCTGCTATTTTCAAGTTAATTTTTCTCTTCTTTTTCTAGTTCCTGAAGATGTAAAGTTGAGTTGTAGATTTGATATTTTTTTCAGTGTATAACTCTAATGAGAAATCATTTAGAGTTATAAATTTTCATTTTAGCCCTCCTTTTACTGTATTCCATTAGTTTTCGTATGTTGTGTTTAAATTGTTATTTGTCTCAGGATATTTTCTAATTTCTCTTGTGATTTCTCCTTTAATCCATTGGTTGTTTAAGACTGTGTTGTTTGATTTTCACATATTTGTGAATTTTACAATTTTCCCTCTGTTATTCTTTTCTATTTCCATTTATTTGTTTTCAGAATAGATACTTTATATAATTTCAAGCTTTTAAATTTATTAAGGCTTGTTTTGTGAACTATACATGGTCAATCCTGGAGAATGTTCCATGTTCACTTGAGAAAAATGTGCATTCAGCTTTTGTTGCATGAAGTGTTCTGTGTATGTTTTAGGTCCAATTGGTCTGCAGTGTTGTTCATATTCTCTATTGCATAATTGATTTGTGTCTGTTGTTCTATTCATAATTGAAAGTAGCATTTTAGTCTCCTAGGATTATTGTAGAACTGTTTCTTTCTCCCTTCGATTCTGTCAATGTGTGTTTCATACTTTTAGTAGCTCTGATCTTCGATTGGTATATGTTTATAATCATTATATCTCAGTGAATTGACTCTTTTATCATTATGTAATGTCTTACTTTGTCTCTTATAATAGTTTTTATCTGAAAACCTATTTTATCCTATATTACTATAGCCACTCCTGCTCTCTTCTGGTAACTATTTGTATAAAATATTTTTATATAATTTTTTAATTTTTAATACATAGTAGGTGTGTGCACATATATGTGTATATATATGTATATATATGTATATATATATATATGGGGTATATGAGATGTTTTGATACAGGCATGCAATGTGAAATAATTACATCATGGGGAAAGGGGTATCCATCCCCTTCTTTGTGTTACAAACAATCCAATTACTCTCTTTTAGTTATTTAAAAATGTACAACTAGGCTATTATTGGCTACAGTCATCCTGTTGTGCTCTCAAATGCTAAATCTCATTCATTCTTTTTAACTACCTTTTTTTCATAACCATTAGCCATCTCCAACTCCCTCCCAGCCCCCTACTACCCTTCCCAGCCTCTGGTAACCGTCCTTCTACTCTCTATGTCCATGAATTCAATTTTTTTAATTGTTAGATCCCACAGATTAGTGAAACCCTGTGATGTTTGTCTTTCTGTGCCTGGCTTATTTCATTTAGTATAATGAACTCCATTTCCATTCATGCAGATGACAGAATTTCATTCTTTTCTATGGCTGAATAGTATTCCATTGAGTATAAGTACCACATTTTCTTTATCCACTCATCTGTTGGACACTTATGTTGCTTCCAAATCATGGCTATTGTGAACAGTGCTGCAACAAACATGGGAGTGCAGATATCTCTTCAATATACTCATTTCCTTTTTGGTGGGTATATACTCAGCAGTGAGATTGCTGAGGGGTGGCTCTATTTTTTGCTTCCTGAGGAACCTCCAACCAGTTCTCCAGAGTGATTGTACTAAATTAGATTCCCACCAACAGTGTACAAGTGTTCTCTTTTCTCCACAACCTCACCAGCAATTGTTTTTGCCTGTCTTTTGGATATAAGTCATTTTAACGTGGATTAGATGCTGTCTTATTGTAGTTTTGATTTGAATTTCCCTGATGATGAATAATGTTGAGCATCTCTTCATATGCCTGCTTGACATTTGTATGTCTTCTTTCAAGAAATGTCTATTCAGATTTTTTGTCCATTTTTTGATCAGATTATTAGATTTTTTCTTATAGAGTTGTTTGAGCTCCTTATATATTCTGGTTATCAATCACTTGACAGATAAGTAGTTTGCAAATATTTTCTCCCATTCTGTGGGTTGTATCTTCACTTTGTTGGTTGTATCCTTTGCTGTGCAGATTTTCAACTTGATATGATCTCATTTGTCCGTTTTTGCTTTAGTTGCCTGTGCTTGTCAGGTATTGCTCAAGAAACTTTTTCCCCACACCAATGTTTTGGAGATTTCGCCCAATGTTTTCTTGTAGTAGTTTCATAGTTTGAGGTCTCTGATTTAAGTCTTTAATTCATTTTGATTTGAAGTTTGTGTATGGTGAGAGATAGAGGTATAGTTTCATCCTTCTGCATATGGACCTCCAATTTCCCCGGCACCATTTATTAAAGAGACTGTCTTTTCTCCAATGTATTCTTGGCACCTTTGTCAAAAATCAGCTCTCTGTAGGTGTGTGGATTTGTTTCTGTGTTCTCAATTCTGTTGCATTGGTCTATGTGCCTATTTTTATGCCAGTAACATGCTGTTTTGGTTACTATAGCTCTATAGTATAATGTCAAGTCAAGTAATATGATTCCTCCAGTTTCGTTATTTTTGCTTAGGATAGCTTTGGTTGTTCTGTTTTTCTTTTTTTTTTTGTGGTTTCACGTAAATTTTAGAATTTTTTTTCTATTTCTGTGAAAAGTGTAACTGATATTTTGATAGAAATTGCATTGAATCTGTAGATTGCTTTGGCTAATATGGACATTTTAACAACACTGATTCTTCCAATCTGTGGACATGAACTATTTTTCCATTTTTTGGGGTCCTCTTCAATTTTTTCATCAATGTTTTATAGTTTTCATTATAGAGGTCTTTCATTTCTTTGGTTAATTTCTAGGTATTTAATTTTTTTGTTTGGTTATTGTCAATAGAATTACTTTTTTATTTCTTTTGTAGATTCTTCACTGTTGGCATATAGAAATGCTACTGATTCTTGTATGTTGATTTTGTGTCCTGCAACTCATTGAATTTGTTTATCACTTCTAATAGTTTTTTTGTGAGGAGTCATTAGGTTTTTCTAAATATATGATCATATCTTCTGCACACCATATTAATTTCACTTGTTCCTTTCCAATTTGGATCCCTTTATTTCTTTATCTTGTCTGGTTTTTATATGAATATTTTGCTATACTTTTATTTTCAACCTATGCATGTTCTCAGATCTAAAGTAAGTCTCTCAAAAGACACAATAGAGTTGTACTCTGTTTATTTATTCATTCTGCCACTCTATGTCTTTGATTGGGATGTTTACTCATTTAAGTTTAAAGTAATTACTAATAAGAGATGACTTCTTTTTGCCATTTTATTATTTATTTTCTGTGAGTCTTATAGCTTTTGGTGTCTTATTTTCTCCATTATTGTTTTCTATTTTGATAGCTTTTTTTTTCCTGTAGTGACAAGTTTGCATCTACTTCTGATTTTCTTTTGTGTGTATCCTACAGATATTTTCTTTTTGGTTACTATGGGAATTACTGTGGGAATGGGTATAGCATTCTAAAGTTATAATAATATATTTTAAACTGATACCAACATAATTTTAGTCACATACAAGCATTCTACTCCTTTTCCACCTTGCCCTTCCCCACTTTACATTATTGATGTTACAGATTATACCTCTGTATATTATGTACCCATTTACATATATTATAATTATTTATCTGTTAAATCCTATAGAAAAATGAAAAGTGGAGTTACATATCAAAATTAAATTAATACTGGTTGTAATATTTTTCCACGTATTTACTTTTACTAACAGGCTTTATACTTTTTGTGGCTTTCAGTTCCTGCCTATAATCTTTTCATTTCAACCTGAAGAATTCCCTTTAGCATTCCCTGTAAGGAAACTGTAGTGGTAATGAGCTCTCCCAGCTTTTGTTTTTTGGGGAATGTCTTAATTTCTCCTTTATTTTTGAAAGACAGTTTTGCAAGATGTAGAATTTTTAGTTGGCAAGTTTTTGTTGTTGTTGTTGTTGTTGTTTTCTCAGGTCCTTAAATATATCAGCCTTTTGACTTGCAATATTTCTGTTGGGAAATCCACAACCCCATTGAGAATTTCTTGATCATTATGAGGTACTTTTTTTTTATGCTTCCAAGATTCTTTCCATGTTTTTGGCTTCCAATAGTTTGATTATAATGTGTCTTTGTACTTGCACATTGTGCACATGTACCCTAAAACTTAAAGTATAATAATAATAAATAAAAAAAAGAAAAAATGTGTCTTAGTGTCCATGTTTTTGGCTTCCAATAGTTTGATTATGATGAGTCTTAGTGTAGGACTCTTTAGTTATATCCTATTTGAAGTTCATTGAGCATCTTGCATTTGTAGATCCATGTCTTTTCTTCAATTTGTGAAATTTTCAAGCATTATTTTTCTCAAGCGTCTCCTTTTCTCCCTCTCTTCTCCTTTGGGGATTCCTATAATGCATATATTATTTACTTTGATGCTGTACCATAAGTCCTTAGTCTCTTGTTCACCAGTTTTTCTTTCTTTGTATAAATTTAAGAGGTACAAGTAAAGTGCAATTTTATTATATGGAGATATTACATAGTGGTGAAGGCTTGACTTTTAGTTGTATCCGTCACCTGAATAACATACATTGTCACCATTAAGTAGTTTCTCATCATCCACCCCCTCCCATTCTTTCAAGTCTTCAATGTCTATTATTTCCCATTCTATATGTATGTGTATTATTATTTAGCTCTCACTTATATGTGAGAATATGTGGTATTTAACTTTATGTTTCTGAGTTGTTTCACTTGAGATCGTGGCCTCCAGTTGCACCCAAGTTGCTGCAAAAGACATGATTGCATTATTTTTAATTGCTGAATAGTATTCCACATTTTCTTTACCCAGTCATGGACATTTAGGTTGATTTCATGTCTTTGCTATTGTGAACAGTACTGTGATAAACATATGAGTGCAAGTATCTTTCTGAATAGTACTGTGATAGACACATGAGTGTATGCATCTTTTTGATATAATGACTTCTTTTCTTTGGGTTCATACCCAGTAGTGGGATTGCTAGATTGAATGGCAGTTCTATTTTCAGTTCTTTAATAAGCCTCCATACTGTTTTTCCATAAAGTTTGTACTAATAATTTACATTCCCACTAATAGTGTATAAGCACCTTTTCTTCACATAATTGCCAACATCTGTTATTTTTAAATTTTTTAATAATAGCCATTCTGACTGGTGTAAAATGATATTTCACTGTGGTTTTAATTTGCATTTCCCTGGTGATTAGTGATGTTGAGCATTTTTTCACTTTTGTTGATCATTTGTATGTCTTCTTTTGAAAATGTCTATTCATATCCTTCCCCTACATTTTAATTGAATTATTTGTGTTTTTTTTAGTTTAGAGTTTGCAAAGCACTTTAATCTTCTTTCTTTCATTTCTATTATGTGGACTCCATCACCTTTCTAACCATTGGTAAACTCAAGAGAAATGATGCCTGAAGTAGGGTATCATTCCCAAGTTGCCAGGGACATATTCAGTAAAGGATTTTACAATCTCAAGAGAACCATATTCCAAGGGAGTAGTAGCACACAATAGTACGCAACACTGTGGACTTTGCTGCACAGGACAGCTCACTCAATAGGCTCTATGGAGCTATTTAGAGAGTTCGAATGTCCCACTACTTATGGTGAAGGGAAACATGAAAGATGCTGTACTGCTTTCCAGAATCACTGATGTGCAGGCAAATCATATCCAGAGTATGGTAAAGAGCCACCAGAAGGTATTGGGAAGACCTGGCTGCCTACAAGCCATTAATCCTCTCCCAGGCACACACATGAAATTTTCAGAGGAAGATAACACATCTCATCTATTCTCTAATCTAGTAAGGCTGGCATTACCAGATGCAAGAGTCAATGATCAAGACAGAACCCTCTCCCATACTTCAGATTGCCATTGCGTAATTTGGCCCTGGGAAAGAGAGTTCCACATTGATATAATACCCCTCAAGGGCTGGGCATGGTGGCTTACACCTATAATCCCGGTACTTTGGGAGGCCGAGGTGGGCAGATCACCTGAAGTCAGGAGTTCGAGACCAGCCTGGCCAACATGGTGAAACCCCGTCTCTACAAAAAATACAAAATTAGCTGGGCCTGGTAGTGCATGCCTGTAATCCCAGCTACTTGGGAGGCTGAGGTGGAAGAATTGCTTGAACCTGGGAGGTGGAGGTTGCAGTGAGCCGAGATCATGCTACTGCACTCCAGCCTGGGTGACAGAGTGAGACTCAATCTAAGAAAAAAAGAAATAATTAAATACCCCTCATGAAGTTTAGAAACTGGCTACAACTATCAATATCTGGTCTTGCCTTCAGTATCATAGTGTTTTGCATAGCTAACACAACTCTACGTCAACCATGAAGAGCATTAACTCCTGGAGCACCACCACAGCTAAAGCCAACAGCTCTTTTTTCAGTGTTACTGTTTGCAGCAAGGCTCCAGCATTTGCTTGAGCTAGCTTTGGCCTTGCGCCTACTAAGAAACCCTGTGCCCCTAACATCCTGGTTTATGGTATCAGCAGCATTAGCTGTGGATCCAACAATCTGAACTATCTTTAAAATTTTTTAATTTTTAATTTCTCTGGGTACATAGTAGGTACATGTATTTATGGGGTACATGAGATATTTTCATACAGGCATGCAATGCATAATAAAAACTTCATAGAAAATGTGGTATCCATCCCCCAAAACATTTATCCTTTGTGTTACAAACAATACAATTATACTTTTTGTTGTTTAAAAATATACAATTAAAGTATTTTGACTACACACATCCTGTTGTGTTATCAAATACTAGGTCTTATTTATTCACTTTAAATATCTTTTTTTGGACCCATTAATCATCCCCACCTCCTCCTCATCCCCTACTACCCTTCCCACCTTCTAGTAACCATTCTTCTACTTTGTATGTCTATTAGTTCAATTGATTTGATTTTTAGATACCAAAAATAAGTGAGAACAAGTTATGTTTGTCTTTCTGTGCCTGGCTTATTTCATTTAGCATAATAAACCTCATTTCCATTCATGCAAATGACAGGATCTCATTCCTTTTTTGTGGCTGAATAGTACTCCATTGAGTATAAGAACATTTTCTTTATGCATTCATCCCTTGGACACTTAGTTTGCTTCCAAATCATAGCTATTGTGAACAGTGCTGCAACAAATGTGGGAGTGCAGATATCTCTTCAATATACTCACTTCCTTTCTTTTGGGTATATACTCAGCAGTGGAATTGCTGGATCATATGGTAGCTCTATTTTTAGTTTTTTAAAGGAAATTCCAAACTGTTCTCCACAGTGATTTTACTAATTTACATTCCCACCAACAGTGTCGAGGGTTCTCTTTTCTCCACATCCTCGCCAGCATTTGTTATTGCCTGTCTTTTGGATATACACCATATTAACTGAAAGAGATAACATTTCATTGTAGTTTTGATTTGCATTTCTCTGATGATCAATGATGTTGAGCATCTTTTCATAGGCCTGTTCGCCTTTTGTATGTCTTCTATTGAGAAATGTCTATTCAGATTTTTGCCTGTTTTTAAATTGGATTGTTAGCTTTTTTCCTTGTATTACTCTATACACACCCTAGTTATTAATCTCTTGTCAGAAGGGTATTTGCAAATATTTTCTCCCATCCCATGTGTTGTCTCTTCACTTTGTCAATTGTTTCCTTTGCTGTGCAGAAGCTTTTTAACTTGATGTGATCCCATTTGTCAATTTTTGCTTTGGTTACCTGTGCTTGTGGGGTTTGATTCAAGAAATTTTTGCCCAGAACAATGTCCTAGAGAGATTCCTCAATGTTTTCTTCTTGTAGTTTCATAGTTTGAGGTCTTAGATTTAAGTCTTTAATCCATTTTGGTTTGATTTTTGCATACAATGAGAGAAAGGAATCTAGTTTCATTCTTCTGCATATGGATATTCACTTTTCCCAACACCATTTATTGAAGAGACAATGTATGTTCTTTGCACGTTTGTGAAAAATGAGTGCACTTTGGTGTGCAGATTTGTTTCTGGGTTCTCAATTCTGTTCCATTGGTCTGTGTGTCTTTTTTTTTTTGGCAAATACCATACTGTTTGGTTTACTATATCTCTGTAGTATAATTTGAAGTCAGGTAATGTGATACCTCCAGTTTTCTTCTTTTTGCTCAGGGTAGCCTTTGCTATTCTGTGTCTTTTGTAGTTCCATATAAATTTTAGGGTTTTTTTTTCCTATTTTTGTGAAGAATATCATTAGTATTTTGATAGGAATTGCATTGAATCTGTAGATTGTTTTGGGTAGCATCCACCTTTTAACAATATTGATTCTTTCAGTCTATGAACATAAAATATCTTCCCATTTTTAGGTGTCTCCTTCAATTTATTTCAGCAGTATTTTATAGTATTCATTGTAGAGATTTTTCACTTTATTGTTTAAATTAATTTTTAGGCATTTGATTGTATTTGTGGCTACTGTAAATTTTATTACATTCTTGATTTCTTTTTGGATTATTCTCTGTTTGCATATAGAAATGATACTAATTTTTGTATGTTGATTTTGTATCCTGCAGCTTAATGAATTTGTTCATCAGTTCCAATAGTTTTTTTGGTGTAGTCTTTAGGTTTTTCTAAATAGAAGATCATATCTCATGCAAACGAAATGAGTTTCACTTGTTCATTTCCAATTTGGATGCCCTTTACTTCATTTTTTTTGACTGTCTTTGAGTTAAATCTACTTGGTGTTCTATAGCCTTCTTTTACTTACAAATTGGTATATTTCTCTAGGTTTGGGAAGTTCTCTGTTATTATTTCTTTGAATAAACTTTTTACCCCTATCTCTTTCTCTACCTCCTCTTTAAGGCCAATAACTCTTAGATTTGCACTTTTTAGGTAATTTTCTAGATCCTGTAGGCATACTTTATTGTTTATTGTTCTTTTTTTCTTTTGTCTCCTCTGTGTTTTTTTCAAATAGCCTGTCTTTAAGCTCACTAATTTTGTCTTCTGCTTGATCAATTTTACTACAAAAGACTCTGATATATTCTTTGGTATGCCAATTGCATTTTTCAGCTCCAGGATTTCTCTTTATTATTAATTATTTCAATCTTTTATTTAAATTATTCTGATAGAATTCTGAATTCCTTCTCTTTGTTTTCTTGAATTTTTTTGAGTTTTTTCAGAACAACTATTTTTAATACTCTGTTTGAAAGGTCACCAGAATTGTTCCCTGATTCCTTATTTAGTTAATTTGGTGAAGTCATATTTTCTTGGACAGTCATGATACTTGTGGATGTTCATCTATGTCTGGGCATTGAAGAATCCAGTATTTATTGTAGTCTTCTTGGTCTGGTCTTGTTTGTATCTTTTCCTCTTAGGAAGGCTTTCCAGATATTTGAAAGGACTTGAGTGTTGTGATCTAAGCTTTATCTGTTTTACAGGGACCCCCAAGCCCAGTACTGCGGTTCTAGCAGACTTGAAGAGGTACTGCCTGAATGGTCTTGGACAAGATCTGGGAGAATTCTCTTCATTACCAGGCAGAGACTCATGTTTTCTTATTTTATTTTCCCCTAAATAGAGTTTATCTCTGTTCTGAGCCCCCTGGAGGTGACGTGAAATTACACAAACATCTTTGATGCCCCTACCACTAGGACTTGCTCTGGGTCAGGTCTGAAGCCAGCGAAGCACTAAGTCTAACCCAAGTCCTGCTGTAACCACTCCCTGGCTATAGACTATGTTCTCTCAAGGTCCTGGGGACTCTACATTCAGCAGGTGGCAAAGCCAATTAGGCCTATGTCCAGGGTAGCAAGTTCCTCTAGGTGCCAGACAAGTCCAAAGTTGTTGTCTGGGAGCCAGACACTAGAGTCAAAAACCTTAGAAATCTACCTGGTTTTCTATTTTACTGCAGCTGAAATGGCACTCACATTACAATATGCAGACCTCCCCACTCTTCCCTCCCCTTTTCAAAGACAGAGGAGCCTCACCCCATGGCCATCACCACTACAGTCCCAGGGGTAGAATTGCCAGACTACCTCTTTTGTTCTCTTAAAGCCCAGAAGCTCTTCAGTCAGCTTGCGGTGAATGCTGCCTGGCCTTGGACTCACCTTTCATGGCAGTGGGCTCTTCTGTGGCCCAGACCCAGTCCAGGAATGCTGTCCAAGAGCCAAGCCCTGGAATTGGGCACCCCAAAAACTGGCTTGGTGCTCTACCCTTCTGTGGCTGAGCTGGTACCTAAAGTCCAAGACAAAATCTCCTTTAATTTTTCCTCTACTTTTCTCAATCGAAAGGAGTCTCACCTTGTAGCCACCAAAGCTGGGAATGTGCTGAGTCTCACCTGAAGCCAGCAAGTCTGAAAGTTTCACCGAAGGGCCTTGTCATAGTACCTGGGTTTCTCTGCTGGTTATTCAGGGCCCTAGGGCTCTTCAGTTAGCAGGTAATGAATCTCACCAGGACTGGGTCTTTCCGTTCAAGGCAGTAGCTTCCCTTCTGGCCCAGAGTGTCTCTAGAAATGTCATCCAGGAGCTAGTGCCTGAAAAGGTGGCCTCAGGACTTTGACCGGTGCCCTATACTAATGCAGCTGAGCTGGTATTCAAAATGGAAGATAAAGTCCTCCCATTTTTCCCTCTCCTGTTTTCAGCAAAGGGAAGGTGTCTCTTTTGGAACTGTGAACTGTGCAGCCTGGGGTTAGGGGAGGAGGATGCCAGCACTTCTATAGCTACCCAGGCTGGTGTCCCAGTAGGTTACATGCACCCTAGTCCACTGGCTCCGCCCAATTCAGCACTAGTACTTACCTAGGAGTAGCAGTTATTGTGGCCTAGGCTGCATTTCAAGTTTACTTGGGATCCCAGAGTACTTTAGCCCATGGTGGCGAGGCTTGTGGGAACTCAAGTTTGGGCTGTTGGGATCAGAGATTCTCACCACCTACGGCTGGTTTGAATGCTCTACACCTGGATGGGTGTCAGCTGAGTTTGGTCTGGTATTATTTTCTGCTACAACAGGGCACCATTGAGTGAAATACTTCACAACTGCTGCACTGTCCCTCTCCGTAGTGCACAGAAATGCTCTCTGCACCATACGGCCAATATCTAGGGATGGGGGAGGGGTGGCATTCATCACTTAAGACTCTTTTTCCCACCTCTTCAGTGCCTCTTTCAGTGATATAAAGTTAAAACTAGACTCTGTGAGTGCTCATCTTATTTTTAGTTCTAATGATGGTGCTTTTTTGTGTAGATAGTTTTTTTTTTTAAATTATACTTTAAGATCTGGGTTACATGTACAAAACATGCAGTTTTGTTACATAGGTATACACGTACCATTGTGGTGTGCTGCACCCATCAACCTGTCACCTACATTAGGTATTTCTGCTAACGTTATCCCTCCAAGAGCCCCCCTCCCCACACAGGCCCCGGTGTGTGATATTTCCCGCCCTGTGTCCATGTGTTCTCATTGTTCACCTCCCACTTATCAGTGAGAATATGCAGTGTTTAGTTTTCTGATCTTGTGATAGTCCAGCTTCATCCATGTCTCTGCAAAGGACATTAACTCATCCTTTTTTTAAAAATTTTATTATTATTATTCTTTAAGTTTTAGGGTACATGTGCACAACGTGCAGATTTCTTGCATATGTATACATGTGCCATGTTGGTGTGCTGCACCCATTAACTCGTCATTTAGCATTAGGTATATCTCCTAATGCTATCCCTCCCCCCTCCCTCAACCCCACAACTGTCCCCTGTGTGATGTTCCCCTTCCTGTGTCCATGTGTTCTCATTGTTCAATTCACACCTATGAGTGAGAACGTGCGGTGTTTGGTTTTTTGTCCTTGCGATAGTTTGCTGAGAATGATGGTTTCCAATTTCATCCATGTCCCTACAAAGGACATGAACCCATCATTTTTTATGGCTGCATAGTATTCCATGGTGTATATGTGCCACATTTTCTTAATCCAGACTATCATTGTTGGACATTTAGGTTGGTTCCAAGTCTTTGCTATTGTGAATAGTGCCACAATAAACATATGTGTGCATGTGTCTTTATAGCAGCATGATTTATAATCCTTTGGGTATATACCCAGTAATGGGATGACTGGGTCCAATGGTATTTCTACTTCTAGATCCCTGAGGAATCGCCACACTGTCTTCCACAATGGTTGAACTAGTTTACAGTCCCACCAACAGTGTAAAAGTGTTCCTATTTCTCCACATCCTCTCCAGCACCTGTTGTTTCCTGACTTTTTAATGATCGCCATTCTAACTGGTGTGAGATGGTATCTCATTGTGGTTTTGATTTGCATTTCTCTGATGGCCAGTGATGATGAGCATTTTTTCATGTGTTTTGGCTGCATAAATGTCTTCTTTTGAGAAGTGTCTATTCATATCCTTCGCCCACTTTTTGATGGGGTTGTTCGTTTTTTTCTTGTAAATTTGTTTGAGTTCTTTGTAGATTCTGGATATTAGCCCTTTGTCAGATGAATAGGTTGCGAAAATTTTCTCCCATTCTGTAGGTTGCCTGTTCACTCTGATGGTAGTTTCTTTTGCTGTGCAGAAGCTCTTGAGTTTAATTAGATCCCATTTGTCAATTTTGGCTTTTGTTGCCATTGCTTTTGGTGTTTTAGACATGAAGTCCTTGCCCATGCCTATGTCCTGAATGGTATTGCCTAGGTTTTCTTCTAGGGTTTTTATGGTTTTAGGTCTAACGTTTAAGTCTTTAATCCATCTTGAATTAATTTTTGTATAAGGTGTAAGGAAGGGATCCAGTTTCAGCTTTCTACATATCGCTAGCCAGTTTTCCCAGCACCATTTATTAAATAGGGAATCCTTTCCCCATTGCTTGTTTTTCTCAGGTTTGTCAAAGATCAGATAGTTGTAGATATGTGGCATTATTTCTGAGGGCTCTGTTCTGTTCCATTGAACTATATCTCTGTTTTGATACTAGTACCATGCTGTTTTGGTTACTGTAGCCTTGTAGTATAGTTTGAAGTCAGGTAGCATGATGCCTCCAGCTTTGTTCTTTTTGCTTAGGATTGACTTGGCAATGAGGGCTCTTTTTTGGTTCCATATGAACTTTAAAGTAGTTTTTTCCAATTCTGTGAAGAAAGTCATTGGTCACTTGATGGGGATGGCATTGAATCTATAAATTACCTTGGGCAGTATGGCCATTTTCACGATATTGATTCTTCCTACCCGTGAGCAAGGAATGTTCTTCCATTTGTTTGTATCCTTCTTTATTTCATTGAGCAGTGGTTTGTAGTTCTCCTTGAAGAGGTCCTTCACATCCCTTGTAAGTTGGATTCCTAGGTATTTTATTCTCTTTGAAGCAATTGTGAATGGGAGTCCACTCATAATTTGGCTCTCTGTTTTGTCTGTTATTGATGTAAACTCATCCTTTTTATGGCTGCGTAGTATTCCATGGTGTATATGTGCCACATTTTCTTCATCCAGTCTATCACTGATGGACATTTTCGTTGGTTCCAAGTCTTTGCAATTGTGAATAGTGCTGCAATAAACATACGTGTGCATGTGTCTTGATAGTAGAATGATTTATAATCCTTCGGGTATATGCCCAGATTGGTGGGTCAAATAGTATTTCTAGTTCTAGATCCTTGAGGAATCGCCACACTGTCTTCCACAATGGTTAAACTAATTTACACACTCACCAACAGTGTAAAAGTATTCCTATTTCTCCAGATCTTCTCCAGCATCTTTTGTTTCCTGACTTTTTAATGATCGCCATTCTAACTGGCAAGAGATGGTATCTCATTGTGGTTTTGATTTGCTTTTCTCTAATGACCAGTGATGATGAGCAGTTTTTCATATGTCTGTTGGCTGCATAAATGTCTTCTTTTGAGAAGTGCCTGTTCACATCCATTGCCCATTTTTTGATAGGGTTGTTTGTGTTTTTCTTGTAAATTTGATTAAGTTCTTTGTAGATTCTGGATATTAGCCTTTTGACAGATGAATAGATTGCAAAAATTTTCTCCCATTCTGTAATTTGCTTCTTTCCCTCTGATGATAGTTTCTTTTGCTGTGCAGAAGCTCTTGAGTTTAATTAGATCTCATTTGTCAATTTTGGCTTCTGTTGCCATTGCTTTTGGTGTTTTAGACATGAAGTCTTTGCCCATGTGTATGTCCTGAATGGTATTGCCGAGGTTTTCTTCTAGGATTTTTATGGTCCTAAGTCTTACATTTAAGTCTTTGATCCATCTTGAGTTGCTTTTTTATAAGGTGTAAGGAAGGGATCCAGTTTCAGTTTTCTGCATATGGCTAGCCAGTTTTCCCAACACGATTTATTAAATAGGGAATCTTTTGTCCATTGCTTATGTGTGTCAGGTTTGTCAAATAACCGATGGTGGTAGTTGTGTGGTGTTATTTCTGAGGCCTCCGTTGTGTTCCATTGGTCTATACATCTGTTTTGGTACCAGTACCATGCTGTTTTTGTTACTGTAGACTTCTAGTAGAGTTGAAGTCAGGTAGTGTGATGCTTCCAGGTTTGTTCTTCTTGCTTAGGATTGTCTTGGTTATGCGGGCTCTTTTTTGGTTCCATATGAAGTTTAAAGTAGTTTTTTCCAGTTCTGTGAAGAAAGTCAGTGGTAGCTTCTTGGGGATAGCACTGAATCTGTAAATAACTTTGGGCAGTAGGGCCATTTTCACAATATTGATTCTTCCTATCCATGAGCATCGAATGTTATTCCATTTGTTTGTGTCCTCTCTTATTTCCTTGAACAGTGGTTTGTAGTTCTTCTTGAAGAGGTTCTTCACATTCCTTGTAAGTTGGATTCCTAGGTATTTTATTTTCTTAGTAGAAATTGTCAATGGGAGTTCACTCATGATTTGGCTCTCTGTTTGTCTGTTCTTGGTGTATAGGAATGCTTGTGATTTTTGCACATTGATTTTGTATCCTGACACTTTGCTGAAGTTGCTTTCATCAGCTTAAGGAGATTTTGGGCTGAGACGCTGGAGTTTTCTAAATATACAGTCATGTCATCTGCAAACAGAGAAGATTTGACTTCCACTCTTCCTATTTGAATATCCTTTATTGCTTTCTCTTACCCGATTACACTGGCCAGAACTTCCAATACTTTGTTGAATAAGAGTGGTGAGAGAGGACATCCTTGTCTTGTGCCGGTTTTCAAAGGGAATGTTTCCAGCTTTTGCCCATTCAGTATGATATTTGCTGTGAGTTTGTCATAAATAGCTCTTATTATGTTGAGATACGTTCCATCAATACCTAGTTTATTGAGAATTTTTAGCATAAAGCGCTGTTGAATTTTGTCAAAGGCCTTTTCTGCGTCTATTGAGATAATCATGTGGTTTTTGTCGTTGGTTCTGTTTATGTTATGTATTATGTTTATTGATTTGCGTATGTTGAACCACCCTTGTATCCCAGGGATGAAGCCGACTTGATCGTGGTGGGTAAGCTTTTTGATATGCTGCTGGTTTCGATTTGCCAGTATTTTATTGAGGATTTTCACATCGATGTTCATCAGGGATATTGGTCTAAAATTATCTTTTATTGTTGTTTCTCTGCCAGGCTTTGGTATCAGGATGATGCTGGCCTCATAAAATTAGTTAGGGAGGATTCCCTCTTTTTCTGTTGATCAGAACACTTTCAGAAGGAATGGTGTCAGCTCCTGTTTGTACCTGTGGTAGAATTTGGCTGTGAACCCGTCTGGTCCTGGGCTTTTTTTGGTTGGTAAGCTATTAAATATTGCCTCAATTTCAGAATCTGTCATTGGTCTATTCAGCGATTCAACTTCTTCCTGGTTTACTCTTGGGTGGGAGGATGTGTCCAGGAATTTATCCATTTTTCTAGATTTTCTAGTTTATTTATGTAGAGGTGTTTGTAGTATTCTCTGATGGTAGTTTGTATTTCAGTGGGATTGGCTGTGATGTCACCTTTATCATTTTTTATTGCATCTATTGAATTATTCTCCCTTTTCTTGTTTACTAGTCTTGCTAGTGGTCTATCAATTTTGTTGATCTTTTCAAAAACCAGCTCTTGGATTCATTGATTTTTTGAAGGGCTTTTTGTGTCTCTATCTCCTTCAGTTCTGCTCTCATCTTAGTTATTTCTTGTCTCATGCTAGCTTTTGAATTTGTTTGCTCTTACTTCTCTAATTCTTTTAATTGTGATGTTAGGGTGTCAATTTTAGATCTCTCCTGCTTTCTCTTGTGGGCATTCAGTGCTATAAATTTCCCTCTATACACTGCTTTAAATGTGTCCCAGAGATTCTGGTATGTGGTGTTCTCATTGGTTTCAAAGAACATCTTTATTTCTGCCTTCATTTCATTATTTACCAGCAGTCATTCAGGAGCAAGTTGTTCAGTTTCCATGTAGTTGGGAGGTTTTGAGTGAGTTTCTTCATCCTGAGTTCTAATTTGATTGCACTGTGGTCTGAGAGACAGTCTGCTGTGATTTCTGTTCTTTTGCATTTGCTGAGGAGGGTTTTACTTCCAATTATGTGGTCAATTTTAGAATAAGTGTGATGTGGTGCTCAGAAGGATGTATATTCTGTTGATTTGGGGTGGAGAGTTCTGTAGATGTCTGTTAGGTCTGCTTGGTCCAGATCCGAGTTCAAGTCCTGGATATCCTTCTTAATTTTCTGTCTTGTTGATCTGTCTAATATTGACAGTGGGGTGTTAAAGTCTCCCATTATTATTGTGTGGGAATCTAAGTCTCTTTGTAGGTCTCTAAGAACTTGCTTTATGAACCTGGGTGCTCCTGTATTGGGTACATATATATTTAGGATAGTTAGCTCTTCTTGTTGAATTGATCCCTTTACCATTATGTAATGGCCTTCTTTATCTCTTTTGATCTTTGTTGGTTTAAAGTCTGTTTTATCAGTGACCAGGTTTGAACCTCTGCTTTTTTTCACTTTCCATTTGCTTGGTAGATCTTCCTCCATCCTTTTATTTTGAGTCTATGTGTGTCTTTGCATGTGAGATGGGTCTCCTGAATACAGCACACTGATGGGTCTTGACTCTTTATCCAATTTGCCAGTCTGTGTCTTTTAATTGGGGCATTTAGTCCATTTACATTTAAGGTTAATATTGTTATGTGTGAATTTGATCCTATCATTATGATGCTAGCTGCTTATTTTGCCCGTTAATTGATGCAGTTTTTTCATAGCATCAGTGGTCTTTACAATTTGGCATGTTTTTGCAGTGGCTAGTACCGGTTGTTCCTATCCATGTTTAGTGCTTCCTTGAGAAGCTCTTGTAAGGCAGGCCTGGTGGTGACAAAATCTCTCAGCATTTGCTTGTCTGTAAAGGATTTTATTTCTCCTTCACTTATGAAGCTTATTTTGGCTGGTTATGAAATTCTTGGTTGAAAATTCTTTTCTTTAAGAATGTTGAATATTTGCCCCCACTGTCTTCTGGCTTGTGGGGTTTCTGCCAAGAGATCTGCTGTTAGTCTGATGGGCTTCCCTTTGTGGGTAACCCGACCTTTCTCTCTGGCTGCCCTTAACATTTTTTCCTTCATTTCAACCTTGGTGAATCTGACAACTGTGTGTCTTTGGGTTGCTCTTCTCAAGGAGTATGTCTGTATTTCCTGAATTTGAATGTTGGCCTGCCTTGCTAGGTTGTGGAAGTTCTCTTGGATAAATCCTGAAGAGTGTTTTCTAACTTGGTTCCATTCTCCCCGTCACTTTCAGGTACACCAATCAGGCGTAGATTTGGTCTTTTCACATAGTCCCATATTTCTTGGAGGCTTTGTTCATTTCTTTTCACTCTTTTTTATCCAATATTGTCTTCTCACTTTATTTCATTAATTTGATCTTCAATCACTGATATCCTTTCTTCCGCTTGATTGAATCAGCGATTAAAGCTTGTGTATGCTTCATGAAGTTCTTGTACTGTGGTTTTCAGCTCCATCAGGTCATTTAAGCTCTTCTCTACACTGCTTATTCTATTTAGCCATTCGTCTAACCTTTTTTCAAGGTATTTAGCTTCCTTGCATTGGGTTAGAACATGCTACTTTAGCTCAGAGAAGTTTGTTATTACCAACCTTCTGAAGCCTACTTCTGTCAAGTTGTCAAACTCATTCTCTGTACAGTTTTGTTCCCTTGCTGACAAGGAGTTGTGTTCCTTTGGAGGAGAAGAGGCATTCTGGTTTTTGGAATTTTCGGTGTGGATGTCCTTTTTGTTGATGTTCATTCTATTCCTTTCTGTTTGTTAGTTTTCCTTCTAACACACAGGCCCCTCAGCTGCAGGTCTGTTGGAGTTTGCTGGAGGTCCACTCCAGACCCTGTTTTCCTGGGTATCACCAGTGGAGGCTGCAGAACAGCAAATATTGCTGCCTAATCCTTCCTCTGGAAGCTTTGTCCCAGGGGGCACCCACCTGTATGAGGTGTCTATTGGCCCCTACTGGGAGGTGTCTCCCAGTCAGTTTACACGGGGGTCAGGGACCCACTTGGGGAGGCGTTCTGTCCATTATCAGAGCTCAAATGCCATGCTGGGAGAACCACTGCTCTCTTCAGAGCTGTCAGGCAGGGATGTTTAGGTATGGAGAAGCTGTCTTCTGCCTTTTGTTCAGATATGCCATCAGTTGGAAATGCAGAAATCTCCTGTCTTCTGCATCGATCTTACTGGGATCTGTAGACTGGAGCTGTTCCTATTCGGCCATCTTTGGAGTTTCCTTGTGTAGATAGTTTTAAACTGGTGTGCTTGTAGGAGGGATAATCAGTGGAGCCTTCTATTTCACCATCTTGTTCCACCCCTCCTGTTTTTCTTGTTGAGTTTCTTGAGTTCCTTGTAAATCCTGAATGTCATTTCCTTCAGTTGCATAGCTTGCAAATATTTTCTCCCATTTTGCAGGTTGTCTGTACAGTGGGTTGATTATTTCATGCACTGTGTAGAAGCTTTTTAATTTAATTAAGTCTCACTTGCCTATTTTGTTTTTGTTGTCTCTGCTTTTGAGCACTTTGTCAGGAGTTTTTTGCCTAGACCAAAGCCAAGAGAAGTTTTATCTAGCTTTTTTCTAGTATTTTTATAGTTTCTTCTGTTACATTTAATTATTTCATCCATCTTGAGTTGATTTTTGTATATGATGAGAGATAGAGATCTAGTTTCATTCTTATGCATATGGTGATCTAATTCTACTTATTTATTTATTTATTTATTGAGACAGGGTCTTGCTCTGTCACCGAGGCTGGAGTGCAGTGGCATGATCTCGGTTCACTGCAACCTCCGCCTCCTGGGTTCAAGGGATTCTCATGCCTCAGCCTTCTGTGTAGCTGGGATTACAGTCACTCGCCACTATGCCTGGCTAATCTTTTTGTATTTTTAGTAGAGACAGGGCTTTGCCACGTTGGCCAGGCTGGTCTCGAACTCTGGACCTCTGGTGATCCACCTGCCTTAGCCTCCCAAAGTGCTGGGATTACAGGTGTGAGCCACCATGCCTGGCCGCCTTCATGATCTAATTCTTCCAGTATTATTTATTGAAAAGGATGGCTTTTTCCTGGTGTATATTTTTGTCACCTTTGTCAAAAATCAGTTGGCTCTAGATATGTGTCTTTATTTCTAGGTTCTCTATTCTGTTCCATTACATTTTGTGTCTGTTTTTATACTAATATCATGCTCTTTTGGTTATTATAACCCCATAATTTGAGATCAAATAAGGTGATGCTTCCAGCTTTGTCTTTTGGTGTTAAGATTGCTGTGCTGGAGCTAAATGATGAGAACACATGGACACATAGAGGGGAAAGACGACACTGGGGCCTATTGAAAGGTAGAGAGTAGGAGGGAAAAGATTAGGAAAAATAGCTAATGGGTACTAGGCTTAATACCTGTGTGATGAAATAATCTGTGCAACAAACCCCCATAACACAAGTTTACCTATATAACAAACTTGCACATGTAGCCCTGAAATTTAAAGTTAAAAAAAAATTGGTTTGGCTATTCAGGCTCTTTTTTTTTGGTTCCATATTAATTTTAGGATTGTTTGTTCAAATTCTGTGAAAATTACAATATTATTTTGAATAGGGATGGCATTCAATCTGTAGAATGCTTTGTGCAGTATGGTCAGTTTAATGATATTAATTCTTCAGATCCATGAGCATGAGATATTCTGCTCACATTTGTGGCCTCTATAAATTTATTTCATCAATTTTTCATAATTTTTATTGTAGAGATCTCTCACTTCCTTCACTTTATTCCTGGGTATTTTACATCCTAAATATGTTTTCCCTGCATTTTTTTGTGGCTAATGTGAACAGGATTGCCTTCTTGATTTTGTTGTCAGCTTGATTATTATGGTTGTATAAAATACTACTGATTTTTATATGTTAATTTTGAATCCTGAAACTTTACTGAAATCATTTATCAAATCTAAGAGTTTTTTGGAGGAGTATTTAGACTTTTCTAGATATAAGATCATACTTTAGAAACAGAGATAACTTGACTCCCTCTCTTTCAATTTGTATGCCTTTTATTTTTCTCTTCCCTGATTGCTCTGGCTAAGACTTCCAGTATTGTGTGGAATAGTAGTGAAAGCGGGCATCTTTATCTTTTTTCTGGTTCTTAGGGGGAATACTTTCAACTTTCCACCATTCAGTATAATGTTGGCTCTGAGTCTGTTCCATATGGCATTTATTATTTTCAGGTATGTTCCTTCTATTCCTAGTTTGTTGAAGGTTTTATCATGAAGGGATGCTGAATTTTATCAAATGCTCTTTCTGCATCTATGGAAATAATCATGTGATTTTTGTTTATTCTGTTTATGTGATGAAGCACATTTATTGACTTTCATGTGTCAAACCATATTCGCATTTCTGAAATAAAACACATTTGATCATGATATATTATCTTGTTGATGTGCTGTTGAGTTATATTTGCTGATTTTTTTAGAATTTTTCCATCTATGTTCATCAGGAATAGTGGTCTGTAGTTTTCTTTTTTGGTTGTGTCATTGTCTGGTTTTGGTATACAGCTGATACTGGTTTCATAGAATGAAATAGGGAGGATTCTATTCTTTATTTTTTTGAAACAGTTTCAGGAATATTGATGCCAGTTTCTCTTTTCATGTTTGGTAGAGTTCCCCTGTGTATCCATCTTTTTTGGGAAGGGGTGATTTTTATTATTGATTCAATCTTCTACTCATTGTTGCTCTGTTCAAGATTTCTATTTTTTTTCTGGTTCAATCTTGGGAGGTTGTATGTTTCCAGGAATTTATCCATTTTCCTCTGGGTTTTCTAGTTTGTGAATGTAGAGTTGTTCATAGCAGTCTCTGATTGTCTTTTGTATTTCTGTGATGTCAGTGGTAATGTCTTCTTTTTCATATCTGATTATATTCATTTGGATCTTCTCTCTTCTTGGGAGTCTAGCTAGCAGTTTATTAATTTTGTTTATCATTTCAAAAAAACAACTTTTCAATTTGTTAATCCTTTATATATTTTTTGGTTTCAATTTTATTTAATTCTACTCTTATATTTGATATCTCTTTTTCTGCTAAGTTTGGGTTTGGTTTGTTCTTGTTTTTCTAGTTCCTTAAGGTGCAATGTTAAATTGCTAGTTTATGATATTTCTGTTTTTTGAATGTAGGCATTTAATGCTATAAAATTCCCTCTCAGCACTGCCTTTCCTGTATCCCAAAGGTTATGGTAACTTGTGTTTCAATTTCCATTTATTTCAAAATTCAGCAAGAGGGTGTAACAACCTATATAGATACCCAACACCAGAGCCATTAGATTTATAAAACAAATACAATTAGACCTAAAGAAAAAGATAGCAATACAATAATCATGGGGGACTTCTTTGCCCCAATCACAGCACTGGACAGACTGTCAAATATACTGTCCACAAAAAACCATTGGATGTAAATCGGGCTTTAGACTACCCAACAACTGCAGAATATAGATTCTTTTTGTCAGCATGTGGAACATTCTGAAAGATAGACCATGTATAAGGCCACGAAACAAGTCTCTACGAATTTTTTAAAATGGAAGTTACATCAAGAATCTTATCAGATCACAGCAGAGTAAAACCAGAAATCAATACAAGAGGAACTCCAGAAACTGCACAAATACCAAGAAATTAAACAACATGCTCCTAAATAATCTTTTGGTAAACAATGAAATTAAGGCAGAAATTTAATTTTTTTTGGAAATGAATGGAAATAGACTCTCTCTCTCTCTCTCTTTTTTTTTAAGATGGAGTCTCACTCTTGTCACCCAGGCTGGAGTGCAGTGGCATGATCTGGGCTCACTGCAACCTTGGAAATGGACTCCTTTTAACATGTTATAATGTCCTTTGTCTTACTTATTTATCTTCATTTGAGACAGAGTCTCACTCTGTCACCTACGCTGGAGTGCAGTAGTGCAATCACAACTCACTGCAACCTTCACATCTTGGAATCAAGCGATCCTCCCACCTCCTGTGTAGCTGGGACTACAGGTATGTGCCACAGCATCTGGCTAATTTTTGTATTTTTTGTAGAGATGGGGTTTCACCATGCTGCCCAGGTTGGTCTTGAACTCCTGAGCTCAAGCAATCCATCCACCTCAGCCTCCCAAAGTGCTGGGATTACAGGCATGAGCCACCACACCTGACTCTTTGTCTTATATTTACTGGTTTAATGAAATAAGGGTTTTTAATCTGATATGAGTATAGCTACTTCTCAATTTTGGGTTTCATCTATATGGAATATCTTTTTCCCATTTCTTTCCTTTTAGTCTGTAAGTGTCTTTACAGGAAAGGTAAGTTTCTTGTAAGCAGCATATAGTTGGGTCATTTTAAAAATTTATTCTGCAGATCTATATATTTTAATTGGAGCATTTAATTCATTCATTTTCAAGGTTGATATCAATATGTGAGATTTTGTTTCTTTCATGTTGTTATTTTTTTATTTTACTATTATTATACTTTAAGTTTTAGGGTACATGTGCACAATGTGCAGGTTTGTTACATATTCATGTTGCTAATTTTTCTCTAGTTGTCTTAAAATTTTTTTGTTTCCTTTTTTCTTTTATGTTTTTAATTTTTTGGGTATATAGTAGTACATATATTTATAAGTTACATGAGATGTTTTGATACAGGCATGCAATACATAATAATTACATCATGGAAGATGGAGTATCCATCCCCTCAAACATTTATTCTTTGTGTTACAACAATGAAATTCTACTCTTTTAGTTATTTAAAATATACAATTAAATTATTATTGACTACAGTCATCCTGTCATGCTATCAAATACCAGGTCTTATACATTCACTCTATTTTTTAACCCATTAAGCATCCTAACCTCCCCCTCAACCTCTGACTAACCTTCTCAGCCTCTAGTAATCATTCTTCTACTCTCTATCTCAATTGGTTCAATTATTTTGATTTTTAGATCCTCAAAATAAGTGAGATCATGCAATGATTTAGGTGCCTGGCTTATTTCACATAGAATATGACCTTCAGTTCCATGCATGTTGTTTCAAATGATTGAATCTCATTGTTTTCTATGGCTGAATAGTACTCCATTGTGTATAAGTGCCACATTTTCTTCATCCATTCATCTGTTGATGGACACTTAGGTTGCTTCCAAATCTTGGCTATTGCCAGCCATGCTGCAACAAACATGGGAGTGCAAATGTCTCTTCAATATAGTAATTTCCTTTCTTTTGAGTGTATATCCAGAGATGGGATTCCTGGATCATATAGTAGCTCTTTTTTAATTTTTGGAGGAAATGCCTAACTGGTTACCATACCAGTTGTACTAATTTACATTTCTTCCAATAGTTTACTAGAGTTCCCTATTCTTCTCATTCTCACCAGCATTTGTTATTCCCTGTCTTTTGGATATAATATTTTTCAACTGGGGTGAAATTATATCTCATTGTAGTTTTAATTTGTATTTCTATAATAACCAATGAAATTGAGCACCTTTTTATACACCTGATTGTCATTTGTATGTCTTCTTTTGAGGAATGTCTATTCAAATCTTTTTTTATTTTATTTTATTTTTATTTTTATTTATTTATTTATTTATTTATTTTTATTATACTTTAAGTTTTAGGGTACATGTGCACATTGTGCAGGTTAGTTACATATGTATACATGTGCCATGCTGGTGCACTGCACCCACTAACTCATCATCTACCATTAGGTATATTTCCCAATGCTATCCCTCCCCCCTCCCCCCACCCCACAACAGTCCCCAGAGTGTGATGTTCCCCTTCCTGTGTCCATGTGTTCTCATTGTTCAGTTCCCACCGACGAGTGAGAATATGCAGTGTTTGGTTTTTTGTTCTGGTGATAGATTACTGAGAATGATGATTTCCAATTTCATCTATGCCCCTACAAAGGACATGAACTTATCATTTCTCATGGCTGCATAGTGTTCCATGGTGTATATGTGCCACATTTTCTTAATCCAGTCTATCATTGTTGGACATTTGGGTTGGTTCCAAGTCTTTGCTACTGTGAATACTGCCGCAATAAACATATGTGTGCATGTGTCTTTATAGCAGCATGATTTACAGTCCTTTGGGTATATACCCAGTAATGGGATGGCTGGGTCCAGTGGTATTTCTAGTTCTAGATCCCTGAGGAATCGCCACACTGACTTCCACAATGGTTGAACTAGTTTACAGTCCAACCAACAGTGTAAAAGTGTTCCTATTTCTCCACATCCTCTCCAGCACCTGTTGTTTCCTGACTTTTTAAAGATTGCCGTTCTAACTGGTGTGAGATGGTATCTCGTTGTGGTTTTGATTTGCATTTCTCTGATGGCCAGTGATGGTGAGCATTTTTTCATGTGTTTTTTGGCTGCATAAATGTCTTCTTTTGAGAAGTGTCTGTTCATGTGCTTCACCCACTTTTTGATGGGGTTGTTTGTTTTTTTTCTTGTAAATTTGTTTGAGCTCATTGTAGATTCTGGATATTAGCCCTTTGTCGGATGAGTGGGTTGTGAAAATTTCCTCCCATTTTGTAGGTTGCCTGTTCACTCTGATGGTAGTTTCTTTTGCTGTGCAGAAGCTCTTTAGTTTAATTAGATCCCATTTGTCAATTTTGTCTTTTGTTGCCATTGCTTTTGGTGTTTTAGACATGAAGTCCTTGCCCACGCCTATGTCCTGAATGGTAATGCCTAGGTTTTCTTCTAGGGTTTTTATGGTTTTAGGTCTAACGTTTAAGTCTGCAATCCATCTTGAATTGATTTTTGTATAAGGTGTAAGGAAGGGATCCAGTTTCAGCTTTCTACATATGGCTAGCCAGTTTTCCCAGCACCATTTATTAAATACGGAATCCTTTCCCCATTGCTTGTTTTTCTCAGGTTTGTCAAAGATCAGATAGTTGTAGATATGCGGCATTATTTCTGAGGTCTCCGTTCTGTTACATTGATCTATATCTCTGTTTTGGTACCAGTACCATGTTGTTTTGGTTACTGTAGCCTTTTAGTACAGTTAGAAGTCAGGTAGTGTGATGTCTCCAGGTTTATTCTTTTGGCTTGGGATTGACTTGGTGATGTGGGTTCTTTTTTGGTTCCATATGAACTTTAAAGTAGTTTTTTCCAATTCTGTGAAGAAAATCATTGGTAGCTTGATGGGGATGGCATTGAATCTATAAATTACCTTGGGCAGTATGGCCATTTTCACGATATTGATTCTTCCTACCCATGAGCATGGAATGTTCTTCCATTTGTTTGTATCCTCTTTTATTTCCTTGAGCAGTGGTTTGTAGTTCTCCTTGAAGAGGTCCTTCACATCCCTTGTAAGTTGGATTCCTAGGTATTTTATTCTCTTTGAAGCAATTGTGAATGGGAGTTCACTCATGATTTGGCTCACTGTTTGTCTGTTATTGGTGTATAAGAATGCTGTGATTTTTGTACATTGATTTTGTATCCTGAGACTTTGCTGAAGTTGCTTATCAGCTTAAGGAGATTTTGGGCTGAGACAATGGGGTTTTCTAGATATACAATCATGTCATCTGCAAACAGGGACAATTTGACTTCCTCTTTTCCTAATTGAATGCCCTTTATTTCCTTCTCCTGCCTAATTGCCCTAGCCAGAACTTCCAACACTATGTTGAATAGGAGTGGTGAGAGATGGCATCCCTGTCTTGTGCCAGTTTTCAAAGGGAATACTTCCAGTTTTTGCCCATTCAGTATGATATTGGCTGTGGGTTTGTCATAAATAGCTCTTATTATTTTGAGATACGTCCCATCAATACCTAATTTATTGAGAGTTTTTAGCATGAAGGGTTGTTGAATTTTGTCAAAGTCCTTTTCTGCATCTATTGAGATAATCATGTGGTTTTTGTCTTTGGTTCTGTTTGTATGCTCAATTACATTTATTGATTTGCGTATTTTGAACCAGCCTTGCATCCCAGGGATGAAGCCCACTTGATCATGGTGGATAAGCTTTTTGATGTGCTGCTGGATTCAGTTTGCCAGTATTTTATTGAGGATTTTTGCATCAATGTTCATCAAGGATATTGGTCGAAAATTCTCTTTTTCGGTTGTGTCTCTGCCCGGCTTTGGTATCAGGATGATGCTGGCCTCATAAAATGAGTTAGGGAGGATTCCCTCTTTTTCTATTGATTGGAATAGTTTCAGAAGGAATGGTACCAGTTCCTCCTTGTACCTCTGGTAGAATTCGGCTGTGAATCCACCTTGTCCTGGACTCTTTTTCGTTGGTAAGCTATTGATTATTGCCACAATTTCGGATCCTGTTATTGGTCTATTCAGAGATTCAACTTCTTCCTGGTTTAGTCTTGGGAGGGTGTATGTGTCGAGGAATTTATCCATTTCTTCTAGATTTTCTAGTTTTTTTGCATAGAGGTGTTTATAGCATTCTCTGATGGTAGTTTGTATTTTTGTGGGATCGGTGGTGATATCCCCTTTATCATTTTTTATTGTGTCTATTTGATTCTTCTCTCTTTTTTTCTTTATTAGTCTTGCTAGCGGATTATCAATTTTGTTGATCCTTTCAAACAACCAGCTCCTGGATTCATTAATTTTTTGAAGGGTTTTTAGTGTCTCTATTTCCTTCCGTTCTGCTCTGATTTTAGTTATTTCTTGCCTTCTGCTAGCTTTTGAATGTGTTTGCTCTTACTTTTCTAGTTCTTTTAATTGTGATGTTAGGGTGTCAATTTTGGATCTTTCCTGCTTTCTCTTGTGGGCATTTAGTGCTATAAATTTCCCTCTACACACTGCTTTGAATGTGTGTACTGGGAAACTTTTCAATATGGCTTTGATATCTTTACCTGTTATTGGTCAGTTTATGATTTGGATTTCCTCATGGTTTAATTTTGGTAGGTGGCGTGTGTCTAGGAATTTATCTATTTTTTTTCCAATTTATTAACATGTAATTGCTAATAGTAGCTACTAATGATCCTTTGAATTTCTGCAATATCAATTGTAATGTCTCCTTTTTCATCTCTCATTTTATTAATTTCTCTTTTTTTCTCAGGAAGCCTGGCTAAAAGTTCATCAATTTTGATTAATGTTTCCACTTCAAACTATACTATAAGGCTACAGTAACCAAAACAGCATGGTACTGGTACCAAAACAGATATATAGATCAATGGAACAGAACAGAGCCCTCAGAAGTAACGCCGCATATCTACAACTATCTGATCTTTGACAAACCTGAGAAAAATAAGCAATGGGAAAGGATTCCCTATTTAATAAATGGTGCTGGGAAAACTGGCTAGCCATATGTAGAAAGCTGAAACTGGATCCTTTCCTTACACCTTATACAAAAATTAATTCAAGATGGATTGCAGACTTAATCGTTAGACCTAAAACCATAAAAACCCTGGAAGAAAACCTAGGCATTACCATTCAGGACATAGGCGTGGGCAAGGACTTCATGTCTAAAACACCAAAAGCAATGGCAACAAAAGACAAAATTGACAAATGGGATCTAATTAAACTAAAGAGCTTCTGCACAGCAAAAGAAACTACCATCAGAGTGAAAGGCAACCTACAAAATGGGAGAAAGTTTTCACAACCTACTCATCTGACAAAGGGCTAATATCCAGAATCTACAATGAGCTCAAACAAATTGACAAGAAAAAACAAACAACCCCATCAAAAAGTGGGTGAAGGACATGAGCAGACACTCCTCAAAAGAAGACATTTATGCAGCCAAAAAACACATGAAAAAATGCTCACCATCACTGGCCATCAGAGAAATGCAAATCAAAACCACAACGAGATACCATCTCACACCAGTTAGAATGGCAATCATTAAAAAGTCAGGAAATGACAGGTGCTGGAGAGGATGTGGAGGAATAGGAACACTTCTACACTGTTGGCAGGACTGTAAACTAGTTCAACCATTGTGGAAGTCAGTGTGGCGATTCCTCAGGGATCTAGAACTAGAAATACCACTGGACCCAGCCATCCCATTACTGGGTATATACCCAAAGGACTATAAATCAAGCTGCTATAAAGACACATGTGCACATATGTTTATTGTGGCACTATTCACAATAGCAAAGACTTGGAGCCAACCCAAATGTCCAGCAATGATAGACTGGATTAAGAAAATGTGGCACATATACACCATGGAACACTATGCAGCCATAAAAAATGATGGGTTCATGTCCTTTGTAGGGACATGGATGAAATTGGAAATCATCATTCTCAGTAAACTATCGCAAGAACAAAAAACCAAACACCGCATATTCTCACTCATAGATGGGAATTGAACAATGAGAACACATGGACACAGGAAGGGGAACATCACACTCTGGGAACTGTTGTGGGGTGGGGGGAGAGGGGAGGGATAGCATTAGGAGATATACCTAATGCTAAATGACGAGTTAATGGGTGCAGCACACCAACATGGCACATGTATGCATATGTAACTAACTTGCACATTGTACACATGTAGCCTAAAACTTAAAGTATAATAATAATAAAATGAAATAAAATTATAAAACTAAAAATAAAAACACCAACTCTTTTAAAACGATCTTTTTTTTTTTAACTTTCAATTTCATTTCCCTCTGCTTTGATCTTTATTATTTCTTTGTTCTACTAATTTTGGTTTTGGTTTACTCTTGGTTTCCTAATTGTTTAAGAGGCATTGTTAAGTTATTTATTTGAAGTTATTCTTCTTTTTTGATGTAGGCACTTATAGCTATAAACTTACATCTTAATACTAGTTTTGCTGTTTCCCATACATTTCGGTATGTTTTGTTCCAATTATTATTTGTTTTAATTTTTAAAAAAATTCCTTCTTAATTTATTCTGTGACCCAATGGTCATTCTGAACCCTGTAGTTTGATTTCCATGTATTCTTATAGTTTCCAAAATTCCTCTTGTTATTGGTGTCTAGTTTTGTTTCAACGTGGTCAGAGAAGATGCTTGATATTATTACAACTTTTTTTGGAATTTTTAAAGCCTTTTTATGACCTAACCTGTGATCCATCCTTGAGAATAATCCTTGTGTAGAGAAGGAGAATGTGTATTCTGTGATGCTAAATAAAATGTTTGTAAATATCTATTAGGTCCATTTGTTCTGTAGTGCAGATTAAATCCAGTGTTTCTTTGTTCAGTTTCTGTCTGTGAGATCTGCTTAATGCTGAAAGTGGGTTTTTGAAGTCTCTAGCTATTATTGTATTGGGGCCTGTATCTCTTTTTAGCTCTAATATTATTTGTTTTAGATGTCTGAATTCTCCAGTATTTGGTGAACATATATTTAAAATTTTTATATCCTCTTGCTGAATTGATCTTTTATCATTATATATCGACCTTATTTATCTCTTCTTATAGTTTTTGTCTTGAAATGTATATTTTTCTCATATAAGTGTAGCTACTCCTGCTTTTGTTTTAGTGTCCTTGGTAAGGAATATCTTTTTCAATCTCTTTACTTTTAGTCTATGTGTGTCTTTATAGCTGTAGTGTGTTTTTTATCCTTTTAGTCTATGTCTTTTGATTGGAGAGTTTAGCCCATTTACATTCAATATGTTATTATTGATAAGTAAGGTCTTACTTTTTCCATTTTGTTATTTGTTTTCTGGTTGTTTTGTTGTCTTCTCTGCCTTCTTTTTTTTCCTTTTTGTCTTCTTTTTTTTTGAAGGTGACTTTCTCTGGTTATATTATTTAGTTTCTTCCATTTTATTTTGTGTATTTGTTGTATTTTTTTGTTTGAGGTTATCATGAGTCTTGCAAATACTATCTTATATCCAATCATTTTAAGCTCATAGTAACTTAACACTGTTTACATAAGTAAACAAACCAACAAGTGAAAACAAAACTAATAAAAGTCTATAACTTACCTACTTTGTCCTTCCACTTTTAAACTTGGTGTTGTTTTTATTTATATCTTATTGTACTGTCTATGTCTTGAAAAGTTGTAATTATTATCTTTCATTGGTTCAACTTGTAGTCTTTCTACTTAAGATAAGAGTAGTTTACACACCACAGGTACAGTGTTCTGATATTGTGGGTATTTATGAATACTTACTATTATCAACGAGTTTTGTACCTTCAGATGATTTCTTATTGCTCATTAACATCCTTTTCTTTTTGATTGAAGTACTTCCTTTAGCATTGCTTTTAGGACAGGTCTGGTGTTGATAAAATCCCTCAGCTTTTGTTTGTCTTGTAAAGTCTGTATTTTTTCTTCATATTAGTAGGATATTTTCACCAGATATACTATTCTAGTGTAATTTTTTTTCCTTCAGCATTTTAAATATATCACGCTACTCTCTCCTGGCCTGTACGGTTTCCACTGAAGAGTCTTTTGCCAGATGCATTGGAACTCCATTGTATGTTATTTGTTTCTTTGGCTGCTTTTAGGATCTTTTCTTTATATTTGATCTTTGAGAGTTTGATTATTAAATACCTCCAGGTAATCTTCTTTGGGATAAATCTACTTGGTGTTCCACAGCCTTCTTGTACTTCAATACTGATATGTTTCTCTAGGTTGGGA
This sequence comes from Homo sapiens, assembly GCF_000001405.40. Lineage (NCBI taxonomy): Eukaryota > Metazoa > Chordata > Mammalia > Primates > Hominidae > Homo > Homo sapiens. Next base: position 67,818,248 of record NC_000023.11, on the reverse strand, counting down.
AGTTTTCTGTTATTATCCCTTTGAATACACTTTCCAGCCATATTTCTTTCTCTAGCTACTCTATAAGGCCAATAACCCTTAGATTTACCCTTTGAGGTTATTCTTTTGATCTTGTATGTATGCTTCACTGGTTTTTATTCTTTTCTTTTCTCTCCTCTGACTATATTTTCAAGTAGCTTATCTTCAAGCTCAGTAATTCTTTCTTTTGCCTGGCTAAATCTGCTGTTAAAAACTGATGCATTCTTCAATATGCCAAATGCATTTTTCAGCTCCAGAATTTTTGCTTTTTTATTATTTCGTTTGTTAAATTTATCTTATAGAATTCTGAATTCTTTGCCTGTGTTATCTTGAATTTCTTTGAGTTTCCCCAGAACAACTCTTTTGAATTCTGTGTCTAATAATTTCTCCAGGATTGTCCCCTGATGCATTATTTAGTTCATTTGGTGAGGCCACATTTTCCTGGATCTTCTTGGTACTTGTAGATATTCATCAGTTTTAGGGCATTGAAAAGTTAAGTATTATAGTCTTCACACTCTGGGCTTTTTTACACCCATCCTTCTTAAGAAGACTTTCCAGATATTTAAAAGGACTTGAGTGTTTTGATCTAAGCTATATCTGCTTTAGAAGGGACCAAAAGCCTTGTAGTGCTGTCATTCTTCTAGCCTTGTAGAGGTACTACCTTGATTGTCTTGGATACAATCTGGAAGAATTCTTTAGATTACCAGACAGAGACTCTTGTTCTTTCCCCTTATTTTCTCCCTAACAAATGAAGCCTATCTCTCTCCTCTGAGCTACCTGGAGATGGGGGTGGAGTGACATAAGCGCCCCTATGGCCACCAGCATTAGGACTGCACTGGGTCAGACTTGAAGCCAGCACAGCACTGGGTCTTGCCTAAAGCCTGCAGTAACCACTCCCTGGCTACTACCTATGTTTGCTCACAGCCCTGGGCCTTTACAATCAGCAGGTGGCAAAGCCATCTAGGCTCATATACTTCCCTTCAGAGCAGCGAGTTCCCCCCAGGCCCTGGGCAGGTCCAGGGATGCTGTCTGGGAGCTGAAGTCTAGAGTCAAAAACCTTAGAAGTCTACCTTATATTCTGTTGTACTCTGGCTGAGCTGGCACTAAAACCAGGAGATTCGGTTCTTCCTACTCTCTTCCCTCATCCTTTAAATGCAGAGGAGTCTCACTCTGTGGCTACTACCACCTCAGGCCCATGAGGAGTACTGTCAGACTACCACCAATGTTCTTTTAAGGCCCAAGGGCTCTTCAGTCAGCTTGTGGTGAATGATGCCTCACCTGGGACTTTCCTTTCAGGGGAGTGGGTTCCTCTATGGCCCAGGACAGGTCCAGAAATGCCATCTGAGAGGGAAATCCAGGAGTCAGGGACCCTGTGGCTGAGTTGGTATCTAAGATGCAAGACAAAGTCCCATTTACTTTTTCTTTCACTTTTCTCAAGCAGAAGCAGTCTTGCCCTGTAGCCACAACAGCTGGGAATGTGCTGAGTCTCACCTGAAGTTATCAAGTCTCAGTGTCTCACCCAAAGCCCTTGATGTAGTGCCTGGGTATCTCTGATAGTTATTCAGGGCCCAAGTGTTCTGCAGTTAGCAGGTGATAAATCTTGCCAGGACTGGGTTCTTCCCTTCAAGGCAGTGGGTTCCCTTCTGGCCCAGCATGTGTCAAGAAATGTCATCCAGGAGCTAGCTAGCGTGTGGAAAGGGTACCTCACAACTTTGACCAGCACCCTATCCTGTTGTGGCTGAGCTGATATCCAAGATTCAAGACAAAGTCCTTCCCACTCTTCCCTCTCCTCTCCTCACTGGAGGGAAGGGGTCTCTTTTAGGGCTGTGAGCTGTGCAGCCTGAGCTTAGGGGAGGGATGATGCCAATTCTCCCTAGGTGCCCCAGCTGATGTCTCAGTAAATCACATGCCCCCACAGTCTAGCGTATTTTGGCCAAGTTCAGCCCCAGGACTTGCTTAGGTGTTGCAGTCCTTGTGGCCTAGACTGATTTTCAGCTTTATTTGGGGCCCCAGAGACCTCTAGTTTATGGTGGCAAGGCTTGCAGGAACTCAAATTCTGACCACTAAGATTGGTGATCCCTCTCTGGCTAGGGCTGGTTTAAATGCTTCCTCCATTGGCAAGCATCAGCTGAGTTTTGTCCATTTTTGCTTCCTGATATAATAAGAGCAGCACTGAGTTCAATGCATCACAGTTGCTGACTCTCCCTCTCCCCAGGGCAGAGGAATGATCTCCACATTATGCCATCACTGTTGGGGGATGGAGGAGGTGGGAAGTTGGTGATTCATGACAGTTTTTCCTACCTTTCCAGTGCTTATTTCAGTGATATGAAATTAAAACCAGATATTGTGAGTGCTCACCAGTTTTTGGTATATATATATAGATAGATAGATCTATCTATCTATCTATATATATCTATATCTATATAGATAAGTAGATATAGATAGTATATCTATATCTATACAGATAGATAGATATAGATAGTATATCTATATCTATACAGATAGATAGATATAGATAGTATATCTATATCTATACAGATAGATAGATATAGATAGTATATCTATATCTATACAGATAGATAGATATAGATAGTATATCTATATCTATACAGATAGATAGATATAGATAGTATATCTATATCTATACAGATAGATAGATATAGATAGTATATCTATATCTATACAGATAGATAGATATAGATAGTATATCTATATCTATACAGATAGATAGATATAGATAGTATATCTATATCTATACAGATAGATAGATATAGATAGTATATCTATATCTATACAGATAGATAGATATAGATAGTATATCTATATCTATACAGATAGATAGATATAGATAGTATATCTATATCTATACAGATAGATAGATATAGATAGTATATCTATATCTATACAGATAGATAGATATAGATAGTATATCTATATCTATACAGATAGATAGATATAGATAGTATATCTATATCTATACAGATAGATAGATATAGATAGTATATCTATATCTATACAGATAGATATAGATAGTATATCTATATCTATATATTTGGTATATATATATACAAAATATATATATATACACAAATATATACTATATAGATATACTATCTATATATTTGTATATATATATATAGATAGATCTATACGTAGATAGATAGATAGATAGATAGATAGATAGATAGATAGATAGATATAGATAGTTGTTGTTAAATTGGTGCCCTTGCAGGGTGCAGAAGAGATAACTGCAGCCGTTTATTTTGCCATCTTGTTCCACCCCCTGTTTCTTTTGTGTGTGTATCTTTCTGATTTGATGGGGTTCTGTAATATTGCCACTTGATTTTTTTATTCTTGCTTTGTGCAATTGTTTTATGAGTTGTGATTTTCATACTTTTGTATGTTTTTTATGATGGAGGAATATCAACGTTTTTTTCATGTTTAGAACTCCTATGAGAATTGTTTTGTAGGACTAGTTAATGATGAATAACTCACTCTGCATTTGCTTGTCTAGGAAACACGTTATTCTTTTTCATTTATGAAGTTTATTCTGGCAGGATAGAAAATTTGTCGTTTGTAGCTTTTTTTTCTCTTATGCATTTGAAAATAAGATCCCAATCTCTTTTAGCTTGCAAGGATTTTGCTGATTAGTCTATTGTAACTTTTATGGGGTTTTCTTTATGGGTTACTAGATGCTTTTCTTTTGCTGATTTTAGGATTTTTTTCCTTCACATTGACATTAGATAGTCTGGTGACTATGTGCCATAGTGAAGTCCACCTTGCAATGTATTTCCTGATGTTCACTGGGCCTCCTGTATCTGGATGTCTAAATCTCTTGTTAGACTAAGGAAGTTTTCATCAATTATTTCCTTAAATAGGTTTTCTAAACTTTTTGCTTTTTCTTCTCCCTTGGGAATGCCCATGATTTGTAGATTCGGTTGTTTTATGTAGTCCCACACTTCCTGAAGGCTTTATTCACTCCTTTCATTCTTTTTTGTTTATTTTGTTTTGACTGGATTAATTCAAAAGATCTGTCTTCAAGTTCTGAAATTCTCTCTTCTGCTTAGTCATCTATTGTTGAATCTTTCTACTGCATTTTGTAATTCCTTCAACAAAGTTTTCATTTCCAGGAGTTATGTTGTTTTTTTAAAGATGTATAACTTCTTAGTAAATTTTTCATTCATACTCTGAATTGATTTTCTGATTTCCTTGTGTTGATTTTCAGATTTCACTTGTATCTAATTTAGCTTCTTTAAAATCAGTATTTTGTATTCTTCATCTGGCATTTAAAATTTTTTTTGGTTAGGATTCATTGCTAGAGAATTACTGTGTTCCCTCCGTGTGTTCCTTTCAGTGTGTCATGATATCTTGCTTTTTTATATTTCCAGTATTGTTTCACTGAGTTTTTTTCACATATGGAGAAACAGTCACTTTTTATTTTGAATGTTCTTTCATTAGGATGAGACTGTTTTTTTCTTTGAGCATGTGACTATGATGTACGTTGAGTAGGGCCATTTTGTTTTGATTCTGGGTGCACTGAGTAGTGAAGTATTTGTATGATTTCCTTGGTTATAGTTTTAGTTAGTGGCTTTCCTAATTGCTAGTTGTAGTAGCCAGTGTACTGGGTTAGTGATCAGGTTTACAGCCTCCTGATTAGCTGAGGTGGCATGGGCAATTGTGGTAGCAGAGGTCATAAGAAGATTATCTCATTCCCCAATGGTATGTATTTGTGTCAGTAGATGTTGTAATGGACTGTGTGGGTTGGTCTCCTGGCTAGTAGGTGGCACTTGCAGGTGAGAGCCAGCTGCAGTGGTAACAGTAGAGTTACTGCTTGGCCTTTGTTAAGCAGAAGTGTTAGGATGTGCTAGGCAATGGGTTGGGCTGTGAAATGGTCAGTAGTCTGGTCTCATGCTCTGCCTCAGAGGCAAGGGGGTGAAGTTGGATGAGGTTGGACCTGGGGACTGCACGTGGGCCCTCAATGGCAGGTGCAAGTGCTGGCCCTGACTGATGTCAAGAGGAAGTCCTCAGACCTCTGGAGAAATGCCCAGGTGAGTAGAGCAACTGCTGCTTCACCAAAGTCTTAGCATGGGGAAGAAGGGGAAGTTCCAACTCCACAGCCAAATGAGTGGGAGACTGACCTGCTTTGCTCTCACATTTCAGACCCAGTGAAACTCCTTGCCATAGCCTGACCCTGGCAGCAAGTCAGGACAGTTAGCCAGGTTCCACTCAGTTTGTTTTCAGTCTGCAAACCCGCCCCAGGTCATAAAACTTGCTGCCCAGGTTAAACTCATGTGTCTCAGACAAGTCTCCTTTTGCTTCAGTCCCAAGAAGTAAAAAAGACCAATTCTACCACCCGTGGTTGGAGCTCATGCCACATTTGCCTCTCAGTTCTGGCCTTGAGGGCCCCTCCTCCACTCAAGACCAGATTGCCAATCCCCAACCCCAGACTCTCCAAATCGGTGGCTGCTGTCCTTGTTAGCTGGGTGAATCCCACGCAGCTTGCTATGAACTAGGCTGGATAATGGCTTCCTTCTATCCGTGCCCAGGTATGGTAATGTGTGTGGGACACTTCCCAGTGCTGTTCCTTCTCACAGTCTCCAGACTGCTCCCCAAATTGGATCCAGGGCTTGGGAAAGTCAAGTTGCTTCCTCATGGCCTGGAATGCATCATTTCCTAGTGGGAATGTGTATTACAGAGACACTCACTCCCCCTTTCCCATATTTCCCAGACCCCACCAGGCAGGATGCTGCCTGCCTTCTTTTTCCCAGTTGCTGTAGGAACTCAGGGACCCCGAATGGAGGAACTGGCTGAAGCCATTGCAGAAGAATGTGGATTGTGAAGATTTCATGGACATTTATTAGTTCCCCAAATTAATACTTTTATAATTCCTTACACCTGTCTTTACTGCAATCTCTGAACATAAATTGTGAAGATTTCATGGACACTTATCACTTCCCCAATCAATACCCTTGTGATTTCCTATGCCTGTCTTTACTTTAATCTCTTAATCCCATCATCTTCGTAAGCTGAGGAGGATGTATGTCACCTCAGGACCCTGTGATGATTGCGTTAACTGCACAAATTGTTTGTAGAGCATGTGTGTTTGAACAATATGAAATCTGGGCACCTTGAAAAAAGAACAGGATAACAGTGATGTTTAGGGAACAAGAGAGATAACCTTAAACTGTGACTGCCAGTGAGCCAGGCGGAATAGAGCCATATTTCTCTTCTTTCAAAAGCAAATGGGGGAAATATCACTGAATTCTTTTTCTCAACAAGGAATATCCCTGAGAAATAGAATGCATCCCTGAGGGTAGGCCTCTAAAATGGCCGCTTCAGGGGTGGCTGTCTTTTATGGTAGAAGCTGTAGGGATGAAATAAGCCCCAGTCTCCCATAGCGCTCCCAGGCTTATTAGGATGAGGAAACTCCCACGTAATAAATTTTGGTTAGACCGGTTGTCTGCTCTCAAACCCTGTCTCCTGATAAGATGTTATCAATGACAATGCGTGCCTGGAACTTCATTAGCAATTTTAATTTCACCCCAGTCCTGTGGCCCTGTGATCTCACCCTGCCTCCATTTGCCTTGTGATAGTCTATTACCTTGTGAAGCACGTGATCTCTGTGACCCACACCCTATTCGTACACTCCCTCCCATTTTGAAAATCACTAATAAAAACTTGCTGGTTTTACCACTCAAGGGGCATCACAGAACCTGCTGACATGTGATGTCTCCCCTGGACACCCAGCTTTAAAATTTCTCTCTTTTGTTCTCCCTTTATTTCTCAGACCAGCCAACACTTAGGGAAAATAGAAAAGAACTTACGTGAAATATCAGGGGTGAATTTCACCCGATATCTGGCTGAATTTCCCCCAATACCAGTATTTGAAATTTTCTTTCTTTCCTGTTTAACTTCTATATTTTTTCTAAGATAAAAGTTCATGGCATGAATTGCTACACACACTTTGCTGTTTCCAAATGGGCAAGGTGTGCTGGAAAACCCTTAGTCTGCCACCTTGAATTTTTAAAACACTGTTCACTTTTTAAAATTCTTTTTACTTTCCATTCTTTAGACTAGAAAATTTCAATTGTCCTATCTTTAAGTTCTCTGTTTCTCTCTTCTACCTGCTCAAATCCGATATTGATCTTCTCTAGTACATTTTATTATTTCAGTTATTTTACTCACTATTGCCTTCCACAATCTTTTATAGCCTGACATCCAACTTACACAATTTTTCCCAGTTTGACAATCAAGCCAGGAAAAACAGAAACTATTCCCTTAGCAGTCCACAGAGAGTTTAGAACATAGCAAATAAGTTCTGCTCTGCTCCTTCTAGTCTGAGAGAGGAAACCAGGAAGTTACTGCTTCTTTCTGACCATGCCATGCCAGAGAAGATGAGGCAAGGGCAAATAAAAACATTATGAAATTTCCCTCTATTTGAATTTGGCTTTTTCATAAGTTGGTGTTTCTTTGGTTGCTGTAGATCTTTGATTGATTTCCGTGGTGCCTATAAAGTTATTTTAGGCAGCCTGCAGTTATTATTTTAATGTTTTCCTGAAGGAACAAGGGCCTGGAGCTTCCTAGTCCACTATCCTAGTTGCTGATGTCACCCACATTATCCATTCTCTGTCTTTTAAATAATGTATTTAGACCATTTTTATTTAATATAATTGTCCATCTGTTAGGACTTAAGTCTGCCTTTTATTTTTTTCCTGGTTTTCTCTGTATTTTATTTCCTTGGATTTATTTTCCTGCCTTCAAGTGTATTACTTGAATGTTTTTTATAATTCTATTTTCATTTATCTCTATAGCTTTTGTGTGTATCTCTTTGTGTTGGTTTCCAACTGTTTGATTTGTGTATATATTATATGTTCATTTCTATTATTGGTAACTTGTATCTTCTCTTTTTGACAGTCTTGCTAGAGTCTGTCTCTTTCTCTCCATATAGGTATGTTTATATGTAAATATATCTACATATATTTCTTTATATTTCATTTATCTCTCTCTCTCTCTCTCTCTATATATATATATATATATACCCTTTATATAAATCTTTTTTACTTTTCCCTATTTATAATATAATTTCTTAAAATATTTCCTCTACATATGTATGAACCACACTGAAGTGTTATAATTTTGTGTGGACTATCACATATTATTTAGAAAGCACAAGGGAAGGAAAGCCTATTGCATTTACTCATATTTTTGCTTATTCTGTCTTTTATTCCTTCCTGATTGTCCAAGGTTTCTTATCTTATTAATTTCTTTATTTTAGATAACTTCCTTTAACCTTTTTGGGGGGGGGGTCAGGTCTGCTGATGGCAAATTCTCTGTTTTCCTTCATCTGAGAATGTTTTCATTTTTTTTTTTTCCTTTCTGTAAGAAATTTTCACTGGGTATAGGTTTCTGGATTGTTTTCCTTCAATACTTAAAAATATGCCATCTCTTCCTGGTATGCTTGGTTTCTGACAATAAATCTGCTGTCATTCCTATTGTTTTTCTCTAGTTGATAATGTGTTGATTCTTACTGCTCTAAAATTACTTTTCTTTGTCTTTACCTTTCAGAAGTTGTACTATGATGTATATAGGCATGGATTTCTTTGGGCTTAGCCTGTTTGGGATTTCTTCAGCCTCTTGAATCCATAGGTTCATGTTTGTCACCAATTTTTAATAAAAATTCAGTCATTATTTCTTTGAATACTTTTTCTGCCTCTCCTTCTTTCCCCTCTTCTTTTGAGCTTCCAATGACACAAATGTTATGTCTGTTGTTATAGTCTCATATATACCATAGGCTCTTTCCACTATTTTTTTTTGTTTATTTTCTGCTGTTCAAATTGGATAATTTCTATTATTCCATCTTCTAGTTCACTGATTCCTCTGTCACCTTGTCTCTATTGTGCTGTTAAGCCCATCCCTGTAACTTTTTATTTCAATTATTGTATATATCAGTTCTAGTTTTCCATTTGCTTGTTCCTCGTATTTTCATTTTCTTTTTTTGTTTCTTTCATCTTTTTTTTTTTTTTTACTTTCTTCATTTTTTTGCTGAGTCTATTTTTTGGGGTAGGTTTTCTATTTTTTCATTTGTCTCATGTATATTTGTAATTGTGTTTTAAAACTTTTTTTTCATGGATGCTTTAAAATATTTGCCAGATAATTCTAACATCTCTATCATCTTATCTTGCCACCTATTTATTTTCTTTTCATTTCATTTGGGTTCCTCCTGGTTCTTGGTATAATGATAAATTTTTATTAAAACATGAACATTTTCAGTTATGTTAGGAGCCTCTGGACACTATTTAAACCTGACTTAAATTGTGTTTTAACTGACTTTTTAAAAAGGCCACTCTGGTAAGGGAAGAAAGTTTGCCACCTCATTACTCCCAGGTAGAAGTAGAAGTTCTCATACAGCTTCTGTTGACAGAAGGCCAGGGTTCTTCATTACTGCTAGGTGGGAGTGAGAGTTTTGACTTCTGCAAAGTCTTCATGTACACTGTGCTGGGGGAAATGTATTTATCGCTTGGTGATAGTGAAAGTCCTGACTCTCCACTAGTACAACTCTGACACCACTGCAATTAAGAGGTGGTGGGACACCTTATTACTGGCGACTGATGGGGAAGTCTAGGCTGCTGAGTGGTCTCCACTAACACTTTCGTGATGGAGGGACATGTTAATAGCCGCTGTGTGAAAGTTTTGATTTTCTACTTAGCCTTTTCTGACACCACTCTGGGGGGTTTTGGAGTACCTCATTACAGCCTTACAAGGGTGGAAGCTTAGGTTTTCCACTCAGTCTACATTTAACACTGTTATGTGTCCTGTGCAGAAAATTGGTGAGTCTTGGAGAACTACACTGGATTATCATAAGCTTAACCAGCTGGTTACTCCAATTGCAGCTGCTCTATCAGATGTGGTTTCATTGCTTGAGCAGAATAACAAATTCTCTGATGCAGCTATTAATCTGGCCAATGCTTTCTTTTTAAAAATATTATAACTTGTAGCAAGGACCACCAGAAAGAGTTTTATTTAATTTGTTAAGGCCAGCAATACACATTCACTGTCCTACCTTAGGGATATATCAATTCTCCAGACTTGTGTCATAATTTAGATTGAGGGATCTTGATACCTTTCCCTTCCACAGACATCAGACTGGTCCATTACATCGATGGCATTATGCTTACTGGACATAGTGAGCCAGAAGTAGAAACTACAACGACTTGTCAGTAAAGCATTTGCATATCAGAGGATGAGAGATAAATCCAGCAGAAATTCAGGGGCCTTCTACCTCAGTAAAATGTGCAGGGGCTCAGTGGTGTAGGGCATGTTGATATAACTCTTCTATGGTGAAGGATAAGTTGTTACATCTCGCTCCTGCTACAACCAAAAAAGTGGTCCTGTGCTTAGTGGAATTCTTTGAATTTGGGAGACAACATATTCCTCATTTTGGTGTTAGAGGCCCAAAAATCTGCTAATTTTGAGTGGGGCTGAGAAAAAGAGAAGGCTCTGCAACAGGTACAGGCTGCCATGCAAGCTGCTCTGCCACTTGTGCCATATGAGCCAGCATATCCAATGGTATTTGAAGTGATAGTGGTGGATAGTGATATTGTTCGGACATTTTGGCAGGCCCCTGTAGGTGAATCACAGTTCAGATCCTCAGGATGTTGGAGCAAAGCCTTGTAATCCTCTGTAGGTAACTACAATCCTTTTGAGAAAGAGGCTTTGGTGTGCTACTGGACCTTAATAAGGACTGACTGCTTAACCATGGGCCACCAAGTTACCATATCTGAGCTGCCTATCAGAAACTGGGTGTTGTTTGACCCACCAAATCATAAATGTGGATGTGCACAGAAGCCTCAAACAGGACTGAAGGCACAACAAAATTACATAAAGAAGTAGCCCAAATGTCCATGGTCCTGATTCCTCCTATCTTACCTTCTTTCTCCCAGCCTCAACCTAAGCCTTTTGAGGAGTTTCCTGTAACCAATTGATATGGCAAGTGAAAACTAGGGACTGATTTACAGATGCTTCTCTGCAGTATGGAGGCACCATCCCAAAGTGGACATCTTTAGCACTACATCCTCTTTCTGGGACATGCCTGAAGGACAGTGGTGAAGAAAAATCCTCCTAGTGGGAATAATTTCTAGTAGTATACCTGTTCATTTATTCTACTTGAAAGGAGAAATGGCCAGACATGTGATTGTATACTGGTTCATGCATCATGGCCAATGTTTTGGATGGATAATCAGGGACTTGGAAGGAACATGATTGGAAAATTGATAACAAGGAGGTCTGGGGAAGAGGCATGGATAGACCTCTCTGAATGGGTGAAAAACATGAAGATATTTGTGTGAATATCTATGTGAATATTGTGAATGCACACCAAAGGGTAACCTCAGCAGAGGAGAATTTTAATGATTAAACGCATAGGATAGCCCATTCTGTGGATACCAGTCAGCCTCTTTCCCCAGTCACTCTAGTCATTGCCCAATGAGTTCATGGACAAACTGGACATGGAGGCAGAGATGGACGTCATGCATGGACTTAACAATTTGTTTTTTCATTTACCAAGGCTGACATGGCTGCAGCCACTGCTGAGTACCCAATCCTCCAACAGCAGAGACCAACACTGAGTCCCCAGTACCGCACCATTCTGTAGGGTGACCAGCCTGGTGGTAGGTTGATTACATTGAACATTTTCCATCATAAAAGGGGCACTATTTTGTTATTATTTGAATAGACATTCTGGATATGGATTTGTCTTCCCAGCACATGTTTCTACTAAAACTATCATCCACGGATTTACGGAATGCCTTATTTGCTGTCGTAGTATTTGTATTTGCCAGCTCTGGCTGCCATAACACAATACCATATGTAGTCGTGTGTCACTTGAAGATGGGGAATGTGTTCTGAGAAATGTGTCATAGGGCGACTTCTTCACCGTGTGAGCATCATAGCGTGCACTTACACAAACCTGGATGGAATAACCTTACTACTCTCCTAAGCTACATGGTATAACCTTTTGCTTCTAGGCTAAAAACATGTAAAGCGTGTTTTTGTACTGAATAGTGTAGGCAATTGTAACACAATGGTAAGTATTTGTGTATCTAAACATAACTAAACATAGAAGAAGTACAGTAAAAATATGGTGTTATACTCTTATGTGACCATCATGTTATATATGGTTCATCATTGGCTAAAATGTCATCATACGGCACCTGACTGTATTGGTTGTCTTAAATGACAGAAATTTATTGTTTCACACCTCTGGAGGATAGAAGCCTGCTATTAGTTTTGTTTTTCTAGAAAACCCGTACTAAGATTGATATGATTTTATCATTTTTTTCTGCATTGTTTGGCTGAAGTAGAGTGGTTATTGTCTAAAATCTTCTGACTGGCTAGATTGTTCTTTCCTTGATCTTTTGGATAAAAATAGCAGGCTTTTATTGTACCATTTTTGGTCTGTGCCCATTGGTATTTTTGGGTTGCTGATTTTTCAGCTCCATGTCTTAGATATATGAGCAAAAGGAAAACCCAAAGGAACCTATCACCATGTTGTTCCTCAGGTCTCAATGTCCCTTGCCAGTCTGCTTTCTCTTCTGTAGATTTCAGTCTTTTTATGTTTGTTTTATATATCACATTCAGGGTTTCTAGTTGTACTTAATGTGAGGAATAGGGAAAATTGTATCTACTCCATCTTCTCAGAAGCAGAAGTCTATATAAAATATTTTGTTTATTTTGCACAACATATTATCTTATACATTTCCTGATGTAGGCACACCCCACTTTTGAGAACTCAGGCCTAAAGAATGACTCTAAGCATTTGAGGAAGTGGAGGACTGGAAGTAAGAAGAAGTGGGTTCTACTCCTGGCTTGACTACTGTGTGATTTTGGACTCATCATTCTTTATCCTCAGTCTCTGTTACTTTATCTCGAAGATGAGCATAAAAACAGTTACCTTGCCCACTTCTAAGAGTTATGTAATATAAAATTTTAGAGGAATGTGAAAATTCTGTAAAAATATTAATAATCACTAGAAATCCAATACACAAGTATTGTGTATTGTGGGCTTGGGAAATAGCATTACATATCTAAGCAAGTAGGGTTATATCTGATATTTTAGTTTAACACTCTTGGGGATATGGAAGGGATGGAGAAGAGGGAACATTTTGGTAAAAGGATTAAATTCTAAGGAAATCTAGATGGGGAAAGGAGGAAGATGTTAGGAGTTTCTATGTACAGACTTTATATGGTACTTTTGCTTATAAGAAGTCCACTTCTTTTTTTAAGTATAGAGGATCCATTTTAAGGACTTGTACCCAGGAGACCAAGAAAAGCAAATCATCTGGTATTCAGTAGTATGGAGAACTACAGAATAGGTCAAAGAAGTTCCAGGGTCTTCAGCAACTGGAGGTTATGGTTTCTCATGCTAGTAGTCTTCCATGAATGGAACTCAGCTCCTCAATAATTTCTCTATTCACTTTTCAATTGTGGCCAATTTTATACCCTTTTCTCTACCTCCTGGCTTCTGCTTACTTGTGGTTCTGTTTCCACAAAATTTAGGGTTAAAATAGATTCATCACTGTTGCTCTTGTCTCTCTTTACCCGATAACCTTTCATATTCTGGCCTACTGTACTGGTACTGCTAATTGCTCCTTTCTCTCTGTATTTCTTAGTTCAACTTCTCAAAAGTTAGAGAGTTGCCCCAGCACATCTTTTTGTAGTAGAAAGTGTAATAGCTCACTGGCAAATCTATGATTAGGCTAAAAGTTTATTAAGTTTGCACCATAGTCTAATAGCTATGGCCATGCATGAGAGTAAAGTCACATGTTCTTTTAGTAGGGTCTGAAGTCATGGCCAGCAGTCTATAAGAAGAGGATGTGGGGAAATAGGAACACTTTTACACTGTTGGTGGGACTGTAAACTAGTTCAACCATTGTGGAAGACAGTGTGGCGATTCCTCAGGGATCTAGAACTAGAAATTCCATTTGACCCAGCCATCCCATTACTGGGTATATACCCAAAGGACTATAAATCATGCTGCTATAAAGACACATGCACACGTATGTTTATGGTGCCACTATTCACAATAGCAAAGACTTGGAACCAACCCAAATGTCCAACAACGGTAGACTGGATTAAGAAAATGTGGCACATATACACCATGGGATATTATGCAGCCATAAAAAAGGATGAGTTCATGTCCTTTGTAGGGACATGGATGAAATTGGAAACCATCATTCTCAGCAAACTATGGCAAGGACAAAAAACCAAACACCGTGTGTTGTCACTCATGCGTGGGAATTGAACAATGAGAACACTTGGACACAGGAAGGGGAACATCACACACCGGGGACTGTGGTGGGGTGGGGGGAGCGGGGAGGGGGGAGGGATAGCATTAGGAGATATACCTAATGCTAAATGATGAGTTAATGGGTGCAGCACACCAACATGGCACATGTATACATATGTAACAAACTTGCACGTTGTGCACATGTACCCTAAAACTTAAAGAATATATATAAAAAAGAAACCATGAGTGAGCAGGCATCACAATTTATATCTGACACAAAATAAATAATGTATAGAGCACAGTATGTAAATTACCAGTTGGTATTTCTTAGTATAAAGTCAAAGGGAATTGGGCAAAAAGGGATTTCAAAGATTCAGCTGTTCAGTTTAATCAGAGAATAAAGAGAGAATAATACTTTCACCTTTTTTCTACTACAAAACAAGTATGGCTTTTGAGTTTCTCTTCTTCCTGGGCTTGCTTCTTTATGACTAAGTGCTTGGGGCTTAATCAGCGGGCTCTGGGATTTGTGCCCTCTCAGTCTTCATCTTGCTGGCTCAATAAGTGACTCCTTTATGACCATTCCCGATATTTTACTGTTTCTTTATTATTCAAGTGTCATCTGTTGTTTTCCTTGTTAACGATCAAGTTGAGTAATGAGCTTTGTGTCTCAGGCAGTTTAGAGCTAACATTAATTCCATGCCTCATTATTAATGGGTTGATTTTATGTAGAGCCATTTTCCCCTTTGAACTATCAGAAAAAAGCTGTTAACCCCTTTATCAAATTCCCTTTTCTTCTGCTTGTCACCAATTTGCCTTCCTTTTTCATCTGCATAGGGTAGTGTCTTGAATTGTATTATCAGTCTTCTTTCTTCACCCTTGTCTCTTTACATGAATACACAATTGGAAAGTCTTTCAGACAAAATAAGAGCTATCCAGTCGGCCATTTCCACTCACAATTGACTAGCCTGTCAGTCAGCCTGTAGGCCTGAAGACTTGTCTGTTGGAAAGAATGCTAGGTAATCTGTTATCCAGTATGAAACCAGCCAGTAGGCCAGTCAGTCAAAGTGTCCGACAGTCAGAGAATCACCAAGTTTGTATGTCAATGAATCAGTCTATCAGACAGTCCATCAGATAATCTATCAATCACCTATATGATAGAAAAGGTAACTAAGGAATCAGCCTGCCAGACCACTAATCAGACACACAGAAAGCTTGTTCACTAGAGCACAAATAAGTCAGTGAGCCAATCATTCAATTAGTCAGAGAATCAGAAAGTTATCCTATCAACTAAATAAATTTGCCACTCACTCTATATAAGTCAGCCAATCAGAAATTTAGTTAGTACAGCAGCTGGTTAGCCAGTCAGTAATTCTGTCAGTCAGAGAGCCAGCCAAACTTTATTTTAATCAGCCAGACCACCAACCAGCACAGAGGAAGGCTAATATATGGGCCCTTTTGTGACCTTAAGGTGGTGACAACAGATAGGGTGAGATAGACATGTCCCATCATGGCTCAGGTCACATCTCACATCTTGATTGTCATCTTCTAAGACAGGAGAGGATTGCCAAGACATATAGTACCTTTGTGTAAATTATTAAAAGGAACCTCCCCACCCAAGATAAACTGTACAAAAGGCAACTTCAGGGATTGATTAGGAAGAGGCACTCTTTTTATTCTGACACAACCCCAAGCCAGGGCTCAAGTCTTGGCTAGCAGATAATGGGCTGAATTTCAGCCCCTCTGTTCTCAGTTGAGAGCCTTTGTGCAATATACATTGTATAATCATTCGTGAAGGTCCTGTGAGAAAGACTTTTCATGACACAGCCTAAAGTAGTTCCCAATATGCTGGATTGTCTCTGTCGACTTGGTATCAATTTCAGAGCCATATTTCTCAGAATCCTCTTCTTTATGTGGTTTTAGGTTATAGTTTTCCAAGAAAGGGCACTTGCATCAGATTTGGAATTAGAAGATGTTATTCTGTGGAGGCAGTTGCAGCAAGACATGTAGGCAAATGTGAGACTTACAGCATTTTTCCAGTGAGCTCTTAAGGTCTATCTACCTGCTTCACTAAGACTAAAATTGTAGATGGGAATATCCCTGAAGGATTCTGGAGAATTTTAGCAATTTTCTCATGAGCTCTTAGAAACCACTCACTTCTGTGTTTCAGAATACAATCATTATTAGCAGCATACCTCACCTTTGCTACCCCAGTTCATACAACAGTTGTATCATCTCCTAGTTCCTACACTAAGACTCTTCACAGCTGGAATCCATAGAGTAGCTTCTCTTTTCCTGACCAAACTATTTGATAGCCACAATCACTCCTTTTTTCCTTAACTTTTAAATTCAGGGGTACATATACAGGATGTGCAGGTTTGTTACATAGGTAAGGGGTTTGTTGTACAGATTATTTCATCACCCAGGTATTAAGCCTAGTATTCATTAGATATTTTTCTTGATCCTCTCCTTCCTTCCACCCTCCACCCTCCAGAAGGTCCCACTGTGAGTTGTTCCCCTCTATGTGTCCATGTGTTCTCATCACTTAGCTCCCACTTATAAATGAGAATAAGCAGTGTTTGCTTTTCTGTTCCTGCATTAGTTTGCTAAGGATAATGGCCTCCAACACCACCCATGTCCCTGCAAAAACATAATCTCATTCTTTTTTATGGCTGCATAGTATCCCATGGTGTACATGTAACACATTTTCTTTATCCAGTCTATCATTGATGGGAATTTAGATTGATTCCATGTCTTTGCTATTGTGAATAGTGATGCAATGAACATACATGTGTATGTGTCTTTACAATAGAATGATTTATATTCCTTTGGGTATGTGCCCAGTAATGAGATTGCTGGGTCGAATGGTATTTCTGCCTTCAGGTCTTTGAGGAATTGCCACACTGTCTTCCAAAATGGTTGAACAAATTTACACTTCCATCAACAGTGTAAAGTGTTCCTTTTTCTCCACAACCTCGCCAGCATCTGTTGTTTTTTTGACTTTTTAAATAATAGCCATTCTGGGCTGGTGTGAGATGGTATCTTGTTGTGGTTTTGATTTACATTTCTCTAATTATCAGTGATGTTGAGCTTTTTTTCATATGATTTTTGGCCACAAGTAAGTCATATATATATATATATATATATATATATATATATATAATTATTATACTTTAAGTTCTAGGGTACTTGTGCACAACATGCATATTTGTTACATATGTATACATGTGCCATGTTGGTGTGTTGCACCCAGTAACTCGTCATTTACATTAGGTATATCTCTAATGCTATCCTTCCCCCCTCCCCCCACCCCACAACAGGCCCCGGTGTGTGATGTTCCCCTTCCTGTGTCCAAGTGTTTTCATTGTTCCATTCCCACCTATGAGTGAGAACATGCGGCGTTTGGTTTTTTGTCCTTGTGATAGTTTGCTGAGAATGATGGTTTCCAGCTTCATCCATGTCCCTACAAAGGACATGAACTCATCCTTTTTTATGGCTGCATAGTATTCCATGTTGTGTATGTGCCACATTTTCTTAATCCAGTCTATCATTGTTGGACATTTGGGTTGGTTCCAAGTCTTTGCTATTGTGAATAGTGGCACCATAAACATACGTGTGCATGTGTCTTTATAGCAGCATGATTTATAATCCTTTGGGTATATACCCAGTAATGGGATGGCTGGGTCAAATGGAATTGCTAGCTCTAGATCCATGAGGAATCGCCACACTGTTTTCCACAATGGTTGAACTAGTTTACAGTCCCACCAACAGTGTAAAAGTGTTCCTGTTTCTCCACATCCTCTCTAGCACCTGTCGTTTCCTGACTTTTTAATGATCGCTATTCTAACTGGTGTGAGATGATATCTCATTGTGTTTTTGATTTGCATTTCTCTGATGGCCAGTGATGATGAGCATTTTTTCATGTGTCTTTTGGCTGCATAATTGTTTTCTTTTGAGAAGTGTCTGTTCATATCCTTCACCCACTTGTTGATGGGGTTGTTTGTTTTTTTCTTGTAAATTTGTTTGAGTTCTTTGTAGATTCTGGATATTAGCCCTTTGTCAGATGAATAGATTGCAAAATTTTTCTCCCATTCTGTAGGTTGCCTGTTCACTCCTATTCAACATAGTGTTGGAAGTTCTGGCCAGGGCAATCAGGCAGGAGAAAGAAATAAAGGGTATTCAGTTAGGAAAAGAGGAAGTCAAATTGTCCCTGTTTGCAGATGACATGATTGTATATCTAGAAAACCCCATCGTCTCAGCCCAAAATCTCCTTAAGCTGATAAGCAACTTCAGCAAAGTCTCAGGATACAAAATCAATGTGCAAAAAAAAAAAAATTTTTTTTTTTGAGATGGAGTCTTGCTCTGTCGCCAGGCTGGAGTGCAGTGGCATGACCTCAGCTCACTGCAACCTCCGCCTCCTGGTTCAAGTGATTCTCCTGCCTCAGCCTCCTGAGTAGCTGGGACTACAGGTGTGCACCACCACATCCAGCTATTTTTTTTTATTTTATTTTTAGTAGAGACAGGGTTTCACCATGTTGGCCAGGATGGTCTCGATCTCTTGACCGTATGATCCACCCACCTCAGCCTCCCAGAGAGCTGGGATTATAGACTTGAGCCACCTTTCCTGGCTCACATGTATGTCTTCTTTTGAGAAGTTTCTGTTCATGTCTTTGCCCACTTTTTTATGGGGTTGTTTTTTTCTTGTTAATTTGTTTAAGTTTCTTATAGATGCTGGATATTAGACTTCTGTCAGTTGGCAAAACTTTTCTCCCATTCTGTAGGTTGTCTGTTTACTCTGTTAATAGTTTCTTTTGCTGTGCAGAAGCTTTTTAGTTTAATAGATCCCATCTGTCAGTTTTTGCTGTAGTTGCAATTGCCTTTGGCATCTTCATCATGAAATCTTTGCCCATGCCTATGTCCTGAATGGTATTGCCCAGGTTTTCTTCTAGGGTTTTTATAGTTTTGGGTTTTATATTTAAGTCCTTACTCTATCTTGAGTTAATTTTTGTGTAAGGTGTAAGGACAGGGTCCAGTTTCAATTTTCTGCACGTGGCTAGCCAGTTATCCAAGCACCATTTATAAAATAGAGAATCTTTTTCCCATTGCTTGTTTTTGCCAGGTTTGTTGATGATCAGATAGCTGTAGGAGCGAGGTCTTATTTCCGGGTTCTCTGCTCTTCCACCAGTCTATGTGTCTGTCCTTACACCAGTACAGTGCTGTTTTAGTTACTGTAACTTTGTAGTATAGGTTGAAGTCAGGTAGTGTAATGCCTCCAGCTTTGTTCTTTTTGCCTAGGGATTACCTTGGATATTTGGGCTCTTTTTTGGTTCCATATGAATTTTAAAATAGTTTTCTTTACTTCACAAGTTACTCCTAACAACATTACCCTTTTTAATTCCATTATAGCACTTATGTACTACTAGGTGATATTTTCTTGTTTATTTTCTAGATCTTTCAACAGGATTAAAATTTTGTAAAAATAAAATTTGTTTTCTACAGTAGTATCCCCTATGCTAAAACAGACTCCAAAGCATAGTAAGCTCTCAATAAATGCTGTTGAATTACGGAATAGATAAACCCAGAAAGTAATTTCTTACATTTGTATAACACATTAGACTTTATTATTTTTAAAGTACTTTCCTTCAATTATGAATTATGAGCTAGGTGGAGATTTTTATCCTCATTTGATATGTGGGGAAGTAAAACTTTGGAATGTATGTGCTAAACAATTTCCCTATGCTATCAACAAGTGGATGCTAGAGTTATAAACTGAACACAGACCTCCTGACTCCTATTCTCTAAGTAAAAAAAAAAAAATCCCAACCATGGTAATGGGAAGAAGAATAAGGCCAACTTTTGTTAGTGGCTTGGAAAGCAGAGTTGGGCACAAGAGTCTGATAAACTTGTTGGTGTGTCTGTGTTCCACAGTTGACTTAAAAGCAACTCAGCAGGTCCATCTCAAAGAAAAATAGTAAAGTGGGCAGAGTTTATGTCTTCCCTTTGGGTTCTCTGTGCCCAACATTTAACTCTAAACCTGGTTGCCTGTCTCCACAGAGCTTCCCCCATTGTTTGGACTTTCTCAAACCCCACTTCCACCTTTTCATAAGTGCCCCTTATTCTTTCAGGGCACATCTTATGCTCACATTTTTAGTTGTGCTGATATGCAAAGGGCTTAAGAGACCAATATGTTACCCAATCTAAAGTTATAACATGTTGGTATTTTATTTGGTTTATTTATATATTTTTATTTTTTTATTGCAATCACTTTGTGGGTATAAATTTTTTCAGTACATGGGTGAATTTTATATTGGTAAAGTCTGGAATTTTAGTGTACCCATCACTTGAGTAGTGTACATTGTACCCAATAGGTAGGTTTTCATCCGTCACTCCCTTGCACCCTCCCCCTTCTTAGTCTCCAATGTGCATTATACCACTCTGATTGCTTTTGCTTACCCATAGCTTGAATGCTCTCACTTGTATGTGAGACTATGTGGTATTTGGTTTTCCATTCCTGAATTACCTCTCATAGAACAATGGCCTCCAGTTCTAGCCATGTTGCTGCAGAAGGCATTACTTTGTTTTTTTTGTTGTTTGTTTGTTTTAATAGCTGAGTAATATCTCATGGTATATGTATATACCATATTTTCTTTATCCACTTAGCAGTTGATGGGCATTTAGGTTAATTCCATATCTTTGCGACTGTGAGTAATGCTGCAATAAACACACACATGCAGGTGTCTGTTTTGCATAATATTTTCTTTTCCTCTGAGTAGATATCAGTAGTGGGATTCCTGGATTGAATGGTAGATCTAATTTTACATCTTTGATAAATCTCCATACTGTTTTCCATAGAGGTTGTACTAATTTACATTCCCACTGGCAATATATAAGTGTTCCCTTTTCACCACATCCATGCCAACATCTTTAAAAAAATATATATATGTATATATATGTGTACATATATACATATATATATACATACATATATATACATATATATACACATATATATACACACACACACACACACACACACACATATATATATATATATTTGTGACAGGGTCTCACTCACTCTGTCACCCAGACTGGATTGTGGTGGCACAATCATGGCTCACTGCAGCCTAAAACTCCAGGGCTCAAGTGAGTCAACCACCTTAGCTTCCCGAGTAGCTGGGACTACAGATGTGTACCACCAGGCCTGACTAATTTTTTTTTAATTATTAGTTTTTGAAGAGATGGGGTCCCACTATGTTGCCCAGGCTGGTCTCAAACTCCTAGGCTCAAGCAGTACTTTCACCTTAGCCTCCCAAAATACTGGGATTGCAGGTGTGAGTAATCACAACAATCCTGTTTTTTGACTTTTTACCTAGCGTTCTGGCAAGGTAAGGTGGTATCTCATTGTGATTTTAATTTGCATTTACCTGAAGAAAATGTAGTAATGTTTGATGTAGTGAGCATTTTTTTATGTTTCTTGGCCATTTGTATATATTATTTTGAGAAATGTTTATTCATGACATCTACCCATTTTTTAAAGGATTTTTTTTTCTTGCTGATTTGTTTGTATTCCTTGTAGATTCTGGATGTTAGTCTTCTGTTGGATACATAGTTTGCAAATATTTTCTCCCATTCTCTAGGTTATCTATTTACTCTGATGATTATTTCTTTTGCTGTAAAGATGTTTTTTAGTTTCATTAGGTCCCATTTATTTATTTTTGTTTTTGTCGAATTTGCTTTTGGGGTCTTAGTCATAAATTCTTTGCCTAGGCCAATGTCCAGAAGAGTTTGCCTGGATTTTCTTGTAGAATTTTTATAGTTTCAGTACTTAGAATAAAGTCTTTAATCCATTTAGAGTTAATTTTTGTATATGGTGAGAGACAGGGCTCCACTTTCATTCTTCTACATGTGGCTATCCAGTTTTCCCAACACCATTTATTAAAGAGGGTGTCGTTTCCCCACATTATGTTTTCATATGCTTTGTCAAAGATCAGTTGGTTGTAAGTATTTGGCTTTACTTCAGGGTTCTCTATCCTGTTCTATTGGTCTATATATATACTTTTATATCAGTACCATGCTGTTTTGTGTACTATAGCCTCATAGTATAATTTGAAGTTTGGTAATGTGATGCCTCCAGATTTGTTCTTTTGCTTAGGATTGCCATTTGGGCTCTATTTTTGGCACCATATGAAATGTAGGATTGTTTTTTTCTAATTCTGTGAATAATGATGTTTGTAGTTTGATAAGAATTACTTTGAATCTGTAGATCGCTTTGAGCAGTATGGCCATTTTCATGATATTGATTCTTCCAATCCATGAGCATGGGGTGTATTTCCATTTGTTTTTGTCATCTATGATTTCTTTCAGCAGTGTCTTGTAGTTCTCCTTGTGGATAACTTTCATGCTTTTTGTTAAGTTGCAACTATTGTAAAAGGGATTGAGTTCTTGATTTGATTATCAGCTTGTTTGGTGGTATACAGCAGTGTTATTGATTTGTGTGCATTGATTTTGATACTTGAGACTTTGCTGAATTCAGTTATTAAATATAAAGTATTTTGGAGGAATCTTTAGAGTTCTCCAAAGATTATATCATTGGCAGGGAAAGATAGTTTGACTTTTTTTTCTGATTTGGATGCCTTTTATTTCTTTTTCTTGCCTGATTGCTCTGGCTAGGACTTCCATGTTTGTGTTTTAACCTAGAGACAATACCTCAGCTCAAAAGAGTAAGCTGAATAGTAAAATTTCAGGAATGGTTTAAAGCCAGTGGACAAGAACTTAATATGAGAGATTTTGTTATTTTTTGTTTTGTTTTTTGTTTTTTTTTTTTTGTATTTACAGATTTCCCAGTAGACACTTTGGTGGAGACCTCCAAGCTGGGACCCTGGGTCTTGAGTGCCCCACTAATGGGCCAGAATGTCCTTGACTTCATCTATCACTTGAACTTTTTTTCAGGTTTATAGGTCAATCACTCACATTTACTAAACATCTCTTTTATAGCAAACTGGCTCTGTGTCTAAAAACTTTGACCTATACCATTGTGATAGACTCGGCAAGTTACCTACTCTCTATCCATTCTTTCCTCCTTCTAAACAGAACCATGATTTTGTTTGGGTAAATAATGCACCCACTTAAAATACTCCTCTCCACAAACTCCCTGCAACTAGGTGTGATAATGTGACCCACTGTGGCCAATGATAGATTGAGCTGGCACTCATCCTGTGCCTTTTGCCCTTCATCCTTTCATGCCTAGAATGTGATGCAACTTGAGAGCACAAGGAAGAAATATACATGCTAAGGATTTGGGGGGCCAAGAATCCTAAGAACCTAATATTTAAAGACTTTAGAACCACTGTTCCAATCCTCTGTGGTTTAAGTCCATCCTTTTTTTTTAGTGACACAAATAAAGCCCTTATTATCTAAGCCACTTTAGGTGAAAGAATTTCTGTTACGCAAAGACAGCACAATCTTAGCTGATAAAATAATCTCATTTAATCTTCTCAATAACTTCATGAGGTAGGCTTTATTATTCCAATTGGACACATGAAGAAACAGAAGCTAAGAGATTTGTCTAAGTCCACACAGCTTTTAAGTAGCAGTCTGGACCCAAATCTAGATCTATCTTTTCCTATGCTTTTTCTTCTATACTATTGCATGACAGCTTTCTTACAGGATACTCTGCCAGAGAGAGATTGTGTGTGTGTGTGTGTGTGTGTGTGTGTGTGTGTGTGTGTATTAGACAGGGAGAGACAGAGAGAGAGAGAGAGAGAAAGAGAGAGAGATGCAACCTTTTGAGAGAAGAATCAATCACTGCCCTCATGAGGCATTTTCTAGGTTCCTGATGGTACTAACTGGGTCATATACAAATAAGATATGTATGTATATAGGAAGGGACCAGGAAACTTTGTTCTTACCTCCCAGGAGCTTCTGGTCTAAGAACAATAGTCCTACTCTATCCCTTCTATGCCTTCCCACAGCATTGTTGGAACCACTTGTTGTCATTTAGGTGTAACTTTAATCCATTTATCTATGAGTTTAATGAACATTTATTAATTACATTTTCCTGACCAGGCACACCAGAAAAGAAATACTGGACTGATCCTGAAGACCTGAGTCCTAGTTCTAGTACTACCACTAGGAATGAGTTCTACGCCTCAGTCTCTCCATCTATATAAGAAGGACATTAGACTAGATGATCTCTAAAAAAACTTCTAGCCCAAACAGACTTGGTTCCTTTGAATTGATTCAGGTTTGGCCAAAAAGGTATTTTAGGGCCAGATCATACTAGATCTTTAATACCTTTTGAAATGTCTGGGACTTCCCCAGAGACGATAAGAAACTATGGAAGTTTTTCAGGTTATACTTGGGTAGTGCTTCTAAGTTAAAATTGCAGCTTTCAGTTTGCTGGTTGTGTGATCTTGGGCAAGTTTCTTAACCTTTCTGTGTGAGTTTCTATAGAACGGGAACAACAATTGCACCTATGGCATAGCATTCGTACTAGGGTTAATGAGAAATAAACATAAAAAGTCCATAGCACATTGCCTGGGAAAAAGAAAATGATTAATCCATGGCAACCATGATTATTACTGTTATTAATTTTCTGCCTTCTAGACACTCTCTCTATTTTCTAGCCAGGTTAGTAGGCCCCCTTTCTTCTTTTCCTGCCATCACACAAGGAAAACAGCTGCCCTTGCTGAAAAAGAACTGGCAAGGGTGAGGGTGGGGGTGGGAGGGGAGGGGATGTTGTCAAGGAAGCCCTGATTCGAATTAGAAATACCTTCTAGCCCAGCAGAACAGTATTGATTACTGATCGCACTCCTTCCTCATGCTCCCTCCCCAGGGCACAGAAGAGGAGCCAGGCTTGGGAGGTAGCCCAGCTGAACACCTACGAAGCAGAGGCTCCTCTTTGGCTGTTGACAGTGGTATCTGCTGCTCACTTTAAGATGGCCAGTTAGCCCACATTCATTTTCTGCTCAATGACTTTTAACTTTCATTGTCTTTTCCACTCGCTTTGATAACCTCAAAGTGGCTGCTTTTCTGAGATCTTTCATAACGCAAAAATGCATTGAGCAATCGGAGTCAAAATCACTGAGCTAAATCCCCACTTAATGTGTGTGCTTTGTGGAGGATACTTAATTGATGCCAGAACCATAATAGAATATCTGCATTCCTTCTGTGAAACCTGTATTTCGTGTTACCTATAGATCAGCAAATATTGTCCTTTAATGTCCAAGTTCACAAAACCATTATGCTCTGAATATAACATCAGATAAAAATCCTCAATCTATTGTATACAATTACTTCCAGGCCTTTTCAGAAATAAAATGAGAAGGGATCTTTATGCATCTCTTTATTCAGCTGTTGCTGCCAATGGCGCTAATGAAAATAGAGAAGTTGCAGATGAAGATAAGAGAATTATAACTGATGGCGAAACAATAAGCTTATCCATTGGATTTTTTTTTTTGACCAGAACAGAAAGTAAACAAAGACAAAGAGAAGTTTAAGGAGGAGGTGAATGATAAAAGTTATTTACAATGCTCAGCCAGAATGACTGTGATGAACCTAAGGAACATATCTTATACTTCCCAATTGATGTCATGTATGAAGAGGAATCTTTAAAGGATAAATATACATTAATGGATATTACTTACATTTATATGTGGATAAGAAATGGACTTCTTCCTTTAAAGTACGGTGTTTGACCTATTAGTAAAAGAATGAAGCTTAGTTGCTGGAGAGATGAACTGACAAAAATGCTGGAGAACTGGAATGTGACTTTGGAATTAACAAGGCCAATGGCCTAGTAGGAGTTATTTCCTCTAGCTCTTCTTGTTTGCCTAGCTGCACTACTCCAATCCAGTCTCCTCATCTTCACTTTCCTCACATGCCCAGTATTATGAATGCCACCAGGAACAGTCCCACTGGTAACTATGAACCTTTCTCTGCCAACAGACCTAAAAAATCATCAGCAAATGGGTTATTAGAAACTTCATTCTTAGGTTGATAACTGAGACTGTTAAGGAAAAAAAAATCCAGCTCCTAATTTTTTTTTTTTTGAGACAGGGTCTTGCTCTATTGCCCAGGCTGGATCACAGTGGTGTGATCACAACTCACTGCAGCCTAGACCTCCTGGGCTCAAGCTATCCTCCCACCTCAGCCTCCCAAGTAGCTGGGACCACAGGTGAGTGCCACCATGCCCAACAAATTTAAATTTTTTTTTAAATGTAGAGATGGGGGTCTCCCTATGTTGCCCATGCTGGTCTCAAACTCCTGGGCTCAAGCAATCCTCCCTCCTTGTCCTCCCAAAGTGTTGAGATTACAGATGTGAGCCATAGTGCTCAGCCAAGCTCCTAATTTATATAGGTATGTCTATGCCATTACAGCTTTACAAACACTAATACACATGACTGTGGTCAAATTTGCTTTCTTTTGTAGTTACATTGAATTTGACTATAAAAGATGGACCAAGTGTGACATTCATATATACATTACTTGGAAAGAAAGATTGTCTTAAAAAGAACTGGTTTTTGTGTGGGCAGGCAATGTTTTCTTCTGTGTGAAGTGTTTTCTGTAAACACTGTTTGAATGTGAAAACCCTCTAAAATAGACATAAACCTTGGTCCATAGTTCGTCAATCTCCATTAACATCTGTGTTACATGCTCTTGGATTGTTCTTGCTATTATGTTGTTTTATGAACCTGTAGACAACACATGCTTTTTATTTTGAAATTTAAAAAATAAAAAGAATATGCATAGAATGGTGCATAGACTATACATCAAATGCTGCGATGTAACTGTGAGTAGCCATTTCTTGCATATTTAACCATTTTGAGTTCTTCATTTCACTTTACTTCTCTGTTATTGCACAGAACAATCTTAAGAAAGTAAACAGCAGTTTTACAATTTGTGTGCTTTAAAAGTGGGTACTATTGTTTATTTTTACTGACTTGTTTAAATGAATATATTTTGTAAGAATCAGATGGCATTATGCTTGCTTTACAATGCTGTATTCGTACAGAAACAGTATTGTATATTTATAAATATAATAATGAAAATATTGTGTTTCATGTACTTAGAAATGGTTTTCAAGTTATCCAAACTAGTTCAGACTTGGCAGATACTCTGTGTTTGAACCTTGCTTATCATCATGTAACATTTTAAATGTGGATACACAAATCTAAATTATTTTCCATTGGAAGAAATTGACAAATCATTACAATGTTGAAATATTTCCAATAATACATTTTTTACTTTAAAATTTTATTACTATAATAAAGAAAATCTCTTAACCAAGGAATATAAAAATTGTGTATATCGTTCTAAATTTTGCCTGTTGGCTATGGTGGAATTAGTGTGTTTTTAAAATGCCTGTCAGTAACTATAATTCTATAGCAAATTTTAAAATGAAACGTTTAAATTTTTAAATGAATCAGAATTTTTCTTTTAGTATGGGGCATAGTAGCATTTTCTAATTTAATAGTTACTTTAACAGTTATAAACAATGGAATATACCTTCTCTGTAATGTCTGATAATACAAATAATTTATTATGATCTTCTACATGTATTAATTTTAAAATAGAGTGAGCATGTTGAACATAAAATATGAATAACTCCAACAATTTTCCATATATATTTTGCTTTGGCCAAACTGTGTATATTTATCATCTATCAGTTACATGTGAGGCTGTTTATTCTATATGAATATTGCTTCAGGTTTATATGGAAAATTTTTGGCTAAACATTTCATTGTCCCCTCTATGTAAAAAAAAGCACAATTCTATCATTTTGTCTTGCTTATCACTATTAAATCACTACATTTGCGTATTTTTAAAAATCAGAACTGGGAACATCCTAGGTTTTGCCAAAGAAGAGTTCCAAAAGACAAGGGTGTAGGAGGGAAGGTACAGTTTGTATCAGATGCCCATATTTTATCTACTGGGTTTTACTTTCCCTTGAAGGCACTGGTTCTCACTGTCACCCCTTGTAAGGGAACAGAGTTCTCAATTTAATGAGCACGGAGAAATTCCCAGGTTTGGACAAAGAAGAGCTTGGAAAGGAAGGCCTGCAGGAGGGGAAGGATTGGCTGCCCACAGCTCACCTCTCAGGATGATCTCTTTCTCAGCAGACACAACTGCCCCACTACTCTTTCAACTCTAGCTCAAGAAGGTATGCAAACTACATAAATTTGTGATTGCATTTGGCCACAAATAATAAAAGCAAATAAGCAAACAAAGAAACCCGGAAGTTTAAACAAGCAAAAGGTTTGCTTTTCTCATATAACAAGAAATCAAAAGCTAGCAAGTCCAGGAACCACTGGATATTCAGGCCCTCGTGTCTTTATGCTCTGCCATTCTTGCCTGCAGCATCATCCTAGTGATATAGGTATCTATCTACAGGATAGATAGCTCCTGAAGCTCCAGGCATCATGGCTGCATTGCAGGAAGAAAGAAGAGGACAGGAAAAAGGCAAAACTTATGTGCCCATATAAGTGTCTTTAAAAAAATAAACTTCTAGAATAGCAACACAGTGAGTTCTGCTTATATCTCATTGGCTACCTGTCATCTGGCTACACTTCTACAAGGCAAGGGAGGCTGAGAAGTGTAGTTCGTTCAGCTGGGCACACTTCTGCCTCAAACAAAATTAATGTTCTGTTAGACAGGAATAAGAGTGTAGGTATGGGATAAGGACAAGCAGTCTGCCACACATATTTTCTGCTTCTTTGCGGTACAGGTGAAAGTGGCTGTCATTTCACAAATAATTGTATTAAATACTAAAAACAGATCAAAGAAGGAAAGAATGACAAGAAAATTAAATCTTATTAACAAGGTCAATTTTACAAAGCAGTTCTTTGTGGCCAGAAGACAAGTATCCAGGCGCCTCTACCACTTCAGTGGGGCCTTGCTAGCACCACCTCCCAGGAAACTACATTTCTGCCCTCCCAGCTTCCTTCTAAATCACAAGTGCCACCTTTCTTGTTTATTTTACTGTCTTTTTAAAATGAGTATCTTTTGTAAGGATCAGATGGCATTATGCTTGCTTTACAAGGCTGTATTGGTACAGAACTAGCATTGTATAGTTATAAATATAGTAATGAAAATATTAGAAGGATAACAAAGGTACCTTTGGAGCACTCTCTTGGGTCTCACAAGCTCTTTCTAACCTAAGGCCAAAGACAGGGGTTGCCTAGGGCCGAATTTCCTCAGGTACAGTTTTCAGCCTGCCTCATTCATAGTCCATTGACGGGGCTTGGGTAACAGGGATGTCAGCAGTGGCAATGAACAACTGAAGATTAGAGGCCCTTCTCCCATTTCTCTGGATGCTGCATAAGCCTGCTGGATCAGGATCACCAACGTGGGAGGTGACATTAATGGCTTACATGGGGGTAAGCAAATGGAATATGCCATGTACACCTGCATTTGTACCTGAGAGTCATACCTAATGCAAATGTCTCCCTCATTCCAATGGTTCCTCACTGTTCCTCCACATGGCCCTTTGATGCTGACTTCACCTACCTGCTTCTTGTTGTGCTTGCCCTCTGTGTCCCTACCCCCTTCAACTCCACATGCTAGCCAAGATGTTTCCCACTGGCATCTCAAAGAGATTAGATATTATTTACATGATATATAAATATAATGTGATTAAGAGCTTCAGCTCTGAAGGGTGCAATACTGCCTTCCCTCTTGTCTACTTAAGATAGCCTTAGGTAAGTCATATAACCTCACTGTGTCTCAGTTAGCCATCTGTAAATGGGATAATAACATTACCTACCTTATAGGGTTGTTGTCAGGATTGAGTGAGTTAGTTCATAAGGTACTTGTCACATAGCTAGTTCTCAATAAATGTTAGCTACTGCAATACAGCTATGGGCTTTTGACGTGTTAGTTCCTCTGCTTGGAGCACCCTTTTCCACCTCTCCTGTTGGAAAACTCTCTTTTGTCCTTCCAAAATCACTCCAAATTTATCTCCTTTATGAAGAGCTAAGCAAAATTAGGGATTCACTTAGGTTTATTCAACACTTTGCACATGGCCCTCACTAATCTGGAACCTCCTTGAGGACAAGGTTCTATGCCTTATTTCTTTATCCTTAGCATCTTGCACAGGGCCTGACCTACAGTAGACTTTTGGTGGCTGTTTGGGAATGAATGAATGAATTGATGATGAATGCAAAACAAAATGCAGCAAGTGGGATCATCATATTCTCCCTTCCCAAGACTCCCCAATGACAGATTTTATAAGTTCTGCCACATACACATCACTTTTGCAGAATTTAATATAATACCCTCTTTCATGATGTCCTAAAATGTGACTCCACACCCCCCGTTTTATTCATGATAACCTATGGGTGTTAAAACTCACTGGACTAGCTATCAGCAGAGGGAGCTGATAGGGAGGGATGGTGTTTGGGAGGACACGAGTTGGGGTGGAAGAAGCCTAAGTCATCAAGATCTCCAGGGATGATACATCCCATTCCATTCCTTTCCCATAGGGCATGCTCTTAAAGATGTTTCTTGAGGGGACGTGAAACTTTCATGACCTACAGCAGTTCCTGTCTGTGAAAAGGATGGGGCAGCTGTGCCTGATT
Source organism: Homo sapiens (assembly GCF_000001405.40). Classification (NCBI taxonomy): domain Eukaryota; kingdom Metazoa; phylum Chordata; class Mammalia; order Primates; family Hominidae; genus Homo; species Homo sapiens. The sequence continues at coordinate 67,787,372 of NC_000023.11, read as the reverse complement.
ATAGAGAAAGAGGCTGGGAACTGAGCCAGAGCAGTCATAAAATGATACAGAGGCTGATCATAGGCTTATGTTGTCAGATAACCAAGGTCCCAAGCAGAATCAGGTGTGGTTGGCAAGTTATTTGAACCAAACTGATGGAAGGAGTAGGGCCCTCTCTTTGATAGTTCCCCTTGTGTCCAAAACTTGGGAATTCACATGAACCAAAAACTCTGACAGGGATGACTTCCACTAGAGTGTTAGGCCATAAAGGGTGAGGGATGAGGTGTGGAAAATTGGCAAAATCAAACTGTAATGTGGTTGCTTCTTTTCCTATGGCTTTGCCACTGACTCACTATGTGACCTTGGGTAAGTTCTCTTTTTTCTAGGCCTCAGTATCCCCATCTCTGCAATAAGGCGGCTAGACCTGATGATCTCTAAGAAACTTACAGCTCTGTAATTTTGGCATAAATTGTGAAATGAGATATCCAAAGACCCTTACAACCAGGAGAGATTCATCTGTCTGGCTTGAAAAGAAGGCTGCCCAGCATGAGGGCAGGGGGTTGTATAGGATGATCCCCTTGAAAGCCCAATGATCCTTGAATGTCTGTGTCCCCCAAGTAGTCTGGGGCTAATTCGAGCTCACTCCAGTCTCCTAGCCTTTGTATTCTTAATATTTTTTTTTGAGTGCCACCCCTAGCATGGGGCCCTGGCCTTGAAAGGTCTGAGAGAGGCCCTGGCTAATGAAGGCATTTCTTCCCTAGAGGAATTGAAGTGCTTTTTCCAGGCTGAGAAGGTGATAATTTTCTCATTTAAATCACATCTATTATAAACTTAAGTGGGGCTTATTTAGAGAATAATTTAGTTTCTCAAGACAACTGGAAAAAAAACTATTAGCAGTGGGAGACTGCTCCAAGCAGATGGCTTTTTTTTTTCTCCTGAGGTTGGGGGGGCAGGGTGGGGAGGAGGTAATTTGCTGGCATTTTTATAGTCCTTTGAAGCTAACAGTGGTATGGCCAGAAGGAAACATGGCTCCTTAGCTCTGGGGCAGGGCCTGGGAATCTGCATGTTGCTTTCTGGGAGTTGCAAGAAGGGAAACATCCTTGAACTACAGAGAAAATGGGTAAAAGGATAACAAAGGCACAGAAATGATACAAGGAGAAGCCCTAGGATGTGACTTAAGGAGAAGGCTTGGGGTCATCTAAAGTACAGAATGATGGGATTGTGATATTTAAAGACTGGAAGGGCCTTAAAGGATTGCCTGGGTCAAATATCACCATTTTGTAAGTTAGGAAGCTGAAGCCCAAGGGGCAGAGACATGTCCGAGTTCATACACATGCATAAACACACTCACAAACACACCTTAAAGTTATGGAATCGTAGATACACAGTGTCCTGGAACTGAGCCACTGTAACACAGTTTATCCAACACCCCCGCCCCTCCCCCCCCGGCCTTATGCTATCAATGGGGAACTAGAGGTCCAGAGAAGAGAAAGGATCAACCCAAGGTCACACAGAGAGTCAGCGGTAAGCTAGGGAATGGAGACACAGAGAAAGAGGTATTTGGAAACCCCATAAAGAATGAAGTGGGAGATGGAAGAAAAGGCTGCCGAGATTTGACACCAGGGAATTAGCAGGCAGACCACACACAAAGAGTGTGTTTACTCTTTCTAAGGCAATCCTGCCCTGGATAGTGGTCTTCATTTCCAAAGATTGCTGCAGAAGGAAGGCTCATACACTAGAGGCACATGTAAAAATTGCTATAGCCTCCAGTTCTTGGTTTCCATCATTTCTCTCTTCTCATCTCTCTCCATTTATCCTATCCTTGCTTGGCCTCCTCAGTTTCTCTCTCTGGTTTCTCTCTCTCCCTTGGGTTCTTTGTTTCAGAATCACTACTCCTAGGCCCCATCTTAGTTTTGTAGGTTGTGTCTATACCTAGCTGAGTGGCACCTCTTAGAGTTGCAGTGTGCATCCTGTATAACTCTATACAGCATTCCTGCTCCACCCCATCAAAAACAAAATGTTTATTACCTTATCTCAGGTAGATATATGGGAAGGAAGGCCTAGATTAAACACTAATGATGCCATTTTCCCTCTCTGGTGTCATATCGCTTTCAAAAGGAGAGCTAACTGCCTCCAATGAAATCTCATTGATGGATGATTATAGTTGGAAATATGAAGTTAGGGGAGGGGGGATAATATTGGGGATATAACTACTCCTAATATAATACCTTACAGATCTAGCACCAAGGACTTAAAGTTAGAGAATTCTTTCAATGAGATACTCATTACTGAGCACCTACTTTGTGCCAGGTTTCGTGTTAGGTATGGGAAGGGCATGAGAGTGAGAAAGTGGCAGGGAAAAATTACACAAAGAATTTCACAAGGAGTAGGGCAGGTGATTGCTTAAGGAGCTAATTATAACTCGGAGCTGAAGGATGTGTGAGCTAAACAGCTCAATATAGAAGTACAAAGGAGAGGGATGTTATCTTCTAGTGGGGGTGAGGGAAAAGGAAGGCTGCACAGAAGAACTGGCATTTGTGTTCTGCCTACAAAGCTGAAAAGGATTTCACCCAAATCAGGGAAGGTGAGGGGAAAGGGAACAGTGGGATGAGTAAATGCCTAGGAACCTGAAAAAATAGAACATGTTTGAACCTTGTGATAGGAGAATAACAGGGAGGAAAGGGTAGATGAAGTTTTACAGTTAAGAGTGGTATAAAAGGGAAGCCCGCAATGCCAGGCTAAGGGGTATGGGTCTTATCCTTGGGGAAATGAGGAGCCATTGAAGAGTTTTAAGCAGGGAAGTCACATGATCATATTTTGTTGTTTATTTTGTTTTCTTTCTCTGGATAATAATTATGGCAGCAAAGTGGAGGACTGGCTGGAGGAGGGGAAGCCTGAAAATAGGGAGATGAGTGAGAACATTTTGAAGGACAGAACTGAGTCAGTGTAACAGATAGAAAAGATATTTTGGTAGTAGATTAACAGAATTTGAGTAATATTGGATTGAGGGGTTTAAGAGTGAGCTACTAATGCTCCAGAACAATCACTGATCTCAATGCCGTATAACAACAAATATTTATTTCTCACTAGAATAACTTCAGGTCAACTAGGGTTGTGATGACCAGGCTGGGCTTGTCCTGGATTGGCTACAGGAATGAGAAAACACACACAATGCTTCTTAGTACCTAGCTTCAGAATTTGCATGCTGTCACTTATGCCAGCCTTCCATTGGCAGAAGAAAATAACATAACTGGGCCTAGAATCAGAGTGGAAGGGAGTGACATGTCACATGTCAACAAAGAGCATGGATAAAGAGAAGGGTGAATAATTGAGACCATTAATGCAATCAGTCTACCACAGTTGGAGCTGAAGGATGAGGCAAAGGCGGAAAGGTGAAAAAGACCATACGGCACATTTGAGAAACAAACAAAAGGCTAATATGGCTGTACCACAGAGAGCAAGGAGGGAGAGTGGTGTGATATAAAGCTGGTAGATGCCAGATCATGTAGGTTATCACGGGTCACAGCAATGGTTTTAGTCTTTATTCTGAAGGCAATAAGAAACCACTATAGAGATTTAAGTAGAGGAAGGACATTCTCCAAATTTTCAGCTGGGGCAAATGGATACCTTATGATGCTATTCAGTGACATAGAGAAGCCTATTGAAGCCTGAGTTCTTCAGCTGGAAGACCAAGATTAGGTGTATGGTAGATCTTGATGAGTATAAGCCAAGGTTTCTCAATGTTTAGTGCTATTGACATACTAGGTGTGATCAATGTTTGTTGTGGGGCTTGTCCTGTGCATTGTACGGTATTACCAGCACCCCTGGTCTCTAGCAGATGCTGGTCGTACTACTCCCCGCAAGTTGTGATAACGAAAAATTTCTCCAAGCATTGTCAAAGTCTCTGGGGACCAAAACCACCTCTGGTTGGGAATCACTGGGTCTAATCTAACCCTGGTCTAAACTAATCGTGGTTATTTCATTTACTTTGCCACTAATTGATTAGGAAGTGACATGCATTTCAGAGTGCTGGCTGTCCCCCCTGTTCTCCACTTCTTTCATAGCAATAGAGTGCCACTTTTTAGCTGGGCACTTTGCTATCAGATTCTCTTACAGATGGGTGTAGGAATGACACTAGGTTTTTGCCAATGAGTTTTTTTTTTCTTTTTTTTTTTTTTTTTTGAGAGGGAGTCTTGCTCTGTCGCCCAGGCTGGAGTGCAATGGCACGATCTTGGCTCACTGCAACCTCGCCCCCCACTCCGGGTTCAAGCGATTCTCCCGCCTCAGCCTCCCAAGTAGCTGGGATTACAGGCACCCGCCATAATGCCAGGCTAATTTTTGTATTTTTGTAGAGACAGGGTTTCACCATGGTGGCCATGCACCAATGAGATTTAAGTGGAAGTGTTGTATTCGATTTCTGGGAAGGCTCCTTAAAATGGATAGTGCGTCTTCTCTTCTGTTTCCTCTGTCTTCCTTTCTGAATATGAATGTCATGACTGGAGTTCCAACAGCCATTTGGGGCCATGTAGATATGGGCAATTCCATAAGAATGGCAGAAGAGAAGGCTGGAAGGATTCTGGGTCTCTGACGACTTTGTGAGTCTGTCATACCGGCCCTCAGCTGCCTGCCCCTGGGCTTCTATACAGAAATAAAATGTTACTATATTCAGGACATCCATTTTGTTTTATGTTTTGTTTCATTTGTTTGTTTTTCTGTTGTATTGCTGCAGAATCTAAAGTCCTAACTGCTAAAGCACATAGTGCAATTCTTACCAATGACATGTGAGAAGAAGTCTGTTGTGGAGCTTGGAGGAAAGGTTACTTCACTTGATCCTCACCAAAAGGCAGAGAAGTGACAGGAAAGATTTTTGCTGTCTAAAGATGAGTGAAAATGAAAGACTTTTCTCTTTTTCAGCCTTTGGCTATTAGTGTATGGAAACTTGATGCCTGGCACTGTGGCAGCCATATTTTGACCATAAGAGGAGCAGCTGACATGCTAAGGGTAATAGAGCAGACAGATGGAAAGAACCTGGATTCTTCATACCAGTGAACCGCTGAATTGACCAACAGCAGAACAGAGTACTTGTTAGATAAAGCCAATACACTGTTAACATAATTTAATCATTTTTACTTAAGTTTCTGTTACTTGCACCTTAAAGTCTCCAAAATGATACAATTAAGATATGAAGGAAAATAATGAGCTAAGTTGGGATATATAGAATTTGAAAAAATTTATGGGACATCTTTTTTTTTTTTTTTTTTTTTTGATATAGTCTTGCTCTGTCACCCAGGCTGGAGTGCAGTGGCGCGATCTCGGCTCACTGTAACCTCTGCCTCATGCCTCAGCCTCCCGAGTAACTGGGATTACAGGCACACACCACCAGGCCTGGCTAATTTTTGTATTTTTATTAGAGGCGGGTTTCACCATGTTGTCAGGCTGGTCTTGAACTCTTGATCTCAAGTGATCTGCCTGCCTCTGCCTCCCAAAGTGCTGAGATTACAGGTGTGAGCCACCATGCCCAGCCTGACATCTATGTTTTTGATGCCTAATAGTCCGTTGACCATATATATTTAAACCTAAAAGAAGATATGAGATTGGCCTCAGTAATGGGGAAGGAGCTCTAGTCCTCCTTGCAGGTGGGGGCTTGGCTATCCACTGTGACCGACCTCCCACTTCCTTATAGCTAATCTATTGGCAGGGTCACAATAGGGGAGCTCTACTTCAGGGTTCCAGGGAAAGAATAGCAGGGAGCTGCAAAAGAAGGGGCATGGGCCTCACTAGAATCAGAATGATATCTCCAAGGCCCAAAGTCAGCACTTGTTCAGGCTGACCTCAGAATACTGGTAATACTGTCACTCCCTCTCCCCACACCCCACATTCTGAGCTTGGCTTATAGCAGTAGCTTAGGGGAAAATCCAAGTACATGTGGGACCCCTGCTAATGTTACCAGCTGGTTATTATCCCTATATTGTCATTAAAGCTTGAGGCCTCCGGCTAAGCTCCTATACATGCTCATAACCACCAGAGGACAGTACGGTCTGGACAAGGCTTGCCAACCAGCAATGCAAGCCAGCCTTTCTGGAATTATTTATTGCCTAAACCAGAGGCCCTCCTACCTCTGCCTTTAATTTTAGACTGGGGCCCAAGAGGCTCTAGGAAGGAAGCTCAGAGCCATTGGGTTTTGAAGGAAGCTCTAGCACTTTGCCTTTGTCTTTGTTACTCCGTTTCAGGCTTTGTAGGGAAGCAAGAACTCCTCATGGCTTCAGAGTATCATGGGTTAAAGCCAAAAGCAGCTGGAAGCACAAGCTAAAGGATATATTTGGAAGGTGGATTCCTCCTCCTCTTCCTCCGGAAGGGGCAGGCAGATCTTGGCCTCATGCCCAGATCACAGAACCACAGACTCAGAGCTGAAAGAGCCCTTAGCTATCAGGCAGAAATTCTTAGCCTACAAGTCCATGAGTCACTTGAAATTGTATGCTAAATTGTGGCATCTGCATCCACAGATTTCGTCAGATTCTCAGAAGTCTGTGATTCCATGAAAAGTTAAGAAACATTACAAGCCCTTTAAGTTACAGACAAGGCACTGAGAGGGGAGGAGCTTGCCCAAGGCCACAGAGTTAGTCAGGGTTAGAGCTGGGACTGGAAACCAGGCCTCTGACATCAGTGCAGACACTCTGCACTATGCAATAATCCTTTAAACCCTTCTCTTCAAGCTGTGGTTTCCTGGGCACATAGGGGAATAGGGATAGAAGGTGATGGTAATGGTAAGCTAGATCTGGGCAGCAAGTACAACCCAGACTGCATTTGTAGGTGGTGGAATAGGCTGGAGGGGAAGATGGGAGCAGTGTCAGGGAACCCAGCAGTCTTATTGGGGAAGTTACCAGGGTGCTTTCTCCATGTCCTTTCTTTCTCTTTTCCTCTGGCTCCAGGATTATATCTTCTTACTTGTCTTACACATTATTACTGACTCAATTTCCTTGGGTTCCACCTCAGTATGCTCAGCTGGAGTTTAACTGTGGATTTGGATATAGTTTCCTTAGCTTCTTTCATTTTTTGCCTTGCTGAGCAGTGAGCATTTAGGAACTTTGGGTGTTGGTGCTATTCACTTCTGGGCCAGGGGAAAACCAAAATAACTAAGTAATCTTATAGAATGTTTTGAGTAACTGGCCCAGATCTACCACTAAGCTCAGTGGCCTATATAATGTCAAAGGGGAAAGAGATCTTAGGAAGTTCATCGAGTCCTTGATTATACAAATTGGGGTCTGTGGCCCAGAAAGGAATAGAGATGAACCTGTCAACACACAGTACTTAGGCAGGTGGAACTGCACTCTAAGGATATAAGAATCCTAGCTCTCTCTAGCATGCTTCGCTTTTCCCCATTGTGTTTTGGCCTCTCTAGGATGGTACTGGAAGTCTCATTTTGAAGCCCTGGCCAGCAAGTAAAGCTGTTAGTCTGGTGGGTTTTTTAGGCCCTATCAGAACCTTCTTCCTGATCTTGTGCCTAATACAGGACACTCCCCACTGCAAACATGCCAGCAGGTCAACCCTCTGGCTCCCAACTCCTTAGTTGTGTGTCCCTGAAGACAGTATGGCAAAATAGAAAAAGTCCCACAGACTGGGTTACTATACCAGGCAAGTTCATTTCTCTTCTCAAAACTCAGGTTTTTAAATCTGTAAAACAGGGAGAGAACCTCACTGGGTACTTTTAATTCCCTTTATGCAGCTTTACGTATTTTCATAGCGTTTATAACTTTCTTGCATACCTTATAATTTATTTACTTATTGTCTTTCCAATTGAAATGTCAGCTCCATGAGGGCAGGGCTCTTTGATTGCTTTATTCACTTCTGCATGCCCAGTGCCTAGAACAGTGCTTGACATATAATGCGTACTCAGTGAAAAGCTGTTAAATGAATGAGTGAGGATTAAATAAGAGAATGAATCGGGGAGTGTCCAGTTAACAGGAAACTCTCATGTTGAGAGTTCTTTTGGTCTTTCTAGGTGCTGATCCTGGCAAGTGTGCTGGTTAGCTAAGTACTTATCCCCCTCCCTGGCCTGCCTTCACAGCTGCTGCCTGCTCTTTGCACTGCATACCAAGGTGATATTGTAGCACTCCTTGTTGCAAGGTTGGAGATTGTGTCCCAGAGGCAGGCTGGGAGCTGGTGTGAAGAGTCAGAAGGCTATTCCAGTCTAGATTTGTAGCTGTCTTCCCCGGATGGTGAGATTCTTGCACAGGTGCTGCGCTCTCTCCTTGTGTAAAACAAATACCTAACCCCCAAGAAAGACATGAATGATTTACTGGACAATTTAGTACCTTTTGGGTGGAATCAATTAAAAAAATAATCCGCATTTAGGAAGCACTTAGAAATCCAAAGATTGTTTAACTACTAAGGTCACTATTATGAGAGCTTTGTCATTGTAATGAGAGTTCCAGTGAATGTACATTTAAGGCAGTCTGGCCTCTTCTGCCCACTCCCCACTTCTTCCCTCATCTGCCCTCACCTTCCTGAAAGTTGTGTCTTGTCTGTCTGTCTGCCTGTCTCTCAGACCACTCCTTGTGTCTCCTCTAAGCGTGCTCTTTCTGGGTTATCGAATTATGACATCTGCCTATCTTTTTCCCCTGTCTTTGTCTGGTTCTCAACCCTCATCTTGAGAAGTAAGCTGTAAAATATTCTCTTGGTAATTAGAAGTGGTAAAGCAGTTCTGCTGGCAGATAAGTCAGAAAATAAGTTTCTGAATTTCCAGAGGAAAGGCCATGGATCCCCTAACAGAATCTTTTGAGGCAGGAATTGTTATCTAAGTCTCTGTGAGCTGTGAGACACTACCAAACAGATTATGCTTGGGCCTGTACTGGGGGAATTCTCAGTTGCACAGAACCTAGAATACTACGCACGTATAAAACTAAGAGATTACCTAGACTACCTCTGCTCCCTTTAAAAGATCTATCTATCTATCTATCTATCTATCTATCTATCTATCTATCTATCTATCATCTATCTATCTATCTATCTAGATATGATTCTTCTCTGCAATAACTTGGAAAAACACTTGTCTAGGCCCCTCCTGCATATCTCCTATGATAAGGAGTTCACTCCATCTAATGACAACCTGTTTCATTTATAGGCTGCTCAGTTAAAAAGTCCTTCCTTGTGTTGAGCTGAAATTTGTTTCCTGCTGGTTCCCACCCAAGGGTCTCATTTCTGCCTTCTGAAGCCTCTCAGACTCCATCTGCTCTCTCTGTTCCTGACAATATCTTAGAGGTCTACAAAAAGAGCACTTCTCTTAAGTCTTCTCTTCTCCAGCTGATAGGATTTGGATGTTTGTCTCCTCCAAATCTCATATTGAAATGTGGCCTCCAATGTTGGAAGTGGAGCCTAGTGGGAAGTATTGGATCCTGGGGTCAAATCCCTCACGAATGGCTTAGCACTAGTTCCTTGGTGATGAGTGAGTTCTCGCTCAGTTAGTTCATGAAAGATCTGGTTGTTTAAAAAGGTCCAGGACCCCTCTTCACTCTCTTGCTCCCTCTTCTTCCTCCGCCATGATCGTAAACTTCCTGTGGCCTCACCAGGATTCAAGCAGACAGCAGCACTATGCTTATGCAGCCTGCAGAACCATGAGCCAATTAACCTATTTTCTACATAAATTACCTAGTCTCAGGTATTCCTTTATAGCAACACAAAATGGACTAAAACACTAGCATAAATGGCCACAGCTCCAAATTCTTTCAGCCGCACCCTTGTCTGTTCACTCCCTTCTGTACACATCCTACATATGACCCACTTAATGTATGGTAGTCCGAGCCAAAAGGAAGTCCCTCAGTAAGGGTCTAACCACTACAGAGTGGAAAGGGACTGTTGCTTCCCTTGATCTAAACACTATACATATGTTGTTGCAGCCTAAGTTCCCATTAGATTTTTTGGGCTTTATCATCTCAGTGATGATGCCTATAAGGGAAAGTCTCAAGTTCCTTTTCTGCAAACTGTGTATAGGACAGTCTATTCCACCCTGTGAATAGTCAGTTGGTTTTCTGCACTCAATTGCAGGCCTCTCCATTTGTAACTGTCAATCATCTGGTCAGGTTCAACCACTTACTTCAGCCTGTTGACATCTTTTTGGAGCCTAACTCCATGGCCTGAAATATTCCTCCCTCCTTTTCAGCTTTCAAACTTTAGTAATAATTTCCTCTCTTCTCTCTACATGAGCCTGTTTTGCTATTTTGTTGAGACATCAAGTCCCTCATTCATTCCTTCAGGAGGGTAGGGGCCACCTTCTCTGGGTGCTCCTGGGGGCAGTTCTCAAGGCCTGTGGCATGAAAACGACTTTGATCAGTGAGAACCAGCAGCTCACTGCTGCTCGGTGGAGAAGGCAGCTCCAATAGCAACATCTCCCTCAGCCTACCTGGGCCTCTGCCAGGGAGAACCCCACATACTGGCTGGCTCATTCAGATGTGGATAAAGTAAGATTTCCAGTTGGCTGCCAGAGATGAAGCCCTGGGATATCAGGCCAAGCAAGGGCACATCAGCACATCAACCTGATTCCTCTGATGGCTCAGAAGTTTTCAGGATCAATGGGCCTCTAGTCATTTATGTCACAACCCCTTCTTCATCCTTGGAGGGCTGGCCTGATTCCAATATTGACTGTCAGCACTCAGCTTTTTAAAACCGGCCGTATTTCTGACAGTCTTGGAGAAAAGACTGATGGCAAAAAGGGCTGTAATATTCCAAGAGCCTCCTTCTTACCAGTCCCCTTAACAGCTTATATCTTTTTATGTTAACACTTTATTTTAGAAGAATACATACACATGGTCAAATATTTTAAAAAAAGGAAGGAAAGTTCAAGATTCTTACAATCCCACCATTCAGGCATAAACCATTATTTGACGTTTTGTTGAAAATCTTATATTGGCAAACACACACACGCTCGTGTGTGTGTGTGTGTGTGTAATGCAACGTTATATTATTGAAAATATGCATTGGCAAAACATTCTGATCTAAAGTATCATTCCTAATGACATAATATCCCATAGGTACTTCTCTTGGGAGATATTTAGGTTGCTTCTAATTTTTCTTTCTTTTTAGCTTTTATTTCAGGTTCAGGGGTACATGTGCACATTTGTCATATAGGTAAATTTGTGTCATGGGTTTGTTGTACAGATTATTTTACACCCACGTGCTAAGCCTAGCAACAATAGTTATTTTTTCTGGTGCTCTCTCTTCTCCCACTCTCCACCCTCAAGTAGGCCCCAGTGTCTATTGATTCTTTGTGTCCATGAGTTTTCACCATTTATCTCCTACTTATCAGAAGAACATGCAGTACTCGATTTTCTGTTCCTGCATTAGTTTGCTAAGGGTAATTGCCTACATTTCCACTGATATTCCTGTGAAAGACACAATCTTGTTCTTTTTTTATGGCTGGATAGTATTCCATGCCATATATGTGCCACATTTTCTTTATCCAGACTATCATTGATGGGCATTTAGGTTGATTTCATGTCTTTGCCATTGTGAATAGTGCTGCGATGAACATTCATGTGCATGTATCTTTATAAAAGAACCATTTATATTTCTCTGGGTATGTACCCAGTCATAGGATTGCTAGGTCAAATGATACTTCTGTTTTTAGCTCTTTGAGGAATTGCCACACTGCTTTGACAATGATTGACCTAATTTACACTTCCATCAATGATGTATAAGCATTCCCTTTTCTCTGGAACCTCATCCCCATCAGTTATTTTTTGACTTTAATAATAACCATTCTGATATGTGAGATGGTATCTCATTGTTGTTTTGATTTGAATTTCTCTAGTTTTCAGTGACATTGAGCTTTTTTTATATGCTTGTTGGTCACATGTGGGTTTCCTCCTCCTCCTCCTCCTCCTCCTCCTCCTCCTCCTTCTTCTTCTTCTTCTTCTTCAGACAGAGCCTTACTCTATTGTACAGGCTGGAGTGCAGTGGCACAATCTCGGCTCACTGCAACCTCCGCCTCCTGGGTTCAAGTGATTCTCCTGTCTCAGCTTCTCGAATAGCTGGGATTACAGTTTGTTTATTTTCTCATAAATTGGCAAGTTCTTTATACATGCTGGATATTAGACCTTTGTCAGATGGATAGTTTGCAAAAATTTTCTCCCTTTCTGTAGGTTTTCTGTTTAATCTGATAGTTGCTTTTGCTGCACAGAAGGTCTTAATTTTACATTCCATTTGTCAAGTTTTGCTTTTGTTGCGATTACTTTGGTGTCTTCATCATGAAATCTTTGCCCGTTCCTTTGTCCTGAATGGTATTGTCTAGGTTGCCTTCCAGGGTTTTTATAGTTTGGGGTTTTACATTTATCTCTTTAACCAATCTTGAATTGATTTTTGTATATGGTGCAGGAAGGGGTTCAGTTTCAATCTTCTGCATATGGCTAGCCAGTTATTCCAGGACCATTTATTGAATAGAGAGTCCTTTACCTATTGCTTGTTATTGTTAATGGTGTAGGTGTGTGGCCTTATTTCTGGGCTCTCTATTCCATTCCCTGGGTCTATGTGTTTGTTTTGTACCAGTACCATGCTGCTTTGGTTACTGTAGCCCTGCAGAAGAGTTTGAAGTCAGGTAACGGGAAACCTCCAGCTTTGTTCTTTTTGCTTAAGATTGTCTTGGCTATTCGGGCTCTTTGTTGGTTCTGTATGAATTTTAAATAGTTTTTCTAGTTCTGTGAAGAATGTCATTGATAGTTTGATAGGAATAGCATTGAATCTATAAAGTGCTTCAGCTAGTATGGCCATTTTAATGATATTGATTCTTCTTATCAATGAGCATGGAATGTTTTTCCATTTTTTGGTTTCATCTCTGATTTCTTTGAGCTTAATTTTCATTATAGAAATCTTTCACCTTCTTGGTTAGGTGTATCCCTATGTATTTTATTCTTTTTGTGGCAATTGTGAATGAGATTTTTGTTCCTGATTTGGCTGTCAGCTTAGGTATTGTTGGTGTATAGGAATGCTCATGATTTTGGGACATTGATTTTCTATCTTGAGACCTTTCTGAAGTTGTTTATCAGGTGAAGGAGCTTTTGGGCAGAGAGTATGGAGTTTTCCAGATACAGAATTATGTTGTCTGTAAACAGGGATAGTTTGACTTCCTCTCTTTCTATTTAGATGTCCTTTATTTCTTTATCTTGCTTGTTTGCTTTGGCCAGGACTTCCAATGCTATGTTAAAATAGGAGTGGTGAGAGAGAGCATCCTTGTCTTGTGCTGGTTTTCAATGGGAATGCTTCCAGCTTTTGCCCATTTAGTATGATGTTTGCTGTGGTTTTGTCATAGATGGCTCTTAGTATTTTGAGGTATGTTCTTTCAATACATAGTTTATTGATAAATTTTAACATGAAGGGGTTTTGAATTTTGTTGAAAGCCTTTTCTGTGTATATTGAGATAATCATGTGTTTTTTGTCTTTAGTTTTGTTTATGTCATGAATCTCATTTATTAATTTGTGTTTGTTGAACCAACCTTGCATTCTGGGGATGATGCCTACTTGATCATGGTGGATTAGTTTTTTAATTTTCTGCTTAATTTGTTTTGCAAGTATTTTGTTGAGAATTTTTGCTACAATGTTCATCAATGATATTGGCCTGGCTTTTTCTTTTGTTGTTGTTGTTGTTGTGTTTTACCAGATGTTGTTATCAGGATGATGCTGATCTCATGGAATGCACTGGGGAGGAGTTCCCTCCTTCTTGATTTTTTGGAATAGTTTCAGTAGGAATGGTGCCAGCCCTTCTTTGTATATCTGTTAGAATTCAGCTGTGAATCCATCTGGTTCTGGACTTTTTTTGGTTGGTAGGCTATTTATTTATGATTCAATTTCAGAACTTATTATTGGTCTGTTCAGGGAATCAATCTTTTCCTGGTTCAGTCTTGGGAGGGTGTATGTGTCCAGGAGTTTATTCCTCTCTTCCAGGTTTTTTAGTTTGTATGCATAGAGGTGTTTATGGCAGTTTCTGGTGGTTATTTTTATTTCAGTGGAGTCAGTGGTAACATCCTCTTTGTCATTTCTAGTTGTGTTTATTTGGATCTTTTCTGTTTTCTTCTTTATTATTCTAACTACTGGCCTATCATATTAATTTCTTCAAAGAAACCAACTCCTGTATTCATTGATCTTTTGAATCATTTTCCCTGTCTCAATTTCCTTCAGTTTAGCCTTAATTTTTTTTGTTCTTGTTTTCTGCTAGTTTTGAGATTGGTTTGCTCCTGCTGCTCTAATTCTTTCAGTTATGATGTTATCTTGTTAATGTAAGATCTTTCTAACTTTTTGATGTGGGCATTTAGCGCTATGAATTTCTCCCTTAACACTGCCTTAGCTGTGTCCCAGAAATTCTGGTATGTTGTATCTTTGTTCTCCTTAGTTTCAAAGAACTTCTTGATTTCTGCCTTAATTTAATTATTTATCCAAAAGTCATTCAGGAACATGTTGTTTAATTACCATGTAATTGCATAGTTTTGAGTTATTTTAAACATCTGAACTACTATTTTATTGTGTTGTGGCCTCAGAGTGTGTTTGGTATGATTTCATTTCATTTGCATCTGCTGAGGATTGTTTTATATCCAATTATGTGGTTTATTTAAGAGGATGTGTCATGTGGTGATGAGAAGAATGTATATTCTGTTGTTTTTGGGTAGAGAGCTCTGCAGAGATTTATTAGATCCATTACATCCAATGTTAAATTCAGGTTCTAAATATCTTTGTTAATTTTCTGCCTTGATGATCTGTCTAGTACAGTCAATGAGGTTTTGAAGTAGCCTACTATTATTGTGTGGGAGTCTAAGTCTCTTTGTAGGTGTCTCAGAACTTGCTTTATAAATCTGGGTGCTCCTTTGTTGGGTGCATTATATTTAGGATAGTTATGTCTTCTTGTTGAATTGAACCCTTTACCATTATATAATGCTCTTCTTTGTCTTTTTTGATCTTTGTTGGTTTAAAGTCTGTTTTATTTGAAATTGGGATTGCAACCCCTGCTTTTTTTCTGATTTCCATTTGCTTGGTAGATTTTTCTCCATCCCTTTATTTTGAGCCTATGGGTTTCATTCCATGTTAGATGTGCCTCTTGAAGACAGCATACAATTAGGTCTTGCTTTTTTATCCAGCTTGCTACTCTGTGCCTTTTAATTGGGACATTTAGCTCGTTTACATTCAAGGTCAGTATTGATATGTGTGGATCTGATCCTGTCATTGTGTTGTTAGCTGGTTATTATGCCAGATTGTGTGATTTCTTTATAGTGTCACTGGTCTGTGTATTTAAGTGTGTTTTTATATTGGCTGCTAGCAGTCTTTCCTTTCTATATATTTAGTGCTTCTTTCAAGATCTTTGGTAAGGCAGGTCTTTTTCTTTTTTTTTTTTTTATTTGAAGGAGTCTTGCTCTGTCGCCCAGGCTGGAGTGCAGTGGCTCAGTCTTGGCTCACTGCAAGCTCTGCCTCCTGGGTTCACGCCATTCTCCTGCCTCAGCCTCCCGAGTAGCTGGGACCACAGGCGCCCACCACCACACCCGGCTAATTTTTGTATTTTTAGTAGAGATGGGGTTTCACCATGTTAGCCAGGATGCTCTCAATCTCCTGACCTTGTGATCCACTTGCCTCAGCCTCCCAAAGTGCTGGGATTGCAGGCGTGAGCCAAGGGCAGGTCTTGTGTTAGTAAACTCCCTCAACATTTGTTTATTTGGAAAGGATCTTCTTTCTCCTTTACTTAGAAAGCTTTGCTTGGCTGGATATGAAATTCTTGCTTGAAGCCTTTTTTTTTTTTTCTTTAAGAATTTTGAATATAGGCCCCAATCTGTTCTGGGTTGTAGGGTTTCAGCTGAGAGGTCTGCTGTTAGCCTGTGGTATCCCTTTTGTAGGTGGCCTGCCTTTTCTGTCTAGCTGCCTTTAATATTCTGTCTTTCATTTCAACCTTGGAAACTCTGATCATTTTGTGTCTTGAGGATAATCTTTCTGTGTAGAATCTTGCAGTGGTTCTCTGTATTTCCTGAATTTCACTGTTGGCCTCTCTAGCAAAGTTGGGAAGGTTTTCATGGACAATATCCTGAAATACGTTTTCCAAGTTGTTTGCTTTCTCTTCATCCTTTTCAGGGATGCCACTGATTCATAGATTTGGTCTCTTTACATAATCCCATATTTCTTGGAGGTATTGTTCATTTCTTTTCATTCTTTTGTCTTCATTTTTGTCTGATTGTCTTGTTTCAGAGAGCCAGTCTTCAGTTTCTGAGATTCTTTCCTCAACTTGGTCTATTCTGCTGTTAATACTGGTGATGGCATTGTGAAATGCTTTTAGTGTGTTTCCCAGCTCTGTAAGATTTGTTAGGTTCTTTTTTATACTGGCTATCTCATCTTTCAGCTTTTGTATCATTTCATTGTGATTCTTAGTTTCCTTGCATTGGTTTTGCCATTCTCCTGAATCTCGATTATCTTCATTCCTATTCATATTCTGAATTCTATTTCTGTCATTTCAGCCAGCTGAGCCTGGTTAAGAACCCTTGTTGGAGAACTGTTGTGGTTGATTGGAGGATGTACAGTACTCTGGCCATTTGCACTTCCAGAGTTCTTGTGTTTGTTCTTTCTCATCTCTGCCTGTGAGTGTTCCCTTAACGGCATTGTAGATTGAGTAAAGTTGATGGACTTCTTTTCTGAATGTTTATACAGGGCTGAGGCTTTGTGCAGGGTCCTTATTTGCAGCTTACTTCTTGCCTTTGGTTTCAGCGGGGTGTATGTTAGTGAAGTATGGTTTTTTTTTTTTTTTGTATTGAAGCTTTGGGGCGTGATCTGTAGGTGGTGCTTAGGCATATTGGCTAGTTGGTAGACTCTTCCTCAGTCACATGGCTCCCCTATATTTCCTCATAGTTGCAGCTGTGCTCCCTCTCAATGGTCTGAAGGTGTGGGCTCCTCTCCCACTTAAGTGCTGGCCATAGATTGTGGCTGGGCATTCTTGGGCTGTCCACCACAGCTCTAGGGTGATCTCTGGGTTTATGTCCCCCCTCCTCCAATTTGGAGGAAGCAGAGGAAGGGATCTTAGTAGTGGCTGTGGCCAAGAGTCCTTTGCTTGCCTCTTGGGGGTTCCACCACAGAGAGCTGCAGGTCAGCAATTGCTCAGTGCAATTAGCCCAGGATGGAAGGTCTGTGCTCTGGGCCTAATTCAAGGATTCTCTGAATGGTGATCAGCAAGGAAGTAAGTGGAACCCATGGGAGATGGACTAGCCTCCTCTCTTTGGGTTGACTGCAGCTTGTTGGAGGTGTAGATAAGGCACTTAGGGTCTTTGCTCCTTCATTAGTCTAAGGGTAGCAAGAGCAGTTCCACTGCAGAAGCAGTGGCAGAGAAGTTTTCAGTTGCCTGTGGGAGCTCTGCCTCCAAGAAACACAGAGCCACTGTTATTGGGGTTGTTCAGCCACTGGAGTGGGGAGGCTGCACTGCTGTTGTGAGCTTGGGGTTCCACTTGTTGGGGAGCTAGGGGCAGAAGGCTCGCAGGGAGGAGAGATTGTTCTCCTCTCTGTATGGTACTGGTGGCATGCTGTAAGCTTGCATGTAGCCCTCAAGCTCTTTATTTCTTCTCCAGATGAAGGGCAGCAGGGATAGAACTGTTACTATGGCAGTGATGGAGGGGCTGTCATATGCTTCTGATAGCCTCTCCCTGGGGAAAATCTGGGCCACTACCAGTGGGCATGCTCATCCATGGGTAGGGTGGCTGTTCTGCATTCATGAGCCAGGGCTCCTGCCTGGTGAAGAGTGCGCAGTGTAGGTTTCCAGGGAAGAAGGGTTGTGCTCCACACTTTGTATGGTGGCTGTGGTGTGCTGGAAGTACCAGTGTAATGACTAGACCTTTTGTTCCTTCCTTATTCTGAAGTCTGAGGGCTGTTATGGCTGTACTACTGCAACTGCAGTGGTGGAGTGGTTGTGAATTGACTCTGGGATTTCTTCCTCAGAGAAATGCTGGCCTGCCTCTGATTGCGGTGATCAGGTAAGGGCAGGTTGGTTGTGCTGGAGTCTCAGGTTGGGTGGCTCTGCCCATTGAGAAGTGAGGACCACGACCTGCATGGAGAACAGTCTGACCACTTTTCTGTGAGGTGGTTGCTCTGTGCTGGGGGTCCAAACCAGCCCTTGGTCCCCACAGACTCTTCCAAGCCTGGAAACAGCAAGGGAAAGGGCTGAAAGGAGCAAAGATGGCAACTCACCTTTCCCACTGGGAGCTCTGTCCAAGGAGCTGCAGAGTTGCTACTGGCTCAATAACCCTGGTGGGGGCTGGCTGAAGGCCCAGGCCTGGAAGACTCACCCAGGGAGGAAATATGGGAATGGGCACCTATGTAACAGTCTGGACACTTTTCCACAAGGCTGTTGTGGTATGATGGGGTTCTGCCCCAGTCCCTAGTCACTTTGAATTTTCCAGTACCTGAAAGCACCAACAGTGAAATCTGCAAAACAGCAAAGATGGTGGCCTGCCCCTCCCTCTGGGAGTTCCATCACAGGGAGGTATGGACCTGTTGCCAGCCTGAATGCACCTGTAGGAAGAAGGCTGGAGACCCCAGTTGGGAGGTCCTGCCAAGTGAGGAGAAATGGATCCAGGACCCACTATAAAAGCAGTCTGGCCACATTTTTGTAGAGCAGCTGTGCTGTCCTGGGAGGCCACTGCAGCCCCTAGTTGCTTCAGACTCTGCAAAGACTGAAAGCAACAAAGAAATGCTAAGTTGGCCAAACAGCAAAGATGGCAGCCTGCCCCTCTCTCTGGGAGCTCCATCCCAGCGATAATTTTTCAGTAGTACAAACATCGTAATAAATACTCTTGTGTAGCCAGGTGTGATGGCGGGCACTTGTCCTCCCAGCTACACTGGTGGCTGAGGTGGGAGGATCACATGAAACCAGAAGTTCGAGGTCACAGTGTGCTATTATATGATCATGCCTGTGAATAGCCAACGTACTCCAGTTTGGATGACATAAGGAGATTCCATTTCCAAAAATAAAAAACAGAAAGAAAATCTCTAGACATTGCCAAATGTCCCCTACAAAGTGACTAGCCCCCAGGTTGAGAACCACTGGGTTGTTCAAGGTGTTCTTAGGACGCAAAAAGCATGAATCATTAAAAAACGGAAAGAAATGATGAATTGGATTATATTAACACTTAAAAATTAAAAAATATTCCTGTATATAAAATACATGTTTTAAAATGTACTTATTCAGGAAAGATTGATTTAATGCTTACAGGTGCTTATTGTGCTAGGCTCTGGGGAAATATGGTGGGTAAAACATGTTAATTTTCTGCCGTGCTGGAGCTTGTAGTCTAATAGTCTGTCTGTCTCCTTGGGTTTAGCTCCTAGGGATGGAATTGCTGCATCAAGACTGCTTTCCAGAGCAATTTATATGCTTCTCAGTAGAAGACAAGGTTTCTCATTTTCCTATATTCTCATGAACATAGATTTCCTTTGAACTTTGAGTGGTTTCTTAATAATTTCTTCAGGAAAATGGAAGTGGACAACCTAGAATACAAGGGTGAGGAAGTTACATGGCCTCTAGACTCTTACCAATGTTTTCTCATTTTGGTCTTTGGCTTCTAGCACCTGATGCTTTTTGCTAGATAGCCCTAATAGTTTTCTTTTTCCCTGTGGTATTTTAGATTATGGATGATTTTATTTGTTGGTTTATTTGGTCATTCATCTATTCATCATTAATCACAGGATAAGTGCCTACTTTGCACTAAGGCCTTACCAGGTTACAGGGATATAGAAATGAAAGATAAGCTGCCTGCCCTCAAGATCTCTCAGACTACTACTCACAGGACCTGGGAGAGAGAAGGCCTCTGACACTATCCAATTAACTGAAGTGCCTTGATGTTGGAGCTCCTCAGGCCTCTGAGCATCCCGCAAAATTGAAACATCAGTGTTGGAGCCCAGAGGGTGTGTATATGGGGTGGTTCAGGCCTCTTTGCCTTCTGTGAGCAATCTAAGAAAATATAAAAAACTCATATAGAGAATAGCTCAGGCTGATATGTATGGAGGTGACTGCATGAATGGTAGAGTCCTTGCAGATGACATCTTTGGTAGTTTGACACAAAGCATTCCCTCCCCAACCCTATCTTAACATTTTGCCCAATAATTTTACCAATTGCTTTGTTGAGGGCTAGAGAACATTCCAATCAAGGTTACATATGCAAACAGGCTGTAAATGGGTAGGGCCAGGAAACAAGAGCCCAGGGTAATATCCTCAGTCCAAGGAGGGTGCATGTAGACCTGGGCTCCAGACCACAGCTGACAAGATGTATTAATCTTATTCAAGTGCAAAGTCCTGTACCTCAGCTCTAAAATCTAGCTGTAGTGTCAATTAAAAACAAAATGAAACTTTAAAAAAGTCAGTGAAATAATAGACACTGACTCCATGAAAATACCACAGGAAGCTCTAGAACTAGTGAGGGAAATAGAAAAAGAAATAGAAAGATATTGTCCAGAGTGATTAGTGCTACCATAGGGATAAATATATAACACTGTGGGAGCACTATATTAAGATGCATGAAGAATACATCCAGATGGGAAGGTGAAGGTAGTGTCAGGAATATGACAGTGAACAACAAACAAAAATTGCTGTCTTCATGCAGCTTACTTTTTAGTATAGGAATTTACACAATAAATACAAAAATATTATATACTCATATTAAGTGATATGGTGGAAAGTAAAGCAGATAAAAGGATGGGATGTGGGGGCTTGCTGGGGCTGTAATTTTAAATAAGGTACAATGACTGAGAAGGTGACATTTGAATAAAAAGCTGAAAAAAATTGCAAATGAGCCATGTGAGTATCTGGAGTAGAGAGTTCCAGGCAGAGGGAGTGATACGTACAAGGGTCCCAAGGTGGGAACATACTTCTTATGTTCAAGGAATAAGTTGGAAGACTGGTGTCCCTGAGGCAGAGTGAGCAAGGATGAGTAGTAGGACACAAGGTCAGAGAGGTTAGGATTATAGGGCAAGGTGGGAGGCGGAGCATGGAGGGTCTTGTAAGCCACAATAAGAATTTCGGCTTTTATTCTGAATGAAGTGGGAAGCCACTGGAGGTTATGATCAGACCTTAGAGGAACTTGAATGCTTTGTTCAACAGTTAGACTTTATTCTAGAGAATAAGAGGAGCCTTTGAATGTTTGTTGTTGTGGTGGTGGTGGTTGTTGTTGCTATTGTTGTTGTTTTGAGATGAAGTCTCATTCTGTTGCCCAGGCTGGAGTGCAATGGCATGATCTTGGCTCATTGCAGCTGCTGCTTCCCAGGTTCAAGTGATTCTCCTGCCTCAGTCTCCCGAGTAGTTGGGACTACAGGCACCTACCACCACGACTGACTAATTTTTGTATTTTTAATAGAGGCAGAGTTTCACTATGTTGGCCAGGCTGGTGTTGAACTCCTCACCTCAGGTGATCCACCCACCTCGGTCTCCCAAAGTGCTGGGATTATAGGTGTGAGCCACCACACCCGCCCTGTGAATGGTTTTGAGGAGAGTGGCATGTGGATATCTGTGTTAGAAAGATCATTCTGGTAGCTAAAGAAGGATGAGTTGAAAAGGAACATGTGAAAGTAGGAAAAGCAATTAGGAGACCCTGTCTCCTATCCTTCCTGTTCCAGATCCCCGAAGGAGCTGGGAAACAATTGGTCCTTCTCTCAGTTGAAACCTCAAAGCCAGTAGAATGGGGTGGGACTAAAATAGTGGCAAGGAGACTTGTTAGGAGACAATTAAGATTATCCCAATGTGAGACAATGAGGAGCTGAGCAAGGAGGGACAGATTTGTGAGAGGGTAAAAGTGCAGGGACAATCACAAGATGCAAAGTCAGGGCTCAATAGCAGCAACTGTGAAAATGACAAAGGGGTTTTAATTAACAACAACATCCTTGGCTCAATAATGTGATATGACTGTGACAAAAGCTAGGAAAGTGACAGGATGCATTGATAAAAGCATGATACCCGGAACAATGAAAGCTATCAATCTGCTTTAGTCTATATTGGTTAAGACTTCCCTTTTACCATGAACCTTTCTCTTATTAAGCTTCCATTATCTGTCAGGCACTAGGCTTAGAGCTATACCTGGGGTATCTCACAGAATAATCACCACAATCCAGTGTGGTAGCTATTTTATCTCCATTTTATAGAAATTGAAGTTTCGGAGAGGTAGAGTGACTAGCCAAGATCACTGCATCTTCTTCTCCCATCCCGCCTGCCAGGGCCTTGCACAGATTAGAGGGAAATATGTGGGTAATAATTCAAAAAGACTCTAATAATGACATCGAGTACTGGGCTTATGTTTAAAACAAAATTGAGGCTATGTTTAAAATAGAAACATTTTCTGTTAAAAAAGCATTCTGAAACACTTAGGGACTAAATGATTTACTTTAAAATACCCTGAGAGGAAAATGCATGGAAAGGCAGCAGAGTATGGAAAATGAAATGAGATGGGCAAAAGGTTAAGTACATGGGAGTTTATTATTCTGTTCTCTCTACTTTTTTATGTGTCAGAAATTTTTTATAATAATAAGTTAACAAGTAAAATGTAAAAAATAGAAAGAGGAAAAAAGGTCCTTAACACTGATGTATGATGATTACTAAAGCATCGTGGAGAGGGAGAGAAGACAGTCATTTAATAGCCAAATGAAGAAAGTTCTAGAGGCAAACTTGTTGGCATCAGTGAGCCAGGAAGAGAGGCAGTAAGATCTTCCTGGTGCTCTAGTACTGCACTGTCCAATGAGGTAGCCACTACCTACATGTGGCTACTGAACACTTGAGATGTAGCTATTGCAAATTGAGATGTGCTGTAAGTATGAAATATATACTAGATTTCAAAGAGTTAGTATGAAAAACAAAATGTAAATTATCTCATTAACAATTTTTTAAATTGAATTGCATGTTGAAATGATAACATTTTGGCATAGTAGATGAAATAAATACATTATTAAAATTAATTTCACTTTTTAAAAAAAACTTTAAAAATGTATTCACTAGGAAATTTAAAATTACATATGAAGCTCACATATTTCTATTGGACAGCAACAAAATGTCGTGAAACACTTTATTTCAAAGGCTGACATTTACTGTTACTCATTTATTCGTTCATTCATTTAAATGCTCAAACTGATATTGAGTGCCTACTCAATTCTTGAAGTGTTGCAGTGAAAGACAAAGCATGTATTTTAGAGTCACAAGGACCTGCTACTTACCAGCTTTGTGATCTTGAACAATTATTTAACCTTCCTAAACCTTGGTTTTTCTCATCAATGAAATCTATGGCCCAAGGTTGCCAAAGGCCATAATTTATTGCCATATTTCCTCAAATCTAAGATGCCATTGATTGAAATTACACCATCATTTTATGTAACACTAAAAAAAATGCTGTCAATGA
This sequence comes from Homo sapiens, assembly GCF_000001405.40. Classification (NCBI taxonomy): domain Eukaryota; kingdom Metazoa; phylum Chordata; class Mammalia; order Primates; family Hominidae; genus Homo; species Homo sapiens. The sequence continues at coordinate 67,764,024 of NC_000023.11, read as the reverse complement.
AATGACAGCACATTGCTAAGAAATCATTGGTCTCAAGATGCCTCCTGATTTCAGAGATGTCAAAATGTAAAACACTGACCACACTGTACTTGTCATTATTGATTTACAGATAAGTATTTGTTGAAAGAGTGAAAATTTATCTTCTCCATTTCACCGTGAGCTACTCAATAACAGAATCGGCATTTAAATGACCTTTTTCCCTGAAACAGGGCCTGGCACAGTGTAGGCACTTAATCCATTTTATATGAATTGATTTGGCTTCCCTTTCTTCCCATTTGCTCTGTGTCAGGTGCTGGGGAGGCAGTGATGAAGCAGATTAGGCCCCAGTTACCTAGGAGCTCTAAGTCCGATAACAACAGCAACAAAAACAACAATTATAAGAATCATTCACTGAGCTCTTACTATGTGAAAGTATTTTATCATTATATTAATATATATCTTTCTAAATTCCTTTTCCTTTTTACTTCATTTCTTTACTTTTTCGTTTGAGACAGCGTCTTGCTCTTTCACCCAGGCTGGAGTGCAGTAGTAAAATCATAGTTGATGCTTGGGCTCAAGTGATTCTCCTGCCTCAGCCTACCAAGTAGCTGGGACTACAGGCATGTGCTACCATGCCTGGCTATTTTTTTATTTTTTGTAGAGACAAGGTCTCGCTATGTTACCCAGGCTGGTCTTGGACTCCTGGCTTCAAGCGATCCTCTTGCCTCTATCTCCCAAAGTGCTGGGGTTACAGGTGTGAGCCACTGCATCTAGCTCATCCCTTTACTTTTAATTTATTCGAGTTTTTAGAATTAAGGTGGGTTTCTTGTAGACCCAACCCACACAGTTGGGTCTTGTTATTTTAATCCATTCTGACTACCTCTGTCCTTTAATTGCTGTACTTGGACCATTCACATTTAAAGTGATTATTGATATAGTTGAATTAATATATATCATGTTTGTAACAGTTTTCTGTTTGTTGTACTTGCTCTTTATTTTTTTTCTTCTCCTCATTTTCTGCCTTTTCTGGTTTTGAGCATTTTATATGATTCCATTTTTTCCTTTCTTAACACACCAATTGTACTTTTAAAAAATTTAGTGATTATGTTAGGGTTTGAAATATAACCTAAGTCCAACTTATCTAAGTCCACTTTCAAATGATTTTATACCACTTTTATGTGATGTGTAGTGCAGTACCTTAGAGTAGTCATAATTCCTTCCTCCCTTCCCTTATAATATTGCTATTATTCATTTCACTTATTCATATTCTGTAATTGCACAGTACATTGTTACTAGTATCACTTTAAATGGACAGTTTTAGATCAATTAAGAATGAGAAATTAAAATATTTTATTTTACCTTCATTTATTTATTCTACAATGCTCTTTCTTTCTTTATGTGCATCCTGGTTTTTCATCTATATCATTTTACTTTTCTTTGAAGAACTTTTTACATTTCTTGCAGAGCAAGTCTGCTAACAACAAATTCCTGCAGTTCTTGTTTTTCCGAGATAATCTTTATTTATTATTCACTTTTGAAGGATAATTTTACTGAATATGGAATTCTCTTGTCAAGCCTTTTGCCCTGGAAAGTAGGCCTTTGTTATGGAGAATGCTCTGGGTGCACTTAAAAATGATGGTTACTTTTTCCTTCCTCCTGCCAGAGCCATCAGGAGATTTTTCTTGACTCCTCACCATGATAAACTGATGGGATTCCTGAAGAGACACTCCACAAAATTGTGCTCCTCCCAAAAAAACCCTGTGGCTCCCACTTTCACACTAATTCACACTCAGCCTCCTGTAATTTGTCAAAATTATCATTTAAATGTTCTTATGATTTTATGGCTCCAGGGACTTCTGCTCTAGAAATCATGGCTATAAGTCTCATAATTCACCTGTTTCACCAGATTTTGGAATGACAGCTTGCTCTGCATTGCCAGTTCTCTGATGGGTCCAATAAAAGTTATTCGTATTGAGTTTGTTCCAGACTTTCCTTTTTGTTATGATAGGATTAATATGAGATATGAAACTGGAAGTCTGGGAAAGCATTTTAAACATGCTTTTTTTTTTTTGTCAACAGATCAGCCTTATGAGGTGGATATTATTGCCACAATAATTTTCCAGATGAAAAATGGAGGCCCAGAGATGTTAAGGAATTTGCCCAAGATCATGAAGTAAGTAGTGGGGCTTGTATTTGAATTCAGTTCTGTCTGACTCTGAAGGCTAGAACATGGACACACATAGCATAATATATGAGTCAGAAAGTATGAGAATTATAAAAGGGCAGAAAAAATGTTATGGCAGTATGTAGAATGACAACGCCAATTTAGGGTGGGGGAAGGAAATTTTAACAGAAGATGTAGAAGTTAGGTGGATCTTGAAGGATTTAAACATACGGAGGTCAGCATTTGACCCAGCCATCCCATTACTAGGTATATACCCAAAGGACTATAAATCATGCTGCTATAAAGACACATGCACATGTATGTTTATCGCGGCACTATTCACAATAGCAAAGACTTGGAACCAACCCAAATGTCCAACAATGATAGACTGGATTAAGAAAATGTGGCACATATACACCATGGAATACTATGCAGCCATTAAAAAAAGGATGAGTTCATGTCCTTTGTGGGGACACGGATGAAATTGGAAATCATCATTCTCAGTAAACTATTGCAAGAACAAAAAACCAAACACCACATATTCTCACTCATAGGTGGGAATTGAACAATGAGAACACATGGACACAGGAAGGGGAACATCACACTCTGGGGACTGTTGTGGGGTGGAGGGAGCGGGGAGGGATAGCTTTAGGAGATATACCTAATGCTAAATGATGAGTTAATGGGTGCAGCACACCAGCATGGCACATGTATACATATGCAACTAACCTGCACATTGTGCACATGTACCCTAAAACTTAAAGTATAATAATAATAAAATAAAATAAAAAACATATGGAGGTCAGGACAGAAGACTGAAACCTTGAAACCCTGGAGGCAGGGGATATAGATATTAAGGGATTAAGATTTCCTTATGTAAATTTCCCATGATTTCTAGCCCAGCCATTGCTTACCCTTCTTTACATGGAAACCTATGATGATAAACAAAAAAAGGTTATTCAGTGCCTGACAAGGAGTGAGAGCTTATTGGCCATTCTCTTTCGTTAAACTCACATTACAAGTCAGGTATCTGAGCTTTGATGTGTTTTATTCTCCTCAGGGGTTCTTTCTTTGGAAATTATTGGAGAAAGTGGCAGACTCAGTGCCAGAAAGACCTTGTCGTCTTAACAGTGGTCAGTGTCCTCTTCACATAGGGAGGCCAAGAAGGGGAAACAACTGCCAGTGAATCGCGTCTTAAGAGGACTAGGAACTGCAACAGCTGGCTGGCCACTTTTATTCATTCCCTTCAGAACAGACTTGCATGCCAGATGCTCTTCATTCTTCTTTCTAACCATGTCCCTGGCACTCCCCAACCTGTCGGGGAGCTGATGAGAATTCTGTTGCATATAACACTGGGAACAGAGTTGATGTTTTATCTTCTTCTGGGAGTACAAGAGCCCCTCCTCCTGTCCAAAAAAGAATCCATGTTGAGAGAACAGGCAGCTACAGGAGGTGCCGTAAAGCCCCATGTGGTGCATCCCTACTTGTGGCGGGGGGAACATCAGGGTGAGTGGAAGCCCACTGGCCCAGCAAACACTGAAGACCAATGATGGAGGCCCCAAATCACCACTCTCAGAAGGCCTCATTACTCTTTTTCCCTCTTAGGGATGGTTCTGCAGAAAAGGTCCCCTGCACACACTCTATTGTCTTGATGAGGAGGACACACTACCAAAAATGCACCAGACCTGGTGTATAAACAGAATTGGATGATTATATAGGTAATAAAGAAGGTCTCTACCTATATTTGAGAAGTGATGGGTCCCAAAAGGCCCCTGCATAGCTGCCTCTTTCAGTATCTCCACATAGCTCACCATTGGCTATCTCCTTCTTAGGACAGTGACTTTTAAACATTTTTTACTGTGACTCATAGTAAGGTATACATTTTATAGTGTAAACTAGTAAATGCTTTCACTGTGTGTGTATGTGTACATACACAAATGTATACGTACATATGTGTGTATACATACATATTGGCAATTTTATATATTGTTCAACCTAATATAAAAACAAAAGTTTCACTAAAAAATACCCTTAATATATGCAGTCACATTGATATTTTCTATTTTATTTTATTTCACTTTTAAAAAGTGCCAGTTCTTATCTACCAGATTGATTCCATTATTTACTAGTGAGTTGTGACCCACGGTTTGAAAAATGCTGGTTTAAGATGTAACTTCCTTAAAGCCCTTCTTGAAGTATAGAGATTTTTCCTGATATAGTTAATGTCACAAGTTAAGGCCAGAGGGTCCCTCAGAGAATATGCAGATGAAAGGAGAAGGGAAGGAGGGAGAAAAGAGAGGGAAAGGACTGATGGAAGAATAAGTCAGGTCAAGGTATCTGAAAAGCTACAAAGTAATAGAACTAGAAGAGTCTGAATCTGTCATGCTACATATGGAGAAACTGAGACAAAGAGAAAGAAGAGATTTGCCCCAAGTCATATTTCAAATGTGTCATGGAGCCAGAGGTAGAACCTGAGGCTCTTGACTTAAATTCTAGGGATCCTTCCTGCCAAGAGAAATTGTGGCAACACAGCGCTTACTCCCAGAGGCATAGTAAGCCCCACAGGCCAGAGCTGGCACTAAGTACCAGCATTTGGGGCCTAGCTCATGGGATGATTGGCCAGACTTTAATCTGCCTCCTGTTTTTGACATGCCTAGTCATAAGTAATCTGTTCTGCTGACAGCTTCAGTGTCCAGTTACATGCTCATCTAAGCTAAGACAAGGGCAGGGAAGAGGAATGCAACCCACATGCATAGGTGTCCCTCAAACCAACTCTCTGGCTTGAGCAAGAAAGAGGTGGCTTATGGACTAATGGGAGCAGCTATAGACAACAAGGCATCTGAGTTTCTCTTGTCAGACCCTACCTGGATTCCAACCTCTGCCTCCTTCCTCCAAGAATAGCTAGGGCCCTTTTGACCTAATCAGTTAACCCAACCTGTCTTGGACTGGGCCTGTAGTACCAGCCCCAAACAAGTCCTACTTGGCTTCCTTTTGCTACTGTTATGGTACTGTCCCGGGGCCCCAAATCTGAGTTTCTGCCTGGGTTGCCTATCTTGTGCCTTCAGTCCTCTAAAGCCAGCCCCCCACCCACACCCCAGGTCAGTGATTATGAGCCTAACTAGCAGCAGGTTTATAATGCCTGGATCTAGGGAATCTGACTTCATCTCTGAGTAGCTGGACTCCGGGGCTACTGAGAGGGCTTCTCATCCAGCTACAAAAGGTTGAAGGAGTGAGGGAGGCAGATAAACATCTGCTGAGGGCTTAGTACTTGTACCTTCTCAGTAAAGCCAACTAAGACTCTTTTGATGGGCCGTTTTTAGGACAAGACCCCAAACCAAAAGTCTTTGTTTAACTGCTCTATAATTATATCATGAAAACTTATTCCTGCTTAAGTCCCTGAAATACCAAAACTTGCGGATAACAACCATGGATAACAACCATGAACATTCTGGAAAAAATATTTTTTTCCAGCCATAGCAGAAGACTTGAGGCCCTCTTCCTTGTATGAGAACCTAGGTAGCTTTCCCTCAGAGAAAGCCAGGCTAACACTGATGACTTTCTCCACCTGCATCCAGCCACCTGGTCGTGGTACTCAAGACCACATTGTAGGGTGGCACTACTTATGCCTTACACAACAAAAGCTGAGAAGGCAAGCAAAGACTAAAAGGCAGACTTGTCCTACTTGCCAAATGGCAGCTCATAATTCTGTACCCACCCAGAAGGGACATCTTTGTGTACTTGGTCTGCCCAAAGAAGGTATCTTTTTCTAATTCACATTGTACAGAGTAGGGGAGCATTGATGAGATTCTAAGAGCTCGTCTTGAAAGAAATGTTCTAGAAGCTTCTCTGGGCTAGGCCACAGTCATAGCTCCAAAAGAAGGGCCTCTGAGAACTGGGTCTTCCCTGCCTAATTACTTTAACCATCTGGTTTCCTCTATCTCAGGGCCTCAAGTCTTACTTCTGTGTTAATCTTTCCTCAATCCAGCTCTTCACCCCTAACTTCATTCTCAAACTCTAGATCGGTATTAGCCAACTATAACTGCTATCTCCACCTGGAGAGCCCACAGGCACTTCACACTCAAGGTACATTCCAAATCTCATCCCCTGCCAATATTCCTCATCTGTGTTGAACATTTTCTACTTGCCCCACCAGAAGCACTCTCTTCTCTACACTGCTCTGTTCCCTGCAACTCTGACCTATACACCTCTATTTCCTTCCTTGATTCTCCTTCCTTCCCATGTTCTCATTCCTTCTAAATAAGGTTAGAATCCATATTTTCTCTCTGTCTTAGCTCCCATATGCTCTGGATATGGAATAAATAGCTAGTGTGTGTGAATGTCTCCTCTGCTAGAAAGTGATCCCTTTGAGGGTGGAGACCATGTCATGTTCATCTTTATGGTCTCAGTGCCCCTCAGAGAGCTGACACAGAAAATACTAAAAAAATACTGAATATAAGCTGATTTGTTCTATTTTCTTCCTTTCTTTCTTTCTTTCTTTCTTTCTTTCTTTCTTTCTTTCTTTCTTTCTTTCTTTCTTCTTTTTCTCTCTCTCTCTCTCTGTGTGTGTATGCATGCACACACACAATAAAGGTGGGGCAGTAGGAAGTCCATGTACTGGAGATCACAACAAATGGCAAAAAGTTTGAGACCAAAGTTCCTGCATGAAAGAGAGCACTAAAGAAGGTAGGAAGAGGTAGAAAGGACTTGAGGTCTAGGAAGCGCCTATTGTATGCCAGGCTTATGAGGCTCAGAGAGGTAGGCAAAATAATAATACCTAATATTTATTAAACATTTTTCTATGGACCTGGAATATTCTAAGTGCTAGAAATGGATGAAGCTATTTAATCCTCACAAGGCATCAATGAGTTACGTACTATTATTATCTTCATTTTATATACAAAGAAACTGAGGCACAGAGGGTAGCCCAAGTTACCACAGCTAGGAAGTGTCAGAGCCAAAGTTCAAATTCATGAATTCTAGCTCTCTATAGCAGGAAGGACTTTTGTCTGAAGATCTAAATGATTAGAATTAAGCCCTAGCTCTGCCCTTAAGTCACTCTGTAGCCTTTCCCCTCCTCAAACCAGGTTCCATATTTGCAATATAGTATGTAATAAAATGTAAACCAGGAGTCTCCATTAGCGGACTTTAAAGTTCTTCCAGTGCATTCATTCAGTCAGTCCCCAAATGGTTACATCCTCAACGCCAGGCCCTATGTGAGCTAAACACCATCTTTTCCTCATAGAGCTCCTGTTTTAAGGGAGGAAGGAAGGAAGATCACACTAATCTTCCCTGAGTCTGGGGATGTGTGGCCTGTGTGTGCATGTGTGCATGTGTGCATATGTGTGTGTAAGTCCAGAAGGTAATGGGATGTTTAGCCTGGCGCAGTCAGGCTGCTCTCAGAATTGTAGAGGAGGAGAAAGACCAGGGAGTGGCCTATCTTGTGCTCTCTGTGTCCCCTAGATGCTTCCCATGATCTTACTCCAAAGATTTCCACTGGAAACCACACTTTCAGCTTATATTTGCTAGCCTTAGTGGATAAATAGCTTCTTTGTAATGAATAATAACTTGGCATCTGCAGTCCATAAGTGTTTCTGAATCAAGGCTCCTGAAGGGATCCAGGGTAGGGGACACACCCTGATGACACAGAAGGGACACAGCTCGGAATTTTGACAGGAAGTAGCATGAAAGAGTTTGGGGAGACAACTGGGAGCAAGAGGGAAGAGGTTAGCAAGGAGGGAAGGAGGAAACGAAGGGGTGGACAAGAGGAGTGAGGGAGAGAGGGAAGTCTTCCTAGCTGGTCTGTGGAAACTGAGTTATCTATACATACTTCTCTACAGACTTTCGGTTTTGGAGCCCCACAGGCTTCAGGTGACTTATCTAAGAATACAACATAATTTAAAGGACCAAGGTGAGTGTCAACTCTAGCATTATCACTTCTGTGTGGTGGCTTCTAAAGGGTGTAGAGAGCCCAGGAGGCTCAGACAAGCACTGAATACAGCCTTCACCTAGGAAGTTTTATTTTTCCTCCATGCTCTGAGCTTTCAGCAGCCATTTTTGTACTATGTGCCATTACCATCAGGTCCAAGCTGTCTCTCAACCAGTTTTTACTATGAGGCCTGCTAATAAGTCGCAGGCTGTTCCCTTCGCCTTCCCAGAGGCACAAAGCACCAGTGGTGGAATTTCATGCATTGGGTCATGTGATAGGGAAATATATTCTAAGATCTGGAATGATAGTCACGTAATAAAGATGCCACCATTCCCCCTTCCTGTGCCTGTGCACAAATCACTAATTGATCATACCACTTTCTTCTACAGCACTAAGATACTGCCTGGCAGTATCCTCTGGAAATGAGTAAGCATTAGAATAACAAAAATTATATTTATTTGCAACTCTGCTTAGGCTTATCAGAGCATGCTAAGTAGTCAACTACTTGCTTCATACGTGCAAAAGCCAATGGTTGGAAGAATATTTCAGTCCTTAAGGGCTCATTCAGTGAATGCTCTTCTATCTATCCTGAGCACTACCCTAGAAAGACCCAAAAACGATAGCCATCAACAAGGTTCTTAGATCTCACCTAATGCAACTAAGGCACTTAGAGTGCTTGCTCTGATAAGTTTAGTGTTTGAGCTTCATACAGGCTAGAGCAAAAAAGGGAAATATGGTGGGCTACATAATTTCTATGTTTGAGAAAAGAAAACAAGTTATTTATGCTAAACAAAGATTTTTTGAATTATATGAAAAGAGAACATGAATTATTTCCTTTTGACTTTGCAACAACCATGTTAGATAAGATTTATTTTGAAGATGGTGAAACTAAATATCAGAGTGATAAATAATCCTGCCCAAGATCAATATCTAGGATATGATAGAGTCAAGATTTGACCAAGATTGGATCAATTTTAATCTAAAGAACCTTTTCAACCTATGTTGCCTCCAAAAGTAACACAGAATGACATAATGGAATTTCAATCAACTTATTCCACAAATATATATTGAGTTCTTGTTATGTTCTAGGAGGAACTGCTCTAGGCACTGTGTGAAACAAGGCAGAGAGGATTCTTGCACTTATGGAGCTTAAGCTGTAGGTCTGGAGGCCTAGGAGTCAAAGAGGACACAGGCAGTACTCAAATTATTACTCAAATTACTCAAAATATACTATTGTAAACTATGAAGGTGGTAGTAAGGTGAAACACAGGGAGTCAAGAAAGCATATCGCAGAGGGGATTTGATAAACTCCTGGAGATTTTAGTTGAAATCTATAGGTGAAGAGAGGTAGAGAGAGTAATCAGACATTCTGGGTTGATGGAAAAGCATGTGCAAAAACTCTAACAAAGGAGGACCTGTTAAAAGGTGAGTATGTCAGGAACACAGAGCATGAGAAGAATGATTGGTGAAGAAGGCTCTGTAGGCCTCAATGAGGGGTTTGGATTTTTATCCTATGAGCAAAAGAAGCCATTGGAGAATTTTAAGCAAAGAAATGAAATTATCCAATGTGTATTTAAAAAAAATTTTTCCACTATGATATATGACACATATGTAGCAATGTGCATAAGACTTGTTTACACAATGCAATAAATATTTATACAATGATATCTGTGTAGCCATCTCCCAAGTCAATAAATTTGCAATAATACATTGCTAAGACCACAGAAACGCTTATGTGACTAGATCATAACCTTCTTCCTTCCCTCAGAGGTAATCACTGTCCTGACATTTGTAGGGCCCATGGGTTTTTTTTTTTTATTTTTATGAGATAAACTTTCTATTTTATGGTAATTACAGATTTATATGCAGTTGTAAGAAATGATACAGAGAGATCCCTGTACTCTTTACCAAGTTTTCCTCAGTAATAATATCTAGCAAACTTATTGTACAATATTACAACCAGGATATTGACATTAATACAGTCAAGATAGAGAACACCACAATAGTCCCTCTGATTGTCCTTTTACAGCCATACTTGCCTTTTGCTTCCTTTTCCCCCACCCCACTCATTCCTGAACCCTAGAAACTACTAATCTGTTCTCCATATTTTCCATTTCTCTAATTTTTTCATTTCCAGAATGTTATATAAACGATCACATATACACAGTATGTGACCTTTTTGGAATGGCTTTTTTCACTCAGCATAATTCCCTGGAGATTCTCCCAAATAGTTGCATTTATCACTAATTCATTCCTTTTTATTGCTAAGTAGTATTCCATGGTATAGATTTAGCACAGTTTGCTTAACTATTCATCTGTTGAAGCACATTGGATTGTTTCCAGCTTTGGAATATTAAGAATAAAGATATTGTAAACATTAGTGTATAGATTTTTGTGTGACCATAAATTTTAATTTCTTTGGGATAAATGCCCAAGAGTGCAATTGCTGGATTGTACATGTTTAAATTTCTAAGATACTGATAAATTATTTTCCAAGGTAGTTGTACCATTTCAAATTGTCACTAGAAATGTACATCATGCAGTTTGTTCATGTTCTCACCGGCATTTGGTGTTGCCATTGTCTTTAGTTTTAGCCATTCTGATAGGTGTGTAGTGATGTTTCTTAGTGATGTTGTTTTAATTTGCATTTCACTAATGTACAATTATGTTGAACCCCTTTTTATATGCTTGTCAATTGTATATTCTCTTCAGCAAAATGTCTTCTCTTTCTTTTGCCCATTTGTTAACTAGATCGTTTAGAGTTTTGAGAATTCTTATAGATAATAGTTTTTTGGTTGGGTCATTTGGGTGGATTGCATGGTTCAGTGTTTCTATATACTGTTTTGTTGATTTTCTGTTGAGTGGTTCTATAAATCTCTGAGAGTAGAATGTTGAAGTTCTCAACTACAGTTTTGGATTTGTCTATTTCTCTTTTCAACTCTACCATTTTTTTTCATTGTTATCTGAGTATCAGTTTTTGGTGCATACACATTTAGAATTATATGTCCTTCCAGTGGACTGATCTTTATATTATTATGTAATATCCCTTTTCATCCATCGTATTTTTTGCCCTAATGTAGGCTTTATCTTATATCAATATAGATATTCCTGCTTTTTAAATTAATATTTTCATGGTATCTCTTTTTCCATCTTTTTATTTTTAACATAGCAACGCCATTGTATTTGAAGTAGGTTTCTTGTAGACAGCATATCATTGAATAAATTATTTTTCCAGTTTTGAAAGCTCTTTTACTTATATTTAGCCCATTTATATTTAAGGTAAATGTCATGTTAGTCTGTACTATTTTTTTTCCTGTTTAATTTATCTGTTTCTTGTTCCTTTGATATCTTTTTTATATTCTTCTAGGTTATCTGATCATTTTTAAGGATTCCATCTTAATTTATTTTTAGTGTTTTTGAGTATATTGCTTTGCACCATTTTCTTAGCAATTGCTCCAGATATTGCAATATACATACATAACTCACCATAGTTTGCTGGTATCAATGTTTTACTATTTTGAGTGAGTTGTAGAAACCTCATTTTCTTTAGGTCTCTTTATCCTTCCTACTTAAAAATGTAGTTTGTTATGTATTTCTTCTGTATTCACGGGGTATGACATTAGACAGTTTTATAATTTTTACATCAATCTCCAAATATTGATTTAAGAAACTCAAGAGAAGTAAGATATTCTACTATATTTACCCCTATTTTTACTCATGGCAATGTTCTTTCTTTTCAAAAGTTCCAAGCTTTCTTCTGTTATCATTTATTTTGATTTAAAAACTTCTTTTAGTCATTTGTTTAGGGTAAGTATGCTGACAATAAATTCTTTTAATTGTAGTTAATTTGAGGATGTCTTCATTTTTCCCATCATTCATGAAGTTTATTTTAGCTGGATATAGAATACTGGGTTGACAGGTTTTTCTTTTTTTTGTTTTATTATTCTCTAAGTTTTAGGGTACTTGTGCACAACGTGCATGGGTATATACCCAAAGGATTATAAATCATGCTGCTATAAAGACACATGCACACATATGTTTATTGCGGCACTATTCACAGTAGCAAAGACTTGGAACCAACACAAATGTCCATCAATGATAGACTGGATTAAGAAAATGTGACAGTTTTTTCTTTTAGTGGTTGAAAAATGTGTCAACACCTTCTGTTTTCTATTTCTTGAACTCTAATGATCCAAACAGTAGATCTTTCATTATTCTCTAATAGGTATCCCATGCTCTGTTCATTTTTTTCCGTCTATTTTCTCTGTTATTCAGATTGTGTGAATTCTATTGTTATGGCCTCAATTTTTTTATTCTATCCTCTGTCATCTCCACTTTACTATTTAGCTCAACTAGTGAGAATTTTTTTCTGGCATTAGATTGCCAGTTAGTTTTTTTTTTTATAACTTCTTTTTCTTTGCTGAGAGTTTCTAATTCTTTTCATTTGATTCAAGAAAATTTGTAATTGCTTGTTGAATCATTTTCTGATAGCTGCTTTAAAAGCCTTGTTAGAAATTTTCAACGTCTAATTGTTGGTGTCATTTGATTGTTTTTCTCATTGAAGTTGTGATTTTCATGGTTGATATAGTAGTTAATGTTTTTATTGGACTCTGGATTTGTTGGATATTGTGTTATGATATTCTGAGTGAGTCTCATTTAAATATTTTAATTTGTTTTATATTTTTTTAAAGAAGACACTCTCCCCTATTGAGATGTCATGCAAGGATCAGGTGGGTATGTTTGTTCAAATTGTCACTGGGCCCTGCTGATGCCACCTCTGTCAAAGCGGTGCACTAACTTGTACTGCTTCACTGCATATGGAAAAGGTAGAAATTTAGCCACTCCCTCCACTCCTCACTCCTCTGACGCCTTCCCAGTGAAAGCAGGGTACCCTCTTGTTGCCTCCAAGTGGACGTGTAAAATCAACTCCTCACTGGTTCCACTGCCTCCCCACCCCCAAAGAGAGCTGATTCAAATTGCTCTGTTGCTGTGAGATGGGGGTGAAAGCTCAGCTTCCACTAGACCCTGCTGACATAGGAGGAGGTGAGAGGAGAGGGAATAAGTGCCAACTAGCTCTGCTTTGCATTGCCTCATACAGATTTATTGCTGTCAGGTGATTGTGGAGGTTCAGCCCCAGTCCCATGGGGGCTATATCATCTTGGCAGAACCAGAAATATGTCTTCTTTAAATGTTTACCAGTTTATTATAACAATATTATAAATGACACAGACAAAGGGATGCATATGGTGAGGTATGAGGGAAGGGGTGTGGAGCTGCATGCCCTCCCTGGGTGCGTCACCCTTTAGAAATATCCATGTCTGCAGCTATCTGGAAGTTCTAAAAGTATGTCTTTTTAAATATAGTTTTATACCTGCATATACATCTACAAAATTATAGCTAGATTTTTCCTTTTTACAAACCTTATATTAACGGAATCATATAGTATATGTTATTTTATTTCTTTTGCTCAACATTATGCTTGTAAGATCAATACATGTTGTTGCTTGCATGTAACTATAGTTCCTTTGTTTCCATTGCCATATAATATTCCATTGTACAAATACACTACAATCTACATATTCATTCTACTCTACATAAGCATTTAAGTTGCTTCAAAATTGGTGCTATTATAAACAGTGCTATCATGAGCATTCTGATATATGTATTATGATGCATAAGTATGTTAGTTTTCAAGTCATAACAGTTGTTGTAGAATATCTAGATCATAGAGTACAAATATGTTTAACTTTAGTAGATAATGTCAGATATTTTTACTAAGTGGCTTTCCAATTTACACTGCCATCAACAATATATGAGAGCTCCCATTATTCTACATCTTCATTACCACTTGCTATTGCCAGTCTTCCAAATGTTTTCCAATCTGATGGGTGTGTCTGATGTGCATTTTTAAAAAGATCTCTCTAACTACAATAAGAAACATGTCTTGTAAGGGGAAAGAGTACAACATACTTTCAATGGCAATTTTATGGAGGATGTAGACATACTTTTTATTTTATTTCAGATTGCTATTACAGCAAAGGGTATTCTGGGGAAATAGAACTAAGAAAATACATTTCCACCAGTGAAGGGAGAAGGAAGGAAGTTATGTCTAAGAATGGCCAGGAATTTGTTGATCTAACCCTAGGTTTCCCAGATTATGAGCTGAGGTTTCCCGGGGCACAACTGTGAACTCACAGGGCCTTCGTGGGATATTTTACATTTCTGAGGGGAACACAATGACACTAGACATCTGTCAGACATTCCACAAGCTACTAGCTTGTGTCAGTTCACAATTTCAACATTAGATTGTACTACATTCCTTTTGATGGCTGCTGTGACAAAAATCAAGTGCTGTGTGAAAATCCACATGAAGCAGGAAATGCAGGTGGTGGTGTCCAATCTGATTTCAAGATCTGAGAAGCTGTGCACTGCCTGAAAGGTATCTATTTAAGGTAAAATAAAAATATTTTTCTCCATTAATATGCATATTAATATTTTTCTTTTAATTTATGTGTATTATGATTTTAAGTGGCTATTAAGCTATTAAGGGTATAAATACTTATTAAGTTTTGTGAACTTAACTTCTGAATAAATGAAACTGTTAGATATTTATTTTGGCCTAGCGGCACTGTGAATTAATGAGATGCTAAGGACATTGGCAACCAAGAAAGCTTAAGAACTTCTGATATAACCCGATAAACCAAGAGAAATGGATGAGGAAGGTGACCTAAATGTTTCCGCTTTCACCCATCTCCCTGTTCTGGAATAGAGGTCATAAGACTGCCCAGAGCTTTCTTCCAGTTTTTCTTTCCTTGTCTCTAACCCTTCACTGACTGAGAGATGGACAGTTGTTAGGGGGAAGTGTTGGGGAAGCATTTTTTAACTTTACCTGTCTGCAGAAGAAAAACTGTCTTTGACTGGAACCCCAAGTATCTATCGTAGTTTCTAATTTGGGTGTAGGATTTTTTTATAGGCCATAATAAAATAGCTTTATCTACTCCATTTTAGTGATAGCTCCCCATTTGAAGGAGAGAGATGTTATTTACCTGTTCTTGTTACCAATGGACAAAATAAACTCATTAATTAATATTTTGAGCTCACTTGATAAGAAAAAGGTCCACAGAAAAATAGATTACATTTATAAGAGGAATTACCATTGACCTTGGTTTTCACTGGCACAAGAAACTCTAATGCTCTAAATGCTATACTTAACATAGGGAGGTAAGTAGGTAGATAGGTAGGTAGATAAGTAGACAGATATAGGTAGATAAGTAGAGGTAGATATAGGTAGATAAGTAGAGAGATATAGGTAGATAAGTAGGTAGTAAGTAGAGGTAGAGATAAGTTCTATATATAGAGAGAGTCAAAACTATCCACTAAGGAAAAATTATTAAACTCTCAAATGTTTTCATCAAGAAGGGTGGGGAAGAAAACTCAGAGGCTAGATAATAATAGGATGTTAGAGTGGTAGGGTATCTAGAGACCCGCTGGCCACATTACAGATGTAGACATTAGAGAGCTGACCAGATTCTAACAGAGGGAGAAAGGTTGAAAAAGAGTGTGGGAATAGTAGAAGGGCCTGAGCCCTTGTTTCCTAAGGGAGGGCAAGCAAGTAATAAAAGTTTAAGAATTATCTTCTCTTTGTCACATGGTGTTCCTTTCATACTGCTACCACTAAGATCTCTTCATTAAAGACTTACCATCCAAAATGTAAACATATTATCTGTTTTTAAAAAGTAAAAAAGTTCCACTTTGAGAAAATCCATTTGAAGGAGTGGTTGCTATGTTTCTGGGGGATTCTGAGACAAAGAGAGGTAAATGACTTCTTAAGGACTCACAGTCAGGCCTAGAACCCTTGGCTCCTGACTGAAAAGCTAAAGCTCTATCCAGCCAATCCTAGAGTTCTTTCTCTACCTCCCAGCAGTATGGGTCAGGAAAACTGTAATCTGAACTGATTTTCTAAATTTCTCTAGAATGGAGAACTCCTTCAGCTTGGGCGGCTTGGCTCCCACATCTGGTTTCAGGCCCAGTGCTGAGTATTCAGTGCTGAGAAACTTCCCAGGCCTGTCTGGGGCTCTTGACTTCCCTACCCAAACACTCAAGGGAAGGTACTGGTGAATCCTTTGGGGTGGCTGGGATTAGTAGCCCATGTGGGGAACCTGTTGGAATGCTTGTTCCTAGCTGGCCCTGGATGGAGATAAGGAAGGAAAGGAGGAAGAAGAGAGGAGGGAGACAATGAGGCAGAAAAGCAGGGGGTTGGTTCCTCCAACTGTCCCTCCCAGAAGGCACTGGCCAGGACCACTGGGCCCAGTACTCATGGCCTCAGGGAGGCAGAGATCTGAAGATCGATTACTGGCTGTATTTTCTTTCTCCCCTACCCCTCCTTTTTTCCCCTCCTTTTGCTCTTTGGGTTATGGTGACCTGAAACATCTCTCACAGTGAGTTCTGATGCAGCAATGTCTGAGAATAGCTCACAGAGCAGAAACAGTCTTTGCCGCCCTCTGAAAAGACAGGCAGGGGAAAAATTGTGGTGTATTCTGTTCACACTGCCTCTAAATGATTTGGGGGGGCTGAGCGCTGTGGGGGGGAAGTCATGACCTTATGTTCCTTGATGTTATTTGATGTTGGTTTTGGCTGCATTCAGAGAGTTAAAACGCACATAAAAAATGAAGCTAATAAAACTGCAGGGCTAGAGAATGGGCCAGGCACACTCTGTGGGTTCCCAGAGCAGCTGTGGCTGAGCTCTTGGGCCTGGATGGTTCACTATCCTTCCAAGGTACAAGTTTGTGGCAGATCACTGCCAAATGGCAGAAATTAGCTAACTTAGGTGGCCTATCTGATTTGAAACCTTGATTAGCTTTGTACAGAAAAAGACAATGAAGGGCACAGAGGTGGACATTAAGGCTCCACTTGTGAGATTCATGGATGCAAAACTGAGGTTGCTTTCCTTCCAGGCAGCATTTACTCCATCCAGACTAGAAAGATCAGGGTTCCTCTGCCAGTCTGCCCACCAAGGGACTCTGTGATAAGAATAATGGTGAGAGCTAAACCTACCAGGGGGTAATGGCATCAGGATAGGAATAAGGAAAAGAGGGTCAGGTCCCTGACATCTGGTCCAGGCCATGGAAGGCACCTTATTTAGGCAAATTCTGGGAGGCTCTGAGGACCTGTAAGGTGTTAATGATGAACAGAGTCATCAGTATCTGCCTGCTGATTATCTGGAGGTGAGGAGTGACAACTGAAAGAATGCCCAGTGTGAGTGCGAGTGGAGGTCACCTGTAAATGGCTTCTTGTCTCCACTATGTATGATGGTCCACATGTATGTAAAACCAGAAGGGGATCCTTTGCCACATAAACATGATTGAGGTGAAGGCAGAAGGCCAGGCTTTCACAGAGGGATGCCTAGTGGCAAGGGCATTGGATTTGGAGTTGGAAAACCATAGTCTTGACTTTGCTGCTTTTTCATTATGTAACCTTGCATAAGTTTATGACCTTCCCCCTAGCCTTAGTTTTCTCATTTGTAAAGTGATCATACAACCTTTGTTCTGATTAAATGAGAAAACGAATGCAATGTGTTTGACAATGTGTCCAGCATATACTTAGCACTCAACAAATTCTGGTGCCTACCACCCCCACCGCCCCCACACACATTTACTAAAGGCTGTATAAGGCTGAAAGGACAAGTGGAGAGATTTGGGGCTATGTATTCTCTGAAACATAGCCATAAATATTCACACCGAGAATGGAAATCTGGAGGTGGGCAGAGCCCCAAAGAGGATAGTTCTCATAGCTATTCTGGTGAAAGTAGAGGCAGGGAAGAGGAAAGGAGGGAGAAAGGGAGAGTGGAGGGACTTAAACCACGTGTCAGAAAATCCAGATGACTTTGAGAGAAACAGCTTCCACTAACTGAGGTCAAGGACACTTTCTCTTTCAGTGTAGTAATGAAGATGAGGAGCTGGTGAGAGGTGACTTTCCAGCTGCACTGGGCATTCTTGTAGCTGCCATTTCCTCTCAATCCTCTGAGAATAACCTTAATTCTGGCAATTTGTCCCTACCCTGATATCCATCCTATCTTCAATCTTGCAGGTGTCACCAGACTCCTGCTCCACTCCTGCCCAAGGCCCAGCCCATCCAAGAGCAAAAGGCAAGTGGTGTTACAACCTTGGGATTTCCTGTATCTGCCCTCTTGCGGATAGCAGGACAGAGTCACAGCTGCATTAAATTCGCTTAAGACTTATTGAGACACTTCAACACTTCAACAACGACCTGTGAGATTAAGATTATTATTTTAAATTTACAGAAGGGGAAACTAAGAATTATAGACATGAAGTGACTCACCTATGACCACCTGGTGATAGAACCAGGACTAGAGCTCAGGTATGAAGATTTCTGGGGGAGTCCCTGAAAAAAAGGCTCCATATGGAATTACAATGTGGAAAAGGCCAAGGCCTCACCAACCCTTTTCTCTTCAACACCTGGATCCCTAAGTCCTTATTCGTAACCTCCTCTTTGGACAAGGTTTTGGTAGACAAAGCCAGAGCCTCTTGCACTGAGAAAGACAAATTCTCCTCTTGCAGTGAACCACAGGTAAATGCTCCAATAGAGAGTCCAAGCCAAACCTCCGGGTGTTATTCATGACCCAGGCAAGTCTGCTTTCTCATTCCCCCTATCTCTAGACCGTTTTCCATTTGGGCTTCCTTTTCTTCTTTTATCCTCAAAGAAACATGTTTCCTTCTAGTAGGTTTGGCTGCCACCACTAGGGTCCTGGCTACAACTGGCCCTCAGGTAACTCTCTCACCTCTGAGTTGGATAGTATCCTCTCTCGTCCCCATACACAAGTGTTTCTCTTCCCAGACACCTTCCTTACACAATTTCCCATTTCTTTCTCATCTCACCCTTGCTTTAATCAACATAGTTCTTTCCCCTGAGATTACTCTTCAGCCTTTCTTGTTGAAGCACTGCCCAGTGGTTCTCTTGGGATTTCCATTTCTCTCCCCTCAGCTCTCTTGGTACCAAATTCTGTAAGCTTCTCTGGTTTTTGGTTTCTCTTCCTTCTTTTCCTTCCAGGCAACATTTACTCAATCTAGGCTTGGATGATCAGGTACTTCTGCCAGCCTGCCCACTAGGGAACTCTGGGCTAGGAATATGTCTCAATGGCACCATTATATTTGGAAGGACGCTTCTGTATTTACACTGAACACACTAAAATACTAAACTTGAAGCCAAAATCCCCTCTCTGGCTCCAGTTCATATGTTATATAAAGATGATAGTCTATAAACCATCAGGGTGAAGAAAAAGCACACTTCTGCTGCCTGGGGACCCCAAAAACAGACAAGGCAGGGAGCTGGGCCCTCCTGTGGCTGATTTTCAGACTATGGTGAAACTGAGTGGGTGGTAATTATTGCAGTAAGAGGTGTGTGTTGGGATCATTATGCTTCAAAATGAAATATTTGTATGACATTTTTTCTCCCATTTCCAATAAAATTAAGAGCTTTGGGGTCTAAATGCTATAACCTTCAAAAGATACAGTCTGAGCATGGCAGTGTTTGTCTATGCACCAGAATAAAGCTTATAAATTAGAAACTGTCAGTCAGAGTTCCCCATGGAAAGGTTATGCTGTACCTGAGAAATGTGTACTACCTAATTAATTCCAGTCTGGATTGTAGCTGTAGAAGCAAGATAATGTTATGGGGGAGGATGCAAAACTCAGGCATTTCTTTGAGTTAAACTCTGTTTTTTTCATTATTCATTTATAGGACTCCCAGGGTCCTGAAGATCTTGGTGACTTGGGCCTGGTGGGAACCAAATATCCAGGGGAAGACTATTTTGACTGCAATGATAGGACCCAGTAGATGCAAGCAGCCTAGGCAGGGCAGAACAAGTCACTAGACAAACATGAGTTGAGGGGACAGAACAGTGAAACTTGAGGGTACACTGATGCCCATGTCTTACTCATTGCCCACTGGGTATCAGATTCAATCATCAGCAAAGGAGACTTGGGGGAAGTGGGATGCACAGCATAGTAAACCACTGTTAGACCCCACATCTGAGGAGTACACTTTCTTTCAAGGCTGCATTGGCTGAAGGGGCTAAAAATTCAAGATTATTTCTGTTGTAGTCAAGACTTACTTAGGAACTGGGCCACTTTACCAGGCTGAGAAGGAAGTCAATAGTGTGGCAAATTTGGATTGGAAAATTGTGCAGAGGGGAAGTTGGGGCTTATATCACCTGGCCATTCCTCTTGTTCCATTTCCTCCTCACGCATATCTTTCACCTCTGCTGTCTGTCTCAGTTCCTGGTGTAGGTATTAATCATTCCCAGGCAGATAAATTAAGAATTTAATAGGCTTTGGAGCCAGACACAAAACTTAATTCTGCATCTTCTTAGTATGTGATTTTACTCATGCCCCCTTTTATCTCTGATCCTCACCGCTCAGTTCAGTTTCTTTGTTTGTAAAATGGGAATCATAGCCCTTTCTTTCTTTGCAAGGTTGTTGTGAAGAGTCTACGAAATTATGAATAATAAAATCAAGCATAATGTCTGGTACCTAGAGATTATTCTATAAATATCTGTCAAATTGGAATACTTGAGGCAAAGTTTGGGATCTATTTGAGGTAAAGATTGGCCCTAGTACAATTCAAAGTTAATTGCATTCCTTGGGTGGTTTTGTACAGGCACCTAGTGGGTATTGGGCAGAGCATTAAAAAAACAGAACTTGTGAAATCTGAGAGCAGAAGATTAGAAGAGAGGAGAGGAAGATTGTTATTGGAGGGAGAATGAAAGAGACTAAGCTGGGAGAGAGGGATAGGGCAGTAGAAATGAGAAAGAACAAGAACACTAAGAGAAGGGAAGCAGTAGAGAGATAAAGAAAATATGAATAGAAGGAATGAAAGAAGAAGAAAGAAATATGAGAGGAAGAGAAGACAGAGCAAGTGAGAGAGAAGAGGAAAGAGATAGGAAAGGAGAGAGAGAGGCAGAGACAGAATGAAAGAAAAGTGAGACAGAATGAAGGAGAAAAAAATGAACGAGATATTGGAATCAACCCAATCCAGTTGCCATTGGGCTACATCCTGCTCTGAGACTGGAAGAAGAGTGGGCTGGAAAGTGAGTCATAAAGGGGATTTTGACAGAAGGTAAATTGTAGGTTCCTATCTGTCTGCTGGTATAATGGGATAGGAGGAAAATTTCTCCCCCAAATCTTCTAGCCCTCCCTCCCTTAGTGCTAGTCTAACCATGAGGAAGAAAACAGACACTGGCATTTGCAGTTTGCCTCCTACTGACATCCTAAAAAATGTCAGAGTCTTGTTCATTTTCGCAGCCATAACCTGACACATTAACAGATCATGTGCAAGAGAATCAAGGTGAGCAGGTCCTGGAGGTAGAGAAGTCATTAGGCAGCTCTTGCTCAGTGATAGGCAGCTAGACTTTTCTTTAGCAGTATAGATAATTCCCCTGTGCAATACCTGGGGAGCATATAGGCTCTAGACCTTTCTTTCCTTTTGACCTATTGCACATTCTATCTTCTTGACTAAACTGTCTGTGGACTCCAAATCAGAAAGGCCCAGTGTGCAGGTGTGATACAACATTTGGATCCTCCTCTTCTCACCTTGGTGATTTTCTCCCTCCAATTTCTTCTTCATAAACTTTGTGTTTTTCTTGGTTGCATCCTTGACTACATTGTACTGATGTTATCTGTTTACTAGAACTATGAACTTCTCCAAGCCATATCTCATATCTTCTGCCTCCTCAGTAGCCATCACAAAGCTTGAGACACAGCTGATCTTGTTGAAGATTTCTGTGATGTATGAATGAGTAAATGAATGGTCTCACTTTGGCTATAGGTCTCTCATATCTAATGAAATAGCATACAGGCAAAGGTGGTACCATTTTAATTTTCAAAATAACCTCTAAGTTGAGGAGTTGTATAAGAGACACTGACTTCATTACTTTATGTATTTGTTTAATTTTAATTCAAAATATAACATTCATTACTAATAATAACAAATTCTACATTTTTTTTTTATTGAGATGGAGTTTTGCTCTTGTTGCCCAGGCTGGAGTGCAGTGGTGTGATCTCGGCACATTGCAACCTCTGCCTCCCCGGTTCAAGCGATTCTCCTGCCTCAGCCTCCCGAGTAGCTGGGATTACAGGTGCTTGCCACCACGCCTGACTATTTTTTGTATTTTTAGTAGAGATGGGCTTTCACCATGTTGGCCAGGCTGGTCTCAAACTCCTGACCTCAGGTGATCCACCCGCCTTGGCTTCCCAAAGTGTTGGGATTACAGGCTTGAGCCACTGCGCCTGGCCAGATTCTACATATTTTAATCAAAGGACATGAATCAATCATACACATTGATTATCTATTAAATGTAATGAAAAAAATATTTGAAGGCACCAAACATAGTGTTTAACATACTGTAGGTATTCAAACTTTCCAGTGGAATTGTCTTACAGTCATTAGCAAAGATATCTGGATTGCTAGAGCCAATGGATACTTTCACTCCTTATCTTGAAGTAGGCACTCAATAAATATCTATCGAATAAATACACACATTGGTGAAAATATGTTATCCTACTTTGATCTGAGTACTAAACTGTATATTGTGGAGGATACAGAGTTGGGAAACTTGGTGAGATAAGCCCTTGTATATGAACATAGTGAATTAGAAGAGTATGAAATTTAGAAGTTGAAGACTTGGATTTCAGTTTCAGATTTAAGCCATATAGTGGTTTTAGTGTGGCTTTGAACAAGTATAAATTTTCTCCTGTTGATAATCCAAGTGTCTTCCACCTGAATGTCCTCTAATTCCTTCAGCCTGTGGGAAGTAATCATTTCATTTAATACCTAAATATTAAAATAGAGTAATTTCCTATATAGACTGCCCCATTGAGTAATTCAATAGTACATCAAGAAAATTTTCCTCAAAATTTATTTTCCTCAAAAATTATTCCATCTAGTTAATGAAGAGTGATGGAATTAGTGTGTCATTATTTTACATTCCCTATTTAATTAGTGAATCTAGGCAATGATCATCAATGGCTTTTGCCACAGCAGAGACAAATATTTTGTGCATTAAGATAGGTACACCTATGAAATAGAAATCGTTTTACCAAAAAAAAAAAAGCTGAATTTGATGAAACCACAAATTCCACCTACCAATTTGCAATTTCTCTGACCT
This sequence comes from Homo sapiens, assembly GCF_000001405.40. Classification (NCBI taxonomy): domain Eukaryota; kingdom Metazoa; phylum Chordata; class Mammalia; order Primates; family Hominidae; genus Homo; species Homo sapiens. Next base: position 67,740,774 of record NC_000023.11, on the reverse strand, counting down.
ACAAAGGTCAGAGAAGCTTGTTAAACTATGCTGTGAGGAGGCAAATGACAAAATCCAAACTGTGATTCTATTTAGAATAGTATCAAAAATAATAAAATACTTAGGAATAAATTTAACCAAGGAGGTGCAAGAAGTGTACACTGAAAACTACAAAATATTGTTGAAAGAAGCTAAAGAAGACCTAAATAAATGCAAAGACATTATGTGTTCATGGATTGTTAATGTTGTTAAGATGGCAATACCTCCTACATTGAGCTACATATTTAGGGCAATCTCAAAATCCAAGCTGTCATTTTTCTTGAAATTGATAGGCTTATTCTGAAATTCATATGGAATTACAAGGGATCCAAAATAGCCAAAACAACATTGAAAAAAGAACAACGATGGAGGACTCACAATTTCCAATTCCAAAACTTACCACAAAGCTACAGCAATCAAGAGAATGTGGGACTGGAGTAGTGATAGACGTAAAGAAGAATGGAATATAATTGAGTCTAAAACTAAATTCTTACACTGAGTGTCAATTGGTTTTTGACATGTTTGCTAAGAAAATTCAGTGGGAGATAGAATAATCTTTCAACACATAATGCTGAGACAACTTGATATCCACGTGCAAAAGAATAAAGTTGGACCTCTATTTTACACAATATATAAAAATTAATTCAAAATGGGTCAAAAACTAAATGTAAACAGCTAAAAGTGAAAAATTCTTACAAGAAAACATAGGTGTCAATTTCTGTGACCTTAGATTAGCAATGGTTTCTTAGCTATGACTCCAAAGGCAAAAGCAGCAAAAAATAATAACAAAGTGAACATTATCAAAATGAAAAACTTTGTACTTCAAAGGACATCATGAAGAAAGTGAAAAGATATCCTACAGAATGGAGGAAATTTTTTTCAAATCACATAATGGTCTTCTTTCTTGAATACAAAAAGATGCTAAACTTGATAATAAAAAAGATAAATAACCCATTTTGGAAATGGGCGAATTATCTGAATGGGAATTTCTCCAAAGAAGATATACAAAGTGCCAATAGGCACATGAAAATATGCTCCACAATATTAGCCATCAAGGAAATACAAATAAAAACCACAGTGGAATACCACTTCACACCCACTGAAATGGTGATGACCAGAAGACAGATAGTAACAAATGTTGTTGAGGATGTGGAGAAATTGGAACCCTCACATACTTGGTGGGAAAATAAACTGTTTCAGGCTCTGTCAAAACAGACTAGCAGTTCCTCAAAATGTTAATTTAAGAGTTACCACATATGACCCAACAATTCCATTCCTAGGTATATATCCAAAAAAAAAAGAAAAGAAAACAGATGTCAACACAAAATCTTGTACACAACTGCTCATAGTAGCATTATTCATCATAGCCAAAAAGAAGAAACAACCCAAATGTCCACCAAATGATGAGTGGATAAAAACAAAGTTATGTATGTATACAATGGATATCAATTGGCAATGAAAGGAAATGACATACCAATATGTGCTACAACATGGATGAACTTTGAAAATGTTAGGCTAAGTGAAAGAAGCAAGTCACCAAGAATAACAGGCTGTATGATTCTATTTATACGAAATGTCCAGAATAGGCAAATCTGTGGAGACAGAAAGTAAACTAGTCACCATCTAGGGCTGGGGGATAGGGGTGGGATATGGAGGGATTGGAGAGTGACAGTTAAGAGGTGTGGGGTTTCCTTTTGAGGTAATGAAAGTGTTCTATAGCTAATTTTGGCAGTGGATGCACAAATAAGTGAATATACTAAAAGCCACTGAACTATAAACTCTAAATGAGTGAAACGTATCGTATGTGAATTATATCTAAATACAGCTGTTTAAAAAAATAAAGTGAAAAACAAGCAGCAAGATGTATTTCACCCAAGGGCCAACTCCTGGTCTAGGACATGGACTATTTTCATAAATATTCTACATGTGTTTGAGAAGAATATGCACTCTCCTGTGTTGGGTATAAAACTCTACATATGACCAAAAAATTAAGCTTGCTTAATTTTGCTGTATAAATCTTCTATATCCTTACTGATATTTTGTTTCCTTTAATCTATCAATTCCCAAATGAAATATGTTAAAAATCTTTCACTATAATATTGAGTTTGTTAACTTTTTAATGTAATGTCACACTTTGCTTTATATATTTTGAGGCTTTGTTATGAGAGTTAACATATTTAAAATGGTGTTAACTTCCTGAGAAACTGGACTTTCAACATTATGAAATTATTCTCTATTTATAGTAATGTTTTGTCATAAAGTTTGTCTGCTATTGATATAAATGCATAAGCTTTCTTTGGTTAGCATTGCCTAGTAAAAATTTTTCCATTTTTTTGGCTTTCAAACTTTCTGGTTATCTTAGTAATTTTAATGTAGATACTTAGTGAAGTCTAAAGTTAATGAGTATCTTTATCTTCATCCTCAACAACTTAAAGATCTTAGAATTTTTTAACTCTAATGACTCCTTACCATTGTATAAATTGTTGTTCAATTATTTATCTTGCTATTTTCCCACAAATTAGACATCACTGTTGTTTTTAATAGTTAATGTATATTGAGATTTACCCCCATGTTTGCCAATGTCTTTGCTTGCTCTTACCTCTTGCATCTCAAACTTCCCATCCAGAATTATTCTCTTTTCATCTGAAGTACATAACTTAGATGTTTCTTTAGCATGGATCTGGTTAAAATTTTTCTTATTTTAACTTTCTTTAAAGATAATTCTGCTAGGTACACAATTATCTTAGTACATTACAGGTATTTTCCACTGTCTTCGGCAGCCATTATTATTATAGGTAAGTTAAACTTAAATCTAATGGCTATTTTTTTTGTACCTGATCTGTTTTGTTCTCATTTCCCTCTTCTCACTGGCTGCTTTTCTAATATTATATTTTTCTTTAGTGTTCTGTAAAAACACTATGATGTTGTCTAGTGTGGATTTTTTTAAAAATTGCCTAGCTTGGGATTTTTCAGAATTCTAGACTTTAAAGATGAGTGTCTTGTAACAATGCTGAAAAATTCTCAGACATTAAATCTTTGAATATCACCTCTTTTCTACTCTATAACTGCTCTGGTACTCTGGTTAGATGTAAATTAGATCTACCTTCTCTTCCTTTATGCCTCTTAACCTCTTTTATTTTTCATTTCATTGCCTTTCAGTGCTACAGAAAGTGCTATGAATATTTTATTTGCATCTATCTTCCACTTCCCTAATTCTCTCTTGAGTTGTATATATTCTGTTCTTTAATCTGTCAATGTATGTTTGAGTCCCCTTTTCTACTTTTTAGTTCTGGACATTCTATTTTGTCCTTTTTCAAATACAATTGGTTGTCCTTTATAGTCTCCTGTTCCTTTCTCATATTTATATCATTAAAAAAAATCTCTTTAACCACTTTCAATAAAATTAACTTTATATTCTATGTGTGATGGTCCTACATTCTGAAGTCTGTGGGTCTGATTCTGATGTTTCTTGTTTCTGTGTGCTTTTACTCAGAGTGTTATGTTTGTTTGTGCATTTTGTAACTTTTGACTGTGAGATGCTCATTTTCTTTGGACTTTTATCTGTAGACATTTTTGAGGCTGGATGAAAGTTGCATTCTCCATAGAGGATTTGCCTTTGCTAATCACCCATGAGAATTGCTGATCTGGGATCTCAGCTTTTGATTTTTCAGACCTCATAAGTATCTTGAATTAGGACTACAAAATTATATGAGGACCACCTGTGGTTACAAATTCTCATGAGAGGTTTATCTCGCCACTTCACCTAGGGTCAAAGTCAAGCAAAGCAGGTTTCATTGCTATTCTCTTCTGTGAGATGGATTTAATTATCTGCTCTTACACTGAGATTATGGTCCTTTAGGGTACCAGCTTTATGTGGAAGTCTCCTATAAGTAAGTCTCTGCATCTTGGGCTGGCACAGTCTTTACCTCCTGTTTCCCTAATATTTTACAGCCATCAAAGTAGAAACTCAGAATCTCCCAGGGTCTGGTAAGATTCTAAGGGCAAAATCTGGCTTTGACACTAATTTACCTCCAGGGTTCCTGCTTTCATTTCTCTTTTAGCCTCTGTGGATTCCTTACTATCACACTAGCACTGCAATGAATTTTAAAAGATTATTTTTATATTTCACTTAGCATTTTAATAGTTTTTATTGGGTGGGTCATTCACAGTATCCAGTAAGACATACTGCTAGAAATAGAAGTCTCTAGCCAACTTCTAAAATAACAATGCTTCTTTTCTGTCACATATTTAGATGAGACATTAATTTCTGCTCTGCTTTCCTTTAGGATTCCAGTGTGTCTTCAACGACATAGTGCTATAAGGTATAAAGCATTATTTATATAGCAGTGGGTTGCTATTATACTAACTGCAAGCCAAGCTAGTGGTTTGGGCTAAGAGAATGGAGATTCCAAGTTCGAAGGATAGAGAGCTCATTTCCCATTGGAGAAATCAGAGAAAACATCTTCGAGCTAGTTTTTAATCTGAGCCTTAATGGGGAGGAAAAATTTTGTCAGGCAGAAATGGGGGAGGGCATTTCATATGGAGAGAACCACGTGAAAAAAGGGCTGATAAGATGTATTGTCCTATTTCCAAAGGGAAGCCTCTGGTCTGGTCTCTTGCCCACTAATGCTTATCCAAGGGCATTGCCTATATTCTGGTTCCAGTAAGAACGTATCACCTTCACCTCAGAAACTCCTCAAGCAGTCACAGTTGCCCACATTTATTCTGAATGGGAGATATGTCTGGCAGAGTCTTTGGCCCATATCAAAATATGTATACAGAACAGCCAAAGGGGCATTTGTAGAAACATATTCCCACTAAGATTGACAGGTGTGTCTGAATAGCAGGCAGAATGGTGTACTATAAGGTGGAGACTGCTGTGGAACAACAAACAATACGTTATTGGGTGTGTAGTCAGAAGGCTGATGGCTGGATATTTGCAAGTATGGAAAACACTGTCATTGGTCTTTTCTGGGATAAAGAATTCTAAAATGTGGGGATAAGATTATAGGCATTGGGGTGAGACAAAGTGAGAGATTCCCAGATTGACAAAATTCTCGTTTTAGCCAACAATTTCAGAGTCTAAGAAAGCATATTATAGCTGGAAGAAAAAAATGAGTCCTTTATCTCTTGCTCTACAGATGGGGAGACTGAGGCCCAGAAAGGGGAAAGGACCTACTTAAGTTAAGCTGGTTAGTGGCAGCAGCTGAAATACTGATTCCTGGTTCAATGTTCTTACTCTCTGCCTGCCTTTATAGACAAATATGCTCATAGGTTCTTTGGATGCCCAGTGAACTCCTGCACCACAGGTACCTGTAACCAGAGACAGGAAGGGGGAGCAAAAGCCTCAGTAAGACACTTGGGAGATGGTAGGGCATTCATTCTCCCAATAAAACCCACTTGAAGTTTGGGGAAGAGGCAGCTGCTCTGTGGAAATCCTGAGCTCTTATAGACCAGGCATAACTGTCATTCTCAGAGTGGGTGGTTATAAAGACAATTCCATTGACATAGCTTCTTTATTCCTGTTTATAATGCTGCCTGCTTTTGAGTTCTTTGGGCTCTTTGGAAAGATTTTGAGAAAATAAACCAGACTTTCAAGAAATAAAATGTAATGTAATGATCAAAATTTCAAGATTTGGTTACAAATATACTTGTTTAAGTTTAGGCTTTATTACTTAAAAGTAACCTTCGGTCTGGATCAGCAATAATGTTGAGTCAGAGCCTCAGTTTCCTTATTTATATAATGAAGGTAACTTCTCAACTCATAGGATTGATGTGAGGATTATAGAACATATATGGTGTAAAGAACTTTGCATTAGCATTTTCTGGCACATAGTAAGTACTCAGTAAATTTTATTATTGTTGTTGTTGTTAATTTGCTTTGGAATCAGTCTCTATTCATCTTCTATCATATTCTCACACAATAAATTTTAGCATAGTTTCCATCTACTGAAACTCATTATGTTACAGTTTTGCTCAAAAATCCTTAGTTATCTCAACTAGTGTTCTGTAATCAGATGTGAGGTGTGGCAAATAATTTGTTGATAATATTTTAAACATTGAAGTTGGAGGATAATTTAAACATACTGTAAGAGTTTCAGATTTTTCCTTTCAATACTGTCAGTCTTGCTTGCACTCATATCTGCTTTCTTAAGTGTGAGAAAAAGGAACTAAGTGTTTCAGGAGTTGAATACAGCCCTAGTGGCTCCCTTGAGAGTATGCCACAAGTGGCCATTATCTTTCACATGTGGCAACTGAGAATAACTAGCCTACAGAAGAAAACCTACCTCTTAACAGGGGACTTGAGGCCTTTCACAATGGGTCGTAGACCAGACTCATCTCCAACTCTTACTCCCCACTAGTTCCCAAACAGAAGGCATACTCTTTTCTGCTTCTTGTGAATTTGTCCATCTGTTCCTTCTTTGGTTGCCTGCCCAGCTACCTTTTCCTGTTATGAAATTTCATCTCATTGTTCAAGGCTGGGGGCAAATGTTACTTCCTCTAGGAAGGTGAAAAGTTGTCTCGTCTTTCATCATTTTTTTTCTTACTTCCTGTTTGGATGAATGAATGAGGCCCAATACCCATTTAGCAGCAATTTGGCTGGCTTTCCACAGACTGCACTACCCCTTAAGATGATGCTACTGCTTTTCTCTGGGGTCACCTGTCTGCCATTTTGGGAACCCTGTGCCATTGAATGTCACCTCAGGAAAGCCATGCCAGTTGCACATGGGATAGTAGGCAATGCCTGTTCTCACTAGAGTCATGTAAACACATTCCAAGAATTGCATTGCCAGGTCCTTTGATAGATTGGTGTAATGTGAATAGACTGAGACTGAAAATCAGGAGAATTGGGGCTTCCACTTTAGACTTAGGGCTATCAGTTATTTGGGAGCAGCCATTGGACAAATCACTTCATCTTGATGGACCAGTTTTCCTTTCTGCAAAATGGGCCTGATCCCTGACCCCCCTGCCTCTTCATGATGTTATGAGGTTTAGATGAGATTATGTGTCTGACAGTGCTTTAGGAATTGAAATGGTGGCAAAGGCTTCTATGGCTCCCCTTCATCTTTGGGATAAAGGCCTATATGTCACTCTTTAGTGTGACATATAGGCCATTGCTGGCTTTGCTTGTGCTTCCTTCTTTATCTTCATCTCTCAAAACCATACTCTTCTTCAAACCCTTCCCTCAGGCTAAACTGATCACAGTTTCCCTTACTAGGCTACTGTCTCTTGCCTGAGTTAGAATGCCCCTTTCTCCACACCCAGCCCCATCTTCATGCAACTTGTTTCACAGCCTAGACTTCTCTAAGAACCCTTCCTTGACCTTTCTACTAGACTGGGCTAGGCCTCCTTCCTCTGTACCCCAGCAAAATCCCCAACTTCCCTCAACATAACATCCATTACATTATATTACAATAGTCTGTGTCAAATAAATAGCTGTTGAATAAAGGAAAGAACAAATAAATGAGGAGAACACTGAATACTATGTCCCTGTGAGGGATTCTTGCAGTCTTTTGAGGCAGTGGAATTGTCCCACAATATAGTCCAACACAGACATTAGCCACCCGTGGCACTGTGCACACACATCAAAAAGGCCTGCTTCCTTTGGAAACAAGTGTTGCTGCTCAGGTAGTGAGTGTTGTGCCTCACACAGCATCTGCTTGCTCTGCTGGGCTGTTTTCTGGTCTGAGATCCAAAGTACTCTAATGGGGGTGTGGGGAGGGCTATTTGCATAGAGTTTGGAGTAAACCACCTTGTTTGGCATGAAGCCTTGTGGTTGACAGCCATACGAGGTTCCCCTAATGACCTTCTCCTTGCTTGAAGCCTGTGGGGAAGAAGCTAAGGGAAGCAGGGAAGTTGTGGCTTGAAAAAGAATTGGTGGTGGGATAATATGAGGATTTGAACCATCTGCATCTGCCTGTTAATTCAGAAAGTTCTCATACCTCGTGTCTGTTAAATTGTTCTCATTGCCTCTGTAGTCCCTATTCCAGCTCCCCCAACAGTTTTCTCCTTCTTTCACCCTCCCCTAGAGTGGCATGAAGAAAACCCCTAGGAGTGGGTGGTAGGTGAAGTAGATGCTGTAGTTGGTGTAGAGATCCTGGGTCTGTATATGTAGGAGCCAGACAAGAGGTGGAAGCTCTCTCACTAGGGCTCTGAACCCATATGCAAAGGGATGGTAGAAAGTCTCAGGTGCCCTATTACTTTGGTATGCTGCCTGCAGGCACATGAAGGGACCACGAGCTGGGTGTTGTAGGGCTGGTCCCTTGACACAGGCCCTAGTTCACAATAACATTCAAATTTTTTGCACAGCTCCCTCATGTGAAGAATAAGAAGTTAGGGCTAGATGAGGTCTAAGATCCTTTCTAGTTCTACCGGCAGGAATTCTAAATTAGAGGTTAGCCCAATCTCTTTGGAGAGAGTGATGTGGGAGGACTGGGGTTGGGTGTTATAGGTTGAAGTTCCAGAGTGGTCTGGCAAAGGCATTTAATAGAATGTAAACTCACTGAAGGCACAGACAGTGCATGGACTGGGGCTTAACTCCTACTTATCTCTGCCATTTATGAGATAATCTCAATAGGAAACTATTTCCCTTTGAGCCCCTTCCTCATCCATCAAGGGGTTGACAATATCTATTACACAGGACTCAGCTGTTGTTTTGACCCTCTCCACACTAGTTGTTTTGTAAATAATTATTGAGTGCAAATGTGAATATTCTAGCTCCAAAACTGTTCTAGGAGTAGTAAATGGTCTTTTTCTTTCCCCTTACGATTAAGAAAGATGTTGCTGCAGTTTTCAATAACCATGGCATCTGCACTAGAAGGGACTTCCCATCTCATGTAGTTTTACTCCACACATTTTACAGATTAGAAAACCGAGGTCCAGCAAGGGCAGATTGCTGCCTAGTGTCACATAGTAAATCAGCAGGGGAGAATCCTAGCTATACACTAGCTGCATGACTATGAACAAGTCACACACAGGACTCATGCCTCTAGGCTCTTTTCAACCCAATAGGTGTCCTTTGTGCTTTGCTACTCCTTGGAAAACTTATGGTGGATGCTAACCACCTCGTCTGTTTAGGCAGGAGCTGAGTGGTGAGTGAAGCCAAGTCAGATGGCTGTAAGGTCATTCGCTGTAGATGCAAACGAACAGGACCTAAGCAATGGTGGTTAGAGAAGATCCTCTGGAGGCAGGCTCTGACTTTACACACACAACCTGCAAATAAACATACTCTCTGTCTCTTACTTAAACACATGCATAACACACATCCCAAGAATCTATTGTTCTCCTCTCCTCTCCATCAAGCATTGATCTCAGGAAAAATCTGAGAAATCCATCCATTCTAAGGTGGTCAGTGATAAACATGGCTCAATGTGGGATCCCTCTCAAGGGTTCTGGCATTTTAACAGGGAGCAAAGCCAGAGCTTAATAGCCCACCAGCTGTGTCACATATGTTCTCACTGAATCCTCAACCCAGCCCAGAAAGAAGGCATTCTGACAACCCTTATTACAGGGGAGGATATGGAAGAATAGATAATTTTCTTATTATTCATTGACATGCTTTGTCACACCTCATTGATGGCTTGTATCTCAGGCCCAAAAATTCAATCTGCAACCTCATAAATATTAATACTGAGAGGCCACAAGAAGAGGCCTTGCTTGAACTGAAGAACCCAAAAGAAGGCTGATTTAGATTTTACTTGGGTGGTCAAGGACGGTAAGGCCCCTGAAAAATAGTGAAGATGTGAAGGTACCCATTCTTTAACTGAAGCTTGGTTAGAACTGGGCAGTGATGACACCATTTTATGCTCCTACAAGGATAAGGATGTGAAGGTGGGCAGCTGGGCTTTGTGTGGCTTTTCCCCAGCTGACAAGTTTGGGGTTTTTCAAGAGAAGTTGTGATGGGTCACCAGTGTCCATCTGTGCTTTCTAGCCCAAATTCCTTGTTATTTTGGTGGTCCCAGGTCAGCTTATGCTAAGGCCACCACAGGGCAAATTTGTAACCCTTGTGCAAAGACTTTTAAAAATATATGAAAATCAAAATAGCATAAAACGCAACCGGGCATGATACCAACTCTTGACTTCAATAAAAACAGCCAATAAAAAGAGCTAATTAAAAGAACTCTGATGACATTCATCTGAAATTTTAGATTTCTTTATGTTTTAACAAATTAACAACAATGATAAGAGGACATTAGCAGCTTTTCTTGGGTCTCTTTGTTAACAATAACTCGATCCTGCAGCCATAACAGGGGATGTGGCCAAGTTTTAGCTGGCAGACCAGTAAGCCAATATTTTACACAATGGATGACATTTCTGAAAGCAGAGGCAGAGACAGACCCAAAGTCACACATGTAGTCCAACAAACAAGTTTCTGCCATTTTTAATTGTATTTAGAGCAACAAAAGATTCCAAGATTACAAAAAGAGAACAGAACACTAGCGCTTGGAGCTGGTCCTGCTGCCCAGTGGAGGCCAAGTGCCACCGTGAGAAATGAGCCCCATCTAAAGAGATTTCAAGCAAAATTGTTTCTTTTAAGAAAATCTTTGTGTGATGCTTTCTTTCTCTCTCTCTTCTTATTTCTTTTTTCCTTCAATATTGAAAATTAATTTTTATCTCTGTTTACATAGTCTGCTCCCTCCTGCTGCCAGATTAATTCCAAGGACAGCACAAGAATGTCATGTCTGAGGCACTCCCTAATCAATGTTCCAGTCTAGAGGAAAGCAGAAAGGTGTCACTGGGTTGTGAGGGGACTTTTTAATTTTTTTTTTCTTTTTTTTGCGTGGGTCATTCTGATGGTGGCTGCTGTCAGCATCCAAGTGGCTTATGGGATAGGACAACCCCCCAGGCACTTCACTGTAGGACAGTTAGCACCAAGGGCTAAGGTTGTGAGATAATGCAAATCTGGCCTGTCACCTCTGCAGAGTACAGGTTCCCATACTGTGAGGCAGCAGCCAGAGAGGGAACCACCAGAGAAACAGCATTTCAGAATTGTCTTTCCTTTGGTGTATGGATATGTGTGTGTTCTAGTCTTTGGTGGGCAATGGAATCTGCAGCTCCATGACAATCTTGTTAAGTAGCTTATGTGGGAAGTGTTTCAGGTCACAAGGGCCACCCATTCTAAGGCTTCTCATTTAATTCCCCAGGCTAAGAGACAGGTGGGGAAAGGAAAAAACCTAGCACCTTGCTATACTGAATTGGAATCAGAAGCCAATCAATGCATATTACCTACTTTCTGGCCAAATCAAATGAGGATAAATCAAAGCTGAGTCAAAAGCTGTTTTTACTATGAAACTCCACCTGCTAAATTCAAATATCTACCACTCTTTCTATGGGTGAAAAAATTCCAAAAGATTTGTTATCTCAGCTGAAATGTCTGAAGAGGAGTAACTAATGTGGATTTTTCTGCCTTCACCTAGAAATGGTTGAGTTGGGAGGTCCTAGGCAACAGAAGTGTCAATCTCTTAATCAAAGAAAAACACCCTACCTGTGGGCAGAAATGGACCTGCACCTACAGAGATACAACTTCTAGTACTCTGACAAGTTTTAACAGAGAAAAACACATTTTCATTTGTCAAAATCTTTACAGAACATATCCAAAACCAGAATTACAGCACACAGACACCCAGTAACAAGAGCACCTCAATCTCAGGTGAGGGAATTTGTGTGAAAGATAGAGCGCTTGCTCCAGGTTCCAATGCAGGAAACTGCCCTTCTCTCACAAGGATGGTGAAGACCAAGGAACAGTTCTCTTCTTCCAACAGCTCAGGTCCCATTAGGGGGCCACTGGTCAATCACTTGGGTAGGCTTTTGGCCCCAAGTTTGGGCCTTCCCTGTGGTAAATCTCAGTCAGTTCCATTGAGTTTTTATGCTTTCCACATTCATCTGTCTTGAACTAGTAAAGTACAATGTATCATGTCCTCTACTCTTTTTATCCCTCTGCTCCTTCACAGGACCTGTGGGTCAAACCCAATAGGGGAGAAAACTTTTAGTTAACTGATCAATCCAGGTGTCTTGTTTGTTCTGAGAGAGCTTCCAAAACAAAACTGCATCCTCTCTCACAAGTACATGGCATCAGGTGTGATCTGGAACCAAATATAAAGATGCAGAGAAAGTTAAAGCTATCAGAACACACACACACACTATATATATATATATATATATATATATATATATATATATATTTCAATTTTGAAACATGGATACAAATATTCATTTACAATGTATTTCAACTTTCTGCCTTCAACTGCAGATAACTTTTTGTGCCATCCAAAGTGGGCAGAAATAAGGATTTCTGCCTGCTGTCCCTCTAGTGCAAAATCTAGTACTTTAAATGCTCCCTTATCAGCAAGGGTTTCACATCTTCAGATAAGCTAACATGGGCACTAGCAAACACAGTGGCTAAGAACAGCTCCATTTCCAACCATGCAATGATGGAGCTTCAACAATTTGCTCAGCAACTACTAGAGAAAAGGAAAGCCAGTTCTGCTTATAAAATCACTTAGTGAAGGACCCATAATCCCATTTTCCCGAAATTATTTTCAATTCTTCTAAACATGTATATTATTAGGGAAAAAAAAACCCACAAAGCTCTTATAAGTCAGTCACCAGCAGAGTCCTTTAGTCTGTCTTTGGACAGCTTATCAAAGAGGCACTAATGCTTGCTCCCCCCCTGCCCTTATGAATTTTGGTATCTTAGCAGGTACAATGTAATCTTTGGTTATATAATGTGATGCTTTCATCTCTCTTTTTAAAAACTGCTTTAAAAGATTTTCAAAAAGATTAATGGTGAGAACAGATCTGCCTACAAAGGCATCAGGGGTAGAAACTTCCTTTTCCAAGAAACTGAACATGCTGAATGGCTTATTTTGACTTTAAGTTTTGGATTTGATCTGGTGCTTTGGCATTCCTGATTCCCATGACCCCTTGTAGTGGGTCAAACATGAAAACCACTCCCTTGGCCCAGTGCCCTCTCACCTGGGCAACTGGCACAAGATAATTCGTAGACAGTCAGCCTCTTATTTTTCCAGGGCTATGCAGGGGCCATGCTCGGGTAGTTACTGGGCTGTCTGGAGAGAGTCTCCTGAAATGCAGCTTTGGTGCAGGGCTGGGAAGGGGCAGAGGAAGTGGCCTGGGCCTTTATGCCCTGCCAGATATCAAGGGAGAGAAGGGGGGAAAGGCCACATCTGTGCTGTGCCTAATGAAACAAACACTTAGAAGCTACTTGAAGCTCAATGTTAGCTCATTTGTGCATCATGTGGATGGTGGACATATTTTCTCTTAAAGTACAAGTCAAATAAAACTTGCTATGTATGCCTATATGTATTTAGAAGTAGAGTATGGACAGAGAGGGACTCTAGCATCAGCACATTATTTTTCAACCTGGACAATTACCTCAGCAACTACCCAAAGGACAGAATGAAGCTCTCTATATTTTTTAGTGCCAGTGAACATACATAAAAATATATGTATTACAGATTTTCTTTTTTCAAAGATATATGACAGTCCTTCAAAATATCCCTTTCTCAGAGTAAGGGAGTTAAAAAAATAATAAACTTTCCAAGAACAACAATATTGCCTATGGCATAGAAAAAGCTATGAAACAAAGAATCCAACAACTCCCATGTCAGCTCAGAGGCTGGGCCTAGGCGAGCTGCCCAATGAACGAGAGCTGAAACTGCCACACGACTCTTTTCTTTGACTACAGAGTTCGTGATCCTGGCAGCTGTCTGCTGCCCAGCACAGACGGAGCCTTCTCCCTGGTGCTCCTTCTTTTTCTCTTCCTCACTCTTCGTCCACATCGAGCACTGCCAACTTGTTTGGAGATGGTCCTTGTGACTTTTCCAGTGAGTGATCCTCATCTTCTAGCTCACCAGCTAAGTGGGTCTGAGTGGCCAGTCCCTCACAGGTGAGTACAGTATACCAACCATACCAACTCTGTTTGTAGAGCAGAGCGCATGCAAAATGAGACTTCTGTCAATTACATTGGCTAGAACATCAATGGCCAAAAGAAAAAAAAAATCCTCCTCCTTTCATCCATGGGAGAACAGAGCCAAGCTAAAATCTCCTTTGTTCACTCAAACCCAAGCACAGAAAGAGTAGGCCTAAAGGCTTGTGTAGGCTATTTTTCCCTAGTTTTGTCATTTGGAAATTTGGAGTAATCCAGTTGTTGCTTTTAATTACACTGCTGTTTCACTGATTTTTGGCTTTTGCAAATGAAAAACATATATTCATGAAGACAAGAGTCACAATTGGGAAACCCATAAAGATGAAAAATTTGATAGAGAAATGTAAAGGAGAGCTTCTAGTATTTACAAGGAGAGATATGAAAATGATATAATTCAATCTGTGTATCACAAAAGATGAAAATCATTCCAAAACAGATGTAAAGGACCTATTAAAATGTAACCTAGTGTAACTGAAAAGAGTGGTGGATATTTTTTTCTGTTTAAAACAGCTAAAAGTGATCCTGTACATGAGCCAGATTGTGTAATAATAAAGAAAACCAGAACATGTCTATCCCACCCCAAAAAGGGAACCTGTCAGCTTTAGTTTTCTCCAGCAGTCTTGGATTGGCATATTACTCATCTTAGGTTCCCCTCTCCCTTGTTATTTAAAGCTGTTTTGAAGTTCGTTTGGCTATTAATATCAATGCAGAAATCAGGGAAGGAAACCCTTGTGGATCATATCATGTCACTCAGAAACTATCCTCTCAACAAACAGAGTGAATCAATTAAAATGGGCAGCTTGATGACTGGCCCTTGATTTCTTGAGTTCAACAGATGAGATTAAGAGCTAAGTAAGGAGGCAGAGGCCAAGATGAGAAAGTAGGTGGACATTTTCCCTTGCACTTGGGCTTGAAGAACGAAGTCAACAGAACACAGGTGTGCCAAAAGACTATATAAAACCAGTGTCCCAGGGCACACCCTGAGTTCATGGGTGGCAAAGTATTGGAGCCACACCAACCAGACCTTTCCGAAAGAAGCCATGGTTCTGTAGAAAGTCTCAATGGTTTGGCCTCCCTCTGACTAAGAGGCAGCAACAAAGGTGGGGAATCTGAGTGAGTATGGGCAATGTCAGAGCCCAGAATCAGCAGCAGAGGAGGATGATGAGTAAACTCACCAGATGGTGTCCATCTGGCTTTAGGCTTTGCCGCTGAAGATTTTAATTCAGTAGTCAGAGTCTCCTCTTTGTTCCTTCTCTCTTCTCATGACTTCTGCAGGTGGATATGCTGGGTGACAAGAAGAGCATTTGCAGGGTTTCTGGTTCTAGTGCCTTCATTCTTCCCACCCTGGTAATTGAGTTTTCTCTTCAACCCTGATCTGGGTAGCCCCTTTAGCTGCTCTAAAGAAGGAAGTGAGAACTTCTCCACTTGCTGGGAGGGTATCATCTCTGGGGGACAAGGGCAAGACGCCCAGCTTGCCTGATCCCTTTGATGCCTTCTTTCCAGTTTGTCTAAGGGCTCCAGCGATCTGAGAGTTGGTAAGAAATCTTTGTGACTACTGGCATCTACAGATAGATGTCAGAGCTGTTGGCCTGCTAACCTTCTTGGTGGTGGGGGCTCTTAACAGAGAATCTGTGAACATGCCCAAAAGAAGCAAACAGGCTTGATGACCATGGCTGAAATGCAGTGTGATGAAATTCAGGCCCACAAAACACTGAAGGGAGGACATAAGGTGCTTGTGGCTTCACGGAGTTTGGCAGAAAACTTCATTCAGGTCTTTTAAAGGTGGGGAAAAGGTAGTGGCAGTGAGAGTTTAACTATTCAGTCAGTGTCCTAAGCAGGAGAACAGCCAAGCTATCATTTTCTTCTCCTCTGGCTCCAGCTCCTCCCTGACTCACACATGAGAAAGCAGACCTGGATCCAAATGGGGCCTTACAAAGGGTTAAATCTCTGCTCTCCTTCTTCTCAGTGGTCAGACTTTTCTGTGGAAGTCGCCAAGTTTTGGCTGAAGAGAACATTCAGTTCAAAGGTCTTAGAAAAACTATTGAAAGTCAATCTGAAGTTGGAGGCAGAGAGTGAGAGAGAAAAGGGTTTGGGGGTGAGGCATTAACATGCAGACAAATTTTCAACAACAAGCACATTTTCAGTATAATGAATTGCTCCACAGTTGAGCAGTCTAGCCCCCAGGGACCAAGGCTGTGGGCAGGTACTGATGCTCCATTGCCCTCCTTGTCCTCTCCTCTCTGTCCACCCCCCTGCCCAACTCAGCTCTGGGGTCACTCTGCCCTCTAATGGCAATAGCCATTGGCAGAAAATAAAGTCTCCCGTGGAGGGAGGAGATGAAAAAATCAGTAACTCCCCATGGGCCTGCAATTTTCACCTTCTCGTCACTATTGGCCTCTTTGGGGATTTCTATATGTTTGTATGTATGTGTGTATGTATGTACGTATTTATTTATTTATTTATTTATTTTTGAGGAAAAAACACTAGCAAGGTTTTTTGGCTTATTTTTTGTTTTGTTTTTGCTTTTTTTTTTTGTTTGCTTGTTTTTGTTTTGATTTCCCCAGATAATCTTAGCTCTCTAAACTTCCCGTGGCATAAGATAAGTAAACGTTTGTGTGGCTGGCACAGAGTAGTGCTGTAAACAAGCACAACTTGACACTGGGCCATATGAGGATCATCACAGATTTAAAGGCATACAACACCATTCAAAACACAGATAGGAGCCACAATGGGAAGCAAAGTCTGAAGGTGCCATGGGAGGGTTAGATAGGGAGGGAAGAAGAAAAAGAAAGGAGAGAAAGAGAAAAAAAAAGCCCAGCAAATAGAATTCAGGAACATGTTCATGACAGACTGTACATCAATAGAGGAAATTCCCCAAGGCACTGCAGAGGAGTAGTGCAGAGTTATAACAGGCAGAAGACATCTGAAAGGGGGCATGAGCTGGGGTGGGGAAATAGGGTTTCCAATGCTTCACTGGGTGTGGAAATAGATGGGCTTGACTTTCCCAGAAAGGATCTTGGGCACTTGCACAGAGATGATCTCTGCCATCATTTCCGGAAAGTCCACGCTCACCATGTGTGACTTGATTAGCAGGTCAAAAGTGAACTGATGCAGCTCTCTCGCAATCTGTAGGGAACAATAAGAGGGAGAAAAACAGGGTTGACAAGGAGGTGGCCTCTGCTAGCCTCTTCCCCAACCTCTGATTTTTGGTCTTTCAGCCTTTTGTTTCCTCCCCCTTCCCCGTACTTCCTTGGTCCTCCCCCATGAGGTCGTGTGTGTGTGTGTGTGTGTTAGAGAGAGACAGCGAGAGAGAGAGAAAGAAATGGTCTCCATGGAGTCACTGAGGGCTCCCAAGAGATGTCTTATACCATTGTAAGCTCTCTGACTCAAGACTTCTCCAGCTTGTGCTCTCACCCAAGCCTCCGCACTCCATCTCTCTCTCTCTCTCTCTCTCTCTGACACACACACACACACACACACACACACACACACACACACAGACAGACAAACTCACATGAACATGACTCAAAGAAGAGGGGAAAAACATCCAGGTCTGTTTTGTCTGCCTAGAGAATTCATCTGCTGCAAGTCCCTTCCCTGAGTCCCAACTGCTCTGTTCTCAACTCCTCCACCCCTTTCACAATATCCAGCTGGGACACTGTGACCCGTGTTCTTTTCTTCACCACATTTTCTTCCTGGACCACACTCAAAGCCAGAGGGGAATGGAAGCACCTCCCAACAGGTGGTGCCAGACTCTAGAGAAGCATATTATCATTGGCTCTATCAGGCTGTTCTCCCTGATAAAGCACCCTCCATCGTTTGCTTACAGGCTGCACGGAGTCCAGGAGCTTGGTGAGCTGGTAGAAGCGTCTTGAGCAGGATGTGGGATTTTTTCTTTTGCATGCAATGATACGATCGAGTTCCTTGATGTAGTTCATTCGAAGTTCATCAAAGAATTTTTGATTTTTCAGCCCATCCACTGGAACTGATGTGGGATGAAGACAGAATGGGGAGGGGAAGCATGCCCACGAAGGAGCATTAGACAAAGCACCAAGTTTTCTGACCACAGACTTGACCCCCACCCCCACAGGGAACCATCTACTTGGCTTCCTGTTAGTTGAAGTCTGTGTGCTTGGGGCCTTCAGTCTGTCAGGGAGATCTCAGGGGAAAGGATAGCTGGATCCGATCTGAAAGGAGTCAAGTAAATCAAATTTCCTGAACCTTTTCTTTTTCTACTCTTCTCAGATACTCATTTTTTAGGACCTAAGCTTTTATGTCATTCACAGTAAAACCCTGATTTAGATAACCAAAACACATAGCTTTGAATATCAAATTTTGCCCTTCTCCCTCCGTAGGGGCTAAGAGAGGGCTCTTAGAAAAGATATTAAAGAAAAGTTCCTTGGCTGCCATACAAATCCTATCTGAGTTGCTTACATAGATCTCCTCCTGTTGGCAGAAGAGGAAATCTTTCCAGGAGGAAATGCCTCCTGCTCTACTGCCCTGCAAAGAATACAAGGTGGCCCATGTCTGTTTCTATAGCAGAAGCTATGGAAAAATTCAGAGACCTGCTGTAACCAGTCAAAAAGGCCTTGTCCCAAAGACAGACTGGGGATAGGTGGGGAATCTGATGGAGGTTGACTTCTAGCAAATAAATTGGCTTCTAGTCATGAAATTGTTTCTTGTTAGGAAAATGATGCTGAGAGAGAGTAGAGTGGGGATGGGGAGGGGGAATGAAGAAGGGAAATGTCCAGGAGCTGGCTTTTCCCTAATAATGTTTTAATGGCAAAAGTGGTCCTCTCTGAATCTCTGTGCCCTCAGGGGGCATTCCCTGCACTTCTAGGCACTTACTAATGCTGAAGAGTAGCAGTGCTTTCATGCACAGGAATTCCTGGGGGGTGATTTGGAGCCATCCAAACTCTTGAGAGAGGTGCCTCATTCGGACACACTGGCTGTACATCCGGGACTTGTGCATGCGGTACCTGGGAAGGAGATACACAGAGGAAAAAGGAATGAGGGGAAGTTTACAATAAGCCCAGAGGGAATGTCTCTGATTGCCATCCCTCGCCAGGTTTTCCAAGAAGAGCTTGCTGTTTCTCCTGCTGGTGCTCCAGGGACCAGGAAAAGGTTTTTTTGTTTGTTTGTCTGTTTGTTTGTTTTTTTTCTCTCTCTGTTTTCCAAAATCCTGACACCCTGATAACTACTCATCTTCTCTGGCCAGGATATGGGTTAGCACATGGAATTTCCAGGTCTCTGTGCCCCTTCTGTTTTCTGAGTCAGGGACAGGAAAGCCTAACCAAATGAACACAATGGGGGAGGCACATGGTCTCCCTGACTACAGTTCTAACATCTCAGCTACAGCCAGAATGAGAACCTGCCTTCCAGGCAGCTCAACATGAAGGATTTTTAGGAGAAGCCCCAGTAGTCAGCTCTTAACATCAGGACATCAAGATTTGCAAATGACCCGAAGTGTTTGGTCATCCTGTTGACCCCTTTGCCTCTGGCCTGGAATACTAGAAATTTCATACTTATTCAAAAACTCCCAGTGAAGGAGATTCCACATTGTTCTTTCAAAACGAGTTCCAATGTTAAATCTGCCAGGGAGTGTTTTTGAATGTCTAGTTTAAATGTCCCCTGCTGAAGGGGAGCCCATTCCCTCATATGCTGGCTGCTCCTTACCACAGTTTGGAAACTGTAGACATATGTGAGTTGCATTTATTATAGTCACTTCTGAACAGATCACCACATTATCACCTATAAATTATATGGGGAAGTGGCCAATGCTTGGCCAGCTTTTCAAGGAAGAGCAACCTCTCGGTTCCATGGCTGACCATGGCATACCTCTAAGAGAAGACACAGCATCCTCATGCTAGTAGGCCTTCCAGTTTTCAGCACTTCAAAAATCGTGTGTGTGTGTGTGTGTGTGTGTGTGTGTAAGACAGAAATTGATTGTGCAGCGTGTGCAGAAAGGGAAGGAAATTTGACACCCACTTAAGTGGTGAGGACAAAGACCTCCCAGATGGAGCCTAAAGGCTATGGTTTGACATTTTGGTTTCCAAGCCACTAGCCTACTCCATAGGATGAGCAGGCCTGGTATTGTCTGGGTGGAAGCTCAGCATCCTATCTCAGAGAGATCTTGGCTGTCCTGGAGAAAGAGAGAAGAGGGCAGATGGTGTAGAATTATTCAACTCAGGCTGAAGCCCAACTAGAAAGAGGAAGTGTTTAGATGGTATCACAAATCAATTGAGCAGAACAGTGTTGCTCCAAGCTCTTTCACTGTAGAGAATTTTTTAGTAAGATTGGCTGACCCTGAGGTCTGGCTCTGCTCCAGTCTCCAATGTACTTTCCCACCTCTGTTGATGACAATGCTGCAATCTTTTTACCATTGAAATCACAATGCTGGAATGAGGATTCCTTTAACATTGCTGCAGGCCTCAGGGGCAGAAAAAGTGGGGAATGGAGGAAAGAGAAGGGGAAAGGAAAGAGAAGAAATTCATGGGGGAAGGGGAAAAGAAAGGGGGAAAAGGGGAAAAATACTAGGGAGACAGTTAAAGGAAGGAAGAGAGAGGAGAATGGAGGGTAGAAAAATGAGGCAGGAATGGAATTTAGGAAGAGAACAAGGTTGGTGGGAGTGCAAGAGAGAAAATAAGAGGAGAAATGAAGATTGGAAAACACTGAGCACAGTGCCTGACACATAGCAGGTGTTCAATAAATGACATATAGAAAGGTGCTATTATAATACTCTTCAGCAGTCTCCAGATAAAATTTGCGGCACATAGAAGTTCAGTAATTTGCCCAAGGTCACACAGCTAAGGTTCAAGCTCATTATCCTCACAACATGTGATCTCTACAAAGAGAGAAAGAAAGAAAAAAACAGGGCTGATAATAGAGCTTGGTGTTGAAGAGATCAGCAAATGGGTTGACCTACATTGGACAAGTTCTTCTCTCTCTCTTTGGGTCTGAGGCTCCCCATTAGCACCTTAGGAAGGCTGGCAGGGATTAGTTGCACTCAACTGGAGAGTACTGCCTCTTCAGTGGGTGTCAGAAATGTGTGGGAGCAGTTTGGGCTGTCAGAATGACTGGAATCCTATTTGGTATAGAGTAGGCTGGTGCCAGGTATGTTAACCATATTCTACATAATGACAAAATTATTTTTCCCAATATGTCAACAGAATCCATGTTGAGAAACACTTATCTAGATGTTTGTAGACACCCTGAGAGCTCTAACACAGTGGCTTCCTACAGGAGGAATAGGGGTCCTATTGTTTCAGGAGCCCTGGGTTTGATGGGTCTAGGCCTCTGACCCCGTAGGGAGGCCTTTTTATAAGATGAACAAGACTGGACCAGGAAGCCGAGGTGGGATGCCACATGCTTACTTAGAGGCAGAGAAGGAAATGAGGATTTAGAGAACAACCAATTATCACTTTTCAAAGCTCCAAAGGTCTCAGGGCTCTGGGGAAGGTAGAGCAGGTGCTCATGGAGTTGATTCAACTGCTTAAGGGCAGCAGGGGTTTAAGGATGGGAGATGAACAGTTAGGGGGCTTTTCAAGGCCTGCCCCAGAAGATGGCATCATAGGCAACTTTGCGGAGATCTGAAAACCACAAAGCAGTTTGTGCCAAAAGCCTAGTGGTTATTCTTAGCTTTTGGCTACCAGGCTGGCAGGGTTGGGAGAGGGCAGCTGGGGACGCTCACTCTCCCTCGCATTGCAGTGCTGTACTGGAAGGAACCATTGGCCTGTAGATTTTATTTTAAGACTCTTCTGGGTTAGAGGGCTGAAGAGGGGGGAAGGTCAATTCCTGTCCTGACTGGAAGGATTCTCTGTGGTGAGACTAGCTCAAGGTCCTTGGGAAGATTTCTCTGGCCAGCTCCATTCACAATGCCATCGAGGGACCTCATACAGCAGACATAGAAAAGATTATCATGCCCGGCTGAGGCGGGCAGATCATGAGGTCAGGAGTTTGAGACCAGCCTGGCTAACATGGTGAAATCCCGTCTCTACCAAAAATACAAAAATTAGATGGACACGGTGGCGGGCATCTATAATCCCAGCTACTCGGGAAGCTGAGGCAGGAGAATTGCTTGAACCAGGGAGGTGGAGGTTGCACTGGGCTGAGATCATTGCGCCACTGCCCTCCAGCCTGGGTGGCAGAGCAAAACCCCATCTCGGGGAAAAAAAATGTATCACTATTAGGGAAAGGGTGAATCAGAAAGGGACTTTTTTTTTCCTTCTTGCCTACTATGGGCCAGACATTCCACATCTGTCAATTCCCATTTAGTTATCATAAGAAATTACTTATGAAGGTTCTGTTATCATTAATGGATGAAGAAATTGAGGGTCGGAAAAGTTAAAGGTCTTTCCCAAAGATGCTGACTAAGAAAATAGTAGAACTGAGATTTTAGTGGAGAAAAATGTAATTCCAAAATCTGAGCCACTGGCCAAATTCATGATGTTATATGGAGCTGGTGGCAGGGCAGGTATTAATTAAAGCTGTTTAAGGGAAGGAAAATGGCAGTACCAAGGTCACACAGCCAGAGAGCGGTAGAGGTACTCCTTCCCATCAGTTACCACCATGACGCAGAAGAGCTGAGATCGACAGGGACATACGTTTGAATCTTGTCTCCAACAGGCACTAGCTCTGTGACTTTGGGTGAGTCACTTTATTTTGCTGAGCCTGATTTTCCCCATCCATAAAAAAATAGTGTTATCTATAAAAAGGTGAGGTCAGGTCACCATGAGGACTCAATGAGCTAGGATTTAGAAAGTATCTAGCATAGTCTTGGCACAAACTAGTTGCTCAGCAAATGGTGACTAGAAGTAGCCTTTGGTGGTAGCAAAAGAACCCAAGAAACTCCAGCCCTTAAAGCCAGAGTCTTTCTGCCTCTTTTATATGTGAAGGGGAGGAATCTTTCCATGTGGTTTTGAGATAAGCTGCAAAGCAGACCAGAAATATGACTAGGATTGGTTCTTGGGTGTGAAAGGGGTGGTCTCAGCACCATCCTCCTGGGCTCCTGCCAGTTGGCTGAAAGCCAGGGCAAAGCCGCCTCATACTGGATTGGCTGGCTGGGGCATCCGCTGCGACAACTGCAGATCAAATGAGCTAAGCTTCACTGTCACCCCATCACCATCACCACCAACCAGGTCTGGCCAAGCTGCTGTATTTTAGTGAGGTCTGGGCCCCAGGAGCACTTACTCATTGAAAACCAGATCAGGGGCGAAGTAGAGCATCCTGGAGTTGACATTGGTGAAGGATCGCCAGCCCATGGCAAACACCATGAGCCCCATCCAGGAGTACTGAATGACAGCCATCTGGTCGTCCACGTGTAAGTTGCGGAAGCCTGGAGAAGAAGAGGCAGAGGCAGTGGTCAGTCTGGGTACTGACGGGTTGAGCTAAGTCTGAGTCCCTGTTGGGCAGAGATGCTCTGGTATTCGGGCATCCCCTAAGGATCCCCAGGGACCATCCAGGCTGGCCATTAAGGGGTGGTGGGGAAAAGCACAAACTATATGGTGAGGATAATATTCCTTATCCTCCCTACTTCCCTGAGCTGCTCAAATGAGATGATGATGGAGACAAAAAGGGCATTGTCAGTTGTAAGAGAAAAATAATCTAACACTTATTGACTGCTTATATGAGTGAACTCTTTTTTTCTTTTGCTATTGGATTGCTCTTTTTTAAAAAAATTAAAAATAATTTTGGGTACATGATAGTTGTATGTATTTATGGGGTACATTTAACTCTTTTCTAAGCACTTTACTTATATTATCTCATTTAACATTCACAACAATGAGTAAGGTAAGTACTATTATTATCTCCATTCTGTGAACCAGTACAAGTGAGTCAGAGAGAGGTTAAGGAACTTGTCCAAGATCATACAGCTAGTAATTGGCAGACCAAGTTACAAAGCAAAGCAGTCAGATTCCAAGGTCTGTGCTCTTGATCACTTCACCTTTCCAAAGATGCAGTTTAACAATCATTTCCCCCACATAAACAGCAGTTTTCACTTCACAAAGCTGTTTTCCAGCTACGATCTGGTTTGACCCTTCTAACAACCCTGGGAGATGGATATTACATACAGTGTACAGGGTATGGAGAGATGTCTTGACAGCCACTGCCACCTGTTCACCACTTTCATGTTCCCTCTCTTGCGTCCATCCTCTTTCTGCCTGGCATTTCCTCTCCATTCTTTTCTACTCAATAGGTACCCTGGCCCTACTAATTTCCCACCCTACTGCCATCCTCATCTTACTGCCATCATTATACATGAATAGGCCCTTTATGACCTGCCTACCTAGACTGATCTCTTGCCACTTGCGCTCTCACATGCCTCTATATCTCTGTTATCTCTGCACAGGCAGTTACTTTTGCCTAGAATGCATTCCTCCTTCTCAGGCCTTTCATCCGGTAAACACTACTCATCTTTCAAGTCTTCACTCAAAGGCTACCTCTTCTGTGAAGGCTTTCCCAACTCATCCAAGAAGAAGGCTTAAAGATTCTTCTTTTACATTCTCATTGCACCTTGTGTAGCCTCACCCAATTATAGCAGTCATTACACAGCATTGAAGTCTATGTATATACATGTCTGTCTCCCCCACAAGACTTGGAGCTTCTTGAAGACAGGGACCATATCTTCTTATTTATCTTTACCTCCCTAGTACTTAGTACAGTCCACGTATTTGAGTGGGCACTTAAGAAATATTACCTAAACAAATGGCCTAAAGACCCTCAATTTTTTTTCCTTTTGTAAAATGAGAATTAAATGATCTCCAAATTACCTCCCTTAAGCTCAGAGAGCAGAGGCTCCCAGAAGCTACGTCTACAATAATACACAGGTAGAACAGACATGGCCATGTTCTCCTGGAGTTTTTGAAACAGTTGGATGCTTAAAGTTATAAAGGCATCACCTCAGAGCTCGTCCCTACCAACACTCTCTCTTCTCACCAACAAATCCAGAATTATCTGAAATTTTGTCATCATACCTCATTAGGAATGCTTCCCCAAATTTAGATCAAACTTCTCACTTTCCTGTTGATGACCTAATTTAACTCTCACAATAATCCCAGAGGTTAGGTGATGTGGCACTTATTTTACCAACAAGGAACATGAGGGCCAGAGAAATAAACTGACTTACCCAAGGTCATATGGTTTATATGTGGCTGAACTAATACTAGAACCCAGGTGTTCTGATTCTCTTCTCCAGTGTTTTTTCTACTCCACTAATGAAGGTTACAGCTCAGGAACTACCAAGGTCACCAGCTTTTGTCAGCCATAGGATCAGGTCTGAAGTCTACATTATCCAGACACATTGTTCTGCTTGGTTGGTCCCTGTCCACTCATATAGCCCCATTTCCCTGTTCTTTTCTTTTAGATCCTAGGCCTTCCAGGTATCAGGGATTCTAGAGTCCCTCATCTTAGCAGTCTTAGCTCCCAGGCCTGTGCTTCCCACCTTCACTGTAATGACACGCTGACAGACCGGCTGGAGCCTCAGATCCCAGAGTAGTTCCTGCTTGGAACCCTTCTGTAGCACAGAATGCCTTGGACTGACCCTTCTCAGCAGGAAATAAGAAGCAGGGTCTAAGCATGTAGCAACCAAGGATCTCTTAGAGAAGAGGCCTGGGAGGTTGACCCTGAATATCTTGGGTAGGAGGCAGTGGGGAGCAAGAAAAGCTTTTGGCTGGTGAACCTTGGTCTTCTGGTGGAATGTGTGAATGTGAAGGCACATGGAAGGATGAGAATTAAATTGTACAGGTATCAAGCAAATTGTCCATACTGATGCTTATTTTTTTCTCCCTAAAATGCCACCGAACTAACAAAGAGGAGAGAAAAGGGAAAGCTTAATTTGGCCATAATATTAATTAACCGTCCTTAATGAGAGCTGCTTAGCACTCAAACCCAGTAACTGTGCACATATCAGCAATATGGCTGGCTAACCTCCCTAGAGTCTAATCTGATTATAATACCTGACTCTGTTCTCTAATGCCCAATCTCTGAAGTAGCCTACATGACTATCAAGGGATTACTTGAGGAAAGAGTAGCTGCAACCCTACAGATTTCCTTAAGTATGCATTCACTCAACACCCATTTGCCACTGTGTTAGGCTGTTCTGGAGAAACAGAGAGGAGTCATTCTCAGGTTCTGAAACACATTAAACACGCTAGGGAGCAGAAGCAGTTTCTTTGAGACTCTGTTTTCTCACTAGAATCCGATTGACATCATATTTTTTTCATGTGCAGCAGAAACTTGTAGTCTCCTGTCTAGTCTGGGAGAATGGGCTCAAAGAAAGGCCAGTTTGGAAATCTTTGCTGCTGTAGTACATCTGCCAGCCGAGGTCTTCAGAGAACACAATTTCACCTTGGGGTCCATGCATGAGCTTCTAGGCAAGGCAAGTGGTAGCTAAAATTGAGTTTCGTGAAAGCAGTGGCTTAGCATTCAAGTCTCATAATAATAAACCACCATTTACAGAGCATTGACTATGTTTCAGGCTACGTTACTAGGTGCTCTTTATACATAATCTTTTTGTTGACAACAATTTGAAAGGTAGTGATTATTCTATCATCTTACAAATGAGGACACAGAAGCACAGAGAAGACATGTGATTTGCTCAAGGTCACAGAACTAGTCCATAGCTAGGATTCCAAACCAGATAAATTTGATTCTAAATATACTGTGCACACCCAGTCTACTCACCCACTCCAAATTAACAGTTATCATTTATTAATGTGCCAGGTACTCTACTAGGCAATTTTCATACATCTTTACTGTCACAGAAAACTTAAAACAAAATTTATCTTATTAGGGGCCTAGCACAGTTCATCTTACAGGTCAAGAACTCAATCTATTGAATTAGCAAATTACTTGTACTTGTAGGTAATTATAGATAATATGAAGAACAGTTCTTGTGAATGTGGTAATTGGCTTTCTTTTGAAGCTATTCTTTTAAAAGACTTGGGGTCAGAAATCATTTAGTCTGGCAAGCTAGATGGTGAACTGATATTGGCTTGCAGATTTGTTAATGTAAGGGGAGGGGGCTTTCCATCTTGGTGGTTGGGCCAAGGAAAGCCCCAGTGATCCCAAGTCATACAAATTCTGCTATAGTGTTTTGCACTAGGTTATTGTCAAGATAACCAATTTAGAAACCCGAAGGTCTAGGTCAAGTTCTGGTTCCATGTGTTAAGTGACCAAATGGAGCAAGTTAGTTAACCTCTTTGAGCCTTGGCATGTGAAATGGAAATAATAGTCTCTATGATTCATAGAATTGTTGTAAAGATTAAGTGGGATCATATATATGAAAAAGCTCTGTAGCCTATAAAATGAGATAAGTGTTTGGAAACTGCTTGGGAAGATTAAACTTTGAATCTCTGTCAAACACATGATATCAAAATATCCAGATGAAAAAGTGATAAGAATTAAAGCAACCTTCTCCTTTTTCTTTTTTATATTTTTCCTCTCTGAGTGAACCCTCTGTTTTGGCACAGAGCATATCCAGTCAGAGTCCTTGGGTTTCCTTCCCAGTGTTCTTATTGGCTAGTCGACCTCAGCTTCCCAAGCTGAGAAGGTATAAGAGATGGTTAGGGCTGTGACCAGGCCCTGTGAGTTGGAAATACAAATCTAAGACTTGACAGCCAACATGAAATGTCTTCAAATGCAACAAGCCCATACTATGACCCAAGTGGCCTTCAATGAAGCCTTGGCCCCTCACTGTAAAGCCCAGAGCTACAGAACTGCAGTGGTGCTACAGCCTACAGGTGGAGTGGAATAGAGAGAATTTGGAATCAGGAGAGAACCTGGGCTCAAGTTCTGGTCCTGCTATTTTCTGACTATGTAACTATAGGCCAATCACATCATTCTCACAGCTTCCCTATTTGGTCTGTAAAATAAGAGAAAGAATCTCATGTTATAGGATTCCTATAAGAATCAATTCAGGTAATACATACAAAATTGCTCTGTTCACTATAAATTTCTACCTGAATGGCAGTTATTATTGAAAGGCAGGTTAATCTTTGACTCCACAAGAGAAGGTTTGGTTGTTGTTATTTCAAAAGAATCTTTGAATCATAATTGCAGGATTAGGAGAACCTTTAAAGGGCATATACTTCACTGGTTTTCAAACTGTGTTCCTTGGAGCCCTAAGATTTTGCAAGAGTGACCTAGGGCTTCCCTGGGATAGAGAGAAAGAGGCTGAACTGGTGAGGCCCAAGCTACAGGCTCTGGCTTTAAATAAACTAGCTCCACTTGTATCTGTGTACAATTCTTTTGAGAAATAAAGCACTTGGCTGCTAAAGGAAAGTTTGTGAATCATTGGATAGAGGATCTCTAAGAATTCCTTAAGCTGTAATATTTTAATAACCAGACTTGTTTAAACAACAGATGACATAAGAAAGAAGTGAGTTCCCCATCACTGAGGAACTTCTGTTATCCAACTTCTGTTAGACCAACACTTGGTAATTCTTTCACTATTACCTAATCTTTCCTCTCATTATGATTCCTTAGGTAGTTTAAGGTGCAAAAAGCGTTCCTTTTTTCAAAAACTGGAAACCATCAATTTGATACAAACCACGCTTTATACATTATACAGATAGAGAAATTGAGACCCAGAAGGGGAAGGGATCACACAATAAGTTACTAGCAGAGCTAAGAGCAGACCCGAAGTGTTCTGATTCCCAACCTCATGTTCTTTCCACCATACCATATTATGAGAGTTCCCATGATATAGCTCCTAAAGATGACATTGAAGACAGAATGTCAGTCAAACTAGAGATTATCTTTGGGGTGAGCCTGTGTGTGCAAATATAGAAGAGCATCCTAAGGCATATATGGGTATGTCTATGTGATTTGTGATTAATGGAAAATTTGCTGACCATTTTTGTGAGTTGAATATGAAAGCATGACTGCTGTGCATCAATGTGGGCCACATAAGACACCCGATAATACTATCTTTCTCTTTGCTTTCTGAGTTTCGATCCCTGTATGTTTAAATTGAGACTTGTAACAATCCCTCTCCCACAGGGTTATGATGAAGACTGCCTGAGTTAATGGGCAGAAAAGCACCAGACATGGTGGCTGGTCCATAGGAGCGTTCACTAAATATGATCCCCCTTATCTCATGCTCCCACTTCCCTTTTCCTTACCAGGCAAGGCCTTGGCCCACTTGACCACGTGTACAAGCTGTCTCTCTCCCAGTTCATTGAGGCTAGAGAGCAAGGCTGCAAAGGAGTCGGGCTGGTTGTTGTCGTGTCCAGCACACACTACACCTGGCTCAATGGCTTCCAGGACATTCAGAAAGATGGGCTGACATTCATAGCCTTCAATGTGTGACACTGTCAGCTTCTGGGTTGTCTCCTCAGTGGGGCTGGTGGTGCTGGAAGCCTCTCCTTCCTCCTGTAGTTTCAGATTACCAAGTTTCTTCAGCTTCCGGGCTATTGGGAAGGAAGAGAGACTTGAATTTATCATCAGTGGTCAAAAACACACAATGCAACTACCTTTTTAGAAAAACTGCCCTAGCTAAGAAAATCACCATTCTCCCTGGTCACAGACTCTAAACTCCTTAAGGACAAGTGCTCATTCAACACTGGTTAAATGTATAATTCATCATCCCAAATACCTGCTAAACCCAAATTTTTCATAGCTTGCAGAGGAAAACTCTGATTCTTGTGCTAGACCAACCTAGCATATCCTTGGATCCAGCTCTGCCTGAATGCAGCCTTCAGTATTCATACCTGGAACTTTAATTAACGTATTTACTAATATATTAATGATTCATTTTCGTTCATTCATTCAGCAGATATCCATTGTTAGACCTTTGCTTCTGGGTGACAGAAAAGACACAGGCCCTGGCCCAGTCTGGTAGCCTGGCCACAATCAATTCTAGAAAACGTTGGACTGGAAAATGCTGCAATGGAGGCATCAACAAAATAGGAAAACACTAATCTTTTTACATAGGTGGGTTTAGAAAATGCTTTATATGGAAGATAGTATTTGATAGAATTTGAAGATTGATGAGGATTTCACCAGGCAAAGGTGGGCAGAAAGGGCATAAACAAAAGCACCAAGGAGTGTTCAGGGAAAAACTAGACACTAGTATGGCTGAAACATATGTTGCATATATGGGAAAGTGGTTAATAATGAGGTTGAAAGCAAAGATGGTGCTTGATTTTAAAGGAGCATGTATATCATATTAAGAAATTTGGCTGGGTAAGGTGGTTCATGCCTGTAATCCCAGCATTTTGGGAGGCTGAGATGGGAGGAGTGCTTGAGGCCAGGAGCTCAAGATCAGCCTGAGCAACACCACAAGACAATACACCATCTCCACAAAAAATAGTAAAAAACCAAATTAGCTGGGTCTGGTGGTGCACATCTGTAGTCTCTGCTACTCAGGAGGCAGAGGTGGAAGGATTCCTTGAGCCCAGGGGTTCCAGGCTGCAGTGGGCTATGATTGTGCCACTGATGCTCTAGCCTGGGTGACATAGTAAAACACTGTCTCTAAAAAAATAAAAATAAAAGCTAAGTTTGTATTTTATCATATAAGTGATAGACAAATACTGAATGTTGTAATTCAAAGGAGTGATGTACATGTGTCTATGTCTAGCATGTCTAGCCGATTGCTAGGGAAAGAGACTAGAAATGGAGAATGACTAGACTTGTTCTTTGGGTCCCAGAAAGAACAGTGAATTGGATTTTAGTCTCTCCTTCTCTTTCTGTCTCTCTCTCTCTCTCTAAACACACACACACACACACGCACACTCACACACACATGCACACACAAAAACACACACACATACATTTTGATAGTTAAAGCTCTTGGAGACGGAAAGGTTGGCAGGCACACATATCACTGGAAATGAGAAAATACTAGACACACAGTGGTTAAGAATTCAAGCATCATATGGGAATGGGGTTTTTAAAAGTGGCCTTGAAGGTCCTTTCCATCCTCAGACTATCAAATTCTATCCTATCATTTTGGGCTCAACATATGACAATTTTATGGTATTCCATTTCCCATTGAATACACATAGTTGCTCATAGTTGAACATGCATGATTCATAAGATGGCCGAATAGGAACAGCTCCAGTCTACAGCTCCCAGCGTGAGTGACGCAGAAGATGAGTGATTTCTGCATTTCCGACTGAGGTACCGGGTTCATCTCACTGGGGCTTGTTGGACAGTGGGTACAGGACAGTGGGTGCAGTGCACCAAGTGTGAGCCAAAGCAGGGAGAGGCATCGCCTCACCCGGGAAGTGCAAAGGGTCAGGAAATTCCCTTTCCTAGCCAAGCAAAGCTGTGACAGATGGCACCTGGAAAATTGGGTCACTCCCACCCTAATACTGCACTTTTCCAATGGTCTTAGCAAACGGCACACCAGGAGATTATATCCCACACCTGGCTCGGAGGGTCCCACGCCCATGGAGCATCGCTCACTGCTAGCAGAGCAGTCTGAAATCGAACTGCAAGGCAGCAGTGAGGCTGGGGGAGGGGCACCCGCCATTGCTGAGGCTTGAGTAGGTAAACAAAGCAGCTGGGAAGCTCGAACTGGGTGGAGCCTACCGCAACTCAAGGAGGCCTGCATGCCTCTGTAGACTCCACCTCTGGGGGCAGGGCATAGCCGAACAAAAGGCAGCAGAAACCTCTGCAGACTTAAATGTCCCTGTCTGACAGCTTTGAAGAGAGTAGTGGTTCTCCCAGCACACAGCTGGAGATCTGAGAACGGACAGACTGCCTCCTCAAGTGGCTCCCTGACCCCCGAGTAGCCTAACTGGGAGACACCCACCAGTAGGGGCAGACTGATACCTCACATGGCTAGGTACCCCTCTGAGACGAAACTTCCAGAAGAATGAGTAGGCAGCAACATTTGCTGTTCAGCAATATTCGCTGTTCTGAGCCTCTGCTGCCGACACCCAGGCAAACAGGGTCTAGAGTGGACCTCCAGCAAACTCCAACAGACCTGCAGCTGAGGGTCCTGACTGTTAGAAGGAAAACTAACAAACAGAAAGGACATCCACACCAAAATCCCATCTGTATGTCACCATCATCAAAGACCAAAGGTAGATAAAACCACAAAGATGGGGAAAAAACAGAGCAGAAAAACTGAAACATTCTAAAAATCAGAGCCCCTCTTCTCCTCCAAAGGAACACAGCTCCTCACCAGCAACAGAACAAACCTGGACGGAGAATGACTTTGATGAGTTGAGAGAAGGCTTCAGATGACCAAATTTCTCCAAGCTAAAGGAGGAAGTTTGAACCCATCGCAAAGAAGTTAAAAACCTTGAAAAAAGATTAGACGAATGGCTAACTAGAATAATCAATGTAGAGACGGCCTTAAATGACCTGATGGAGCTGAAAACCATGGCACGAGAACTATATGACGAATGCACAAGCTTCAGTAGCTGATTCGATCAACTGGAAAAAAGGGTATCAGTGATTGAAGATCAAATGAATGAAATGAAGCGAGAAGAGAAGTTTAGAGAAAAAAAGAGTAAAAAGAAACGAACAAAGCCTCCAAGAAATATGGGACTATGTGAAAAGACCAAATCTACATCTGATTGGTGTACCTGAAAGTGACAGGGAGAATGGAACCAAGTTGGAAAACACTCTGCAGGATATTCCCCAGGAGAACTTACCCAACCTAGCAAGACAGGCCAACATTCACATTCAGGAAATACAGAGAACGCCACAAAGATACTCCTCGAGAAGAGCAACTCCAAGACACATAATTATCAGATTCGCCAAAGTTGAAATGAAGGATACAATGTTAAGGGCAGCCAGAGAGAAAGGTCGGGTTACCCACAAAGGGAAGCCATCAGACTAACAGTGGATTTCTTGGCAGAAACTCTACAAGCCAGAAGAGAGTGGGGGCCAATATTCATCATTCTTAAAGAAAAGAATTTTCAACCCAGAATTTCATATCCAGCCAAACTAAGCTTCATAAGTGAAGGAGAAATAAAATACTTTAAAAACAAGCAAATGCTGAGAGATTTTGTCACCACCAGGCCTGCACTACAGGAGCTCCTGAAGGAAGCACTAAACATGGAAAGGAACAACCGGTACCAGCCACTGCAAAAACATGCCAAATTGTAAAGACCATCGAGGCTAGGAAGAAACTGCATCAACCAACGAGCAAAAGAACCAGCTAACATCACAATGACAGGATCAAATTCACATATAACAATATTAACCTTAAACGTAAATATTAACCTAAATGCTCCAATTAAAAGACACAGACTGGCAAATTGGATAAAGAGTCAAGACCCATCAGTGTGCTGTATTCAGGAAACCCATCTCATGTGCAGAGACACATATAGGCTCAAAACAAAGGGATGGAGGAAGATCTACCAAGCAAATGGAAAACCAAAAGAGGCAGGGATTGCAATGCTAGTCTCTGATAAAACAGACTTTAAACCAACAAAGATCAAAAGAGACAAAGAAGGCCATTACATAATGGTAAAGGGATCAGTTCAACAAGAAGAACTAACTATCCTAAATATATATGCACCAATACAGGAACAACCAGATTCATAAAGTGATTACTTAGAGACCTACAAAGAGACTTAGACTCCCACACAATAATCAAGGGAGACTTTAACACCCCACTGTCAACATTAGACAGATCAACAAGACACAAAGGATATCCAGGAATTGAACTCAGCTCTGTACCAAGTGGACCTAATAGACTTATACAGAACTCTCCACCCCAAATCAACAGAATATACATTCTTCTCAGCACCACACCACACCTATTCCAAAATTGACCACTGAGTTGGAAGTAAAACACTCCTCAGCAAATGTAAAAGAACAGAAATTATAACAAACTGTCTCTCAGACCACAGTGCAATCAAACTGGAACTCAGGATTAAGAAACTCACTCAAAACCACTCTACTACATGGAAACTGAACAACCTGCTCCTGAATGACTACTGGGTACATAATGAAATGAAGGCAGAAATAAAGATGTTCCTTGAAACCAATGAGAACAAAGACACAACATACCAGAATCTCTGGGACACATTTAAAGTAGTGTGTAGAGGGAAATTTATAGCACCAAATTCCCACAAGAGAAAGCAGGAAAGATCTAAAATTGACACCCTAACATCACAATTAAAAGAACTAGAGAAGGAAGAGCAAACACATTCAAAAGCTAGCAGAAGGCAAGAAATAACCAAGATCAGAGAAGAACTGAAGGAGATAGAGACATGGGAAACCCTTCAAAAAATCAATGAATCCAGGAGCTGGTTTTTTGAAAAGATCAACAAAATTGATAGACTGCTGGCAAGACTAATAAAGAAGAAAAGAGAGAAAAATCAAATAGATGCAATAAAAAATGATAAAGGGGAGATCACCACCGATCCCACAGAAATACAAACTACCATCAGAGAATACTATAAATACCTCTATGCAAATAAACTAGAAAATCTAGAAGAAATGGATAAATTCCTCGACACATACACCCTCCCAAGACTAAACTAGGAGGAAGTTGAATCTCTTAATAGACCAATAACAGGTTCTGAAATTGAGGCAATAATTAATAGCTTACCAGCCAAAAAAAGTCCAGGACTAGATGGATTTCACAGCTGAATTCTACCAGAGGTACAAGGAGGAGCTGGTACCATTCCTTCTGAAACCATTCCAATCACTAGAAAAAGAGGGAATCCTCCCTAACTCATTTTATGAGGCCAGCATCATCCTGATACCAAAGCCTGGCAGAGACACAACAAAAAAAGAGAATTTTACACCAATATCCCTGATGAATATCGATGCAAAAAACCTCAATACAATACTGGCAAACTGAATCCAGCAGCACATCAAAAAGCTTATCCACCATGATCAAGTGGGCTTCATCCCTGGGATGCAAGACTGGTTCCACATATGCAAATCAATAAATGTAATTGAGCATACAAACAGAACCAAAGACAAAAACCACATGATTATCTCAATAGATGCAGAAAAGGCCTTTGACAAAATTCAACAGCCCTTCATGCTAAAAACTCTCAATAAATTAGGTATTGATGGGACGTATCTCAAAATAATAAGAGCTATTTATGACAAACCCA
Source organism: Homo sapiens (assembly GCF_000001405.40). Classification (NCBI taxonomy): domain Eukaryota; kingdom Metazoa; phylum Chordata; class Mammalia; order Primates; family Hominidae; genus Homo; species Homo sapiens. Next base: position 67,705,776 of record NC_000023.11, on the reverse strand, counting down.
CAGCCAATATCATACTGAATAGGCAAAAACTGGAAGCACTCCCTTTGAAAACTGGCACAAGACAGGGATGCCCTCTCTCACCATTCCTATTCAACATAGTGTTGGAAGTTCTGGCTAGGACAATCAGGCAGCAGAAAGAAATAAAGGGTATTCAATTAGGAAAAGAGGAAGTCAAATTGTCCCTGTTTGCCGATGACATGATTGTATATCTAGAAAACCCCATTGTCTCAGCCCAAAATCTCCTTAAGCTGATAAGCAACTTCAGCAAAGTCTCAGGATACAAAATCAATGTGCAAAAATCACAAGCATTCTTATACACCAATAACACACAAACAGAAGCCAAATCATGAGTGAACTCCCATTCACAACTGCTTCTAAGAGAATAAAATACCTAGGAATCCAACTTACAAGGGACGTGAAGGACCTCTTCAAGGAGAACTACAAACCACTGCTCAATGAAATAAAAGAGGATACAAAGAAATGGAAGAACATTCCATGCTCATGGGTAGGAAGAATCAATATCGTGAAAATGGCCATACTGCCCAAGGTAATTCATAGATTCAATGCCATCCCCATCAAGCTATCAATGACTTTCTCCACAGAATTGGAGAAAACTACTTTAAAGTTCATATGGAACCAAAAAAGAGCCTGCATTGCCAAGACAATCCTAAGCCAAAAGAACAAAGCTGGAGGTATCACGCTACCTGACTTCAAACTATACTACAAGGCTACAGTAACCAAAACAGCATGATACTGGTACCAAAACAGAGATATAGATCAATGGAACAGAACAGAGCCCTCAGAAATAATGCTGCGTATCTACAACCATCTGATCTTTGACAAACCTGACAAAAACAAGAAATTGGGAAAAGATTCCCTATTTAACAAATGGTGCTGTGAAAACTGGTTAGCCATATGTAGAAAGCTGAAACTGGATCCCTTCCTTACACCTTATAGAAAAATTAATTCAAGATGGATTCAAGACTTAAATGTTAGACCTAAAACCATAAAACCCTAGAAGAAAACCTAGGCAATACCATTCATGACATAGGCACCGGCAAGGACTTCATGTCTAAAACACCAAAAGCAATGGCAACAAAAGCCAAAATTGACAAATGGGATCTAATTAAACTAAAGAGCTTCTACACAGCAAAAGAAACTACCATCAGAGTGAACAGGCAACCTACAGAATGGGAGAAAATTTTTTCCATCTACTCATCTGACAAAGGGCAAATACCCAGAATCTACAAAGAACTCAAACAAATTTACAAGAAAAAAACAAACAACCCCATCAAAAAGTGGGCAGAGGATATTAACAGATACTTCTCAAAAAAAGACATTTATGCAGCCAACAGACACATGAAAAAATGCTCATCATCACTGGCCATCAGAGAAATGCAAATCAAAACCACAATGAGATACCATCTCACACCAGTTAGAATGGCGATCATTAAAAAGTCAGGAAACAACAGGTGCTGGAAAGGATGTGGAGAAATAGGAACACTTTTACACTGTTGGTGGGACTGTAAACTAGTTCAACCATTGTGGAAGTCAGTGTGGTGATTCCTCAGGGATCTAGAACTAGAAATACCATTGCACCCAGCCATCCCATTATTGGGTATATACCCAAAGGATTATATGTCATGCTGCTCTAAAGGTACATGCACACATATGTTTATTGTGGCACTATTCACAATAGCAAAGCCTTGGAACCAACCCAAATGTCCATCAATGATAGACTGGATTAAGAAAATGTGGCATATATACACCATGGAATACTATGCAGCCATAAAAAATGATGAGTTCATGTCCTTTGTAGGGACATGGATGAAGCTGGAAACCATCATTCTCAGCAAACTATCTCAAGGACAAAAAGCCAAACACTGCATGTTCTCACTCACAGGTGGGAATTGAACAATGAGAACACCTGGACACAGGAAGGGGAACATCACACACTGGGGCCTGTTGTGGGGTTGGGGAAGGGTGGAGGGATAGCATTAGGAGATATACTTAATGTAAATAAGGAGTTAATGGGTGCAGCACACCAACTTGGCACATGTATACATATGTAACAAACCTGCAAGTTGTGCACACGTACCCTAGAACTTAAAGTATAATAAAAAATATTTAAAAAAATGCACTGTAACATACATATTGATTTTTTTCTTTTTTAGCAAAGGGGAGAAGAGCGGTGAAAGGCTGAAGTCCTCAATAGTATCAAAGAAGTGAGAGAATCTTTCTGCCTCTGCCATCAGTCTGTAAAATGGGAACTATGCTAGGAGACAGTCATTGGAAAGAATGATAGAAATAACATTATTTAAGACAACCACAATAATCCAAAACTCAAACCTTAAGAACCATCTTCCCCATGTGCTCACACACACAATTTAGAGGTCCTTAGGCATTCCGATGCTTACTTTGTACTATTTTTTCCAGTATTTATATAGACAGAAATATAAATAATTGAAAAGGTCATAATTCTGAGGTCTAGCATAAGCAGTTGCACTGAGAAAGACCATGAACCACTTTAATCCCTTTAACATAATAATAATAAATAAGAAAGGTAGAAACCAAAGAGAGAATTTTATTGCTCAATTTAAATGGATAAATACAACAAAACCTGCTCTCATCTGTGTCTGGCCCCTGTGAAAAAAGATACAACCTGGAACTGACTTTTTTTTTAGTTTTTATTTATTTTTTGAAGGAGGATCTTCCTCTGTCACCCAGCTGGAGAGCAGTGGCACGATCAAAGCTCACTGTAGCCTCAACTTCCTGGGCTCAAGCAATTCTCCCTCCTCAGTCTCCCAAGTAGCTGGGACCAGAGTTGTACACTACCACTCCTGGTTAACATTTTTTGTAGAGATGGGATCTCACTATGTTGTCCAGGCTGGACTCAAACTCCTGGCCTTAAGCAATCCTCCCATCTCGGCCTCCCAAAGTGCTGGGATTATAGGCGTGAGCCACCACACCCAGCCTGGAACTGACTTTTAGTTCTAATTAGAAAAAGAAGTCCTTCAATGCAAACTCCAGTCATGGTGTCACCCAATAAATCACTGCAAGAATGGATTACATGTTTGGACCAACAACTAGGGTAGGGAAGAGGAAAATAGTGGGGTTGGTGTTGCAAGAGGAACACAGAAGAACTCAGGGGAAAATAACAAGGAAGCCTGGAAAACCAGCCCTGAGTGCAAGATGACTTTGTCCAACAATCATTTCTGCGGGGCTTTGGCACAGCCAGTAATAAGGAGATATGCATAGCCACTGCCAACACCCACATCCCACCAAAGGCACAGGCTGCAAGGTATGATCTGGGCCAAGACCATCTTCTTGAGTTAGAGGCCTGAACCCCACAATAACTTGTCATTTGGTGGGCTTATTGCAAACATGAGTTCTTGGACACAGCTCCACAGACTGGTGGCCTACAGGATCTGCTCCCCTGCTACAGTTCCTACAGAAAGACCCCATCTTCCCCATTACTGGACCTTTCTAGCTTTGAGCTCGGGAGTTGCCAGACCATTTAGTCCCCTTAAGGGTAACTACTAATTTTTTCAGGGCCTTCTGCGTGCCTCGCTTCATCACATTACATCACTTAATTCCACATGATCTTAGGAGGTTAAAGATATTTCTTATCCCTATTTTACAAATGAATAAACTGAGGTAACACAGCTATAAAAAAGGTGAGAACCCAATCATCTGAACCTCATCTTCTGATTATAAAGCCCATATTCTCTCTACTGCCTCCCCAAGGAATCTGAAGCCCTGAACCCTACTTCTAACTCAAAAGCAGAGTTGAGGAGTGGGGCTGGGGTTATATCATCCCTGCCTCCCTTCTTCACCCTTGACTCCAAACTTCATAACTAGTATCAAATCCAGAAGGGAATAGACAGGAGGCTATGAGAATACTCCAGTCATCTGCCCAAACTGGAATAGATTTGGGACACTATAGTGGCTTAAAGATTTTCAGCATGACAAAACAGGAAGGGTCCTTAGAAATTATCTTATCCAATGGTGACAGATTAAAAGATCTTCAGGCTCTACATAGGCAATACAGTAGGGTGTGTGTGCATGTGTGTGTGTGTGTGTGTGTGTGTGTGTGTGTGTGAATGGTTAGTACACTGGTGAATTGAAATGAATGCCTTACTGCCTTCCCATGCTTGTGCATGGGCACATGTCTGCAAGCGTGCATACACACACCTAGAAGGCATTAATAGATTTTTAAAAAATTCCTGAAACTTGTGTATCCCAAAATTGAATTCAGTCCATAGCCACCATTTTGGGACTTTCGACGTTAGTTAGTTTAACCTTTCAAGTCAAAGATGGGGAGGCTGAAGCCAGAGAGGGCAAGGTCACCTAGTGGCAGAGCTGAGATTAGAGCCAGGGCTCTAATTCCCAATCCAGAATTCCCTATGTTACATTGGCTCTCTTTTTGACTTATTCCTGCTGTATCTCAGCATGTGTCTCTCTGAGATCCTTCTAGACTTGTACTGTCCAGTATAGTAGCCAACTAGCCACATGTGGGCTACGTAAGTTTAGTTTAATTATTAAACTATAAAATAGAAAGCAAAAATTTTAAAAAATTAAATTAATTACAACATTAAAAAATTAAAAATATAATCCCTCAGTCTCACCTGCCACATTTCCAGTGTTCAAAAGCTACATGTAGTTAGTGGCTGTATTATATTGTACAACATAAGATATAGAAGATTTTCATCATCTCAGAAAGTTCTACTGAATAATGCTGTGAATGTACACTGTTCTCTGGGGCAACTTTCCCATTTGCAATACCCCACTAAAGCTATTGATAAAGAAGAAATAAATCCAAATGAATTACACACAAATGAATCCATGGACTTTTTCAAAAGGTGGAGGGACACACAGAGCAATTGGTGACAGTGAGATCAGTGAGATATAATCTGTCGCCTCGACTTTCCCACCAATGACTCAGATCTCCCTGGGATGATGACTCGTGAACCTAAGCAAACTCATTACAAGTAAGATCAATATGTGCAGAGACTGTGGGGAGAATCCATCAAGATGAAATAATTCCCCTTTCTCTGTATAGTGCCAATGAGAACTTGGCTGGTATTCTCACATCCTCCTCCCCAGGCCTATATGGCATCTGCTTAAGGAAGAAAAACTGCATTCCCACTTGCCTCCAGGACCCAGGTAGTGTGCTTGTCCCTGTGACCACAGTGGCCCTAGCTGCACCAGGTGTTCTGGCTTCTCTGCCTAAAGAGAGTGACTATACTGAACGTAATTGAAATCAGACTCCATTCATTCTGCCGGGGGATCCTCTGTTCTGTCTGCAGCAGAGACCAGGATGTTGCTAGACGACTTGGAATCCTGGACAATGAGGCTTGCTAGTCTCAGCTGTTACTCAGTATCCAAGGACTTCTTTTCTTCCATGAAGGCCATCCTTATGCCCCTCCTGCCCTCTGCACCTGAGCCCCAGAGTCAAATCTAATTCTTTCATATAAGATACAGGTCAGCTTGCCACTGTGTCAAGGCAGAGACTCATTGGTTTACTTAAATGGAGTGATAAAGCAAAGAGAAAGGGGGAAGTATAAGTGGATAGTTTTAATAGTATGTGAGTTCACTATCTCTGCCCTGTTAGTCTTGGGTCAGAGCAGTGACAAGAAAGGGCCATTGGCAAGGGGCTTTCCAGTCCATACCTCCTCTTTAGGAGATTGTAACACCTGGCCTGATATCATGCCTGGATGGATCCTATGGGGAACTAACTTTTCAGCCCTGGGGCATTAGACCCCTGTGGGAGCTATCTATAGCACCAGAGAAAAAAATTTCAAATCAGGTTCCATGGATCATTCCTAGGGAGGAGCAGATGTAACCAATCTGTAACTTCTTTAGCGTCCTTAACCTTTAGGTACTGTTCCAGTCTCACTCCTGGCCACTCCAAGATATAGGCCTTCTCAACCATGATTAAGGAAAAGGTGAAAGTGGCGTGAAGTTTCCAAAGTCTTAGGAAGTTTGAATCCCTTTACCTAAGGTCAAGGATGTGATGTTTCTGTTCTCCCTATCTCACTATGAAATTTGACACATGAAAAGAATCAACATCTGTAGTAGGCTGACTTCTAAGACGGTCCCCGAGATTCTGAGACCTTAGTTTCCAGTCATTCAGTCAAGCACTAACCTAGATGCTGTTGTAAAAAGGCTAGGTAGATGTAATGAAGGTGCTAATTCAGTTGAATTTGAAGGGTGGCTATTCTTGATGTACCTGACCTCATCAGGTGAGCCCTTACGGGACTGGGATCCTCCAGGAAAGACATCCGTAGAGTGAGAAACATTCAACACAAGGAAGAGTCTCTGTTGTTGGCTTTGAAGGCGTTGGGGTCCACATGATAAGGAAAGAGGGCAGCCTCCAAGAGCTGAGAATGGCCCTTGGCTGGTAGCCAGAAAGGAAGAGGGAGCCTTAGTCCTACAACCACAAATAACTGAATCCTGCAATAATTACATGAGCTTGGAAGAGAACCCTGAGCTTCAGATTAGAATGCATCCTGGTAAACACATCAGTTTCATCCTTCAGAGACCCTGAACTGAGAATCTAGCCATGCTGTGCCAGACTTCTGACTTACAAAACAGTGAGCTGATAAATGTTTGAAGCTGCTAAATTTGTGGCAATGTGTTATGCAGTAATAGAAAATGAATACATCTTCCTTGTAAGGAACTGTGGTGTAGGGCAAAAGAATAGGCTCTGGAGTCCAACAGTCTTGCGTTCAAATCCCGGCTCCGTTAATTACTACCTTAATGACTTTGAGGTCTTTGTTCAGCTTCTCTGAGATTTAGTTTCCTCATTTATAAAACGAATGTGCTGCTACCTGTCTCTTAGGACACTTATGAGAACTAAATGAGAGGATGCTTGGGACACAGTGAACCCTCCAAACTGGTTTTCACTCTCCATTCATTCCTAAAGATTAACCAGTGAATGGCTTGCAGGGGCCCTAACTCAGGCATGAAGAATGGCAGAAAGCAGGATTGACAGGGGTCCAGACACAGCAGGGAAAGCAAGGGTGAGACAGTATGAAACAAAAAACAATAACTGAGGTTCTTCCACACATGAATGCCTGTGAAACTAAATTCTGATCTTAAATCTAATTCTAAACACTAAGTAAACATAAAGGTGTGTTTGGTGTAGGGCTACAAATTCTTTGTGAAGCTAGACTAGGCTATACTTTTGTGAATGCATGTGTGCAGTGCTTATATATTGCAATGCTTAAATCTAAAAGTCATAAACTCAAATACCTTCACAAGTCAGGCAGACACATAAATGAGTAAAAAAGCCTGGCAAACATAAATAAGGAGGGCTGGGGACAATGACAGTGATTGATGCCCTGCCTAGGGGCAGTCTACGTCAATTTTCTAAACAAACACTGTGCTGGACAAACAGAATTCTGCAGGTGAATTCTGGCTCTGGGGAAGCCAGTTTGTGGCCTCTGGCTTAAATCATGCCAGCCATCTTTCCATCTACTAGGATTAGAGTCAAGGGACCTTACTGTATAACTTTAGGATTAGAAGGTCAGAGGAATACTGGATTGTGAGTCAGGGGAGCTCACTGTGGGGCCTCAGGGACATCTTTCCCTCTTTTGCTTTTAGTTTCCTTACATATGTATAAAGAGTAGTAGTTAAGAGCAAATATTCTGGAGTCAGGATGCCTCATTTGTAACTCCGGCTCTATCACTGACTAGCTGTGTGACTTTGGGCAAGACTTAGCCTCTTGGTATCTCAGTTAACTAATTTGTAAAATGGGGATAATATCATTACTTAATTCATAAGTTTGTTATGAGGGATAAAGACACTGTGGTGTTGTCTGAGAGTAGAAGGCAGATTCTGTACCACCAGGACTCCAAGATTAAAGCATGGTGAAAAAGTGCACTGAACTCCAGGAGGCAGAATGCAATAATGACACTGAAGTTCTAAAATGCTTTTCACATAAAAGGTTTATTATTCTTGATGGTGGTATTCAGAGTCTTATGGAATGTGTGACCTTGAACAGATCTCTTGATTTCTCCTACACCTCAGTTTTTCTCATCTATATAATGGTGATGATATGACTGGACTACTGCATAGGACTATTTTTAGGAGGAAATGAGATGAACCCAGTGAAGGTACTCTGCACCATGTGACAGTGTATGCTAATGGGCAGGTTCTGACTTTTTCTAAGAATGGATCTCTAGCTAGAAATCACTCTGAAAGACTGCTTATGGTGGTAAACTGTGAAAAGTATAACCTTCCATGTTGGGCAACTGGTCTCAAGTCAAAGATTGAGAGTCATGCTGGCAGGTTTCAGAATCTTAAGATAATAACAGATCTACCTCACAAGGTTGTTGTGAGTTTTCGGATGAGTATGTGTGTAAGATGCTTAGAACAGAGTAAATTCTGCAAGCCAATCAATGATGTTTTTTACTATTGCTAGTTACTGAGCCCCACATTCTCCACTTCATGACCTTTACCCCAAGCAGGTGAACTTTCTGAAAAAGTGAACTGATGAAACATATAGAGTTTCACAAGGACTGAAATGTAACATAAGAGAGACTTGGCAGATCCCCAACAGTCCTATAAGTCCTATAAGTTTTTTCGAGGGTTCCTGAGAGGGGGCAAAGTGGGCCTGAGCATGTGGCTCCAAGCACCCCACTTCCTTTCAAACAAGAACAGCAGTATTTTATTCTGTAGGTAAATTTGGGACTCTGCATCAAATTTTGTTTGAAGAAAAGGACCCATTTCCAAAAAAGAGTTCAAAGGCCTTGGATCTTGTCTATCCCTTCCTTCCTCCTCCAAACCAATTCTTAAAGACTGTTCAGACTGAAGAGCAAAGGTTAAGTCATGCCCCAGGTCACACAGCTAGATAATGGTAGAGCAGGAGCTAAAACTAAGGTATCCTGACTTCCAGGGTGGTGCTACTCTTTATATTTCATCGGGTTGAATAGCATCTTACTGGAGAGAAGGATCAGTAGTGGGAAATGGAGATAGGTGAGGAAGAACTAGGACAGGGATGAGAAGCAGGGAGCAGAGCCAATCCTTGGCAGGTATGGAGTGAGGGATTAGTAGGGAGTGCAACCAAATGGGATTAATAAGTGCATGCCAAATTCCCCCAGGCAAGAAGGCTCCTTGATTCTTTCCCCCAAGTCTCCAATCCCCTCCCAGCCCCAATTCTGGGTCAGAGAAATGGCCAGGCAAAAGAATATCAAATTTTATCTTTCAAGGTTTATGTTGGACTATTTAGTCTAATGGTTTTTAGTTCATGGAGGAGTAAACATAATTAATGATAGAATGATATGCAATGCTGCACATCCTTGCCAAAGCACAGGATCCAGCAGAAACTGTCTCCAAGTCTCCTCTCTCTGACTACTGAGCCAGAAGAAAGGGGCTCACTGTCCAGATACCACCCTGAGTGAGGGACAAAAGATTTTACCAAAAACCTGCTCATATGAAATTGCAGAGCCTGGAAATGCTTTCGAATACCAGGCTTTTCCACTGAAAAAAGTAACTACATGATTTTAGAGCATACATGCTTTTACAATTACATTTAAACTGACATTAAAAACAAATGTGAAACAGTCCAAGCTGAACAGGTCAGCATGACCTGGAAAGCAAACGAGAGAGAAAAAAAAGGAAAAAAAAAAAAGAAAAAAGATCCAATGTTAACAGCATTAATTCTCTCAGTCTGTTGTAAATAAGAAAATACGATTGGTGTATTAATGGCTTTATTAAGGGAAAATTTCACTAGTAGAAATATGCAACATTCAAACAAATAGAAAGTAGTTAAAAATAAACCTCATTAGCCTTTCAATCCACATTAGGGAACTTCTTGTTGGTCTGGAGATTAAAATTCTGCCCTGAGAAGGGGGAAACTCCCCTCCTGAAGTCCTTCCTTGGCTTTTCTCCAGAATGTTGCTGAGTCAGGGGAAAGAGAAAGAAGTGTGTGTGTATGTGTGTGTGTGTGAGAGAGAGAGAGAGTGTGTGTGTGTTGGGGGGGGAGAGAGAGAGAGAGCGTGTGTGTGTGTGTGTGTGTGTGTGTGTGTGTGTTTAGACAGACTGGAGAAGGTGGGAAAGACAGGCCCCAGGCAAGTCAGGGAGAGTCCTTCTGACTCTCACATGTGTGTTTCCCTGGCTTCACAGACTCCACTTCTCCACTAGAAAGAAACTGGTGTCAATATGGAAGCTATGGAGCAGAGAGAGAACAAGATATTCCAAACTCTAAGTGATTCTTCTTTGACATCAATACAATATTTGAGTCTGGCTTGGGAGAAGAATGAGAGGCTTACAACTGATGAAGAGAAGCATGTGATGTGAGAGAGCAATCAAGGAGTGTGGCTACAGTAAGGCTAGATGTAAGAGGGAAAGTCGGACTGTAGTCTCTCAGTGTGTTTGAAGAGAGGGGTTGGCTGGCTTCTTCTCCTGGAGAAGCAGAAATCTGGTCCTTGTTTACTGAACTTCTGTGGATCAGCTACTACCTTCAGCTCAGTGACAGGGCCTGAGGCTAAGATCTAGGTCACTGGCTGGGATCCAGAAGGCTAGAACCTAAGGGGGAAATACGAATTGCCTAATACACAAATAAAGATGGCCACAGGAACCTCAGACAGACACAGTTGCTTCTTGTCCAAGGTGACACCTTGAGTCCCATCAGCAAAGTTTCTTCCTGGCAGCACACCACGAAAAGCAAGCGACTGAGCCAGAGCTTCACTGCATCCGCCTGAGTCAGTGCCTGGCCCCCATCATATGTGATCAAGAACAATCAAAAAGCACTTTGCCAATGCCAAGCCACATTACAGGAAACAATAATCATGATACTCACAACTACATGAATGGTAACCACTATTACTTCTACAGCCCGTCCTCACAACATCCCTGTGAGGTAGGAAAACACTATTGGTCCCGCTGGAGGGAGTCAGCAATCAAGAGAGTAGCCCCCAACCCCAACGTCAAAGTCTGTGTTGAGGAGCAAAAACCTAAGCTCCTAAGCCTCAGACGCCAGGTTTCTCCAGACTATCCACTAGAGCCCTCTAGAGCCCTCATTTTGAATGAGGCAAGTCAGCCTTTCTTCAGGGTCTGGTCATTTTGAGATGCTTGCAATTGCCAACCCGGAATTTTTCTAGTATGAAAGAGAGACATTGTTGACTGTAGCAGTCTAAATACGGGCTTGTATCTAGCAGGCTCCATAATCAGATGCCTAAGACAGATCCTCTAACATAGGAAGCAGCATGTAAAGTTGGGGAGGTGGGCGGTTGCCATTTTTTACTGGGGGTTTTTCTTTTCCTATCCACTTGTAAGACAGAAGTGAGATGGGGAAATGGAAAATTGTTTACTTGGAGTTTTTTCTTCTTTTCTGCTTTATTGACAAATATACTATATATATACATATATATGTGTGCGTGCATCTCTCTGAACATAGTGGACAAGAATTGTGTGTATGTGGGGGTGGGGTGGGGAGTGAGAAGATGTAGGAGAAGAGAAGGGAGGTAGAATTTAAGTTACAGTCACTCAGAGACCAAGAAAGACTACTTGTTGGAGTCTGCTGAATTTCTTGCAGCAGCCAAACAATTGCATAATACTATAAGCATTATTACTCAGACTGGAGATGAGAATGCTTTGAAATTAATGTCTGTGTGCCTAACAGCTCACTAATCAAAGCTTCCATGCCTCATTTTCCACCCTGAGGAGAGTCATCAGTCTCTTTCAGTTTCATTGTGGCCAACATGACACTTCACTGCACAAGCTTGGGCTGGTGACTTTTCATCTTGGTCAAGATGCAGATTTTCTTCTTAGATCCAAATGCCAGTCCAAGTTTTCTGCAGGTGCTCGGTGCTTACATGTTTTTAATTGTTGACTGCTAGAGGGCTGAAATGTCCCTCAACAATCAATTTTTACTTCAACCACAGGGGCATTGGTTCCATGGGGTATTAAGCAAGGGAAAATATATTTCTATGCCTTGGTTGAGATCTAAAAAGTATCACAAGGTTGAACTGGACTGAGAAGAATGGAACCTGATTCCAAAAAAGGTGATGCAGGATAGCGATGCAATTTCCTGTTTACTTCCTAGATATCTGTTGTCACAGAAATATTAATAACAGATGAGCTGAAGGCTCTACCGATTTCTGGGTGGCTGCGTGTTTTTCCCTTAGTTCTACTTCTTAACAACGTGATCCCAAAAGATGTGCAAATGTCTCCAAAAAGCAGCTTGCTCAGGTAAGTTGTCTATGCATGTGTTCAGTATAAAAAGAAAATATTTTACATTTTTGTGATCTTAAGGAACACATCCCACAATCTGTAACAAGTGACACTCTTTTTAAATAATAAATAATAAAATGGTTTTAAACAAACAGGTTACCAACGAAAGTGAAGCTTTTTTCCTGAATTATTATTATTTGCAAAATACTTGCTTTTGTATATATGGCCTATTGTGTGCTGTGTACTCAGTTTTCTGCCTACTACCTTTGGAAAATATTGCCTATGGCATCATCTTGCTCTTTCAAGAGCAACTGAGGGATTTTGGAGCACTCACAGTAAAAGTAAACAACAATAAAATCTTTCTATTGCTATTACACTTTAAAAACTCAAGGATTTAAGTATAAATTTTACAAGGAGGTACTCATTCAAGTATCAGATATGCGGTATCATTAATTTTTATGATTAGAAAAATTTACTTCGCTCTAACCATAGTTCTCTAAGAGCAAATGCTCAGAGACAGAGTACAACATATATGTGCTATCCCAGATAATTTGGTTTGGAGGAATTAAGAGACGCAGTCTCTGTTTTTTCCATATGCAAATTCCCTTAAGAACTACAGTTAGAGAGACATAAAGCTTTTCCCCTCCAAAGTGTCACCAAATATGTATGTAACCAATTTAGGGATGACGATTTAGGTCATGGAGTGGAAATTTCAAGGGTTGTTTCAAGGGTAATTTACAGACCAAAGAACAAAGAAACAAGAACCAAAAGCCACACTGTAACAGCAGAGAGAGAGAGAACAGACCCCAGTGGTGACTGGGAGCACAAAGACCATTTTTCATCCACAAAAGAAGGGCTGAAGGGTACGGTGACATTGATTGTGTGCCTACTGTGTACCAGTTTCTCTACATACTTACAACAATGCCGTAAAAAAGATTTTATTATTCCCACAGTGTGGTTGGAGAAACTGAGGCTCAGAGAGGTCTGGTGATTTGTGCAAGGACATCAAGATAGTAAGTGACAGAACCAAGACTAGAAACAAGGCCTCTCTGTATCTGAGTCTATTGTACTATTTCCACTATACCACAGGACATCTTAAAACAAAAACCAACCAAACAAAAAAATCCCCAGAGTTTCAAAGTGCTGAGTCACAAGTTGCACATGTTGATGCCAAAATTTATAGAGTAATTCTGCTCCTTGGTGCACACCTCAGTTATGCAGATCAGCTAAAGCACTCAGCTATCAAAGAATTGTGGGTAGGAAGCAGCACTTCTCAGAAATGAGACTTCCCACTTGCATCACCAGCCTGAGGGTCTTTGGAATTCTAGTCTAGAGAATCAAAGGAGAATGGAAGAAATCCCAGTAACTGAGTTCCACGTTGTTAATTCTTTATGACACTCTGCTGCCTGCTGAACAGGAAGTAGAGGGGATTCAATCATTGGATGGTTTCTACAAATCTGTGATTTCTAGGCCTCCCACTTTAGCAATGAGGTTATGTGGTAGCACTGTGATGGGGTTCTGAGTAAATGTCAAAATGTTGGTCAGACAGTGTATAAAAGGACTATTAAATTCTACAGCAGAATGTCTAGATATTCAAAATATTAAATGGTCATTCTGCATGATGCTGGAAGTCACTATATTTCTTAGAAATAACTTCTTTAGCACAATCCTTAGGCCAGGAATATGTACCTGCAGACATTAGATAACTTGGGCAATAACCATGCTTTGGCCTAGGACAGTTTTGCATCCTATCCTTTGTGTATGACAACGTTGCAGACCCAACATAATTAACTTTAGTGGCATTAGTAGCTAATAGCATAATAGCATAATCTTATGCACCATGTGGTAAGGATGGTCTGCTTTTGATCATTAATGCATTATTGACTGATTCTTAATGACACACACATCTGCAAAATGATGACCTGAGCTAGAGGTATAGGTATTCTCTGCCTATAGGATAGAGTTTTTGTCTATACCCATGTTTTCGAAAGTGTATTCCAGAGAACAGTGGTTTTGTAGGATAACAGGTGTTATGTGAATAAATGAGGTCCTGTGGTTGAATCAACTTCGGGAATCCTGAGTTACAAAGCTCCTCGGTTACTTTACCGCAGTATTCACCAGGACCTGTGATATGCTAATAAGGATTGTAAATCTTCCTGAGCAGGACCATGATATGCAAGTTTCCCTCACTTATTTGACAATAGAAATCATATTTTTCATGGAACATGTCATGGAACTAGTTTTCTCAGGACACATACCAGTAAACACTGGCCTAGACCAAGGAAACTGGCTTTTGGTATGAGGGTAGGCCTCTTATACAAGCCAATTGCCTTGGTCTAAACCAGTACTTCTTCATATACGTGGTCAGTACTTGCAGGTAACAACCCAAATGGAGGTAACTACAAATCCTAGGTGTTTAGCAAAATTTGATGCTAGAAATTTCTCTCTAGCTGGCCTTCCTAAAATTGTCTCACTTTCTACAATTTAAACCCTCATCAACAAAACATTTGTGCTGCTGCCAGTTTTCTTTAAAGAAACATGCAAATAAACACAATGTCATCATGCCTATCCCATGCTCAAAGATTTTCAACTGCTTGAAGTCTAAACTACCTAGTATAATAACCAAGTTTGCTTTCAATGTGGTTTCAGCTTGCCCTTACCATTTCCCCAGCTCTGGCCATGTTAAACCAATTGCTGTTCCTCAAACCCTCAATGCATTTTGTTCATGTCTCTGTGCCTTTATTCAAACTGTACGCTTTACCTTAGATGTCCTTTTCCTTCCATCTCACCTAACTTCTTCCAAGTGATTTCTTATTTTTCCTTTATGGCTAAGGAATATTCCTCATTACTTCCTTTCTCCTCTTGCTCAAATTTTTGAGGAAAGGAATAGTATCTTATTCAGTTCTGCTTCCCCAAAATGCCTAGCAGAGTGTCTGGCACATAGTTGGTACTCAATAAATATTTGCTAAATGAATAAATAGGTGAGTAAATGGATGAAAAGATGAAAGCGTGAACTTCTTGGCTGGCTGGAAGGATGAATGGATAGATACATGGATGAATAAATGCTGTGAAGAGCCATGCCATGAATAGTAATTCAGCAGCGAAATCACTCTGTTGCATTCAGGACATGGGATCCTGAGGTAGCAATGCTGGGATGCTCTTGAACATGGGGAATGATGAGACAGCTGGCATCAGGGCTGTCTTCAACAATGGAAACTGCAAGGATGTTCATAGCGTCCATAACGACATCAGACCATGGCAATAGGCTCCTTGAGCCATCCTCTCAACTAGATAATTCACAGAGGTTGTCAAAACCTGTAGATATGTTAAGTTTTTATTCTCAGATGCAGAGTTCAGTCTCCTAGTAGGAAAGACACCTCTCAAATATGCTAGACGAATCTGTGAAGTAAATGCTGCACACCTCAGGTTCTCACATGGTCTAGGTCTCTGTGTTCCTTCTCTTCTTCTGGGGTTTGGCTGCTACCTGAAATTTCTGAAAGGCCTACTACCTTCCATGGTCCAGGAGAGGAAGGAATCAACAGGGACCAACACCATTTACTAAATGCTGAGAACTCAAGAGTTGCAAAACGCAGAAATAAATCATGTTTGGGGAGGAATAGGAGGAAAGTGGGAAGGAGGAAAGGGTCAGGGGAGAAGATGGCAGGAAGGGCACTTCTTTATTTCTCATTCCATCTTGGAAACAAGGAGTGTACCCTTGGAAAGTGCGGAGAAAAATGAGAAATGGCTTTACATTTATCCTAACTATGGACTGTGAGAAAGCCACAGCTAATTCACTGGAGGGAAGGTCCTCATTTGGACTTTTTTTGTAAGTGTTTTCTGAAATGAAAAGTAGTCAAGGGATTTAAATTCGTCAAGCAATTAACAATATGTGGTTTTCAAATGCAGCCAGGAATGAATCATCTACAAAGAAAGGCTGATCTCTGTTGTGGATGAGCAGCTGAGAGTCTGAAGGTAGTCTTTAAGGAAGCCATTCTGAGACTCCAAACACCCTCAAGATTCTTTCAGAAACAACAACAGCTGCTAGAAAAAAAAGCAAGAAACAGGTAGGTAGGCCTGGAAGCAGGAAAGAAAAAGCTATATCTATTAAGTATCTCTGAACTGAAGAGATTCCATCACCAAACAGTGAATGAAACACTATAGAGAAAGCCAGATTAAAGATCTTGAGGCCTCAAGACCAAGCAGCCATCAGCTGAAGAGTGCCAGCTTCTTTAAGATACAGAGACAGCCCTTCTGCCCTCCACTCTCTGAATAATCTGTCTAGTCTACTTTTAGACAGATATCTTAAGTAGGTGTGAATGGAGGTAGATACAATTACGATGTATCAAAGCACTCAAGTCTCACTATCTATACTTCTGGGAGCAGGGAACAGACAATCTAAGAAAGGGCTGAAAAACAATCCTTTCTGTGTGGCTTTTTACATAGAATCACAAAATGTTAGCACCAGAAAGGTCCTCGGTGAAGCCACAATTCCAGTTCTATGATGGGAAAACCAAGCATCAGAGGAGAGAAGGGACTTGCCCAAGGCCACATTCCTAGTTGCCATTTTGGAATATATTATGTAATTTTGATTTGAGTGATGGGAATCAGAAGATAAAATTATATGAATTCTTCTTCAAGGTAATCAATATGTCTATGCTAAATCCAAATCTGATGAAAATGGAAGTCTACTCCTTAAGGAATAGACAAGGGCCACTTTGAATTGACACTTTCTTTCTTTTCCATTGTTTGAGTAAAGGTGTGCTGTGCATTGAATGTGTAAGTTAACAATAAACTTGGGAGGGGGTTGTGTCAGTAGGGCAGGGAACGTGGAGATAAGTTCATTCAGCAAAATGGAAAGATTTGCTCTTCAAGCAGTGATTTAAGAAGGTAAACAATTGGGTTTTTACTGGCATGGTATTTGAACATAGCATATGATTCCCTTAATTACTAAAATTAGCTTCTGAACAGGATCCTGGTGGTACTTTTTCGTTTGAGGTAATCAAGAGTGTTTTCTGGCGATTCTCTGCCTGTTGGTGCTGTTACATATTATATGGCATACCAAGTTACTTAGGGTAAAAGCCATCGGGAAGTGCTGTGTTACAGACTTTCCAGCTAAATTACTAGTGACCTCAATGTCATATTAAGCCCCCATATTTGTCTAGCATTTTGCTATTTATCAAGGATGTTCACATTCATCATGTCATCTGATACTCATTATAACTCTATGAGGATGGTATTTCTAAATCAGAGATGAGGAAATTGAGGCTCAGAGGGGCACACAGTAAATAAAGGAGCTGAGCCTTTAAACTAGATCTGCCTGACTCTAAAGGCAAGGCCATTTACACAACATCAAGAATCCTGGTATCTTGTGAACACTTCCTGAAGTTTGCCAGCCTCAAGCTCTAATGCCTAGCATGGTGCCTTGTACATGGAAGACACTCAAAATATCATGGGCCTGCAACTGAAATGAAGGCCAGTCACAGCACTTCTCAGCTTGTCTTCATTGTGTTCACCAAGCCCACTCAAATTTGAGTACTATACCAATGAATCAATTTGAAAATGTACTGAAACATTGTCACCAACAAATTAATTTACAAGCCTGCATCTGACGGTTATATAGTATAGTGAAACTATCTGTTATACACAGGCTCCTTTTCAAAAGTGGTTCACTGTAATCACATCACAGGCTGCTTAATAATGGAGAATGTTGGCTGAGACATGGAATTAATGTTAAGATTTGCATCCAAATGTTATGAGGACTTTTGTTACCATTAAACTTTACCTGCATCAAAGTGGACTTGCAATTCATATTGCCAGATGGCAAGCCAAGAGGTTCCCTACTTGAGAGTCCCTATCTTTTATACTATACATAATTCACAGAAGGCTAAATAATTGACAGTTGAGTGTATAAGAACCCTCAACATGGGGCTGCAACATTCATATGGAGAACATTTTTTCTTGTCAATCACTTTGTCACCCTTCCTGCCTTTGCCTCTGTACTCCCTGACCCCAGTCCTACTTCTTCTCCACTGTAGACCTCAATTGTTGGATTTCTTTGGGGTGCACCAAGCAAACCAAAACAAGGTTGAGTTTTCTCAGATATCTGAGTCTCATTTGATGTGGATGCTTGGAAAGCCACTCACAGAACATCTACCTGTGATGTTTGGGAGTACTGGACGCTACTTGAGATGATTCTTTTGAAATTGTCTCTCATCCAGCCTGGGTCAATTCATGTGAGGTACTTTGTTCTGTTTAAATAATACTACTGCCCTGTGAGGATGGGGAGGATATAGTTATCTATATGAAGATCCACACATGGCCCTGCTCCAGGATAAGAGAACTAGTTGTTGTCTATAAATGTGCACATAGGCAGACAAGGTATTGAACACCTCACAGAAAGCCAGAGATAGACAACTGGTCTAAATTAGACTTAAGAGGAGAGGGGAGAGGGTTGGATTCTAGGCACTTGGGTTTTCCAGGCTAATAATGAATAATTGGGTATGAGGCTACAGTTGCAGGCACTCAGAAATAGGCTTGCCTTTCTTCAAATTCCATTTCCAAATCGAAGTGGATTAATGATCTTGTTTTTCTCATGAAAGACACATCTTTTTGGAAGTAGCAGGCAGCAGCGAGGACCCTGGCATTGGGCAGATGTAAACATGAAGAGATGGGGGAGTTTGGAGAGGGAAAATATAAGTCTCAATCAACTGATGTCAAGCCTTTCTGGAATGGTGACAACACTCATGGTAGACAGGTTTGTGGGACAGAGAGCCTTATGATAGAGGAACGCCCTTGAAAGAGCTGTATCTTCCATCTATCACGTTACTGTGCTACTGAAAAAAAATGCTTTTGGAAATGGTCAATAGCTTTGCAAAGAAAAGGAAATTATTAAAACACCTGCTCATCTTTGGGAGAGATAGGATAGGAAATTGGCTCTGTGTGGCAGCCTAGTCACAGGCTCCAAAGAGAAGTAGCTTCTCATTCGAGGTGGCTGGCCCTACAACATAGGCAGCAGTTAGCTAAGGGATATTCCCAGGTGTTCAGGATCAGCCTGTGCCTGGGTCATCCTGCGCCTATGCCTGGGTCATCCTGCACCTCTGACTGTTCTGGATTTCTTAGTTCTCTCATCCTAGCTACCACTGAACAACATCAGGCCAGTATCATTAAGTCCCCTGGGGGCCCTGCCCAGTCAGATGCATCCTCACTCACCTTCTGTTGGCTCCTGATCCCTGCTTCACACCGCCTGCTCTAATGCTGAGCCCCGGAATGGGGATTGGTATAGATAAGGATTAAAAAAAAGGCACCAGCTGGCTGATGGCCACGTTGCCTATGAAAGGGTCAGCCTGTGTCTAGAGCATGGCTGGTCCCCTTGGAAGCATCAAAGAAGAAAATCTGGTCTAAAGAGAGACTAGAAAATGAGGGAGAAGGGGGAGAGAGGAAGGAGGAGGAAGAGAAAGAAAAGTATCTTACCTCCCAGAGTCATCCCTGCTTCATAACATTTCCGAAGACGACAAGATGGACAATTTTTCCTTCGGAATTTATCAATAGTGCAATCATTTCTGCTGGCGCACAGGTACTTCTGTTTCCCTGGGAGAACAAATACAAGAGTTGATAGACCTGATAATGAGTTTCCAGAGTCTCTTTCTTCGGGTATTTCTAGAACAGAAAAGATATGAAATTATATCCTACCACATGAAAAAAGTGGACAGAGTATGGCACCAAACAATTTGATCATACAGAACCTAAATATTCAAACAGTTTAATTTGGCACTATATTGTTTGATTTCCATTGGTGTTTTTTTTAGGGATGAACAATTCAGATCCTGATGATATCTCCACTATTAGGACTACTCAATGGTTTTTAAAATAAGGTGCTCTACTTTTACCAAAAGTCAGAAATGCCCATGAGAAAATGATCCATTGTGGAACTTGTCACCCCTTTAGCATGGCGTAGAAGAGATTTGAACTCAGTCAATGTTTCTTCCTATTGATACCTGTAATCATGCATAGAATTACACTCGAGCTAATAAGATGCTTATTTTTCATAATATTAGTAGAGGAAAATTTCTACAAAAGATAACTCCATGGGATTTCTAACTGTTTTTAGATTGCTGGTGATCATACCCCCAGTCTTGCAGGTTATAAAAATCAGAGATAAAGCCCACTCTATGTAGTGAATCACAGCAAGTAAAAGGAAGTTCGATGAAGCCAACAGAGTAACAAAGATCACTGTCATGAACACCTGGAGTTGTCACAGATACATAGAAGCGCACACACATACACATGCTCAGACCTAGAGATCCTCAGAATTACAGCTGCTCAAACATATTTTGCTCAATACTTTGCTCCTTTACGCTAGCACAATCCTGGCACACAGCAGGCTCTCAGCAAACGTGGATTGACTGACTAAACATGTAAATATAGCAGATGGATGCATAGACACACAGAGTCACCAGCAGGAATAGGCAAAAATACATCCTTGGCTGCTCTGAAACACGCAGAACTTCTCATGCTTGCAACCGTGCTCCAGCTTCAGCTTCTGCATCCCCTCACTCCTTTCTGTCTCTAAGTCCCTGGTATTTTTTCCTCAAATTTATTGCTGTGCTTTGGCTTACTGGATAGACTGGGATTTTAGGGAAGCTTCTTTAAGCAGAGGAAGAATGCTTGTGGTCGGAAAAAGAAAGAGAAACTAAAGAGTGATTGATATTTGAGAGTAGAAAAAAAAACAACTAAAAACATAAATTTAACTATACATCAGCTTTCCTCTCCCTTTACTAAGCCTAAAAAGTGAAGATTAGGCACATAAATGCATCTATTATAGTAGGCTATTTTATGTAGTAGGTTCAGTAGTAACCAGGTCAGCAAAGAACTTCTTTTACTTAAAGTGCTACTTGCAAGAACATAAGATTAGTTTTATTGTAGTAAAGGATCCTTTTTCCTTTCCTCCTTTTTAACGTTTTATTTGTTCTTTTTCCTTTAATTTTCCTTTCTTCTTTCCTTCCTTTCTCCCTTTATGAAAGGATTCCAAAATGCTTGGCTTGAAGGAACTGTTAAAAATCACAACAGTACAACTCTCATTCCAAGGAGGAGTTCCAGGGAAGTGACTTACCTGAAGAAGCACACTGAATCGGAGGCCCCCAAAGGAAGAAAACTACTATTTATTGGGTGCCTACTATGAACCAGGCCTGTGTTAGGGGTTTTTAACATATGAGAAAACTAAGGTCTCCAGGCCAGTGCTCTTTCTAGCATACCACAAGATTTTATTTGCATAAATAGAACACATAATTTGCTAACAGCTTTATTTCTGTTGCAAACTGAGGACTACCATATGTGCACAGAAAGGACGGTGCTACGAGTGCTGTTCAGCCTTTGGGTGTTAGCTCCTCAAAAACAGGTCCTGTATCCAATTCTAGTGCGTTCAATTCCAATGTTGTAGCTGTTCTAGAACTGGTACACTCCCACAGTATTGGTACTGCTGCAATCATCAAGACCAGCTTGTTACATTGATTACTGAAATAAGCTTAGGTTAGAAAGTGCGTGCCTTCTTTGAGAAATCTCATCTTCCCCAGGAAAATACTTTCTTGGACCCTAGTTTGTCAAGAAATGGTTGCACCACCAATGGAATATGGCTCCCATAATAGTTCTAGATTGCCCTTCTGAAAGAGAATCACTCTGTGAATGAGAGAGGTTATAGCGGAAAAGCATGATTTTTTTTTTTTTTCAATTTGGAACTCGGATAATTTCCTTAGCATAGTTCACACCTTTTCTCTGGGTACCTCTTGGTCTAAAACAAGGCAACCTAAAACGTAGATATTCTTTACAATTTACTCAGGAGTAAGTGCAAAAGCCCAGTACAACCAAAGCCATGACATATTAATTTAACATTTACTGATAATCTATTATGTGCAAGGCCCTGCATTGGATATTGAGGTTACAGAGGAAAATCTCTAATGAACAAAAATACACAAATCCCAGATGAGAGAAAGAGCAGTGGGCTGGAAGCCCCAACATCTGAATCCTTGTTCAGCCTTATCACTAACTCACTATATGACCTTGGACAAGACCTTTTGCCTCTCTGGGCCCCATTGATTACATGAGATAGATTGGACTGGAAAGTCATTAAAATCTTTTCCAGCTCTAAGAATCTTGAAGGATGTCTGGATTTCTTCTGCAATATATTTACAGAGTTTTTTTTTTTTAATGTAAAGGACTTAAGTATTACTGGTAAGCAAGAAACTATCCAAAATAATAGTCTCTTGTCCCTGTATTCTGTCTTTTTAGGATAGTAACTTATTGCAACATTGTCTCTTACATCTAGAATCATTTAGTCTCTTGTCTTTGTTCTCTAAAGCTCTCCCAAAACTCAAGGTAGTTAACATTGCCTTAGAAAGGCACTGATGTTGCCAGTCACATGCAACATAAGCATAAACATGCTAATGTACATGTGTGTATTCATGTATGTGTGAGTGCATAGGTGTTTGAGTGTGACTGAATAATTAACACAGGGAATACAACACCCACACACTGGATTTTGGAATTATCTGTGCATATGTGGGTGATCACATAAAGCATAAAACACACCAAAACATACAAATGGGTACACATGACACATGTGTTCCTTCAAAGCAGAATGAGGAATTTAATGTTTGAAATGACACATAATAGTGACAGAAGTGGTTGAGGATTGCAAAGATGGATATGAAAGGAATCTTTTTTCTGTAAGTCCTAAAAATAAGACCTTATTTATCTGTACAATTTGGTTTAAGGACAAAGATAGGGGATGGAACAGGCAATCTCTCAAGACTGCTTCCAAGTCACTTCTCCTATCTGAATTATCACTTCCCCAAATGATGGTAGAGCCAAGGTAAAATCATTGGGATGCTATTATTTCTTTCCTATTATTTATTCAATTTCTCCAAATATATGGATGAGGCTATCAGAGTTCTTAACAGTAACAATAATCACTCTCATTTGATTAGTTTACAAAGTTTAATAATAATCTGCAAGGCCAGGTGCAGTGGCTCACTCCTGTAATCCCAGCACTTTGGAAGGCCAAGGTGGAAAGATTGCTTGAGCACAGGAGTTTGAGACCAGCCTGGGCAGCATAGTGAGACTCCGTCTCTATAAAAAAATGAAAAAAAAAAATTAGCTAGGTGTGGTGGTGTGCACCTGTACTCCCAGCTACTCAGGAGGCTGAGGGGCTAGGATCCTTTATGCCTGGGAGGTCGTGGCTGAAGTAAGCTGTGATTGTGGTACTGCACTCCAGCCTGGGTGACAGAGTGAGACCCTGTCTCAAAATAATAATTAAATAATAATAATAATCTGTGCAAAGTAAGTATAACAGGGATTATTATATACTTCATTCTATGATGAAGAAAATGAGGCTCATTAATATGAAATTGGCTAGGACTTCCAGTACTATGTTAAACAGAAGTGGTGAGAGTGAGCATCCTTATCTCATTCCTGGTCATTGAATATAATGTTAGCTGTGGGCTTGTCTGATATGGCCTTTATTGTGTTGAGAAACATTCCTTCTAATACCCAATTTCTTGAAAGATTTTATCATAAAATGATGTTGAATTTTGTCAAATTATTTTTCTGCATCTATTGAGATGATCATATAGTTTTTGTCCTTCATTCTGTTAATACTATTGATTTGCATATGTTGAACCATCCTTGCATTCTAGAAACAATACTAGTCTTTATCACATCCTTGGTTTGCTGCAAATCACAGTCCATAAGGTTACAAATCTCAGATTAGTTGGAAAGAATTTTTAAAGACTTTTTGGTTGTATCACATCCATTCCTCCATACAAGGCTTGAATCCTCTCTGCAGCATCCCTGCAAAGTATTGTCCTATCTTTTCTTGAATACAGCCCATTTTACCTCTGGACTGTGTTATATGTCCTTTCCTTCCAGGAAACTCACTGTTTCCTTTTAGCTCTAACCCATTGGGCCTAATTAGAAACACAGAATCATTGGGCTGTAAAGAATCTTAAAATGTCCAATGTGATGCCTGACACTTCACTTATGAAAATGGGCACAAAGTATTGAAATTACATGCCCCAAGCCACAGCAAGTTGGTGTTAGTGCCAGCACAAAAATCTGGAAAGTGGATCCAAAGGAAATATGGTGTGGGTGATTATAGTCTGAAGACAAAGCGTTCTGAGTGTGGCAGAAATCTTTTCTCTTTGTCTAGGAAGCATATGGCCTTGTGGATCCCTTCTCTGTATTCAAGTGACAGAGAACTGTGTAAATGGGATGTAATCCTGCTGTAAGGTGGTTCTAGAAGGTCCTCTATAACCTAAGAGACTGAAAAATTAACACAGGGAATACAACTTCCTAGGCAGCTCCCCCTCCTCAGATATTACAAACATTATACCCAGTTGTTTGACACTGTTAATTTCCAACAGCAAAGTTGTATCCACAGTCTATAATGAAGGGCTCACTAAAAGTCATTGTGAAATGACTGACAAAATACAAAAATCTTCTCATGTTGAAGTAGGTAAGGCCACACTCTAGAGCTGCAAAGAAATCACTCATTGAAATGCATAATAACTGTCTTATTAGAAAAATCTTAAACCCTTGACTACCTAAATAGTCATAAAATGGGCTGGCATGAGGTCCACTGCATGCCAGCTGGCTCTGAAATTCTTGACTGTCTGATGTTGCTCTGTGTCTTTCTTCATAGTCGTATCCTTCCATCATAAAACTTAAGTATGATTCAAAGGCCATGAGACAGCTTTCAAGTTTGTTTCTCTGTAGGATTTCTTCCTATTTCTGTTGTTTTCTGTCAGTCCCATTGGTGCTGCCATGCAGTATGGCTTGGGGTTAGTGTCTGATTATGATTCTTTTAATTTGTTCATTCTGAAAAATCCTGTTTGGAACAGAGGAGGTAAGGCAGAGAAGTTACCCACTATTAGTGGCATCACATTATGCAAACAAAGAAAGGGTTGAGTCATCATCTTCATTGTTAACCTACAGAGAATCCTGAAGAATGTAGTATTTCTCACACTTTATATATATGGTGTTAATGCAGGACCTATATGAACAAAACAAAAAACTTCATGGTGGTATTTAAGGAAAGAACTGAATTAAATGCAAAGTTGTACCATATTCCTGGCTAAGAAGAAGCAATATTTCAAGGATTTCAGTTCTTTCCCAATGAAATCTAAAAATTTAAAACAACTCAAACAAAATCTTGACAAAATAATCCCAAAATTTATCTGAAGGAATAAAACATGAGACAATGCCAAGATATTTGTGAAAAATAAGAGTAATAAGACATTCCCTGCTGTACATTTAAAGTATCTAAAGGCATAATGATTACAACAGTTTGATACTGGCTCCAGCTTAGGTTGATCAGTGGAAGAGATCAGAAAAGCCAAAACCAGACACAGTATATGGAATATGCCATTCCAATTCAGTGAAGAAAGGATGAATTATTCACTAAATAATGTCAGAACAACTAGTGAATCATTTGGAGAAGAAAATAAAGTTAAATTACTAGTTAAAATCAAAATAAATTCCAAATGGATTAAATATGTCAATTTAAAAGAGGAAATCATGTAAGTACTATTAGACAATACAGAGGAAAATTTCAAAATTTTTAAAGGTAGAAAAGGTCATTTTAAGTTATTGACAATGAAGAAAACATAAGTGAAGACAGACTTGATAAATTTCATTAGAAAACATTTATAATTTCTTATGTGAAATAAACACCATTATAAAACTCAAAGACAAACCATAAACTAAGAATAATTATTAGCATCAAGTATGTAAAACCAATGGTCAATATATTCGATATATAAAAATAAACAGCACAATAGAAAAATGGGCAACAGACAGGAGAAAGCAGTTAGAAGTACAAATGACCAATAAGCATATGAAGATTATTTAATTTAGCTAGAAATCACAGAAATACAAATTAAATATCATTGTCTTAAGCCAGATTGGTACAGATTAAATACTACGTGTTGGTGAAGAGGTATTTCTGGTAGGAATAAAAATACTTTAGAGAGAAATTTTGCCATATATTTGGAAAAAAATTGGAAATGTGTATAAACTTCTAGGAATTCCACTTCTAGGGATGTGTTGTAAGAAAATAATACAATAAGCACAAAATAGAAGTTTATTGTAGCATTATTTAAATAGAAAAAGTTGGAAACATTTGAATGTCTAACATTAGGGGAATGATTAAATGAATTATTCCATATTCTTGCAAAGGAATGTTTTGCAGTTATTAGTGATGACTGCAATGTCTTTTTTCTTTTCACTTGGAAGTATATTCACAATATATTGGTTTGTTAAAATAATAACAAAAATGAAGTTACCAAACAATATACTTGGTTACATATCACTTTAATACTTAATACTTTAATACTTAAGGCCTTAGAGCTCATCTAAATCAAGTTTTTAAATTTCTAAATTGACAAATAATAATTGTATATATTTATGGGGTACAGTGGGATGTTTTGATATATGTATGCATTCTAGAAAGATTAAATCAAGCAAATTAACATATCCATCACCTTGCCTACTAATAATTTTTTGTGGTTAGAATATTTAAATTTACTCTTTTAGCAATACTGAGACATATAATACATTATTATTAACTATGGTCACCATGCTGTGCAATAGTTCAATATAACTTATTCCTTCTATATAACTGACACATTGTACCCTTTTATTATCTCTCTTTTCCTAGCTCAGTCAACTGCCTCCCAGTCCCTGGTAACCACCATTCTACTCTCTGCTTCTATGAGTTTGACTTTTTTCAGCATTATTCACAATAGCCAACATATGGAAGCAAACTAAGTGTCCATGGATGGATAAGTGGATAAAGAAAATGTGGTGTAATGGACACAAAGAGGGGAACAATAGACACCAGGGCCTACTTGAGGTTGTAGGGTGGGAGAAGGGAGAGGATCAGAAAAAAATTGATTAGATACTATGCTTATTACCTGGGTGATGAAATAATCTGTACAAGAAACCTCTCTGACATGCAGTTTACCTATATATCAAACATGCACATGAACCCCTGAACCTAAAATGAAAGTTACAAAAGAGAAAATGTGGTGTACATACACGATGGAATACTATATAGCCTTTAATGAAAAGAAAAGTCTGTCATTTGCAGCAACATAGATGATGCTGGAAGACATTATGCTAAGTGAAATAAGCCAGGCATAGAAAGACAAATACTGACTGCATGATCTCACTTATATGTGCAATCTTTAAAAATCAAACCAGTTGAGTTTTTTATAGTAAACTATTTTTAAGAATAAAACATTACATAGAAACTCTCTATATAAATCAGATAAAATTAAATGTAATCTGCCTGGGGTTGGCATAGGAAACTGGGAACTTCTCTTGTCAGGCCACTCTTTTTCTCCTCTTCCATGCAGGCTTAGCGTTGTGGTTTGCCTTAGCGAAACTCTGTAGGAGCCCCCCACCCCAGGGCTTTGTGGAACATTTTAGAGACCTACTGATTTAGTCCAATCTTCATACCCCCCTATTTTACAGATTGAGAAACTGAAACTCAGAGAATTTGCTTGAAGATCACACCATGAATCAGTGTCAAAACAGAGACAAGAATCCAGGTGTCCTCATTGCCAGTCCAGCAGTCCAGTGCTTTTCTCACATGAGATAACAGATGCAAAAATATCATATAAAGTGTAAAGCACTCTACAGATCATATATATTATTATTATATAAGAAAAATTAGGAGTCCTTTTGAATGTCAGAATAGGTGAGAACCTCTATGGAGATCATCTAATCCAACAATCTCATTTTACAGATAGGAAAGGGTGAGATCCAGAGAGCAGAACAGACCTGACTCAGATTACACAATGAGTCAATAACAGAGATGGAACCAAAACTCAGGTATCCTGCCCACTATATTCTCAGTATTTTCTGCACATTTGCTTTGTTAGTTTGAAATCATTTCCATATTTATTATCTCTGTATGATCAGAAGACACAGACCATTCCTCTCGATTTATAAGAGGCTATATTCACACTCAATCCTTCTTCCCCTAGCCTCTGTCTATTTTGCAAGCTTTCCATTGTGTTATTACCATGTAAAGATATTCAGCAGTGTACGAAATGTTATAGGTCACTATAAATTGAAAGAGTGGTTATCTCCCTCGTTAGATTGTGCAAGAGATAAGGGTACGGTGCATTCTTTTTTTGTAGTCTCACTGTCTGGCTACAATATACCTCAATTCTGAATATACCTTATTTGAATGAATGATTGATTAATCTATCTTTCAATATGTTGTTGGCCAATAAAGCTTTCTGTAACATGCTTCTTAAAGAAGCAGCCCAGGTCCTGGAAGATCATGTGATTTTAACGTTTTCCTAAAGAATAGTAGTATCTGTATGGAATAAAAAGAATCAACAGGGTATCTTATTTTGCAAACCCTAAGTCTCTCTCTCTTTCCTTTCATAATGGCTGTTTGGAATCCTGGTTCGCCTTCAGTCTTAGTGAGTTTGGTGAGGGCACTCTGTGGAATGCTGGCTTGGAGTCCCTTAGATAATGAATGGAATGGGTCAAGGGAGGCCAGAGGACAAAGTTTGCTATCACCTCCTTGTCTGCCCACCACTGCCAGTACTACCCTTGGCAGCTTGGGCATCAAGAAAAAAACAAAGAAAAAGACCTTATAACAATTTCAGAGAGTCCACATGTCAGCCAGGCAGGAATGTTCATCCATGAACTCAAAGCAAGCATATTAAAGACAACGGAGACACCCTCACTGCAGAAAACAAATAAAGTT
This sequence comes from Homo sapiens, assembly GCF_000001405.40. NCBI lineage: Eukaryota > Metazoa > Chordata > Mammalia > Primates > Hominidae > Homo > Homo sapiens. Next base: position 67,676,819 of record NC_000023.11, on the reverse strand, counting down.
TTAAGGGTGATGGGATTGGAAAAGCCCATACATTTATAACTTACAACAAAGAAATTCATTCCGATAATATCACCTCTCTTCCTCAAGTTGCGTACAGCAACTTTGGAAACTGCCCTGTTACCAAATGCCAGATCCAAATCCTGTCTGCTGGGGATTAAGAACATTAGACAATGAAACAAGGGCTTGCTCCTGGAGCAAGTTTTACTTTTGCCATAAACCCTGCACAGGCTTTTAGTAACCTTGCAACTAAAACACAAAGATAAGCTGTTATGGGAAGGCACACCCCATGGTATTTCTTGGCCATTTTCTGACTACTGATCACTTGTTGGGAGACAATAATTGTCTCTATAAGCAAAATTATATATTTGTCTATTTCTGCATCATGCAAAAGTGATTGGAAATATTGTCATTGAATTTGGAGGTTATCTCTGCAACAGACTATTTTTTGTGGTGATAAACAAAATTCACTTTGAGAAGCTCTGGTAGGTACTCCAAAGAGGTAATGATTCCAATGTTACTGCAGGCTGGAGGACATGTGCCTTATGTATTAATAAGCTGTGCACAAAGAAAACAGTGGAGTGATTTGCAAGTAAAGCTGTTTCTCCTACAGGCAACTCTTTGCAGGGTTGCTCAGAGGCAAATAATAATTTATTTAAAAATAGACATGGTTGTCCTGTACAATGGTAAGGAGACTCCTAGAAACTAGAAAATAATACTCATGTGATATTTTGTCATTTTCTATAGTGTTTTCAAAAGCATTATCACCTTTGATCTTTTCAGCCATTATATTATTTCTCTTTTACAGATGAAGCAACTGAGGCTTACAAGGGTCAAATGAATTTTCTAAGGCTCAAAGCTAAGACATGGATTTTCTGATTCCAAGCGCCCTTTCCTTCTACCTCCATCCCAACTGCTTTGAAATTGCTAATACTAGGGTAGAGGTGGAGCAAGATGGCCAAAGAGAAGCCTCCAGCAATTGTCCCCCATCCCCGCTTGCAGGCACAAATTGAACAGTGATCCACACAAAAAAGCACCTTCATAAGAACCAAAAATCAGGTGAGCAATCACAGTAACTGGTTTTAATATCATACCAAGGAAAGAAGCACCGAAAAGGGTAGGAAAGACATTCTTGAATTGCCTACAACATCCCTCCCCCAGCCCCCAGCAGCAACCACATGGTGTTCAGAGCAGGCTTGGGAGAGGAAGATTGCAGTGACTGTGGGACTTGCATTGAAACTCAATGTTGCCCTGTCACAGCAGAAAGCAACATGGAGCAGAACTCAGCCAGTGCCCACAGAAGGAGCACTTAGACCAGCCCTAATCAGACGCAAATTGTCCATCTCAGCAGTCAGAAACTAAATTCTGGCAAGCCCTGTCACTGTGGGCTAAAGTGCTCTGGGATCTCAAATAAACTTGAAAGGCAGTGTAAGCCACAAGAATTGCAATTCTTGGTCAAATCCTGGTGTGCTAGCCTCAGAGCCAGTGGACTTGGGGAACATGCGACCTAGTAAGACACCAGCTGGGGTGACCAAGAGAGTGCTTGTGCCACCCCTCCTCCAATCCCAGGCAATGCAGCTCCCAACTCCAGGGCGGACTCATTCCTTCTGCTTGAAGACAGGAGAGGGGAGAGTAAAGAGGACTTGGTCTTGCAATTTGGATACTACATCAGCCACAGTAGAACAGGGCACCAGGCAGAGTCCTGAGGTCACCATGCCAGGCCCTAGCTCCCAAATGATATTTCTAGATACACACTGGGCCAGAAAGAAACCGGCTGCCTTGAAGGGAAGGAATCAGTACTGGCAGGATTCATCTCCTGCTGACTAAAGAGCCCTTGGGCCCTGAATAATCAGTGTGATAGCCAGGCAGTACTTGCCAGGAGTTTTGAGTGAGACTCAGAGCTGTTCTTGCTTCAAGAGTGACCCAGCATATTCCCAGCTGTGGTGGCTATAGGGAGAGTCTCTGTAAAGGAGAAGGAAGAGTAAAGAGGACTTTGTCTTGCAGCTTGGGTACTGGTTCTGCCACAGTGGGTGTAGAGCACCAAATGGACTCTTGGGGAAACTGATTCCAGGCCTTGGCTCTTGGATAGTATTTCCGGACCTGCCCTGGGCCAGAGAGGAGCCCACTTCCTTGAAGGGAGAGACTCAGCCTTGGTAGCATTCACCATAAGCTAACTAAAGAACCCCTGGGCCTTGAGTGAAGATTGGTGGTAGCCAGACAATACTTGCCATGAACATGGGGGTGGTGGTGGCCACAGGGAGAGACTCCTTTGCTTGAGGACAAGGAAGGAAAGTGTGGAAAAAATCTTTGTCTTATGGATTGGGTGCCAGCTCAGTCACAGCTCGAGGCCTTGGCTCCTGGACACCATCCCTGGACCTGCTTGAGGAACTCATCACCCTGAAGGGAAGGACATAAGACAGGCTGGCTTCACCACTGACTGATTGTATAGCCCTTAGGCTTTGAGCAAACACAGACATTACCCAGGGAGTGGTCTCTGTGGGCGTTGGGCGAGACTCAGTGCTGTGCCAGCTTTGGGTCTGACCTAGCACAGTCCCAATGGTGTTGACTACAAATGTGATTGTGTCATCCCTACCCCAGATTCAGGCAGGTCGGCAGAGAATGAGAGGGAGAGAGAGAGAGAGAAAGAGAGAGAGAGAGAGAGACTCTATTTGTTTGGGGGAAAGTGAGAGAAGAGAACAAGAGTCTCTGCTTGGTAATCCAGGGAATTTTCCTGGCTCTTACCCAAGAGCATGCAGGCAGTAACTCTATGAGTCTGAAAGAGCCACAGCATTACTGAGCATGGGATGCTCCATAAAGCAGATATGGCTGCAGTGACCAAAGACTAAGATCACAGCATCCAAATCCCTTCGAATACTTGGAAAGTCTCCCAAGGAGGGCAGGTATGAACAAGCCCAGACTGTGAAGACTACAATAAACATCTAACTTTTCAATGCTCAGACACTGAAAAACATCTACTAGCATTAACACCATCCAGGAAAACATGACCTCACAAAATGAACTAAATAAAGCACCAGATAGCAATCCTGGAAAAATAGAGATATGTGACCTTTCAGACAGATAATTCAAAATAGTTGTGTTGAGGAAATTCAAGGAAATTAAAGATAACACTAAGAAAGAATTCAGAATTCTATCAGATATATTTAACAAAGAGATGGAAATAATCTAAAAAAAAATAAGCAGACATTCTGGTGCTGAAAAATGCAACTGACACACTGAAGAATGCCTCAGAGTCTCTTAACAGCATAATTGACCAGGCAAAAGAAAGAATTAGTGAGTTTTAAAACAGGCTATTTGAAAATGTAGTCAGAAGAGACAAAAAAAAAAAAAAAATAGCAAACAATGAAGCACACCTACGAGATCTAGAAAACAGCCTCAAAAGGGCAAATCTAAAAGTTATTGGCCTTAAGAAGGAGAGAGAGAGAGAGAGAGAGACAGAGAGAGAAAGAGAGATCTTGGTAGAAAGTTTATTCAAAGGGATAATAACAGAGAACTTCCCAAACCTAGAGAAAGATATTAATATCCAAGTACAAGAACACGAAGAAGATTTAATCCAAAAAAGACCACCTCAAGGCATTTAATAATCAAACTCCCAAAGGTCAAAGATAAAGAAAGGATCCTAAAAGTAACAAGAGAAAATAAACAAGTAACATAGAATGGAACTCATATATGTCTGGCAGCAGACTTTTCAGTGGTAGCCTTATAGGCCAGGAGAGAGTGGCATGACTTACCTGAAGGGCTGAAGAAAAAAAAAAAAAAAACTTTTACCCTAGAATAGACTATCCAGTGAAAATATCCTTGAAACATGAAGGAAAAATAAAGACTTTCACAGATCAACAAGAGCTGAAGGAATTCATTAACACCAGACTTTTCCTACAAGAAATGCTAAAGGGAGCTCTTTAATCTGAAAGAATAGGATGTTAGTGAGCAATAACAAATTATCTGAAAATACAAAACTCATGGGTAATTGAAAGTACACAGAAAAACACAGAATATTGTAACACTGTAATTGTGGTGTGTGAACTACTCATATCTTGAGTAGAAAGACTATGAGATGAACCAATCAAAAGTAATAACTGAAACTACTTTTCAAGACATAAACAGTACAATAAGATGTAAATAGAAACGACAAAGTGACAACAAGCAGAGAGATGAAGTTAAAATGTAGAGTTTTTATTAGTTTTCTCTTTCCATGTTTTTTTATGCGATAGAGTGTTGTCATCAGTTTGAAATAATGAGTTAGAAAATATTATGTACAAGCCTCATGGTAACCTCAAATCAATAACATGCAACAAATACACACAAAAAAAAATAAAAAGGAAGAAAATAAAATACACCACCAGAGAAAACCACTTTCACTAAAAGGGAGACAGGAAAGAAGGAAAAAAGGAAGAGAAGACCACAGAATAACCAGAAAACAACCAAATGGCAGGAGTAAGCCCTTAGTTATCAATCATAACGCTGAATCTAAATGGACGAAACTCTCCAAGCAAAAGTTATAGACTGGCTGAATGGATGAAAAACAAGACACCTGGATGGAGCTGGAGGCCATTATACTAATTAAGTAACCAAAGAATGGAAAACCAAATACTGTATTTTCTCATTTATAAGTGGGAGCTAAGCTATGAGAACGCAAAAACATACAGAGTGATATAATGGACTTTGAGGACTCCGTGGGGGTGGGGTGTTGAGAGAGGGTGAGGAATAAAAGACTACATATTGGTCATACTGAATAGGCAAAAGCTGAAGCATTCCCTTTGAAAACCAGTGCAAGACAAGGATTCCCTCTCTCACCAATCAAGTGGTACAGTACCCAAAACAGCATGGTACTGGTACCAAAACAGAGATATAGACACGTGGAACAGAGCAGAGGCCTCAGAAATAACACCACACATCTACAACCACCTGATCTTTGACAAACTTGACAAAAACAAACAATGGGGAAAGGATTCCCTATTTAATAAATGGTGTTGGGAAAACTCGTTAGCCTCATGCAGAAAACTGAAAGTGGACCTCTTCCTTACACGTTATACAAAATTAACTCAAGATGGATTAAAGACTTAAATGCAAGACCTAAAACCATAAAAACTGTAGAAGAAAACCAAGGCAATACCATCCAGGACATAGGCATGGGTAGAGACTTCATGACTAAAACACCAGAAGCAATGGCAACAAAAGCCAAAATTGACAAATGGGATCTAATTAAACTAAAGAGCTTCTGCACAGCAGAAGAAACTATCAGCAGAGGGAACAGGCAACTTACAGAATGGGAGAAAATTTTTGCAATCTATTCATCTGACAAAGAGCTAATATCCAGAATCGACAAGGAACTTAAACAAATTTACAAGAAGAAAACAAATAACTCCATCAAAAAGTGGGTGAAGAATATGAACAGACACTTCTCAAAAGAAGACATTTATGCTGCCAACAAACATGAAAAAAAGCTCATCATCACTGGTCATTAGAGAAATGCAAATCAAAACCACAATGAGATACCATCTCATGCCAGTTAGAATGGCGATTAAAAAGTCAGGAAACAACAGATGCTGGTGAGGATTTGAAGAAATAGGAACGCTTTTACACTGTTGGTGGGAGCATAAATTAGTTCAACCATTGTGGAAGACAGTGTGGCAATTCATTAAGGATCTAGAACCAGAAATATCATTTGACTCAGCAATCCCATTACTGGGTATATACCCAAAAGATTATAAATCATTCTTCTATAAAGACAAATGCACACGTATGTTTATTGCAGCACTATTCACAATAGCAAAGACTTGGAACCAACCAAAATGCCCATCAATGATATACTGGATAAAGAAAACGTGGCACATATACACCATGGAATACTATGCAGCCATCAAAAAGGATGAGTTCATGTCCTTTGCAGGGACATGGATGAAGCTGGAAACCATCATCCTCAGCAAACTAAAACACAAGAACAGAAAACCAAACACCACATGTTCTCACTCATAAGTGGCAGTTGAACAATGAGAACACATGGACACAGGGAGGGGAACATCATACACCAGGGCCTGTCAGGGAGTGGGGTAGGGCTAGGGGAAAGATAGCATTAGGAGAAATACTTAATGTATATGGCAGGTTGATGGGTGCAGCAAACCACCATGGCACGAGTATACCTATGTAAGAAACCTGCACGTTCTGCACATGTATCCCAGAACTTAAAGTATATAAACATATATTATCTACATACTATATATATGCTTTATAAATGTATTATATATATACTATACTATATATATGCTTTATGTAGTATATATATAATATATTAGTATAGCTGCTAATTTTTTTGGTTTCCATTTGCATGAAATATCTTTTTCATTCCTTTACTTTCAGGCAGCGTGTTTCTTTATATTTAATAGGTGAATTATGTTTCTTGTAAATAAAAATTATTATTTTAAAATATTTTTAAAATAATACTATTTTTTAATAAGAACAATTATTATTTTTTAAAAAATTTCATTAGTTTTGGGGGCACAAGTGGATTTTGGTTAAATGGGTGAGTTCTTTAGTAGTGGATTTTGAGATTTTAGTGCAGCAGTCACCTGAGAAGTGTACATTACCCAATATGTAGTTGTATATATATTATATATACACACTATATATATAAAGCATATATAGTATATATATAATATATGGGTAATGTACACTTCTCAGGTGGCTGCTGCACTAAAATCTCAAAATCCACTACTAAAGAACTCACCCATTTAACCAAAATCCACTTGTGCCCCCAAAACTAATGAAATTTTTTAAAAAATAATAATTGTTCTTATTAAAAAATAGTATTATTTTAAAAATATTTTAAAATAATAATTTTTATTTACAAGAAACATATTTCACCTATTAAATATAAAGAAACACGCTGCCTGAAAATAAAGGAATGAAAAAGATATTTCATGCAAATGGAAACCAAAAAAATTAGCAGCAATACTAATATCCGACAAAATAGATTTCAAGACAAACACTACACAAAGAGAAAAAGAAGGTCATTATATAATGATAAAGGGGTCAATTCATCAGGAGGATACAACAATTTTAAGTATATATGCACCCAACACTGGAGCACCCAGGTATCTAAAGCAAATATTATCAGAGTTGAAAGAAGAGAAAGATCCCAAAACAATAATATTTAGAGATTTTAACACACCACTTTCAGCACTGAAGAGATCATCCAGACAGAAAAATGAACAATGAAACATCGGCTTTAATCTGCATTATGTCTTAAATGGACCTAATAGATATTTAAAGACAATTTTATCCAATGGCTGCAGAATATACATTCTTTCCTCAGCATATGGATCATTCTCAATGACAGATCATATCTTAGGTCACAAAACAAGTTTTAAAAAAATTATTAACAATTGCATTCATATCAAGCTTCTTCTCTGACCACAATGGAATAAAACTAGAAATCAATAACAAGAGGAATTTTGGAAACTATACAAACCACATGGAAATTAAACAGTATACTCTGGAATGACTATGTCAATAAATAAAGAAGAAAATTTAAAAATTTATTGAAATGTACCAAATTGGAAACATACTAAACAACATACTAAAACCTATGGGATACAGCAAAAGCAATATTATGGTGAAAGTTTATAGCAATATGCACCTATATCAAAAAAGTTCAAATAAATAACCTAACAATGCATCTTAAAGAACTGGAAAAGCAAGAGCAAACCAAACTCAAATAACTGGAAGAAATGAAATGATAAATATCAGAATAGAAATAAATAAAATTAAAAGGAAAAAATAATACAAAAGATCAGTGAAATGAAAAGTTGGTTTTGTGGATGAACAAACAACATTGACAAATATTTAGCTAGACTAAGAAAAAAAGAGAAAGCTCAAATAAAATCAGAGATTAAAAAAGGAAACATTACAGTGGTTACTGCAAAAATTCAAGGCATCATTAGAGGGCATTATGAGCAACTGGATGACAATACATTGGAAAACCTAGAAGAAATTGATAAATTTTGAGAAACAGACAACTTGTGAAGATTGATTCATGAAAAAAATCTAAAGCCTGAACAGACCAATAACAAGTAATAAGATTGAAGCTGTAATGAAAAGTCTCCCCAGCAGTAAAAAGCCCAGGACCCAATGGCTTCAGTGCAGAATTTTACCAAACATTTAAAGAAGTAACATCAATCCTATTCAAAGTATTTCAAAAAATAGAGGAGAGAATCATTCCAAACTCATTCTACAAGGCCAGTATTACCCTGATAACAAAACCCAAAAGACACATAAAAAAAAGGAAAACTATAGGCCAATATCCCTGATAAACACTGATGCAAAAATCCCCAACAAAATACTAGCAAACTGAATTCAACAACACATTAAAAAGTTCATTCACCATGACTAAGTGGGATTTACCACGGGATGCAAGGATGGTTCTAAATACACAAGTCAATCAGTGTGATACATCGTATCAACAGAATGAAAGACAAAAAGCACTTGATCATTTCAATTGTTGCATGAAAAGCATTTGATAAAGTTCAATTTTTATCTTCCTTAAAATATAAAAACCTTCAAAAAACTAGGGAACATACTTCAACATAATAAAAGCCATATATGACAGACCCATAGCTAGTATCATACTAAATTCAGAAAAACTGAAGGCCTTGGCTATAAGATCTGAAACAAAACAAGGATGTTAACTTTCCCCACTGTTATTCAACAGAGTACTGGAAGTCCTAGTTAGAGCAATCAGACAAGAGAAAGAAATGAAAGGCATCCAAATTGAAAAGAAAGAAGTCAAATTATTCTTGTTTGCAGATAATATGATCTTATATTTGGAAAAGCCTAAAGTCTGCACCAAAAGCCTATTAGAACTGATAAACAAATTCAGTAAAGTTGCGGGATACAAAATCATCACATAAAAATCAGTAGCATTTCTGTATGCCAACAGTGAACAATCTAAAAAAGAAATCAAGAAAGCAATCCCATTGTCAATAGGTAAAAATAAAATAAAATACCTAGCAATAAACTTAGTCAAATAAATGAAATATCTCTACAATGAAAACTAAAAAAAAATTAATATAAGAAATTGAAGAAGACATCCAAATAATAGAAGGATATTCCATGTTCGTGGATTTCAAGAATTGATATTGTTAAAATGTCCACACTACCTGAAGCTATCTACAGATTCAACGCAATTTATATCAAAATATCAATGACATTCTTGACATAAATAGAAAAAATAATCCTAAAATTTATATAGAACCACAAGAGACCCAGGATAGGCAAAGCTATCTTGAGGAAAAAGAACAGAGCAAAACTGGAAGAATCACATTACCTGATTTCAAATTATACTACAGAGCTTTTGCAACCAAAACAACATGGTATTCACATAAAAGCAGACACATAGACCAATGGAACAGAACAGAGAACCCAGAAACAAGTCCATACATCTACAGTGAACTTATTTTCAACAAAGGTGCCAAGAACGTATATTAGAGAATGAATAGTCTCTTTAACAAAAGGTGCTAGAAAAACTGGATATCCATATGCAGAAGGAAACTAGAGCCCTATCTCTCAGCAAATACAAAAATAAAATCAAAACATATTAAAGACTTAAATCTAAGACATCAATCCATGAAACTACTTCAAGAAAACATTGGGGAAACTCTCCAGAACATTAATCTGGGCAAAAATTTCTTGAGTAATACCGCACCAGCACAGGCAACTAAAAATGGACAAATGAGGTCACATCAAGTTAAAAACCTTCTGCACAGCAAGTGATTCGATCAACAAAGTGAAGAGACAACCCACAGAATGAGAGCAACTATTTGCAAACTACCCATCTGACCAGGGACTAGTAACTAGGGCATATAAAGAGCTCAAGCACTCTGTAGGAAAAAAAAAATCTAACAATCTGATTAAAAAATGGGCAAAAGATCTGGGTAGACATCTCTCAAAATAAAACATACAAATGACAAACAGATATATGACAAGGTCCTCAACCTCACTGATCATCAGAGAAGTGCACATCAAAACAACAATGAGATCTCATTTCACCACAGTTAAAATGGCTTTCATCCAAAGAACAGGCAGTAATGAATGCTGGTGAGGATGTGGAGAAAAGAGTATCCTCATACACTGTTGGTGGATATGTAAGTCAGTAAAACCATTATGTAGAATAGATTTGAGGTTCCACAAAATACTAAAAATAGAGCTATCATATGACCCAGCAATCCCACTGCTGGGTATACACCCTAAAGAAAGAAAATCAGTATATCAAAGAGATCTGCATTCCCACGTTTATTGCAGCACTATTCACAATAGTCAATATTTGGAAGCAACTCTTGTCTATCAACAGACAAATGGATGAAGAAAATGTGGTACATACATACAATAAAGTACTATTAAGCCATAAAAAAGAAAGAGATCCTGTCATTTGCAATAACATGGATGGAACTAGAGGACATTATATTATGTGAAATAAGCCAGGCACAGAAAGACAAACTTGGCATTTTCTCACATATTTGTGGGAGCTAAAACTTAAAACAATTGAGCTCATAGAGATAGAGAGTGGAATGATGGTTATCAGAGGCTGGGAAGGGTAGTGGGAGGGGAGGAAGTGGGATGGCTACTGGGTACAAAAGTATAGTTAGAATGAATAAGATCTAGTATTTGATAGCTCAACAGGGTGACTGCAGTCAACAATAATTTATTATACATCTTAAAATAACTAAAAGAATATAATTGGATTGTTTGTATCACAAAGAAAGGATAAATGCTTGTGGTGAGGGATACCCCATTAACTCTGGTGATTATTATACACTGTATGCTTGTATCAAAATGCCTCAGGTACCTCATACATATATACACCTACTTTGTACCCACAAAAATAAAAAATAACTTTAAAATTACCCAGAAAAAAATGTCTGAAACTAGTCAGAGAAAGGCTTATCTGCAGGATCCATTTTATGCATATATTCCATGGTGTGAGTCAGCAAACTCTGGAATTATATTTCCTAGAACAGTGAGGGCCTCCTTGAGGCAACATACTGATCATATTCTGTTCCAAAAATGGGTCAGGTCACTCACTGATGTTACTAGCAACAAGGGTGTCAAATGCTCACACCATCATAAAAGGGCTTGCTAGTCGAGAGTGATCTTTGTGTTATTAGATGTGTGTGTACATGATGGGCATTTCTCTAGGACCCCATAGGAGCATAGGAGATGGATTAATGAAGAAGAAAGAAGGGCTACCAAGTGAAGATTGGGCCAAGCTGACATGACTAAAAGAGAGTCAGCCACCTTATGGGAAAGTGTCTAATGCCCAAAGAAAGCTCTTCATTGTTTTTTTCTGAGATTCCAAGGAATATAATCCTATTTTTATTTTCTATACTGGATTTCTAGTTTGTTCTCCCTCAGTATTTACTAATGGGCATTTTGATGAATGAGAGTTCATTTCTATTATTTTCTAAGAACCCAAGGAATGTGATCTGTACTTATACTCAGGGTTGAGATGAGAAAGAACAGTGGGTGGTAACACTAGAAACCAAAGTAAGATTTTTGTGAAGATGGCCGAATAGGAACAGCTCCAGTCTACAGCTCCCAGCGTGAGCAACACAGAAGATGGGTGATTTCTGCATTTCCAACTGAGGTACCGGGTTCATCTCACAGGGGAGTGTCAAATGGTGGGTGCAGGACAGTGGGTGCAGCGCACCGAGCATGAGCCAAAGCAGGGCGAGACATCGCCTCACCCAGGAAGCACAAGGGATCAGAGAATTCCCTTTCCTAGTCAAAGAAAGGGGTGACAGATGGCACCTGGAAAATCGGGTCACTCCCACCATAATACTGCACTTTTTCAATGGTCTTCACAAACGGCACACCAGGAGATTATATCCTGTGCCTGGCTCAGAGGGTCCTACGCCCACAGAGCCTCGCTCATTGCTAGTATAGCAGTCTGAGACCAAACTGCAAGGCAGCAGCGAGGCTGGGGGAGGGGTGCCCGCCATTGCTGAAGCTTGAGTAGGTAAACAAAGCAGCTGGGAAGCTCGAACTGGGTGGAGCCCACCACAGCTCAAGGAGGCCTGCCTGCCTCTGTAGACTCCACCTCTGGGGGCAGGGCATAGCCGAACAAAAGGCAGCAGAAACCTCTGCAGACTTAAATGTCCCTGTCTGACAGCTTTGAAGAGAGTAGTGGTTCTCCCAGTATGCAGCTGGAGATCTGAGAACGGACAGACTGCCTCCTCAAGTGGTTCCCTGAACCCCGAGTAGCCTAACTGGGAGGCACCCCCAAGTAGGGGCAGACTGACACCTCACACATCCGGGTATTCCTCTGAGACAAAACTTCCAGAGGAATGATCAACCAGCAACATTTTCTGTTCACCAATATCCACTGTTCTGCAGCCTCTGCTGCTGATAACCAGGCAAACAGGGTCTGGAGTGGACCTGCAGCAAACTCCAACAGACCTGCAGCTGAGGGTCCTGACAGAAGGAAAACTAACAAACAGAAAGGACATCCACACCAAACGCTCATCTGTACATCACCATCTTCAAAGACCAAAGGGAGATAAAACCACAAAGATGGGGAAAAAACAGAGCAGAAAAACCGGAAACTCTAAAAATCAGAGTGCCTTTCTTCCTCCAAAGGAATGCAGCTCCTCACCAGCAATGGAACAAAGCTGGATGGAGAATGACTTTGACGAGTTGAGAGAAGAAGGCTTCAGACAATCAAACTACTCTGAGCTAAAGGAGGAAGTTCGAACGCATGGCAAAGAAGTTAAAAACCTTGAAAAAAAATTAGACAAATGGCTAACTAGAATAACCAATGCAGAGAAGTCCTTAAAGGACCTGATGGAGCTGAAAAACACAGCACGAGAACTACGTGACAAATGCACAAGCCTCAGTAGCCGATTAGATCAACTGGAAGAAAGGGTATCAGTGATTGAAGATCAAATGAATGAAATGAAGCGAGAAGTTCAGAGGAAAAAGAATAAAAAGAAATGAACAAAGCCTCCAAGAAATATGGGACTATGTGAAAAGACCAAATCTATGTCTGATTGGTGTACCTGAAAGTGATGGGGAGAATGGAACCAAGTTGGAAAACACTCTGTAGGATATTATCCAGGACAACTTCCCCAATCTAGCAAGGCAGGCCAATATTCAAATTCAGGAAATACAGAGAACACCACAAAGATACTCCTTGAGAAGAGCAACTCCAAGACACATAATTGTCAGATTCACCAAAGTTGAAATGAAGGAAAAAATGTTAAAGGCAGCCAGAGAAACAGGTCAGGTTCCCCACAAAGGGAAGCCCATCAGATTAAGAGCTGATCTCTCAGCAGAAACTCTACAAGCCAGAAGAGAGTGGGGGCCAATATTCAACATTCTTAAAGAAAAGAATTTTAAAACCAGAATTTCATATCCAGCCAAACTAACCTTCATAGGTGAAGGAGAAATAAAATCCTTTACAGACAAGCAAATGCTGAGAAATTTTGTCACCACCAGGCCTGCACTGCAGGAGCTCCTGAAGGAAGCACTAAACATGGAAAGGAACAACCGGTACCAGCCACTGCAAAAACATACCAAATTGTAAAGACCGTCGAGGCTAGGAAGAAACTGCATCAACTAACGAGCAAAATAACCAGCTAACATCATAATGACAGGATCAAATTCACACATAACAATATTAACCTTAAATGTAAATGGGCTAAATGCTCCAATTAAAAGACACAGACTGGCAAATTGGATAAAGAGACAAGACCCATCAGTGTGCTGTATTCAGGAAACCCGTCTAACATGCAGAGACACACATAGGCTCAAAATAAAGGGATGGAAGAAGATTTATCAAGCAAACGGAAAACACAAAAAGGCAGGGATTGCAATCCTAGTCTCAGATAAAACAGACTTTAAACCAACAAAGATCAAAAGAGACAAAGAAGGCCATTACATAATGGTAAAGGGATCAATTCAACAAGAAGAGCTAACTATCCTAAATATATATGCAACCAATACAGGAGCACCCAGATTCATAAAGCAAGTCCTTAGAGACCTACAAAGAGACTTAGACTCCCACACAATAATAATGGGAGACTTTAACACTCCACTGTCAAGCAGACCTAACAGACATCTACAGAACTCTCCACCCCAAATCAACAGAATATACATTCTTTTCAGCACCACACCACACCTATTCCAAAATTGACCACATAGTTGGAAGTAAAGCACTCCTCAGCAAATGTAAAAGAACAGAAATTATAACAAACTGTCTCTCAGACTACAGTGCAATCAAACTAGAACTCAGGATTAAGAAACTCACTCAAAACCGCTCAACTACATGGAAACTGAACAACCTACTCCTTAATGACTACTAGGTACATAATGAAATGAAGGCAGAAATAAAGATGTTCTTTGAAACCAATGAGAACAAAGACACAACATACCAGAATCTCTGGGACACATTCAAAGCAGTGTGGAGAGGGAAATTTATAGCACTAAATGCCCACAAGAGAAAGCAGGAAAGATCCAAAATTGAAACCCTAACATCACAATTAAAAGAACTAGAGAAGCAAGGGCAAACACATTCAAAAGCTAGCAGAAGGCAAGAAATAACTAAGATCAGAGCAGAACTGAAGGAAATAGAGATGTAAAAAACCCTTCAAAAAATCAATGAATCCAGGAACTGGTTTTTTGAAAAGATCAACAAAATTGATAGACCACTAGCAAGACTAATAAAGAAGAAAAGGGAGAAGAATCAAATAGACGCAATAAAAAATGATAAAGGGGATATAATCACCGATCCCACAGAAGTACAAACTACCATCAGAGCATACTATAAACACCTGTATGCAAATAAACTAGAAAATCTAGAAGAAATGGATAAATTCCTCGACACATACACCATCCCAAGACTAAACCAGGAAGAAGTTGAATCTCTGAATAGACCAATAACAGGCTCTGAAATTGAGGATATAACTAATAGCTTACCAATCAAAAAAAGTCCAGAACCAGATGGATTCACAGCTGAATCCTACCAGAGGTACAAGGAGGAGCTGGTACCCTTCCTTCTGAAACTATTCCAATAAATAGAAAAAGAGGGAATCCTCCCTAACTCATTTTAGGAGGCCAACATCATCCTGATACCAAAGCCAGGCAGAGACACAACAAAAAAGAGAATTTTAGACCGATATCCCTGATAAACATTGATGCAAAAATCCTCAATAAAATACCAGCAAAAAGCGTATCCACTATGATCAAGTGGGCTTCATCCCTGGGATGCAAGGCTGGTTCAATATACGCAAATCAATAAACATAATCCAGCATATAAACAGAACCAACGACAAAAACCACATGATTATCTCAATAGATGCAGAAAAGGCCTTTAACAAAATTCAACAGCGCTTCATGCTAAAAACTCTCAATAAATTAGTTATTGATGGGACGTATCTCAAAATAATAAGAGCTATCTATGACAAACCCACAGCCAATATCATACTGAATGGGCAAAAACTGGAAGCATTCCCTTTGAAAACTGGCACAAGACAGGGATGCCCTCTCTCACCACTCCTATTCAACATACTGTTGGAAGTTCTGGCCAGGGCAATCAGGCAGGAGAAGGAAATAAAGGGCATTCAATTAGGAAAAGAGGAAGTCAAATTGTCTCTGTTTGCAGATGACATGATTGTATACCTAGAAAACCCCATCGTCTCAACCCAAAATCTCCTTAAGCTGATAAGCAACTTCAGCAAAGTCTCAGGATACAAAATCAATGTGCAAAAATCACAAGCATTCTTATGCACCAATAACAGAAAACAGAGAGCCAAATCATGAGTGAACTCCCATTTGCAATTGCTTCTAAGAGAATAAAATACCTAGGAATCCAACTTACAAGGGACTTGAAGGACCTCTTCAAGGAGAACTACAAACCACTGCTCAATGAAATAAAAGAAGATACAAACAAATGGAAGAACATTCCATGCTCATGGGTAGGAAGAATCAATATTGTGAAAATGGCCATACTGCCCAAGGTAATTTATAGATTCAATGCCATCCTCATCAAGCTACCCATGACTTTCTTCACAGAAATGGAAAAAACTACTTTAAAGTTCATATGGAACCAAAAAAGAGCCTGAATCGCCAAGTCAACCCTAAGCCAAAAGAACAGAGCTGGAGGCATCACGCTATCTGACTTCAAACTATACTACAAGGCTACAGTAGCCAAAACAGCATGGTACTGGTACCAAAACAGAGATATAGACCAATGGAACAGAACAGAGCCCTGAGAAATAATGCCGCATATATACAACCATCTGATCTTTGACAAACCTGACAAAAACAAGAAATGGGGAAAGGATTCCCTATTTAATAAATGGTGTTGGGAAAACTGGCTAGCCATATGTAGACAGCTGAAACTGGATCCCTTCCTTACACCTTATACTAAAATTAATTCAAGATGGATTAAAGACTTACATGTTAGACCTAAAACCATAAAAACCCTAGAAGAAAACCTACGCAATACCATTCAGGACATAGGCATGGGCAAGGACTTCATGTCTAAAACACCAAAAGCAATGGCAACAAAAGCCAAAATTGACAAATGGGATCTAATTCAACTAAAGAACTTCTGCATAGCAAAAGAAACTACCATCAGAGTGAACAGGCAACCTACAGAATGGGAGAAAACTTTTGCAATCTACTCATCTGACAAAGGGTAATATCCAGAATCTACAAAGAACTCAAACAAATTTACAAGAAAAAAACAAACAACCCTATCAAAAAGTGGGCAAAGGATATGAACAGACACGTCTCAAAGAAGACATTTACACAGCCAACAGACACATGAAAAAATGCTCATCATCACTGGCCATCAGAGAAATGCAAATCAAAACCACGAGATACCATCTCACACCAATTAGAATGGTGATCATTAAAAAGTCAGGAAACAACAGGTGCTGGAGAGGACGTGGAGAAATAGGAACCCTTTTACACTGTTGGTGGGACTGTAAACTAGTTGAACCATTGTGGAAGTCAGTGTGGCGATTCCTCAGGGATCTAGAACTAGAAATACCATTTGACCCAGCCATCCCATTACTGGGTATATACCCTAAGGATTATAAATCATGCTGCTATAAAGACACATGCACACGTATGTTTATCATGGCACTATTCACAATAGCAAAGCCTTGGAACCAACCCAAATGTCCATCAATGATAAACTGGATTAAGAAAATGTGGCACATATATACCATGGAATACTACGCAGCCATAAAAAATGAAGAGTTCATGTCCTTTGTAGGGACATGGATGAAGCTGGAAACCATCATTCTCAGCAAACTATCACAAGGACAAAAAACCAAACACCGCATGTTCTCACTCACAGGTGAGAATTGAACAATGAGAACACATGGACACAGGAAGGGGAACATCACACACTAGGGCCTGTGGTGGGGAGAGGGGAGAGGGGAAGGATAGCATTAGGAGATATACCTAATGTTAAATGATGAGTTAATGGGTGCAGCACACCAACATGGCACATGTATACATATGTAACAAACCTGCATGTTGTGCACATGTACCCTAAAACTTAAAGTATAAAAAAAAAAGTAAGAGAAATTGAGTCTCAATGAGGACAAGGAACTCTGAGGGACAGAACTGGAAAACGCTATCTGACTTCCTAGACAGCACCTCTGTCCCTCAACCCCACAGCATTTTATTTTCTATTCTAACATAGGAGGCCTTTCTTTTCCACATGTAATTTATAGTTCTGTAATGATGTTGGAGTCTCTACCTAAAAAAGAAAATCTGATCATCTGGAAGCCACAATCCCCAAACCATCTCAGTGAAGTCAACCAATTACTAAACACAGCCACCTATCTCCCTCCAATTCCCCATATACACCTACTATTCGTAAAGGTTTGGTTATCACACAGCAGACAAAGCTGCCTCTACTCCACATCAGCAGTTAAAATTCTGTTTGATTACTGGTGTGAACCTTTTTGTATATACTGAATCTCCCATGCTGCCCTGAGTTTTCCTGCCTCTGCTGGTTTTCTGATTTCCAAACCCCTCGTGGTTTTCTAATGTCCAAAGAAGGTGACTTGGAACAGGACGTCCCCTTTGGCCTTGACCCCTACAGTTCTATGTAAAGCCAACTACTGGTTGCCCAGAACTCACACATCTCTCCCTAGTTTCAAGTGATCTCACTGGGCGTGGTGGTGTGCACTTGTAGTCCCAGCTACTCAGGAGGCTGAGATGGGAGGATTGCTTGAGTCCAGGAGTTTGAGGGTGTAGTACGCTATGATCACACTTGTGAAGAGCTGCACACTGCAGCCTGGGCAACATAGCAAGACCCTGTCTATAAAGAATAAAATAAAATAAAGTGATCTCACTGCTTCTATTGTGCCCATAGCCAAACACAATTACAAGTTAAATGGATAAAACTTATACATTTCTCTCTACTATCCCTTCCTCTGCTTCTTTTTCCCTTTCTGTTCTTTCATCTAAACAAATACTCAATGCTTTCATTTGACCTCTGGCTCCTCAAAGCCTGCAGCTTTCATGCTGTATCTAAGCCTTCCTATTCTACATAAGAATTTTCTCTTCAGAACTTCTCTTGTATTCTGTATCCCCTATAAAATATAATATTGGTGATTCCATTCCTCCACAGTCTTGCTAATGGACATACTGACAGTCTAATGCTCAATACTATTTCTTGATTATGGCTGAATGTGTCCCAGGAGGCAAAGCCTTCCAAAACAATTCCACATATGATGGGAGTTTCAGACACTGTGAGACAGCATCAGTAGCAAGATATCTTCAGGTAGAGGGCCCTTTCATAAATTCTTAAGTCATAACACATGATTGGTTATCTGTGATAGACATGCTCCAATCCCAAACCCCTGTTTTGACCCTGAATTTCCAATGGTGGAAATGGATGCTAAGGAAATTTAAAAAGAAAAAAAGGACATGAATACAACCTGAGTATATGGAAACAATCTAAACCTCCAATAATATAGAGGCATGAGGACAACCGAGCAAAACAGTGACTCTATAAATTATATGCATGCATGAGGGCCAGACCTAAAGGAAATGAAGACAAGTTTTAAGTATTTGTTGTGTTAGGGTGGTGGGCTTAAAAATAAAGTCATTAGCAGAAAGTGTAAACCTCCAGATAGGTGATGTGTTTTCACATACTTAAGAATTAAGGTTGAAGCCCACCAGACACAATGCACTCCAGTAGAGGTTTTCAATGTGTTTAAAGTAAAATCATGGTTTCAGCCAAGTGAGTCTTCCTCTGAAGAGCTCAGTCTAGTGGAGGAAAGAGAACTGTAAGTGTATTACTGAAAGATAAAGCAGGAAGTGGAGACACCCATGAAGTGATGTGGAGTACAGGAGAGGGCGGGGTACCTTTCAGTCGGGTGAATGCTTCATGGAGGAGGAGGCATTTGAGTGAGGCCCTGAAGGAAGGTAGGACTTAAGAATATGGAAATGTGGAGAAAAAGCACCTGAGGCAGAAGAGATACCCTGAGTAAAGGTAAGGATAGGGGAAAGTGTGGATGTGCTTTGAGATAAAGGAATAATTTAACTATATTGTAATACAGCCCCTGAAATATCCTGGTATCCTTGGGTGGGAAACAAGCACTAATCTTCCATTGTAAGGATGGAATAAAAAATGAAATAAATTCATTTCAACCAAATTATCAACCAAATTGAAATAAAATTAGCAAACACTTCTGTTTGGGCTTTGATTTAAATCAATTAGTTGTTTTATAATTCTCAATAACATTTTTTTGGGGGCTTTGATTTAAACCAATCAATTGCTACAGTGATCTCTCTCTCTCATTTTCCACTTATCTCTTATGACACTTATCACAGCAGTATTTAATTTTTGTTTCCACACAGATATCTCCTACTAAGCTTTAAGATCTTTGAGAGAATGACTGTGTTTCATTCATCACTGACACTGAGTTCTTAGCATCAAGCAGAAGGGCTGCAATATACCTGCCCCACTGTGTGCTGTCATTTGCTCCCACTGGACTGAAACTATGCTTTACTCATCTCTCTCTCCCTGCCATCCAGCACGAGGCCTGACATAAAACAGATGCTTGATGTTTGTTGAACTGAGGTGAATTAGGTGTATTCCTGTTCTCTTAGTCTTCTGTGCCTCAGTTTCCACATTTGTAAAATCAGGGTAGTAGTAAGAGTATCTACTATCTTATAGCATTGTTGTGAGGATTAAGTATGCACTTAGTATAGTACTTAACACATGGAAAATGTTTGGTAACATTAGGCTCTATGATTATCATCACCATTATTATTGTTTTTGTTGTTGTTGTTAAGGCTTCCAAACCTGCTGATAGGGACAGGCTCATTGTACTATGCCAGTCTTGGTTAGGATTGTTTCAATGCCTGGGAATGGGGAGGCTCTGCTTATAGATTTTTTCTCTGTCATGTCCCATCACATTGTATCTGCCGCAGGTAGGTGCTCTTTATAGTGCTAAAGCTGCAACTGACCTTGGAAGGCAGGCCCACCAGACTGGAATCTCCTTGAGGACACGGCTAGTTCACATTTGTCTCTGGATGCATACAAGGCCTGATACCATACATGCTTGTTGAAAAAATAAATGAGTGAAAACTACTCACCTCCAGCCCTTCTTCCCTGCCATTGGACTATGAGAATACAAATGCTTATAGCCTGGAGTTCTCTCTAGCTAGGGGACAGGGCCCAGAACGCAGGGAGCTCTGTGCTGCCACCTTGTCATCACTCTAGCCAACTTTCTTTAGTTTTGGGTACTTGGGGATGGACTCATCTGTAAGGCTTCAAAGCTATCCATGTCCAAAAATAACTACTATCAAATTATCCGTATAAATAGCAACAGACAAATTATTTAATCCACATTAGCATTTCTACAGTGACATAATTGGAGCATTGAAAATGTGCTGTAATTTGATGAGGGACTGATTTCTCATTTGTGTACTAGGAAGTACTGTTATCAGTGTTTGATTCATTTTATTTTCGAAAGTCTATCACTATGCTAGGAAATTTCAAGTTGCCTTATCTCATGTTATCCTTATGAATCCTCTGGGGGTGGTCATCTGTATGCCTATTTTACAGTTAAGAAAACTAAGCCTTTGGGGGTGGTATCATTTTCCCAAGGTCACACTACTAACGGATATTAGACCTAAGATCAAGTTTTTTACCTTTATATCAATAGAATTCTTGGGTAGAGAGTACTTGAATATCTCAGTAGTGCTCACTAGGTAGGTGGGAAATCACTCTATACCTCCATATCCCTTTTTTTTGTTTCCTATATCTATCTCTGCTCCCATGGAACAATAATTTGAACTTAAACTTGCTGGCTAGTCATTGTCAAGTTGCAAAAGAGACAAAGAAAACTCTTTCCAAGTGACATGGGCTACAGAGGAGTTTTGGGGGAGTTGAAGAGGCTACACAGGTGGGATGGCAGAAGAAGCTATGCAAAAAAGTGGGGAGTAGGAGGCTTTTAGTTATAAACAACACAAATGAAGAACCAACCCCTTCTGTATTCTGAAGCTGAGCAGAGTTAAGGAACCTCAAGGACAGGATGTCTACTTACTGATGGGCCCTGAGGGCTCTTGGCTGGGTGTTATTCCCCTCTCTTCAGATGGAGCTTTGGACAAGATCTGAAGTTGATTCTGGTGGAAGTCAGAGATAAGCAGTATGTACTTGCTGGTTTTGGTTGGCTGCTTTTAAAAGAATCAGAACTGAAGAGTGGGTGAAGACAGAGGGATGTAAAGTTAACCTATGGGAAGCAGAATGAATACCACTATACTGCCATAGTTTCATTTTAAACAAAATAGAGTCATAGACCAGACCAAAGTATTACCTTGCTTCTGAAAGAAATGTCTCCCTCCCCCACAACAGACAAGACAATACCACTATAACCAAACCACATTCCTCCAAGAGGTCCATAGCACTAGGAATGTAGGAGACGGCATGCTAGATAAAAGACAATCCAGCTTAGTTTTTAAAAATATTCATCCAGCTTCAGGAAAAGGAGCTTTAAAAATTATTTACACAGGTGCTGGCTCAGGTTTCTATTGAATCTGGCCTCAGCATACTTTGAGACACACCTCTGGCTGGACAAGGGAAACCAATGGCTGGAAAATATGGAGAATAATTTATGACCTTGCTAGCTTTTCTCCTGGACAGTGGCTTAGGACTTGAATTTGCTGGGGAGGTCAGACTTATCTTGTTGGGGACAAAGATACACAGAGAGCTCTGACACCTTCAAGTCCAAAGTCTGGAAGTCAAGAGAGGCAATGAACACGTGCTGGCTGGGCTGGCTGGGGAATGTTACTCACAGTGTACTGGGAGGTAAAAAGTAAAGAGGAAGAGATTGACCTTTGTTATATTCTCATACAAATGCTGATGGCCTTTCTGGTCCCTAATTAAGTAACTCTAAAGAGAAGTGAAATCTTATGCCAACCCAAGGCCTCCTTTACCTGGGGAATACCATAGATACCATCTCTTATTTGCTCTTTCGGCCTACCCAGGGACGCTGCAAGTATACGCATGCCTATGACCAAGACTCACTCTAGGAAAAGGATACAAAACTTACTGAGTACCAGTAGCTTTATTACACATCATTTAGTTCTTAAAATAATTCTGTGAGCTATTATTATCCTTATAGAGGCATACAAAAGTGATTTGCTCGAGATCACATATGTATTAAGTCTTACAACTAAGGATTGAAATTGGGTCTGCCTGTTTCCCAAATATTATGCATACAAAGTGAACCATTGGCCAATGGATGCATCTGGATTATCTGTAAAATTGTAGAGATTTACTACTAAAATTATTGTTAAAGATTTATATTGTTATATTTTTATTTTTTATTTTAATTTTTTTATTATACTTTAAGTTTTAGGGTACATGTGCAAAACGTGCAGGTAAAATCTTCAAGATCATTTAATACAACCATGTTACTGTTCCAATGGAGATTTTAATGTACAAAGAGGGAACTAGACATGCTTAAGGCCAGGTGGTAAGTCAGCAGCAGAGCCAGAGCCCCAATCTGGTGCTTTTGCACTGCATCTTGTTACACTACCTGGATAGTAACCTTCTTCCGAAAATCCCAGACACCAGCCTAGGGCAGCTATGGACAGCTCAGCATGCGGAGGGAGCAAGGTACAAAGAGCCAACTGAAGGCCTGTCAAACAGCTTGCTGCATCTGATGAGATTCCCCACAATAACCTCCAGATTCCATAATGTTCCCCAAACAAGCCTCCCACTTTCACATCGCCGTGTCTTTGCTCAGCCTGTTCCCTCCTCCTGAAGTTCTCTTCCTACCTTTTTGTATCTGGCAAACTCTTATCCATCCCTCAAGACCCAGATCAACCCTTAACTCCTCTGTGAAGCCTTCCTAAACTTTCCAGGTAAAATAAATCATTCTCTCATACTGTCTGCTCAGGGGATTATGTACCTACTTTTAGTACAGCAGTAATCTCACTCTTTTATGTTGGTAACTATTCATCACATAGCCACTGACTATTTGTATGACTTTGGGCAAATCACTCAACTCTTCTGTGCCTCAGTTTCCTCATTTGTAAATTGAGGGTATACAGATTGAATAAGAAAATGACTACAAAGCATCTAATGCATACTGACTGCTCAATAAACAATTTTAGCTGTTATTTCATGTCTCTTATCCCAGTGCCCGGTATAGGTCTCATGTACACAGTAGGCACTGAGTGTGGAATAAATATATGTTATGTGGGGAAAGTGCCAGTCATTACATAGCCATGTTGGATATCACTGTAGTCAGGATGGGTCTATAAAATCCTTACCAAAGACAAGACTGGTATTCTGTAATCTTCTCTGGGTTATAGAGCCTCTGAGATCCATGTAAAAGCTATGAATATGCTCCCTAAAAAAGTTTATACATGCACATACACACAAAACAACCTTGGAACAATCCTCACACCAAGAAATGTCTTACAGAGTCCTCTCACTATAGAATACCTTTATTACTCATTAACTTACTAGGGAGGAAGACATACAGTTACAGAAGACAGTCTCACACAATGGCAAAGGCAGAGATGACTATCAGGGACTAAGCTCCTTCTAGGAACCAAGGGCCATAAATGCTTACTATGCTGCCTCACATAATTCTTGAGAATTGCAAGGTAATGACCTCTGTGACTCTGCTAATTAGCTATTAGGCAGGAGAGTCTCTCAGACAGAAAACTAGAAATGGCAGGGAGGCTCTCATTTCTGCCATTTATAGGCTATACAAACCCAGGAAAGTAATTTCCTCTCTCTGAGCCTCACTTTCCTTTTCCATGAAATGGTTTGACCAGATTTTTTGATTTCTAAATTCCCTTCCTTCAAGTTTTAGTGTTTAAAGATACTGCAGTTTTGAACACTGCAAATCTTTTAAGTATTTTCATGAAATAACCTGTGACCAAATCAACCATCCTGTAAGTAAATGAGCTTGTGACCTGTAGGAATGTGCTTATGTAACTTAAGGAATTGTTAGAAGTCCATGGTCTTCAGGGTCCACATACAGATACCACAATGAAATCAAGGTCCATCCACACAATGATCTGACCCAGGAGAGGAAGGAAAAACAGAATTTTAAAACCCTAATATAGGAAAACAAGTTGCTGCCTCTATGACTTTTTAATTCTATCCTGAAAGACAATATTCTCTATTTTCTGACATTGAGGAGGAGGGAAGTGGATTTCTCTTGCTCGTGGCCCCATGGAAAACACTCCGTGGGATGCTCTGCTGAGAAGGCTCAAACCAAAGAGCCAAGGAACCATTAATCTACATTTATAGCCACACATCCTGTCTAAGCTCTTTCTTTAGCTTGGTCATAAGGAGCAAAATTCTCATGAGCACAGGTGTTAAGTTGTGCTTCCTGTTCTATAGTCGTGTGACAACAGTGAATTAAGAGCTACCATGCTGGGTCTCATCAGAATCAGAACTTTCCCCTGAAGAATATAAGTTAGTAGAAGGACTATGGCCCACATGTCCCTCGCACATCTAATGAAGAGAGTTGCTGATGAACTACCAGCGGTTTTAAGTGCTTGGAATTTTCTTAGGAAGACAAGTTCCCTGTGATGTTAGCGATACTTGGTGGTTTCTCAGTTACTCCCCACAGTACTTAACATCTTTCTTAACTTCCTTCTCTCATATTTGACTCTGCTGTTGCTCTTCATTGCTGCCTTTCTTGTTGCCTAGGCATAGTACTTGGTTTCTATGTTGGCTTATTTGAGGAGCTGCTGTGACAGAGCAGAGTGAATGCTGCCTTTGACCCCAGAAGACTTGGGTTCAAATTCCAAATATATTATTTACTACCTGTTGATGAACTGGCAAAGCCTCAGTTTACTTATATGGAAAACCAAGAGAATAACCTCTCACTCTGTACCAAGAAAGTTGCGAAGTTCAAAAGGACAGCAGATAGGGTGGCCTTTCATCCACTGAAGAGCTTTAAAGATTGCCACATTTTCACGCCTGTAATCCCAGCACTTTGGGAGGCTGAGGTGGGTGGATCACGAGGTCAGGAGTTCGAGACCAGCCTGGCCAATATGGTGAAACCCTGTCTCTACTAAAAATACAGAAAAAAAAAAAAAAGCTGGGTGTGGTGATGAGCCCCTGTAGTCTCAGCTGCTCAGGAGGGTGAGGCAGGAAAATCACATGAACCTGGGAGGTGGAGGTTGCAGTGAGCCGAGATCGTGCCACTGCACTCCAGCCTGGGTGACAGACAGAGCAAGACTCCGTCTCAAAAAAAAAAAATGCCACATTTATGATCAATAAGCTATAACCTCCTGGAAGCAGGCCCTGTATCTTGCATATGTCAGCCCAATACCCTATATGTAGTAAGCACTCTGTAAATATTTACTGACTGAATGCATGAGGATATTACTACCAGGCCTGTTCTTATGAGGTGCTCTGCAGAGACAGGCATTAGTCTAGATAGGAGGAATAGTGATTTCACTGGAGTGCCTCAGTAGTCACAACACAGCCTGGGAGCAAAGGGACTGAGAATTCTAAACCTTGTTCCCTTTATCAAGAGTCTTTCACCTCCAAATCTCAGTTCAATTTTCTGCAGGTTTGTAGGTAGAAAGCTCACTAGCATCTGTACAAGGCTGAAAGCAGCTGCCTAGCTATGAAGAGACAGGGAAGGAACATGAAAATCTGAATAACAGTTTCCAGAAGTTGCACACATGGCTACTATAACTGAAGATATTGTTGTTTTACAATGATGGCTTCTCGCAGAATTCAGTTATTTTGAGGAGCAGTATGCTCCTTGCTGTGGGTCTAGAACCCAGAGAATTAATACATAATTTCTATCTCTGAAGAGAAAGTGAGTCTAACTCTTATCCTCACAACAGCAGCCAACTGCAAAAATGAACTACCAGAGTTTGATAGTCACCCAGCAATTCCCTGAAAGGACTGAAGAAGCTTCTGACTGCAGAATATGGAGAGGCACATAAAAAATTGATAAGGGTTACTGTAGCCTTGTAGTATAGTTTGAAGTCAGGTAGCTTGATACCTCCAGCTTTATTCTTTTTGCTTAGAATTGTCTTGGGTATATGGGCTCTTTTTGGTTCCATATGAAATTTAAAGTAGTATTTTCTAATTCTGTGAAGAAAGTCAATGGTAGCTTAATGGGGATAGCATTGAATCTATAATTTACTTTGGGCAGTATGGCAATTTTCACGATATTGATTGTTCCTATCCATGAGCATGGAATGTTTCTCCTTTTGTTTGTGTCCTCTCTTATTGCCTTGAGCAGTGGTTTGTAGTTCTCCTTGAAGAGGTCCTTCACATCCCTTGTGAGTTGTATTCCTAGGTATTTTATTCTCTTTGTAGCAATTGTGAATGGGCAAAGTCTTCATGGCTAAAACACCAAAAGCAATGGCAACAAAAGCCAAAATTGACAAATGAAATCTAATTAAACTAAAGAGCTTCTGCACAGCAAAAGAAACTATCATCAGAGTGAACAACCAACCTACAGAATGAGAGAAAATTTTCGCAATCTATCCATCTGACAAAGGGCTAATATCCAGAATCTACAAGGAACTTAAACAAATTTACAAGAAAAAAATAACCAACCACACCAGAAAGTGGGTGAAGGATATGAACAGACACTTCTCAAAAGAAGACATTTATGCGGCCAACAAACATATGAAAAAAAGCTTATCATCACTGGTCATTAGGGAAATGCAAATCAAAACCACAGTGAGATACCATGTCAATGCCAGTTAGAATGGCGATCATTAAAAAGTCAGGAAACAACAGATGCTGGAGAGAATATGGAGAAATAGGAACACTTTTACATTGTTGGTGGGGGTGTAAATCAGTTCAACCATTGTGGAAGACAGTGTGGAGATTCCTCAAGGATCTAGAACCTGAAATGCCATTTGACCCAGCCATCCCATTACTGGGTATATACCCAAAGGATTATAAGTCATTCTTCTATAAAGACGCATGCATACGTATGTTTATTGCAGCACTATTCACAATAGCACAGACTTGGAACCAACCGAAATGCCCATCAATGATATACTGGATAAAGAAAATGTGGCACATATACACCATGGAATACTATGCAGTCATAAAAAAGGATGAGTTCATGTCCTTTGCAGGGACACGGATGAAGCTGGAAACCATCATTCTCAGAAAACAAACACAGGAACAGAAAACCAAACACTGCATGTTCTCACTCATAAGTGGGAGTTGAACAATGAGAACACATGGACACAGGGAGGGGAACATCACACACTGGGGCTTATTAGGGGGTGGTGGGCTAGTGGAGGGATAGCATTAGGAGAAATACCTAATGTAGATGACGGGTTGTTGGTTGCAGCACACCACCACGGCACGTGTATACCTATATAAGAAACCTGCATATTCTGAACGTGTATCACAGAAGTTAAATATAATGAATTGAAAAATAATAATAAGGGACTAGGAAATTGGTAAGGCATGGTAGCAGAAGGCAATGGACTCAAAAGGTCTTGCAAGTGACAAAAGTTATGTAAGCATTACAGATATTTACATAATGGTGCAAGTGCTATGGCAACTTCTTATTAATCCCTGTTTCATAAAATGCACAGGCTATAAATAAGCAGGCACAAGGCCACCATGAAGCAGCAATGGCAAATTCTTGGCATGGCTCCCGAATTGGGCACTGACAGAGACTTGGGTGGGCACCAACTTCAATGAGTTACAGAGCTAAATTATTTCTTCTGCAAGCCTGTGGTCTAGTCGTGTTATGGGGAGGCCCAGAATTAAGCCGGTGAGTGTGCGAAGACAGAATCATGAGGTAATATATGGCAGATCCACAACTCTGCTGGCCTCCTGGGATCTACTTTCTATGAGACACACAGTTTTTCCATGACACTTGGTACCAGAGAGTCCCCAAAGCCCTTCCTTTTTACCATCTGGAATATATGTGTCATCCAGAAAAGTTCATTCATATATAGTTCATAGTTATCCACAAATTTACAACACAGAAGTCTAGAAAATGTTTGAAATATTTTCAGTTTCTCCTCTGGGTATTGCAAGGAGGAGTGATCTACTAGATCATTAAAACAAAAAAGTATCCTCTTCTAGCATTTCTAGACTTATTTATTTTTTCTCTTGTTTAGTAAATAAGCTCAGGACCAAGAAGCCACTAGGCCAGGTATTCTGTGCTAACAAGTTGTTCAAACTTTGACTGGCCTACTAAGATACCAAGAGATGGAAAAACATAAAACCTATGCAGATTTATAAGTACAGAAGTGATTAGCTAAAGCACAGGTCAACAAACTGCAGCCCATAAACCAAATCCACTCTACCATCTGTTTTTGTGAGGCCCAAAGAGCTAAGAATGATTTCTAAATTTTTAAATGGTAAAAAAGAAAAATAATATTAAACGACATGTGAAAATTAAGTGAAATTCAAATTTCAGTGCCCATAAAGTTTTATTGGAACACAGCTACTCCCATTAGTTCCAGTATTGTCTATGGCTGCTTTCATCCTACAAAGGCAGAGTTGAGTAGTTGACACAGAGACCATATGATCTACAAAGCCTAAAATATTTACTACATGGCCCTTTACAAAAAAAGTTAACCAACCCCTAAATCTAAAGTCTGTCTGTGACATTTAAGAAAATCAGAGGCAGAAACATGAGAGGAGCTTTGTGAAAAGATCTCTAGGACTCGCAAAGTCAGGATCAGTCAACTCCTTGGCCAAAGATACCTGATGAAGGCTCTGTTGAAGCTGCAAGCAGATCCTCTTAGCAGAGTTAATTTGCCTCTGGGAAATGTTACTTGAAAAGTCAGGGAGTGAAGGGGACACTGATATGCACCAAAAACTCTCTGCTAGACTCCAAACTAGAGGCAACATTCAATTCCACATGAGTTGAGGTGGGAAAGAATGGATTTAAAGGACAGAAAGAGTTCAATGAGGGTTCACTTGCATTTCTTCCCTAACAAAAACCTGGAGTGAGAGAGAGAATCAAAGCCATACTTACATAAAATTTGCTAAAGAAACTAAATTGGGACCTATTGTAAACATCAGTGAGGATGGTGTAATTCTTTGAGTTCAGAATGTAAACTACAGTTTCAATTTTATGATGTGTACCAAACAGCACTCCATGTGTACAAAACAAATGGACATATAATCTTCAATGTTTTACTAGAAAATGTCTGAAAAATAGTAAATTCTTGAGCACATAATGCACATGATGGATTAATTAACCCTCTTTGAAACATAATGAGGTAGAGATGGGGATTCATATCCTGATTTTCCAGATGAGAAAATAGAAAAGAAAGGAAGTTACCCAGCAATGATCACAAGGAGAAAATCTGAGTCCTGAGTTTTAACTCACTCCATCCATAGTACACTCTCTCAGCTGGCTCTATCCCCATCTGAAGATTGCTTCTTTAATTGATTAGGATCTGGGATTAGTCACCTTCTAGGAAAGCAAGACCAAAAACTTATGCAGGTATAAATACATGTGAGTTTGCTGAAATGATGATGATTATGTTTGTAATTTGTAGAACGGTCACAAAATGTCTAAGCTGGAAGCACATTTTAAAATATCTAGTTCAAGTCCGTTGTTTTACAAACAAGGAAAACTGAGGTCCAAAAGGGAAAATTTCTTATCCAAGTCTACACAACTAAAACCTCTCTGAGCCCTTACCTCTGTTTATGTGTATTGCCTTGCTTTGACTTCCTGGTCTCTTAGCATCCAAAATGCCTTCCCTTTCACCACCCCACTCATCCTACCCACTCCATAAACCAACTATTTCCCTCCATGCCTGTTTCTAACCCAGAGTTCATCCCACCAAGCACTCAGACACAGACTTTGACCAACTTTCTCTCCCCATACACACTTTGACCAAGTTTCTCTCAACCAGAATTTGGTCATTTTACCCTCATGGCTTAGTAGCATTATTTTTTCTCACCGCACCCTTTTTTCTATGCAGACCCTCCCTGCCCAGCCTCACCCTCACCCCAATTCTCCAACATTACTGACAAGGAGAAAATGTAGGACTCCCTCTTCCCACTCTTCCTCAACAACAAAACCTGTCCAGATTACAACTGACTCTGTGCTGAGCCCTGCACCAATGACAGCCTAAAAGTCCCATCTGTTATAAACCACCAAAGCTAAAAACATATTTCTGTCTGAGATGCCAGGCTTTTAAGTCCTGTACCTATGCCCATTCCAGAGATTTATGAAACTATGAATTAAGTGATAATCAAGACTCTGAATACTCAGTCCGAGTTAACTGACTACAACAAGCAAGTAAGGAAGAGAAAGATTTTTGTTTCTATTTTCTCTAAGACAGGTATAATTTGATGTTTCAACAAGCCAGACTGAAAACCACCTCCAGAAAGGCCATATGGGCGATAAAGATGCATTGTAAAAATGGAAAAAGAAAACCA
Source organism: Homo sapiens (assembly GCF_000001405.40). Classification (NCBI taxonomy): domain Eukaryota; kingdom Metazoa; phylum Chordata; class Mammalia; order Primates; family Hominidae; genus Homo; species Homo sapiens. The sequence continues at coordinate 67,645,897 of NC_000023.11, read as the reverse complement.
AATCAATAAATGTCCTCTTTGGGTAATAAGACAGCCCCCTGCCTTCAAACAGGGATAATGATGGCAGTAAAATCAATCCAACAGCTTCACAGATGGGAGGAGAAAGAAAACACCAGTAATTTTTTTTTTGCTTCATTCTGGTGTGTGTTTGTGTGCGTGTGTGTGTGTGTTTTCTAAACCACCTTCTCCTACCTTCAAAGGGCTCAGGACTGAAATCTATGGTCCATATGTCAAAATAACCAAGGGGCTCAGAAGGTTCCCTTTTCATTGTTTTTCAAGGAATCCATTGCTGATTTTTCATATTTCAAGCAGGCAAGTGCATTTGGCCCTATGAGCTCACAGAGTTTCCCTAACTTAACAGACTCTAAGGTGTAGAGCGTTTTGAAACCTTGCTGGATTTCTGTGTGTTCTGTGAGTTGGGTGATTCCCTCCCCAAAACCTCATTTCTTTTCTTCCCTGTTCTCAAATGGCACAGGATCCACCTCATTGCAGAGCTCCTCCCAGGCAGCCCTGCCAGTTGCCCTTCTGCCTGCCTCCCTCCTTCAGCTCTAACTTCTGCAGAAAGCTCCCATGTGGGATGTATGATATGACAGCAAAATCTTCCCTTTCACAATGTGATTGAGCATTTCCCCTGTTTTCTGAAAATAACAATTTAGTGACCCATATTTGTAAAACTCAGAGGAAGCATCAAGTATAATCTAATCTATCTGACTATTGAATTTGCTTGTTTGTTCACTTGAACTCCTTTCCCATCTGATATGGCTGCTATTACTGTGGTGCAGTGCCTGGGCTTGCTGACACACTACCTCTAGATGAGTGCTCTGTTTCATTCTCTGCTCTATAGACAGGGCCCGCTAGGTGAGAGGGTATGGGGAGGTGCCAGGGTCTCACTGGGGAAGTTGGGGTGGTCTGAAGTCTCTGGAACCCATCCTCATTTCCTTTTCTGACAGCCATCCTTTCATGAGTACTCTGAAGAAAGGAAGGCACTGCTCTCAGGCTCTTTAGGCACTGCTCTAGGCCTTACTGCCTAGACCTAGACATTAGGGCCCTGGGCTTCATATTAGCCCAGCATAAACAGTAGCAATGGGTAATTTGGGGGTATGAGCTGAACATGGGGCATGTTTTCAGTAATACCAAATGATAGCTGCCTTCTTGTAGGCCCTGAGGACTGGAAGAAAACAACATGGCAGCTTCTGTTTTATAGATATTTCTGCCACCTAGCCAAAATGATGAATCAACACTCATCATTGTGATTGGCTATCACTGAGGAGGTCAGTTAAAGGGCATTCTCTTTCTACCTTTTCTCTAGATGCTTCAAACTCTCTGGTGCTTCTTCCATATTCTGATGAGTATCAGTACATTCGTGGTGAATGGTGTGGCCTACATACCTATGTTTTAAGACTGTTCTCAAGGTTTATAGCTCTTATAGAAGGAAAGGTTCTCTGTTCTGGTTCTGAAGTGGAACTCAACACTTCCAGCCAGTGAGAGGAAAGAGAAAGGCCTTGGCAGGAAGTACCTCTTTGGGGAAAGTTGGGGCAGAGGTGAATACTGGTGTTTAACAAGGGGTCTGGTCCCAGAGCACAGCATCTCTCTCTAGGGGCTCCTCATCAATGTCTCTTTGAGAAGAAAGCCCTCAATACAGGGTGAAGTGGATAAGCAGGAAGCTTAAGCCCTGGGTGGTTAGAGGAAGGAGACATTACCGTATATAAGAGGCCTGAAAATGGGAGTTTCTACTGCAGAATGTGGGCTGAGCGCCTCTAGAGGTTGAGCAGACATGAGTTGTTCTAAGCTAAATAAAACTAAGGAGCTAGGGCTTGAGCCAATTTAGCCAGATATAAGATGCTACCTTAGATTAAGGTTAGGGACTAATGGACAGGCTTTGAGATCAGGTCTCTGGAGAGGAGAATAAATGTGTTTCTTCACTCTGAGTTCTTACCTACCTAGGAACTATTAATGCAAAGACAGGTCCCAAGGAGGCCACAACAGGAGGGAGCAGGTGCAGAGACTGATAGTCTGCTGAAGAGTGAGAACACTCCCTTTCTGGGGCCGAGGCCAGGAAGCCTTTGCTAAGGAACAGTCTCATATTCATCCCAAGGAACAGGCTGGGGACTCAGTTGGGGTTTCTCCACTTCTAACCTCTCTAATAAGGACAAATTTTTCCTTTACTAGCCAGCAGAGTAGAAAACAAGAAGGGAGGAAATTAAATCTTTTCAAATCATTAATTTTTCTTTCATTTCTAGGACCCACTGAGCCCCAAGCCCCAGCTGGGACCACCTTCACTGCCTAAATTGCCTGTACAAACAAGGCTGCTGAAACCAGGGAACTAGCAAGTACAAAAATTTGCTTCCTTAGGCTCCTAAGTTATTTGATAGGGCCTTGCCAATGACTCTATTTCTGAGATGATAAAATCCTGGGCCCTGAAAGGTTAGTGTCTCTCTCTGGAAGGTAAAGGAGAAAGGGAAAGAGAAGTGCATGTGCAAGACCCTTTACCTTCAGCGGCTCTTTTGAAGAAGACCTTGCAGCTTCCACATGTGAGAGCTCCATAGTGACACCCAGAAGCTTCATCTCCACAGATCAGGCAGGTCTTCTGGGGTGGAAAGTAATAGTCAATGGGCAAAACATGGTCCCTGGCAGTCTCCAAACTGGAAAGACACAAAAAACCAATGCAACACATGTCACTGAATGGCAGAAATAGGCAAGTGAAGTCTCAGGTCTTCAGCATTAACCTGCAGGCATAAATGACTATTATTCATTGCTCAAGTTAGTTAGTGTGAAGCTGAATTTTCTGAGACTTCTCCTAAAGATGATGGTTGTAGGGTGTGACTGAGCCTTTTTGGATCTTGCCAAGGGATTAGGGAAGTTCTCTGGGATTAGCCAATCTCATAGTCTATGTCTATATGCGGGAGCAATGAAGGCAGGAAGCCTGAGGTTAAGATATCTAACTGAAGGTGGTGTCCAGGCAACATTTTCAGACTAATTAAATGATATGAACCCAGGTTTGTAACTTTACCTCATCCAAAGGGAGACCTATAACAAAACCAGACCAAATATCAAAGTGATTTGATGTTCCTTGCTTTAGCTTCGTGAGCCTCAAATCTCATCTATAAAATAGAGATAATATCTCCCATCCTATTGAGCTGCTGCTGTGAGTGGTAATATAAATCAGATAATGGATAAAATGCCATTGGAATAAATACACAAGGATCGTGATTAGTATTATCATAAAAGTCTTGTTCTTTTTTTTCCCTCATTTCTTCACTTTCCTTAGGTGTTTCTATAGATCACATGGACATCCGCCAGATTCCATTCCACAACATAAAGTACCAAGCATAATCCCTATGCCTGAAGCTTCTGTTGAAAAAATGATGTACAATGATTCTGGACATCTTTTAGGCTACCATCAAAATACTTGGCCACTGGAGCTTCAGAAGTCACCTTGTCTAACTGCCTTTCTGCAAGAACTTCTGCGCCCAAGCTCTTTCAGGTGGATATGAAGGAGAAGGGCCAGAAAGCCAATCCTAAAACCTTCATGGAAGGTTAATTCTCAGTCTCCTATAGTAAAAAATTCAAGTTTGAACAAAATGGAACATTGTTCTCACTACCCAAAGGTCAGCTTTTGTCATTCCTATGTCTTATGCCTAAGCATTAAACAAAACTCAAGTGACATTCTGGGTTACATCTGCTTCAGGGAGATGACAACTGCCCATGCTATCATTCACAAGAGCACAACTGCTATATTTTATAAGCACTTCTTCCTTACTAAGGAATGAAGGAAAATGAGCCCTAATGGGAGCCTGTTTGTTGTGTCAACACCTAACGAAAACTCTGTGAAGACAAGCTTATTTTCTCATTTTAATATCCACTGTACAGATGAAAAACGTTAAGACTTGGAGAGGGGAAGTGCAGGACAATTTGATTACAAGTCCAACACAGTTTCCATTACCCTATTGTCTTCTCACCACTCACCTTTACTTTCCACCAATGGCCTTTTGGTTTGAATGTTCAGCACAGTCATCAGAATGAAGAAAAAAAAAAAACATGAAAGGTTATCCTCCCCTCAACCCCAAGTGAACAGCTATGTCAGGACAAGAGCAAAGAAAACTTTCACTCACTTTACAAGCACTTTACCAGCAAGACACAAATATCAGCCTTTATTCAAGTCCCAAGTACAACAGAAAGCAATAAAAAATTCTACTGATTTGCAAACCCAGTGGCTTGATATCATGGCCTATCTTCATTCCCCACAAGCCTTCCTTTCCCTACCCTAACTAGAAAGCCAGCAAGAGCACTTCCAACAAACCAAGGCTAGCAAGGCCATAAGTTCCACATGGAAGGAGCTTACTTCCAATATATAATTCAGCTAAATGCTAAGATCATTTCTTTTGGCTAAAAATGTCATTTCCTTGGGTAAAAACTGTGCCCCCTTCCTCAGTCCTGAATGAAACATGGAGAAGAAATAGAAAATTTTCACAAGTACCTTTCTCCTTTCTCCACCTTTTTGACTTCTGTTACTAACACAAACTGTCCAAATAGAATCAGAAGAACATGTATTTAGGCACTCTATATGCCAGGCCATTTCATACATATCATCCCATTTAATTTTCCCAACAACCTACCAGGTAGCTGTGTATCATCCCTATATTGCAGAAGAGGAAACTGATGCTCAGAACAATTAAGTAAACTTGTTCAAGATCACGCATCTATTAATAATAAGTGGCAATGCCAGGATTCCATCCTGGGTGAGTCTGACTCCAAAGTGTAGATTCTTAACCACTGACAAACCATGTTGTGCTAATGAAGGTTAAGATTAGGTACAATGGTTCAACTCAACTCTTAGCATCTGGCCCTATGGACCAGGCACAGGGTTAGGTGCTGGGGATATAGTGGTGATCGAGATATTTCCTTGGCCCTAAGAAACTACTATCTGTTAGAGAAGAAGGACTGGAAATAAATAATTATAAAATAAGATAATAAATGATATAAGAAAGCAGAGTGCAGACTGCTAAAGATGAGGATGCACTTCAAAGATGGGATTATTATTTGAAAGACACAAATGTATGTATGGGTAAAGGAGATGATAATGATAATGCTGATGATGATAATGATGGTTATTATTAGATAATTACAAAATAAATATCAGATAAACAGTCTATTTTGTAGATAGACCACTAGCCAGACTACTAAAGAAGAAAAGAGAGAAGAATCACAGATGCAATAAAAAATGATAAAGGGGATATCACCACGGATCCCACAGAAATACAAATTACCATCAGAGAATACTATAAACACCTCTGGGGCAAATAAAATAGAAAATCTAGAAGAAATAGATAAATTCCTGAACGCATATACCCTCCCAAGCCTAAAGCAGGAAGTCAAATACCTGAATAGAACTATAACAAGTTCTGAAATTGAGGAAGTAATTAATAGCCTACCAACCAAAAAAAGTCCAGAACCAGAAGGATTCACAGATGAATTCTACCAGATGTACAAAGAGGAGCTGGTACCATTCCTTCCGAAACTATTCCAAACAACAGAAAAAGAAGGAATCCTCCCTAACTCATTTTATGGGCCAGCATCATCCTGATACCAAAACCTGGCAGAGACACAACAAAAAAAGAAAACGTCAGGCCAATAACCCTGATGAACATCAGTGCAAAAATCCTCAATAAAAAAATACTGGCAAACCCAATCCAGCAGCACATCAAAAAGCTTATCCACCACGATCAAGTCCGCTTCACCCCTGGGATGCAAGGCTGGTTCAACATACACAAATCAATAAACATAATCCATCACATCAACAGAACCAATGACAAAACCATATGATTATCTCAATAGATGCAGAAAAGGCCTTCGACAAAATACAACACTGCTTCATGCTCAAACTCTCAATAAACTAGGTATTGATGGAATATATCTCAAAATAATAAGAGCTATTTATGACAAACCCACACCCAATATCATACTGAATGGTCAAAAACTGGAAGCACTCCCTTTGAAAACCAGAACAAGACAAGGATGCCGTCTCTCACCACCCCTATTCAACATAGTATTGGAAGTTCTGGCCAGGGCAATCAGGAAAGAGAAAGCAATAAAGGATATTCAAATAGGAAAACAGGAAGTCAAATTGTCTCTGTTTGCAGATGACATGAATGTATATTCAGAAAACCCCATTCTCTCAGCCCAAAATCACCTTAAGCTGACAAGCAACTTCAGCAAAGTCTCAGGATACAAAATCAGTGTGCGAAAATCACAAGCATTCCTATACACCAATAACAGACAAACAGAGAGCCAAATCATGAGTGAACTCCCATTCACAATTGCTACAAACAGAATAAAATATGTAGGAATCCAACTTACAAGGGATGTGAAGGACCTCTTCAAGGAGAATTACAAACCACTGCTCAAGGAAATAAGAGAAGACAAAAATAAATGGAAAACCATTCCATGCTCATGGATAGGAAGAATCATTATCATGAAAATGGCCAAACTGCCCAAAGTGTTTTACAGATTCAATACTAACCCCATCAAGCTGCCAATGACTTTCTTCGCAGAATTATAAAAAAACTACTTTAAATTTCATATGGAACCAATAAAGAGCCTGCATAGCCAAGGCAATTCTAAGCCAAAAGCACAAAGCTGGAGGCATCATGCTACCTGACTTCAAACTATACTACAAGGCTACAGTAACCAAAATAGCACGGTACTGGTACCAAAACAGATATATAGACCAATGGAACAGAACAGAGGTCTCAGAAATAATACCACACATCTACAACCATCTAATCTTTGACAAACCTGACAAAGACAAGCAATGGGGAAAGGATTCCCTATTTAATAAATGGTGTTGGGAAAACTAGCTAGCCATATGCAGAAAACTGAAACTGGACCCCTTCCTTACACCTTACACAAAAATTAAATCAAGATGAGTCACGTAAGACCTAAAACCATGAAAACCCTAGAAGAAAACCTAGGCAATACCATTCAGGACATAGGCATGGGCAAAGACTACATGACTAAAACACCAAAAGCAATGGCAACAAGAGCCAAGATTGACAAATGTGATCTAATTAAACTCAAGAGCTTCTGCACAGCAAAAGAAACGATCATCAGAGTGAACAAGCAACCTACAGAATGGGAGAAAATTTCTGCAGTCTATCCATCTGACGAAAGGTTAATTAATATCCAGAATGTGCAATGAACTTAAACAAATTTACAAGAAAAAGACAAACAACCCCATCAAAAAGTGGGTGAAGGAAATGAACAGGCACTTCTCAAAAGAAGACATTTATGCGGTCAACAAACATGAAAAAAAGCTCATCATCACTGGTCATTAGAGAAATGCAAATCAAAACCACAATGAAATACCATCTCACGCCAGTTAGAATCGTGATCATTAAAAAGTCAGGAAACAACAGGTGCTGGAGAGGATGTGAAGAAATAGGAACGCTTTTACATTGTTGGTGGGAGTGTAAATTAGTTCAACCATTGTGGAAGACAGTGTGGCAATTCCTCAAGGATCTAGAACTAGAAATACCATTTGACCAAGCATTTCTATTACTGGGTATATAAACAAAGGATTATAAATCATTCTACCATAAAGACACATGCACACTTATGTCTACTGTGGCACTATTCACAATAGCAAAGACTTGGAACAACTGAAATGCCCATCAATGATAGATTGGATAAAGAAATTGTGGCACATATACACCATGGAATATTGTGCAGCCATATAAAAGGAAGAGTTCATGTCCTTTGCAGGGACATGGATGAAGCTGGAAACCATCATTCTCAGCAAACTAACACAAGAAAAGAAAATCAAACACTGCATGTTCTCACTCAAAAGTGGGAGTTGAACAATGAGAACACTTGGACACAGGCTAGGGAACATCACACACTGGGGCCAGTGAGGGGTGAGGGGCAAGGGAGGGAATAGCATTAGGAGAAATATCTAATGTAGATGACAGGTTGATAGGTGCAGCCAAACACCCTGGCATGTGTGTACCTATGTAACAAACCTGTACATTCTGCACATGTACCCCAGAACTTAAAGTATAATAAAAAAAGAAAAAAAAGTTATCAGATAAACAAAATGGAAACACGCAGAAAGCTCATTTTGTAAAGGACCTTTAAGAAACGGAAATGGAGTGTTGCTGTTCAATGGCTATAAAGTTTCAGTTAAGCCTGAAGAAAAAGTTCTAGACGTCTGCTGTACAACATTGTGCCTACAGTTAACAATATGGTGTTGTCATGCACACGTATGTTTATTGCGGCACTATTCACAATAGCAAAGACTTGGAACCAACCCAAATGTCCAACAATGATAGACTGGATTAAGAAAATGTGGCACATATACACCGTGGAATACTATGCAGCCATAAAAAAGGATGAGTTCATGTCCTTTGTAGGGACATGGATGAAGCTGGAAACCATCATCCTCAGCAAACTATGGCAAGGACAAAAAACCAAACACCACATGTTCTCACTCATAGGTGGGAACTGAACATTGAGAACACATGGACACAGGAAGGGGAACATCACACACTGGGGACTGTTGTGGGGTGGGGGGAGGGGGGAGGGATAGCATTAGGAGATATACCTAATGCTAAATGACGAGTTAATGGGTGCAGCACACCAACATGGCACATGTATACATATGCAACAAACCTGCACGTTGTGCACATGTACCCTAAAACTTAAAGTATAATAATAATAAAATAAAAAAAAAACAATATGGTGTTGTGCCCTTAAATTTTGTTATGAGGGTAGACTTTATGTTGTGTTATTATTAAAAAATGTTTTTTAAAGAAATCGAAATTTTCATCCATACTAAAGTGAAAATACAGTTAAAATTTTTTCAAGCAATCTAATTAATTGAATTTACAATCAATGAAAGACAAAATATTCATTAGAGTTTTGTTTGTTAGGCATGAGTTTAATAAAGTGCACCTTGAACAAAAATAACTGTAAAGGAGGAAGAGGAAGATAAATAGTGAAGGGGATTCAGAATCTGGACTTTTACTAATTGCAACCCATTTTGACTAGAGACCTGAGATAGTGCCTCCTGGCCTCACTAGGTCAGTCTCTGCTTCTCCCTGACTCCCCAGCTAGCAAAATATTTTGGGTAGCACTCCCACTGATCCTGACCTAGTGTGGACAAAGGGCACATTGCAGCTCTGACTCATGAGCTAAACTTTGGGCTTTGGAAATGTAAATTCCAACTGCAGTCCCTCTCTCAGGCTTATATCCTAGAGAAAGTTGGTCACATATGTACTAGGAGGCACATGCAGGAACAGTCATAGCAGTTTTGTTTATTAAAGCATAAATGATAAACATTAACTGACAGGAGAAAAATAATTTATGGCACACATATCCAATAAACTACAATCAGCAATGAAAAGGAATGGAATCGAGCTACACATAGTTGAATCTCAAATACTAATGTTGTGTAAAAGACATAATTCACAATAGGATACATACAATATGATTCCATTATATAAAGTTTAAAAAGAAGCAAAAGCAAGCAATATATTATTTGGGAATATACATGTGAAAACTTATCAAAATGCAAGGGAATAATAAAGCCCAAATATAGGATAGTGGTTACCTCTGAGGGGAGGCTGGGAGTGATGGTAAGAGGAAAGAGGATATAAGTAGATTTATGCTCTTATTTTTAAAATATTGACTAAGCTCCTATTATGTGGCTGACACTCCTCTAGGTCCTGGGGATATAGCAGTGAACAAAATGGACAAAAATCCATGCCTTCACAGAGCTTCCATTCTAATAGGGTTGATGCAATCATGATGTTAATGTTGTTGATTCTTTAATCTGGGCTCATCAACATTAATTTTATTGTTATGACATATAAATTATATATTACATGTATTCTTTGATATTACTAAAACAGCACATAATGAAAGAAAAACTAAAATAAAAACCTCAAAAGTTTTGAATATGCTCCTAGATAACATCCTAATTGCAAACACAGGAGAGGTTTGCTTTGAGAACAAGTGCAGAATTTGCACGTGACATTGTGTTTTTTCTTACCTCCCGAGGGTTACACGTTCACTTATTATCTTGAGGCAGAGCATTTGGTTTTATGAATCTGAAGCAAAAGCAGTGCCCCATAGAACGGAAGGTTTCTGAACCAGAACACCACTTGCAATTCTTCAACAGTTTCACTATTAATTAAATAAAAGTGGATTACTAGAAGCTGTTGGCCTGACAATACAGGCTCAACCATGGGGAACTTGGGCTTAGGAAACCTTGGCACCCAGCTGAGATCACCAGGTTTCTCTCTCTCTCTCTCTCTCCCTGACTCCTTTCCTTTTTATCTCCTCTCCTCTGCTCCTCCTCCTGTCCCCCAACTTTCTTTTCAAAGGAGGACTTGGGGATACTTTGAAGAATCTGATTAACTTAAGTAAGTCCCACCAGTGACTGTGGAAGCGGGGTGAAATGCAAAAGTCACAGACCAGTTTTATTTGTTAGCAAGAGGAATGGCAACCCAACAAGGATTTGGAGCCCACCAGACCTGGGTTGGAATCCTGCCTCTACCACTGAACTTTGGGTGAAATAATTAAGGCTCTCTGTGCTCCATTTGCCTCATTTAGAGTTGGAAATATTTTCAACTCTAGACGGCTTTTGTGAGAATTACAATTACATTAAATAACATGTAAAAGCCCTTGCCTCTGTGCCTGCCACATGGTAGGCACATTGTAAGTCTTGGTTGCCTTAATCTTTTGTCTTACCATAAGAAAATGAAATATCTAATATCCTAAAAATAAAAAAGAGCACTTTTCTTGGCTATGCAGAGCTTTTAGAGAAAGGTAAATACATGTGGGGGTTGCGGGGGTGTAGGGCATAGGGGTTGGGGAGGGAGGGAGAGAGAGGGGAAGAGACAGAGAGAAGGCAAGGGTAAACATGTAAACACATATCTTTCTCATACATACCTACTTTTCAAACTAAAAGAGGTCGAGGCAACCACCAAACATCTTTATGGAACATAATATTTTTCCTTGTGTTTAGTAACAAAATATATTTTATTAATCACATTGTGGAACATGACATCCCTACATGACTTTTTAAGATAAAATCAGAGTTCACAATTATTCTCTCCTTATAGATCTATTGTGCTTACTTATTTGTGGTTACAAGGAATATTTTGGTGGAGAAGTTGGTGAAGTAATGGCTTAAGATAGGTAGCATCTTTATTCCCTGCCACCGTGAGATTTGAAATTTAGTGTGTGTTCATTCACGAGGGCAGCAATGTTTACTATTAAAAGTATTACCGAAATTTAGTTCATAGCTTTTCAATTCTCTTTAATAAATTCTTTAGTTGAAGTGGAAAGACACATAGGTAGAAGATCTAGTTTTCATGTCCATCTCTGCCACTTGCTAACAGAAGGACCTTGAACAACTCATTTGACTTCAATTTATTTACATGTAAAATGGGCAAAGAAATAAAGATCCCACAAGACTGCAGTGAGGATTCAGTGAAGTTGTGGAGGTAAAGCAGCCCCACACCACTGCGGACACAGTGCTTAATAAATGGTTATTACTGTAATAATATTATGAGAAAGTGGTAGAGGAGAGATGAGGAAGAACAAGGTTTTGAAAAGGTACCACTGAGGTAGGTATCATTACCTCTATTTTGCATATATGCAAACTGATACTTAGAGAAAGCAAATGACTTGTCCAAGTCCATACACTAGTAGTGACAAAACCAGAATTATACTTGGGACTATTTCCCCACCCTTACTCCATATTTTCCCACTATTCTAAACTGCCAAAGCCATATAATATTTCTGTTATAGCTTGGTTTTAATTTAATTAGGTTGTTTTTAATGGGCTTACTGAGTTATATTTCACATACTATAAAATTCACCCATTTTAGCATACTCACATCTATTACTGCAAACTAATTTTAGAGCAATTATATCACTCCAAAAAGAAATCCTGTACCCATTAGCAGCCACTCCTCATACTGTCTCCTCCCAGACCCTGGAAAAACTAATTTCCTTTCTATCTCTAAATATTTTTCTTTTATGGACATTTAATACAAATAAAATCATACAGTGTAGTCTTTTGTGAGTTGCTTTTTTCACCTAGCATAATGTTTTCAAGGTTCATCCATGTTGGAGCATGTATGAGTACTTCATTTCTTATTATTGACAGATAAACCATGGCATGGATATACCACATTTTGTTTTTCCATTTATCAGTTGGTGGACATTTGGAGCCCACATTTGGAAGACATTTGTCGTCCACTCTTTGGCTATTATAAATAATGCTGCAATGAACATTTGTGTACAAGTATTTGTGTGGACATGTTTTCATTTCTCTTGAGTATTTACCTTGGAATAGAATTACTAGGTCAAACAGTAACATTTTTGATACATGTACACCATAGTATACTATGCAAAAAGAATGAGATCATGTCCTTTGCAGCAACGTGGATGAATCTGGAGGCCAGTATCCTAAGCAAACTAAAGCAGGAACAGAAAACCAAATACCACATGTTCTCACTGATAAGTGGAAGCTAAATATTGAGTACATATGAACACAAAGAAAAGAACAAGAGGCACCAGGGCCTACTTGATGGTGGAGGGTAGGAGGAGGGTGAGGATAGAAAAACTACCTATTGGGTACCATGCTTATTACCTGGGTGATGAAATAATGTGTACACTAAACTCCTGTGACACACAATTTAGCTATATAGCAAACCTGCATATGTACCTCTGAACCTAAATTAAAAGTGAAGAAAAACCAAATAACAAATAGTAATTTTTTAAAGACTTGCAGACTGTATTTCAAAGGGCTGCATGACTTTACATTTTACCAGCAATATATAAGGGTTCTGGCTCCTCCACATTAAAGCCAATACTTGTTATTTGTTCTTTTATTCTATAGCCATCTTAATAGGTGTAAACCGGTATCTCAATTTGGTTTTGATCTGCATTTCCCTAATGACTAATGATGTTGAGCATTTTTAAATTTGTATATCTTCTATCAAGAAATTTCTATTCAAATACTTTGCCCATTTTAAAATTGGGTTGTCTTTTTATATTGAGTTGCAAGAGTTCTTTATATATTCTAAATTCAATACCCTTATCAGATATATGATTTGCAAATACTTTCTCTCATTCTGTGGGTGAGATTTTCACTTTCTTGATGGTATCATTTGCAGCACAAAAATTTCAAATTTGATGAAGTCCAATTTAACAATTTTTTTTTCTGGAGCCAAGATGGCCGAATAGGAACAGCTCAGGTCTACAGCTCCCAGCATGAGCGAAGCAGAAGACGGGTGATTTCTGCATTTCCATCTGAGGTAGCGGGCTCATCTCACTAGGGAGTGCCAGACAGTGGGCGCAGGTCAGTGGGTGCAGCGCACCGTGTGTGAGCCGAAGCAGGGCGAGGCATTGCCTCACTCGGGAAGCGCAAGGGGTCAGGGAGTTCCCATTCCTAGTCAAAGAAAGGGGTGACAGACGGCACCTGGAAAATTGGGTCACTCCCACCCAAATACTGCGTTTTTCTGACGGGCTTAAAAAACGGCGCACCAGGAGATTATATCCCGCACATGGCTCAGAGGGTCCTACGCCCATGGAGTCTTGCTTATTGCTAGCACAGCAGTCTGAGATCAAACTGCAAGGTGGCAGCGAGGCTGGGGGAGGGGCACCTGCCATTGCCCAGGCTTGCTTAGGTAAACAAAGCAGCTGGGAAGCTCGAACTGGGTGGAGCCCACCACAGCTCAAGGAGGCCTGCCTGCCTCTATAGGCTTCACCTCTGGGGGCAGGGCATAGACAAACAAAAAGACAGCAGTAACCTCTGCAGACTTAAATGTCCCTGTTGGACAGCTTTGAAGAGAGCAGTGGTTCTCCCAGCACGCAGCTGGAGATCTGAGAATGGGCAGACTGCCTCCTCAAGTGGGTCCCTGACCCCTGACCCCTGAGCAGCCTAACTGGGAGGCACCCCCCAGCAGGGGCAGACTGACACCTCACACGGCCGGGTACTCCAACAGACCTGCAGCTGAGGGTCCTGTCTCTTAGAAGGAAAACTAAAAAACAGAAAGGACATCCACACCAAAAACCCATCTGTACATCACCATCATCAAACACCAAAAGTAGATAAAACCACAAAGATGGGGAAAAACAGAGCAGAAAAACTGGAAACACTAAAAAGCAGAGCGCCTCTCCTCCTCCAAAGGAACGCAGTTCCTCACCAGCAACGGAACAAAGCTGGACAGAGAATGACTTTGATGAGATGAGAGAAGAAGGCTTCAGACAATCAAATTACTCCAAGCTATGGGAGGACATTCAAACCAAAGGCAAAGAAGTTGAAAACTTTGAAAAAAATTTAGAAGAATGTATAACTAGAATAACCAATACAGAGAAGTGCTTAAAGGAGCTGATGGAGCTGAAAACTAAGGCTCGAGAACTACGTGAAGAATGCAGAAACCTCAGGAGCCAATGCGATCAACTGGAAGAAAGGGTATCAGCGATGGAAGATGAAATGAATGAAATGAAGTGAGAAGGGAACTTTAGAGAAAAAAGAATAAAAAGAAACGAGCAAAGCCTCCAAGAAATATGGGACTATGGGAAAAGACCAAATCTATGTCTGATTGGTGTACCTGAAAGTGACGGGGAGAATGGAACCAAGTTGGAAAACACTCTGCAGGATATTATCCAGGAGAACCTCCCCAGTCTAGCAAGGCAGGCCAACATTCAGATTCAGGAAATACAGAGAATGCCACAAAGATACTCCTTGAGAAGAGCAACTCCAAGACACATAATTGTCAGATTCAAAAAAGTTGAAATGAAGGAAAAAATGTTAAGGGCAGCCAGAGAGAAAGGTCAGGTTACCCTCAAAGGGAAGCCCATCAGACTAACAGCAGATCTCTCGGCAGAAACTTTACAAGCCAGAAGAGAGTAGGGGCCAATATTCAACATTCATAAAGAAAAGAATTTTCAACCCAGAATTTCATATCCAGCCAAACTAAGCTTCATAAGTGAAGGAGAAATAAAATCCTTTACAGACAAGCAAATGCCGAGAGATTTTGTCACCACCAGGCCTGCCCTAAAAGAGGTCCTGAAGGAAGCACTAAACATGGAAAGGAACGACCGGTACCAGCCGCTGCAAAATCATGCCAAAATGTAAAGACCATCGAGACTAGGAAGAAACTGCATCAACTAACGAGCAAAATAACCAGCTAAAATCATAATGACAGGATAAAATTCACACATAACAATATTAACTTTAAATGTAAATGGACTAAATGCTCCAATTAAAAGACACAGACTGGCAAATTGGATAAAGAGTCAAGACCCATCAGTGTGCTGTATTCAGGAAACCCATCTCATATGCAGAGACACACATAGGCTCAAAATAAAAGGATGGAGGAAGATCTACCAAGCAAATGGAAAACAAAAAAAAGGCAGGGGTTACAATTCTAGTCTCTGATAAAACAGACTTTAAACCAACAAAGATCAAAAGAGACAAAGAAGGCCATTACATAATGGTAAAGGGATCAATTCAACAAGAAGAGCTAAGTATCCTAAATATATATGCACCCAATACAGGAGCACCCAGATTCATAAAGCAAGTCCTTAGTGACCTACAAAGAGACTTAGACTCTCACACATTAATAATGGGAGACTTTAACACCCCACTGTCAACATTAGACAGATCAACGAGACAGAAAGTTAACAAGGATACCCAGGAATTGAACTCAGCTCTGCACCAAGCAGACCTAATAGACATCTACAGAACTCTCTACCCCAAATCAACAGAATATACATTTTTTTCAGCACCACACCACACCTATTCCAAAATTGACCACATAGTTGGAAGTAAAGCTCTCCTCAGCAAATGTAAAAGAACAGAAATTATAACAAACTATCTCTCAGACCACCGTGCAATCAAACTAGAACTCAGTATTAAGAATCTCACTCAAAACCGCTCAACTACATGGAAACTGAACAACCTGCTCCTGAATGACTACTGGGTACATAACGAAATGAAGGCAGAAATAAAGATGTTCTTTGAAACCAAAGAGAACAAAGACACAACATACCAGAATCTCTGGGACACATTCAAAGCAGTGTGTAGAGGGAAATTTATAGCACTAAATGCCCGCAAGAGAAAGCAGGAAAGATCCAAAATTGACACCCTAACATCACAATTAAAAGAACTAGAAAAGCAAGAGCAAACACATTCAAAAGCTAGCAGAAGGCAAGAAATAACTAAAATCAGAGCAGAACTAAAGGAAATAGAGACACAAAAAACCCTTCAAAAAATTAATGAATCCAGGAGGTGGTTTTTTGAAAGGATCAACAAAATTGATAGACTGCTAGCAAGACTAATAAAGAAAAAAAGAGAGAAGAATCAAATAGACACAATAAAAAATGATAAAGGGGATATCACCACCGATCCCACAGAAATACAAACTACCATCAGAGAATACTACAAACACCTCTACGCAAATAAACTAGAAAATCTAGAAGAAATGGATAAATTCCTTGACACATACACCCTCCCAAGACTAAACCAGGAAGAAGTTGAATCTCTGAATAGACCAATAACAGGATCTGAAATTGTGGCAATAATCAATAGCTTACCAACCAAAAAGAGTCCAGGACCAGATGGATTCACAGCCGAATTCTATCAGAGGTACAAGGAGGAACTGGTACCATTCCTTCTGAAACTATTCCAATCAATAGAAAAAGAGGGAATCCTCCCTAACTCATTTTATGAGGCCAGCATCATCCTGATACCAAAGACGGGCAGAGACACAACCAAAAAAGAGAATTTTAGACCAATATGCTTGATGAACATTGATGCAAAAATCCTCAATAAAATACTGGCAAACGGAATCCAGCAGCACATCAAAAAGCTTATCCACCATGATCAAGTGGGCTTCATCCTTGGGATGCAAGGCTGGTTCAATATACGCAAATCAATAAATGTAATCCAGCATATAAACAGAACCAAAGACAAAAACCACATGATTATCTCAATAGATGCAGAAAAGGCCTTTGACAAAATTCAATAACGCTTCATGCTAAAAACTCTCAATAAATTAGGTATTGATGGGCCGTATTTTAAAATAATAAGAGCTATCTATGACAAACCCACAGCCAATAACATACTGAATGGTCAAAAACTGGAAGCATTCTCTTTGAAAACTGGCACAAGACAGGGATGCCCTCTCTCACCACTCCTATTCAACATAGTGTTGGAAGTTCTGGCCAGGGCAATTAGGCAGAAGAAGGAAATAAAGGGTATTCAATTAGGAAAAGAGGAAGTCAAATTGTCCCTGTTTGCAGATGACATGATTGTATATCTAGAAAACCCCGTTGTCTCAGCCCAAAATCTCCTTAAGCTGATAAGCAACTTCAGCAAAGTCTCAGGATACAAAATCAATGTACAAAAATCACAGCATTCTTATACACCAATAACAGACAAACAGAGAGCCAAATCATGAGTGAACTCCCATTCACAATTGCTTCAAAGAGAATAAAATACCTAGGAATCCAACTTTCAAGGGATGTGAAGGACCTCTTCAAGGAGAACTACAAACCACTGCTCAAGGAAATAAAAGAGGATACAAACAAATGGAAGAACATTCCATGCTCATGGGTAGGAAGAATCAATATCGTGAAAATGGCCATACTGCCCAAGGTAATTTATAGATTCAATGCCATCCCCATCAAGCTACTGATGACTTTCTTCACAGAATTGGAAAAAACTACTTTAAAGTTCATATGGAACCAAAAAAGAGCCCACATCCCCAAGTCAATCCTAAGCCAAAAGAACAAAGCTGGAGGCATCACACTCCCTGACTTCTAACTATACTACAAGGCTACAGTAATCAAAACAGCATGGTACTGGTACCAAAAGAGAGATATAGATCAATGAAACAGAACAGAGCCCTCAGAAATAATGCCGCATATCTACAACTATCTGATCTTTGACAAACCTGACAAAAATAAGCAATGGGGCAAGGATTCCCTATTTAATAAATGGTGCTGGAAAAACTGGCTAGCCATATGTAGAAAGCTGAAACTGGATCCCTTCCTTACACCTTATACAAAAATCAATTCGAGATGGATTAAAGACTTAAACGTTAGACCTAAAACCATAAAAACCCTAGAAGAAAACCTAGGCATTACCATTCAGGACATAGGCATGGGCAAGGACTTCATGTCTAAAACACCAAAAGCATGTCTAAAACACCAAAAGTCAAAATTGACAAATGGGATCTAATTCAACTAAAGAGCTTCTGCACAGCAAAAGAAACTACCATCAGATTGAACAGGCAACCTACAAAATGAGAGAAAATTTTCGCAACGTACTCATCTGACAAAGGGCTAATATCCAGAATCTACAATGAACTCAAACAAATTTACAAGAAAAAAACAAACGACCCCATCAAAAAGTGGGCGAAGGATATGAACAGACACTTCTAAAAAGAAGACATTTATGCACCCAAAAAACACATGAAAAAATGCTCACCATCACTGGCCATCAGAGAAATGCAAATCAAAACCACAATGAGATATCATCTCACGCCAGTTAGAATGGCAATCATTAAAAAGTCAGGAAACAACAGGTGCTGGAGAGGATGTGGAGAAATAGGAACACTTTGACACTGTTGGTGGGACTGTAAACTAGTTCAACCCTTGTGGAAGTCAGTGTGGTGATTCCTCAGGGATCTAGAACTAGAAATACCATTTGAACCAGCCATCCCATTACTGGGTATATACCCAAAGGACTATAAATCATGCTGCTATAAAGACACATGCACACGTATGTTCATTGCGGCATTATTCACAATAGCAAAGACTTGGAACCAACCCAAATGTCCAACAATGATAGACTGGATTAAGAAAATGTGGCACATATACACCATGGAATACTATGCAGCCATAAAAAAGGATGAGTTCATGTCCTTTGTAGGGACATGGATGAAATTGGAAATCATCATTCTCAGTAAACTATCGCAAGAACAAAAAACCAAACACCGCATGTTCTCACTCATAGGTGGGAATTGAACAATGAGAACACATGGACAGAGGAAGGGGAACATCACACTCTGGGGAATGTTGTGGGGTGGGGGAGGGGGGAGGGATAGCATTGGGAGATATACCTAATGCTAGATGATGAGTTAGTGGGTGCAGCGCACCTGCATGGCACATGTATACATATGTAACTAACCTGCACATTGTGCACATGTACCCTAAAACTTAAAGTATAATAATAATAAATATATATATATATATATATATATAAAATTAGTCGGGCATGGTGGCGGGTGCCTGTAGTCCCAGCTACTCAGGAGGCTGAGGCAGGAGAATGGCATGAACCTGGGAGGCGGAGCTTGCAGTGAGCTGAGATTGCACCACTGCAGTCCAGCCTGGGAGACAGCCAGACTCCATCTCAAAAAAAAAAAAAAAAAAAAAAAAGAGAGAGCCTGTCATTTGCACCAACATGGTTGGAACTAGAGTTCGTTATGTTATGTGAAATAAACCTGGCACAGAAAGACAAACTTTACATGTTCTGACATGGGAGCTAATTTGTGGGAGCTAATAAAATTAGTTCTGTCTATCTCCATGAGCTGAAACTACTGAACTCATGGAGATAAGAGGAAATCATGGTTACCAGATGCTACGAAGTGTAGCTGGGAGGCAGGGGAGTGGGGATGGTTAATGGGTACAATAATATAGTTAGATAGAATGAATAACATATAGTATTTGATAGCACAAGGGAATGACTACAATAATAATGTACTGTACATTTAAAAATAACTAAAAGAGTATAATTGGATTGTTTGTAACACAAATGATAAATGCTTGAGGTACTGGATACTTCATTTATCCTAATATGATCATTGAACATTGTATGCCTGTATCAAAATATCTCATATACCCCATAAATATACACACCTACTTTGTACCCACAACAAAATTTTAATAAAATAATCAAGGGTTTTTTTAAAAAAATTTTTTTTCTCTTATTGCTTGTGCTTTTGGTGTTATAGCCAAAAAACCATTGCCTACTTCAAGGTCATAAAGATTTACTTTGATATTTTCTTCTGAGATTTATCATCTTAGCTCTATAGCATTTAGATCCATGATACACCATGAGATCATTTTATTTTTTTTGCAGGTTTGAAGTGGTCCAAAATCTTTTATTTTCATGTGGATATCCAATTTTTCCAGTACAATTTATTGAAAAGACTATTCTTTCCTCATTGAAATGTCTTAGCAACACTTTTGAAAGTCAATTGGTCTTAAATGTAAGAGTTAACTTTTGGATTCTCAATAGTATTCCATTTATTGATCTGTTTGTCCTTATGCCAATACCATACACTCTTGATTACCACTGCTTTGTAATAAGGTTTGGAATCAGGAAGCATGGGTACGCCGACTTTGTTTTTCTTTCTCAATATTATTTTGGTTATCCTAGGTTCCATGTATTTAAATATTAATTTTAGGGTCAGATTTTCATTTTCTGCTAAGAAAACAGCCAGTATTTTGATAGGGATTTCCTTCAATCTTTGGGGAGTATTTCCATCTTGACAATATTGAGTCCTCTAGTACATGAACAAGGGATGTTTTTCTATTTATTTAGATTTTTAATTACTTTCCACAGTGTTTTGTGGTTTGCAGCATACAAGTCTTACGCTTCTTTTGTTAAATTTATTTTTAAGTATTCTGGTATTTTGATTATATTGTGAGTGAACTGTTTTCTTAATCTCATTTTCAGATTGCTCATTGCTAGTGTACAGAAATACAATTGATTTTTGCACATTAATCTTGTATTCTGAAACCTTGCTGAACTCGTTTACTCGTTTTAATAGTTTATCATGGATTCCTTAAGGTTTTCTTTGTATAAGATCATGTCATCTGTGAATATAGATATTTTCACCTCTTCCTTTCCAATATGGGTGCCTTTTACCTCTTTCTTTTTTTTTTTTTTTTTTTTTTTTTTTTTTGCCTAATTGCCTTGACTTGAATCTACAATACAATGGTAAATTGAAATGGTGAGAACAGTCATCCTTGTCTTGTTCCTGATCTTACAAGGAAAAATTTCAATCTTTCCCTATTTAGTATGATGTTAGCTGTGTGTTTTTCAGAGATGTCCATTACAAAGTTAAGAAAGTTTCCTCCTATTCTTAGGTTTTTGAATGTTAATTTACATTCCAGAGATAAATCCTACTTGGTCACCCTTTATAACCCTTTTTATTTGTTGCTGAATTCTGTTTGCTAGCATTTTGTTGAGATTTTTAGAAAGTTATCTATATTCAAATGTGATATTAGCCTGCAGTTTTATTTTTGTGTCATATCTTTGGTTTTGGCATCAGGGTAATGCTGACTTTGCAGAATTAGTTGGAAAGGGTTCCAGCCTCTTCCAAGTTTTGAAATAATTTGTGAAGGATTAAATCTTCCTTAAATATTTGATAGTATTCACCAGTGAAGACTGAACCTGGGCTTTTCTTTGTGGGAAGTTTCTTAATTACTAATCCAGTTTTGTTACAGGACTTGTTACAGGACTACTCAGATTTTCTGTTTCTTCACTGGTCACTTTAGATAGTTTGTGTTTTTCTGAGTATTTGTCCATTTCATCTAGGTCATCTAATTTTTTGGCATACAGTATGGTTGATATGGTTTTGCTCTGTGTCACACCATCCAAATCGCACGTTGAATTGTAATTTCCAGTGTTGGGGAAGGGACCTGGTAGGAAGTAATTGGATCATGAGGGCAGATTTTCCCCTTGCTGTTCTCATGATAGTGAGTGAGTTGTCATGAGAGCTGATGGTTTAAAAGTGTGTGGCACTTCCCTCTTTGCTCTCTCTCCTGCTGCCGTGTGAAGACATGTCTTCCATGCCCCTTAGCCTTTCACCTGATGTAAATTTCCTAAGGCCTCATGATCCATGCCTGCTGTACAGACTGTGGAACTGTGAGTCAATTAAAGCGCTTTTCTTCATAAACTACCCCATCTCAGGTAGCTTTTTTATAGTTGTGTGAGAATGAACTAATGCAATGGCATTTTCTTTTAATCCTTTGAAAATTCTTTTTAAGGTAGGTAGTGATGGCCCCATTTTCATTGCTCATTTTGATAATTTGAATTTTCTCTCTTTTTTTCTTATTCAATCTGACTAAAGTTTTTTTCAGTTTTGTTGATCTCTTCAAAGAATCAATGTTTAATTTCATTGATTCTAGTGTTTTTCTACTCTATTATTTCATTTATTTCCCTTTTAGTCTTTATTAGTCTTTCTTCCTGCTTTCTTTGTAGTTTGCTGTTCCTTTCCTAGTCTAAGGTGGAAGGTTAGGTTCTTGATTTGAGATCATTTGTCTTTGTTGATATAGGCCTTCGCAGTTACAAATTTCCCTTTAAGTACTGCTTTAGCTTGGCTGTATCCTGTAAGTTTTGGAACAATGTATTTTCATTTTCATTAATCTCAAAGTATTTTCTCATTTCCCTTATGATTTCTTCTTTGATCCACTGTTTATATCCCACAAATGGTGAATTTCCCAACTATCCTTCTATTACTAATTGTTTATTATTTCCACTGTGATCAGAGAGCTTACCGAAGTTTTTCTTGAATACATTCTTCTCAGATTGTTGGAAGCCTCTGTTTCCTTTCCAGAGTTCTGGAAAAGTTAATTTTCACAACGTTTGCTAGCGTTTTCACTGCTTTCATGAAAGGGCGGATTTATGGGGGCGGGGGGGTGGTTCTCATTCCACCATTCTGGAAGTCTTGCCTTCTAAGTAAGGTTATATTTTATGTGACACAAAAATTATCCCCTTATATACACACACTAGTCCCCATCGTGAAGAAAGAGAGAAGACAGGTCACTCCTACTTTTCATTCATTTATTCATCTATGCATCCCTTCATTCAGTAATTAGTACATTATAAAGGGACAGCTCTGCTAAATGATGCATATATAAAGATGAAAAAGACATAGCCCCTATCCTCAAGGAGCTTTCATGGCCTGTTTGAGGCTAAGACAAGTGCACAAATGGTTAATGCAAAGTGTAGCAAAAAGAAATGCTGCAAAAGTGGCTGAGATGGCAATTGCTATAGGAAGAAAAAACTTTTTTTGCTTGCAGATACTAGGAGGTAACTGCCACCATGTTCTCAGCCCTATGACTGACCAAACTAAATATTTTACATATTCATCAAATATTTACTTTGAAATCTACTTAAAGATAAGATGGGGGTGTCCATGGCCCTAATGCATACTCAA
This sequence comes from Homo sapiens, assembly GCF_000001405.40. Classification (NCBI taxonomy): domain Eukaryota; kingdom Metazoa; phylum Chordata; class Mammalia; order Primates; family Hominidae; genus Homo; species Homo sapiens. The sequence goes on along the minus strand of NC_000023.11, from coordinate 67,622,645 downwards.
GTCTCAAACCTGACATGCAGCAAGTGCTCTGTACAACACATAACCATGAATAGAACAATTACTTGTCACTATGCATCAGGTTGCTATAGCCCTATTGGTGATTTCCATTTTCTGTAGCTTACATCACCAACAAACATGCCAAGACAGCTGGAGTGGTAGTAGCAAAAGTGTTTTTTAACAGCGTATCCCACTGACAATACAAATCTGTCCTTTTCTCCTGGAATCACTCTCATAAATGGGGCTGGATAGACAAATCCTTATTACAGTCATGTCCTTGCATTTCCCAAGCCACATCTGCTGTCTTCTGTGAGCCAATTTTTTTTTTCCAATGGCTTTCTAGCCATCATAGCCAATCAGCCATGGGACGACTAGCCAGATTTCTTTCTGCAATGTCATCAAATCTAAGGACTGAGAGCTATTTCCACATTATGTTTCTGGAATCCATTGCTAAAGAAACAGGAAAATGTTTTCAAATACTTGATTTTAATTTACCTGTTAAATCTTACTGAACCAATATTTTTCTCACATCTTCCATCTGAACTTCTGATATTAAAGAAGCTATTTACTGGGGGCTTATTATGTCCTAAGCTCTGGTGAAGGTGCTTAATCCCCACAACTATTACTGCCAGGTACATAGTGTATCTCCATTTTGATTTCTTCAAGATCACACAACTAGTAAGTAACAGAGCCAGGGTCTGAATGCATACCTGGCTAACTCTAAAGCCCATGCTCTGTCCACCATACTCTATAGCATTGTCTCTTGTTGACTATCAAAGTTGGATGGCCCTTATCAATCATCTAGTCCAGTGTTTCTCACCCTTGGCTGCACATTGAACTTCACTAGGGGGCCTTCTTAAAATACTGATGCTCCTCTCAACATTCTGTATTCTGATTTAATTGAACTGGAGTGAGCAGTTCAATACACCATGGAATATCAGGCCACCATAAAAAAGGATGGGTTCATGTCCTTTGAAAGAACATGGATGAAACTGGAAACCATCATTCTCAGCAAACTAACACAGGAACAGAAAACCAAACACTGCACGTTCTCACTCATAAGGGGGAGCTGAACAATGAGAGCACATAGACACAGGGAGGGGAACATCACACACCAGGGCCTGTCTGGGGTTAGGGGACTAGGGAGGGATAGCATTAGGAGAAATACCTAATGTAGATGACGGGTTGATGGGTGCAGCAAACCACCATGGCACGTGTATACCTATGTAACAAACCTGCATGTTCTGCACATGTATCCCAGAACTTAAAGTATAATTAAAAAACAAACAAACAAAAACAACAACAACAACGACAAAAATCTGGGCATCTAATTTTTTTCAAAGATCCCCAAATAATTTTAATGGCCACTCGAGGCTGAACCCCACTAAACTAGTCCAACTCCTTCATCATTTGGGGGAAATTTCAAGCCTAGATAGAGACAGAGAATTGACCAGGAGAAACAGTTATTCAGAGGCAAGTCTGAGACTAGAACACAGGTGTTATCATTCTTACGCCAGGGATCTGTTGTAGAATAATATTTCCTGTCAAATTCTGGATATTTAACTTCTTCCACGGCATAGAATTTGGAACAGGCAACCTATGAAAAAATCTATATAACAACCATCATCAGTTATCTAGCTATACTCCAAAATCATTTTAACAGATGGTAAAAGCATTAAACACTACAGTAGCCACCAAAATGTATCTCACCCATTATGGAGCTACCCTCTTTCTGGAAAATGTGGTAAATATTTATTGAGTGCCCTTCTATGTGCCAGGCACTTAGAAGCACTTTCAATACATTAGGGGCCCAAAGATACAAATATCCTTATCCCCTATCATAAGTCTGGTCTGAGGAGATTTACTGTCATACAGAGCAAGAGTTACAGAGCTCCATTTTACAGTTGAGGCAAATGAGACTCAGAGTTAAATACATCTTCTCATTAGTTACAGTGTCAAAAGAGGAAAAAGCAAAGGCTTTGGGGCAGAGAAATCTGAGTTTGAATCTCACTATTATTGATCACTAGCCATGTAAAGTTGGGCACAAGATGAACCTAACCTCCCTTCCCATAAGTTTCCTTATCTATAAAATGAAGAAAATCACATTTCAAACCCAAAGAGAATTGTGACAAATGCATTAGACAATACATGAGAAAAGGCCTGGCACACTCAAAATAAATGGTAATTTCTCCCCATTTACCCCATCTCACTCCATCTTCCCCTTGGTACTAGAGTCTAGGCGGGTAAAGCATCTGACTTTCAGTCCAGTGAGCTCTGCAATCATCATGCTACCTCCTCTGTCAGACACTACTGGTTAAGGCAGAAAAGCAGCATTTACCACTTGCCCTTACCCAAAATGTATAAAAACCCTGGGGAAAAAAAAAACCAAAACCTATCTTAAAGTCCTTTTGTGACTTTGTCTGTGGCAGGGAAAACACAGATGATATAGCTTAAGAAATGTGAAAAATGTTCAGCCAAGTGTCTGAGGGCTTCAGAAACCCAAAAGAAGGAAGATAGCATCATGTAAGCAGACACAACTTGGGTAGCAGTGAAATGTTGACGAGAATCCACAACCAAGAAGCCAAGGTTAGACATTTCATGTTGGCCCAAAGAAACTACAAGAACTAGAAAAACAGCCCCATTGAGATACTCACCAAGAACAGAGCTTACCCTGATCTCTTAAACAGATGTGTAGTGAGGTCTGGCCCAAGGCAAAACAAGGCAAGGTATTAGCCTTAAACACTTGGGAGAAGTGTCTCACTCCTCAACACATAAGAGACTGATTTTCTGATTTTGATCATGGGGAGAGGAGTCATTGGCAGAGACTAAAAAATCCCCTACCCCATCTCACTCCAGTACACATCACAACATATAGCACAATAATAACAGCTGATGTTTACTGGACCACTATACGTCCCAGTTACTAAACTACACTCTACATACTTTAACCTCATTTAGTCTTTACAACAAATGCATGAGGTATGCATTATTTTCCTCATTTTACAGAAGAAATAACTGAGGTCCAGAAACCTTAAGTGTTCTGCCCAAGACCCACATACAGCAATTGATGGCTTCAAGATTTTAATTCAAGTCTACCTCCAAGATCAACTATGATAAGACTATATAGTTTCTCACATTGGATGGCAATCCCCAATGACTCAACTTAGAAAACCATGAGTCATCCTGGACTTAATGTAATACACTTCCCTCAACGCACCCCACCTATCACTGCCATCCACTCAGTCAATCAGTGACTAATATCTGTTAATTTTACTGCCTAAATAGTTCCTACAATTACACACACACACACACACACAGAGAGAGAGAGAGAGAATCTTTGCCTCCAAAATAACTGCAACTGTCTTATTCAAGTCTTTCTGCTTCCTGTCTGATCCTCTCCAGTCCATAAATTACACAGGACCCCAGAGGAATCCTATCTAAAACATCTGCTTCTGTGGCTCCTCTCCATAGCAGCTTTCAATAACTACCTATGGCTTACAGCAGTGGTCATAACTCACTGATATATTAGAATCCTCTGAGGAGCTAATTAGCAATATGGAACACTGATTCCACCTTCAGTTAGCAGACTCTTCTGAATCTGAAGTTACAGGTGAGACCTGAGAATCTGTAATTTTATTAAATGACCAAGTGAAAACCACTTGGCTTACAGCATGCAAATTCAAAGTACTAGGATGGCATTCAAAGCTTATTTCTAGCTTCTTATCTCAATACCTTCACAATCTTTTCCATGTGACCTTCCAGCAGTACCACCCTGTTGCAATTCACTAATCTAACCTTGCTTTTTCATGCCCCTGTAGCTTTGCTTATATTGCTACTGCCTCCAATTTCAATGACCCCACCTTGCCCCCAGCCATCTGTCTCCTTTGCCACATCATCTCATAACTCAGGTCTCAGCCCAAGAGGCTACCACTTATTCAATGAAGCCCTTCCTGACTCTATCCCTAGATAGAATAGGAACACATCTCCACTTGTATGGTCTTCTTTCAAAGCACCTATTAGCTTGGTGCATTATACGGTACTTCTATATGGATTGGAACACAAATAATTGATGCACATATCTGATTCCCATCCACCATGTGGCTTTCATTGATAAATTTCCAGTGTCTAGCCTTGACGCTGCTTGGGCACTTTTCCCTCAAATTTTCTCCTCTTTTCTTCCTTCTCCTCTCATTCTTAAGTCACAGAACAGAGTTTGAAAACAACAATGTTATCTCTCAAAGGGCATCTTAATTTGAAGGCCAAGATGGACCCTGAACAACTTTTGAATCCTAAATTAAGACGTTGCTAAACTATATCAGACAAAGAAAACCTTCTCTTTTTTCCCCTCAAAAACTACCAAAGACTTCACAATATCCATTCTATCACAGTATCTCTCATGTCCTGGCCATGCACTTCTTCATCTCTAATACAAATCCCTTAGATTATTTCTCTGTCCTCAGTAGAAATGGAAAATAACCACTTGCTATACTCTTACCTTACTCTTTCTACACTACACATTAAGATAAAGTTGAACAAAATGTAATCTAGAATAAAAACTGAGAAGGAAAATGTTTCATAGTTGGTATATTTTTGAATTAGGCAAAAGTCAAGTGGTAAAGAGCTGGTGGAACTGTCGTTAGATAAACACAGATAAAGTATTCAATGTGGTAAACAAGCTCTTTCCATTCTGCAAAGTTATCATGTCGTCTCTGGCATAGCACTTTCCTAGTTTCTTTTTGCCATGAAGAGACAAGTTGCAGCCAGACGGAGCCTGCTTTTCTTTGTCCCTCATCAGTGCCTGCTCTCCACTGTTTCTTCTCTGGAATCTGCCTTAGTATACTGGAGTGGGAGTTGGGAGCCTGAAATTCCATTATAAATTCTGACACTAACTCTTTGCATGACCTTGGATCAGTCACCTTTCTCCCTGACTCTATTTTCTCATCTTATAAAACCCATATTTGTGGAGCACTTCAAGCACATAAAGCACATTCACATAAATTTATCTTGTGGGATCTGCACAATCACTGTGAGGCAAATACATGAGTCAAGGGAACCTTCAAGGGAAGCTTCTATGTCAAGGGAAGATATATCTTCTATGATATCTATAAAACTCAAGAGAGTTGGATTAGGGGTTCTTTAACGTAACAGCTTAAAATTAACAACAATATGCACAACACTTCATAAACTTAAAAATGCCTTCACATTCATTATCATCCTTTCTGTCAATAAAATTATATTTGGTGCCTACCATAAGCCAGACACCATTAGACTGAGGATGTAGTACAAACAAGTTAAACAAAGTCCCTCACTGTCTTAAGGTAGCTTCCATGGTGGTGGGCATGCATGAAACACTCATACAAAAATTTAGAAAATGAATTTCATATACTTCTAAGTACAGCAGGGTAAGGGCATACTGGGTGACAGCAGCATCTTATTTAATCGTCTCAATATCCCTATCATGTAGATATATTTCATTAACTCCATTTCCAGACAGAGCAAACAAAAAGGCAGAAAAGCTAAGTGACTTAGCAAGCAAGTGAAGAAAAGAGCTTGGCTTATATACCTACACACCACAACTTCTGAATATATGTTTCATGCTCATCCCATTCTTTTGCCTTGCTCCCGGTACTAGTTTTCTAGGATTCTATGATTTAGTCTTCAAATGACTGACTTGCACTTATTAAAATAAGGCCTTATTTCTGAGGCCTTAGGAGGATGAGACTTAGGCTAAATGCTCTGTGCTCATGAGATCAGGAGCACCAGGCGCTTTGCCTTCAAAACAGGACCAGCGTGTTTGCTGGTCCATTTGTCTATCAGTTCCTTAAGAGTAGCTGGGGCTTGTTTTGTTCACAGTTTTATCCCCTGTGCCTAGCACATGGCTTGGCCCCTAATTAGTGTTTGTTAAATATTTATGGAAGCTATGAATAAATGAATGAATGAACCAAGAAGAGAGCAAACTAACACAGCTTGCAGGAAAATGGGTTGTCGTGTTTATGGCAAAAAGAATTAAACTGCATTCAGCTTCTCTCTGGAATCTTCAGCCACTTTCTCCTGGGAACAAGCAGAAAGAAAATGTGGCACATATACACGATGGACTACTATGCAGCCATAAAAAGGATGAGTTCATGTCCTCTGCAAGGACATGGATGAAGCTGGAAACCATCATTCTCAGCAAACTAACACAAGAACAGAAAACGAAACACCGCATGTTCTCACTCATAAGTGGGAGTTGAACAATGAGAACACATGGACACAGGGAGGGGAACATCACACACCAGGGCCTGTTGAGGGGGTTAGGGGACAGGGGGAGGGATAGTATTAGGAGAAATACCTAATGTATATGACGGATTGATGGGTGCAGCAAACCACCATGGCACATGTATGCCTATGTAACAAACCTGCACATTCTGCACATGTACCCCAGAACTTAAAATATAATAAAAAAATAATAATGGAGTACTAGGCACACATAAGCTAAACTATGTTTTTAACTTTTTAAAACTGTATTTTTGCATCATTTTCTCAGTGATTACTTTGGGGCTTCTAACATATATCTCAAATTAACAGAATCGACATCATATTTATACTGACTTAGTTCCAGTAGGTTATAAAAACTTTACTCCTCTACAGCTCCATTCCCTCTCCTTGTATAATAATAATTGTTGTAGATAATTTGTCTATGTTTATTACTAATAAAACAATGTGTTTATAATTATTGTCATTTTTAATAGTCTTATGTCTTTTACAGAAGCTAAGGGAAGAAAGGAGGCCACAATTAATTTATAGAAGTTTTTAATGTTACTCTTCATATTTGCCACTTAATTTTTTCATTTCTTTCTGTAAATTCAATTTACCATGTGATACCATTTCCTTACTCCAATTTAGCTTAATTCCCACTCCCCTCTTTTACATTTTATTGTCAAATAACAATACAATTTTACAGATAGTGCTTTAAGAAATTGATTTTAAATAAGTTAAGTGGAAAAGAATATATAATGATGTATTTTTATTATTTACAAATTTCCCTTTATTGGAATTTTTTTTCATGCAGATTAAAGCTACTGTCTAGGAAGCTTTTAGTATTTCTTGCAAGGCATGTCAGCTAATGAAAAATTCTCTCAGCCTTTGTTTACCTAGGAATGTCTTCATTTCATTTTTACCTTTAAAGATAGTTTTGTTGAATATATGATTCTTGACTGACAGTTTTTTTATTCTTTCAACGTTTAGAATATGGGATTGCACTGCCTTCTGCTCTCTGTTATTTCTGATGAGAATCAGCTGTTAATCTTATTGTGGTTCCATTTCATTTTTCTCTTGCTAATTTCAAAATTTTCTCTTTATATTTGACTCCAATATTTTGACTATGATGTATCTAAGTATCAATATCGTTACATTTTCCTGCTTGAAGTTTTAAAAAAATTTTCTTTGATGTGTAGGTTGATGTTTTTCATTAAATTTTGGAAGATTTTATCCATTTTTTAAAAAATATTCTTTCTGCTCTTTTCTTTCCCTTCTTTTCTTCTCCTAATGATGTGTCTTTAAGATGTCCTACATTTCTTTGGGAATCTTCAGTTTTCTTCATTCTTTTTTTCTTTCTACCCTTCAAAATGAATAATCTATATTGATCTATGTTCTAATTTGCTGATTGTTTCTTCTGCCAAGTTATATCTTCTTGTGACCTTTTCTAGTGAATTTTTCATTTCAGTTATTATAATTTTCAACTCCAGATTTTCCATTTTTTTCTTTTTTTATAACTTCTATCTCTTTATTGGCATTCTCTACTTGACAAGAAATTGTTATTATACTTTATTTTAGTATTTTAGACATAGTTCCTTCAGTTCTTTGAATATATTTAAATAGCTGGTTTTTAAAGTCTTTCCCTAGTGAATTTCAACATCTTTGTTTCCTCATGGATAGTTTTTTGTTGATTTTTTCATATAATACCATGTATGAGTCATACTTTCCTCATTCTTTGCATGCCTCAAAATTTTTAGTTCAAAACAATATTTTAGATACTATATTGTAACAACTCTGGATACTGACTTGACCCTTTCTGAGACTCATTCTTGTTTTTTGCTTAGTCGTTTGTTTGTTTAGTGACTTGGCTGAACTGCTTCTGTGAAATTGGTTTCCCTGACACTTTGAGACTTCTGGTGTTGTTACTCACAATGTTTTGTTTGTTTTTATGGTTGAGACTGGCATCCCATTGGTCAACTCTGGGTTTACATAAACCACTTATTAAAAATATAGTCATGATTTTTTTATTTTTAATTTTTGTTGACTTTTTCTATTCAGTCCAACAAATAAAATTAGTTGATATTTTGTATAAGTGTATATCAGGGAGCACATTTTTCCTTTTGCCTCAGGCTCGGATATGGGTTGGCATGGCACCAATGAAAAGTTTTATTTTTCTTGACTCTGGGTTTCCTTTATCCTTCTTATCTCCACAATCCATTCTTTAAACCACGATGGCCTAAATTTATTTAACTTCATTTATTTCCCAGCACTGCCTCTGCACAGTAACCTCATAGGCCTCCTTTCCCTAACCTGACTTTAAGCCTTCTGAGTACAGAATAGCATAGAATGCCTAGGGAATTATGAAGCAGGCAAAGACTACATAAACCACTTTTTGGTTAATGTTGCTATGAAGCCCTCTTAGCCAGTTAGATTTTCACCCTTTACCACTACTGGATGTGCATGTGGCTTGGAAACCACTTTCACACTTCAGGGAGTTTAGAATTTTGCCACACATTCAGGTAGGGACAAACACTTCAGAAATTATCTCTCTAGTTGCTTTTCAAAGGGCACAGTTTTAGGCATAGTTATCCATTCCACTAGAGACAAATATGATTTTATTATTTTGCCTGGCTTTGTAGGAGTTGCCCCTTGGTCAGGGTGGCATAACATTTAGAAAATGTAGGGCCAGAGATTGTACTTAAGCCTTTTTATCCTTAAGCCCTCCACATTTTACTGATGGATCCATGTGTGGCTTGAGGAATGCTTTAGAGCCTACCCCACATCCTGTTTAGGTTGCTTTTGAGAGGGTACAGTAAAGCACACATGCATAACTTTCCACACACCCAGCAGTGAGTGCAATTCCACAAGGGCTCTTCTTAGTGATTCCTTTGTCTGGTTCTCTGGTATCCTCCATGCTGGTCTGCTGTTTTGCTTGTTGTTACTAGTATCATGGAGCTACCAATCCACTCTTAATTGCTCACCACCAAGATCTCCATTATTTTTGACAGTGCCCTTAGGCATGAACTTCTTCATGCTCTGTTCCAAATAAAGTCAGTCACCTCAGGGAGAACTGTGGAGTTCTCCATCCTAACAACCTGCCTTTCCCTGGGACAGAACCTCTGTCACTGCAATAGAATTTGAACCAGGGACAGTGACGAGTGACTCCCCTGTTCCACAAGTGGGGCAGTGACCTGCTTCTCCCAGAATGACACCCCTGTTCTACAAGTGGACCCTGGGGATAACGGTATATTCCCTAGTCCTCTTAATTTGCCTTTCCTAGTGTGGAAGCTTTACCTTATATATGAGCTGAGGCAGGCACAAGCAGGATCCCTGTATTCTTGACTTACCATCCCTGGGGCAAAGCCCTCATACGTAGAAAGTGGGTGTGGAAGGAATCTCCAATCCTCTAAGCTATGCCTTCCTAGAACAGTGATTCTGTAATATAGGGCTGGGGGAAAAAAAAGAGATGCTTGTGGTCTGCCCCATTGTGGGTGAAATTATAACTATGGAGTAAGATTTTGAGAGAGAGGAAGCCTCCATCTTCTTGGTTGCACTTGCCTGAAGAATGGAGATAAGGGAAGGATTAGGAACAGGTCATGACTCAAATGCCATAGACTCTTGCTGTTTTTACTGAGGCTTAATAGCTTTTCTTGAATAAATGTTTCTCTTTTTGCTATGTGCCCTTAGGATATTTTCTGAAGATTTTAAATGGTTGATTGATCATTTTTACTAGTTAAACGGTTGTTTCACTGAGTAGAGGGTCCACCAGATCCTTGATCTGCCATTCCAGAAGTCATGCCTATAGAAACACCTTCGTCTTGGAGTGGAGAGATTGGAAAAGGCTTCACAGAAGTTACAGAAATGATGTTTATTTAAGTTGGCTTAGGCAGGCAGACAGGCAAGAAAAAAGTTGCCCCACACGGGGAAACAGCATGTGCAAAGGAATGTGTAAATAAGACTGGAAGACTGCATAGGTGCTAGAGGTCAAGTGACTACAGTGCATAAGCTATGCTAAGGTACTTGGATCTCATCCTACAGGCAATGAGGAGGCATGAGAGGGCCTTAGAATGGGGAATGATCTGCGCAGTTCTGAATTCAAGACAGGTCACTCTGGCTGAAGTCCCAAACAGTTTAAAAGGTATTAGATTTAATCCCAGACTTTGCCAAAGCAGAGAAAGAAAGATGAGAATGCAGTTAGCAGCCAAGCCAATGCTTTTCAGTTCTCATATATGTCAGACCAAAAATATACTTAATTTCTGTTAAGGTAAATACACATTTCACATTCATAACGAAAACCATTAAGAAAATAAAACACAAATGAATATGCTCCTTTGGTTAAAATATTTGCACATTTGTTTAACTAAATATCCAAAACACACAGGTGATTTGTACATGTATAGTACATATGCTGATGAATCTCTAAGTGAAAATTAATCTGAAAAATAAAAAAAAAATTCTCTGAGTTGCTTAAGTATGTATTTTATTTTTTAGTAGAAAGCTCTTTTTGTGAAACCATCTGGTTAAATTGAATGATCACTGAAATACACATCAGGAGCTAGAAGTTCCAGTCTACATTTTTGCCATTAGCTTACTGGAGAACCTTTAGACTCTTTTCTTTCTTTAGGACTAAACTTCTTTTCATCTGCAGAGAAAAATTAAAAAGGTATGAAGAAAAGGTGGTTGAACTAGGAAATCTCTAAGGTCCCTTTTAGCTCTAACATCCATAATTCGTGAGTCTTTTTGGCAAAAATACTTCCAGTACATGATTTAAATCATCCCCACCTAGAAAGACCTTTGAAGCATGATCTCCAAACTCTAAAGTCATAAGAAAAAACAATGATGAATTTAACTACATAATTTTAGACTGATGAATAGGAAAACATAAACAAATTTTAAAGATAAATTGGAAAAAGTATTTGTCACACATATAAATAGAGGCTAAATTCCTGTATATACAAAGAGCTCCATAAACCAATAAGAAACAGATGAAAAGCCATATAGTAACAGCAACAACAAATAGGCAATGGCCAGGAACAGTTAGTTCACATGGAAAGAAACATAAATGGCCAAAAAAACATGTGAAAAGATAATCATTTTCACACAAAATTAAGATAGGCAACTTAAAATGATGATAAACTGTTATTTATACTTATCAGATTTACTAAGATTTAAAAAGTTAATATCCAATATTTGCAATTTTTGGCAGGGAAAAGGTAATATCTACCAGTACTTAAAATGCGTACATTCCTTATGTCCAATGGTTAAACATCTAAGAATTTGTCTTATTGCTATACATGCAAAAGTATGATAATAAAGGTATACAATTATACTAACAATTATATAGTCCTTCACTACTTAATCTAAAAATAACTAAGTTCTTAAAGTGCATTATTAACTTACTAAATCCTCATAAAAGCCCTACTGGATAGTGACCATTATTGCCTCCATTTTTTCACACAAGGACACTGAGGCAAAGAAATTAAGCAACTTGCCTAAGGTCATACAGCAAGGAATTGGTGGCACCAATATTCAATCCAAAGTAGTCTGGCTCCAGAACCATTCATCTTAAACACCATATATACTGCCTCTCAAGGATGTTAATTGCAGCACTACTCTTAATATCAAAAGAGTTAGGGAAACATGAAATATCCATTAGTAAGGGAAACAAAAAGTAAATTACAAGACAGCCATACAATTGAAAGTTGTGCAACCTTTAAGAAAACTTATATAGATCTATATATACCGATATGGAAAAGCATATATAAGGTCTATTAATTAAGTGAAAAAATTAAGTTGTAGAACAGTAATTATAGTGTAACAGGAATTTTGAAAACATACCATGCATATATCTAACAATATATATACATAGAAAATCTCAGGAACCAAACACAAGAAGCTAGTCACTGTGGTTACCCTCTGAGGAGTGAAACTGGGAGTGAAAGAAGGGGTGAGGTCATGAGTAGGAGAACTTCTAAATTTTCATACCTTTTTTTTCAGTTTTATCATTCTACCATAAGCATGTATTACTTGTATTAGTTAAAAATGCTAATAAAAAATATCAAACCAACTTTAAGCACCCTACCAGAAGTTCCTATTTGCTGCTTTTTCCCATAACAGGAGAGAGACCTTTATGACATTAATTAATTAGTGTGATGCATGAAAGCTCTAACACTAAGCTGTAATTCCATTGACCTTTCCTTTGGGTCTCTCAAGCACCAGGCCCAAGACTACAGAGGATTCTGGACACTCGTAGGACAGCTCCCTTTGAATTAACAAAAGCATGTTCTCTTGAGTGGTTGCCTCAGGATTTTTAGATGTGCCCTAAGTACAAGGACAGCCAATTAAGCCTAAAAATGTTTAAGGGCCTTCAGTGTTTGTTTCATTACAGGTTAGAAGGTTGGGGGCAGTTACAAAATAATCCCTACCTCCTTCTTGGCCTCTAGAAATCTACGTTTCCTGTATTTTCCAAGAGTTAAGTGGTCTTGCCCCCTTACTGAAAAATGATTTAATTTTCACCTATTTTATGACCCTTAAATTACAATTTAAAACTGGTATAAAAACAACCTTTAAACAAATCTTCAAATGCTTTGATGCCTACTTAAGTTTTTCCAACATTTCGGAGAATACGTCTGAATTATATTGTGGAAAAAACATATTTTTAGAAAGATTATATTTGTGGAAAAATTGATATACATGAAGTCTTCATTAAAATTGCCAGGGAAGACACTAAGAAATCATAGTATAAATGGGCAAAGGTGCAAATATACAAATCCCATGCAAGAAAAAAATAAAAACTCAGGATATATTTCGTATCACCTTTGTCTTTTCTTAGAATAATTTTTAGAGAAAAAAAATCAGGTTAAAATCAAAGGATGCCTTAAATAAAAATAAAATCTAGAAAAAAGGAAACCACATCATTATTAATAATAAAATAAAATGCAAAGTCAATCAAGCATAAGCTATCTTTTAATGGAAAATAGGGTAGAATAAAAACTTATAATGTCCAGTGTTGTTGAGATTGCAGCGAAATTAGTACAATCATATGCTGCTAGAAGTACTTTAAGTTGACATAAACTTTTTTGAGAGGACTATGGCAATACACTGCAGGTTCCAAAAAATCTTCTCATGCTCTTTGACCTAATAACTCCACTTTTGAAATTGATTCTAAGAAATAATTCAGCCAAAGCAAATAGCTATGTACATAGGTATATTCACCGTCAAGTTATATAAAATATTTAAAAAATAAGAAATAACTTAGATGTCCAACAAGAGAAAAATGATATAGTACAGTCTGGCACATTTACTCCAGGGCAATGCTTTCCAAGTGAATTTTCTGTGTTGATGAAAATGTCTTATATCTGTACTATTCAAAACAGTAGCAACTAGATAGATGTGGCTATTGAGTATTTAACTTGTGACTAATGAGATTGAAGGGATGAATTGTTAATTTTCTCTGATTGTAATTAGTTTTAACTTCAATCTATATAGCCACCAATATTGGAAGGGTATGCCAAGAAGCAATTAAAATTTAAAAAATACAATATTTTATGTCAAAGGAAAAGAAGTAAAACATAAAAGAAATAAGCCATGATTAAAACCATGTTTAATATAAACAATATATAAAAACACATGTTCATGGACAAATATAGAAAATAAAAATGGTTAAATATGCAAACATAAAAATGAATTTTGGTAGAGTGATTAACTAGTGATATGTTTTACTTGTTTTTAACATTCTTTTATATTATTTCGATTTTAAATCTTTTAAAAACACTTCATTGCAGGTCTGAATTTCAACTCATGTTACAAATTTTTCAAATATGCTTTAGATTCACTAATACTGATTTATTATTAGGTTGGCCAATACATCCTTTCTTTAGGCAATTCTAAATTTCCTTGTCAGGAGCAAAGAGATGAGGAACTAGGATCTTCCTAACATTTCTGTCCCTAAAGATAAGTTTAAAAACATGACGTGCTCCATGAAAGCTGAAAGCCAGAGCATCTTAAGCTGGCACCACTGAAGTTAAAACAAAGGAGAATAGAGATAGAATGACTAAGTAGCTAGGAACATACTTCTGTTAATGAAATATACAATAAGATAGAAGGACATTCAAGGCCTCTTTATGTTGGAATTTAGAGGGTAAGGTGGGAACTGCTTTGAATTCGCACCTTTATCTTCCATCTCGCAGATACCAAAGGCAAAGTTTCCATGTGGTTATTAATTCCACTGCAAATAGTAAACTCTGGTCTGGTCTGCCTGCTACTGTATTTCCATTGACTACAAAGTGTTATGAAACTAGATTTACAGATACATCTGGTTTCATGTTGATTTTTGGCCAGTGAAAAATCTACGGCTCTGCTGGGCATCGGACTTTAAGACTATTATGCCTGGACAGTTTGAACAGAAGGAAACTTGAGTTTCATGTTAGATCTGGGGGCCCGGGCCCAAATTCAGCTTGCACATGGGCAACAGAACTAGATGTGAGCGCAAAGTTGGTGGCAGGCAGCTCATGCAAAATGGGTGTCTTGTTGGTCCCAGAGCCAAAATACGGCAGGGAAGAAGCCAATACAGAGAATTTTTTGGTCCCATATGATTCTGTTACATGTGGAACTCCAGCTTGTGAAAATTAAGTGGAGGTTTTTCTGTACAACTCTGAATGAGCACATAAGTCACAGTGGGGACAGAACATCTGGATGGAGAATGAATTGTTCTTTTACTATTTTTACTAATTCTTAACATTTGAATCACACTTTAAACAAAATGCTTACAAATCCATTATCCCATTTGATGCTCACAATAACCCTGTGAGGTAAGCATAATACTCAGTACATTAACAACAGCTGTCTTAAGAACCAGTATTTGTATAGCACATTCTCTTTTAAGTGTATTACCTAACTTGTTACTCATAACTCAAAGAAGTAGCTAGAAAGTTTCAACTTCCCATTTTATAGCTAAAGAAACCAAGGCTCAGAGAAGAAGAGCAACAAGATGGCTATGGATTCATAATTACTTATGTAGTAGCAGCAGGGCCTGGACACTAGTGTTCTAATCCAAGCTCACTGTTCTTTCAAAAATACCGTGTGGGCCGGGCGCGGTGGCTCATGCCCGTAATCTCAGTACTTTGGGAGGCCGAGGTGGGAGGATCATCTGAGGTCGGGAGTTCAAGACAGCCTGACCAACATGGAGAAACCCTGTTTCTACTAAAAATACAAAATTAGCCGGGTGTGGTGGCGCATGATTCTAATCCCAGCTACTCAGGAGGCTGAGGCAGGAGAATCGCTTGAACCTGGGAGGCGGAGGTTGTGGTGAGCCAAATTCGTGCCATTGCACTCCAGTCTGGGCAAGAAGAGCAAAACTCCATCTCAAATAAAAAAAAAAACAAAAACACAACAACAATAACAACAAAACCATGTGTTCTATTTGTAGTCATGCATGTTGAAGATATTCACAAAGAGCCAATAGAAGGCTTAAACTTTTTCACTCAAGTGCCATGAATTTGCAATACCCAGAACCAACACATTCTGCCCATCCTTTTTCGCTCAACTACTGTTCAGTGTAGGCAACAGACTCCAGAATGATCCCACTATCTCTGGTTTCACTTCTCTGTATTTTACTCCCAAAGTCATCATTCTAAAATGCAAATCCTACTGGGATAAACCTCTGCTTATGATCCTTCTAAAGGCATACAAACTAATAATTGCCAAGCCTCAATCAAGAAAACTAATATTAGAAAAAGTAATAATCATTTCATGCACAGTGTACGTAAGAAGTACTTGGTGAATAGCAAATTATTTTTTAAATCCTTCTAAGATTGTGTTCATAAAACAGTTCAATATCTTCAAAGGGTAAAAAGTTTTTGTTAGAAGTTTTTGAGATCTGCACAACATGGTGACTACAGTTGATAATAATGTGTTGTCTATTTCAAAGTTGTTAAGAGAATAAATTTTAAATGTTCTAACCAAAAAATAAGTATGTGAGGTGGTAGATATACAAATTAGCTTGATTTAATCATTCTACATTGCATACATATATCATAACGTCACATTGTACCTCACAGAAATATACAATTATATTTTGTCAATTAAAATTTAAATAAAATTTTAAAACCCCTCAGCATGTCATCCAAGGCCCTTTGTAACCTAACAGGCCTGCTGTCTGCTGAAGCAACAGTGAAGTATGTGCCATTCCCTTAAACTCAATGTACTAGCATAGCTCTATGCTAGTCCCTCTGTCTGGGGTGCTTTTCTTCCCTCAGCTTGACTTTCTCTGAGAACTTTCCCTTATCTCTCTTTTCCCTCAGAATCAATCACATATTCAGCACCTTATACTCATGTACACTATGAAATTTAAAAAAAATAGCAATTTGCTCATATATTTGTCTCCCCTGTTCGACTGAAAACACCTAAAAGACAGAGATTTGTCTCATCTGTTAACAGAATGCCTAGCACAGTGCCTGGCACATGTCAGGCACTTACAGGCTTATTGAATTAATTCACTTCAATAAAGCAATGCCAATGATCTGTCTATTATGTTACCTGACAAAATATTATATGCCCATTTTGAGGCAAATACAAACCAGTAAACCTCAGATTTGATGAATTATCAAATCCAATACATCATCAGTTTCTGAACAGACAGATAAAAGGCTATCACATGGCTTCCCTGAGTTACTCTTTCTGCTGCTTGGCAGCCATGAAGATAAGAAAGGGAAAAACTGCTTTTTTTAGGGACAAATAAAGCGGCCGGATGACCATTTCATAGCCCACAGAGTGGCTGTAAAACAAAATGGCAAACCACTCAACAAATGGCTTTCTCATAAAGAATGCTCCAGGATGGAATGAACACACACGTGCATGCCAAACTGGCCCTCCAAAGAGTCTGTCCACAATGAAAGTGGAACTATCTAAGCAAAAAGGGTGAGTCATCTCACAACCATGTACACATCTCCCCTCAACACCAAAAGGAAATGCCAACTGTGTCCTCTGTAACACAGGCAACTGGAAGAATCCTTTGCAAATGCCTGAGGCTGAGTCCTTAGTGCTCTACAATACATTGAGATTCCTACTGAACTCATTCCCAGGGAAGGAAACACTTTCTTAATTATTTTTGGACTTCACTTAACCAGCTCCAGATCATAAAGTTCCCATTCTCACACTGGTCCCTGAGGGACAAAAGTGAAGGACACTGTTCCAAAGATGCCATTGGCAACTAACCTTGGAAAGAGGTTTCAAAAAACACTCTCCAGTTACCACTGCTAGGTCAACTCCCTCCTCTGGAGGCAGACAATAACAGCCTGCAGTGAAAACTATTCCAGCATAAAAGGCTCACAGAACAAAGAGAAATGTAAAGAAAAATGTGTTCACTTTCCTAAATTTCTTCAGCCAGTGGTTGAATAAGCTAATATTGTTTACCCTGTGTGATCTTGTTACAGTCACACACAAGTTGTTAAGAGTCAAGCAAATTTTCAACAACAGTAGGAAACCCTACTCTTATTCTTCAGGTAAATGGTCCATATACTGGTAATTATCAAACAGGGTGAGTGCAGAGGAATATATATCAGAATCTCTGGGAGAAGGTGTCATTCAGAGAAATACATTCTGTACCATAATTATTTGATACTCTGGCACCAATGACTAATTTATTTGAGGATTTCAAACATTAAAAGAGGGTATGAAACTTTCATGTTTATTGAAAATGGATATGTGCTTATTATAAATGTCAATTCTTGAACCTCAGTAAGTTTGAGGAGGGGCCAAAGAATCCACATTTGTAACAGAAATACTCTTCTCTCCCCTTCCCAGGGACTCTATATAAACAGTCCTGTGATCGCATGTTACAAATCCTACCATCCTATAAATGCTACACATTTCCCAACAGATCAGTTTATACATGCTAAGGGTTAGAGAAAGTGACAAACAGACAGTTGGCAGATCATTAGCATAGACTTAGAACAAACATGAACCCCAAAAGTAACCTTCGGGCACAGTGAAATTGAATCACCCTATTCTCTCAGAGGAACATTAATTTGTGGAATGTGGTGATGCCCAGGGAACAGATCAACACCTTTAAGGCCTCTTGGAACGGGTGAGTGCTAGCAACTTGCAGACCCCACTGCAGTGGCCTCAACTAATCTACTTCCCATCCTTAGTCCCAGAAATGGCACATACACACACACACACACACACACACACACACACACACACACACACACATATTTCTCCCCAGCTTCTGACCTTCTGTTAAAGAGCAGCTGTGGGGTTGGAAGCCAGTGTTGTTCCTGTACCATCATGTATAAAAGGGTTCTTTCCTCTGACTATTGCTGTTACCCACCCTCTCAGAATTATACTGTAAGTGTTAAGTATGAGATCTAGAGCCAAGCTGTCTTGGTACTAATCCTGACTCTAAAACTTCCTAACTCTGTGATTTCAATCTATCTCAGCACCTTACAAAGCTATTGGGCTTTACCTCCTTGCACCATGCCATGCCAATTTTATCTCTATGACACCTCTAAAACATTTTCTGTCTTCTCCTTTTCCAAAACAACTCTTCTAAATCATCTCTTTATCATCTTTCTATCCTAAATGTGCTCCCTGTCTCCAGCCTCTGCCTCACCACCTTCCAAACTTTACCATCAACCCTTATCTACACTATTGCTAGAATTTTCTTTCTAAATCACAGATGTGATCAGTTCACCCCTTTGTTCAAAAACAAATGTTAATGTCTAAACTCCTTAGCCTGAAATTCAAGGCCTTGTATGACTAACCCCAATCTATACTTTTAAACTTGTTTCCTACTACACTTATTTTTATGCATCTTATACTTCCATTATACTGAACTATTGAATTATCCCATATGATGATGTTCAAGGTTATCTATGCTTTTGTTTGTGCTCTTCTCCCTAGCTGGAATGCCTTCCTTCTTCACCTTCTCCTATTCAAATCCTAACTATTCTTCAAGGCCCAGTTCACAGACAATCTCCTCTGAACTCTTACCAAATTTTGTCAATCTCAAGGCGACAAGCACTTCCTACTTTGCAGTAGAGTTAGTGTGACCCATATTTTACCTCTTCTACTACGTTATGAGACACTTGAGGTCAGACACCATGTCTGATTCCTTTCCTCTTTATACTGTCTACAGAGCTTATTATGGTACCAGGTTCAGAGTGAGCTCCCAAGATGTATGTGATGCAAATGAACAGTTTTCCAGGCTCCATATTTTCTCTGCCACAGTAGAATAACAGGCATATGACCTCTGTATCCTAAAATTGCATTGTGGGAAAGTCTACCTAGAGACAATTTATGTTCCTTTACTATTCATTTGTGTATCAAAGGATTTGTATAGGCCTGGGAGAATCAGTATCATTACTATTAATACTACTAAAATTAATAATACATGTCCTCTATTACTTTAGAAGTCATGTTTCTCAACTACAACTTCACAGCAGTATAAATTAATTCCATTATGTCAGGTAAAAAGAAACTGAATCATGAGAGGATAAATGCCTTGCCTTGCATGGTAAATATATTAGTTTTTTATTGCTGCATAACAAATTATCACAAAATTAGCAGTTTAAAACAATACTCATTTATTATCTGACTTTTTTTTTAGGTCAGAAGTCAACTGGATTCTCTGCTCAGGGTCTCACAAGTCCAAAATCAAGGTGTCAATCAGGCTGGACTCTTATATGGAAGTTCTAGAGGAAGAATCCACTTCCAAGTTCAAGTTCACTGACAGAATTCTTTATGGCTGTAGGTCTGAGGCCCTCATTTTCTTACTGGCTGTCAGCCAGGGATCACTCCTAAAGGCCACTTTCCATGCAGCCTCCTCTATCTTCAAGTTAGTACTGGCACATCAAATTCAAATTCCCCTCAATGTTCAAATCTCTGCGTGGCTTTCTGCCACCAGTTAAAAAATACCCAAACCCTCTGCTTTCAAATGGCTTGTGTGATTGGTCCTTTCTTAAAGTTAACTGTGCCATATAACAAAGCCTAATCAAGGGAGTGATATCATATTCACAGTTTTTATCCTTACTTAAAGAGGAAGGAATCATACAAGGACAAGGTATTCAGGGTCATTCTAGAATTCTGCCCACCACAGTAAGTGATTAGTGCAGCTAGGATTTTAACTAAGTGAGGCAGATACAAAGTTCCTAAAAAGCATAAAAACTCAGTCCGGGTAAAAATATTTTTGTATTAAAATGGACTGAGTAGAGATAGCTTAGTTTATTATTCTGAAACAAAAAGATAAATATGAAATAAGAATTATCCTTTCTAATTATATATTACTTACTGTCATGTAAACTTTCCAGAAAATTTTTATAAAGAGGTTATGGTTCTGTCTCCAACTTAATTAATTGTCATATTTTTCAGGACACATTACTGTGGGCAAGCTATAACTGCCAAAGAGGATTTGATATGGGTATGACTATCAGCACAGGAATCTCACTAAAATGGAAGGCAGGGGGCCTAATTAGGTTCACCACTGACTTGCTGTGTGACTTTGAACAAGTCTTTTCCTTTTGGTGGGGGCTTCAATTTCAACATCTGTAAAATGGGGTGTGGTGGACTGAATTATCTACGAGCTCTTATTTAATTGAAACAGTCTGTGAAGTGATTGTATTTCACATTATCCCCTTTATACTATTATTCTTATGGGTAAAAGGTGAACCTTATAAGAATCTGTATTTTCTGACAGGAGCTGAAAAATGAAACCTATGAAGAGATTAATCAAATAAACACATGAATCTGAAATAAACTTTTTTCTTACAGTTTTCTGCAGGTCTGCAAAGAATAAAATAATAAATGTAGAAGTACCTATCATACATTATGGGCTCAAAATGCCTCTTTCTAAATAATTCACTAACTACATTATTGAGTGTCTGCTCTCTACTTTGCATTTCCTACTGCAAGGGGATTTCAAGCATCAGAAGACAGGTTGGACTATGAACACGGCATTTAAGAGCTCTTCTAACGCTGAAATCCCATAATATATACACTAAGGTACAAAATACATAGCATTTACTATCAAGCAACTTACAACTCTCCTTGGGAGACATAAAATTATTTAAGGAGTAAATGGGCCAAAATGTACTTTTATTCCCCAGTTTATGAATAAATATCAAGAAAAGGTACACACTGTTAGTCATTGCATAACCCAATATCTCATGTGTTTTCATAATGATCTGGCTGAAATCATCCATTTAATTTATTTTAAAAACACAAACAATTTATATTTGAAACTTAACTAAAAATATAAAAATGTCTTTTTACCAAAAGGTCACATGTGCTGTCAACAAGTTTGCCAGAAATAAGTAAGCAGAATTTATGGAATAATCTTTTCTCTTTGTATTATTTTATTTCATTTCATTTATTTTTTGCTAGGCTCCCTTGAATCATAGAAGGAAGAATCTTCTTTTTCAAGTGATCTTTGCTAACTAACATACAAAAATGTCCCCCAAATATCCAATATAACTGAAGACAGTTTTCCTCCAAATTACCTTTATTTTGTTTATAACTTGAACTATGGTTTTTATTTTTGTTTTTCTTTAATGCACAGTTTTTTTTAATTTTGTGAGTACACAATGGATGTATATATTTATGGGGTATATGAAAATTTTTGATAGAAGCATGCAATGTGTACTAATCACATTATAGAGAATGAGGTATACATCCCTCAAGCATTTATTCTTTGTGTTACAATCAATCCTATTATACCTCTTTAGTTATTTTAAAATGTACAATTAAATTATTATTAACTATAGTCACCTTATTGTGCTATCACATAATAGGTCTTATTCATTGTTTCTATTTTTTTGTGCCCATTAAACATGCTCACCTCACCCTCCCCTGCCCCACCAACTATCCTTTCTAGCCTTTGGTTACCATCCTTCTACTTTCTATATCCATTAGTTCAATTGTTTTGATTTTTAGATTCCACAGATTAAATGAGAACATGCAATGTTTGCCTTTCTGTGCCTGCCTTATTTCACTTAATATAATAATTTCCAGTTCCATCCATTTTGTTGCAAAAATGACAGGGTCTCATTTTTTTATGACGAATAGTACTCGGTTGTATATATGTACCACATTTTCTTTATCCATTGACCTGTTGATGGAGCTCTGTTTTTAGTACCAAAATTTTAAATAATATTTTTATAAATAATAAAAGTAATTTATAATCATTGTTTTTAAAAAATCAAACTGTGCAGGGGTGTATACCATAACAAACCTCAGTTTTTAGCCAACTCCTTTCCATGTCCCTCTCCAGGTGGAGCCACTTTTAGCAACTTGAGGTATATCCCCTCATAGCTTTTTCTATGCACATATAAACATATGCATATATGTACATTCAAATGTATGGTTTTCCTTTTGCAAGAGTCAGATGATATTAACATACTCATTTGAAACTAGCTTTTCTTACTCAACTATATAATATGTTGGTATATGCACATTTGCATATACCAACATATTTAATGGTTGATTTAATGGTTGCATAGTATTTAATGGTTGATTTAATGGTTGCAAAGTATTCCATATGCGCATATCATAATTTATTTAATGATTTTTCTGGCAATGACATGTAAAATTGTAAGTTTGGATTTAAAAATAAATAAAAAACAAATCATCATTCAGCTTTGTCGCTTAGCTTCAAGCTTATTTTGAAATAAATCAGCATTGCGAAATCTCTAAAAAGAAAATCTACATGTAGTGTAAGCAGTAAAAATTTACTCTAAAATTGTATTCATTTGTTGAATAGTAAACATCATGGACTCATTTTTGTTGGTAGCATAGAATCAACATTGATTGAGCACCTGTTTGGTGCCAGGCACTGGGCTAGGCACAGAAGAAAGGTGCAGGTTCAGAGATTAAGAAAACTCCTCTCTCCCTCCTCAAGAAGCTTACATTCTGGTAACTGGAAGACAAATATAAGCTTTAACATTCAAAACACAATGTTGGTGGTTTATAATTACCCAAAATGGCCTTTCTCAATCAAGTGGCCTAAATTCAGTCTTCTAAACTAGCCATTTAAATCAAACCCATTCTCAGAGTCTGATTTTAGTAGTGAACTCACTACGCCATGAATCTATTTACTAAACATCCTGCATTTTCCATGCAGTAAACAAAACCAAACTATCCTCATTGTCCTGTACTCTTATGAGCAAGTATTTAGTCTACATTGCCAAAACATGATACATAACAATATTACCTACGTAACTTAGATTTGAGACTATACCACCAAAGCCACAACTAAGTAAAAAGCAGAGAATACAGGAGCAAGTAATGCCACACATGCCACTGCCACCCGCTCAATAGGCCCCTTCTCTAACACATACATATTTCTGGTTTATTTGGGTACCCTCTTCTGGTTAGTTCTCTCCACCTCCTACTTCTCATCTCACGTTTCCACTTGAACTAGTGTTGTTTCTATTGCTCCATTACCACAAGTGGCTACTGGCTGCATATCAGAAGGAATGGATCTAGATAGCTCCCTCAGGACAAAGATTCTACCATGTCCATCACACAGGTACTTAGGAATCTCTTGGTGAATAAATCACCACCATGCTTGGTTTTGGATCATAAGAAGACATTCTTTGCCTCAAACCTTTCCCTGAGAAGAAAAACAAAAGTGAAAAAAAAAAATTGAGGTGAGAGTGGGGATAGGGAGCAGCTAAGAAGACTATGGCTTCTGGAGCCCAGTAATTCCATATTAATAAAATAATATTTGAACTAATGGTCCAAAGGCAAATAGGTACCCTTATTATGGGTATATTAAGCAAAGAGCCAAACAAAACCAAACATTACTTTTCTAGTCAGAATAAAAACACATTGCTGAGGTGGGGTGCGGTGGCTCACATCTGTAATCCTAGCATTTTGGGAGGCCAAGGCGGGCAGATCATGAGGTCAGGAGTTCGAGACCAACCTGATCAACATGGTGAAACCCCGTCTCTACTAAAAATACAAAAATTAGCTGGGCGTGGTGGCACGCACCTCTAATCCAGCTATTCAGGAGGCTGAAGTCAGAGAATGCTTGAACCTGTGAGGCGGAGGTTGCAGTGAGCCGAGATCGTGCCACTGAACTCCAGCCTGGGCAAGACAGCAAGACTCCGTCTCAAAAAAAAAAAAAAAAACATTGCTACAAAGTGCCACAAAAGCAGTAAGAGGTGCTTATTTAAGCAGTGAGTTTTCAGCACTTTTTGTACTGTTGCCTCAATGGCTCACTCATCTCAATTATTTCCTCATTTTCATAAGGAGCAGTGCTGGGCGCTAAAGTACTTTTACACCCATTATCTCCTTCAATTCTCTGCAGAATCCAGATAAGTAATTATAATCACAGGTATTATACTCATTTCAAAGATGAATAACCTGAGGCTCACAGAAGGGAAGCAACTTGCTCAAGTCCGCAAATACTGTAGTTAAGTCAGTAGTAAAGGCAACCAGGGCTTCAAAATCTTGTCCAAGTGTTGTGTCTTTGCAACAGGCTGCCTTTCACCAAAAGTATATTTGGTCTGCTAAAATGATGTTTACCACCCCCTCCAACAACAACAACAAAAGTCTTTGTCCAATTTTAAAGTGGTAGTTGGATAATTCTATTTTTCGTTTTCCAGCTGGTCCCAGTGAAACATATTTATCCTAAAAGCAAGGGATACCTAGAATTTTTAGGGCAAGACTAGCAAAAAACTTCATGTAGGAAAGGTAGGGCACCCACTCCCTTGGAAAATAGTTATCAGGGCAGTGAGCAGATAGTCCATAGGCCAGTATGAGCCAAATTTTCTGCATTCAGTAGCATACAGCTCTCTGGAAAACCTGCATGTTTGCTTATGAAGGGGCCCAAAGGTGGGGCTAGAAGTGAGCAAATCAGAAAAGTGCCCAGGTTGTGGTGAAAAACTTCAAGAGGTTAATATCTGGCAACATGAAGATCCCAGGATTATAAGTATGCTCTTACTACAAGTACCTAATTCAATTTTGAACTTAGCTATGCTCCCAGAGAGTGAAAAGGAGGGCAAATGGAGGTACCAAACAGGACCATGGGATCTTGTACCATAGTTCAAGAGCTGAGGTCAGTTAAAGAGCTCAGTTCAAGAGCTGAGGTCAGCAAACTACAGTCTCAGAGCCAAATCCAGCCTATTGCCTTTTCTGTAAGGTTGTACTGGAACACGGCCACACCCATTCATTTCAGGATTGTGTATAGCTGCTTTTGCACTACAACAACGAAGTAGAGGAGTTTTGACAGAGATCATATGGCCCACAAAGCCTAAAATGTTTACTATCTGGGCTAGTGCAAAAAAAGGTTTTTGACTCCTGCTCAAGAGAAGTGCCAGAAACTCTTCCTACATTTCAATGAAATGACCTTCTGAACAAGTTTCCACACTGAGCAAATAACTTCCTAGTTATGTAATTTGGGGCAAATCACTTACCTCTCTGTTCCTCTCCCTGTGAAATGGGTGTGAAGTAGGCTGTAAGGCAGAGTATAAAACCTAGTTGCTGTTTTAGTGCATAGAAAAACGTTCAGCATATGGTACCTAAAGAGAGAGATAACTAGAACTGCTCCCTTTAAAGGAATCTTTATTTTCAGTGCAAATCAGGGTACACTTTATTGCTTAACTGCCTGAGAAAACATCACCACACATGTCTTTTCAAGTGAGAGTCCTGCAGCCATGGCCCAACTAGTTTCTCTAGAGAAATGACATGTAATGAGTGGTGCTCACTAGTCTATGTATGCTTAAAATGAGTGTGCTAAGATTATGTAGCATGATAATCCAATTATACATCTGACTAGCTTCTTACAGTGTGGGAGAAATGAATATACACAGACTGAACACACTGAGGAAGGCAGAATCCACAAGGTAAATAATATGCTTAAAATGTGTTTCTTATTTGATTGCATATGGAGGCCAAGATAGATTTTTTAAACCATTTTAAAAATCAGATAGTCAAAATAATCTAAAATGAGACTTTAAAATGCTTTTTTAAATAATTAGTTTAATTTAAGAGTAAATATCAATTGAAAAACAAAGGAAATAAATACATCATCTGGAAGGATACATAAACAAAGAAAAGAAGTGGAGTCACCAAGAAGACCCTCTCCCTGATACAAAAGAGACTGTGTAAGTCCATTCTTGCCTTGCTATAAAGAATACTTGAGACTGGGTAATTTATAAAAAAAAAAAAAAGAGGTTTAATTGGCTCATGGCTTTGCAAGCTGTGCAGAAAGCATGGTGCCGGCATCTGTTCGGCTTCTGGTGAGGCCTCAGGCAACTTAAAATTATGGCAGAAGGTGAAGGGGGAGCAGGCATGTCACATGGTGAAAGCAGGAACAAGAGAGCAAGGGGGGAGGTGCTATACAACCAGATCTCATGAGAACTTACTATCACCACAACAGCACCAAGGGGATGGTGCTGAGCCATTCATGAAAAAACTGCCCTCATGATCCAATCACCTCCCTCCAGGCCCCATCTCCAACACTGGGGATTACAATTCAAAACCAAATTTGGGCAGGGACACACATCCAAACTATATCAGCGACCCTCATTGTGATTTCATACATTTATAAGCTTTTCAAGGTGAAAATTATTTACTTATTTGTTTATTTATTTATTGGAGATGGGGTCTCACTTTGTTGCCCAGGCTGGAGTGCAGTGGTGTGACCATAGCTCACTGCAGCCATAACTTCCTGGGTTCAAGCAATCCTCCCAACTCGGCCTTCTGAGTAGCTGGGACTATAGGCACGCACCATCACGCCTGGCTATTTTTTTTTTTTTTGTATATTTTTGGAAAGACAGGGTTTATGTGAAATCCATTGACAAATCAGAATCTTAATGACCTAAGGAAGTAAAAAAAAATCTTTCTAATGAATTTTGTGAATTCTATGGGAAACATTATAAAATAATAAACAAAGAGAAAAATATCATTTAAATTTAAAATAAATTTAATCTAAGTTATACTGAAGTAAAGATAGCTTTAAAAAGCAAATTATACCATCAGGATTTACACCATTGCAGTAGTTACAGATAATACAGTCGCATAATCTTTCTAAAAAGTTTTTTTTTTAAGAAAAAAAAGCAAAGATGCCATGGCAGGCCTTGATTTTTTTCTCAAGCTCATTTTGTTGCTAAATTTGTCAATATACAGTGTAAGATTTTTATAAACCTTTAATTACTAAAGAAAAATTAGCTGTGACACAGCTCTCATCAACAATCCCTCCATAGCACTCTCTTAAGTACTCAAGCTAAGACTTCAAGTAACCTTCGTGCTCAGCATGTTTTCAGAGAGGCAGGTTTGAGCACTGTTGAGGCAACCCTTTGATGTAAAACATATTCGAGTCTAGATTAAAGCCACAACTTCTGCCGATCTGAAATGGTAACTGTCTTCCTTCAGAATCTTTTGCATTCTAGATTGGAAAATTATTTAGGAACTGAAAAAGCGGAGGAGCCTGTCTCTCTCTCTCTCTCTTCTTTCTTTCTTTTTGACAAGGTTTCACTTTGTAGCTCAGGCTGGAGTGCAGTCCTGTGATCTTGGCTCACTGCAACCTCAACCTCCTGGGCTCAAGTGATCCTCCCACCTCAGCCTCCTGAGTAGCTGGGACTACAGGTGCGTACCACAACGCCTAGCTAATTTTTTGTATTTTTAGTAGAGACAGGGTTTCACCATGTTGCCCAGGCTGGTCTTAAACTCCTGAGTGCAAGTGATCCACCCACCTTGGCCTCCCAAAGTGCTGGGATTACAGGCCTGAGCCACCACACACATCAGAGAGTTTTTCATTGGCTTATTAGCAGTAGTAGGTAGGAAGAGGACTCTGAAGACTAGCCCTATAAGCTAATATTTGCAGTTTTTCACACTGATTAGGATAAAAATTTGTATAGTAAATTTTTTGTAATCATATAAAAAACAGCTATCATTACAAAGGTTTTTGTTTTAATTAGTGCTAATCTACATATGCTTGCTTTGTTAAAACATGTTTAAGATAAAAGTAATATTTTCATTTTTATTAAATACAAATATTATAAAGGGGGGCTGTGGTTTACCATGTATACTATGATAAAAACTGCCTCAAATATCCATAATTTATCTATTATATTATAAATGGTTTTCTTTCCAAAGCTTGACAAAGCTCTAAAATAGGGTGAGTGTAGTGGCTTATGCCTGAAATCACAGCACTTTAGGAGGCTGAGGTGGAAGGATTGCTTGAACCTAGGATTCTGAGACCAGCCAGGGCAACATAGTGAGACCCCATTTCTATGAAAAATTAAAATAAATTGCAGAGAGTGTGGTGCCCACTTGTGGTCCCAGTTAGCTGGGAAAGTGAAGTTGGAGGATCACTTGAACCAGGAGATCGAGGCTGTAGTAAGCCATGAGCGCACTACTGTACTCCAGCCTGGGAGACAGAATAAGACTTTGTCTCAAAAAAAGGCACTAAAATAACCAAATTATTCCTCGGTTCTTTCTGATTAAAATCCTTTGATGCCTGGGGTTAAGACAATAGACAGAAACAGTCACTTTTCTGAAAAATTAATCTGAAAAAATTAATTAACCACTGCCTTAACTTTATCATGTGCCTTCTAAAAATGAAAACCGTACTTATTTCAGTTGCAAAAACATGTTCAATGTTATAAAGGAAATGCATTTATAACTGATGAAAAATTCATGTATATTTGTCATTGTTTTATGAAATGGTTTAACATTCTGTTGCCTGTATGACAAAATAGTCCAGATCTTTTTTAAAAATATCAGAATATTAAGAAAGCACTTAAGAAAACTTATTACTGGCTGGGCATACTGGCACACGCCTGTAATCCCAGCACTTTGGGAGGGCAAGGCGGGCAGATCATGAGGTCAAGAGATCGAGACCATCCTGGCCAACATGGCGAAACCCCGACTCTACTAAAAATACAAACATTAGCTGGGCATGGTGCTGCTACTTGCTACTTGGGAGTCTGAGGCAAGGGAATCGCTTGAACCCGGGAGGTGGAGGTTGCAGTGAGCCAAGATCACTCCACTGCACTACAGCCTGCAGCCTGGTGACAGAGCAAGACTCTGTCTCAAAAAAAAAGAAAAAAAAAAAAAGAAAAGAAAACTTATTACTGAATTACTGACACCAACCCAAAGCGGCCATTTTAAGAAGTTCAGAAATTCAAGTAGGAGAAAGACTCCAAAGAAGGAGGTAAAGATAAGGGTCTGTTTCGGAAAAGATCATATGGGCTTCAATGAAAAGGTAAAAAGTTTCCAAAGAAATCAAATGTGAAAGAGGCTGAGGGAATTTAAGACACTATGCCATTTAAGAACTAAAGTGAAGAGTAAAACAGTAATGTTAACAGTGATGAAACATTGGGAATTTGATTCCTAAACCAGCTGGGTGGGAAAGGACTGAAGTAGATAGGGTTAGAACAGCATTATCAAAATAAAAGAGTTACATTGTAGACTTTGGGGTTAGTTAGATAATATTCTTGGCACTATTTTACTTGTTTTTTTAAAGTTAGAAATTCTCAAATGGCATTTCCCTGGATTGTCTTAGTTTTGCTCTTCTGAAACCTACTCGCACTGCTATACTATCAAAACAAGAAGCACCAAAAATCAGTTGCCAGCAATTACTCAGTAAGTCATTGCCACAGTTTGTAGAGGTATCTAACCGTTCCTTTTAGGATATGCTTGAAGTTCTACAGTGAAAAGAATATCACAAAAATCTTTATAAATAGATATTGACATAACTTAAATAGATTCATCTTCAGTCTTACCTAGCATGCTTAGTAGATTTTAAAAAAAAAAAAGTTTTTTTTTTTTCTGGGAATATTCCTAAAACAAGAAAAGAAATCAATAGGGCACATGACGTGATATGCAGTCACTTCATTTTACAATCGTTCAAGAATGACAAATGTATGAAGAGAGGCACATCTTCCTTTCAAAAGTTCCAGAATTTTGTGTTTTTATACAACAGAGATACTCCTAGAAAGGTAGAAAAATCTGAAATGTACATAATCAAATCATATTTTAAATGCATTCAGGGAGCTTCTTACTTAAAAGACATCTTATTCAAAATCTTTTTAGGAAGTGAAAATGAGGATAATTGTTCCCAAATTAATCCTTTGTGTAAACCTGGATTGCCCTATATTGTGCTTGCTTAGCATGTGAGAGATCTGTAGAGTTGACACTCTTACCTATTGTTCAGCCCAGATTTCTGCCTCCAATTTGCAGCAGAGGCTGCAATTGGTAGACATAGATCCTCACATCCCCACATAAACCTAATATGGCTAATTTCAATGAACACTCAAACCACAAGTTCTTTATTAAGAGGCCGATAGTCAGGCAAACATAATAGTAAGGAATTCAGTGGTTCTGCATCAACAAAGCATCACTCTTGAACACATTATCTTAGTTTCACATATATCATGCCTTTTAAGTCAGCATGCATCTCTTAGCTTGATTATGCTCCCTCGCACATCCTTTACTCCACCTCTGTAAAGACAATCATCCGTTAGATGAAGAAAATACTTTCCACTAAGGTTTCTTCTAGGTAACTGTTCTTTAGTCATTTAGAGGATTGTATGTCTTGTTTATTTAAGGGAAGAAATTATTTTACAAATGATGTCAGCAGTGAGAACAAAGGAGAGGGTGGTGACAACTCCAAGAGAAACTGGAGAATGACAGTGCTGCAACAATGCCCTTCCAGCCTGGAGTTTTTATCTCGTGGCTCTTCCCTAGGCATCCTACCAAGCCCCTTGGAGGATTTTATGTTTGGTTAATTGATTCTAAGACATAATTTTCCCTACCCATTTTCCACTAAACAGAAATGTATCATCAGAATTTTGCCTCCTTGGAGAGCCCTGTTGGGCCTTATTGGGGTTGCAGAGAGCACAGTGCTCACCAAGGGGCGTACTCTACCCACCCAAGCCCATCTTAAAGATTAAGCTTTCATCCGCAATGGAGGTAGGAGAAGGGAACCAAGCCTGCTGCATTTGGAGTTGAAAGGAGTACTTTATTTAAAAATATATTCAAGAGAAGTCAAGCTCTCCAGTTTATTTCTCACACTTTAACATGTTACCTCTAAACTCCTTTTTCTCTCTATGCATTTCTTTTTTTTTCACTTCTTTTTTTCTCAACCTTACAGCGATATATATTCTGACCCTATTCTCTCCCACCCTGTTGGTCAGCATAATTTTCCACCAAACCCATCCTATAGTTATTGATGTTAACTGTAACAAGTTGACAGGTCGCTTTTCTAGGCCCAGAGCTGTGTTCCCAAATTCTGTTTCTAGTAGCATGCTTACTTCTAGCCCACTACTTAAATTTTTTTCTCTCTCGGGCTAATTTTTTTCAGGCCCACAGCCCATGCATATACACATACCTGGCTTAAAGTTTAATATGATGCCTGGAAGAAACCCAATATAAAGTGCAGAAGTGGAAGAAGAATCCTGAGACAAGTGTGAGGTTGCAGAAACAGCAAATCAAAGGTCACAGTGACCATACAGGCTTATTGTTATCCCAAATAAAAATAGGATTCAGAACGCAGCCAATTTCCTGTCATTTGCATTTTACTCTTTATTTGAACAATGGTCAGACATCAGAACTTAATACAGGAGCACTATCTTAGATTACACTTTAAGAAACATCAAAACTGATGAATTCCAGAGTTCTACTCTGTCTTAAAAGAGAATTTTCTTACTAGGATAGTCTGGAAAGGAGAAAGTATAGTTTACGAACTCCTAAACTGGAAGATAACTTAAGAAGTCATCTGATCCATCCCTCTGTCCAGAGTCACATCTAAATTATCCATGCTGTACAAAAGGCAAGAAAATAGAAGAGTTGAGATAATAGACAGTGAAAGGAAAATAATAATAGCTTTCAAAATCATAATCTCATTTTACCATTTACAAATGCCTTTTTATCCCTCATATTACTTAATTCTCTTCCTAGTGAGATATCATTATTATCAATATCTGTGAGGTAGTGATTATTGTCATCATTTCCATTGTAAAGATGAAGAAAATCCAAGTTTAAAGAGGTTAAGTCACATGACTGAAATCATTAAAAGGTGTAGCCAGGCCTTGACCCCAAATCCTCAGGGGAGAGATGATGAACAATTGTTATCATAGCAAAGAACTAGTCTTTTCCAGTGATATATGTGATAATTCAAGGCTTTCACTCTGAGATCTAAGTTATTTCTGCTTAACCCAAGAAAAAAAGAAGCCTTCATCCCCCTTCCCCACCTCAACCTAGTCCTTGAGTTCCGACATTCTTTTATGCCCTAAACCAAACTCTTGGCTTCATACCTGGTCAGGGTGAGCAATGTTGAAGCTCTTAGTGATCATCAAACACCTGGGAAGATGAAAAAAAAATAAAACCAGTAGGAAAGACAAAAGAATAAGAGTGTGGGTACTTTGGACTAGGTAGCTTTAAGAAGCTCAAAAATCAACTGTAAGGGGAGGCAAAAGAAAGCTTTCTTCAAGTCTTCAGGTTTCTCTTTTAAAAATTCCAATTTCAAATGACAGTGGCAACCTAGATGTCTTCCACGCTTCTCTATTGGGATATATAAAATAGTCCCTCAGTCAGGGCCAGGAACCACAGGGCATGCTCGAGTATACAGCTCCTCCCCTTGAGGCTTGGCTCCACTCCTTGGCTGTGTAAGCAAGGGAGAAAACAGAGGGGAAACTGGCTGCCTGTATCCAACCTCCATGCACACCAAAGGCATGGCTGCCATGTCTAATTTTAGGCCTCTCTGCCTTGAGAGGACTCCTATAATTCTCTTTTTAACAAAGCACAGGCAGTGATCTCTGGGAGGCAGATGGGGAAAGCTCAATCAGGTTTACTCAAGTTGAGTCTGCCCTCAAAATGTATATCAATGACAAACTTTCTCCATGGGATCCTCATGGAAGGCAACAGTGAATACAACAGAAGAGGACTCTGTTGGCTGTCAGGACAAAGGCCAATGCAAGTCTACTCCCAAATTCATGTCAATTAGAAGGCCTGGGAGAGGAAAGTTGATTTCATTTTAACATACTAACATACACACTCTGTAAGGCCGTGAGCTAAAGTTTGCTTTGGGGCATATGGAAATGAAAACAGGTAACTTACAAATAGAAGAGGCCAGTTGCTTACAAACTAGGCAGGGGAAAAGATACTAACAGTGGACTTCTTTTTTTTTTTTTTTTTTGAGACGGAGTCTCGCTCTGTCGCCCAGGCCGGACTGCGGACTGCAGTGGCGCAATCTCGGCTCACTGCAAGCTCCGCTTCCCGGGTTCACGCCATTCTCCTGCCTCAGCCTCCCGAGTAGCTGGGACTACAGGCGCCCGCCACCGCGCCCGGCTAATTAACAGTGGACTTCTTAAACACTTAATTTGTAGTTAACAAGCATTTTTTGAAGACTTGCTGTATGTGCCTGCCAAGAGAAAGTAAGCAACACAGGCATGTCCCTTGCCTTCATGAACCTAAGTAGAAATAAGAAAGACAAATTTGAACATGTAATTACAAGTGTGTTGAGTACTACTAGAGGGAAAGGAGCCCAGAGTGTTATTGTAGTTTCACTTCCAGAATTGTCCTTGCTCTAAAAGCAATGATATGAGGGATAAGAAAGGTAGACAGAATAGGGATGATCTTAAAATGACAAACTGTCCACCCCACAGCTGACTTCTGACTGAGAACACTCTGCAGATGGCAATGGGGAAAGAAACACAGAAAAAGAACAAAAGGGAAGAAAGGAGATAGAGAATAAAAACCAATTGTGAGGCCAAGTCTATTTAGTCAATGTCCTGGGGCATCAGCCGGGCATCAGCTTGTCACTATCACATTCTGCTTTTTGATAGAGGAAAATTTGCCTGAGCTGGTTATTCAGATGAAATTGGAAGAGCCAAGGGCACTTTCATAAAGGGTACCTGGGGAAATTGCCAGCTAGCATTCCCTCTCTCTCTTGCTCTTCCAATAAAAACAGGCTTGATGATCCCAGGCTGGGCATGACTAATTGTGAAGTGCTGGGTGGCGGCTGTTGTACTGGCCTGCATGGCCTCAGCGCTTGTCATATTTCCTTACAAAGTGCTTTGGGATACCTTGAGAACAGAGGCACCACCAATCATTCTGATTCTAGTCTATATAAAGCCAAAGAGTTTGAAGCACCTCCTTTTAATCAAACAGTGTGGGGACATGGGCAGCTTGAGAAATCTGCTCCCAGGACAAGTCTGAGCCTGGTCTACTCACCCTTGAGATGGATTTGGGTACAAGAAGCAGTACAATGCATGACACACACATGGGCTCCAAGATCTGGAGTTTGCCTTCATATGGAGTGTGTGCAAAGAGCAGTTGAGAGTGCTGGCCAAGATATTGAGTAACAGCCTCCGATGCTCCACAGAACATTCTGTACCTGCCCACTTTGGAAGCCCCCAGAATTGGGAGGGTGGAGTGGAACACAGGGGGCCTTGGAAGACAGAAAAATAGATAATCAGTCCTTGCAAGAGCAGTGCATTTCAACATGGAGCAGTAGGCAGACTTCAGAATGCATGCCTGTGAATAACTACTGAATGTCTCGGGGGACAGGACTGGGGAAGGGGAAAGGAGAGAAGCAATATTTACTGAGTAGCTTCTAAATTCCTGGTGTGGGATCTCATTTTCATTCTCACAAAAATCAGGCAAGATGGCATTTTAAAATTTCACTTCAAAGAATAAGAAAAGTGAAATTCGGAGAAGTTAAATCATTTGCCAGGGTCACACTATGAGTAAGTATAACCCAAATCTAGCCAGTTTCAAAGTCCATCCTTTTCTTTTTTCATTTCATTCTGGAAAGGTAGCCTTTCCAGAAGCATTCTGACAGAATTTCCTAACATGCTAAATGTGGTTATCATGCTCAAAGTCTGTGTCTAAATCAGAAAATATTCTGGGACTTACACATATTTTCAGCTATGCTTTGGAAAATGTCTATCCATGTAGATGCAGTAATAAATAAAATCTGTACTGGAACCATCTTCTATCACCAAAAAGTGTGATTTTCAAACAGGCAGCTCAACTTCGAAGGAAAGCACCCAAACTTTAAGGCTGCTTGTCTGCCCTTGTCCTAGCTTGCCTTCGCCCTGGAAAGCATATGGATAGCCAAATAAATGAAATGAACATTAATGAATACTTATGCAGCATGAATCATGGCTGGCTTCCAGCAAGGATGCACACATTTAGGCAAACATCACACGTTGGCACCACATTCCCCAGCTGATTTTCCTGCCTCCTGGCTGGTCCAGTGTGACCCAGTAGACAGAACAATGGACTAGGAGCTAGGAAGATCTGGGTTCAACTCTTGCCTCTCCCACTTCCTAGCTGTATGATCTTACTAAACAAGTAAGTTCTCCTACTTGAGCCTTAGTATCCTCATCTGGGAAATGAGAATGCATATTTTATAGGGCTATCCTGATTATTAAATATGACAATGGGAAGGAAAGATCTCATAAGTGGCAGAGCTATAGAAATGTGCAGAGGTGCTAATATTCTCACTTGGCAAGCCAGTGCAATCAACAAGTGAACTGAGATTGATAACAGTGAGCCTCTACCCTTTCAATAAGGTAAAAAGTAGGAAAGTGTCATTTCTTATCCTAGTCTTAAATAGAAGCAATACAGCTGGGGCCAACTCTATAACAACTGGGTCTGGAGTGGTCATTAACTATGTTTGGGGCCACTCTTACACTGAACTCAACATACAAGAACTATAAACTTCCATAATACCTAAATAATAACTGGTCTCTGCATGCACCTACCAACCGTCTAACCTCATCTTCTAAAATTATGAGTTTTCATTTGGCTGTCCTTTTCAGAGAGAAAATTGGAAGCCTGAAAGGTTGAAGGTCATTCATTAATTCACTCAACCTTCAAACATTTACAGATTGCCTACTATATGCGAAGGGCATGAGTTCCAGAGATGGAGAAGGAATTTTCATCTCTCATAGAGGTGTAACAGCAGACAAGTGAATTGACTAATCACAGGAAGAAGTGTGATAAAGGAGTTACAGACAAAGTTGGTATAAATAAGGGAGGTGACATTTGAATTGGGATGTTTCCAGGTGAAAAAAGGAAAGGAGCATTCTAGGCAGAAGGAGCAGAACATGCAAAGCCATAGAGAATTGAAATGAAATAGTAAGAAGTTCTGTGTGACTGAAGCACAGGATATGTGTATGTTTGTGTGTTTGGGGGAAGGAGGGAGAAAAAAGTAGAAGGAAATGAAATGGTCTTATATGGAGGTGGAAGAGGCTGTCATCTCCAGCCACGATTTGAGGGGTACATAGAAAATTATGCTTCCTCAAAATATCTATCTCCACACACTTGCAAATTATTGAAATTTCATCCTGAGTAATTCATTATTTTGAATGATTCAGGCTCTCTCTGTCCTTCAAGGGTCTTCTCTTAAAAAACAAGTACCCTCTTGAAAAGCCACTGGGAGCCATAGCAGGAACAGCAGATAGTCAGCTGAAAGAAAGAAGAACTTGCAAGAAGGAGATAAAGGAAAAGGTCTGGAGATATGATGCAAATATAAAAAAGGTACCCTTAACTTTCTTTGTTTTTCACAGCAGAAAGCACTGACATAAAATTATAGTGTCTGTTGTCATCCATAAATATATTAATAGTATATGTGGTGATTTATGTGCTTTGGGTACAACAGTGTTCACTGGTTGTGTTATGGGCTAATCACTGTCCATGCACTGCCATGATCCATCCACAAACTCTTCCCTATCTCCAAACGTTGTGACCAATAATGGTATGGTGATTTTTAAACCTTCTTACTTGTGACAAAGATAGGCTATGGTTATGGAGCAATCTGGCATGACTCAAATCCTTGAATTCCTCGGCTTCACTAAACACTGTACTGCAAGCTTATTGCTAAGTTACCTCAGACTTCTCACTTCAGGTATATGCCTTTACATGGGCAATGAACAGACCTGACTAGTCATTTGAGTTATAATGTTCACTACGGACTGCCAAGTGATTGATAGAGCTGAGGTAGTTGATAATGTTTATAAAGGAAGCCAAATGACAAGTTATATCATGCTATGATCCACTTCACATTTCCACCCCACAGAAACTCAGTCCATATTGCTTATTGTTTTCAGTAATAATGTTGATACTGAATGATAAAGAATACTGAGGTTTATGCTACAGATAGTTATTTTGCTATCAACTCTTTTTTTTTTTTTTTTTTGACAGTCTCACTCTGTCACCCAGGCTGGAGTGCAGTGGTGCAATCTCGGCTCACTGCAATCTCCAACCTCTGCTTTCCAGGTTCAAGCAATTCTTCTGTCTCAGCCTCCTGAGTAGCTGGGATTACAGGCATGTGCCACCACACCCAACTAATTTTTGTATTTTTAGTAGACATGGGGTTTCACCATGTTGGTCAGGCTGGTCTTGAACTCCTGACCTCAGGTGATCCACCCATCTCAACCTCCTAAAGTGCTGGGATTACAGTCGTGAGCCACTGCGCCTGGCCGCCATCAACTCTTACACTTTTATACAAGAAAGATAAATTCTCACTGCTGAAGTGATCCTAGTGAGGCTACTGTGAGTTCATGCCCTTCAAAGTTGGCTGAGACCTAGAAAATAAGGTTACTCACGGTTTAACCCCAAACCAAAGAAGGACCTGCTCTACCCAAAAAGTATTATAAAAGTCAGCCTTGCAAACAAAGAAGCCTGGGAGAGTTGGAAGACAATATGAAAATAAAAATAGGAATATGCCTTTTTGTTTCTTATATTTTCCCAACCTTTCTACCTTCTGATTCCTGAGAAAAGGTTATCAACAGTTACCAAGTTATCCAACGAAGAGGACCATCTGACAATAGAAAAACAGGGCAGTTAATTTTCCCATTCAAACATTTACTGAGTGCTTGGCTCAATAAACTCTTATTTAGAAACAATAATTACTCAAATTCTTATAAATGGCAAAACAGGAGTCAAATGCAGATCTGTCTGAATCCAAGTCAAGTACTCTTTCAATAAACTCAACACATTTAGGGGCTACCTCTGGATGAAGATTCAAACCTACTTTTCCTCAACCTTATCTCCAGAAGTACTTACTTAAGATCTCCACAGGAGCCTATTCAATTCACTTTTCTTCACAAAGACCATAGCCAGTGTTGTCTCTGAACTTTCTCTTATACCTCTTGCCTTGAAATCGAACTCCATCCTTTAAGATAGAGCTCAAGTTCACTCATCCATGAACTGTTCCCCTGGGTCAATGAATGTGGAGAGTGAGTGATGGAGACAGGGAGTTTCTGGGTAGGGAGAGGGCCTCAGTGAACAGTGGATATAGACAATATATTTTCTTTCCAGGATCCCCAATAAGTAGTAACAAATGCTATAGAGTTAATGAACATCCAGCAACTATTCATGGAGTAAATATTTGAGAACTACCTCCTTTCTGATTTATTTTATATCTGCTAACTCATTTCTCCTTGATCCAGATGACAAACTAGTCCTGTGCTTTGCGTTTACTATGTGAATAAGCAGAAAGCAGGAGTAGTCTGTGGGCATTTCCTAAACATTAAGACCAAACTGACACCAGAAAAACTTCACCAGGATTTTCTAGGGGTCAGACAATACCTCAAAATGTATAGATCACATGTGTATTCCTAAATTCTGGCCAACATATGTAGGATGTAGCTACTCAACAGTGTGCTTCCATCTTCTTGGTAGTGGAGAATTATATATCATCAGTGACTACACTCTGACATACTACTTGAGTCCTAATTGTTTTTTTTTATGGTTGTTGAATACATCTGGTGTGTACAATGTTTATGCCACAAAGTACATGAAGACTTGAATCTGAATAAGTCTCTATCTAAAGGAGAACCAGAGTGGTTAGCAGAATGACCATTGGCAATCAGCTTTCAAAACCAACCTCTTGACTGACAGTGGAGAACTACCTCTCAAATCACTCCATTAGCACAAACACAGACTCATTCATCAACAAGCAAAATATCAAGCACTCACAAGTCTTGCAGCCCCATGGCAATGTAATGGCCATGCAAATACCAAAGAGCTGTTGTATCTAGTACCATTTTCATTCTATCACTCCTGACCTTTGCAACAGAACTGAAGATTATTGCCTTACAAAGAAACACTGCTTGAGGAGTTTGGGAATTTTTACATAAATCAGAATAAAATGAAGCATGTGAATAGAATGTGGTTCTTTTATTGAAATGCTTCATTTGAGGTATGTGCTATAGAAAAAGCTAATAAGTGGCTCCGTGGAATAAACAAGTAGTTATCTTACTCTCCCAGGCCTCTAGCTGGGAACAGAGATTTCATAGTAGCCTATGGTTCATAAATAAATCAACTTTACAGTTGACACTTTTTCTTTATAAGCAGAGAGGAGTCTCAAGGGTTCTGTACAAAGTTATTCAAAGTTGATGAGCACCACCACTTTCCTTTCATGTATGGCACTGCTGTTTGCAATGACCAAAAATGAAGCTGCCACTTCTTTCCTTGGGAAAGAAAAGTTCTCAATGCTCTCACATTTTTGCAAGTTTTTCTTCCAAATTATCTCCATGTGAAAAGTCTTCACTTTTAATCCATGTTTTAATATTGAAATCTTATATAACCCTCTAGGCCCATCTTAAATGCCACCTTGGGGAAGTATTGCGATGGATACGGGAGTGGAGAAGTTCAGCCACAGATTTTCAATTATAGCTATATATGAAAATTGCTTGAGTGAATTTTAAAAATACAGATTCCTGGCCTTCATACCAGACCAAATGAATCATAATGTCCAGGAATAGGAACTGGTACAATTATTTTTGATTCCCTAGGCAATTTTGGAGCAGACTCATGACTGAGAATCAGTATCTTTAGTTTCGTGTAATAGACCACAAAGTCAATAAAAATGCTTAAAGGTCCTCTGGAGGACCTGAGTATGAACAACGACTGAAACAGATTAAGTCAAAGGCAATTCTGTCTACTTACAGTTGACTCCACAAGCTTCCTTTTGCTAAAGCCAACACACATCAAACATCCTCTTCCCATGGAGAAAATATCACCTAATCTTTCCTGAAAATCAACAGAGAAGTTACCATCCCAGGGCTCTGGAGATGCCAATTCTCCTGATCAATGTGATGCAGAGATACTGTTAGCACAAAAGAATGTTATGTGCTCCTGCTCTGGTCATCAGTCAAAAGGGGCAAAGACAAAGATGAGAAAATTCAGTCCTTAGATTAGTAGTATATCAAACCTTTCTTCTAAAGAGCCCATCACTTCTACACAACCCAGTAATATCTTAGTCAGAATCAGAAGAGATGCTGTATGTGTAAATGTGCATACATTTATCACTAGAGTTTTGCAAAATAGATATGATACTAAAAAGCTGTCAGGAAAGTAAACTTTAACTGAATCTGATCTTGCCACTGACTTAAATTACAGAATTAGAAATGCATTTTTATGTTGGGCAGATGATCTTTCAAACAAATGAGATCAAGATTGGGAGGAGCAAAGGAGTTAAGATAGGTAGTCCAAACCCCAAGGCAAGCCATGTACTGGTACTCTGGCACTCATTCCAGTAACTGAGAACTGTATCCTTCACATTCTCCCTTCCTAGAGTCTTGTAAAATTCTATTATTTCTTTAACTAATAATTTCTATTACCTCTGTCGTACAGGGTAGGAGAATGAAAACCTTATGGATGCTGCTTTTTTCTCACATACCTTCCATCCAATCTAGGCTTAGCGGCTTACTGGCTGTGTAAACTAACCTCTTTGAGAGCAGTTTCCTCATTTATAAAATGCGGATATGTTAATATCTTGAATATCGTGAAGAATATTACAAAATTTCTAGCATAGTGGTTGGCATATAGGAGGCAGTCAACAAATATACAAATAGTGTACATTACTAATATACACTATTTAAAATGAGTAATTATAACCATAAACCTCTCCCTATAGAGGGCAAAGATGAGGTTTATGGTTAAGGACAGTACCAGGGCTGAGAGCCACATGCTGGAAAGAAGGCCTGAACATGATATAACTTCATAGGTTTGAAAATCATATAAAAGTTTGCATTTTTGACTTTATAAATATTCAATATTTTTTTCAACATTGAAATTTCTTGCAATAAGATATGCCTCTTAAAAGCTCACATTCTATAAGAGGTACATATAAAACATCACATTCTATATAAGAGGTACGTAAAAACTTCTTGAAGGCAATTTGGCTCATTTTCCATGATAAATCCTAGAAATTGCCATGTGAATTAAAGATTTGTTGTGGGGCCATGCTAATCCTAAAACTATGAGAGAGGAGTAAGGAGAGGAGGGGAAAGGACAGGAGAAGAGACAGATAGCACTGGCTATACGTAAGAATCACTTATGGGCTTTTAAAATGTATATACGTGCTAAAGTTTAGACCTGGAGATAATTAATAAATAGATTGCCTTGTCATTGTTTTAAAGATTCATTAATGATTCTCACGTCCAACCCAGGTTGATAATTCTTGGCTTAGATTATTCAACTAAGAGTTAAAATATAAACTCTTCTTTATGACTTATTCATTCAACAAATATTTACTGAGTATCTTCTATGTGCCAAAAAGTCTGATAGTGCTGGGAATGTATATAGGAGTGAACAGAGTATCATGGTCTCTGCCCTCACAGAGTTGACAATCTAGTGGGGAAAATGGATAATAAGCAACAGAACAAAAAAACTCATTCATAATGACAAATTGGAATAGGCACTTCAAAGGAAACAAACAGAATGCTATGACAGCAAGTAATGGGAAAAGGAGTAGAGGTAAAAAAAGAAGAAAAAACCAGAGTGGTCAGGGAAGGCTTCTTTGAAGGGAGAGCTTTTAAGCTGA
Organism: Homo sapiens; assembly: GCF_000001405.40. NCBI lineage: Eukaryota > Metazoa > Chordata > Mammalia > Primates > Hominidae > Homo > Homo sapiens. The sequence continues at coordinate 67,580,623 of NC_000023.11, read as the reverse complement.
GATCTGAAGAGTCAGAAAGACAAGTCATGGGAATTGCCAAGCAAAGATGATACCTTTAGATTCAGTAAAAAGTACATTCAGGTTATAAATGAGTAACTAGCGAACAACTTTCCATCCTGTGGCCAGAATAATAGTAACACTTTAAAGGTAATTTTATAAGTTTCCATATTATGGATTATAATTATCACAAAAGTAATAATCATAGCTATTCTTAAACCACAACTTAATGAAGGGCCATAATAAGGAAATCCAAAGCTGTGTATATTTTTGACAACAGATTATTATTTGTAGAAGTAATTATTATGTGCAATATAATTGTTATTATGTTACATATCTCCCCTGTAAAAACAATAAAAGACAAATGGAGGGAAGAAATTTTTTCGTTAGGGTTTGGTCAGAAATCTCTGTCAGGGCTATGAGGCAGTAAATTCCCCCTGGAGATGCTTTTTTTTTTTTCCCTTGAGGATCTTTAGAGAAAAGACAGACAGCCATATGCTTAAGATGAACTAAGAACTGTGGAGTTGGGGAGCAGGATCTGACAAATACGCATGAGAACTGATGAGTGGTGGCTGAGGAAAGGCCAAAATAAGACCAAAAAATGGCCACACCACTAGCGATTGGATGTTAGGGTCATGTGCCAACTGGGAGAAAGAGTAGCAGACTAACAACTTATGGTACTACTCAGAGAAGGAACAATTTAACCCTTTCAACCTCCTGGGTGCTGCCATTTTGTTGTGCAAAAAGGCTGAACAGATGAGAAATTACAATGTTTGCATTCATGACACCTGGAGGAAAACAAACCTACTTACTATTTTTAAACAAAAAGAAAGGCAGTTTGCTCATGTAAGAGGAAGAAACGAAGAGAGCCAACGAGAGTGAGCTTGAGCTCAAAGCAGATTAAATATGCTTTAATAGCTGCATAGAAACCTGAAGCTCATAAATTTTCCTTCATGTGCCTAGGAGGACAGGGAATTGCATATTTATGAGTTTCGTGTTGGAAATCTGTAACTGTATCTTCAACATTATACAACACTTTTTGAAGTAGCATTCCAAGGACTGCCTGTTTGACATTAAAGAAAATAACTCAAGACAATCATCTACCACATTTTCCACCCATGCTTACAGCCCTTTCTTCACTCAAAGTGCCTATTTTGACATCACAACCCTTTTCTGAAGTAGTGCTTTTAGACAATACAAAGTAGCCTTGCAAATTGCTTCAATAGAAAGTCTACCAGCCCCGAAAGTGATAGGTGTCTGCCCACCCAATCTTCTGCAGTCCTTTCCACAGATTTCAGTGTCCTTCTGAAGACAAAACTGCTTGCCAAGACCACTAAATGTATTAAGATATTCAACGACAATGTTATAGGCACACTAACACCAAAGGCAAGTCGCTAAAAGGATATTCAAGATAAAAAGCTAGTAAAAGAATACGTTGCTACTATGCCTGATATAATGAAGGAGAAAAAGAGCTACGTTGAGAGAGAAGACCTGGGCTCTGGTTCAAACTCTGGCACTTTACTTTGTGAATTGAGACAAGTAACTCTATGTCTTTCAGCCTCAGCTGTCTCATCTGAAAAATGGAATTCATACTGACTGTATGCTTGCTTCAGAGAATGTTTATGAACAGATAGTGAAATAAAGAGCATTAAGTACTTCTAAAGGCACAAAACAGTATATAAGTGTAAGAGATTATTATTACAAGAAATTTCTGCTAGGTAATAGTATCTTCAAAATGTCAGATAACCAGAAGAAACTATCAATAATTATTAAGCACTTATGCCTAAATAAAGCAGAATATAAATGTTCAAAGTCCTTTCATTTTCCCAGCCCATTCTGTCTATGCACTAATTTCATGCCAGATTTGACTGCAACAGTAATGTGCAGTTTCAAAAACCCAGTTGCCCTGTGCTCAAATACAAAATATGAACACTTATTATACACCAGGAACTTTATGTTAATTACTTCATTTTGTCCTCACAATAATTTGAGAAGGTGGGTTTTTACATATATCACCAATAAAGACTCAGAGAAACAAAGTAACTTGCACAGTGACACACAGCTAAGAAATAGCAAAACCACTATTTGAAACTAAAGTCTGTGGGATTTTAAAACATGCTCTTATTGTTTTTACATGGGGTTTCATGATTTCCCACTTGAGTTTATTTTATTTTTAAATCACCAATATAAATTGCTTAAAAACAAGGAGGGTATTATTTGTGCTCATTGTTTCACACACAAGTACATAGAGACCAAACATAAATAAAAAGTACATTTGGTACATATTGCTGGTACTTCAAAGTATTCCAGAGTTTTAGTTGAGATACTTCTTCAGCCAATTGAACCATATTAAGATGGATATGCCAATCTGAATAAAGCTTACTTACTTTTCTACCAGGTTCATATCCCTTTCCTCCCTTGCCTCTGCTTAGGTATGCATAAGGCAAAACAAAAAGAAAAGATCCTAAATCCAACCAAGCTAAAGTAAAAAAAACACAACACAAAGTATAGAGCTTTAAATGTAGATTCTCCTTGTCCCAGATAAGTTTGGGAAGTGGGGGGCTTCAGTGCTAAATTTCTGACAAATTTCTGTTCTTGGGTTGCATTCTCAGTAGTGAAGCCAAGGTCACTTAGATTCTGCTGGCATTCATACCCAGCAAAGTGGCTAATGCAGCTAAGATATGTAACACCAGTAGAACAACGCAAATGCTTGCTAGAAAACATCATATAACTGTGAAGTATCATCCCTAAAATGACAAACATCCAAAATATATTGTAAGATCTTACAACTCAATAATGCAAAGACAAATAACCCAATTTGGAAATGAGCAAAGGATCAAAAAATATACAAACGGCCAATAAGCACATGAAAAGATGATCAATATCCTTACTCTTCAAGGAAATGCAAATCAAAAGCATGATGGGGTCCCAATTCACACCCATTGAGATTACTATTATCAAAAAAGCTGAAAAGGACAATGACAATAATGAGTGTTGTTGAGGATGTGGAGAAACTAAAACTCTCATATACTTCTGGTCAAAATGTAAAATGATTCTGCTGCTTTGGAAAAATCTGGCAGTTCCTCAAAAGATTAAATGTTAAGCTACCATATTACCCAGCAATTCCACTCCTAGGTGTATACCAAGGAGAAATAAAAACAGATGTTCATACAAAAACTTGTACACGAACGTTCATAGCAGCATTATTTAAAATAGCTAAAAAAAGGATGAAAACAACCCAAATGTCCATCAACTGATGATTGGAAAAAACAAATATGATACATTAATACAATGGAATATTATTCAGCCATAAATAAGGAATGAAGTATTGGCAGATGCTACAATGCAGATGAACCTTGGAAACATCATGCTAAGTGAAAGAAGCCAGATACAAAGGGTGACATATTGCATGATTCTGTTTACATGAAATGTCCAGAATGGCTAAATCTATAGAGACAGAAAGTACATTTGTGCTTGCCTAGGGTTGAAGGGTCAGGGGGTGGGGGAAATGGGGAGTAACTGCTAATGGGCAGAGGGTTTCCTTTTGGGGCAATGAAATTGTTCCAAAATTGATTTTGATAATTGTTGCACAACTCTGAGCATCCAAAAAAAAAAAAAAAAAGAGAGAGAGAGAGAGAAACCCATTGACATTTACAGTTTAAATGGGTATGCTTTATGGTACGTACATTTTATATTAATAAAACTATTTAAAAAGACAATATGGCTCACATGAAAATTTACCACCAATTTTTTTTCCAAGAGAGAGAATAAAAATAGAAAAGAAAATAAGGGTTATGCAGCCAAGAGTTACAAGGAGGAGATAACCACATAAAAGGTATTCCACCATATCCACCAGCAACCATCCTGCTCTGGTACATCTACCTGAGTAGGGCTTTCTCTGCTAGCTCTCAGCACACCAGCTCCAAACACCAAAGTCTGGAAAATAAAATCCTTTATTTCTGGTGGCCATTTTACTAAAAATATGACCTCTGAGGCTGAGACCAAGGTATCCAAACGTGGATAAGTGTATTAGGAGGAGGATGCTTGCCAGCCTGTCTTTCTTCCTTTCTGTGCTGTTATTTTCAAATAAATTTTTCATTAAGTGAGAAAAACAGCAAATGTTTAAACTGTAGCTCCCAAGGCACAAACTCATGATTTAATTCTCTCTCTCTCTCTCTTTTTTTTTGTCCATGTACACATTCATTATGGTAGCTCTTCCACAGGCACATCAGAAGATAGGTATAGTGCCAAGAAGTTATAGTTGGGCTCAAGCAACAGCGAACGAATTCTAGTTGTCAACTATATACAATGGAACCAAATAGGGTATTCCACAGGAAAATGAAAATTTACAGTAGTACCACTGAGGATGTGAAGTAAAAGCTGCATCTAACCAGAGAGTCCAAAATACCCATATTCCAGCTCTCCGTGAGGACTTCCTGGTCTGCAGTCATGTTGCTGACATGGAAGCACACCCATGTATCTTTCTAATGAAAGAATACTTTTTGACAAAAATTCGAAGTCTCCCACCCTCCATAGTTTGGCAACCAGATGACAGAATATCTTTCCTGTATAGTATACATAAAAACTCACAGGTTTTCTGGACATTTCAAATATGTTTGTTTGACTTTTTTTCTCATAATTCTGATTCTGACAATGCATTTTTCTCTTCCTTTGCCTCATTTGTCTTTTTCATGTGAAACTTAAATAAAGCTTTAGTTGAAAATTGAGGTGATATTTACCCAAATAAAATTTATACCAGTTTCCTACACCAACAAAAACAAACCAGATAAACAGAATAGCTAGAAACACAGCCCACTCCAAATAGACACCTCAAATATAAGAGGTAAAGGAAATAGCATGTGAAGTTACTAGCAAGCTAAACTGTTGTATTACATTTCTGAAAAGAATGGGATATTCTTTTATGTCCAATATACAGGGAGAGGAGAGACGGTTATTCTTTTAAATTGTTCCTCCTTCAGCCATCAGCCCTTCTCAGTATCTGAGTACAGCTCTTAAAGTCTAGTTTCTGAAAGTCTGCACTGCCTTCCTTTAAGCATCTGGACACAAGCATTTCATTTCTTCTTCTAAACAAAAGCACTATTTCTTTTAATGCTATCCCATTTTGATAACCCATAGAGTTTTTGGTGTATCCGCATATCATACGATTCCATACAGATCCTAAAGTCACAGTACAAAAGTTCTGACTACAGCCAAGGCTAAGCTACCTACAATTATTTCTACACACTCTCAATGTTTTGTAATAGAAAAGAAAAACTCTCTGACCTCTATAATTGTCAGGGGGAAAAAACAAACATCACTTTTAAGAAGTCAAGGATTTCTAAGGATATTTGGACCTCTTTCAAGGTTTCTTTTCAAAGGATGGGTGGCCCAGTTTTTCCTTTTCTCTCTCCCTCTCCTTTTTAAAAATGAATTACAAATACTTCACTATCCCCAACCTGCTCCACTCCCACTGCTCAGTAGGCTTCTTCATGGAGCTTTGAAAATGTGTTAAATCTTGGCCCAATTCTCATACCCTCAGCAGACTTGTCTCCTCTACATACATTCAGTGCACTTAGCAAAGATCATATGTCCTACAAAGAAACATTTTCTTATCCTTCCTCATATCACTAGTTAGAAGTCATCCCCCCCGGAAAAAAAGAAAATTGGCTCTATTATTTGGGTTTATCTTTGTGGTTTCCTTACTGTTTGGTGCTGCCAGAAAGTCAGCAATTTAAGCTTATAGTTTCAACCTCATATTGAGAAGTAAAAAAATGCCGCTTTGAGTTTATTAGTAATCACATGGCCTCAGGCTAATTTCTTCCTTCCCAGCAGTTGCCACACCTCTATGAAAAGGGGCAGTTTTACTGACATCTTTCCCTTTGCTTGGATTAATTGTAGCACCTCTCTTTTAGGAGAATTTATCTTCTAAAGCCTAAGGAGCAATTGAAAGAAATCTAGAAAACACAACCTTCAATTCAACGTTTCTTTATCTCAACACTACTTCCAAAGTTATGGGGATGAGAGGCTAAACTTCTGCTACAAAGCTAGTCATTGAAAGCTGAGAGGCCATAAAGTCAGATATGATGGCAGTCATTGCCCTAGGCTCCATGGCTGGGTGACATATGACAGGTTAGGGAGTAGGCTTAAGCTAAAACGGGGAGCACAGAGACTGCACACGTTCAAACTAGCCCAATGGGTCATTGGGGCACTTGAGTATATTTCCATTTTGATATAGGGTGTTTCTGGAATACAGTCTTACTTACTTACTTCTGGAAAGTGTGTAAATGGTTGCTGCCTCTGTTGTTTTAGAGGGTGGGAGGAGAAGGGGAATGAAAGCCAGATCCAAGTCTGAAAAAATGCTGGAACTCATCACCTTCTATAAAATATGTCAGGAAGGAAACACACGTAGTCACTAGCATTTTCTTTCAAACTACCCTCTATGGGTGGTGTCGCATAGGCCTTCTATAGTTGAAGTGAAGTAAACCACCACTTGCAAGAATCCTATGTACTAATGTGCTGGCAAGGGCCTTAAAAATTATCAACTCCTATTTTCCGTACACTTCCATTATGTTTTACAAATGGGGAAAATATAAGCTGGAGAATGGAAAGAATTTTGTCTTCTTCAACAGCTATAAGATCCAGAGCAATGTTAACCCAATTGTGAAATGTATGCTACTGGTAGAGTGGTGAGATGAATTTAGGTGGTGCTGCAATAAACTATTTTTTAGTAGTTATGCTTTATTTTAATCATTATTTCTACTTCTAATTATTTGTAAAACTTTCATAACAAACAGAAATGATGAGGTAAAACCACGTGGTCTACAAATTCAAAATTGATATTTACTCTGACAATAACTCGCTGTGTGACACTGGGAAAATTATTTTGCCATTCTGGGCCTCAAGAGACCCTATATACAATGAGGTAGTGACAATGCCACCCTCAAATTGTTTGCCAAAGGGTGGTAGGGCAAGAGCCCCATTCCATCCACCCAGTGGGTCAGCTTGCAGTGTTGTGCTGTTACTCAAAAAGGCAATAGAAATGTATTCATAATTGAAGGCTTGAGACCAGATGACCCTGAGATTTGAAGGGTTAGGGGGGACTTTCAGAAGTCAGTCAGTGCAGCCCTCTACATAAGACCTCAGAAAACCAATCCATTTGTGCCAAACCTGCTGTCCCTAAATGGATAAACGTTAACGGGCCATTCAGAATAAATAGGATGATTGGCCTAGACTTCAAAAGAGCAAGATAAATAAATATCAACCCAGGGAAGAATTGGTTCCTCCATCTTACTCTATCTTTCTAACTCAAAGCCAAATTATCTAAGGTTAAATAATTCATAAGTACTGTTTGAAGGTACCAGTATTTTAGTTGTCTTTGATTGCTTTTCTTTAACTTGAGCATTGTTAATGGCCCTCTAAAAGTGTAGAGCTTTCATTTGAATGACCTCCAGTTTCTGCTTTGTAGAATGGTTAATCTTAGGGAGCAGAGATTAAGGTTGGTCAGCAGACATCTATACAATCATAAAACAAATATTATAGGGAAATAACTATGTGCTGAGCTCAAATTATCATCTATCACATTCTAGTGGTAGGACCCTGGCCCAGTTAATTTATGTCTCTGTGTCTTCATTTCTTCATCTATAAAATGAAGACGAAGATTCTTACCCACGTCATTCGGCTATTGTGAGCATTAAAATGTCAGAACACTTTACATGTACGCAATAATTTTTTGATAAAGCTGGATTGTTCCTGGAAAGGACCAATCTTAAGCACAACTGAACAATTTAAAAAATGCTGACTTGTATATGTAACTATTTTTGACTACCCATGATAGGTTGAACTAGCCAAATACACAGTAGAGTTTCCTACCTGAAAAGAAGTAATCTCAAGGCTTACCCTGCAGTCTAATTATCTACTACTTACAACTCGAAATTTAGTTTCCATCATACCAGTAAAACAGAAAAAAACGGAATTGATAGTTCATAGAAAATCACTATAAACTTTAAGAAGCTGTCCTTTTCCTTTTGTATACTGGAATTTTCAAATCTAATATTATATTGATAAATGAACCAACATCTGAGATCTCTACTTTGTTTAGAGAATATAAAAAGTATCTTTATTATAATATTTGATGTAATAAGAGTTTACCTGATATTCTGATATAGATTTCTTTTTTAATAATTAAAGGACAATAAGGAAGTCACTACACCCCTGAGGTCATAACAGCTGCCACTTAAATATTTGTTGACTAACAAAATTGAACACTCTATGTTGCATGTGCAAAGCATTAATAATTTTTACCACGGATATATCATCTCAGAAAAGTAGTGACTCCTCTTCAATCCAATACTCAGCCTCCCTCCCCAGAAAAGGCAGAATCAGAACTGATGAATTCTTTCCTAAACAAAACAGAATGGCCAGGGTTTGCAGGGTTTGCTTCAGAAGACAATCTCAGAATATTACCCTAACTGAATAAATTTTACTATATGAAAAATCCACCCTATTGTCCTTCTTTTTCTTATTTTTTCCCTTAAATAAGTGAGAAGTTTGTCATATGCAATCATTTGGTAGCTACTGAGACAGGCTTTATTATTACCATTATACAGATGAGAAAATCGAGGTTTGAAATTATCAAGGTTGGCTGCAATGTAGAGCCCACATACAAATGTTTATCTTCTGACTGGAATCCAGCATCATAGACTTCTCTGCATTTAAATCAATACAACAAAAGAAAAACTCAATTCAACGGTCTGAATTATAAAATAGGATAGATTCCTCCTCCTTGTTTTTTTTTTAATTTTCATTATTTTACATTCAATAATTCTAACTAAATCAAAAGAGCCTGTTTTATCATAAAACAGACACAATGACTTAATTTTGTCATGTCAATTTTATGTAAATAGTATGTCTAAGGTGTTTGCCAATTAAAAAAATTATTTGAATATCGGAAATATCCCTCTCCTAATCTTACAGGAGGATTAGGTCAAAATATTTATGAAACATTTGTACTCTTTTTATTGAGCATAATTCAGTTAACTTCTAGATATATGTTCCCTTAGCACAGTACTGTATTAATTTCCAACACCTAGACAACTTACATGTTTCTACTGAACCTAGTCTTTTATTAATGACCACTTCCTTCTCAGGGACTACCATAATTGTGAAGGAACTGTATGTACTCTTAAGCAGCCTGCATACACACTGGACAACTGACATCACAGACTGACATCAGAAAAATCATGGTTGCGCCCATTAAGCACCACAGATACACTGGGAAGAGAGCAGAACTGGCATAAAGAACCCCCTGCCCATATCAGTGGATCAGTGTGTATGATGTTTGCAGTGACACTTAACAAGCTGTCTTTAATATCGTGCAAAGAAACAAGTATAATAAATGAGTGAGCCACATGTGGAATTTCCTTCTTGCTTTGGCAGAACAAGTCCAGAAAATAATATAATCAAAGAAAGAAAGAGAAACCAAAAGAACAGAAGTTTTAAATAGAGGTGGTAACCTTCCATCAGAAAGAAAGAGGAGAGCTGGTCTCTTCCTCATCCCTACCCCTCCCCTTACTGCCTTCCTTATATGGTCACAGCAGCCCAGGACAAGGAAAGATCTGGTCCTGCTAAACTTCTCTCTATGACCTTCACCTCTCCATTTCCTGTGCACTCCATCCTGAGCCCCTGGATGACTCCATTCAAACAAGGAATATGCCCATCTCTCTGTTACTTTTCATTCTCCTTTTTATCTGTACTCCATGTGTTCTAAGTCAACCTCAGAGCTCTTTGTCCCTAAGACACCATCTGTAGTAACACTTCAAAACAAAAACCCAAACAAAACCAGAAAAGTAACACCTTCTAACCCAGTAATTCTTATCACAAATAAGAATTATCACAATAATTCTTATTTGTGATAAGTCTCATCACAATAATTCTTATTTGTGATGTCTTATCAGAAATAAGACTTTGCAGTACAAATAAATGCTTTCTCCACCATCAATATGCTGAGTTTTAAAAAGAACATAGTTCTTATGCAGCCCATATCTTGCAAATTTACTTCACTGACATCATGAAATTAATATGAAAAGATTTATCATCTAACCACTCATTTCTCAAGGATTCTCTACACACAAGTGTCCTGTTAATAAAGACACACTGTGCATAATTTTTAACTGACTCTTTTGACATCCTACATGAATAAATTATGCACACCTACGTACCAACACACTTTTAAGTACCATAGCAGCTGGCAAGTAAAAAAACGAAACGTGAGTTATTTCACAAAATAATCTGGTAGATTCCTTGGAGAGCAGGTGAGCTTTTTATGAACCCGGTGGGTGCATATGCACAGACGTAGAGCCAACAACACAGACACAGACAGAAGCCAATATACATAGACAGCTACACAGAAATATCTGGTCACAGAGAAGCAGAAAGATACATGGATGCGTACACATACAATGAAATGCACACACAGGGACAAACACAGGGACAGCCAACACAACTGACTGCAAACACAGACAGTTCTGCTTCTCAAAGACAGAGTTGGATATGCTCACTCATACAAACTAAAACATGCACAAAAAAGATAAGAAGCCAATTCTAGTGGATATATACAAAAACATAAGCCAAAAACTGCAAAGGCCCAGAACTGCAAGAGAGGGATATACACCCAGAGAAATACAAACTAAGATAAGTAGGCAGATACATTAGAACATATACACACAGAGACACATGGAGATGGGGACAATAGGGGCATAGAAAAAGACATACCTAGAAGCAGTCACACAAAGAATGGCTATGACATAAACTGAAATAGTCACCCCAAAACAGTCTTGCTTAGACACACAAATTAAGATGAAAACAGACATAGAAATCCACACACCGACAGAAATAAACAGCTGTAATACAGACACAGTGATACAGTGGCCTGGAGTGAGAGATATCCACATAGACAGAGACGTGCAAACTCAGGGGAAAAAATACATGAAGGCACAGAGACACAAAGACAGAACTGGTAAAAAGAGACAGAGGCACATTGACTTAGCAAGACACTCGATTACACAGAGATACGAGCACAAAAGAAAAGACACGTTCCCACTAGCAAAGCACACAGGGTAAGACACTGTTTCTGGATCTCTGTGTGTCACAACTGCTCAGAAATGAACTCACAATAACAGACACACATACCCTGGTACACAATCACATACAAACATCAAACCACAACACATGTGCAGAAACCCACAGTTGTTCCTTGCACAAAGGCTGAAAACTGGAAGACACCATGTATGCTGCTTACTGTCTCTAGGGGTCTTGCAGGTAGGCCAGTATGCATGAAAAAGGCAATCTTATCATAGCGAATTAAGTGCTTTTTGCATTTTAATAATAATGAATTGCTCAACCCCCAACCCCCCCCCACACACAAAATCCCCCACCCACACTATATTCTGCCCCAAATTAGTCAACATGCTAAGATATTCAAGCAAGCTAGTCTAGATGCCTAATAGATAATGTCATGGCTGCGTAATATTAGGTCACAGTCCAAACCTTACAACACTCACTACCCTAGAAACTGAGTTCTAAGTTTTCAATTGAAGAACCTCCCACCTGTGAAGCCAGAGTATCATGGGAAAAAGTGACAGGCAATGTCAGGAGCACTCTGCATTCGTTTCCCTGGTTCCCTGTACAAAGTCCGGTACAAAGCCAGCCTCCAGCAGCTTCAGGCAGGCATTTGCATAGGCAAGAAGATGGAACAGATGACCTCCGAGGAATCCCTCTCTGCTCGCAGCACCTACTGGAGAAGAGAGCAACTTGGCAAATCAGAGCTGATAAAACATTCTGCAATACACAGTGGGTTGGGAAGAGGAGGGACGGCGCAGATAAGCAAACTAACATACCCTCCTGATGCCAATTACTGCCTTGTTAATTGCCAAGATTCAAATGTGATTTCAATAAGTACAGTAGTGTGAAAATATTGCATATAGAGATCAGAATCCCTCTGACTGCCAGGCCTCTGAAAAATAAAAACCAAGGGGAGGGGCTGGTACATATTCCCACTTTAATTGGAGTTGGTACCGCAGAACCCACTGTCCCCAGAGTGCAGTAGAAAGAGTCAAAATCACTGAGATCAAAGAACACCCTAGCTAGAAAGGGCATTTAGTTCTGACCTGGGAGCAGAAGCCCTCGATTTCCAATCTGAATGTGCCAGTAAAGTGTTTGTGCTTGTGAACTTGGTCTAATTCCCTTCCCTGTCTGGGTTTCAGTTGCCCAGTCCATACGAAAGGGAACTGACCTCTAGAATTCTCTCTAAATTATGACTATTTCTGATTCTTTGGCATAAACTTGCCCTCTTTCAACCCACTGTTTTGAACTCGTGTCTAGCGAAGAAGCACAATTAGTCCTCAGAAATGGAAAGAAGAGTAATGCTTTTCACCAAGTTGACAAATGCCTGCTATATACAAAGAAGGAAAATAGACGCCCAGACACAGACGTGCCTACTTGAAATGAGCTTCTAATGTTAAGTTTGAATAAATAAGAGGGCTTTGTGGTATGGGAGGGAGATTTGGAGGGGCTACTCTGCCTGCCATCTGCTGACCCCTGAATGCATAACCCTCTTTTCACACTTGCTCAATGAAGAAGCATGCCACTGCCCTCAGCCCCGTTACTACAATTGCTAAGTTGCTGGTACAAGGGAAAACCCACCCCTTACACCACACATGCACAGGCTTTTAGAAAAAACAGGAGAAGATTTTATCCCTGAAGTATAGGATTTAGTTTGTGGTAATCAAAACGGCTACACTTTAAATCTATAAGCCCTTTCTGAATTTACAAATTACTTCTAGACTTAATGTTTCATCTATATAATTAGAATTTATCTTCCAATCTGCTGATAAGGGAACTCTGACTCAGAACTGTTGACTTGCCCAAAATTATACAGATAGTAACCCACAAAGTCTGGACACAAACCCTAGTATTTTAAGCGTAGGTCTGCTGCTCTTTCAAGTACTTTAGTCTTCTTCACTCATGGTCTTATTGGTGGACTTCAACCTCTCCTCCTACCTCAGTCCAGCTAGAGGGAAAGAAAACCCTGGCATGAACTCAGGGCTGAAAGGAACCCATGTCTATCTCCCACTTCCATCTCTGCACGGAGACTAGGGAAACAGGAGGAGGTGTGGCATTTGGCTAAAGGACTCTCGGAAAGGAAGGGAGGAAAGCCTTTCCTCATCACCCTCCATTACTCTTAGTCCTCAGGGAACATTGTGGGTAAGTTTATGAAGCTAAGGAAGTAAAAAAGAGATGACAAGTTGCCTAGGAAATTCACATCCCAAACTCATTTTTCCTGAATTAGCTGTGACTTTGATTTTCCATATTACAGTTAAATAAGGCACTTAAGAGCCTGGATTAAGACTCTGGGTCCCAGTACCCAGAAAGGCTGTAAAACCTTTTCAGAAGATTATTAAGAGGACGCTAGAGAAGAGTTACGTTGAAGGGAGGCAAGAGGCTTTGGCTGATGGAGGGTACATTTAATGGCCTCTATGAAAAATAAAGCTGAAGTGGTGTGGAATAGTGAAAACAGCAGGGAGGCCAGGAAACAAACAAACAAAAAACTGAACAATCAAAATTCAAGTCCCAAACTACCAAGTTACTATACTATGTGATCTTGAACAAGTCATTCAAGTCTCTGAAATTCAGTTTCTTACCTATAAAGTGGAACTAATAAGAGCTACCTAGGATCAAAGTAAAGATTAAACAAGAAAACAGAGAGACAACATCTAACATTGTACCTGTCACTGACAGGTAAATGCTCAAAAAGAGTAATACTTGACCAGAAAGAGTTAACCTATGACTGGAAGGAGCCTTAAGTGGCAGGTTTTCAAAGCAAGTGGAATGATGATGCTCCAAGTCAGCTGACCATTTACTTGGAAAAAATCTAAAATCAACTCTTAAACAACAATCTTTGTCACCCCCATACTCTACTCAAATACATAACCAGAAAGTTGGGACTCACCAGGACCATTTAAGGCCCCCCATAGATCCTACTTAACAATCTCGCAGCCCCATCCATCATCACACACTCAACCTTCACACACACAAATACACACACAGAGGCTGAAACATTCCACTTCTGTTCTTAGCAAGACAAGATTAGATTAAAATGCAATTTCTCATAAGGCTTCATCTTCATTTACCCCAAATAAAAGACACCCCATTTTTAGGATGGCCATAGTCACTGAAGAATATAACTTGAGATTTTGCTAATGGCGTTTCACAAGTTGCTGTTCATATGTTTACTACTGAGATGTCAGTCCCCAGTCTGTGAGATTTTAGAGGCCTGAGATGGTATCTTATTTCTCTTTGTAGCCTCAGAATCCAGCACAGGGTTTGATAGAAAGTTGGTACTCAGGAAATGTATTGATGAATAAAATAATTAATTAGTGAATTCGCAAATGAAATGCTCATTTAACTAAACTGACATTGCTAAGAATGAAAAAAAATTTTCACAAGTGATAAAACAAATCTTCAACCAAAAGTTGGAAAGAATGTTCCCAAATGACATATATACTCATTCATTCAATAGCAAATCTGAGCTGTGAACTTGAAAAAAGTTGGACTTACTGTCAAAAATTAATGGTCTGGGGCTGGGAGCAGTGGCTCATGCTTATAATCCCTGCACTTTGGAAGGCCAATGGAGGTGGATCACTTGAGACCAAGAATTCAGGACCGGCCTGGGCAACATGACAAAACCTCATCTCTACTAAAAATACAAAAATTAGCCAGGCATTGTAGCACATGTCTGTAATCCCAGCTACTCAGGAGGTTGAGGCACGAGAATCACTTGAACTCAGGAGGCAGAGGTTGCAGTGAGACGAGACCTTGCCACTGCACTCCAGCCTGAGTGAGACTCTGTACCTCCCACCCCCCAAAAAATTCACCAAATCCTGGTTCTGTTGCTTATTGTCTGAGTTACCTTGGAATCTCCTTTAATTTCCTCCAGTCTCAGTTTACTCATCTGTGAACTAAGGATTTGATCCCTGTTGTGCCTACCTCCAAGTTGATTTTGAAGAGTAAAAAAGATAATGTGTCTGAAAGTACTTGGTAGATTTCAAGCAATTTATACATCCTAGGAATTGTAATAACTTAGTCTCAAACATGCTCATTCGTTCCACTCCCATTTTCCGGTCCTCCACCATTTCTCTTACCAACTAACTATAACAAAGCCAGCCTCTAAGTCCTTTGAAAACCATCGATAAACAAAATGCAAGAGGGAAAGGAAAAAAGAGAACTAGGTCTCCTGCCAGCTCAAGCAACTTTTAGCTTACCTGATTTCTTATAGATCCGGGGCATGGCTGCCTGAATAAGTCAGTGTTGCTACCACTGATAAAATATCTTAATACCAATCTTTTAAAGTCATCCAGAAAGCATCCTTCATGGATCCATTGTGATTTCCCTTCCTAGAAGTGGTTTCAGAAGGGTCTGTGAGGATGGTTTTGATGGCAAGGAGATGGCACAGTGAAAGTGGAGTGGGAGGCTGTGCCACTGTGGGAAGACAGTCTGAGGTGCTAGAGAAGGGAAAAGTAGATGAAGGAAAATGGCGGTGGGCAAAGAGAAGGATAGTTGCCTCAAACAAGAAAGAAGATTGGGGTCTGTGGAACAGGGTTCAAACAGGCCAGGACCAAAGAGAAGCTCTAGGTTTTGCTAATTTTTAGGATTACAGATTTACAAGATGAAAACCAGGGGGAAAATTGGCTCTAAGGAAACCCCAATGTGTACCTATAATGAACAGTTGGTAACTGCTAATTTCTCCACTAATAAATTTAGAAGTGCAGTGGAGAATAAAGTAGAAAAAAAATTATTTCACTTTCTAGCAACTGTCATATGCCATGGTAACAATGCATGTGACTGAAACTGAAAAGAAAAGAATTAAATGAACCCATCAACCTGACACTTCCATGCTACTCTCAGCTACCAATAGCAGGGCCATTACAATTTCAGACAGCAGGGGTTATTACCACTGACACCACAGAAATAAAAATAACTATCAGAAGGTATTATGAACACCTCTATGCACACAAACTAGAAAAATCTAGAAAAAATGGATAAATTCCCAAACAAATACATCCCGCCAAGACTGAATCAGGAAGAAATTGAACTCCTGAACATACCAATAATGACACTGGTACGACTGCTCCTTCCCTCTCACCCTTACTCTATTATACACTGAGGAGTTCAAAGTTGATAGAATAAGAAGGCTTAGTAGATGCTCTCCAGAGTCGTGGGAGATGGAAGTGGATCACCTTGTTTGTTTCCATGGGAGAAAGCCAAACAGATTTCACCTCTCAACTTACTCCCCCATAGACTGGGGTATAGTCCTTGCCTCTTAGGATATGCCAGCCTGCTCTTAAATGACTCAGCAGATCTTTAAATATACCCAAGCAAAGAGCTGCTCCGAGACACAACTTGCTGTTAAAAAAATGTTTTAATCTGTTTGGGGTGTTGAGAGGAAGGTCCTTTGTTAACATTAGGTTCCCAAGCAAATTCAGTACTGCTGTGACTCTTTCTCTCCCTATATGCTAAGAGGCTTGTTTTTGTTCTGCTGCCTGCCATTTGCCAGCTGTGTGGATCACAAGGATGAGAAGGGAGATCATTCCAGGCCACGGAAGGATTCAAGAAAATTCCTGCCCAGTAATTTTGTTGGGGGAAGGGTGCCAATATGTGCAACGGAGTTACTAGTTTAAATGTAGGGGCCCCAAACTCAAAGAGGTCCCATAATTTGCATTGAGTCATTCTGTTCCTTGTGGAAGACCATGACCTCTGGCCAAGAAGAGGAATCTTCTCACTCTCCCTCTCTCCTCAGACTAGCTCTGTCTCACACTTTGAAGCACACATCAACCAATAAGAGATTTCAGCTGGGCTGAGGGAAGTAACTTAATAACTTGCATTACCGAAGCAAATCATGCTCCCCTGTTATCTGCAATGACCTCACGCTTACATTCCAGCCAAAGCATTTTGGAGACTCAAAGCTTTGTGGAAGGGGAAGCCAGGCAGCAGTGGCCTGGGGAAAAGCCCATGTATGTCAGCCAGAGTCTAGCGTTTTCCCAAGCTCTGTTTGTCTGGACTACTACTACTACTAATAATAATAGGTACAATTTATGAAGCTTGTACTATGCACCAGGCCCTGGGCTAGATATTTACATTTATTATCTCACTTATATTCACAAAAACCCAACAAAGGAAGCATTAGTATCTTCATTTTAGAAATGAAGAAACTGAAACTCAAGAGAGGTGAAGCAGCCCAGAACTGGAAGCTAGTAAGACCCAGAGCCAGTATTTAAAACAAAATCTGTCAGATGCCAAAGCCTATTCCTGAACATCGGTCAACATACTACACTTTGACTCTTACCCCAGCTTCTTTCCCGAAGGCCCTTCAGCCTCTCTGTTATGTATTTAAAATCCTTAACTACACAAAGTATGCCTCATATCATCCAAATGGGCATTTTGGAGTCATCTATAGGCTTTTAAATTGTTAAAAAGTGACTGTAAAAATCATCTACTATGAGTTCAAACCTTTGCCCTATACATGGTTCCCAAAGGGTCCAGACTCTTCTTGAATGTCTTCAGTGAATGTGAATTTACTATTTATGTGATTCAGCCAATAGATAGACAGATATGGTGTGGTGAATTAGAAGAAGGGAACTAATATTTCAGCACCTACTAAGTGCCATGCCCTTTATCCTAGTTGTTTTATTTCATTCTTATAATAACTCTATAAGAAGAGTGCTCTACAGATAATGAAGATCTAGAGGCTCAGAGGGGTTATGTTACTGTCCTGAGGTCATCCAACTATGTTATGTGGCCGTGCTAGAATTGAAAGCCAGGTCTGATCCTATTGTGGTGCTGCTTGTACATTTCTTTAGCTCCTCCTATACGAGGAGTGAAAGCCCTTGGAGTAAGCAAGGGACCCAAGATTTGCTTAGGTCTCTGATCTGATGGGGATGACATACTCGAATGACTAGAAGAGTCAAGCAGGTAACTTAAATGAATAAAGCGGATCAGTGCTGCCTGGGCAAACTGCAAAGTGCATGGCCCATCCAGAGGATCAGCTGCTTTTCACCTACAGCTGGTCATTACCATGTAGGAATGAAAGTCCTGTATTGCCAGATCTTCATTCCCTATGGTGGAAATCTGAATTTTGAAGTAAAATGTTAGCAAGTAATTCAATAAACACACACACATACACACACACACACACACACACACACACACACACACACATATACACCATATAGACCAAACAAAACTCATATGGTCCATGTTGACAACTTCTGATGAAGGGTGAAAGAAGCTATTCTAAGAAAATATCTTTCAGGCTGGGCACATTGATTCACGCCTGTAATCTCAACAATTTGGGAGGCCGAGGCAGGCGGATCACCTGCAGTCAGGAGTTTGAGACCAGCTTGGCCAACATGATGAAATCTCCGTCTCTACTAAAATAAATAAAGAAATAAATAAATAATAAATAAAATTACCCAGGAGTGGTGGTATACACCTGTAATCCCAGCTACTCCAGAGGCTAAGGCAGGAGAATCACTTGAACCCGGGAGGCGAGGTTGCAGTGAGCCAAGATTGCGCCATTGCACTCCAGCCTGGGCGACAAGAGTGAAGACTCCCATCTCAAAAAAAAAAAAAAAAAAAAAAAAAAACCTCTTTCGTTTACTGAACTGTAATCTGTCCTCATTGCTTTTGCCCTTTGGGGTACTACAGAAAAACATCTAACTTCTTTATTCCATGATAATCCTTCAGGTACGTTGAAACAATAGTTATGTTCACTGCTCCATGTCTCTCTCACAGCTCCTCCATGCTTTACAAAAGGAGATGCTCCATGAATACTGGGGCTGAACAATACATTGCAAATGTGTCTGACCAGAATTTAACAGAGCAAGACAATCAACTCCTTTATTCTGTGTCCCATATAATAGTCCCTTGGTATTTGAAGGGGCATGGTTCCATTCCCCCACTCCCATGAATACCAAAATCCAAAAATATTCATGTTCCTTAACTAAAACATATAAAATGGTGTCATATTTGTATTTAACCTATATACATCCCCCATATATTTCATTTATATCTAGATTACTTGTAATAGCTAATACAATGTTATGTAAATAGTTGTTTTACATAATTTTATTTGTATTTTTTTACTGTCGAATTGTTATTTTTACTGTGTCTCTAAAATATATTTTCCATCTGCAGTTGCTTAAATCTGTGGATATGGAATCCATGGATATGGAGGGCTGACTGTATTTATGTTAATGGAACTTACAATCCATCAGTTGTTTTTGGCAGTTACTTACTACTATTGACTCTGAATCATTTCATAAAGAAATACTTATGGAATACCTACTGTGTACACCACTGTTAAGTTATGTGCTGTGGATATCTTATATCCAAAGAGAATCTTTGCAGATATATCCAACCTTTGCCCTAAAGAGAGACAGATGTTTAGAGGTATATTTAGAAGGACGTTATCAGACATTAACACAAGTACTTCTGATTTAAGGGACTAAGTACCATATTGATGGAGAAAGAAAAAAGGGATAAATCCAAAAGGTCTTATGCACTCTTGACTTGTGCCTAACATCCATAATCACATATGATCCCCTCTCCACAAAATCTTATAAACTAGAGATTTCTAGCCCCTGGTTTACAGATAAAGAAGTGAAGCCAACATTCTTTCAACCATATTGTGTCATATAGATCACTTCTCCTTGGGTTGGGAGGTTGAGAATATTCATTTTGTAGGGGGCTGTCATAGAAGAATGGATAGTATTGAAATTGGGATAGCCTTCAAGGTCAAAGGGATTATAAGAAAAATAACATGTTCAAAAAACAAGAGAGTGAGGATGGTTTAAAGTGACAGTGACTAGATCCTTTTGGCTGGGTTTTAAGAGTTTTGTAAGGGAACTCCAGGAATTCAGGCTGGAAAAATAAGCAGATCATAAAAGGACTTGAACACCAGATTTAAATAATTTGGACTTTAACCCATAAGCCAATGGGGAGAAGCTGAAATTGTAATCATGCATTACACAACTATACAGCAAGGCTTCCTTTGCATTAAGCACGAAGAATAGGGAAAAAATAAGACAGGACTCCCACCCTTAAGGAGCTTAAAGACTAATAGACATTTAAAGCAGTATACAGACAAGATTGGAGCTAAACTTTGGAAAGATCTGGTGGCACAAATACAATAGGAATTAGAGAGTAGCAGAGAGAGCTAGAGAGAAAGGACGTGGGATCACTGCACTAATCCTGGAAAGAGGTGTTAAGAATCTGAACTGGGGGGAGAAGGAATGACTGAGAAGGCTTTGGGAAACAGCATATCCCTTCAGCACCCTAATTCCCAAAGCCTTCAGCTTGGTTTTTCAAACACTATGAGATCATCTTTGATGGGGAACTCTGAATTGGGAAGGGTAGAGAAGAGTCCACCCTGCTCAATCCCACATCTGACCTGCCATATTTTGAGTCAATCTAGCACCTCACTGAAGCCCAGAAAATGTCTAAAGCAAACTACATACCATATGAAAGTATGAGCATGGTTAAAATTTTTGGTCTATTATTAGATAGTTGGTGACTGAAATATCTCAGTCTAATTTGGTCTTTTTTATTCAAAAGGCTGATCAAACAAATTTTTCAGATGAACAATTGCAAACAGACTACACATTTGCTAACTGTGGTTTTTAAACAAAGATGAAAGGGAAGGAGGGATGGACAGAGTAAAGAGACCCAAAACATGTTCTGGAATCCTTTCTGCACCCAAACACCAAACATCAAGTGTTTCCATCTTTACTCTCAACTCTTGGTTTATGCAGTCTCCTCATCTAATTAGAAGTTGGACAATGCTTCAGAGAGGTGGCCCAATGTGACAAGCTTGGAAAAATT
Organism: Homo sapiens; assembly: GCF_000001405.40. NCBI lineage: Eukaryota > Metazoa > Chordata > Mammalia > Primates > Hominidae > Homo > Homo sapiens. The sequence continues at coordinate 67,559,692 of NC_000023.11, read as the reverse complement.
CTTTCTCTCCTGCACTGCCCATTTTCAAATAAATGCTGAAATAGTTATCATTTAGCAAGACTACCTTCTTTAAAAGAAAACCTGGAGAGACAGATTTTTGCAGTAGCCTGCTTCCATTTCCACAGTAACAAAAAGGTTATCTGACAACCACATTCATGACTTCCTATGGGATCCTGCACAACACATTGGGGCCTAGAGGGACGGAGGTAGCATCTTGTCAGTCCTGGGAAGTGTCCCTTCTTATTTAGTGTAAATCCCACAAATCCCACATGCTGACATTTTTTCCTAACATTTTGTTCCTTTTGTCCAGTCTCTGGAAGGAAATGGACTCTGCTCACTCTCCCAATTCTCTGTCCAATCTTGTTGATGGAGACAGGTAATTAAAAGGTGAAGGGCAGAACAATACGGAGGAGGAATGGAGGGAGACAAGTCAATGTTAGAAGGGAGCCCAAGTGATAGAGTGGAAAGAGGTCTGGCAGTCCGGAGTCTCAAATTCAAGTTCCGGTTCTGCTACTTACTCACCATGTGACATTAGGTTAAGTATCCTTCCTTCTAAGAGTGCTTAAAAGAAACTGGTGCATATTAAGGATATGAGTTGTTCAGTGTTTGAAGTTCAGGCACAATGTTTTTGCATTTTAAAAACTTTCTGTTATAAGAAAATTACCTCATTCCATAAATATAGTGGAAAATAACATAAGTTGTGGAGCTGAACTACCTAGATTCTAATATTGGCACTTCCACTTACTTGTTCTCTAATCTTGTGCATGTTATTTAATTGCTCTGTGCCTGTTTCTTCATCTACAACATAGAAATGATAATTGTAGCTACCTCATGGAGTATTTTGAGGATTAAATGAATTAATACATGTAAAATAAATAAAACAATGTCTGACTGTAAAAATTGGCAATTTTATTTTTCTTATCTTAACTCTCCTATTTAAGCAGGCATTGAATTGCCCAGGTTTGTAGCAGTCGGAGATCAACCTCCTTGGGATCTCTAGGCCCTTTTCAATAATTCCTGTAGTCCTGTTTTCCAATCCCTATCATGAGTCATCAACTTCTTCTAACCACCCCTTTCCATCACTCTGCCTCTACTTTAACCTCTAGGCCACCCACCTATTTGGTGAGGATCAGTGGACTATAATAGGGGCAGAGCATAATGAAGTCACCTACGTCACCAGTCATTTGGGTTGGTAAAGGTGAAGGGTAATCTGAGAAGCTCCTGGTATTGCACAGTAGTTAGAACCTTGTGGTTAGAAGCCAGACTTCCTGGGAGTGCACACAAGTTCTGCTACTTCCTAGCTGTGTGACCCTTGGACATGTTCCTTAACCTCTCTAGGCCTGCTTCCTAAAGTTGACATGAGAATTAAATGAATCAATTCATGCAAGGTGCCAAAGTTTACACAGCAAACATTCAGGAAGTGCTATCATTATTATTATATATGATTATGTATAATTCTTTGTTCTCAGTATGGACCAAAGAATTTTCACTTTTCCAATGTAACTTTTTTCAAGAAAACAACATACGACTAACCCTTAAAACAGGCTCTGACTAGGCTCAGGCACTAGCTTGCTGTATGAGCTTAGCCAGGTCCCTTTCCATCTTGGTGCCTCAGGCACCTCACCCATAAAATGAGCTAGCTGGACAAGATGGTCTCCCAGGTTCCATGAACTCTAATTTCCTAGGATTTAAGGCCATTTCTGTCCAGGTCCTCTGTAGATTCTAGCTTTGTTAAAAGCTCAATTGCCTTTAAAAGTTCACTTACTGTGTTTTTACAGGAAAAATATTTTGGTATGTGGTTCAGTAAAAATAATAATATTTCAGTGTGATTGGGGAGAGCAACCAATTTGTATAGTTTCCCAGTTTTATTCACTATTTAGTTTAATTACCTGGTTTTAGGTTTGGGCAAAGAAACAAACAAAAAACAATAACAAAAAACTCACTCTTGCCCAAATGAGTCCTCAGAATCACACTAAAAAAAGAAAATCTACTGATTCAGAATTCAAGAGAACTGGGTTTGTGCCCTAGTTCTGTCGCCAGCTCACTGTTTCACCTTGGATAAGTCCCTACCCTTCTATAGACCTCTATAAAGTAAAAGGAAAGAGGGGAGAGGGTACCTACAGCCTAGGCGATCTCTAAGTTCCTTTTTAATTTTCTTGAAGAACAGCAAAGCTGAAGGCACTGCATGAGAACTAACTGAGAAGAAGCCATCAGGATGTTCATCAGATAATTCAAACTTTATAAGTCAAAAATCAAACTCTTGATTTCTACCCTGCCCATGCACCTGCTCTACATACAGTCTTCACCATTTCAGTAAATGGCAATCTCATTTTTCCAGTTACTCAGACCAAAAACTTGGCAATCATCCTCATCTCTATTTTTTTCACAGTGAATATCCAATCTGTCAGTAAATGCTGTTGGCTATACCATCAAAACTCATCCAGAATTCAGCCACTTCCTACCTTCTCCACCAATACCACCTTAGTCTGAGACACGGTCACCTCTCACCCAGATCACTGCAGTGTACTTGTTTCCCTGCTTCCCCCCTTGCTCCCACAGTCTCTTCCCCCCACATACAGTAAGTAAACAAACAAACGTATAATATATCAGAGTGACAGATGTTATGAAGAGGAGGGAGCCTGTTAAAATGTAAGTCAGGTCATGTTACCCTGCTCAAAACCGTCCAATACAACCTGCTTAGGAGTAAAATTCAAAGTCCTAAGGAAGACCTACCATGCAACCTCATTAACTCTGATCTCATTGTCTACCATCCTTCACTTATTTAAACCAGCCATATGGGCCTCTTTGTCCTCCATCACAGCAAGTGTGCTCCTGCCTCAGGCCCTTTGCGCCTGTGGTTCCCTGGGCCTGGAATATTCTAACTCCAGATGTCCAAATAGCAGCTCATTTCCTAATTTCCTTCAGGTCACTACTCAAAATTTACTTTTCCAGTAAGGTTTTCCCTGGCCAGCAAATATAAAATATTCCCTCTCACCATCAATCTCTATACCCTACACTCTGTGAAGTTATTCTGCATGGCACTTTTCATGCTCAGATGTACACTACATGTCTCCTCTCATTAAACTGTCTGCTCCACGAAGAGATTTTTGTCTGTTCTGTTCACCACTACATCATTGGTGCCTAGTACAGAATTTGGCATATAGTAGATGCTTAATAAGCATTTATTGAATATATGCAGTCTGTAAAGTAGAATGGCAAGGTTATTGGCACCCAGAACTCTCACACAACCAAATCCATCAGTCTGGTGGATGGGTAACAAACCTAGAAGCCTTAAGAAATTCATAAATTTCTAGTATTGATACCACTTGTGGTTCTTTTGCCTCTCTGACTCTCATGTTTCCCATCTATAAGGTAAAAAGAGCTGTGAGATAAAAGCAGGGAACACATGATCTGGAGAAGAAAGAATGGGACTGAAATTCCAGATCAGTCACTTTGAAGCTGTTTGATTGTAAACATGTAACTTAACCACTCTTTGCACAATTTTTATAATGGGAATAATAGTACTGTAATAGTATGAATACTATTATAATACTCCAAACTCTAGTTACTTGTAAAAGGTAGAAACAAGAATGAAATGCAATAATGGAATATGAAACTTCTCTATAAACTGGACAGTGCTACTTGAATATATCCAGTGTCACTGTTTTCTGCTCCATATGCAAAGAAAGGTATTAAAAAGTCAAAATATTACTAAAAAATGCTTGCCACTTCGAGAAACAACATCCCAAATGAAACAGTAAGTACCATAGTAGCTTATTTATTGTCTGGTGCTAGGCAGTTCTGGTTCAAGTTATCCTGCGATAGGGCCTTGGCTGTGTGTTGAAACCATCAATGGAGGCTCACCATTCCCAGGGAAATCCTGCCACGGGGCACTTGCAGTCCCCCTAGCGGCCAAATAGCGGGACTACAGTTCCACAAGCAAGGAACCTACTCAACCTGCAGAGAACAGAGCCCATGTTAGGTGGTAGGCCATTTCAGAATGTTACGTTGTCTAATACAGCAAAGCTCTTATAAGATCATCATGTGCCCCCTTACTCCCCGAATTGTTTGGTTTGTGCAATTCATCAGGATCAATGGAAACTTAGAAGGCAGGAAAACAACTCTTATGTCAAATTCAGAGCCATTAATCACCTTCAATTTTAATTTATTACTCATATTATTGCTGACTTGTTCAGATAAAGACATCATAAACATGTACCCACCAAGTGCAATGATATAGCCAAAGAAACTGAAGAAGAAATTGGCAACTAACTTGACTGGGGTGCACTATTGAATAAGCAGAAATAGATTTCAACCCATTCCTCCAGTTCATTCTTTCCAGTGGTACTAACTTCTGTTATTTAAAATATACATCAAGATCTTTAATCTATTGCTTGAGTTTAGACATGCTCCTACTTACTTCCACGAAGGATTAAAAGCAGCCACAGGTAACATTGCTGACCACTTCAGCCTCTATTGATTCATTCCTCTTTTTTTTTAAAATATCTACATTTTAAGAAATCCATACCGTACAATCCAGGATCTCATACAGGCATCATGGCATGATGATACTGCATTTCTGTTTGGTTTTTGGTTGTTTGGTTTTTGTTTGTTTTTGTTTTTAGTGGCTATAAGCTCCTCGTAAGCAGTTACCTCAAGAAGATTCTGTCTGAATTGTGTCCCCTTTCACCTTATCTCTTCCTAGCACATGCTGGGCACATAGCAGGTGCTTAATGAAAAGTGGTTGATTGATAGATTCTTTTTTTTTTTTTTTTTTGACGGAGCCTGGAGTGCAGTGGCATGATCTCGGCTCACTGCAACCTCTGCCTCTTAGGCTTAAGTGATCCTCCTGCCTCAGCCTCACAAGTAGCTGGGATTGTGGGTGCTCACCAAAACGCCTGGATAATTTTTGTATTTTTAGTAGACATGGGGTTTCACCATGTTGGCCAGGCTGGTCTTGGACTCCCGATCTCAGGTGATCCACCCACCTCGGCCTCCCAAAGTGCTGGGATTACAGGATTGAGCCACCATGCCCGGCCAGATTCTTTTTTAAAAAATCCCTTTATTAGGCTAATCTCTACAGACAGCTATTAGATTATAACTAAACCTTTTGCTGGGTGCCCTGCAGTTAATTCACAATTATCAGGACATTACAGTTGTAGCTGATTAGCTATGACCCTTAGCCTAGAGTGTTAATGAAGACAAAGTTCAGTCTGTGTATAGATGAATTTTATCTTTGCTTCATGGCTATGGAGTACATCCCTAAAAAGAAGCTTAAATTATATGAGAGTAAATGAATCCTTTCCCCATCTAGAAATGCACATCAGAAGGAGTACTGGAATTTACTTTGTCCAAAGGACAACATATAAAAACATAAAATTATGATTTTAGCTGCTTACGATAACCTAAACATAAGCCTAATATAGCTAGTGATTTCATTTGTCACCTCTACATGTTAGTTTTCTATATAGAAATTATTATTATTACTCACTGCCTTGCTAATAGTTCCCAAATCCAAATTCTAAAAAAGGGATTATAAACTACCCAAACCTTACTAGGCTTCTTTCCTGCTGTTCTCTAAAGAGATGAACATTTAAAAACACTCTCCTATTCATCCCGAAAGGGGATGGGATTACCAGTTCGAATTTATAGCTGAGTAAAACTGAGAAGAATGTCCCCATGCAGCCTTCATACAGGATGAAATGAAGTAAGCTTTAACTTTCAGTGCAGCAGCAGAAGCCCTCTTCCCCATAAGTCCCAGAAGCATTCAAAACTCAGGTATTTTCAGCAAGGTTGCAGGATACAAGATCAATATACAAAACAATTATATTTCCATACATTGGCAGCGAATAATCTGAAAATAAAATCAATAAGACAGTTCAATTTATAGTATCAAAAAATAAATCACTTAGGAATAAATTTTAAAAAGAACTGCAAAACTTATAATCTGAAAACAATAAAAATTGTTGACAAAAGGAAGACCTAAATAAATGGGAAGACATCGCATATTTATGGATGAAAATAACTTAACGTTGTTGAGATGACAATGCTCCCCAAATTGGTTTACAGATTTAATATAGTTCCTGTGAGAATCCTAGCTGACTTCTTCGTAGAAATTGACAAGCTTATCCCAATTCATTTGAAAATTCAAGGGACCCACAAGAGCCAAAGCAATCTTGAAAAAGAAGACCAAAGTTGAAGAGTTCAAAATTCCTAATTTCAAAACTCACTAAAAACCTACAATAATCAAGATAACGTGGTACCGGCATAGGAATAAACATATAGATCAACTGAATATAGTTGAGAGTCCACAATTAAACCCTCACATTTACGGTCAACTGATTTTACACAAAGGGTGCCAAGACAGTTAAGTGAGGAAAGATTCAACAACAATATTGTGAGAACTGAATATCTACATGCAAAAGAATGAAGTTGGACCCCTACCTCAGTCATATATAAACATTACATCAAAACTGATGAAAGACCTAAATGTAAATAGCGAAAACTATAAAACTCTTAGAAGGAAACATATGTAAATCTTTGTGATCTTGGATTAGGCAAAGACTTCTTAGATACGACGCCAAAATCATAAGCCAAAACAGAAAATAAATAGATGAATTGGACTTCATCAAACTTAAAAACATTTTTGTGCTTCAATCTAGATACCATTAAGAACGTAAAAAGAAAAAAAAGGAAAGTAAAAAAGACAACTCACAGAATGTGAAAAAATATCTACAAATCACAATCTATTAAAGGACATGTATCCAGAATATATTTTTTAAAAATCTTAAAACTCAATAATAAAAAACCCAACTAAAAACTGAGCAAAGGATCCAAATAGATATTTCTCAAAAAAGAAGATATACAAATGGCCAATAAGAACATGGATACTGAACATTATTTGTTATTAGGGAAATGGAAATAAAAGCCACAATGAGGTACCACTTCACACCCACTAATATAGCTATAATGAAAAAGACAGAGAATAACAAGTGTTGGCAAGGATGTGGAAGAAATGGACCCCCATAGGTTGCTGATGGGATTGTAAAACAGTGCAGACACTTTAGAAAACAGTTTGACAGTTCTTCAAAAGGATAAACACAGAGGTATCATATGACTCAGAGATTTCAATCCTATGTATGTATCCAAAAGAACTGAAAATGTCCAAAATATGTGGACTGAATATGTCCACAATAAACTTGCACGTGAATGTTCACAGCAGTATTATTCATAATAGCCAAAAGGTGGAAACAACCGTAATGCTCATCACCTGATAAATGGATAGATAGAATGTGGTATATCCATATAGTGGAACATTATTAGGCTATAAAAAATAGTGAAGTACTGATATGTGCTTCAACATGGATGACCTTGAAAACATATTTTATGTGAAAGAAGCTAGTCACAAAAGACCACATATTACATGATTTCATTCATACAAAATGTTAGAATAAGCACATCCATAGATAGAAGTAGATTATTGGTTGCTAAGGACTGAGGGAATATAGGGGGATGAACACAAAGGTGCATAGGGTTTCCTTTGGGGGTGATTAAAATGTTCTAAAATTGATTGCAATAATGGTTGCACAACTCTGAATATTCTAAAAAGCATGAAACTGTACACTTTAGATGAGTGAATTGTATGGATTGTAAATTACGTCTCAATAAAGCTGTTATTTAAAGAATAAAACTTAGGTACTAAGTAACCTAAATTGACAACATTCTCAAATGACCCAGCACTTTAATGCTATAAATTTATCGAGATGAGCTGCCCTCAATCCTGGTGTGGCCTGCAGGTTGGCAGCAAGAATTGCCATGAGAGAGAGGGAGTAGCATCACCCATGAGTGTGCAAGCAATAATTCACGGACAATCATCTCTATGTAGCAGCTACTGAGAGAAGTCCTTAAGAGCAACAATCTAAAGTATTATCTGTCAGGTGGGAAATTTCAAGAAGAAAAAGCTTGGGAGTATTGCTCTAGAGAGGTTCCCCTACGTGGTAAACAAATATCATAGAAAATCTAACTTTCTACTTTGTTACCTAGCAAAAGGGTAATCACTAAGCACCCCTCCTGGCCTACTCACACTTACACGAATGCAGTGAATAAACTGGAAAACACCGTCTCTTTTTTTGGAAGAATGCTATGTAAATATGAGATTTCATAATTCTCTTCCGTACGACAAAGGGCAACCAATGCTGGTAACTGTACAGAACTTTATAAGCAATTTTGTTTAAAAGTCAACTTTGTGTTTAAGATAAGGTTAACTTTCTCTGAATTTAACATCCCAGAACTTGATGGAATGCTGATAGGGGAAGTCGGAGATAGAATAATTTCTTTAATATCTTTCTTTGTTTTCAAATGATTAATTTTTATGAAGCTTAAGCAGATTAGCCCAGCCGGACACTTGCAGCACGCACCCTCATATGCATATTGGGTACTGCTTGTGATCCAGCTACTGAGGTCTGAACCGAACAGACCTGGGAAGTGTCTCAGAGCTGTCTCTCAGGCTCTGAGAGAAAGTAGCCAACATTACAGTAGACAGAGAGAGACAGAGATCAAGACAGAGACAGAGACAGCATAAGACAAAATACTTTATGAAATTGCCAAGTCCTCAAGCAATCTAGTTAACTCTCTCAGCAACTGTTGAACCAGGCTTTAACCTCAAGGTAAAAAAAAAAAAAAAAAAAAAAACCCAGCTATTCATTTTGCAATCCCCTCATGTCATCTAGTCTTAAGGGAGAGATACTGGGGTTAATCTAATCTACTACTCTACAGATTTTTTTTAAAAAAGAAATTCTTTAGGAGCATGCCACAGGTGTAATAAGAAAAATACCCTGAGAAGTGGAAAGAAGAGTCTGTATTTCAATGTCAAAAACATGAAAGGAGTGGAATAAAAGAAAATCGGGGACAGGCAGCACTTGAGGAAGCTGCAGACAAAGAGAAAATGGTGGAGGTGGGGGGTAGGGAGAGATTTCCTTTTCCTTCTCTGACCAAGCTCACAAAACTTGATTTTTTTGTTTGGTTTTTTTTTTTTTTATTTTTCAGAGTTGTGATTTCAGGTTTGGCTATAAAATAAGCCCTTGCTTTGCCACACCCAGTCCGCATTCTGCTCCCTGCTTATGCAAGGTTCCGAATGAAACTGGTGATCTTGATATCACCATTAAAAATAATCATAATAAAATTGTCCACATTTCTAACTCCAGTTCACATAATCCCACCAAGTAGCTTGTACGTGTACAAGCCGCAGTGCATATACGCATAAGGAGACCAAAGAATTTTTGTTTTAAATGCATATATGTACACTAGATGAAAAATTACTATGGGAATGAAAACACTTAACAAAGAAAATTAAACGTACCAGCAAATCCAGTATATTATTTCAAAGTTTACAGCTCAAAGAATGGAAGCTTGATGAGATAAAATTAGTACAGGCAAGAAAGCACCCCAAAATGACCCTGCAATTGGAAGCCTGCAAACTTCTTTGAAAATATCTCTCACCAGTGTTAATCTTTGGCTGACTTGAGCTGTGAACAAGCAAGAGGGCTACTTCCTGTGTATACTTCCGAATGGGGTGCCACCCAGTGTGGCTATTTGGTCCTCAGGTGTTGATTGTTGGGATCCAGACAGAACTCACCACCTATTTGCTGACCACAAAGAAAAGATGCTTCTTGCCAAAATATTGGTTCCTGAAGCCTATGGGCAGAAATAATCTGTCTTGGTTTCAAAGGAAAATTCTGCTTTACAAGACAAACTGTTGCTTGTAAGATAGTCATAAAAATGCTTGATAACTGAGAGGAGAGAGGAGAAGGAAAGAGGAATTAATAAAATGCCTTATTTTGAAAAATCTAATAGAGAAAGGGAGCAAGACTTGTCAATATCAAAGCACTACTAAAATACTACCTACTATGGAGACCAGAACAAATTACCAAGAGAAAAATTAAAATGTTCTTTTGGCATCTGGATAATTTCTCTAAACCCCAAACTCTAATTCTGGCATGCACTCTCTTAGAACCCAACTCCCAAGAATAAATTTTTGTCATATTATTGTGCTGCTTGCTGGAATATAAGAAGCCCTACTTTTGCCAAGGGAGCCAGTGGTCAATTAACAAAGTTGTAGTCCTGTTTGATCTCAGAGAGAAGACAGACAGCTCCATAAAATATCATCAGGGTTGCACACAAGCCCCATCACTTTTTATTTTTCCTTCTGTTCAAACCACATGCTAAATTAAGTAAAAGAGACCACCTTTGCATCTTCCCTCCTCTCAGCAGAAACACTGTAAATGTATAAGAACACAGAGTGAGTGCAGATGTTACTAAGGTTTAAAAAAACCCCTCCACAAAATTATGTACATAAACACACACATGAATGGTAAAGGGAGGGACCCAACAGGTCATTGGAAGCCTGCCCAATTTTGAGATTTTTAGCTCAAACATGGCACATAATGCATGCAACACAGAGAGGGAAGACACTCTTGCTTTGGCTTAAGAAATCTCTTGCCTTTCACCAAATTGTATCCCTACAAAATGAGGGAAAAAAAGAGAAAGTAAGAAAATATCAACTTTTGGATTGGAATTGATTGTATTCTGATTAAATTAATTTTCAATAAAAAGAAAGAAAATACTAACTTTTGTATTGGAATTGATTGCATTCTGATTAAATTGATTAATTTTCAATAAACCGGCTTAAGGATTTTCTATATCCTAGAAATGGAAAGTCTTCGTCAACTCACAAGACAGGAACACCAGTTGTCCCTTTAACTAGACTCCTCATATTCAGTGCAGCAATCACAAACCAGAAAAAAAAAATAAACTTGTACTTTCTGCAGGAACTGCTAAATTCTCATTAGTTTATGTCATTAATTTAAGCGGACTGTCAAGGAGGCACCAAGATATGATAACCTTCCTCATAAAGAAGCTTTTTTCATTAAGACCTGAAATAAAATCACCAAGCTCGTTGTCTACTTGATGGGAGTAACTTTTGCTCTCTATAGTTATTCCCTAAAAATTTTGGTTTTGTCTTTGAAGGCACACATTTTTTAGCAAATATGTGGAACCATCAGTTTTTTCCCTGTTAAGTAAGTAAGTTGTGGGGGAGGCATGCAGAAGATGGAAGGTTCCAGTGTCTGGGTTTAGTATCATGGCAGGTCAAAATGCACCTTAGACATTTTCCCCCAAGAAAAGTTTACAGTAGAAGAGGGGCTCCACCGTCTAGTGACAGCCCTAGAAAAAAAATTAACCCTACCAAGTAAATTTGTTCTTATAAAATGAAGAATACTTTTTTTGTCCCATAGCATAAACCCATTACAAAAATGAAGAGTCTAAATTAACTGGAAAAGACTTTGACAATATCAAATGAACCCTCTGAAAATCTTGTAAGTCAAACATTAAAAACCTAATGGAATGTAAAGCCTGGTAAGAAGCTGTTTCTTCAACAGCCCACGAAATAATATGAAATCCTACCCTCCTCTTTCTTTCTTTACTAACACTGTGCTATCTACCTTGTAAGAAGGAAAGCATCAGTGAAAGAAGGCAAATTGCTGGATTTAAGTCCCCAAACAAAGATGTTAAGGCTAACAAAGAAATTTCGGAGAAGTCACAGGTAAAAGAAAACAGCCATAGAAACAAAGAATAAGACAAAAGTCCACAGGGACATCAGCACCTGGCCTACCTGAGGAGTTAATTCCCCAATTCAGTCTGTCCTCCCTCAGCAGATAAACTAATATCTTAATTTGCTGGGGGAGAAAATCTTCAGCATGGTCTCCAAGAAGCTCAACAACTGCGGTGAGGAATAATTTTTAATAAGCACGATGCAATTGCCTGCCACTTTTCTCATATGCTAATTAAAACTTTGGGGTAAGATTACGGCTCATAGGTCATTAAGAGTTCTTACTCAATTTGTTAGAGCTAACTGCACATATTCTAAAATGCAAACATGTCCTAAAAATAAAGGAATATAATAAAAAACCTCACTCCACCCTCCCCAGTGGAGATTTTGGAGCACACTGAAATAGCAGGAAATGCTTTACAAAAAAATGTTTTCCAACAGTTTTGTAAGTCAGAGTCAAGCCTAATTAAATTGTACATTAAAAGAATATTCTCCTCTTTATAGATCTGATGCAAACCTGAAGTAGGGGGCTGTGGATCTGTTATAATCCACAGAGAAAATAAACACTTTACAAGAGAAAACCGACCCAAGCAACTACTTTCAACATAGTCAACCAACGTTGAGAAACTGTGAGTGCAAATCCTGTGAAGTCTTTACCAAGAAAGTTGCCCCTCTGCCTACTCTAAACATGACGGTTTGGATTATCTCTACTGACCTCCAGCCCTGGAGCAAGTCCCCAGTTGCTTCAGGAGAAAGAAGTTCACCCTTTCACACAGCAGACCTCAGCACCCAGAGACCACTTTCTTTCCCTAACCGAGAATTTCACTTTACCTCTCTGGAGGATACCCGCTGAGAAGCTATTGGGCCGGTCTTTTTGACTCTAATCTGCGCAGGCTGAAAGTGAAATCCTAACAGACCTGAAGAGGAGAAATTGCCCAAATTCCTGTTGAGGTTCTCAGACTTTGAGGACAGGAGGAAAGGAAGAGTGGAGGGCTTGGGAGCTTTATCTCTGAAGGTGGCCCGTGCAATAGGATTTCTGTTTGGGACCTCGAGTACCAGGAGGTAGTGAGAATTTGGGGCGGTTGGGGGAGTTGAAGAATCTGGGAGGGCAGGAATCAGCACCCAGGGCACGCAGCAGAAATTAGGAGAGCTCAGGTTAAACCTCTGGCAGGCCGGGAGTCCACGGGAGAGCTCTAGGTTTACCCTGCTGAGCTCTCCCAGGGGCAATCTGAGTGTTCGCGCAGGTAGGAGCCGCTAGATACCCCAGAACACAGAGTGACTCTGCCCTGGGCCGAAAGGCGACATTTCTGGAAGGAAAAACTTACCGCATGTCCCCGTAAGGTCCGGAGTAGCTATCCATCCAGGGGCCCATTTCGCTTTTGACACAAGTGGGACTGGGATAGGGCACTCTGCTCACCATGCCGCCAGGGTACCACACATCAGGTGCGGTGAAGTCGCTTTCCTGGCCCGCCAGCCCCTGAGGGGGCCGAGTGTAGCCGTAGGGGGCTACAGCTCCCGCCTCGCCGCCGCCGCCGCCGCCGCCGCCGCCGCCGCCGCCGCCGCCGCCGCCGCCACCACCCCCACCACCACCACACGGTCCATACAACTGGCCTTCTTCGGCTGTGAAGAGAGTGTGCCAGGATGAGGAAGCGGCGGCTGAGGGTGACCCAGAACCGGGTCCCGCTGCACCCGCGCCATGCAGGCTCGCCAGGTCCCCATAGCGGCACTGCGCCGCCGCAGCCGCCCAGGCGCTGCCGTAGTCCAGCGGGTTCTCCAGCTTGATGCGAGCGTGGGGATGGGGAGGCGGCGGAGGGGGCGGCGGTCCGGCCAGAGCCAGTGGAAAGTTGTAGTAGTCGCGACTCTGGTACGCAGCTGCCTCGTCCAGTGCTCCGGACTTGTAGAGAGACAGGGTAGACGGCAGTTCAAGTGTCCCGGAGCTCCCTGCTGCAGCGCTGCCAGAGCAGCCTAGGCTCTCGCCTTCTAGCCCTTTGGTGTAACCTCCCTTGAAAGGGGAATACTCAGCAGTATCTTCAGTGCTCTTGCCTGCGCTGTCGTCTAGCAGAGAACCTTTGCATTCGGCCAATGGGGCACAAGGAGTGGGACGCACAGCGGGTGGAACTCCCAAAAGTGGGGCGTACATGCAATCCCCCCGAAGCTGTTCCCCTGGACTCAGATGCTCCAACGCCTCCACACCCAGGCCCATGGACACCGACACTGCCTTACACAACTCCTTGGCGTTGTCAGAAATGGTCGAAGTGCCCCCTAAGTAATTGTCCTTGGAGGAAGTGGGAGCCCCCGAGGCCTCCCTCGCTCTCCCGCTGCTGCTGCCTTCGGATACTGCTTCCTGCTGCTGTTGCTGAAGGAGTTGCATGGTGCTGGCCTCGCTCAGGATGTCTTTAAGGTCAGCGGAGCAGCTGCTTAAGCCGGGGAAAGTGGGGCCCAGCAGGGACAACGTGGATGGGGCAGCTGAGTCATCCTCGTCCGGAGGTGCTGGCAGCTGCTGCGGCAGCCCCTTGCTGGCGGCCACGGCGGCTCCAGGCTCTGGGACGCAACCTCTCTCGGGGTGGCACTCCAGGGCCGACTGCGGCTGTGAAGGTTGCTGTTCCTCATCCAGGACCAGGTAGCCTGTGGGGCCTCTACGATGGGCTTGGGGAGAACCATCCTCACCCTGCTGCTGCTGCTGCTGCCTGGGGCTAGTCTCTTGCTGCTGCTGCTGCTGCTGCTGCTGCTGCTGCTGCTGCTGCTGCTGCTGCTGCTGCTGCTGCTGCTGCAGCAGCAGCAAACTGGCGCCGGGAGGTGCTGCGCTCGCGGCCTCTGGGTGCCTGGGGCCCGGGTTCTGGATCACTTCGCGCACGCTCTGGAACAGATTCTGGAAAGCTCCTCGGTAGGTCTTGGACGGCGGCCGAGGGTAGACCCTTCCCAGCCCTAACTGCACTTCCATCCTTGAGCTTGGCTGAATCTTCCACCTACTTCCCTTACCCCGCCTCCCCTTCTCTTGCTCAGAAGAGTTCAACAGGCTGTGATGATGCGGTAGTCGCTGCAGCTAGCTGCCCACCTGCGGGAAGCTCCAGAGAAGGAAACTTGCGGGAGCAACCACGCAAAAAGCGCTCTGACAGCCTCAAAGTCTCGTGCAGAAGAAGACACACGGTGGACAAGATCTGCCCTGCTAGGCTCACAGTCTGTCTCTTAATACTTGAAGGGTAGATTCAAAAGATGCCCAGATCTTAAAAGAAAAAAACAAAATCCTCCACCTTCCAAATTCAGTGTCCACTGAAGTAGGTGCAAATAAGAACTGAGTTATTATCTTTTTCTTTTATTTCGGCTTTTTTGTTTTTGTTTGTTTTGTTTTTTGGCTACTGAAGACCTGACTGCCTTTTCATCTTTTGATCTCTGGCTCCGCACTCGGGGTGGGGAAGGCAGGAGGAGGTGGAGAGAGAGTGGGGGAAAACAGAGGGTTCTCTCCGCGTGCAGCCTAACCAGGCGGGTCGTGGCTGCAGTGCTGAAGCCGCTCCCCAGTCGCCTGGCTCCTAAGAGCCTTCTTTGCAATGTGCAGCTAGCTCGCCCGCTCGCAGCCAAAGGGAGTTACCTCTCTGCAAACTCGGGCTGGCAGCGCTGGGCCGACGGGGGCGGGGGGGCGGGTGGGGAGAAGGGTGGTGAGGGGGGTTGGCTGAGAGTAGCCGACTGAGGCAGCTGCGGGAGAGAAGACGGGGGAGGGGGGGAAGGCAGGGTGGGGGGAGGCGGGGTGGAGAGGAGGAGGACAAAGGCAGCCGTCAGTCCTACCAGGCACTTTCCTTGCTTCCTCCGAGTCTTTAGCAGCTTTTAAAAACTTCACCGAAGAGGAAAGGGCAGCTCCGGGCGGCGGCTTCGAAGCCGCCGCGCTGCAAGAGGCGTTGGCTGTCGCTGGAGCCGGGCTGGGGCTGGCGTGGTGCGTCCCTTCGGCTCCTGTACAGCACTGGAGCGGCTAGCTCGGCCCTTTTTCCCTCTGTCGCCTCCTCTGCCTCTGGGCTTGCTCCGGACCGTCCCGCTCTCCCAGCAAGCTGGCTCCCCGGGATCTCGGAGGGGGCGCTGGGAGGTGGAGAGCAAATGCAACAGTTTGCGAGTCGGGTCCCGCCCCCACCGGGCCGGCCTCCTTGCCTTCCCACCTCCTTTTCCCTCCCCTCCCCTTTCCTTTTCTCCCCTCCCCTCACCGCGCGCTAACGCCTGCCTAGTGGCTTTGGAGAAACAAGTGCTGGCGCAGCGTGGGCGAGGGCAGGAGAGGCTAGCTCTAGCCCTGGAGGACCCCTGCTTCCTGAATAGCTCCTGCTTTCCTAAACCAAGGTTTAGGCGCCAGGGCTCCAGATTTCCTGGAGGCCAGCACTCACCAAATTTGGTTCCAAAGCCCAATCTAAAAAACCAACAGGGTGGAGGCGAGGGAGGGAGGAAAAGGACGATAGGAATACCTGCTCCTGGCTGCCAGGGGTTCTTTTCAGGACTGATAAGAGCGCGCAGATGGGAGAGTGGGAGAGTCTCCTACAAACTGAGGAGCAAGCCATGACCAAGCCAGCAGATACTTGCTGAAACCTTAGATTCCGTCATAGGGATAGATCGGGCCTCGTGGCATTGTGCCATTTGCTCTAGGAACCCTCAGCCCCAAGAATCAGAGGTCATTTCTACCCTCTTCTCTGCCTTTCTTCCTGTCTGGAATTGCCTTTAACCATGCATTTCTCATCCAGACTCTCAAAGGCAAAATCACCCAGACAAGCAGGTAAACACACAAACACTAAAAACACTTGCCATGTACACATAGGCGCTCAATTTTGTCCAGAGCTCTGTAAACGTTTGCTTTGTATGCAGCCGCTTGCTTTTCCAAGTTGCCTTCGCATATTTTAAACTTTACAACTGGAACTATCCAAGGATAGAACCTATATAGGGCTGCTTTTCGCCTCTTGATGGACAGCCAGGCGTAGAGGATGATGTGGGTTACTGCAACTGCTCTTTTGTGGAGGAGGTCCCATAAGCCCTGTGTAAAGGTGGAGATGCAAGTGGGAATGGAAAGAGAGAGAAAATGTAAACGTAAACCTATAAGGAAAACATCTTTCCTTTATGTCAGTAGAGACCCTGGGCCTCCCTATGTTTTAAATTCCTTTGACTTCTGATTCTGGGGAGGCTCTCTGTTCCAAAAGTCATTCCGAGATTTTTGCCTGGGTCTCTTTTGCTTTTTGCAGTCTTCTACAGAGAAAAGATGGGTTGTAGCTTTGTTGTAGCTTTATCTTGTGCACAGCCAAACATCATAGGCATTTACTTACCTTGACCAAAGAAGGTAACTCAAACCTAAAGGCAAGGAAGACTGGATATGATAGGCTCTATTTCACAGATGAACAGGCTGAAACAAGGACATAATTTGTTCTATGTTCCACATTAGTAAAACCTAAACTAGTCTTCCAGTCCATTGCTATTTGAGCTAGACTCTAGACTCATCAATCGCATTGTCATTTGGGAAATGGCTATAAATGAACCTTCCAGAACACAAAGGCCTGAAGACCCTTTCACCTGAGGAGGTGAAAAATTATTTCCTGAGATTTTAATGGCTACAGCCTTCCTTGAATATACCTCACCATATGTAAGTAGAATGCGTAGATACTTCAACCTCATTTGAATACTCATTGCAACATTTAATCCCACCACAACTTTCAACTAGCATTGCTCAATAGGAATTGAGTGGGCTGGCAGGATGGTAGAATGGAATTAACATAGGTCTCAGAGCCAGGAGAACTATGTGTCTACACACTAACAGTGAAGGAAGGTGCAAAAATCACTGAATGAACAATGGACAGGAGTGAAGAGGACACATAGACACAAAGAGGCCTGAAAAAAAATTAAGGTGAGAAATAATGCTCTGAAGTTACTCTGAATAAAAAGCAGTCTGACATTCAAACCTGGGTCTGAAAGACTCCAAAGTTTATGTTGCTTCCACATCACCAACATTGTCTTCACAGTTTCCACATCTGAAAACTGTTGCCAATATAAGTTACCCTCAGAAGGCTAGTGTGTCATTTAAAAGACATAATGTGTATAGAACAAACTTGTAAACAGGAAAGCATTCTACAAATCTGAAGGATTACTATGTTATTTTTATTTTTAAAGATGGTGCTGTCAACAATTATATCATTATCAGGAAAGGTTAACTACTATAAGCATATTAGGGCCATATACTTTATTTGGATTTTGAACTCTGATCTTCCAGCTCAAATCTCATTTTCTTCCCATTGCTTTTAAGAACAAGAGACAATTATTGATTAATATTATATAAGTTCACTGTTTGTACCAGCTTTCTTCTTCTTTCTCCTCCTGTTCTTTGCAGTTTTTTAGTAATCAAATGGAACCAGAGGTGTTCTCTCAGATTAGTCAGGTTGAGAGTAAGTTTCTGCTATAAGCTTCCTCTGCAACTTCAAGAGGGATTTATTAATAAAGTCTTCCCTAGCTCTTTGCTCTGGAAAGCCAGGATGAGCTGACCTTTGGAAAATGGTGACCATCGGGTTTTATTTCCTAAGTATCTCACACATCTGCCCATTTATTTCATCTCTGTTGTTGCCAACCTAGTTCACTTCCAGAAGGCACCGTTCTCTTCCACCTGGAGCACTGTAAATGGTCATCCTCCCTCCACTCTTTCCTAGAATCAGTTCTGCATTGTGCAGCCAGAGGGTTTCTTTTTAATAGCCGTACTGAGGTATAATTGATATATACAATAAACTGCACATATTTAAAGTTGCATAAATTGATCATTTTTGACACACGCGTGCACTCATGAAATCATCACTCAATCAAGATAGTGAATATATCTATGATTCCAAAAGTTTTTATTGTGCCACTTTGTACATTTTCCCTCCACCTCTCCTATACTCCTCCTCCTCAGGCAACCAATGATCTGCTTTCTGTCAGTATAGACTGTTTTTCACTTTCCAGAGTTTTATGTCAATGGAACTATACAGCATGTACTCTTTTTTTTTTTTACTTGCATCTTTCACTGAGCACAATGCCTTTGATGTACATTTAAGCTGTTATGTATATCACTAGCTCATTCTTCTTTATTGCTAAGTAGTATTCTATTGCATTGCTGTACCACGCTTTGTTTATCCATTCACTTTTGATGGACATTTGGGTTCTTTTCAGTTTGGGGCTACTACAAATAAAACTGCTATAAATATTTGTATAAACATCTTTGTATGGATGTATTCTTTCATTTCTCTCAGGTAAATACTTAGCCATGGAATGGGTGAGTCACAGGGTAGGTATACACCTACTTTTGTAAGAAACTTCCAAATCATCTTCCTAAGTGATTGTATCATTTTACATTTCCACTTCACCAATACTTGGTATGGTCAGTCTTTTTAATTTTAGTATTCTAATTAGAGGTGTCTTTCCCATTTAATTTTTATTTCTCCCATGAATAAAGATGCAGAGCATTTTTCATGTGCTTATTTTACAATTGTATACTTTCTTTGATGAAGACTGTAAATTTTTTCTCTTTTTTTTTTTTTAATTGGGCTACTTGTAATTTATTATGGGGGTTTTAGAGTTATGTATTCTGAGCACAATTCCTTTATCAGAAATATGATTCAACAATATCTTATCTGTAGTTTGTCTTCATTATCATACCAGTGTCTTTTGAAGCACAAACATTTTAAATTCTGATGAAGTCCAGTTCATCACTTTGTTCACTTATGAATTATGTTAACTTACGGATTATGGTGTCAGATATAATAAATCATTTTCAAACTCAAGATCACACAGATTCCCATCTGTGTTTTCTTCCAGAAGTTGTATAGCTTTCAGTTTTACATTTAGGTCTGTGATCCATTTTGAATTAAGTTTTGTAGACAGATACCCAACTTTTAATATAGATGTCCTATTGTTTTGGCACCATTTTTTGAAAATACTATTCTCTCTCCACTTTGTTGCCTTTGAATCTTTGTCAATAATTAACTCTCAATATATATTTGCATAGAGGGTTTTTTAGAAAGTTTAATCTGGTCATATTATTTCCCCGTTTAAGTCCTGTCACTGTCTCCCCATTGCTCTTAATAGAAAAGTCCAAAACATTAACCATACCCCACATGATCTGCCTCTCTGATCTCATCTCATACACCTTTCCTCCTGTTTTCTGAGATCCACTTACACTGGCCTTTATTCAGGTCCTCCAACGACTCCATAATCCTTCCTGCCTTTGCATATTCTGTTCCCTCTACCTGCAATGTTGGTTCATCCTTCTCTCTATTTATCTAGTTAATGCCTATGCATATCAGCACATCCAGGAAGACTTCCTGAACCACCTAGGCTAGCTCAAGTCCCTCACCCACTCACCTTTTAATATATTTTAATAGCACCCAGTATTTGTTGGAGGACTTCTCACAATCTGTTTTCCTCACTGAACTGTATGTTTCCTAAGAGCAGGAATCATGTTGGTTTTTGTTCATCATTGAATCCTTAGGACTCAGCCTGGTGTGGGACATGGTCATTGTTTAATAAATATTTTTTGAATAAATGAATGGATTTTATTTTCACAGAATTAAAATTCTGTTTCCAAACTGGGAGTTTTGGTTTTGGGGGGTTGCCAAATGCCCTGTGATTTCAGCATATTTAGGTATGTAATAAACCTTTTTTCAACTTATGAGCAAAGTAGAGAATCACTCCAATTCATGCACTGAACGAATATTTGTTAAGCATTTACTATTTGCCAGGCTCTGTGCTAGGCACTTGGAATTCACTGATGAATAGGACACTGTGGACCCTGCATTTAAGGAGCTCATTCATGATCCAGGAAGGAGAGTGAAGAACAATTTAAATAATTACATTTGAACTGGATTGGAGATGAAAAGAGGGGCTTATGAATAAACTTTCAGAGTTGTTGCCTCTGCTGATTTGTGGACATCTGCTATTTCCTTTGCATAGATGCTTATAATGGACTACTTTCTCATCTCAATATTCTTTCTGTCCTCAATGTTGAAGCCATCATCTCATCTTATCCTTTCTCATAGCTCCAGCCCTAACTTCTCCCCTGGCTGCCCTCTTCCAGGCTATCTTCAACAAAATGAGAACAGAGGGTTCTTTCTTAAAAGACAACTCTGATAGCATCTGTCCTCTGCTCTATAACCCTCAATTACCTGCATCAGAGGTTTCAAACCCAAATATCTCTTAAGTAACAAAAATGAGTGAAAAGAGCTTGGTATTAGAGAGATAAAGGGAAGTGGTGGCAGCTGTAATCGACTAGGGATCAGATGCCCCATGTAAAGTGGGCAGTCACTACGCAGCTCCAACTGATTGCTGTCAGTCAGGAATGTGGCCTCAATGTTCCAGATGTTTCATTATTTTCAAGAACAGCAGCATTCCATATTTTAATGTGGCATCTCTTGATTTTTGAAAATGATGGCTACTAATTCAGATGGTTTAAAATCATCATGCAGGCCAAACCTCTGCAGGCCAAACAACACATGTCTGTTGATAAGAATCAGTTTATGGGCTGCCAGTCTGCAAACACTGGCCTGCAGATTCATGTCCAAGTCCCATAGCCTAGCCTTTAAAGTCCATCACAATCAAGTTTCAATTTTTCTTTACAGCCTCTTCTCACACCTCTTCCTCCTACCAACCACCAATCTTTTTAGTCACATCAGACATCTTGGGCTCCCTCTGAATATACTCCATACTACTGAAGACCTGACTGTCTTTGGACCTTGCTGTTACCTTTTACTGAAATTGTATCCCCCCTCTCTTCCTTCATGACCAAATTCAACTTATCTTTCAAACGACAGCCCAAATGTTGAATTCTTTGGGATTCAATATTGGGAATTATTTTCTAGATTGATTAATCATAGTTAATTTATATAGTACTTTATTTCTATCTCTTTTAAAATACTTATCACAACCAGATATGTATTCTAATTTTATAGATGGAGATCTATAGATATAGAAATAAATCTTTCTCCTCCACCAGGCAGTATCTCCCACCTCCTGCATTGCCATTCCTTCATTTCTCTAATTTGTTAACAAATAAGTGGAAATTTTCACTGTATGCCAGGCACTCTGCTAGACACTGGGACTAAGAGCTCTACATGTTTTGTTTAACCAAAATATAGGTATACAATATTAAATGCGGCCAGGCGCATTGGCTCACTTCTGTAATCCCAGCATTTTGGGAGGCCAAGGCGGGCTGATCACAAGGTTAGGAGTTCGAGACCAGGCTGACCAACACGGTGAAACCCCATCTCTACTAAAAATGCAAAAATTAGTCAGGCATGGTGGCGCAGGCCTGTAATCCCAGCTACTTGGGAAGCTGAGGCAGGAGAATCACTTGAACTCGGGAGGCGAAGGTTGCAGTGAGCAGAGATCATGCCACTGCACTCCAGCTTGGGTGACAGAGCAAGACTCCATCTCAAAAAAAAAATTAAATTAAAATATGTTACAAAAGTAGTATAAGAAAGAGAGGGGCTCGTCTATACTTCTGCTGTTTTACTCCTAATGATAACTTACTAGGAACCCACTGTGATATACTGGCATTGCAGAACACTGATAATTACATATTTTTGCATAAGAAACCAAGCAGTTTTATTCCTACTTTATAGAGGGGTTAACTGAGGCTCAGAAATATTAGGTAATTTGCCCAAGGTCAGCCAGCTAATCTGAGGCAGGGCCCGTACTATGAATCTGGGTGTTCTATTAGAAAGCAATTGATCTCTTACCACTCTACTTCAACTACCTCTCTGATGCTATAGTGTGGTGCTCTGTTCATCCATAATATAAGAACCAGACATTAGGTAAGCAGGGACGTTATTGAATCTTTGTTATAGCAAGGCATTTTGTAACAGAGTTGTACAGTTACGTCTGATGAAAAATAAAAATAATTTCCATTCTTATTTATATGCCATGTGACCTCTGTCTTAATCACTTAACCACTTTAAACCTCATTTTACTTTTTTTCTAAAATGGAGATAATAACTTCTTTCTTGATGATTTGTTGTGAAAAACCTAGTAAAATGATGAATGCAAAGAAAATGCATAATAAAGATTATTTTAATTGTCTATTATGTGACAACATGTATATTGTGTAATTGTAATAATAACTCTCCAAGTGAAATATTATTGTTTGTTATTATCCCCATTTTAAAGGTAACAATATTGAGGCAGAGTTAAAGGTTGAAGCCTGGTTTGTTTGACACAAAACTGACTGTCATATTACTTCTCAGGCATTAGGCAACAGTTAATTACCGGTATCATTTGTGTACTGCTATTTGCTTTTCAAAATGCCTAAGGATATTTGACCCCAAGTTCAGGTGCCAGGGATAACATTTGGGATTCAAAGTTTAAACTCCACATTTAAAAGATTTCAAAACATGTGAAGCAGAGGTCAACAGTTGAAAATTAGTTTAGCAAGGTCCCTCTTCCTCCCTACCCACATTTCACTCTTCCCCAGGAAAAAAGCCCTATCCCAGTCCACTCTAGAAAAGTCCTTGGCAGCATTCTTTGCTGCAAAACATATATTTGTAGATGGCAAAATACTGGGAATCTTGGCTCATATTCATTTAGGCTCCACCAGGTACTGAGGTGGGACTCAGTAGCTGCCAAAAGGGAAAATGACCACCAGTCAAAGAACATATGTCACCTTTGGGCCTTTAAGAATGGAGTATTCTGGGGAAATCAGAATGAGGCCAAAGATGCAATTGAGGCTACTGCTATCTTTCACAGTAACAGAACCTCGCTGTAGAATTCAAAGGTACTAAATGATTGCTGTCATATCCGTATTACTTCTCTGGTGAAATAATACAAATGATGAGGAGGGGTGCCTTCACCCTGTCTTCGCACCTTCACTCTCTGGCAGCAGTGATACCACCTGACTTTTGTACAGGACATTGTGGTAAACAAAGAACATTTGCATGTATTACCTCAGTCAATTTTCATAGAGACTTTTGGAGTGAAGCACAGCATGCACTATTATCTCTGTTGCACAGGAGAGGAAACTGAGCCTCTGAAAGCTTAAGTGACTCACCCAAGGTCATTTAGCTATTCAGACGCAGAGAAATATGGGGCACGCATTCTCCTTTGTCAGAATTATTTCTTCCACACCAGGGTTTTAAGAAATTAGCCCCACTCATCAAGTGATCCCTGGTCCCCAGAGATACAAATTATTTGCTGCTAACTGAAAACTTTGGTTAGGGTTGGACTGGCTCTATCTTGACTTGAGGACAAATTATTTGTACTCATTTCCTGGCAGCTGCTTCTGGGAATGGGTGACAGCGAAGTCACAAGGGAATAGCACTGATGATGTGTTATAGGTGGAATCCCACAATTCCTTGCTAATGCCTTCCTCTACTTGCCTAACAGAGAAGTATGACATATCTCAGAAGCCCCTGAGGAAATGCCCCCAGCCCTCTTACTTTCACTCTGATCCAGGGCAGATAACTACTTAGAATATCATGAATCAACTTGTGAACGTCAGAAGTTTCCTTAATTTCTGGCCGAGTAAAAATGTAAGTTAATAAAAAGAAGGGGTGTTATTCTCTCATATTTTGGAAAGTACAGGGTTATCAGTAGGAATTCCTATACCTAATGAGTCACAAACAGTGCTTTGGTATTTGTCAGTTGAAAATCTGTTACTTTATTTAGATAGATGATTCAAGCTTTTGTAAACTAAAATTTTGAATTATTATGATCAAAGCCATGGAGAAAAACAAACAGTATTTTTCAACAGACCAAAACAGATTACATTCTCATAGAATACCAATTCTGGCTATATTATTTCCTGAATCAACTGAAATCTGGGACTAAAGCATATTCAAATACAACAATCAAATACTAGCATATCAGAAATAGCCCCTTTGTCTCCCATTCAGCATTATCATCCCTTAGTCACCCGCTTTTCAATGCTGGCCAAAATGTAACTGTGTGCACTATGGCAGTGTCCAGAAAACTTGGATGCAAAGCTGTTAAAAGCAGTTTCTGTCAAAGATGGCAAACCAGGACAGTCATATGGACACAAAAGGAGTACAATATTGCAAGGACATTTAGCTTGTGTGTTCAGATTGAAATGAAAGGGCCTTATCAAGGAATAACAAGGTTGTGGTTCTATTATCTATTATAGGATATAAGTGATGGACTATTATAGCAGCTAACATTTATTATACACTGACTATGTGCTAGCCATTTCTCTTCTTTTCTTTCTTTCTTTTTGTTTGTTTGTTTGTTTGTTTTTGAGATGGAGTTTCGCTCTATCGCCCAGGCTGCTGGAGTGCAGTGGCACAATCTTGTCTCATTGCAGCCTCTGCCTCCTATGTTCAAATGATTCTCCTAGCTCAGCCTCCCGAGTAGCTGGGACTACAGGTGTGTGCCACCACACGTAGCTAATTTTTGTCTTTTTAGTAGAGATGGAGTTTCACTATGTTGGCCAGACAGGTCTTGAACTCCTGACCTCAGCTGATCCACCCTCCTCAGCCTCCCAAAGTGCTGGGATTATGGGCATGAGCCACCGTGCCCGGCCTAGCCATTCTTCTAAGAGCCTCACATGAACTAACTCAGTATGAACATGATCTCAGTCATTCTTCTAACTGCTTTACGTGAATGAACTGAATCCTCACAACAATCCTATTAGAAAGGTACTATTATTATTTTTATTTTACAGATGAGGAAAGAGAAGCTCAGAGAATATAGCAACTTGTTGAAAGTCATACAGGTAATAAACAATAAAGTCAGGATTGGAACCCCTGAACTTGGCTCTAGATCTTATGTTATCCTGACTACTAAATGATATTTGTATGTCATGTGTGTGGGCCTTTTCTCTTAGTCAAAATGCACCTACTATGTGCTAAACATGCTCTCGAGAAGCTCATAATACAAAGTGAAGAACCAAAGTCATCATTTTTCAACATTCATGGAATAGACTTCTATTTTGTTGAAATATCAGAACAACTGGTACATGTACAGCAGTTTAGACTTTTCAAAGCTTTTGCCCCCCATCTAATCCTAATACACTTTATGAGTTCAGCTGGGGAGGTTTTTCCTTTTTTCATCTGCTTTTCATTTTTCTAATTCATTTTCCCTTCCTTTCTCTTTTTCCCAATATACACTTCATTTTCAGTAAGGGGAATATTATATTATTTTAGCCTGGCCCCTGTAGCTCAACCTCAGGGCCGATTGCTAAAACCACTGTAGAAATGAGAGCTGGAACTGTCATAGTTTGTTGTCCAGGAACCAGGACTCCTGGAAAACCTGTCTGTTGTACTGATGCCTGGTCTGTTGGTTTATTTGGGGATCACCTTGATCTTTCTTTCTCTATATAGAAAGACCAAGGAAGTCCTTTCTGACTCTTTGTTTCAGAACTCTGTATATACAAACCCCTTGGAATGGCCTCTAATTAGCCAAAGAGTATGGTAACGCTGTTGACTGAACCACAACCATAAAAGTGTGCTTCCAGCACTTCTGCTGTTGCATCATAGTTCACATTGCCAACATAGATGGAAGCGACATCAGCCTTCATCTTCTCCTCAATGGATGATCACTGGGCTAGCATTGTCTAGAGGTAGACTTATATTCATCTGCTTGTCTACTTCATTCTGTAGCTCCTGAAGCTTTTCAGCTTCTTCCTCTGTCTTCCTTACTTGAGCTCCGGGTCCTCAATGCTACCATACCCCAGATCATCCACAAATAGTCCTGGCTCCTCTTTCTCATCCTGGCTGCCAGAGGCTCCTGATCCAGGACCAGGGCTTCCCCTTTTGGGGTCTGGTTCAGGCTCAGGCTTTAGCAGCAACTCTCAAACTCCAGTTCTTCAGACTCCAGGTTGTTCCCATAGTCCACTGCATCCTCCAGTTCCCAATCCTGGCCTCCCTATCTGCCTGGGCAAAAGATGGTGCCACCACTGCCCTAGCCCAGAGCCTGGACACTTGCAACTGCAGCTACTGCTGCCACTCCAAGAAGATATTTTTATTCTCATTTCATAGATGAGGAAATGAGGCTCATGAAGTTTAAATGGCTTGCTCAATTCCACACAGTTTGAAAATGATAAAGACAAGATTCAACCATCTTCTTTATTCTTTATTTTTACTTTTTCTAAGAGATGGGCTTTTGCTATATTGCCCAGCCTGGACTAGACCTTTTAGGCTCAAGCAATTTTCCTGCCTCAGCCTCCCTAGTAGCTGGGGCTACAAGCACATGCCACTGTGCGCGGCTCAAGATTCAGATATCTTCTGACTCTACAGCTTGTGCTCTCTAACTACTCTATGCCATATTGCATGAATGTCTCAACCACCTTGGGCTCAGAATGGCTGTGCTCAAATACTATGACATTGGCTTTAGTTGGTTAGAGGAAACATTTTGACTTCTTTAACCTGCCATCTTTATCCATGAGAATTACTAGCTCAAAGTCAAGATGTTCCACACTGGACTGAGACAACAAAAGTCATGAACAATCCAAAATCATAATACCTTGATATGTGTTTTAGGTCTGATATTGATCCTTGATGAATCTTTGAATTGCTTCGTGCCTCAGTTTCTACAGGTTTCTTAACGATGGAAATAGCACCTGGCCTACAACTTCTGCCATTAGAAAATCATGTGTGAACAAGTGATAACACAAATCAAAGAAGAAAATACTTGTATAATAGCAAGATTGTGTGAATGTAAAAGATCATTAATGACTTGTCTTTGGTTTTCATAAATATGGAGTTTTATTAGTTAGGAATTCTGGTTGCAAGAGAAGCCCAGTTGAGTTCACTTAAGCAAAAAGAAAAATGTCATAACTTAGCCTATGGATCTGTTTGTAAGTAAGCCTACAAAGATGTCTCACAGAACAAGTATTCTACTGGGCTTCAGATGCCATTGGAATAGGGACTCAATGCTCTCAGGACTCTTTCTCTCCCTCCATTTTCTCTGCTTCTCTTGGCATGTCTTGTCTTCTCTCCACTGACCACTTTCTTTATTCTAAGTCCAAATGGGAGAAAATGGCCATTGCTAACATTGCTAAAGTTCAAATTAAGAACCAAACTAAGCTGAAATCTCTTGGTCCAAAAGTCCAAGTGAGGACTTATTGTACAAGCTTGGATCAGATGTCCACCTTTTCACCAATTAATTGTCACCATAGAGTGGAATCTCATTGTAGGAACATCTTAGACCTCAGTAACCATGTAAATGAGGGGGTTCCTTTTGGAAAAATTGAGGGATAGTTTCCTTAAACTGGACTTTCTGAGAAGACAATCAAATAAATAGATTTCATTTACAGAGTCAGAAAGTACACATTTTTGAGAACTACTACAGCCTGAGGACCTTATTAGTGAGATTTGGAGATGAGTTTCTCTGTGTATATCAATAGATCTGTGCTCTTTCTTAATCCTATCAATGATCCATAAAATGTCTATGTTTTGAGGCTGCTAAACAGCATTTCCAGAGATATTGATAAACACTTCGTCATCTTCTTCCTTTACAGAAAAATAGATGAATGACTACTGTTCTAGGGGACATAATATGAAAAGTCTTTTAGCTGTGACATTTTATGGTTTTTCTATTGTAAGTCTCCTATAGTGGCAACAGCTTTCACCCACCTGGTATGATTGCCAAGGAACCTGAGCTTTATTGATATTCCCCAGAATACTACCATTAGTTTTCTGTTTGTTGTAAGGCTAAGCCTTCAATTCAATGCCCCTTTCCTTAGGAGTGGTCACCTATAAAGTTTTTGTAGTCATTGGCACATCAATATGAATTAATTGACCAGATCATTTCCTTAGAGCATATTGACTTAGAGAGGGGGAAAAAGGAGAACATTGGGAAGGCAATGAAAATGTGGGCTTCCTGTCAGGGAAAACAGGAAAGTTGAGTACAGGAAGGAATGACTGGAGGCTTAAAAGACAAAGGTTTTCTCCTTCACCATTACAGAGGTACACCTTCCTGGCTGTACAAAGTGCCTGGACACCACCAGCAACTGGGCTAATGCTGTTGATGACATTCTCGTATCCTTCAATCTTATCAGATTCCTGATCAGGATTCCATAATAAGATGGTCTCTGGTACCTGTAGCTAGCAACCCATGCCTCTTAGCTCCCCTGCCCTTGGGATCAAATAGGAACACAGCTACTAATAATTTCATCAGTATAGTAATATACTGTCCATAAGAACTCTTCTGTGTGTTATCTAATCTAATCTTCACAACTTTACTATAAAGTATGTTGGGCAATGACTATTCTTCCATCGAGGAAACTGAGGATCTTTTGAATAAAATATTACAGGAGCAAAGCAGGTATATGTCAAAAAGACCTAGCCTGTTCACTTTACAAAAGTAAGGATCTTGTGTGCTTTGTTTATTGCTCTTATCTCTGGCCCCTTGCACTAAGCTAGACATTTAGGAGGAACTCAATTGCGATTTGTTGAATGAATAAATTAATTTTCTTCACTTGGACTCACATCTTCTCTGACTCTCAAACTTATGCTCTATATTGTCAGGGAAGCAAACAAGAAATTATATTTGAGGAACACCTGAGGCCCTATATATACATATTTTATTTAATCCTCATTAGAATTCTGCAAAGTAGGGATTATTCTTTCTCTCTGAGGTTCAGAGAGGTGTAGCTTCTCACAGCTAGGAACTTACAGAGCTGGTATTTGAACCCAGGCATCTTGGCTCCATAGCCCTCAAGACTGCATTCATATAGAATTGCAATATCAGTTCCCCTCATTTCCCAGAGTCAGAATGAGAGGAAAATGAATGCATACAAGTCACCAAAGAGATCAAAATGTTGTCCAAAGTGAGAGACAATCATTAATATTGCGGGCTCATTCTGTCAAACTTTATTTTTCCTTGATAAAAATTTACCTTTCCCAAACCCATTTCCTCCAAGAAGCTCACCTTAAGTGTGAAGGATTTACAGTGCCTCAAGTCACCCACCTGCTGCCTCAGGCCTTTCTAAACTTCCAATAAACTGAAATGAAAGAAAATTTTTAATTTGCATATTTTGTTTTCAAAGTCTTTCTGGACAGAGGTTATGCCTTTGATTGGGTTATAGAAATAACCACCATTCAATGATGAAACTCAATGATTATTAAATAAAATCATTTACTCAGTGGTAGATAGCAATAACAACAACAACAATAATTTTTTAATCACTTCTATGTGCATTGTGCTTTCCAGTTTATAAAGTGCTGTCACTTTCAGTAACTCAGTTCAGGACTTTCGTCTCCCACTCTCATACCTTTTTATCACTCTTTTAAATCCTTAAAACCAGCTGTGTTTTCACTTACCACATTTTGTTCAGAAGTTTGTATTTGTATTGGACTATTGGTCCAAAACCAGCGATGCCCAACCTGGTTTTTCAGCACCTTGGGAAGCTTTTGTTCACATTATTTCTTCTCCTTGAAATGCCCTTCTTCCTCTTCCTACTCCTTTTATTAGACTCTTACCTGTCTTCCAAGGCTCAGCTCAAAGTTTACATTTTCTGTGAAGCATACCAGATCCACTCCAACTCACAGTGCTCTTGTCCTTCTCAGAAGGCCTAGAACACTTCTACCACTCACTTGGCACTTAGCAGGGTATGCCTAATATTATTAATATTTTCTATATATCCTTACTATCCAGCAAACAATTGATGTTCAATAAATGTTGGCTGATCATATTGCCAGTGATCCCAGTAATGTACCATGAATTTTTCCAAATGTATGGAAATGAAATTTATTTCAATTAAAAAATATACAATGCTTACTTTTGTTCATATTGCACTTGCTCATATTGCTCACTCTGTACAGCATGTAATAGAGAGGACCTTGAATGTAGAATGATAGACATGAGTTGGAACTCTAGATTAATCATTTTTAGCTCTGTGAACTGAAGTCCCTTTACCTTACTATATATATGTATATGTATATGTGTGTGTATATATATATATATATATTTTTTTTCAGTTTTCTCATCACTACAAAGAGGCTAGAAATACCTTACCTACACTGTGCCTGGCAGGTAGCAGACCCCCAATAAATATCTTGTAAAACGCAGAATCAACACTTATTTATTTTTTTCTTCAACTTTTATTTTAAGTTCCAGGGTACATGTGCAGGATGTATGGATTTGTTACATAGGTAAATGTGTGCCATGGTGGTGTGCTGCACAGATTAACCCATCACCTAGGTATTAAGGCCAGCGTCCATTAGCTATTCTTCCTGAATTCTTCCCCCCAACCCCCACAACAGGCACCAGTGTGTGTTATTCCCCTCATGTGTCCATGTGTTCTCATGGTTCAGCTCCCACTTATAAGTGAGAACATGCGGTGTTTGGTTTTCTGTTCTTGAATTAGTTAGCTGAGGATAATGGTTTCCAGCTCCATCAATGCCCCTGCAAAGGACATAATCTCGTTCCTTTTTTATGGCTGCATATAGAGAATCAATACTTATTTCATAGGGTGGATATTATGGCTTGAATGTTTTTGTCCCCTCTAACATTTATGTTGAAACTTAATCACCAATGCAAAGACACTGGGAGCTGTGCCCTTTGGGAGGTGATTGAGGGCTTTGTCCTTATGCATTAGGTTAGGTACTCTTATAAAAGGGCTTGGTGGAGGGAGTTCATCCCCCTTTCTTGCTTGTCTGCCTTCTGCCATATGAGACCACAGCATTTCTCCTTTCCAGAGGATGCAGTGTCCAAGGTGCCATCTTGGAAGCAGAGACAGACTCCCACCAGACAATGAAGCTGTCTTTATAAATGAACCTGTCTCAATAAAGTTTGAGAACTACTGTCCTATGATATCATAAGCTTCTACACCCAGGCAAGAGAAGAACGAAGAGAGAATAAGAAAGGTGCACCTGCTTTTTAAGTGCTGTGGCCAGGAAGTGACAAACATCACTTTTTTCATATTGCATTGATAAAAACTGATTATATGCCATGCCTCCTCACTTCTCAGCAATAGTTTTTATATTATAGAGATGTACTAATTAAATAATCATGCCCACTCATAATAAATTTGCAATTATGTTAAGAGAAACAAAGAAAGATACCAGTGCCCTTAGTGTATGAAAAGGAGGCTTGCTATGGACAGTGAAGTTAGAGGTTTCTCTAAAAAAATGACCACTGAGCTAAGATTTGAGGCATCAGTAGAACTAGGCAAAGATAGGTAGGAAAAATTCTCAAAACAAAAAGAATAGCATGTGTAAAGGCCCTGAAATGCACTAGAGCATGGTTATTAAAAGAATCAAGATGATTTATGCAAAAGAGGATTGGAACAGTAAAGCATTGTGCAAATGCTATCATTTTAAACAGTCGTTATTATTTATTTTCATACTCTCCTCTGATATCCTGCAACTCATTTCTCTAGGCTTAGCTGATTCAATTTTTTCCAACCTGGAAGGGAAAATGGGATAGGGTTATAGAAATTTGAAGGTACTGAAAAACGAGTCAGAAAAGAACCCGAGCTCTGTTTTCACATTAAATAAAAAACATGCAAATTAAGTACTCACTGACATATTCTATTAGCCATCACTTTTGCAAACATTGTTAAGCTTTTCCCCTTTGCTGCCAGTCAGCTAGAAAAGATCCTGGTAATATCTTTAATCCATATACCTATCCATCTATCTATATATACTTTTACTTACCTGGCTTGTGCCATTGTGACTTTGGTTTCACAGTAAAATCCAGAAAAATACCTACATTTCCTGGACTGGAGAATATCAGACAGCAGATCTGTTTGGACATGAAAGTTAGAAACGAATGAATATGTATCCTATGGAGTTTAACTTACAAGGCTCATTTGGTGAAATCTTTTATATGGGCTTTCATGAATTACTGAGGCTAGGCAAATTCAAACCAATGCAACCCAAAATGCCCCTGTAGTCCTCCTATTGCCCCATTCTTTGGATACCCAAATTAGAAAAAAAATTATATATATGTAATATACATATTAGATATAATAACATATATATGTATATAATATACATATATACAAATATATAATATAAATACGTATATAAATAAGTGTTTCTATTTATAAGTGTCTCTATTTCTCTGTCTCGGTCTCTATATGAAGACAGAGAGAATATATATATATATATATTCTATTTTCCAAATAAAGAGATAGAAACCAAGACAGAGAAATATGTATATTTATATATATTTATTATTTATATAATATATTATAAATACATGCTTATAAATAATGTGTATGTTAATATTTTTATATATTTAACATATATAGAGACAAATAGAGACACTGATTTATATATGTATGTATATTATATATGTGTATATATGAAATAAATATTTAATAAATATGAAATATTTATTTTATATTTCATAAATATATATTATATATAAAGAAAGAGAGACAGAAACAGAGAAATAGACACACACACATATATAATCAGAGATAGATACAGAGAAATAGAGACATAGAGAAAGATCTGTGCTTTCAATCTGGATGAGGAAGTCAGAAATGTCTCTTAGATACCTTTTGCAGTATTCATCTACCACAGAGACATGGTATTTCTTCTATACCCACATGCTTTATAAATTCCCTTGCCATAGGGACCTCTGTACCCTTCTAGGGCAAGGAATGTGAACCATATGACTGACATAATCCTAGAGACCTGGATCTGAAATGGGAGAGAGATTGATAATCTTTTAGAAGATCAGTTAGATTAATATATAGCTTGGGACACTGAAATCCAGAAATAGGAAAGGATGACTGCAGTATGTCAACAGCAGGACATAGATTGAAATCCCAAGCCCTATCTCACCCCTCCACTCCTCACCCCTGATTGGTGCTCTTTCTAATACCTCCCACTGGATAACAATTAAACTTCTCCAGTGCCAAAGTGACTAGAGTTAGGGTTAGGGTTAAGGTTAGGGCTTTAAATGAGTGAAGAGGTTTGTGTGGCTAGAGCAGAGAGTGAGTTGAGAAGAAAAGTTTAGGTTACAGCAGCTTGTAGAGAACCAAACCAATGACTTCTGGCTTTATTCCGTAGCCTTCTGGAAAACATTGCACATTTTTAAGTAAAATTGTGACATAGATTTGTTTATTCATTCATATACTTGCTGCACTCCAAAAGATCTTTCAACTGACAAATTGTCTCTGCTTAAAATCGCTAACTAGCTCCCCATTAGCTTTAGATATAAGCTAAGCTTCTTAATGTGGCATCTGAGACTCCTATGGCTAGGTCCCATCCACCTTCCTCTCCAGCCTCATCTCCCATCCCTTCAAGCCTTGCACTCTAAGGTTTACTTATCCTGACTCATTATAATTTCCTGAGCATAGAGTGCTGTAAGAGACCTCCTTGCCTTTGCTTTTTCTGCTTCTTCTTTGGCATTTATTTCTCACTGTTTCCCCCCAACTACTTTCAACCCTACCTGGCGATCCCTTTTACAGGAAGTCTTCCCCGATGCCCCTAGGTTGTGTTGGATCCTCACCCTCAGTGCTTTCAAGGCATTCAATCTCATTTCTAGCCTATAATTAATCACATTATATTGAAAGCATATATTTACTTCTCTGGTTTCATAAACAGCCTTTGAGCTTCTGAAGAGCAGGGAGTAGACTCAGTCCACTTTGTCCCCCCAGTTCTTAGTACTGGCTTGGCACAGAGTGATTGGCTCAGTAGGGCATGTTGAAATAGACTGAGAGTTGGCCAGTTTGAAGCCTTTGGTAGACATCTATGTTTCTATGCCTCTTTAAAGTCAATTCAGGACTCTAATGCCTCAGAGCCAAGGGCCTAAGTCAATATAGGACCTCAAGCCATGCCTCAGGGGCTTCTAAAATCAGATTATTGTAATAAATTCAACTGATTACGGATAAGATAAGGCTGGCAGCTGAATTTTAACAGTATGCAGGCATCCAGGCACAGCTAAAAGCCAGGAGTTGAAGAAACACCTTCTCTCCTCCACTCTTTGCCCTGACACAAATGTTGAGGTGACCTGGTTTAGCCAGGCTTACAGCCCGCCCAAGTGGCTGATCAGGAAGGTGAGACTAGCCATAGAGCTGACTGGAGATGTTCCCAGTTCCAAATTTGGGTTGAGGCTAAAGTCCCAAGCCAACCACAAGCTGTCTTGCACTGCTGCAGCTCCCTGTTCTCAAAGTGCTGTTTCAAAGAGGAATATTCTGAACAGGCTATAGTTACACTTGATGTGGAATTAGAAACATAGATTTGCCCCAACTCCCTTTCAGGGGAGAGGGTGGAACTCCCTCAGAAACCCTGGGGAAAATAAACTCAGAACCAACTTCTTCCTTTCCCCACAACTTTTACTTCTAGCTAGTGCATTCGCAGCACCAGAATAACAGGATAGAAAATGGTAACAAAATCAGTTATCTGGCCTTAGAAATCAAATGTATGTATAAAACTACTGTGATTTTTATTTTTCTCCCGTGTCTGGTTTTTCTTTTTTTTTTTTTTTTTTTTCCAGATTTCAGTCAAACAGGTTTCTGTGTGCAAACAAAATCAAAATGCCAGCCCTTGGCAGGGTTATGAGAGCACTGCTAAGTATGTTCCTCATAATAGTATGTTTTCCTGCTAAGAATCATTTCCAGAGTAAGATGTGTGTATGACGGAGGGGTGGATTTGGGTTGGGGGAGTATACTGAGGGCCAAAGAGATGAAACAGTCAATACCTTTCCTCTAAGGCAACCCAGGAATTCAGTACTGGAGCTGGGCAAAATCCCATCAGATGTTACAGTCTCTTTTTTTGGCTTTTGCTATTTCACCAAAAGAAAAGTACAGCCACCCAGATACCACAAATCTGTCAAAGATAACATTGTCTGGTGGTGGCAGTTCTGGGAGGAGGCCCAGACCCCACAATTTCTTGTTCTATCCATGTCTAGTGTTTTCTCTACTGACCAAGGATTTAATCTTCAAAGTATTTTTTTATAAATATTAACCAGTGAAGGCTCTGGCCCCATGATGTGGGTTGAGAGCAGCAGTCATGCACTGATCTAGTGAATACATGAGAAATGGCAAGAAGCCAAGATGGGTTGTTAACTTTGGCAAAGGCAATCTGGGACTTTGTCTGGAGAGGTCAATGAGGTTCACAGAAATAGCGTCCTTTTGAAAAATGGAGGAAAGGTCAAAGATCATTTCTGTATTTCTAGGCACTTGTGACCTAAACTAGTAAAGTCTCCTAATGGTTCTTTAGCATCATTAGGTGAATTTGTTTTTCTCCCTGCAGCATTCCACAATGTAATCAGCACATAAGGGACTACAGTATAGTAAGCATTAAACTCATTAGGTTTTCAGTAAAGGGACAGTTTGCATTTGAGAATCACCAATGTGTTCTTGTCTCCGTTTAAGCAGGGAGTAGGGATGGCTTTGTAGGCAAGTGTCCCGTGGTGTCGCACAAAGCCCCACGATTAGTTTCATGATCCATTATCCCCATCATGAAATTTTATATTAGAGGTCTCACATTTTCATTTGAACTGCACCCCTTGGCAATTTACATAGCCAGTCCTAGCCACTTTACTTCCTCTCTGACCCTTCTCATCTCTGTATTACTGAAAATGTACACTGTCAATTCTGAGCCCCATCAAGCATGGGAAACACAAGAAGAAGTATTATGAAATTTTAAAGGCATGTCTGAGACCTTGCAAATATGAAACTCTTCTCTCAGATCGTGTGCTGCAGTGAGAACAGGTGTTGGTGATTTCAGTTTAGATACAGCTTAGGGAAGTTATGGCCAGATATGAGGATCTGTGAAAAGCCAAACTACCCCAGTGCCTCATATTTAATCTCTAGTCATTCCCATTTTGAACTACTCAGGGTACACATTGAAACAAGGAGAAGTACTTAAGTGCCAAGCTTCCAGGTCCTGCCAGCACTGTGAAAAGCAAACGCGACTTTTTCCCCTTTGTACTTTCATTAGTGGGAAAGGTTCTAGAAACTGGTGCTGGCAGAGATTTGGAGTGGTGCAGGAGGCAGAGCCCAATCCATCTCACTGTTTCACAGCTGTCTTGGCTCCTGGCAGCTGCAAAATTTGTTTTGGGGAAGTATGCAGCTCTGACTCCAAACAAGCCTCAGAAGAAAGAGGACCCTGGGAAGCCAATTGCATAGTGTTTAGTTCCTGACCATAAGCCTTCTAGCTGGCCAATAATTCTTCATAAGAGGATGCTCATTCTAAACATGACAATTAAACTGGTGCTACTTGGCTCGTTCCCTGGGGTAACAAAATAGCAGCATGAGGGTCTAAGGGCACGACAATACTAACTGCTGTGGAGGTTTGAAAACATTATTCCCTTGGAGTGGACAATAGAGGCTTTAGTCTATGCACAAGAGAAGGGGAGGAGACTCAGCCTCCTAAAGCCTTCCACAGCTTTCATTTTTAAAAATTAGCCTTAGCTTACAGTTTTTATATTTACACAGTTGTCCGAGATAAATGTGAGAGTCTTTTCTGGCTATGCAATGCTGATTACTAGCTGTAGAAAATGATGATCATGAGAAAGCTTAGCCCAGCTCCGTAAGTCCCTGAATCCACACCGAAGCCTTGCTATTTGGGTTCCAAGCCATATTTCCAACATTTTAGGAGATCTAGTGTGTGTTTGGTGCTTTAGGATCATCTTGACAAAGTTATATTGAAGAGAGAAACCTTATAGCTGTTGATTTTCCAGATAGAGTGAAAGGAAGAAATAGAAGAGCAGACTTGTGTCTAGTGTCTTCTGCATAGTAACTATGTGACCTTTCACCTCTCAGAACCTGAACTTTATTATCTGTCAAATGGGAATGTTGATCCTTTTTCTACCTGCCATGTTGTCAAAGGCATTTAAACCAGAGCAACTTCATCTTGAATAGAGGCTAGGTAAAATAAGGCTGAGACCTACTGGGCTGCATTCCCAATCAGTTAGGCATCCTAAGTCACAGGATGAGATAGGAGGTCAGCACAAGATACAGGTCATAAAGACCTTGCTGATAAAGCAGATTGCAGTAAAGAAGTTGGCTAAAACCCACCAAAACCAGGATGGCAATGAGAGTAACCTCTGGTCGTCCCCACTGCTACACTCCCACCAGCGCCATGACATTTTACAAATGCTATGGCAACATCAGGAAGTTACTCTATATGGTCTAAAAAGGTGAGATATGAATAATCCACCCCTTGTTTAGCATATCATCAAGAAATAACCATAAAAATGGGCAACCAGCAGGCTTCGGGGCTGCTCCACCTATGGAGTAGCCATTCTCTTATTCCTTTATCTTCTTAACAAACTTGCTTTCACTTTGCTCTATGGATTTGCCCCTAATTCTTTCTTGCACGAGATCCAAGAATCCTCTCTTGGGGTCTGTATTGGGACCTCTTTCGGGTAACAATATCAGTTGTTGTGTTGAGCAAATAAGATCATTAGTTTTTTTCAATAAATATTTATACTTGAATGTACAAGATGCTAACTTAAACATAAAGGGACTGAGGCTAAAGAATTGTACAAGGAAAGAGCTGTGAAGTATCACAGGAGGACGAGCTTGCTGTCAGCTGAAAGAATCATGGAAGGTTTCATGGAGCTGGAACCTAAGAGATGACATTCTGACATTGAAGAGTGAGCAGATTTTCTCAGGAGAAGATGGGTACAGGTCGGGATTGTGGGACGAGCAGGTGTAGCATCAGCAAAGATAAAGGCTTCAGGACAGACAGCACAGCTTGTGTGTGAGTGTGTGTGTTTGTGTGCGTGTGTGTGTGTGAGAGAGAGAGAGAAAGAGAGAAAAAAATGAAATGGAGACAGAGTGAGAAGTTCACATAGAATGGAACACAAAGTGAAGGGTCAGACTTGCTCAAAACCCCAAAACAAATGTGTCAGATACTCTGTAAATGCCTTTTTATTTTGCCTGGATCCGTGGCTTTAGAGAAAACAGGAAGCAGTAGTAATCTTGTATCATCTCATAATTCCTATTGTCATCAGGCTTTGTCTGTTTCACTCGCGCCTAGTAGAAAAAGCGGCTTGGGAACCACCTGTTCCTGGCTACTATACTCAAAAGGAAGCAAGAAGCCAGGTTGAGTACTAAGATCTGTAGTTCATTAACATCAAGGAAAAAATGGACATTCACTTGGTATATTGGTGGGTCTCAGAGAGCCACTGGTTTTCTTTTGGCACACTTAGGCCAAAGGTCACCATTTGACATTCTCTACAAATACACTGTGCAGTTAGTCTCAACTCTACCTCTAATTCATTGTGAGATTTTGGACAGGATACTTTGCCTTTATGAGCCTCTTGTTCTCATCTGGAAACATTTTGCTAAAGTTAGAGAATGGTTAAACAGGGAATCCCATTAACATTTAAATGCAAAGAATCTGTCAGTATATAAGAATGTGTATACAAAAGGGGTTGAGGCAACAGGGAATTCCATTAACATCTAAATGTAAAGAATCTGTCAGTATATAAGAATGTGTATATAATTTTCTATTTGGAAACTTTGCTGAATTCTTTTATCAGTTCTAGGAGCTTGTTGGAGGAGTCTTTTGGGTTTTCTAGGTATACAATCATATCATCAGCAAACAGCAGCAGTTTGACTTCCTTTTTACAGATTTGGATGCCCTTTATTTCCTTCTCTTGTCTTGATTGCTCTGGCTAGGACTTCCAGTACTATGTTGAACAGAAATGGAGTGGGCATCCTTATCTTGTTCTCAGAGGGAATGCTTTCAACTTTTCCCCATTCAGTATTATGTTGGCTGTAGGATTGTCATAGATGGCTTTTATTTCATTGAGGTATGCCCCTTGTATGCCGGTTTTGCTAGGAGTTTTAATCATAAAGGGATGCTGGATTTTGTCAAATGCTTTTTCTGCATCTTTTGAGATGATCATGTGATTTTTGTTTTAAATCCTGTTACATGGTATATCACATGTATTGACTTGTGTATGTTAAACCATCCCTGCTTCTTTGGTATGAAACCTACTTGATCACGATGAATTATCTTTTTGATACGTTGCTGAATTCTGTTAGCCAGCATTTCTTTTGTATTTTTTTTTGTTTCCATTTCATTTAGTTCTGCTCTGATCTTGGTTATTTCCTTTCTTCTGCTGGGTTTGAGTTTGGTTTATTCTTGTTTCTCTAATTCCTTTAGATGTGACCTTAGATTGTCTGTTTGTGCTCTTTCAAACTTTTTGATATAGGCATTTAGGGTTGTGAAGTTTCCTCTTAGCACTGCCTTTGCTCTGTCCCAGAGGTTTTGATAGGTTGTGTCACTATTGTCATTCAGCTCAAAGAATTTTTTAATTTTCATCTTGATTTCATTGTTGACCCAGTGATCATTCAGGCGTAGGTTATTTAATTTCCATGTATGTGCATAGTTTTGAAAGTTCTTTTTGGAGTGGATTTCCAATTTTATTTCACTATCAGTAGCTATCCTATACACCAACAGCGACCAAACCGAGAATTAAATCAATAACTCAACTCCTGTTACAATAGCTGCAAAAAATACAATACAATACAATACAATACAATACAATACAATACAATACAATACAATACAATACAATACAGTAAAATACAATACTTAGGAATATACCTAACCAAGGAGGTGAAAGACCTCTACAAGGAAAACTACAAAACACTGCTGAAAATAATCACAGACAATACAAATAAATGAAAACATATCCCATGCTCATGGATGGGTAGAATCAATATTGTGAAAATGACCATACTGCCAAAAGCAATCTACAAATTCAAAGCAATTCCCATCAAAATGCCATAATAATTCCTCACAGAACTAGAAAAAACAATCCTAAAAGTCATATGGAACCAAAAAAGACCCCACATAGCCAAAGAAAGGCTAAGTAAAAGAAAAAATCTGGAGGCATCACATTACCCATTTCAAACTATACTATAAAGCCATAGTAACCAAAACAGTGTGGTACTGGTATAAAAATAGACACAGAGACGGATGGAACAGAATAGAGATCCCAGAAATAAACCCAAACAGTTACAGCCAACTGATCTTCAACAAAGCAAACACAGACATAAAGTGGGGAAAGCATACCCTATTCAACAAATGGTGCTGCGATAATTGGAAAGCCACATGTAGAAGAATGAAACTGG
The DNA here is from genome assembly GCF_000001405.40 of Homo sapiens. NCBI lineage: Eukaryota > Metazoa > Chordata > Mammalia > Primates > Hominidae > Homo > Homo sapiens. Next base: position 67,519,106 of record NC_000023.11, on the reverse strand, counting down.
ATCCTCATCTCTCACCTTACACAAAAATCAACACAAGATGGATCAAGGACTTAAATCTAAGACCTGAAACTATGAAAATTCTAGAATATAATATCAGAAAAACCGTTCTAGACGTTGGCTTAGGCAAGGATTTCATGACCAAGAACCCAAAAGCAAATGCATTAAAAACAAAGATAAATAGTTGAGACTTAATTAAACTAAACAGCTTTTGCACAGCAAAAGGAACAGTCAGCAGAGTAAATAGACAACCCACAGAGTGGGAGAAAATCTTCAAAATCAGTACATCTGACAAAGGACTAACATCCAGAATGTCCAATGAACTCAGACAAATTAGCAAGAAAAATAAACAATCACATTGAAAAGTTGGCTAAGGACATAAATAGACAATTCTCAAAAGAAGATATACAAATAGCCAACAAAAATATGAAAAAATGCTCAACATCACTAAGGATTAGGGAAATGTAAATCAAAAGTGCAATGCAATAGATACCATCTTACTCCCACAAGAATGGCCATAATCAAAAAATCAAAAAATAATAGATATTGGCATGAATATAGTGAACAAAAACATTTCTACACTGCTGGTGGGAATGTAAACTAGTAGAACCACTATGGAAAACAGTGTGAAGATTCTTTGAAGAACTAAAAGTAGGACTATCATTTGATCCAGCAATCCCACTATTGGGTATATACCCAGAGGAAAATAAGTTATAATATGAAAAAGATACTTGCTCACGCATAATTATAGCAGCACAATTTACAATTGCAAAAATGTGGAACCAACCCAAATGCAAGTCAATCAATGAGTGGATAAAGCGTTTTTATGACTGAGTAGCATTCCATTATATTTATATTTATAATGGAATAATACTCAGCCATATAAAGGAATGAATTAATGGCATTTGCAGCAACATGGATAGGATTGGAGACTATTATTCTAAGTAACTCAGGAATGGAAAACAAAACATCATATGTTCTCATTCATAAGTGGGAGTTAAGCTATGAAGATGCAAAGGGATAAGAATGACACAATGAACGTTGGGGACTCAGGGACAAAGGGTGGGAAGGGGGTGAATGATAAATGACTACAGTTTGATTTCATTGTGTAATACTCAGGAGATGGGTGCACCAAAATCTCACAAATCACCACTAAAGAACTTACTCATGTAACCAAATATAACATATTCCCCAAAAACCTATGGAAATGAAAAATGAAAAGATAAAAACAAAACAAGAATGTATATATAAAAAGAGTTGAGGCAATATTGGTAGAAAAATGGAATTCAATTATTTTACAGACTGTTGGGTTTTGAGCAAGTCCCTTCCCCTCTCTGAACCTCTTTATTCCCATTTTAACATTGGAGTGGAACACGGTTGTTTTGTATGTTTGTTGGCCACAGAAATGTCTTCTTTCAAGAAGTGTCTGTTCATACCCTTTGCCCACTTTTTGATGGGGTTGTTTTTTGTTCTTGTAAATTTAAGTTTATTGTATATTATGGATATTAGACTTTGTCAGATGGATAGATTACAAAAATATTTTCCCATTCTGTAGGTTTCCTGTTCACACTGATGAAAATTTCTTTTGCTGTGCAGAAGGTCTTTAGTTTAATTAGATCTCATTTGTCAATTTTGGCTTTTGTTGCCATTGCTTTTGGTGTTTTAGTTATGAAGTCCTTGCCCATGCCTGTGTCCTGAAAAGTATTGCCTAGGTTTTCTTCTAGGGTTTTTATGGTTTTAGGTCTAACATTTAAGTCTTTAATCCATCTTGAATTAATTTTTGTATAAGGTGTAAGGAAGGGTTCCAGTTTCAGTTTTCTGCATATGGTTAGCCAGTTTTCTCAACACCATTTATTAAATAGGGAGTCCTTTCGCCATTGCTTGCTTTTGTCAGATTTGTCAAAATCAGGTGGTTGTAGATGTGTGGTGTTATTTCTGAGGCCTCTGTTCTGTTCCATTGGTCTACATACCTGATTTGCTACCAGTACCATGATGTTTTGGTTACTGTAGCCTTGTAGTATAGTTTGAAGTCAGGTAGCGTGATGCTTCCAGCTTTGTTCTTTTTGCTTAGGATTGTCTTGGCTATACAGGCTCTTTTTTCGTTCCATATGAAATTTAAAGTAGCTTTTTTTTCTAATTCTGTGAAGAAAGTCAGTGGTAGCTTGATGGGGATAGCATTTAATCTATAAATTAGTTTGGACAGTATGGCCATTTTCACAATATTGATTCTTCCTATTCAAGAGCATGGAATTTTTTTCCATTTGTTCATGTCCTCTTTTATTTCCTTGAGCAGTGGTTTATAGTTCTCCTTGAAGAGGTTGTTCATGTCACTTGTAAGTTTTATTCCTAGGTTTTTTATTTTCCTTGTAGTAATTGTGAATGAGAGTTCACTCATGATTTGGCTCTCTGCTTGTCTATTATTTTTGTATAGGAATACTTGTAATTTTTGCACATTGATTTTGTATCCTGAGACTTTGCTGAAGTTGGTTATCAGCTTAAGGAGTTTTGGGGCTGAGATGATGGGGTTTTCTAAATATACAATCATGTCATCTGCAAACAGAGATGATTTGACTTCCTCTCTTCCTATTTAAATACCATTTATTTCTTTCTCTCGACTGATTGCTCTGGTCAGAACTTCCAATACTATGGTGAATAGGAGTGGTGAGAGAGGGAATCCTTGTCTTGTGCTGGTTTTCAAAGGGAATGCTTTCAGCCATTGTCCATTCAGTATGATATTGGCTATGGGTTTGTCAAAAATATCTCTTATTATTTTAAGATATGTTCCATCACTGCCTAGCTTATTGAGAGTTTTAACATGAAGGGGTGTTGAATTTTATCGAAGGTCTTTTCTGCATCTGTTGAGATAATCATGTGGTTTTTGTCATTGGTTCTGTTTATGTGATGGATTACGTTTATTGATTTGCATATGTTAAGCCAACCTTACATCCCAGGGATGAAGCAGACCTGATCGTGGTGGATAAGTTTTTGCTATTCTGGTGGATTCACTTTGCCTGCATTTTATTTGGGATTTTTGCATGGATGTTCATGAGGAATACCGGCCTGAAATTTTCTTTTTTAGTTGTGTCTCTGCCAGGCTTTGGTATCAGGATGATGCTGGCCTCACAAAATGAGTTAGGGAGGAGTCCCTCTTTTTCTATTGTTTGTAATAGTTTCAGAAGGAGTGGTACCAGCTCCTCTTTGTACCTCTGGTAGAATTTGGCTGTGAATTCATTTGTTCCTGGGCTTTTTTTGGTTGGTAGGGTATTAATTACTGCCTCAATTTCAGAACTTGTTATTGGTCTATTCACGGATTCGACTTCTTCCTGCTTTAGGGTTGGGAGAGTGTATGTGTCCAGGAATTTATCCATTTTGTCTACGTTTTCTAGTTTACGTGCATAGAGGTGTTTATAGTATTCTCTGATGGTAGTTTCTATTTCTGTGAGATCAGTGATGATATCCCTTTTATCATTATTTTTGTGTCTATTTGAATCTTCTCTCTTTTGTTCTTTATGAGTCAGGCTAGTGGTCTATCTATCTTGTTAATCTTTAAAAAAAAACCAGCTCCTGGATTTATTGAGTTTTTTGAAGGGTTTTTCGTGTGTCTACCTCCTTCAGTTCTGCTCTGATCTTAGTTATTTCTTGTTTTCGGCTAGCTTTTGAATTTGTTTGCTATTGCTTCTCTAGTTCTTTTAATTGTGATATTAGGGTGTTGATATTAGATCTTTCCCACTTTCTGATGTGGGCATTTAGTGCTATAAATTTCCCTCTTAATACTGCTTTAACTGTGTCCCAGAGATTCTGATACATTGTATCTTTGTTCTCATTGGTTTCAAAGAACTTCATTATTTCTGCCTTAATTTACCCAGCAGTCATTCAGGAGCAGGCTGTTTTGTTTACCTGTAGTTGTGCAGTTTTGAGTGAGTTTCTTAATCCTGAGTTCTAATTTGATTGCACTGTAGTCTGAGAGACGGTTTGTTATGATTTCCTTTCTTTTGCATTTACTGAGGAGTGTTTTCCTTCAAATTTTGTGGTCAGTTTTAGTATAAGTGCTATGTGGTGCTGATAAGAATATATATTCTGTTGATTTGGGGTGGAAAGTTCTGTAGATGTCTATTAGGTCCATTTGTTCTAGAGCTGAGTTCAAGTCCTGAATATACTTGTTAATTTTCTGCCTCGTTGATCTGTCTAATACTGACAGTGGGGTGTTGGAAGCCTCCACTCTTATTGTGTGGGAGTCTATATCCCTTTGTAGGTCTGTAAAAACTTGTTTTACGAATCTGGGTGCTACTGTGTTAGGTGCATATATATTTATGATAACTCTTTTTGTTGCATTGATCCCTCTACTATTATGTAATGCCCTTCTTTGTCTTTTTTGATCTTTGTTGGTTTAAAATCTGTTTTATCAGAGACTAGGATTGCAACTCCTGCTTTTATTTGCTTTCTACTTGCTTGGTGAATATTTCTACATCCCTTTAAGCCTATGTGTCCTTGTGTGTGCGATGGGTCTCCTGATACAGCACACCAATGTGTCTTGACACTTTATCCGATTTGCCAGTCTATGTCTTTTAATTGGGGCATTTAGCCCATTTACATTTTTTTTTTTTTAGATTTTTTTTGCACTGAAGGTGGACTTTTCTTTTATTATTATTATACCTTAAGTTCTAGGGTACATGTGCACAACATGCAGGTTTGTTACATAGGTATAAATGTGCCATGTTGATTTGCTGCACTCATCAATTTGTCATTTACATTAGGTATTTCTCCTAATGCTATCCCTCCCCCAGCCCCCCTCTCCCTGACAGGCTCCAATGTGTGATGTTCCCCACTCTGTGTCCATGTTTTCATGTTGTTCAACTCCCACCTATGAGTGAGAACATGTGGTGTTTCATTTTCTGTCCTTGTGATAGTTTGCTTAGAATGATGGTTTCCTGCTTCATCCATGTCCCTGCAAAGGACATGAATTCATCCTTTTCTATGGCTGCATAATATTCCGTGGTGTATATGTGCCACATTTTCTTAATCCAGTCTATCATTGATGGACATTTGGGTTGGTTCCAAGTCTTTGCTATTGTGAATAGTGCCACAAGAAGCATACATGTGCATGTGTCTTTATAGTAGCATGATTTGTAATCCTTTGTGTGTATACCCAGTAATGGGATTGCTGGGTCAAATGGTATTTCTATTCTAGATCCTTGAGGAATTGGCACACTGTCTTCCACAATGGTTGAACTAATTTACGCTCCCACCAGCAGTGTAAAAGCATTCCTATTACTCCACATCCTCTCTAGCATCTGTTGTTTCCTGACTTTTTAATGATTGCCATTCTAACTGGTGTGAGATGGAATCTCATTGTGGATTTGATATGCATTTCTCTGATGACCAGTGATGATGAGCATTTTTTTCGTATGTCTGTTGGCTGCAGAAATTTCTTCTTTTGAGAGGTGTTTGTTCATATCCTTTGCCCAAATTTGATGGGGTTGTTTGTTTTTTTCTTGTAAATTTGTTTAAGTTCTTTGTAGATTCTGGATCTTAGCCCTTTGTCAGATGGGTAGATTGCAAATATTTTCTCCCATTCTGTAGGTTGCCTGTTCAGTCTGATGATAGTTTCTTTTGCTTAGCAGAAGTTGTTTAGTTGAATTAGTTCCCATTTGTCAATTTTGGTTTTTGTTCCCATTGCTTTTGGTGATTTAGTCATGAAGTCTTTGCCCATGGCTATGTCCTGAATGGTATTGCCTAGGTTTTCTTCTAGGGGTTTTATGGTGTTAGGTCTTACATTTAAGTCTTTCATCCATCTTGAGTTAATTTTTGTATACCGTGTAAGGAAGGGATCCAGTTTCAGGTTTCTACATATGGCTAGCCAGTTTTCCCAGCATCATTTATTAAATAGGGAATCCTTTCCCCATTTCTTGTTTTTGTCAGGTTTGTCAAAGACCAGATGGAGATGGTTGTAGATATGTGGCATTATTTCTGAGGCCTCTGTTCTGTTCCATTGGTCTATATATCTGTTTTGGTATGAGTACCATGCAGTTTTGGTTACTGTAGCCTTGTAGTATAGTTTGAAGTCAGGTAGCATGATGCCTCCAGCTTTGTTCCTTTTGCTTAAGATTGTCTTGGCTATGCAGGCTCTGTTTTGGTTCCATACAAACTTTAAAGTAATTTTTTCTAATTCTTTGAAGAAAGTCAGTGGTAGCTTGATGGGGATAGCATTGAATCTATAAATTACTTTGGGCAGTATGGCCATTTTCATGATATTGATTCTTCCTATCCATGCACATGAAATGTTCTTCTGTTTGTTTGTGTCCTCTTTTATTTCATTGAGCAGTGGTTTGTAGTTCTCCTTGAAGAGGTCCTTCACATCCCTTGTAAGTTGGATTCCTAGGTATTTTATTCTCTTAGAAGCAGTTGTGAATGGGAGTTCACTCATGATTTGGCTCTCTGTCTATTATTGGTGTATATGAATGCTTGTGTTTTTTATTTTTATTATTATACTTTAAGTTTTAGGATACATGTGCACAACGTGCAGGTTTGTTACATATGTATACATGTGCCATGTTGGTGTGCTGCACCCATTAACTCGTCATTTAGCACTTGGTATATCTCCTAATGCTATCCCTCCCCTCTCCCCCCACCCCACAACAGTCCCCGGTGTGTGATGTTCCCCTTCCTGTGTCCATGTGTTCTCATTGTTCAATTCCCACCTGCACATTGATTTTGTATCCTGAGACTTTGCTGAATTTGCTTATCAGCTTAAGGAGATTTTGGGCTGAGATGATGGGGTTTTCTAAATATGCAATCATGTCATCTGCAAACAGACAATTTGACTTCCTATTTTCCTAATTGAATACCCTTTTTTTCTTCCTCTTGCCTGATTGCCCTAGCCACAACTTCCAACACTACGTTGAATAGGAGTGGTGAGAGAGGGCATCCTTGTCTTTTGTCAGTTTTCAAAGGGAATGCTTCCAGTTTTTGCCCATTCAGTATGATATTGGCTGTGGGTTTGTCATAAATAGCTCTTATAATTTTGAGACACAATAAAAATGATAAAGGGGATATCACCTCACTGATCCCATAGAAATACAAACTACCATCAGAGAATACTATAAACACCTCTACGCACATAAACTAGAAAATAGAGACAAAATGGATAAATTCCTGGACACATACTCCCTCTCAAGACTAAACCAGGAAGAAGTTGAATCTCTGAATAGACCAATAACAGGTTCTGAAATTGAGGAAGTATTAATAGCCTACCAACCAAAAAAAGCCCAGGAACAAATGACTTCACAGCCAAATTCCACCAGAGGTACAAAAACGAGCTGGTACCATTCCTTCTGAAACTATTTCAATCAATAGAAAAAGAGGGAATCCTCCTTAATGCATTTTATGAGTCTAACATCATCCTGATACCAAAGCGTGGCAGAGACAGAACAAAAAAAGAGAATTTTAGGTCAATATCACTGATGAACATCGATGCAGAAATCCTCAGTATAATACTGGCAAACCAAATGCAGCCGCCCATCAAAAAGCTTATCCAACACTATCAAGTCTGCTTCATCCCTGAGATGCAAGGCTGGTTCAACATACGCAAATCAATAAATGTAATCCTTCACATAAACAGAACCAATGACAAAAACTACATGATTATCTCAGTAGATGTAGAAAAGGCCTTCGAGAAACTTCAACAGCCGTTCATGCTAAAAACTCTCAATAAACTAGGTATTGATGGAGCCCATTTACATTTAAGGTTAATATTGTTTTGTGTGAATTTGATGCTGTCATCTTGAGGTTAGCTAGTTATTTAGCACATTAGTTGATGCAGTTTCTTCATTGTGTGGTTGGTCTTTATATTTCGGTGTGTTTTTTGCAGTGGCTGGTACTGGTTTTTCCTTTCCATATTTAGTGCTTTTTTCAGGAGCTCATCTAAGGCAGGCCTGATGGTGACAAAATCCCTTAGCATTTGCTTTTCTGTAAAGGATATTATTTCTCTTTTACTTTTGAAGCTTAGTTTGGCTGGATATGAAATTCTGGGTTGAAAATTCTTTTTCTTTTTTTTAAGAATGTTGAATGTTGGCCCCCACTCTCGTCTGGCTTGTGGGGTTTCTGCAGAGAGACCCACTGTTAGTCTGATGGTCTTCCCTTTGTAAGTAACCTGACCATTCTCTCTGGCTGACCTTAACATTTTTTCCTTTGTTTTAACCTTGGAGAATCTGAAAATTATGTGTCTTGGGGTTACTTTCCTAGAGGAGAATCTTACTGGTGTCCTCTGTATTTCCTGAATTTTAATATTGGCCTGTCTTTCTAGGTTGGGGAAGTTCTCTGGGATAATATCCTGAAGTATGTTTTCTTACATGGTTCCATTTTCCCTGTCACTTTCAGGTACACCAGCCAAAATGTAGGTTTGGCCTTTTCACACAGTTCCATATTAGTCGGAGGTTTTGTTCGTTCTTTTTCATTCTCTTTTTTCTCTAGTTTTGTCTTCATGCTTTATTTCATTAAGTTGATCTTCAATCTCTAATAACTTTTCTTCCGATTTGGCTATTGTTGATTGTGTATGTTTCATGAAGTTCTTGTGCTGTGTTTTTCAGCTCCATCAGGTCATTTATGTTCTTCTCTAAACTGGTTATTCTAGTTAGCAGTTCTTGTAACTTTTTGTTAGGGTTCTTAGCTTCCTTCCATTGGGTTAGAACATGTTCCTTTAGCTCAGAGGAGTTTGTTATTATCCACTTTCTGAATCCTACTTCTGTGAATTCGTCAAACTCATTCTCCATCTCATTTTGTGCCCTTGCTACAGAGGAGTTGCGATTATTTGGAAGAGAGGACACATTCTGGTTTTTGGAATTTTCTTCATTTTTGTGTTCATTTTTCCTCATCTTCATGGGGTTATCTACCTTCGATCTTTAAGGCTGATGACCTCAAAGGTGGGGTTTTTGTGGGAGGGTCCTTTTTGCTGATGTTGATGTTATTTCTTTCTGTTTTTTAGTTTTTGTTCTAACAGGCCTCTCTTCTGCAGGTATGCTGCAGTTTGCTGGAGGTCCACTCCAGACCTTGTTTGCCTAGGAATCACCAACAGAGGCTTCAGAACAGCAAAGATTGCTGCCTGCTCTTTCCTCCAGAAGCTTCCTCCCAGAGCAGCACCGGCCTGATACCAGCTGGAGCTCCCCTGTATGAGGTGTCTGTCAACCCCTGTTGTGATGCCTCTCCCAGTCAGGAGGCCCAGGGGTCAGGGACCCACTTGAGGAGGCAGTCTGTTCCTTAGCAGAGCTGGAGCACTGTGCTGGGATAAACCTCCTCCTCAGGAGCACCTGCTGTCTTCAGAGCCAGCAGGCAGGAACGTTTAAGTCCTCTGAAGCTGCGCCCACAGCCACCCCTCCCGCCAGGTGCTCTGTCCAAGGGATACGGGGGGTTTTATCTATAAGCCCCTGACTGGGTCTTCTGCCTTTCTTTCAGAGATGCCCTGCCCAGTGAGGAGGAATCTAGAGACGCAGTCTGGCCACAGCTGCTTTGCCACACTGTATTGCGTTCCACCCTGTTCCAACTTCCAGGCCTCTTTAGCACTGTCAGAGAAAAAACACCTACTCAAGACTCAGTAATGGCGGATATCCCTCCCCACACCAAGTTCGATCATCCCAGGTCAACTTCAGACTGCTGTGCTGGCAGTGAGAATTTCAAGCCAGTGGTTCTTAGCTTGCTGGTATCCGTGGGAATGGGACCCGTTGAGTGAGACCACTTGGCTCCCTGGTTTCAGCCCTCTTTCCAGTGGAGTGAACAGTTCTGTCTCACTGGGGTTCCAGGCACCACTGGGGTATGATAAAATACTCCTGCAGCTATCTCGGTGTCTGCCCAAACAGCCACTCAGTTTTTTGCTTGAAACCCAAGGCCTTGGTGGTGCAGGCACATGAGGGAATCTCCTGTTATGCAGATTGCAAAACCCTTTGGAAAAGCGTAGTATCTGGACTGGATAGGACAGTCCCTCATGGCATCCGTTGGCTGGGGGAGAGAGGACCCCCCACTCCTTGCCCTTCCCACATGAAGTCACCTCACCTTGCTTCTGCTCACCCTCCCTGGGCTGCACCCGCTGCCTAACTAGTCCCAATGAGATGAACAGGGTACCTCTGTTGGAAATGCAGAAGTCACCTGCCTTCTGCATTGGTCTTATTGGGAGTTGCAGACCAGAGCTGTTCCTATTAGGCCATCTTGCCAGATCCCCCAATATTTTAATGTATTTAATGTTAATTATATATTTTTTAGATTTCCTATATGTGTGTGTGTATGTTGAAACTATGATGGACATTCACTTCCAAAGATACGTTTCTTCAAGAATGACTGTACCCTTCATCCAGTTCTCTCTAGTGTTTACATCTTACCTAATGATAGCACAGTATCAAAACCAATAATTTGATATTGATAGAACACATATATATGTATATAGTTCTATGTCATTTTATTATGTGTAGATTAGTGTAAACATCATTGCACTCAATATTTCATCAATGTAAAGATCTCCTTTGTGTTACCTCTTTACAATCACACCCAACCCTTCCCCCCATTGCCACAATGTGGGAATGACTGAGTTGTTCTCTATCTCTATAATTTTGTCATTTCAAGAGTGTTATATAAATGGATAATACTGTATGTAACTGTCTTAATCAGTCTTTGTGCAGCTATAAGGCAATACTTGAGGCTGGGTAATGTATAATGAAAAGAGGATTATTTAGCTCATGATTCTGCAGGATGTGTAAGAATCAAGCATGTGACATTTGCTTTTAGTGAGGGCTTCTGGATGCTTCCACTCATAGTGGAAGGCAAAAAAGTGACAGCATGCAGAGATCACATGTATTCCCAAATATACACACACAACCTTTATGTATCAATAAAAATATGCATGATTATTGAAAGGAAAAATGATAACATGATTCGGTGGAGTTTTGAATTATATACATGTCATATATATGAAAACTGAAACATAAAGAGGAAGGATATATGGACTCATATGTTGGTGAGGTTTCTACATTGCATTCGAAGTGGTAAAATCTTAATTCTGAGTAGACTGCAAAAGTTAAGCGTAAATATACTGCCCTTCAATGTGTGAGTAAATAAACAACTGTGGTACATTCATACAATAGAATACCACTCAGCAATAAAAAAATGAATTATGCATATGTACAACAACTTGGACGAATCTCAAAGGCATTATACTGGGTAAAAAATAAGCCAGTCTCAAAAGGTCACTGCTATGGTTTGGATATATGTTTTTTTGACCCCACTAAGTCTCATGTTGAAATGTGATCTCCAGTGTTAGAGATAGAGCTTAATGGGAGGTGTTTAAGTAATGCGGGAAAATCTCTCATTAATGGTTTTTTGTCATCCTCGTGGTAATGAATGGGTTCTTGCTACACTAGTGCCTGGGATAGTGCCCTGAGAGCTGGTTGTTGAAAAGAGCCTGGCACCTCCCCCTGCTCTCTCTCTCTGTTCTCACCATGTGATCTCTGCATGGTGGTTCCTCTTGGTCTTCCACCAAGAGTGAAAGCAGCGTAAAGCCCTCACCGGTATATAAGATGTAATGATCTAACCAGAGTAACTGGGATATTCATCACCTCAAACACTTATCTTTTTCTTGTGTTGGGAACATTTGAATTCTTCTAGCTATTTTGAAATATAAAATAAATTATTGTTAATTATAGCCACCCTATTGATCTACCAAACACTAGATCTTATTTCTTCTATCTAACTGTATTTTTGTACCCTCTCTTCATCTTTCCTCACTTCCCCACCTGTCCAAACCGTTCTCAGACTTTGGTAACCATCAGTCTACTCTCTACCTCCATGAGATACACGTTTTTTAGTTCTCACATATGAGAAAGAACATGTGATATTTGTCTTTATGTGCCTTACTTCACTTAACATAATGACCTCTAGTTTCATCCATGTTGCTGCAAATGACAGGATTTCATTCTTTATTTTGTGGCCCATTAACATTCCATTGTGTATATATACCATATTTTCTTTATTCGTTTATTGATGGACATTTAGGTTGATTTTATATCTTGGCTTTGTGAATAGTGCTGCAACAAATATGAGAGTTCTGATATATCTTTAACATATTGATCCTTAACATATTAAAAAAGAAACCAAAAAATCCCATTTATAATAACTACATAAATAAAAAATACCCATAAATTGGCTGGGTGCAGTGGTGCATGCCTGTAATCCCAGCACTTTGAGAGGCCGAGGCTGGTGGATCACTTGAGGCCAGGAGTTTGAGACCAGCCTGGCCAACATGGTGAAACCCTGTCTCTACTAAAAATACAAAAATTAGCCAGGCATGGTGCTGTGTGCTGGTAATCCCAGCTACTCAGGAGACTGAGGCCGGACAATCACTTGAACCCAGGAGGCAGACATTGCAGTGAGCTGAGATTGCACAACTGCACTCAAGCCTAGGCAACAGTGTGAGACTCCATCTTAAAAAATAAAAATAAAAAAATAAAAAAAGCAGAAATGGATTTAACCAAATAAGTTAAAGATTTTTGGCAGAAATATTATAAAACATTGGTATAATAAATTGAAGAGAACACAGAAATGAAAAGATATCCCATGTTCATGGATTGAAACAATATTTTTTAAATGGCCATACTATCCAATGCAATTTACAAATTCAACACAATCTCTATCAAAATACCAATGACATTCTTCATAGTAAAATAAAAAAAACAATTTAAAAATTTGTAGGGAACCAAAAAAGACTCTGAATAGCCAAAGCAATCCTGAATAAAATGAACTAAGCTGAAAGCATCACACTATCTGACTTTAACATATACTACAAAGCTATAGTAATCAAAACATCATGGTACTGGCACAGAAACAGACACATAATCCAATGGAACAAAATAGAGAACTGAGAAATAAATCTACATACTTACAGCCAACTGGCTTTTCACAAAGGTGCCAAGAACATATATTGGGGAAAGTAGTCTCTTCAATAAATGGTGCCATGAAAATTGAATAAGCATATAGAGAAGAATTAAATTAGACATCTATCTCTCACCATATACAAACATCAAATCAAAATGGATTAAATACTTAAATCTAAGACCTGAAATTATGAAACTACTGAGAGAAAACTTTGAGAGATCACTTCAGTACGTTGGTCTGGGCAAAGATTTTTCAGATAAAATCTCGAAAGCACAGGCAACAGAAACAAATATAAACTTGTGGAATTATATCAAGTTAAAAAGCTTCTGAGAAGCAAAGAAAGCAATCAATAAAGGGAATACACAACTTACAGATCACAAGAAAATGTTTTCAAATTATTCATCTGATAATGATTAATAACCAGAATTACGTGATTCATGTCATCAATTTGGACAAATCAAATGGGCAAAAGATCTGAATAAACATTTTCTTAGAAGACATACAAATGGCCAAAAAGTGTATGAAAACATTCTCAATGTTAGTAATCATCAGGGTATGGCAAATAAAAAATACAATGAGTTATTTTCCCATTCCAGTTAAAATGGACTTTGTCAAAAAGACAACAAAATAGATGCTGGTGAAAATATGAAAACAGACTGAATAATAGTCCATTGTATATACTTGTACACTGTTAGTGGGTATGTAAATTAGTGCAGCCACCATGGAAAACAGTATGGAGGTTCCTCAAAAACCTAGAAAAAGTACATATTTTAATAAAGTTAAAAACAGAAAAATAGTTTATTATATTAACACAGATATTTATATTTTTGTTGCTTTTTTTTCATCCCTGATGTCCCAAGTTACTCCCTGGAATTATTTTTCTTATCTCTCAAGAACTTTTTTATATCATTTCTTTTAGAGCCAGTCTTCTGGTGATAATTCTTTTATTAGACATTCTTCTGAGAATGTCTTTATTTCAGCTTCATTCTTAAAGCTTATTTTCACTGGGTATGGAATTCTAGGTTGATGAGTATTTAATAACTTTAATGATATTGCATTGCTTCCATGGTTTCTGATGAGAAATTTGAAGTCCTTTGAATTTTTGTTACACCATAAGAAATGCATCTTTTTTCTCTCACTGCTTTCAATATTTTTTCTTTACCTTTGGTTTTTAGCCATTTGATTATAATGTTTCTAGGTGTCGATTTTTTAAGTTTATTCATTTGAGATTTGGCTGAGCTCATTGGATCTGTAAGCTTAGGTCTTCCACCAATTTTAGGATTTTTTCAGCCATTATTTATTCAAACATATATTTTTTTTCTCATTGCTTTTTTCTTTTCCCTTCTGGAACTCTGATACACAAATTTTAGACCTTTTGCTATTGTCCCACATTACCTGAGCCTCTGCTTACTTTTCTCTTTTTTCTTCAGATTGGGTGATTTATATTGCTCTATCTTCAGATTCACTAACACATTTATCTGTTATCTCTAATGTGAGTGCTTTCAGTGAATGTTTTGTTTCAGTTGTTGTATTTTTCAGGTCTAAAATTGCTGCTTTTTTCTGTTTTATAGCTTCTATTTCTCTGCTAAGCTTTTCTATCTTTCCATTTATTTCCAGAGTGTTATCCTCTACTTCATCATAATCACTACTTAAATATTTTTCTGGTAATTGTAAAATCTAGGTCATCTCAGAGTTGGCATATTTTGATTGATTTTTATTTATTTTTTATTTATTTACTTTTTTATTATTGTACTTTAAGTTTTAGGGTACATGTGCACAATGTGCAGGTTTGTTACATATGTATACATGTGCCATGTTGATTGCTTTTTAAAGTGTGAGTGGTTGAGATTTTCCTAGTTCTTTATATGCTGAGTACTTTTTAATTGTAGACTGGACATTTAAAATATATTATAAAATTTTAGGTCTTGTTCTAATTCTTAGAATGCTAATAAGTTTTTGTTTGTTTTGCAGACTTTAGCTCCTAATTTCCCACACACTTTTGTGGACTGTGATTCCAATGTCATTTTAATTTTCAAAGCCTTTGCAATGCTATTCAGATTTCTTCCATGTGTACATCACTCAGGGTCCAGTCTTGAACCCAGGCAGTATTCTACTTTGTAATTCAGTTGTCAATGTCTTTTGTGTGTTTTTTAGGGATGGATCCACACATGTACATCTTGAGAGTAAACTCACAAATTCACAAGCAAATTCATGGCATCCCTTCCTTAAACTCCTTTCTCTTTGTGGTTACCTTGGCACTCTCCAGATTCAAGGGACACACTTTTTGGTCCTCTGATTAAAATTCCAGGGCTTTTTATTCTCCTCACAATGTCATGCACTTCCTGGAACTGGGCCTGCCTCCAAGCTAAGCCATGGGGAACATACTAGTAAGAGAAAAGAAAAACCTACATATGTGATCCCTTTATCAGATTTTCTTTTTTTAATGTAATGTCTTTTTCTGTTCCAAGATCCCATCTTCATTAAATTCAATGTCACGTCTCCAAAAGCTGACTTTGACAGATTCTTAGACTTTCTTTGTTTTTGATGACCTTGACAGTTTTGAGGAGTGTTATTGGGCATTTTGTATAATATCCCTCAAGTTGGATTTGAAAATCTACGGTTTTCTTTTTTAAAAAAGTCAATTTTTATAGTTTGCACTCATATTCTTCAGACCAGAACTCCTTTGCTCAAATTGAAAAAAAAAACCTCCTTTCAGAATTTTAGTTTCCTGCTTAGTTACCATTGCTGTTGTCACCATGAAGATTTTGTACCTTAGAGAATGGATTTGCCTTGAGGCTGGAGTCAGAAAGAAATAAAAATCAAAACCACAGAAAATTTTTCCTGCTTCCTCTATCTCTATAGGTATTCTTATTCCTGTCCTTGGTTGAAAAGTAGGGGTTCTCTTGGAGTTCTTTTTGTCAATATTCATTACACAGTTTTGGACTTTATACTGCCTGTTAGTCCATGATAAGAGATACAGAAGAAAAATAATTTGCCAAATACTCTGGAGGACTGGCTGTACTTCAGATTTCAGTTTTCTTTCACAATTCACCTGCTCCCATTTACTTTGCAGAATCTCAGATAGTTCTTTCATACATCCTGTATGGGAATTTCAGTGGCATTCACAGGGAAAGACAGAATAATGGAGTGTGTTTCACTAAATTAACCAGAAAAATAACTTCATTTTTGCTTACTTCTTTACTACTACTAATTATAAGAATCAGAAACAAGCTAAATATCCAACATAAATAACATATGGCATACCAACTCCAAGGAATAATATGTAGCCATTACAATTTTAATTAGGAAGACTACAACACTATAGGAAAATGCTTCTGATATGACATTAGGTTTTTAAAAAAGTAAAACAAAATAAGTTATGCACTAATATTAAAACCTTCTAAAATAGATATGAAAAAAGTTAAAATTTGGAGATCATAGGATTATGGTTTTATGTTAATGTTTTTTTCCTTTAAAAATATTATTTTGTTAGGATGATAAATACTACCACTTCTATGTTATAAATGAATAATATGTCATGAATTACATAAATGTTAATATATAATGAACTATATTTATTTGAAATATTTTTCTTTGGATCGTTACAAGAGTACAATTAATTCAGTTGTTAGCTCCATATTGAACTTTAAAAAAAATATATTCAACTACACAGCCATGAAAAAGAACAAAATTATGTCCTTTGCAGTAACATGGAAGCAGCTTGAGGCTATTATTTTAAGCTAAGTAACACAGGGAAAGAAAATCAGATACTTCATATTCTCACTTATAAGTGGGGGCTAAACGTTGGATAATCATGGACATAAACATGGAAACAATAGACACTGAGGACTACTAGAAGAGGGAGAAAGGGAAGGGAATAAAGGTTGAAAAACTAACTATTGGATACTATGTGCAACCTGGGTGATGGGACGAAGCCTCAGCATCACAGAATGTACCCATTTGTGTCCTAAGACTCAGCATCACAGAATGTACCCATGTGACAAACTTGTACATGTACCCCCCAAATCAAAAAGTTGAAACTATTTAAGAAATAATATTTGTTATCTTTTAAATCTCAGTTTTAATTTTTATAAATAGTCTGGTTTCTGCATATGGCCTGAACATAGGTGACCAAATCTGCTCTGTAAATCTCCATATACCATTTTGATAATCTATTTCTTATTCTCCTCATTCTTTCTCCTTAGTCTGAATGAGGAGGTTTGTGAACTAGCCCAAGAGCTCCTCAGGGTCAAGCCTGCTAAGTAATTGAGGTATCTCAGTTTGGTATACTGGAAGATTTCTCTTACTTGGTTGTTGTTTTGTTCTGAGTGTCAGGGAAGATAACTCAGTCTCCTAGCTAGAACAGAGAACCAGGATCCAGAGTGCTCATTACCTCTTGTCAGATGCTTCTCAATCTTGATACTTGGCTTAAACAAGACTCCACTGTCTTGGAGTTACCACTTTCTCACAAGACCATTCGGATTAAGCCCTTGACAATTAACTACCACAAATGTAGGCTGATGGTTTTGCAGACCTTGAGCTGTGGATGGTAATTTTTACTCACCATTTTGGGAATATTCACTCATTTCCCTCCCTCCTAAAATATCTTATTCTAGAATATAACTTTGGCAATTAAAATGACTAAGACAAAAACTACCAATAGCCATTCTAGTGATAATGCTACAGTTGCTTTGCAAAAATAAAATTTCCAACTTAGTTTTTGCTCTTTCAAGGAGAGGTTTTTGTTCATTTTGTTTAGTTTAACTTGTCTTGTTTTATTTTAATAGGCATCACTTACTTCGTTTTATTTTTTTTTGTGCAAGATGCTAGCCTTATTCTGGTTTCTTGAGGTACAGATATTTTAAAATTCAGCGTACCTCAAACTGCCTGCATATTATCTCTCAAACATGGGAGCTCCCAGAACTTGTTATAATCTGCCTTAATATATTTATCAGGTTTCTATCCCATTTTGGGAGCTCCTTTAAGAAAGCATTGTACCTTACTGCCCTCAGAAATGCTAGGCACTTCATACCTATTTACATGGGAAAGACCTATTTGTGGATTTAGGCTAACTTATGGTTTTTCTTAACAGACTTTATTTTAAAAACTGTTTCAAATTTACTGAAAAATTGAAAATACTACAGAGAGTTTCCATATATCCTGCACCCACTTTCCACTATTATTAACAATGTACATTAGTGTGTTATATTTATTACAAGCAAAGAACAAGTATTGTTACATTATTATTAACTAAAATTTATAGTTCATCAGATTTCCTTAGTTTTTATGTGATGACTTTTTGTGTTCCATGATCTCATTATATTCAGTGTCATGTCTCCTAAAGCTGACTTTGAAAGATTCTTGGACTTTCTTTGTTTTTGATGACCTTGACAATTTTGAGGAGTATAATTTGCATATTTTTATAATGTCCCTCGGTTTGGATTTGAAAAACAATGTTGCTTTTATTTTTTTAAATTTATTTTTATAGATTCTGGGGGTTTATGTGCAGGTGTGTTACATTGGCATATTGCATAGTGGTGAGGTTTGAGCTTCTAGTATACCCATCACCTGAATAGTGAATATTGTACCCAATAGATAATTTTTCAATTCTCTCTCCTTTTTCCACCTTGCCCCTTTCAGGGCCCCCAGTGTCTATTATTTCCTGCTCTATGTCCGTGTGGTCAAACTTGGGTATGGATTTTGGAAGAAAGACAACATAGGTGAAATGCCCTTCTCAACACATCATATCAGTGGTACATATCGTTAGCTAATGCTGTTAATTTTGATCACCTCCTTGAGGTGACGTATGCCAGATTTCCTCAAGTTACATTTTTTCCTTTTCCGTACTATCCACTATCGGAGGACGTCAGTATGGGTAGCCTATACTAAAGAAGTTGGGGGTTATGCTCTACCACTTTGGTGGGTGAGATAAATGTATTGGGTTTTAACCTATAGGATAAAAAAATATATATTACATATATTCATATATGTATACATATATGAATATATGTATACATATGTACACATATTACATATATACCTATATTACATATATACATATATTACATATATACATATATTACAATATATTAATATATTACATATATTATATGTAACATATATATTGCATATATTACATGTAACATACACAATATATTGCATATATTATATGTAACATATACAATATATTGCATATATTACATGTAACATACACAATATATTGCATATATTATATGTAACATATACAATATATTGCATATATTATATGTAACATATACAATATATTATAAGTAATTTATATATTACATATATTATATTACATATTACATATATTACACATATGTAATATGTAATATAATATATATCTCCTTTATTCCATACATATATGAATAACGAATTGAATAACTGGGGTAGGAAAGACAGCTCTCTCTTGGAGTAAAATTCCAATTAAAGAAGGAAATAGAACATCCATGATATAGTTTGGGTATTTGTCCCCTCCAACTTTCATGTTGAAATTTGATCCTCAGTATGTTGGAAGTGGGGCCTAGTGAAAGGTGTTTGAATTATGGGGATGGACTCTTCATAAATAGCTGATGCCATCTTTGGGGTAATGAGTGAGTTCTTGGTCTATTAATTCCAATGATAACTGATTGTTAAGAAGAACCTAGCACCTCCCTCTCTTTTCTCTCTTGCTTCTCTCCTCTTGCCATGTGATGTCTGCTCCCATTTACCTTCAGCCATAACTGGAAGTTTCCTGAAGTCCTTACTGGAAGCAGATGCAAGCACCATGCTTCTTGTATATCCTGCAGAAACATGAGCCAAATAAACCTATTTTCTTTATAAATTACCAAGCCTCAGGTACTCCTTTACAGTAGTGCAAAACGGACTAAGACAATCATTATTTAGAAACCACCAAAGTAATGTGTTGCAGACAAGGTCCACCAATGAAAGCTAAAATTAGTAGGTCTGAGGATAAACAGAACTTGTACAGTCTCAAAGTATCATTCCTCAAGATATTTATCAATTGCAAAGGGATATGTGGTAACCATATAGTGAATAAATCCTTTAGACATCAATTCAACCGAGTGATCAAGGTAAACATCTCCAGTATTGACATCATGAACCTCTTGATTTAATGCACTGAGAAGAAATTTTTGGAATTGTTACCTATTTTTTTGATTCTGTGGGATTTTCTACATAGGTAATCATATCATCTGAAAAACAGTTTTATTTCTTCCTTCCTAATCTGTGAACCTTTTAAATTTTTTTCTTGCATTATTGCATTGGCTTTGGCATGTGGTACAATGTTAAATAGGAGTAGTGAGAGGAGTCATTTTTCCTTTTTTCCTCATCTTAGAGGGAAAGCACTCAGTTTCTCACCGTTAAATATGGTGTTAAGAGCAGGTTTTCTTTATTTTTTAATGTTTAAGTTTCTATTTTTAATTTTTTGGGAACATAGTAGGTGTATATATTTATAGATTACATGAAATATTTTGATACAGACATGCAATGCATTAAAATCACATCAGAGTAAATGAAGTATCCATCCCAGGTATTTAAACCTTTGTGTTAAAAACAATCCAATAATATTCTTTTAGTTATAAAATGTACAATTAAATTATTTTTTACCATAGTCACCATGTTGTGCTAGAAAATGTTAGGTCTTATTCATTATTTTGAACCACTTTTGGTACCCGTTAAATAATGCCACTTACCCTCATCACCCCACTATCCTTTCCAGCCTCTGGCAACCATCCTTCTACTCTCTGTCTTCAAGAGTTCATTGTTTTAATTTTCAGCTCCCAGAAATAAGTGAGAACATGCAAACCTTGTCTCTCTGTACCTGGCTTATTTTACTTAACATAATGCTCTCCAGTTCCATGAATGTTGTTGCAAATGACAAGATTTCTTTTCTTTTTTTTTTTTTTTAATGGCTGAACAGTACTTCCTTGTGTATATGCAGCACATTTTCTTGATTCATTGTTAATTGATGAACATCAGGTTGCTTCCAGATCTTGGCTATTGTGAATAGTATGGCAGTAAACGTGGAAGTACAGATAGCTCTTCCATATACTAATTTCCTTTCTTGTGGGTACATGTGCTGAAGTGGGATTGCTGGATCATATGGTAGTTCTATTTTTAATTTTTTGAGGAACCTCCAAACTGTTTTCCCTAGTGCTTTTACTAACTTACATTCCCACCAACAGTGTACAATGCTTCCCTTTTCTCCACATCCTCGCCAGCATTTGTTATTGCCTCGCTTTTGGATAAAAAACATTTTAACTTGAATGAGATGAGATCTCATTGTAGTTTTGATTTGCATTTCTCTGATGATCAATGATGTTGATCACCTTTTAATATGTCTGTTTGCCATTTGTATGTCTTCTTTTGAAAAATATCTATTCTGATATTTTGTCTATTTTTAGATCAAATTATTAGGTTTTTTTTTTCTGTAGAGTTGTTTGAGCTCCTTTTATATGCTGGTTATTAATCCCTTGTTAGATAGATAGTTTGCAAATAATTTCTCCCATTCTGTGGTTTGTCTCTTCACTTTGTTGATTGTTTCCTTTGCTGTGCACAAGTTTTTAACTTGAGGTCACTCCCTTTGTCCATTTTTGCTTTGGTTGGCTATGATTGTGAGATATTACTCAAGAAAACATTGTCCAACCAAATAACCTGGAGAATTTCCCCTAATTTTTGTAGTAGTTTTATAGTTTTACATCAGATTAAAGTCTTTATCCATTTTGATTTGGTTTTTGTATATGGCAAGAAATAGAGGTCTAGTTCCATTCATCTGCTTATGGATACACAGCTTTCCCAGGACCATTTATTGAAGAAACTGTCTTTTCCCCAGGGTATGTTGTTGACACTTTTGTCAAAAATGAGTTCATTGTGGATATATGGGTTTGGCTCTGGGTTCTTTATTCTTTTCCACTAGTCTAGGTGTCTGTCCTTATGCCAGTAACATGCCGTTTTATTTATTATCACTGTGTAGTGTAATTTGAAGTCAGGTAATGTGATTCCACCAGTTGTGTTCTTTTGCTAAAAATAGCTTTGGCTATTCTGGATCTTTTGTGGTTCCATATAAATTATAGGATTTTTTTTTCTATTTCATTGAAGAATGACATTGGTATTTTAATAGGGATTGCATTTAAAATGTAGATTGCTTTAGGTAGCATGGGCACTTTTAGAATATTGATTCTTTCAATCCATGAACATGAAATATCTTTCCATTCTTTTGTGTCCTCTTTAATTTCTTGCATTAGCGTTTTATAGTTTCCATTGTGGAGATCTTTCATTTTGGTTAAGTTAGTTTCTAGGTATTTCATTTTATTTGAAGCTATTTAAAATGGAATTTCTTAATTTCTTTTTCAATTGTGCACTGTTGGCATATAAAGGTGTTTCTGATTATTGTATGTTGATTTTGTATCCTTCCACTTTACTTAATTTGTTTATTAGTTCTAATAATTTCTTGGTGTGGTCTTTAGGTTTTTCCAAACATAGGATTATATCACCTGCAAACAAGGATAATTTGACTTCTTTCTTTCCAATTCAGATGTCTGCCATTTATTTCTGTCTCCTGTCTGATTACTTTACCTAGTATTTCTGGCACTATGTTGAATATCAGTGGTGAAAGTGGGTATCCTTGTGTTCCAAATCTTAAAAGGAAGGTTTTCAGTTTTCTTACATTAAGCATGATAGTAGCTGTGGGTCTGTCATATATGGCTTTTATTATTTTGAGGTGTGTTCCTTCTATACCCAGTTTTTTGAGGATTTTTATCATGAAACAATGTTGAATTTTATCAAATACTTTGTCAGCATCAGTTGAAAAAATTATAAGGTTTTTATCCTTCATTTTGCTGCTATAATATGTCACATTGTTTGATTTGCCTGTGTTGTAACATCCTTGCATCCTAGGTGTAAATCCCACCTGATCATGATGAATGATCTTTCTCATGTGTTGTTGAGTTCAGTTTGCTAGTATTTTGTTGAGAACTTTTGCATCAATAATCATCAGGTATATTGGCCTGTAGTTTTCTTTCTTTCTCTCTTTCTTTCTTTCTTTCTTTCTTTCTTTCTTTCTTTCTTTCTTTCTTTCTTTCTTTCTTTCTTTCTTTCTCTCTTTCACTCTCTCTCTCTTTTTTTGGTCTCACTTGGTCACCCAGGCTGGAGAGCATTGGCACAATCTCAGCTCACTGCAACCTCTGCCACCCAGGTTCAAGCCATTCTCCTGCCTCAGCCTCCTGAGTAGCTGGGATTACAGGCACCTGCCACCATGCCGGACTAATTTTTGTAGTTTTAGTAGAAACTGGATTTCACCATCTTGGCCAGGCTGGTCTTAAACTCCTGACCTCATGATCCACACACCTCTGCCTCCCAAAGTTCTGGAATTACAGGCATGAGCCCCTGCACCCGGCCTTTCTGGTTCTTTTTATCAAGGTAAGGCTGGCTTCATAGAATAAGTTTTGAAATATTCCTGCATCCTCTATTTTTCACAAAAATTTGAGTAGGATTGGTGTTAGTTCTTTTTTAAATGTTTGGTAGAATTTAGAATGGAGCCATGAGGTCTGTATTAGTCTGTTTTCACACTGCTATAAATAACTGCCGGAGACTTAGCAATTTAGCAAAGAATATGCTTTAATTGACTCACAGATCCACATGGCTTGGGAGGCCTTAGGAAACTTAGGAATCATGGCAGAAGGGGAAGGGGAAGGGGAAGCAAGCATATTCTTCACATGGTGGCAGGAGAGAGGGAGAATGAAGGGGGTAGTGCAAAACACTTAAGCCATCAGGTATCATGAGAACTCATTATCATGAGAACAGCATGAGGGAAACTGCATACATGGTCCAATTACCTCTCACCAAGTTCCTCCCTCAACATATGGGAGATTAGAATTCGAGATGAGATTTGAGTGGGGACACAGAGTCAAACTATATCAGGGTCTTGGGCTTTTCTTTTCTATAATACTTTTTATTATGGCTTTTATTTCATTACTTGTTATTGGTCTGTTCAAGTTGTGGATTTCTTCATGGTTTAACCTTGATAGGTTGAGTCTAGGAATTTATCCATTTATTCCAGGTTTTCTGATGTATTGGCTTATAGTTGCTCATAGCAGCCACCAATGATTCTTTGAATTTCTGCAATATCAGTTTTAATGTCTCCTTTTTATATCTGCTTTTATTTATTTGTGTCTTCTCTCTTTCTTTCTTAGTCTGGCTAAAGATTTGTCAATTTTGTTTATCTCCAGAAAGCCAACTTTTTTAAAAATTATACTTTAAGTTCTGGGGTACATGTGCACAATGTGCAGATTTGTTACATAGGTATACATGTGCCATGTTGGTTTGCTACATCTACCAACTCGTCATTTACATTAGGTATTTCTCCAAATGCTATGCCTCTCTTAGGCCACCACCCCCCAATAGGCCTGGTGTGTGATTTTCCCCTCTCTGTGTCCATGTGTTCTCATTGTTCACCTCCCACTTATGAGTGAGAACATGCGGTGTTTGGTTTTCCCTTCTTGTGTTACTTTGCTGAAAATGATGGTTTCCAGTTTCATCTGTGTCCCTTATGCGGTGTTTGGTTTGCTCTTCTCGTGTTACTTTGCTGAGAATGATGGTTTCCAGTTTCACCCGTGTCCCTGCAAAAGACATGAACTCACACTTTTTTTTTTTTTAGATTTCTTTTTTTTAAACTTTATTATTATTATACTTTAAGTTTTAGGGTACATGTGCACAATGTGCAGGTTTGTTACATATGTATACATGTGCCATGTTGGTGTGCTGCACCCATTAACTCGTCATTTAGCATCAGGTATATCTCCTAATGCTATCCCTCCACCCTCCCCCCACACCACAACAGACCCCGGAGTGTGATGTTCCCCTTCCTGTGTCCATGTGTTCTCATTGTTCAATTCCCACCTATGAGTGAGAACGTGCGGTGTTTGGTTTTTTGTCCTTGCCATAGTTTGCTGAGAATGATGATTTCCAATTTCATCCATGTCCCTACAAAGGACATGAACTCATCATTTTTTATGGCTGCATAGAATTCCATGGTGTATATGTGCCACATTTTCTTAATCCAGTCTATCGTTGTTGGACATTTGGCTTGGTTCCAAGTCTTTGCTATTGTGAATAGTGCCGCAATAAACATAGGTGGGCATGTGTCTTTATAGCAGAATGATTTATAATCCTTTGGGTATATACCCAGAAATGGCGTGGCTGGGTCAAATGGTATTTCTAGCTCTAGAACCCTGAGGAATCACCACACTGACTTCCACAATGGTTGAACTAGTTTACAGTCCCACCAACAGTGTAAAAGTGTTCCTATTTCTCCACATCCTCTCCAGCACCTGTTGTTTCCTGACTTTTTAAGGATCACCATCCTAACTGGTGTGAGATGGTATCTCATTGTGGTTTTGATTTGCATTTCTCTGATGGCCAGTGATGGTGAGCATTTTTTCATGTGTTTTTTGGCTGCATAAATGTCTTCTTTTGAGAAGTGTCTGTTCATATCCTTTGCCCACTTTTTGGTGGGGTTGTTTGAATTTTTCTTGTAAATTTGTTGGAGTTCATTGTAGATTCTGGATATTAGCCCTTTGTCAGATGAGTAGTTTGCAAAAATTTTCTCCCATTTTGTAGGTTGCCTGTTAACTCTGATGGTAGTTTCTTTTGCTGTGCAGAAGCTCTTTAGTTGAATTAGATCCCATTTGTCAATTTTGGTTTTTGTTGCCATTGCTTTTGGTGTTTTAGACATGAAGTCCTTGCCCATGCCTATGTTCTGAATGGTATTGCCTAGGTTTTCTTCTAGGGTTTTTATGGTTTTAGGTCTAACATTTAAGTCTTGAATCCATCTTGAATTAATTTTTGTATAAGGTGTAAGGAAGGGATTCATTTTCACCTTTCTACATATGGCTAGCCAGTTTTCCCAGCACCATTTATTAAATAGGGAATTGTTTCCCCATTTCTTATTTTTGTCAGGTTTGTCAAAGATCAGATGGTTGTAGATAGGTGGCATTATTTCTGAGGACTCTGTTCTGTTCCATTGATCTATATCTCTGTTTTGGTACCAGTATCATGCTGTTTTGGTTACTGCAGCCTTGTAGTATAGTTTGAAGTCAGGTAGAGTGATGCCTCTGGCTTTGTTCTTTTGGCTTAGGATTGACTTGGCAATGCGGGCTCTTTTTTTGGTTCCATATGAACTTTAAAGTAGTTTTTTCCAATTCTGTTAAGAAAGTCATTGGTAGCTTGAAGGGGATGGCATTGAATCTATAAATTACCATGGGCAGTATGGCCATTTTCACGATATTGATTCTTCCTCCCCATGAGCATAGAATGTTCTTCCATTTGTTTATATCCCCTTTTATTTCATTGAGCAGTGGTTTGTAGTTCTCCTTGAAGAGTTCCTTCACGTACCTTGTAAGTTGGATTCCTGGGTATTTTATTCTCTTACAAGCAATTGTGAATGGGAGTTCACTCATGATTTGGCTCTCTGTTTGTCTGTTATTGGTGTATAAGAATGCTTGTGATTTTTGTACATTGATTTTGTATCCTTAGACTTTGTTGAAGTTGCTTATCAGCTTAAGGAGATTTAAGGCTGAGACAATGGGGTTTTCTAGATATACAATCATGTCATCTGCAAACAGGGACAATTTGACTTCCTCTTTTCCTAATTGAATACCCTTTATTTCCTTCTCCTGCCTGATTGCCCTGTCCAGAACTTCGAACACTATGTTGAATAGGAGTGTTGAGAGAGGGCATCCCTGTCTTGTGCCAGTTTTCAAAGTGAATGCTTCCAGTTTTTGTCCATTCAATATGATATTGGCTGTGGGTTTGTCATAGATAGCTCTTATTATTTTGAGATATGTCCTATCAATACCTAATTTATTGAGAATTTTTAGCATGAAGTGTTGTTGAATTTTGTCAAAGGCCTTTTCTGCATCTATTGAGATAATCATGTGGTTTTTGTCTTTGGTTCTGTTTATATGCTGGATTATGTTTACTGATTTTCGTACGTTGAACCAGCCTTGCATCCCAGGGATGAAGCCCACTTGATCATGGTGGATAAGCTTTTTGATGTGCTGCTGGATTCATTTTGCCAGGATTTTATTGAGGATTTTTGCATCGATGTTCATCAGGGATATTGGTCTAAAATTCTCTTTTTTGGTTGTGTCTCTGCCCGTCTTTGGTATCAGGATGATGCTGGCCTCATAAAATGAGTTAGGGAGGATTCCCTCTTTTTCTATTGATTGGAATAGTTTCAGAAGGAATGGTACCACCTCCTCCTTGTACCTCTGGTAGAATTCGGCTGTGAATCCATCTGGTTCTGGACTTGTTTTGGTTGGTAAGCTATTGATTATTGCCACAATTTCAGAGCCTGTTATTGGTCTATTCAGAGATTCAACTTCTTCCTGGTTTAGTCTTGGGAGGGTGTATGTGTCGAGGAATTTATCCATTTCTCCTAGATTTTCTAGTTTATTTGCATAGAGGTGTTCATAGTATTCTCTGATGGTAGTTTGTATTTCTGTGGGATGGGTGGTGATATCCCCTTTATCATTTTTTATTGTGTCTATTTGATTCTTCTCTCTTTTCCTCTTTATTAGTGTTGCTAGCAGTCTATCAATTTTGTTGATCTTTTCAAAAAACCAGCTCCTGGATTCATTAATTTTTGAAGGGTTTTTTGTGTCTCTATTTCCTTCAGTTCTGCTCTGATTTTAGTTATTTCTTGCCTTCTGCTAGCTTTTGAATGTGTTTGTCCTTGCTTTTCTAGTTCTTTTAATTGTGATGTTAGGGTGTCAATTTTGGATCTTTCCTGCTTTCTCTTGTGGGCATTTAGTGCTATAAATTTCCCTCTCCACACTGCTTTGAATGTGTCCCAGAGATTCTGGTATGTTGTGTCTTTGTTCTCGTTGGTTTCAAAGAACATCTTTATTTCTGCCTTCATTTCATTATGTACCCAGTAGTCATTCCGGAGCAGGTTGTTCAGTTTCCATGTAGTTGAGTGGTTTTGAGTGAGCTTCTTAATCCTCAGTTCTAGTTTGATTGCACTGTGGTCTGAGAGACAGTTTGTTATAATTTCTGTTCTTTTACTTTTGCTGAGGATTGCTTTACTTCCAACTATGTGATCAATTTTGGAATAGGTGTGGTGCAGTGCTGGAAAAAATGTATAGTCTGTTGATTTGGGGTGGAGAGTTCTGCAGATGTCTATTAGGTCTGCTTGGTGCAGAGCTGAGTTCAATTCCTGGGTATCCTTGTTAACTTTCTTGCTTGTTGATCTGTCTAATGTTGACAGTGGGGTGTTAAAGTCTCCCTTATTATTTTGTGGGAGTCTAAGTCTCTTTGTAGGTCACTCAGGACTTGCTTTATGAATCTGGGTGCTCCTGCATTGGGTGCACTTATATTTAGGATACTTAGCTCTTCTTGTTGAATTGATCCCTTTACCATTATGTAACGGCCTTCTTTGTCTCTTTTGATCTTTTTTGGTTTAAAGTCTGTTTTGTCAGAGACTAGGATTGCAACCCTTGCCTTTTTTTGTTTTCCATTTGCTTGGTAGATCTTCCTCCATCCCTTTATTTTGAGCCTATGTGTGTCTCTGCATATGAGATGGGTTTCCTGAATACAACACACTGATGGGTCTTGACTCTTTATCCAATTTGACAGTCTGTGTCTTTTAATTGGAGGATTTAGCTCATTTTCATTTAAGGTTAATATTGTTATGTATGAATTTGATCCTGTCATTATGATGTTAGCTGGTTATTTTGCTCGTTAATTGATGCAGTTTCTTCATAGGATCAATAGCCTTTACAATCTGTCATGTTTTTGCAGTGGCTGGTAACGGTTGTTCCTTTCCATGTTTAGTGCTTCCTTCAGGAGCTCTTGTAGGGCAGGCCTGGTGGTGACAAAATCTCTCAGCATTTGCTTGTCTGTAAAGGATTTTTTTCTCCTTCACTTATGAAGCTTAGTTTGGCTGGATATGAAATTCTGGGTTGAAAATTCTTTTCTTTAAGATTGTTGAATATTGGCCCCCACTCTCTTCTGGATTGTGGAGTTTCTGCCAACAGATCTGCTGTTAGTCTGATGGGCTTCTGTTTGTGGGTAATCCGACCTTTCTCTCTGGCTGCCCTTAATATTTTTTCCTTCATTTCAACTTTGGTGAATCTGACAATTATGTGTCTTGGAGTTGCTCTTCTCAAGGAGTATCTTTGTGGCATTCTCTGTATTTCCTGAATCTGAATGTAGGCCTGCCTTGCTAGATTGGGGAAGTTCTCCTGGATAATATCCTGCAGAGTGTTTTCCAACTTGGTTCCATTCTCCCCGTCACTTTCAGGTACACCAGTCAGATGTAGATTTGGTCTTTTCACATAGTCCCATATTTCTTGGAGGCTTTGTTCATTTCTTTTTATTCTTTTTTCTCTAAACTTCCCTTGTCACTTCATTTCATTCATTTCATCTTCCATCGTTGATACCCATTCTTCCAGTTGATTGCATCAGCTCCTGAGGTTTCTTCATTCTTCACGTAGTTCTTGAGCCTTAGCTGTCAGCTCCATCAGCTCCTTTAAGGACTTCTCTGCATTGGTTATTCTAGGTTTCCATTCGTCTAATTTTTTTTTCAAAGTTTTTATCTTCTTTGCCATTGGTTTGAATTTCCTCCTGTAGCTCAGAGTAGTTTGATCGTCTGAAGCCTTCTTCTCTCTACTCGTTAAAGTCATTCTCCATCCAGCTTTTTTCTGTTGCTGGTGAGGAGCTTTGTTCCTTTGGAGGAGGAGAGGATCTCTGCTTTTTAGAGTTTCCAGTGTTTCTGCTCTGTTTTTTCCCCATCTTTGTGCTTTTATCTACTGTTGGTCTTTGATGATGGTGAGGTACAGATGGGTTTTTGGTGTGGATGTCCTTTCTGTTTGTTAGTTTTCCTTCTAACAGACAGGACCCTCAGCTGCAGGTCTGTTGGACTTTGCTAGAGGTCCACTTCAGACCCTGTTTGCCTGGGTATCAGAAGCGGTGGCTGCAGAACAGCGGTGGCTGTAGAACAGCGGATATTGGTGAGCTGCAAATGCTGCTGCCTGATGGTTCCTCTGGAAGTTTTGTCTCAGAGGAGTACTGGGCCGTGTGAGGTGTCAGTCTGCCCCTACTGGGGGTGCCTCCCAGTTAGGTTGCTCAGGGATCAGGGGTCAGGGACCCACTTGAGGAGGCAGTCTGCCCATTCTCAGATCTCCAGCTGCGTGCTGGGAGAACCACTACTCTCTTCAAAGCTGTCAGACAGGGACATTTAAGTCTGCAGAGGTTACTGCTGTCTTTTTGTTTGTCTGTGCCCTGCCCCCAGAGGTGGAGCCTACAGAGGCAGGCAGGCCTCCTTGAGCTGTGGTGGGCTCCACCCAGTTCGAGCTTCCTGGCTGCTTTGTTTACCTAATCAAGCCTAGGCAATGGCAGACGCCCCTCCCCCAGCCTCGCTGCCACCTTGCAGTTTGATCTCAGACTGCTGTGTTAGCAATCAGCAAGACTCCGTGGGCATAGGACCCTCTGAGCCAGGTGCAGGATATCATCTCCTGGTGTGCTGTTTTTTAAGCCCATTGGAAAAGTGCAGTATTAGGGTGGGAGTGACCCAATTTTCCAGGTGCCGTCTGTCATCCTTTTCTCTGACTAGGAAAGGGAACTCCCTGACCCCTTGCACTTACCGAGTGAGTCAATGCCTTGCCTTGCTTCGGCTCGTGCCCAGTGCACTGCACCCACTGTCCTGCATCCACTGTCTTGCACTCCCTAGTGAGATGAACCCGGTACCTCAGATGGAAAGGCAGAAATCACCCGTCTTCTGCGTCACTCATGCTGGAAGCTGTAGACCGGAGCTGTTCCTATTTGGCCATCTTGGCTCCACCCCCCTGAACTCATCCTTTTATATGGCTGCATATTATTCCATGGTGTATAAGTGCCACTTTTTTTTTTAATCCAGTCTATTATTAATGGGCTTTTGGGTTGGTTCCAAGACTTTGCTATTGTGAATAGTGCTGCAATAAGCATATGTGTGCATATGTCTTTATAGTAGAATGATTTATAATCCTTTGAGTATATACCCAGTAATGGGATCAGTGGATCACATAGTATTTCTGGTTCTAGATCCTTGAGGAATTGTCACACTGTCTTCCACAATGGTTGAACTAATTTACACTGCCACCAACAGTGTAAAAGCATTCCTATTTCTCGACATCCTCTCCAGCATCTGTTGTTTCCTGACTTTTTGATGATCACCATTCTAACTGGAGTGAGATTGTATCTCACTGTGGTTTTGATTTGCATTTATATAATGACCAGTGATGATGAGCATTTTTTCATAAGTTTGTTGGCTGCATAAATGTTTTCTTTTGAGAAGTGTCTGTTCATATCCTTCACCCATTTTTTTATGGGGTTGGAAAACCAACTTTTTATTGCATTGATCTTCTGTATTATTTTCCTCATTTCAAATTCATTTACCTCTGCTCTGATCTTTATTATTTTTACTTCTTTTGGATTTGGTTTCCTCTTGCTTTTCTAGATCTTATTTTTATCAAGTTGAGAAAGTTCCTAGTTTGCTGAAAGGTTTTTTAATGAATAGATATCAGATTTTATCAAATGCCTTTTCTGCATGAATTCATATGATCATATTATTTTTCTTCTTCTGCCTGTTGATAGTTTAGAACTTACTTCTTGATTTTCAAATTTTGAGACAGCATTGCATACTTGGAATAAATCCCACTTAACCATGGTATATGCAATGCTTTTTATGTATTTTTGATTCCATTTTGCTAATATTTTGTTTGGAAATTTTCCATGTATGTTTGCAAGAAGTATTGTTCTATAATTTTCCTTTCTTATAATGTGCTCATCTGGTTTTGGTATTATAGTAATGCTGGCTTTGTAGAATGACTTAAAAAGTAATTCCTCTGCTTCTACCTTCTGGAACAGATTGCATAGAACTGTTATAATTTCTTTTTTACATATTTGGTGGAATTCACCATTGAAATATCTGGGCCTGGTTCTTTAATTTTTTGAAAAGCTATTAATTATTCATTCAATTTTTTAAAACAGATATAGGACTATTCTGATGATCTATTTTTCCTTGAGAGTGCTTGAGTTGTTTGAGGCTTTCAAGGAATTGGTTCATTTTATCTAAGTCACCAAACTCGTGGGCCTAGATTTGTTCATTAAATTATTTTATTATCTTTTTAATATCTATGGAATCTAAGCTCTGTTTATGCTGTATCCCACCAATGTTCATAAATTGTATTATTTAATTTCATTTTTAAAATTTTTATTATTTTTTCAAATTTTACGTTTAGGGGTACAAGTATAGGTTTATTACCTAGGTAAACCTGAATCATGGGGATTTGTTGTACAGATTATTTTATCACCCAGGTATTAAGCCTGGTACACAGTAGTAACTTTTTCTGATCCCCTCCCTCCTCTTATTTCTTACCCTCTGAAAGACCCCAGTTTGTGTTTTTCCCCTCTATGTAATTTAGTTAAAATATTTGATAAATTATGTGGAGACTTTTTCATTGACCCATTTATTATTTTGAAATTTGTTGTTTAATTTCCAAATAATTTGAGGATTTTCAGGTTTCTGTTCTTAATTTCTCATTTAATTCCATTGTATTTTGGTAATATATCTTGTATGATTTCTATTATTTTAAATTTGTTAAAGTGTGTTTTATGGCCTAGAACATGGTCTATCTTGATAAATGTTCCATGTGAGCTTGAGAAGAATGTACATTCTACTATTGTTGGGTAAAGTGGTCTATATTTGTCAGTTAAATCTAGTTAATTGATGAGGGCTGTTAAACTTAACAGTAATTGTATTGATTTTCTGCATGCTTAATTTATCAATTGTTGAAAGAGGAGTGCTGAACTCTCAAAATATAATAGTAGTCTTGCATATTTATTCCTGAAATTCTATCAGCTTATACCTTAAGTTTAGGCTTATCTAATTTTATTAAGCTTCACAGATATTATGTGCATGTGTGTGTGTTTACAAATTGAAGGTGTGTAGAAACCCTGCATCTACCAAGTCTCTCAGTGCCTTTTTTTTCCCAACAGCATGGGCTTACTTTGTGTCTCTCTTTGTCACCTTCTGGTAATTCTCATAATATTTCAAACTTTTTCTTTATTATTAAATCTGTTAGGGTGATCTGTGATCAGTGGTCTTTGATGTTACCATTGCAATTGTTTTGGGACACCACAACTCATGCCAATGTAAGATGGCAAACTTTATTGCCAATGTTGTATGTTTTCTGAGTGCTCCGTGAGCTGGTCTTTCCACCATTTCTCTCCCTCTCCTTGGACCTCTCTATTCTCAGAGACACAAAATCATTGAAATTAGGCCAATTAATAACCCTACAATGATCTCTATGTGTTCAAGTGAAAAACAGAGTTGCACCCTCGTGCTGTAAGTCAAAAGCTAGAAATGTTTAAACTCAGTTAGAGGGGATGTCATAGGCTAAGATAGGCTGAAAGCTCAACCTCTTGTACCAAACAGCTAGCCAAGTTGTGAATGCAAAGGGAAAGTTTTTAAAGGAAATTAGAGATGCTACTACAATGAACACACGAAAGATAAGAAAGTAAAACCGCCTAATAGCAGACATGGAGAAAGTTTTAGTGATCTGGATGGAAGATCAAATGAGAAACAACATTCCCTTAACTCAAAACCTAATCCAGAGAAAGGCCCTAACTCTCTAACTTTCTTCAAGTCTATGAAGGCTGAGTGAGGTGAGGAAGCTGCAGAAAAGTGAGAAGGTAGCAGAGGTTGGTTCATGAGGTTTACAGAAGGAAGCTGTCTCCAAAACATAAAAGTGCAATATGAAACAGCAATTGTTGATGTAGAAGCTGTAGCAAGTCATCCAGAAGATGGAGCTAAGATCATGGATGAAGGTGGTTACACTAAACAATATATTTTCAGTGGAGGTAAACCAGTCTTCTATTCTTTTTTTATTATTATACTTTAAATTCTAGGGTACACGTGGACAACGTGTAGTTTTGTTACATAGGTATACATGTGCCATGTTGATTTGGTGCACCCATCACCTCACCATTTACATTAGGTATTTCTCCTAACACTATCCCTCCCCCAGGCCCCTACCCCACAAAAGGCCACAGTGTGTGATGTTCCCCTCCCTGTATCTATGTGTTCTCATTGTTGAACTGCCACTTATGAGTGAGAACATGCAGTGTTTGGTTTTCTGTCCTTGTGATATTTTGCTGAGAATGATGGTTTCCAGCTTCATTCATTTCTCTGCAGAGGACATGAACTCATCCTTTTTTATGGCTGCATAGTATTCCATGGTGTATATGTGCCACATTTTCTTTATCCAGTCTATTATTGATGGACACTTGGGTTGGTTCCAAGTCTTTGCTATTGTGAATAGTGCCACAATAAACATACGTGTGCATGTGTCTTTATAGTAGCATGATTTATAATCCTTTGGGTATATACCCACTAATGGGATTGCTGGGTCAAATGGTATTTCTAGTTCTAGATCCTTGAGGAATTGCCACACTGTCTTCCACAATTGTTGAACTAATTTACACTCCCACCAGCAGTATAAAAGCATTCCTATTTTTCCACATCCTCTCCAGCATCTGTTGTTTCCTGACTTTTTAATGATCACCATTCTAACTGGCGTGAGATCATATCTCACTGTGGTTTTGATTTGCACTTCTCTGATGGCCAGTGATGATGAGCACTTTTTCATATGTCTGTTGGCTGCAGAAATGTCTTCTTTGACAAGAGTCTGTTCATATCCTTCACACACTTTTTGATGGGGTTGTTTTTGTCTTGTAAATTTGTTTAAGTTCTTTGTAGATTCTGGATATTAGCCCTTTGTCAGATGAATAGATTGCAAAATTTTTCTCCCATTCTGTAGGTTGCCTGTTCACTCTGATGACAGTTTCTTTTGCTGTGCAGAAGCTCTTTACTTGAATTAGATCTCATTTGTCAATTTTGGCTTTTGTTGCCATTGCTTTGGGTGTTTTAGTCATGAAGTATTTGCCCATGCCTATGTCCTGACTGGTATTGCCTAGGTTTTCTTCTAGGGTTTTTATGGTTTTAGGTCTTACATTTATGTCTTTAATTCATCTTGAGTTAATTTTTGTATACTGTGTGAGGAAGGGATCCAGTTTCAGCTTTCTACATATGGCTAGCCAATTTTCCCAGCACCATTTATTAAATAGGGAATCCTTTCCCCATTTCTTGTTTTTGTCAGGTTTATCAAAGATCAGATGGTTGTAGATGTGTGGTGTTATTTCTGAGGCCTCTGTTCTGTTCTATTGGTCTATATATCTGTTTTGGTATGAATACCATGCTGTTTTGGTTACTGTAGCCTTGTAGCATAGTTTGAAGTCAGGTAGTGTGATGCCTCCAGCTTTGTTCCTTTTGCTTAGGATTGTCTTGGCTATGCAGGCTCTTTTTTGGTTCCATAGAAACTTTAAAGTAGGTTTTTCCAGTTCTGTTAAGAAAGTCAGTGGTAGCTTGATGGGGATAGCATAGAATCTCTAAATTACCTTGGGCAGTATGGCCATTTTCACAATAATGATTCTTCATATCCATGAGCATGGAATGTTTTTCCGTTTGTCTGTGTCCACTTTTATTTCTTGAGCAGCAGTTTGTAGTTCTCCTTGAAGAGGTCCTTCACATCCCTTGCAAGTTGTATTCCTTATGTATTTTATTATCTTTGTAGCAAGTGTGAATGGGAGTTCACTCGTGATATGGCTGTCTGTTCGTCTGTTCCTGATATATAGGAAAGCTTGTGATTTTTGCACATAGATTTTGTATCCTGAGACTTTGCTGAAGTTGCTTATCTGCTTAAGGAAATTTTTGGGCTGAGGTGATGGGGTTTTCTAAATATACAATCATGTCATCTGCAAACAAAGACAATTTGACTTCCCGTTTTCCTATTTTTATACCCTTTATTTCATTCTCTTGCTTGATTACCCTGGCCAGAACTTCCAATACTATGTTGAATAGGCGTGATGAGAGAGGGCATTCTTGTCTTGGTCCAGATAAACCAGCCTTCTATTCGAAGAAGATGTCATGTAGGACTTTTGTAGCTGGAGAGTCAAAGTTAATGTTTGGTTTCAAAGACTCAATGGACAGGCTAACTATCTTGTTATTGGCTAATATGGCTGGTGACATTAAGCTAGCATTAGAGTTCAATTATCATTCTGAAAATCCTAGGGCCCTTAGGAATTAGGCTAAAACGACTCTACTTCTGCTCTATAAATAAAACAGTAAATCCTGGGTGACAGAACATCTGTTTACTGCATGGTTTACTGAATATTTTAAGTTCACTGTTGAGAACTACTATTCAGAAAAAAATACCTTTCAAAATATTACTGTTCATTGACAAGGCTCCCAATTATCCAAAAAGTCTGATGGAGATTTACTAGGAGATTAACATTGTTTTCATGCCTACTAACACAACATTATTTGGCAGCCCATGGATCAAGGGGTAACTTTTATTTTCAAGCTTTATTATTCAAGAAATATGTTTCATAATGCTATAGATGCCATAGATAGTAATTCCTCTGATGGATCTGGACTAAATACATTAAAGACCTGGAAAGGATTCATCATTCTAGAAGTCATTAAGAATGTTTGTGGTTCATGAGAGGACGTAAGAATATTACCACTAACAGAAATTTGGAAGAAGTTGATTCCAACCATCATGGAAAACTTTGAGGGTTCAACACTTCAGTGGAGGAAGTAACTGCAGATGTGGTAGAAGTACCAAGAGAACAAGAAGTGGAGCCTGAAGATGTGACTGGATTGTTGTCATCTCACAATAAAATTTGAACCAGTGAAGAGTTGCTTTTTTACGGATAAGCAAATAAAATGGTTTCTTGAGAAGAGCTCCACTCCTGGTGAAAATGCTGTGAACATTGTTGAAATGATAGCCAATGATTTAGAATATTATTGAACTTTGTTGATAAGGCAGTGGCTGGGATTGAGAGGATTGACTCCAATTGTGTAAGAGGTTCTTCTGTGGGTAAAATTCTATCCAATAGCGTCATGTGCTACAGAGAAATGTCTCATGAAAGAAAGAGTTAATAGAGGTGGAAAACTTCATAGTATTCTTATTTTAAGAAATTGAAACTTCCACTCCTTCAGCAACCACCACCCTCATCAATCAGTAGCCACTAACATCGAAGAAAGACCTTCTACCAACAAAAAGATCATTACTTGCCAAAGGCTTAGATGATTGCTAGCATGTTTAGGCAATAAAATATTTTTATTAAGGTATATATATTATTTTTAGATATAATGCTATTGCACACTTAACAACTACAATATAGTGTAAACATAACTTTTATATGCATTGAGAAACCAAGTGAATTGTGTGACTCACTTTATTCTGATATTTGCTTTATTGCAGTGCTTTGGAACTGGGCCTGCAATATCTCCAAGTTATGCCTGTGGTCTGATGCTGTCTTGGTAGGTGCATATATGTGAAGGATTGTTATGCTTTCTCAGACTCATCTACTTTTTCTTATCATTATGTATTTCCCTTCTCAATACTTGATAGTTTTCTTCATTCCAAAAGCAGCAATGTATGAGATCAATATCACTACTTCAGCTTTTCTTCTGTTAGTGTTAGCATACTATGTCTTTCAGCATTCCTCTTTTTATGATCATCAGTATGAAACCTAAAATCACCATTTTAACCATTTTAAAGTGGACATAGGAGTGGCATTTATTATTTTTTACAATATTTTGTACCATCATCACACTGAGTTCTAGAAGATTCTCATCACCCCAAAAAAAGACTCTATAACCATTAAG
Organism: Homo sapiens; assembly: GCF_000001405.40. Lineage (NCBI taxonomy): Eukaryota > Metazoa > Chordata > Mammalia > Primates > Hominidae > Homo > Homo sapiens. Next base: position 67,481,404 of record NC_000023.11, on the reverse strand, counting down.
CACTCACTCTCCATTTCCCCTCTTCCTGGCCTCTGGAAACAACTAATCTACTTTCTGTCTCTATGAATTTGCCTATTCTGCATATTTTATATAAATGGAATTGTACAAAATGTGCCCTTTTGTGTCTGTTTTCTTTGACTTAGCATAATGTTATATCAAGGTGCATTCATGTTGGAGCATTTGGCAATACTTCATTCCTTGCTATTGTCAAATAATATTCCGTTGCATGTATATACCACATTTTGTTTATCCATCTATCAGTTGACAGATGTTTTGGTCCTTTTCACTTTATGATGATTGTAAATAATGCTTTTATGAACGTTTGTGTGTATGTTTTTGTTTGAACATCTGTGGAATTACTGAGACATATTCTGACTTTAATGTAATGAGGACCCACCAATTTTTTTTCACAAAAATTGCGCAATTTTTTATTCTGATGAGCAATACATGAGGGTTATACTATCTTCACACCTTGGCAAATTCTTGTTTATTATTTTCTGTTTTTTAATTATAGATATCCTAGTGTATGTAATGTGTTATTTCATTGTTTTAATTGGCATTTCCTTCATAATAATGTTGTCAAACAGTTTTTTCATGTGCTTGTTGACCACTTGTACTTTTTTTGAGAAATGTTTATTTAAGGCTTTTGCTCGCTTAAAAATTGGGTTGCTTGTCTTTTCATTGTTGAGTTTTGGGAGTTTTTTGTATACGATGTACAGCAGACCCTTATCAATATATAATTTGCAAATATTTCCTCCTGTTCTAAAAGTTTGCCCTTTATTTTTCTTGATAGTGTCTATCTTTTGTTATATGTTTTTAATTTTGATGAAACCAAATTTATCTATTTTTTTTTTGTTGCTTGTGCATTTGTTGTCATGTCTAAGAAACCATTGCCAAATCCGAAATTACAAAAATTTATCCTATGTTTTATTCTAAGAGTTTTATGGCTTTAGATCTTATTTTTAGGTCTTTGATCCATTTTGGGTTAATTTTTATGCATAGTGTAAGGTAAAGGTCTAACAACATCCGTTCTCATACAGATTTCCATTTGTCCTAACACTATTATTTTTCTTTTTTTGAGATGGAGTTATAACATTATTATTTTTCTAAAAGGAGTTTTGTGGTTTTAGTCTTTATATTTAGGTCTTTGATCTACTTCAAGTTAATTTTAAAATATGATATATGGTAAGATCCACTACCATTCTTTCGTATGTGGATATCTATTTTCCTCAACGCCATTTATTGAAGAGACTATTTCTTCCTTATTGAATGGTCTTGGCACGATTATCAAGAATCAATTGACAATAAGCATGGGTTTATTACTGTGCTCTCAATTTGTTTCCATTGATCTTATGCCAATATCACATTGTTCTGAATATATAAATATAAAGACTGAAGCTTTATAGTAAGTCTTATATTAGAAAGTATAAATCCTTCTAATTTGTTATTCATTTTTAAGACTGCTTTGCCAACATGAGGTCCCTTGTAATCCCATGTAAATGTTAGGATAAACTTTTCCATCTCTGTAAAACACTATGTTAGGATACTGATAGGGATTGCATTTGATCTGTAGACTTATGTGACGAGCATTTCCACGTTAAAAATATTAAGTTTTCCCAAATTTACAAGAAAAAACAGATAACCCCATTAAAAATGGTCAAAGAACATAAACAGACACTTTTCAAAAGAAGTCATATATGCAGAAAAGTATATTTCTGCATATATGATGGCATATATGAAAAAAAGCTAAACATCACTGATCCTTAGAGAAATGTAAATCAAAATCACAAAGAGATACCATCTCATGCCAGTTACAAAGGATATTATTAAAAAGTCTAAAAATAACAGATGCTGAAGCAGGTGCAGAGTAAAAGGAATGCTTATACACGGCTACTGGGAGTGTAAATTAGTTCAACCATTGTGAAAAACAGTGTGGCAATTCCTCAGAGACATAAAAACATAACTACCATTCAGCCCAGCAATCCCAATTAGTGGGTAAATATACAAAGGAGTATAAATCATTTTATCATAAAGACACAGCACTATTCACAATAGCAAAGGCATGGAATCAACCTAAACGCTCTTCAATGGTAAACAGGATAAAGGAAATGTGGTACATATACACCATGAAATATTATGCAGCCATAAGAAATAATACCATGTACTTTGCAGGAACATGGATGGAGCTAGAGGCCATTATCTTTAGCAAACTAACACAAGAACAGAAAACCAAATACTTCATGTTCTCACTTATAGGCAGGAGCTATATGGAAAGAACACATGGACACATAGAAGGGAACAGACGCTGGAGCCTACTTAAAGGTGGACAGTGGGAGGGAGAAGATCAGGAAATATTATTAATATGCACTATGATTAATACCTTGGTGACAAAATAATCTGTACAGCAAACCCCATGATATAAGTTTACCTTTATAACAAACCTGCACATGTATCCTTGAACTTAAAATAAAAGTAAAAAAGTGTTATTTCCTAATCTATCTTCTTAAGCCTTAATTTTTTTTTCAGCAATGTATTATAGTTTTGTTTTGCCTCTCCTTTGTTAAATTTAGTCTTGAGTATTTCATTCCTTGAGATGCTATTTTTTTGGGGGGTATCCCATTTCTTTTTTTTTTTTTCTTTTTTTATTATTATTATACTTTAAGTTTTAGGGTACATGTGCACAACGTGCAGTTTTGTTACATACGTATACATGTGCCATGTTGGTGTGCTGCACCCATCAACTCGTCATTTAGCGTTAGGTATATCTCCTAATGCTATCCCTCCCCCCTCCCCCCACCCCACAACAGTCCCCAGAGTGTGATGTTCCCCTTCCTGTGTCCATGTGTTCTCATTGTTCAATTCCCACCTATGAGTGAGAACATGCGGTGTTTGATTTTTTGTCCTTGCGATAGTTTGCTGAGGATGATAGTTTCCAGCTTCATCCATGTCCCTTCAAAGGACATGAACTCACCATTTTTTAAGGCTGCATAGTATTCCATGGTGTATATGTGCCACATTTTCTTAATCCAGTCTATCATTGTTGGACATTTGGGTTGGTTCCAAGTCTTTGGTATTGTGAATAGTGCCACAATAAACATACGTGTGGATGTGTCTTTACACCAGCATGAGATGCTATTTTAAGTGAAATTGTCATTTTAATTTTCTTTTCAAATTGTGTAAAAACACAACTGTTTTGTTCTAATTTTATACCCTGTAACTTTTGCTGAATGCATTTATCAGCACTAATATTTTTTTCAAGTTTTATTTTTATTTTCAATGTTTGTGGATACATAACATGTGTATATATTTATGGAGCACATAAGATGTTTTGATACAAGCATGCAATGCAAAATAAGCAAATCATGGAGAATGAGGTACCCATCCCTTCCAAGCATTTAGTCATTGAGCTGCAAACAATCCAATTACATTCTTTAAATTATTTTTAAAAGTACAGTTAAGTGATTAATGACTATTGTCACTCTATATTATTGTGCTATCAAATAGTAAATCTTACTCATTCTTTCTATTTTTTTGGTACCGATTTACCATCGCCACTTCCCCTGCATCCCCGACTACCCTTCTCAGACTCTGTTAACTATGCTTCTACTTTCTATATCCATGACTTTAGTTGTTTTGGAATTTAGATCCCACAAATAAGTGGGGATCCATTGTTGCCGATGACTGGATCTAGTTCATTTTTATAGTTGAATAGTATTCCTTATTGTGTATGTACCACATTTTCTTTATCCATTCATCTGTTGATGAACACTTAGGTTGCTTCCAAATTATGGCTATTGTGAATAGTGCTGCAACAAATATAGGTGTGCAGATATCTCTTCAATATACTGATTTCCTTTCTTCAATGTTTATACCTGGCAGTGGGATTGCTGGATCATATGGTAGCTCGATTTTCAGTTTTGTGAGAAACTTCCAAACTCTTCTTTATAGTGGCTGTACTAATTTCCATTCCCACTAACAGTGTACAAGGATTTCCTTTTCTCCACATCCTTGACAGCATTGGTTACAGTCTATCTTTTGGATAGAAGCCATTTTTAATTGGAAAGAGATAATATTTCATTGTAGATTTGATTTGAATTTCTCTGATGATCAATGATATTGAGCACCTTTTCATATGCCTGTTTGCCATTTGTATGCCTTCTTTTGATAAATGTCTGTTCAAATCTTTTGCCCATCTTTAGATCAAATTATTACATTTTTTTCCTGTAGAGTTGATTGGGCTCCTTATATATTCTGATTATTAATCCCTTGTCATTTGGGTAATTTGAAATATTTGCTCACCTTCTATGGGTTGTTTATTCACTTTTTAAATTGTTCTTTGCTGTGCAGAAGCTTTTAAACTTGATGTGATACCATTTATCCACTTTTACTTTGATTGCCTGTGCTTGTGGGATATTGCTCAAGAAATCTTTCTCCAGCCCAATGTCCTGAGAGTTTCCCCAATATTTTCTTATAGCAGTTTCATAGTTTGAGGTCTCAGATTTAAGTCTTTAATCCATTTCTATTTGATTTTTGCATACGGCAAGATATAATGGTCTAGTTTCATTCTCTTTCATATGGATAACCAGCTTTCCAGGCATCATTTATTGAAGAGACTCTTCCCCAGTGTATGTTGTTGGCACCTTTGTTGAAAAGGAGTTTACTACAGGTGTATGGATTGGTGCTTGGGTTCTCTATTCTGTTCTCTTGGTCTATGTTTCTGTTTTTATGCCAGTACCATACTGTTTTCATTACTATAGCACTGTGGTGTAATTTGAAGTCAGGTAATATTCCTCCAAGTTTGTTCTTTTTGCTTAATATAGCTTTGGCTATTCTGGGTCTTTGTGGTTGCATATAAATTTTAGGACAGTTTTATCTATTTCTGTGAAGAATGCAATTGGTATTTTGATAGGGATTGCATTGAATCTGTAGATTGCTTTGTATAGTATGAACATTTTAACAATATTGATTATTCCAATCCATGAATGTAAAATATTTTTCCATTTTTTGGTGTTCAATTTGTTATATTAGTGTTTTATAGTTTTTATTATATTGATCTTTTATTTCTTTGGCTAATTTCTTAGTATTTAATTTCATGTGTGGGTATTGTAAATGAGGTTACATTTATAATTTCTTTTCCACATTGTTCACTGTTGGCATACAGAAATGCTACTGATTTTCATATATTGATCTTGTATCCTGCATTTTTACTGAATTTGCTTATCAGTTCTAATAGTTTTTTTGGTGGAGTCTTTAGGTTTTTCCAAATATAAGATTATATTATCTGCAAACAAGGATAATTTGACATCTTCCTTTCCAATTTGGATGTCTTTTCTTTCTTTCTATTATTGACTGCTTTAGTTAGTACTTTTAGTACTATGTTGAATATCAGTGGTGAATGTGGGCACACTTGTCGTGTTCTGGATATTAGAGAAAAGGTTTTCAGTTTTTGCCATTTAGTACAATACTAGTAGTGGGTCTGTCATATATGTCTTTTATTATGCTGAGGTATGTTCTTTCTATTCCTAGTTTATTGGTTTTTTACAATAAAGGGATATTGAATTGTATCATATGTTTTTCAGCATCAATTGAAATAATTATATCATTTTTGTTCTTCATTCTGTTTGTATGATGTATCAAATTGATCTATTTGCATATGTTAAACCATCTTTGCATCCCAGGGATAAATCCCGCTTTGTCATGATAAATGATTTTTCTCATGTATTGTTGAATTCAGTTTCCTAGTATTTTGTTAAGGATTTTTGCACCAATATTGAACAGGTTATGGGCCTGTAGTTTTCTTTTTTGGAAATGTCTTCGTCTAGTTTTGGTATCAAGGTAATACTGGCCTCATAGAATGAGTTCAGAAGTATATCCTCTTCCTCTATTTTTTTGGGGGGGATTATTTTGAATAGAACTGGTATCAGTTCTTCTTTAAATGTTTGGTAGAATTCATCAGTGACGTCATTAGGTTCTGGGCTTTTCTTTATTTTATTTTATTTTATTATTATTATACTTTAAGTTTTAGGGTACATGTGCACAATGTGCAGGTTAGTTACATATGTATACATGTGACATGCTGGTGTGCTGCACCCATTAACTCGTCATTTAGCATCAGGTATATCTCCTAAAGCTATCCCTCCCCCTCCCCCAACCCCTCAACAGTCCCTAGAGTGTGATGTTCCCCTTCCTGTGTACATGTGTTCTCATTGTTCAATTCCCACCTATGAGTGAGAACATGTGGTGTTTGGTTTTTTGTTCTTGCGATAGTTTACTGAGAATGATGATTTCCAATTTCATCCACGTCCCTACAAAGGACATGAACTCATCAATTTTTATGGCTGCATAGTATTCCATGGTGTATATGTGCCACATTTTCTTAATCCAGACTATCATTGTTGGACATTTGGGTTGGTTCCAAGTCTTTGCTATTGTGAATAGTGCCGCAATAAACATACATGTTCATGTGTCTTTATAGCAGCATGATTTATAATCCTTTGGGTATATACCCACTAATGAGATGGCTGGGTCAAATGGTATTTCTAGTTCTAGATCCCTGAGGAAACGCCACACTGACTTCCACAATGGTTGAACTAGTTTACATTCCCACCAACAGTGTAAAAGTGTTCCTATTTCTCCACATCCTCTCCAGCACCTATTGTTTCCTGACTTTTTAATGATTGCTATTCTAACTGGTGTGAGATGGTATCTCATTGTGGTTTTGATTTGCATTTCTCTGATGGCCAGTGATGGTGAGCATTTTTTCATGTGTTTTTTGGCTGCATAAATGTCTTCTTTTGAGAAGTTTCTGTTCATGTCCTTTCCCCCCTTTTTGATGGGGTTGTTTGTTTTTTTCTTGTAAATTTGTTTGAGTTCATTGAAGATTCTGGATATTAGCCCTTTGTCAGATGAGTAGGTTGTGAAAATTTTCTCCCATTTTATAGGTTGCCTGTTCACTCTGATGGTAGTTTCTTTTGCTGTGCAGAAGCTCTTTAGTTGAACTAGATCCCATTTGTCAATTTTGGCTTCTGTTGCCATTGCTTTTGGTGTTTTAGACATGAAATCCTTGCCCATGCCTATGTTCTGAATGGTAATGCCTAGGTTTTCTTCTAGGGTTTTTATGGTTTTAGGTGTAATGTTTAAGTCTTTAATCCATTTTCAATTAATTTTTGTATAAGGTGTAAGGAAGGGATCCAGTTTCAGCTTTCTACATATGGCTAGCCAGTTTTCCCAGTACCATTTATTAAATAGGGAATCCTTTCCCCATTGCTTGTTTTTCTCAGGTTTGTCAAAGATCAGATAGTTGTAGATATGTGGTGTTATTTCTGAGGGCTCTGTTCCGTTCCATTGATCTATATCTCTGTTTTGTTACCAGTGCCATGCTGTTTTGGTTACTGTAGCCTTGTAGTATAGTTTGAAGTCAGGTAGCATGATGCCTCCAGCTTTGTTCTTTTGGCTTAGGATTGACTTGGCGATTCAGGCTCTTTTTTGGTTCCATATGAACTTTAAAGTAGTTTTTTCCAATTCTGTGAAGAAAGTCATTGGTAGCTTGATGGGGATGGCATTGAATCTGTACATTACCTTGGGCAGTATAGCCATTTTCATGATATTGATTCTTCCTACCCATGAGCATGGAATGTTCTTCCATTTGTTTGTATCCTCTTTTATTTTATTGAGCAGTGGTTTGTAGTTCTCCTTGAAGAAGTCCTTCATGTCCCCTGTAAGTTGGATTCCTAGGTATTTTATTCTCTTAGAAGCAATTGTGAATGGGAGTTCAGTCATGATTTGGCTCTCTGTTTGTCTGTTATTGGTGTATAAGAATGCTTGTGATTTTTGTACATTGATTTTGTATCCTGAGACTTTGCTGAAGATGCTTATCAGCTTAAGGAGATTTGGGGCTGAGACTATGGGGTTTTCTAGATATACAATCATGTCATCTGCAAACCGGGACAATTTGACTTCCTCTTTTCCTAATTGAATGCCCTTTATTTGCTTCTCCTTCCTAATTGCCCTTGCCAGAACTTCCAACACTATGTTGAATAGGAGTGGTGAGAGAGGGCATCCCTGTCTTGTGACAATTTTCAATACTTTACAGACAAGCAAATGCTGAGAGATTTTGTCACCACCAGGGCTGCTTTAAAAGAGCTCCTGAAGGAAGCACTAAACATGGAAAGGAATAACCAGTACCAGCCACTGCAAAATCATGCCAAATTGTGACGACCATCGAGGCTAGGAAGAAACTGCATCAACTAACGAGCAAAATAACCAGCTAACATCATAATCACAGGATCAAATTCACACATAACAATATTAACTTTAAATGTAAATGGACTAAATGCTCCAATTAAAAGACAACGACTGGCAAATTGAATAAAGCGTCAAGACCCATCAGTGTGCTGTATTCAGGAAACCCATCTCAGATGCAGAGACACACACAGGCTGAAAATAAAAGGATGGAGGAAGATCTACCAAGCCAATGGAAAACAAAAAAAGGCAGGGGTTGCAATCCTAGTCTCTGATAAAAACAGACTTTAAACCAACAAAGATCAAAAGAGACAAAGAAGGCCATTACATAATGGTAAAGGGATCAATTCAACAAGAAGAGCTAACTATCCTAAATATATATGCACCCAATACAGGAGCGCCCAGATTCATAATGCAAGTCCTTAGTGACCTACAAAGAGACTTAGACTCCCACACAATAATAATGGGAGACTTTAACGCCCCACTGTCAACATTAGACATATCATCGAGAAAGAAAGTTACCAAGGATACCCAGGAATTGATCTCAGCTCTGCACCAAGTGGACCTAATAGACATCTACAGAACTCTCCACCCCAAATCAGCAGAATGTACATTTTTTTTCAGCACCACACCACACCTATTCCAAAATTGACCACATACTTGGAAGTAAAGCTCTCCTCAGCAAATGTAAAAGAACAGAAATTATAACAAACTGTCTCTCAGACCACAGTGCAATCAAACTAGAACTCAGGATTAAGAAACTCACTCAAAACTGCTCAACTACATGGAAACTGAACAACCTGCTCCTGAATGACTACTGGGTTCATAACGAAATGAAGGCAGAAATAAAGATGTTCTTTGAAACCAACGAGAACAAAGACACAACATACCAGAATCTGTGGGACACATTTAAAGCAGTGTGTAGAGGGAAATTTATAGCACTAAATGCCCACAAGAGAAAGCAGGCAAGATCCAAAATTGACACCCTAACATCACAATTAAAAGAACTAGAGAAGTAAGAGCAAACACATTCAAAAGCTAGCAGAAGGCAAGAAATAACTAAAATCAGAGCAGAACTGAAGGAAATAGAGACACAAAAAACTCTTCAAAAATTAATAAATCCAGGAGCTGGTTTTTTGAAAGGATCAACAAAATTGATAGATCGCTAGCTAGACTAATAAAGAAGAAAAGAGAGAAGAATCAAATAGATGCAATAAAAAATGATAAAGGGGATACCACCACCGATCCCACAGAAATACAAACTACCATCAGAGAATACTACTAACATCTCTACGCAAATAAACTAGAAAATCTAGAAAAAATGGATAAATTCCTTGACACATACACCCTCCCGAGACTAAACCAGGAAGAAGTTGAATCTCTGAATAGACCAATAACAGGCTCTGAAATTGTGGCAATAATCAATAGCTTACCAACCAAAAAGAGTCCAGGTCCAGATGGATTCACAGCTGAATTCTACCAGAGGTACAAAGAGGAACTGGTACCATTCCTTCTGAAACTATTCCAATCAATAGAAAAAGAGGGAATCCTCCCTAACTCATTTTATGAGGACAGCATCAACCTGATACCAAAGCCGGTCAGAGACACAACCAAAAAAGAGAATTTTAGACCAATATCCTTGATGAACATTGATGCAAAAATCCTCAAAAAAATTCTGGCAAACCGAATCCAGTAGCACATCAAAAAGCTTATCCACCATGATCAAGTGGGCTTCATCCCTGGGATGCAAGGCTGGTTCAATATACACAAATCAATAGATGTAATCCAGCATATAAACAGAACAAAAGACAAAAACTGCATGATTATCTCCATAGATGCAGAAAAGGCCTTTGACAAAATTCAACAACCTTCATGCTAAAAACTCTCAATAAATTATGTATTGATGGGACGTATCTCAAAATAGTAAGAGCTATCTATGAAGAACCCACAGCTAATATCATACTGAATGGGCCAAAACTGGTTCTGGGCTTTCCTTTACAGGACAACTTGTTATTACAGCTATGATCTTACTACTTGTTATTTGCCAGTTCAGGTTTTGGATTTCTTTCTGGTTCAATCTTGGTAGCTTGTATGTACCTAAAAATTTGTCCATTTCATATAGATTTTCCAATTTATTGATATATAGTTACTCACAGTAGCCACTAATTTTCCTTTGAATTTCTGCAGTATCAGTTGTAATGTCTCCTTTTTCATTTTTGATTTTATTTACTTGGATCTTTTCTCTTTTTTTCTTACTTAGTTCTGGCTAAATTTTTCTCAATTTTTTTTTAACTTTACAAAAACCAACTTTTTTATTTTTATCTTTTTTATTGTTTTATTTTATTCCAATGTCATTTATTTCTGCTCTGATAATTATTTCTTTTTTTCTACTAATTTTAGGTGTGATTTGCTCTTGCATTTCTAGTTCTTTTCTTTTATGAGATCGAGTTTTTCTCTTGTTGCCCAGGCTGGAATGCAATGACGCAATCTCAGCTTACTGCAACCTCTGCCTCCCAGGTTCAAGTAATTTTCCTGCCTCAGACTCCCAAGTAGCTGGGATTACAGGCATGCGCCACCATGCTGAGCTAATTTTTGTACTTTTAGTAGAGATGGGGTTTCACTATGTTGGTCAGAAAATTTTTCAACTTTCTTCTTAACCCACCGGTCATTCAGGAGCATATTGTTTAATTTCCACATAGTTGTATAGTTTCCAAAATTTCTTTATTTTTAAATTAATTTCTAGTTTTATTTCATTGAAGTCCGAGGAGATGCTTTATAGTATTTAAATTTTTTTGAATCTTCTAAGACTGGTCTCGAATTCCTGACCTCAGGTGATCCACCTGCCTCAGCCTCCCAAAGTGCTGGGATTACAGGCATGAGCCACCACGCCTGGCTGCATTTCGAGTTCCTTAATATGCATTGTTAGATTGTTTATTTGAAGTTATTTTTTCTTTTTCGATGTAAGCACTTAAGCTATAAACTTCCATCTGAGAACTGCTGTTGCTGTATACCATAGATTTTGATATATTGTGTTTCCATTATCACTCACTTCAATACATTTTTCAATTTTCTTCTTAACCCACTGGTCATTTAGGAGCATATTGTTTAATTTCCATGTAGTTGTATAGTTTCCAGAATTTTCTTTATTTTTAAATTAATTTCTAGTTTTATTTCACTGAAGTCCGAGGAGATGCTTGATAGTAATTCAATTTTTTTGAATCTTTTAATACTGTGTTTTGATCTAAAATATAGTCTATCCTTGAGAATGATCTATGTGCTGGGGGAAAGAATGTGTATTCTGCATCTTTTGCATAGGATGTTCTGTAAATACCTATTAGATTCATTTGGTCTATAGTGCAGCTTAAATCTGATAATTCTTTGTTGATTTTCTTTCTGAATGATCTGTCTAGTGCTGAAAGTGGAGTGTTGAAGTCTCCAGCTATTATTGTATTGGGGTCTATCTCTCTTTAGTTCTAATAATATTTCCTTTATATATCTGGCTGTTCCATTATAGGGTGCATATATATTTAAAATTGTTATATCTTCTTGCTGAATTGACCACTTTATTATTATTGAGAGGTGAAGCCAGCTGGACTTCTGGGTTGGGTGGGGACTTGGAGAACCTTTCTGTCTTACAAGAAGATTGTAAAATGCACCAATCAGCACCCTGTAGCTAGGATTGTAAAACACATCAATCAGCACTCTGTGGCTAGCTAGAGGTTTGTAAAATGGACCAATCAGTGCTCTGTAAAATGGACCAATCAGTGCTCTGTAAAATGCACCAATCAGCACTCTGTAAAATGGACCAATCAATAGGATGTGGGCAGGGACAAACAAGGGAATAAAAGCTGGCCACCCCAGCCAGCAGCAGCAACCAGCTCCGGTCCCCCTTCCATGTTTTGGGAGCTTTGTTCTTTCGTTCTTCACAATAAATCTTGCTGCTGCTCACTCTTTGGGTCCATACCACCTTTAAGAGCTGTAACATTCACTGTGAAGGTCTGTGGTTTCATTCTTGAATTTAGCGAGACCAAGAGCCCACTGGAATGAAACAACTCTGGACACATTATGTAGTGACCTTTGTGTTATCTCATAGTATTTGTCTTGAAACCTACTTTTTTTTCTGACATAAGTGTACTGGATTTGGCTGTAGTTTGGTTTCCACTGGAAATGGAATATCTTTTTCCGTCCCTTTTTGACGTTATGTGTGTCTTTACAGGTGAAATGTGTTTCCTGTAGGCAACCAATCAATGGGTCTTGTTTTCTTTTTTTTTTTTTTTCATCCATTCAGCCAGGCTATTTCTTTTGATTGGAGAGTTTAGTCCATTTATATTCAATGTTATTATTGATAAGTAAGGACTTACTTCTGCCATTTTCTTATTTGTTTTCTGGTTGCTTTTTGGTCTTCTATTCCTTCTTTTTTTCATTCCTGTCTTCCTCTAGTGAAGATGATTTTCTCTCACGATACAATTTAGTTTCTTGCTTTTTATTTTTTTGTGTATCCATTGTATGCTTTTTAGTTTGAGGTTACCATGAGGCTTCCAAATACTATCTTATAACTCATTATTTTAACTTAATAACAACTTACACTATTTTCATAAACAAACAGGCAAAAAAAACCAATAAAACTCGACTTTGATCACCCACTTTTTAATTTCTTATTGTTTCTTTTTGTATCTTATTGTACTATGTCTTGACTGTAGTTATTAATTTTAATTGGTTTACCTTTTAATCTTTTTACTCAATATATGAGTAGTTCACACACCACAATTACAGTGTTACAATATTTTGTGTTATTCTGTATACTTTCAATTACCAGTTTGTTTTGTACCTTCAGGTATTTATTTATAGCTCATTACTGCCACTTTATTTCTAACTGAAGTACTCTCCTTTAAGCATTCCTTATAGGATGGGTCTAGTATTGATGAAATCACTCAACTTTTGTTTTTCTAGGAAAGTATTTCTCCATGTTTGAGGAAAATTTTCATTGGGTATAGTGTTCTAGGATAGTTTTCTTTTTCTTCAGCACTTTAAATATGTTATGTCACTCTTTCCTGGCCTATAAGGTTTCCATTCAAAAGTCTGCTGCCAGATATATTGGAGTTTCATTGTGTATTATTTGTCTCTTCTCTCTTGCTGATTTTAGGATCATTTCTGTATCCTTGACCTTTGGGAGTTTGATTATTAAATGCCTTGAGGTAGTCTTCTTTTGGTTAAATCTACTTGGTTTTCTATAAACTTTTTGTACTTGAATATTGATATCTTTCTCTAGGTTTGGGAAGTTCCCATTGAATAAACTTTCTACCCCCTATGTCTTTCTCTGTCTCCTCTTTACAGCCAATAACTCTTATATTTGCCCGTCTAAGAGGCTATTTTCTGGATCCTGTAGGCATGCTTTATTGTTTTATTATTCTTTATTCTTTTTTTCTCTTGTCTCCTCCTCTGAAAGTGTTTTTTTTTTTTTTTTTTTTTTTTTTTGATTCTCACTCTGTTGCCCTGGCTGGAGAGCACGATTTTGGCTCACTGCAACCTCTGCCTCCCGGGTTGAAGTAATTCTCCTGCCTCAGCCTCCTGAATAGCTGGGACTACAGGTGCATGCCACCACGCCTGGCTAATTTTTTTTTTTTTTTGTATTTTAGTAGAGACAAGGTTTCACCATGTTAGCCAGGATGATCTTGATCTCCTGACCTCGTGATCTGCCCACCTCGGCTTCCCAAAGTGTTGGGATTACAGGTGTAAGCCACCATGCCTGGCCAAACAGTGTATTTTCAAATAGCATGTCTTCAAGCTCACTAATACTTTCTTCTGCTTGATTCATTCTACTATTAAAGAACTCTGATGCATTCCTCAGTATACCAATTGCATTTCTTATGTCCAAAATTCACCCTTGATTCTTTTAATTTTATCTTTTTTTTAACTTCATCAGATAGAATTCTGATTTTTTTCTCTGTGTTACCTTGAATTTTCTTGAATTTCCTCAACACACTTGTTTTGTATTTTCTGTCTGAAATGTCTCTGTTTGTCCAGGATTCGTCCCTCCTGCCTTATTTCTGATTGTTTGGGGTCTTCTTTCTTTTTTCATTCGTGTCTTCCTCTAGTGAAGATGACTTTCTCTGGTGATTTAATATAGTTTCTTGCTTGAACAATTTAATTCATCTGGTGAGGACATGTCTTTTTGGATATTGTTGATGCTAGTAGATGTTTTTCAGTGTCTGGTCATCGAAAAGTTAAGTATTTATTTCAGTCTTCACTGTCCAGACATATTTATAGCTGCACTTCTTGCAAAAGCTTTCCAGATATTTGAGAGGACTTGGGTGTTGTGATCTAAGGTGTATCAACTTTAAGAGGCACCATAAGCCCAGTGACACTGTGGTTTTTGCAGACCCATAGAGGTACGACTTTTATGGTCTTGGACCAAATCCGTGAGAATTGTCTGGATTCCCAGACAGACTCTTGTTCTCTTCTCTTTTTCCCAAACATACATAGACTCTCTCTCTCTCTCTGTTCTGAGCCACCTAAATTTGGGAATGGAGTGACACAACCCCCTCTGTGGCCACCACAACTATGACTGCACTGGGTCAGATCTGAAGCCAGCAAAGCACTGGGTCTTGCCCAAGGCCTGCTGTCACTACTCCTGGTTACTGACTATGTTCACTTGAGGTCCTGGGGCTCTACAATCAGTAGATGACAAACTCAGCCAGGCCTGTGTTCTTTCTTTTAGGGTGGTGAGGTCTCCCAGGCCCCAGGTGGGTCCAGAAGTTCCATCTGGAAATCAGGGACTAGAGTCAAAATCCTTAGAAGTCAACCTGGTATTCTACTCTATGGTAGCTGAGTTGATACTCAAACCAAAAAATTCAGTCCTTTCCACTCTTCCCTCCCCTTTCCAAAGGCAGAAAAGCCTTTGCCACACCTGGTCATGAGAAGTATTGCCAGACTACTGCAGATGTTCCTTTAAGGTCCAGTCTGTTAAGTCAGCTTGTGGTGAATGCTGCCTGACTTGGGACTCACTCTTCAGGGCAGTACACTCTCCTCTGGCCCAGGGCATGTCCAGAAATGCCATCCCAGACTCAAGTCCTGGAATCAGTGACCCCTTGAGCTTGCTTGGTGCTCTACTTGCCTGTGGCAGCATTGGTTGCTAAGGTGCAAGTCAAAGTCCCCTTTACTCTTCCCTCTGTTTTTTACAAGCAGAAGGAGTTTTGTCCCATAGCCACCACAGGTGGTAATATTCTGAGTCTCATCTGAAGCTGGCAAATATCAGAGGCTCACCAAGGCCCTCGACATAGTACCTGGGTATCACTGTTTGCTATTCAGGACCCAAGGGCTCTTCAGTTAGCAGGTGATGAGTGCTGGCAAGACCGGATTCTTTTCTTCAAGGTAGCGGGTTCCTTTCTGTCCCAGTGTGTGTCTAGAAATTTCATCTCAGAGCTAGAGTCTGGAACGGGGGCTCACGACTCTGACTTTTTCTCTATCTTACTGTGGCTGAGCTGGTATCCAAGATGCAAATCTCCTCTCCTCATGTGGAAGGAAAGGCTCTGTTTTGGATGCATGAGCTGTGCAGCCTGGGTTAGGGGAATGGGTTATTCCAGCACACCCTTGACTTCTCCAGCTGGTGCATCAGTATGTCTCATGCCCACAGTCTACTGTCTTTTGGCCTAGTTTAGCCCTAGGACTCACCTAAGAGTTGCCGTTGTTATGGCTTAGTCTGCCTTTTAAATTTACTTAGCGACTGAGAGCACTTTGGCCCTCAGTGGCAAGGTTTGTGGACCCCCAGGATCTGTGATTCCCCTCTAGTGAGGGCAGACTTAAATGCTCCCTTCGTGGGCAGGCAGCAGCTGTGTTTTGTCCGGTTTTCCTTACTGCTCTAACAGAACAGCACTGAGTTCAATGTTTCACAGTTGCTGTGTTCTCCTTCCCTTAGCCCCCAGAGATGCTTCCACACCAAGCACTGCTGCTGGGGGTTTGGAAGGGGTGGCATTGGCAATTTAGAACTGGTTTTCTATCTCTTCAGTGCCCCTTTCAGTGATATAAAGTTAAAACTAGGTACTATGAGTGCTTACCAGATTTTTGGTCCTTATGAAGGCTTTTTGTTTTGTTTTGTTTTTGTTTTTTTGTTTGTTTTTGTAGATGGCTGTTAACTTGGTTTCTTTGCAGGGAGAGACAATTGGTGGAGCTTTCTATTCGGCCATCTTGCTCCACCATTCTCCTGTACTAATAGACTTTTGTGCCTGTGGATTTTTTAAAAAAATTCTGTATATAGGACCATGCCATCTGTGAATAGAGATAGTTTTACTTCTTCCTTTCAAATTTACATGACTTCTATTTATTTATTTATTTATTTATTTTTTTACTTAACTGCATTACTAGAACTTTCAGTACAATATTGAATAGAAGTGGCACAAGTGAGAATCCTTGCATAGATCCTGATCTTAGAGGAAACATTTTCAGTCTTTCACCACTGAGTGTAATGTGAGCTATGTGTTTTTCATAAACATACTTTATCCTGTTGAGGAAGTTCTTTTGTATTAATATTATTAATTTTCTGAGTGCTTTGATTATAAAAGGGTGTTTGATTTTGTCAAGTGCCTTTTTGTGTGTCAATTGAAGTTATTATGTGTTTTGTTTCCCTTCTTTCTATTAATGTTGCTTATTGTTTTTACTGATTTTTCATGTTTAACCATCCTTATAATCCTGGGATAAATTCCACTTGGTTATAGTTTATAATCCTTTCAATATTCTGCTAGATTTGATTTGCTAGTTTTTTTGTTAAGGATTACTGTATTTGCATTCATAAGTAATATTGGTGTGTAATATTCTTTATTTGTGTTGTCTTTGTCTTTGGTGTCAGACTCATAGGATGAGTTAAGAGAAATCAATAAAACCAAAGAAATGATTCTCTTAAAAGATCAAAGAATTTGTGAAAATTTAGCTAGACACACTAATAAAGAGAGAGAAGATACAATTAACTAAAATCAGAAATGAAAGTAGGAACATAGTTCTGGACATTACTGTCAATCTAGCTAAACATTTGTCAATTAAAAAAACTTTTTGAAGAACCAATCTGTAGTTTCTTTGAATTTCTCTATTGTTTTTTAATTCTCTGAATATTTCATTTATCTTAGGTTTAATTTTTGCCATTACTTTCCTTCTGCCATATTTTCATTCAGTTTATTTTTCTTTTTCTATTTACTTTAGGTATAAAGTTAAGTTATTGTTTTAAGGCCTTTTTAAATAAATTGAGGTAAAAGACACCTAACATAAAATTTACCATCTTAACAATTTTTAAGTGTACAATTTATTACTGCTAAGTATACACACATTGCTGTGTAACTAATCTCCAAAACTTTTTCATCTTTCACCTCTATATCCATTAAACATCAACTCTCCATTTCTCCCTTTCCTCTACTTATTGCTTCTGAGTTTGACTACTCTTGATAACCTGTGAAAATAAAATCACATGGCATTTGTCTTTTTGTGACTGGCTTACTTCACCTAACATAATGCCTTAAATGTTCATCCATATTGTACCAGATATCAAAATTTTCTTCCTCTTTAAGATTAAATAATATTCTGTTGTATCTATATATCATATTTTGTTTAGCCATTCATTCATTGATGGATATTTGTGTTGTTTACACCTTTTAGCTATTGTGAACAATGCCTCTACAGACATGATTATACAAATATTTACTTGATACCCTGCCTTAAAAACTTTTAAATATATACCCAGAAGGTAACACGGTGAAACCCTGTCTCTACTAAAAATACAAAAAAAAAAAAAAACAAAAAAAATTAGCCGGGCGTGTGGTGGCAGGTGACTGTTGTCCCAGCTACTCGGGAGGCTGAGGCAAGAGAATGGCTTGAACCTAGGAGGTGAAGCTTGTAGTGATAGTGAGCTGAGATCACGCCAATGCACTGCAGCCTGAGTGACAGAACGAGACTCTGTCTTAAAAAAAAAAACAAAAACAAAAAAACAGATAACCTTTTAAATATATACCCAGAAGTGGCATTGCTGAATCATATGGTAGTCATATGTCAAATTTTTGGAGGAACTATAATTCTGGTTTTTATAGAAGTTCCTCCCTATTGCATATCCACCAACAGTTCCCTTCAAATTCTCACCAACACTTTATTTTCTGTTGTTTTTTTTTTTAAGTTAGCATCCATCCTAATGGTTGTGAAGTAATATTTCATTGCAGTTTTGATTTGCATTTCCCTAATGATTAGTGGTTTTGAGCATCTTTTCATATGCTTTTTGGCCACTTGTGTACCTTTTTTGGAGAAATGCCTATTTAAGTCTTTTGCACATTTTAAAATCATGTTAGTTGTTTATTGATGTTGTTGAGTTGTAGAGTTCTTTGTATAATCTGGATATTAACTTCTTGTAAGATATATGATTTACAAATATTCTCTCCCATTCTGTAAGTTGCCTTTTTACTCTGTTTATTATGTCCTTTGATACACAGTTGTTTTTTATTGTGATATTAGTTCAATTTATCTATTTTTACTTTTGTTGTTTTTGCTTTTCATGTCATATCCAGAAATCATTTAAAATCCAGTGTCATGAAGTCCTTTTCCCACATATATTATTTTAATTTTAAGTTCTAGGATATATGTGCAGAACTTG